>NC_000005.10:70109807-71359807 GCF_000001405.40 Homo sapiens
ATCGGCGGATGTCCCTGGCCCTGTTTGTACGGACAGCAATCAATAGGCAGGTCCGGGATAAGTGGTTTTTTTGAATCAGTTTTCCTATGACTTGAGGGATTGAACATATTTCTTTGTAGTCATCTAAAAGGAATAAGACCTGATTCTTTAACTGCTGGATAATGTTCCTCATGCACATTTCAGTAACAGATCCTTCTTTCTCTAGGAGCTGGTCACAGATGATACTGGCCAGCCCCTCGTCTGGTCTGGTGGAACTAAGGGAGAGGTAGAAAACCAGCTGGAACCTGTTTAACAGGGGACAGCATCCAGATGCCCACAGAAAAGCTATTTTCTTCAGGAGGACCGTCTTTCCACTTCCAGCTTCACCCTCCACACACATGACAGAGTTCAAGTTGCCAAAGACCTCAGGCAGCACCAGAGGTTCTTGCACAGGTTTGCTGATGTGTTTTGAAGCAATAGACAGATCACAGCCCAGCAAGTGGTCCGTGGCCAGATCGGAAGAGATATCAAGCAAAGACATGTGGCGGAAACTGGCGCTGGTATAAGCTGCTCTCAGCTGCTCATTCAGATTCTTTGCCTCTTGAAACCACTGGGCTTCACCCTGTGCCATTTCTGTGGAGAGAAAGAAAGGGGGGCACAACAGGGATTCATAGTCACATCTCCCTCAGTCTGAACGCCATGCCTTTTCATTCCATGATTCTGCCTGTCTACTACGAATGTGTTAGGATTTTCCACAGCCATCCATGATTCCCACATTGCAATCATCTCATAGGTTTTGGCACAAAATCGGAATGTGGAAAGCATGTGTCCAAAGTGCCACACTTGAAGCAGGGACCTAGACATAATGTGTGCTTATCATAAGCACCATGCATCTCAGGAAAGAGGCCAGGCAAAGTGACTCATGCCTGTAATCCCAGCACTGTGGGAGACCGAGGCAGGCGAATTGCTTGAGCCTAGGAGTTCAAGACCAGCCTGGCCAACATGGCAAAACCCTGTCTCTACAAAAAATACAAAAATTAGCCAGGTGTGGTGGCACATGCTTGTGGTCCCAGCTACTGGGGAGGCTGAGATGGGAGGATCACTTGAGCCTGGGAGGTCGACGCTGCAGTGAGCCATGATCTTGCCATTGCATTCCAGCCTGGGTGACAAAGTAAGACCCTGTCTCAAATAAAATAAAATAAAATAAAATGAATAAAAATAAAAATCTCAGGAAAGAAGTTTACTGATTGGTGCTTCTAAGGACTGGTTTGCTTGTACCTGAGACACGTTGCCTACTATCAGTTTGGTCCTGCCTGCACTCTGGAGAAGCCACAAGAATCTTGACTTTTGCTCATACACGACACTGTTGCAATGCTGCTCCTCTTTGGAAGCTCTTTGGACAATTATAAATACTCTTTTTTTTGCAACTGCCCTGTATACAAATATATTTACAAATACATATAATCCCACGTGCTACTTCAAAGTTCTTACCTGGCACTATAGGACCAACTGCTATTGAATCTTCAAGATTGCTTTCACTTGTGGTTTCCTTTGAAAAATAAAATCTTTTCTTAAATCAAAATTTGTATAGGAGAGTGGTGCATCATGTTGTAATCATTGGAGACTAAACATCTTCTAAACACAGCCCACCCTCAAATATTTATGCTGATTGAAGGGAGGGGTGCTTCAAATATAAAGCAATTAATAATCTGCAAACATCTGCAGGAATGTGTGTTCCTCAGTGGTTCATATATGATACAATCCATGGGTGATACTATCCAGGTAACGAGAATCATAGTGTCTTGAGCAAGAAGGTTCCTCCAAAAGTCATTAGGTGCAGCCTCTGTCCTTGGTTAACTACATTTTTAATATTACACATCCAGTACTTAGAAAGGTTATGTTTCTTCCTTAAAAAATAAGCTATTTCTATATCCCCAAACTTTTTTCTTTAGTGCCATTTTTCAATTCATATAGAAAATGAATCACGTGAATAGCAAGTTGGTTTTTGTGTGTGTTGGGGGTGGGGGGATGACAAACATAACATACCTAACACACAGCCTCAAAATAAGGTGGTATATGTGTGCATTAAATTAGTAGTGGCTTAGATCCCAGAGAACTAGGTAGGATTTCTCAGCTTAAAGTGGTCAGCCTATTACCTGGGTTTATGATTTTGTTGGGCACTTGCTTTTGTTAAAGTAACATCTTCTCAACCCCTAAAAAGGCCAAGTAGCAAATCCAGCCTTATTGCCCTCCACATGAAGATCCAGAGAGGATCCATTTAGCCTGGATGCTAATCAACAAAGTCTAAGAGAGTCTGGGCCTTGAAGTAGAAGAGATTGACTATACATTTCATGAAGCTAGGTATTGTGCCCGACTGGTTTATTGTGATTTCCCCAATCTGTACCTAGAACATAACAGATGTTTAGTAGATGTTTGTAGAATTTATTAACTTATTTATGATGAGACATTCCTGTTCAAAACAGTTTTCAATTATATGATCATGTGCTGGTAAAACAGACAAGATGACGGTGTTCATTACCAGTAATTCACAAAGTTCACCACGGCTCTGAAGGTCTGGAGTCACTTCCGCAGAGGACTTCATATTTTGGAGAAATGGACAACTAAGTGTAAAAGTTAAAAGTTATAAAAATAGTTGTATGCATTTAAGTATTTGTGTTAGGTATTTTTGTTGTTGTTGTTGCTGTTGTTGTTTGTTTTGTTTTTTCAGAGACAGGGTCTCACTATGTTGCCCAGGCTGTTCTGGTTTCAAACTTCTGGCCTTGAGCAATTCTCCTCCCTAGGCATCCCAAAGTGCTGGGATGATAGGTGTGAGCCGCCAGGCCTGGCCTTGTATTAGGTTTTTAAAAACACTATTAGAGTTTTAGTGACAAGAATTAAGTATAAAACTATCATTTCCAGTGATTCTCTCTGTCAGTGTCATCAGGTAAGGCACTTAGGTTGTGGCTCTCTGCAAGAGAAATGTAAATGGTTTATAAAGTAATGGTAAAGGATATCAAGGGAATTTGGTGGAATGAGTGCGTATATGACACTCCTCCATGCAACCAACAAAAATGAACTTAAAGAATCAAAAATAGGAAAAAAAAAACCCTCTATTTATGAATTCTGGAACAAAAAACAACATAGTGGAAAAACTGGTGAAATCCAAATAAACTCTGGATTTTAGTAAATAGTAATGTACAGTATATGAATTGGTACACTGATGATTTTGACAAATATGCTAGTGTAAGATGTTAGCATTAGGGTAAATTGGGTATGGCAATATATAGGAACTCTTTGTATTAGTTTGCACTTTTTCTGCAAATCTAAATAATTTCAAATAAAAATTTATTAAAAAAAGAAAAAAACTCTGTGAGTGCGGTGGTTCACACCCAAAATCCCAGCACTTTGGGAGGCCGAGGCGGGCAGATCACTTGAGGCCAGAAGTTTGAGACCAGCCTGGCCAACATGGCAAAACCCTGTCTCTATTAAAAAGAAAATTCCAAAATTAACCAGGCAGTGGTGGCGCACACCTGTAGTCCTAGCTACTTAGGAGGCTGGGGCACAAGAATCGCTTGAACCTGGGAGGCGGAGGTTGCAGTGAGCTGAGATTGTGCCACTGCACTCTAGTCTGGGCAATGGAGTGAGACTCTGTCTCAAAACAAAACAAAAAACAAACAAGGCCAGGCATGGTGGCTCACGCCTGTAATCCCAGCAGTTCGGGAGGCTGAGGCGGGTGGATCACTTGAGGTCAGGAGTTTGAGACCAACCTGACCAACATGGTGAAACCTCACCTCTACTAAAAATACAAAAATTAGCCGGGCGTTGTGGCGGACGCCTGTAATCCCAGCGACTTGGGAGGCTGAGGCAGGAGAATTGCTTGAACCCAAGAGGCAGAAGTTGAAGTAAGCCGAGATCGCACCATTGCACTCTAGCCTGGGCAACAGGAGTGAAACTCTGTCTCAAAAACAAACAAACAAACAAACAAAAAACTAACCAACCACAAACCACTCCATTGCCAGGTGCAATGGCTCATGCCTGTAATCCCAGCACTTTGGGAAGCCAAAGTAGGAGTTTCACTTGAGGTCAGAAGTTCAAGACCAGACCAACCTGTGCAACATAGAGAGACCTCCTCTAAAAATTAGCTAGCAGGGTGGCATGCATGTATAGTCCCAGCTACTTGGGGGTGCTGAGGCAAGAAGATCACTTGAGGCCAGGAGGTTGGGGCTACAGTGAGCCGTGATTGCATCACTGCACTCCAGCCTGGGTGACAGAGTAAGACCCTGTCTTAAACAAACAAAAAATTAAAAAAGAAACCCTCCGTCAGTATCAAAAGAAAAGAATGGCCACAAACATACTCTCTAAAAACTACTTGCCAATCTCATGAAACTAGGACGCAAATACCCTCTAAACTCAGGTTTGATGTATGCTTGAAGAACAAGAGAGAAAGTTCAAAAAGAGCTCTAGTTGCAATTATTAAAATGGACAGATGAGAACTATACATGTGAGTAAGTCAGTGGCCTATTCCATGCTGTAGAATCACTGGAGAGCAGGAGTAAAGCAAAGGGACACTTTTTTTTTTTTTTTTTTGAGACAAGGTCTCACTCTTTTGTCCAGGCTTGAGGGTAGTGACACGACCAAGGATCAATGTAGCCTCCAACTCCCAGGCTCAAGTGATCCTCCCACCTCAGCCTCCCAAGTAACTGGGACTACAGGCACGTGCCACCATGCCAGGCTAATTTTTTTTTTTTCTGGGCTCAAGGTATCCTCCCACCTCAGTTTCCCAAAGTGCTGGGATTACAGGCGTGAGCCACTGCATGTGGCCCAGATACTTCATTTGTATTGCCTTCAGGTGACTTGGCGATGAGTCCAGAAATAGAAGCATAGCTTCAGGAAAACAACAAGTAGAACTTTTAACGTTTCTGTCCAAAGTCAGCCATGTAGAGGTAAATAAAAACAAACCCATAGGGAAGGGGTGAAGTGGCTTACAAAAGAAAAAAAATATTTTAATAGGCCCATCAAGGAAAAGAACTATGAAGGAAGGTAAAATATAAACTTATTCATACAAACAAATGCCAAATAAAGTCAGTTGCCAGCATAACTGCACTACAAAAAATGTGAAAGGGACCAGGCACAGTGGTTCACCCCTGTAATCCCAGCACTTTGGGAGGCTGAGGCAGGCAGATCATGAGGTCAGGAGTTCAAGACCAGCCTGGCCAACATGGTGAAACTCTATCTCTACTAAAAATACAAAAATTAGCCTGGCATGGTGGTGGGCACCTGTAATCCTAGCTACTCAGGAGGTTGAGGCAGGAGAATCACTTGAACCCGGGAGGCAGAGGTTGCAGTCAGCCGAGATCGTGGCGCTGAACTCCAGCCTAGGAGACAGAGCAAGACTCCATCTCAAAAAAAAAAAAAAAAAAAAAAAAAGTGAAAGGAAGCACATCATTTAAAAGGAAAATGATAGCAGATGGAAATTTGGTTCTACTCAAAGGAATGAAAAGTACCAGGAATGATAAGATAACTAAGAGGGCAAATATGAAAGACTTTTGCCGTTGTAAAAATGTACTTAAATTGTTTAAAGCAAAGATATAACATTATATTGTAAGATTTATTAAAGTACATGGAAATAAAATGTATGACAATAGCACAAAGGATGAGAGGGGAGAAATGGAAATATACTATTGTATGGTTCATACATTTTATGTCAAGTGTTATATATTTTTTTGACCCAGAGTCTCACTGTGTCACCCAGGCTGGAGTGCAGTGGCACGATCTCAGCTTTCTGCAGCGTCTGCTTCCTGGGTTCAAGCAATTCTCGTGCCTCAGCCTCCCAAGCAGCTGGGATTACAGGTGTGCGCCACCACACCCAGCTAATTTTTTTGTATTTTTAGTAGAGACGGGGTTTCACCATGTTGCCCAGGTTGCTCTGGAACTCTTGACCTCAAGTGATCTGCCTGCCTCAGCCTCCCAAATTACCGGGATTACAGGCATGAGCCACTGCACCCAGCTGTTATAATATTTTTGAAGATTACTATGATATGTTAAATAGGCATATGGTAAACTCTAGAGCAAGTAGTAAAAAGGTAAAATAAGGATTAATAGCTAATAAGCTGACAGAAATAAAATGGAGTACAAAAAAAAATACTCAAGGAGGGGTAGAAAAAAGAAAAAAAAAAAAACCCTAAACCCTAGGAAGTCAGGAAAAGAAAAAGAAACAAAGAAGTGATGAAATAAATAGAAAGCAAATGGTAAAATAGGTTTAAATCCAACCATATTCATAATTGCATTAAATTTAAACGTTCTAAACATTCCAATTAGAAAGCAGTTATTGTCAGACTCTTAAAAAGCAAGACCTGGCCAGGCGTGGTGGCTTACGCCTGTAATCCCAGCACTTTGGGAGGCCAAGGCAGGTGGATCATGAGGTCAGGAGATCGAGACCATCCTGGCTAACACGGTGAAACCCCGTCTCTACTAAAAATACAAAAAATTAGCCAGGTGTGGTGGCGGGGTGCCTGTAGTCCCAGCTACTCGCGAGGCTGAGGCAGGAGAATGGTGTGAACCCAGGAGGCGGAGCTTGCAGTGAGCCAAGATCGTGCCACTGCACTCCAGCCTGGGCGACAGAGCAAGACTCCGTCTCAAAAAAAAAAAAAAAGAGAAAACCTGGCTGGATGTGGTGGCTCACACCTCCATCTCAAAAAAAAAGCAAGACCTGCTGGGTTCAGTGGTCCACACCTGTAATCCCAGCACTCTGGGAAGACAAGGCAGGAGAATTGCTTGTGGCTAGGTGTTCGAGATCAGACTGGGCAACATAGTGAGACCTTGTCTCTATAAAAAACTAACAAACTTAGCCAGGCTTGGTGGCATGTGCCTGTAGTCCCAGCTACTCAGGAGTCTGAGGTGGGAGGATTGCTTGAGCCTGGGAAGTCCAGGCTGCAGTGAGTCAAGACTGCACCACTGCACTCCAGCGTAGGCAACAGAGCGAGTCTGTCTCATAAACAAATAAAAAATAAAATAAAAGACCCCACTGTGTTGTTGCCTATAACAATTCACTTTAAGGCTGGGTGCAGTGGCTCATGCCTGTAATCTCAACACTTAGGGTGGCAGAGGTGGGAGGACAGCTTGAGCCCAGGAGTTTGAGATCTGCCTGGGCAACATAGTGAGACCCCGTTACCCACAAAAAGGAAAAGGAAAAAACAAGAATTGACTTTAAATATAGTCACAGATAGATTAAAAAGAAAATAATCTAAAAGATGTAACATGAAAAAACTAATAAAGGCCTAAAAAATACTATCAAGGATAAAGAGGGATATTTCTGTTTTTTAGAGACAAAGTTTTACTCTGTCACCCAGGCCACAGTACAGTGGCACAATCATAGCTCATTGCAACCTATACTCCTGAGCTCAAGCGATTCTCCTGCCTCTGCCTCCCAGGTAGCTGGGACTACAGATGCATGCTACCACACCCTGTTTGTTTTAAAAATTTTTTGTAGAAATGGAGTCTAGCTATGTTGCAAAGGCTAGTCTCAAACTCCTCGCCTTGTGCACTCCTCCCACCTCAGCCTCCCAAAGTGCTGGGATTATAGGTGTGAACCACCATGCCTGCTTGGGATATTTAATATATTCTCTGGAATATGAAAGACCAAAGGGCAAAAAAATAGCTAAGACACACTCTTGAAGAGAAAGAACAAGACTATTCTGCAGGAAAATATGAAAATAAGCTCAACTGCCAGGCGCGGTGGCTCACACCTGTAATCCCAGCACTTTGGGAGGCTGAGGTGGGTGGATCACCTGAGGTTGGGAGTCCGAGACCAGCCTGACCAACATGGAGAAACCCCATCTCTACTAAAAATACAAAATTAGCTGGGCGTGGTGGCACATGCCTGTAATCCCAGCTACTCGGGAGGCTGAGGCAGGAGAATCACTTGAACCTGGGAGGCGGAGGTTGTGGTGAGCCGAGATCGTGCCATTGCACTCCAGCCTGGGCAACAAGAGTGAAACTCCGTCTCAAAAAAAAAAAAAGAAAGAAAAAAAGAAGAAGAAAATAAGCTTAACATTATTAGTAATTACACTGACAAAAATTAAAATTTGGGCAATACCAAGTTAGTGAGGAAGCAAATCAATAGAAACGCATCTAGGCCAATGGGAATGTAAATCAGTGCAACCACTTGGGAAAAAGCTTTGCATTATCTAGTGGAGTTGAACACCCGCAAAGTTCTATGACTCTGCAATTCTTTACTTTGTTATGTATCCTAGAGAAACACACATGAGCACTGGAAAATATGTACAAGAATGTTCATAGGGCATTATTTGAATTTGCAACACTCTGAAAACGACCCACGAGGTTAATCAACAGTAAAATAAGTTATTATATATTCATAAAATAATACACTATTTACCAATGAAAACAAGTGAACTACAACTGTGTAGTACATATAAATATGGATGAATCTCAAAAACATCGTGGAGTAAAACCAGCCAATTACAAGAAGAATCATGCAGTATGCTTCTTATTTGAACTTCAAGAATAGACAAAGCTAAATATGTTTAAGGATGTATATGTAGTTGGTAAAACCACAAAGAGAAGCAAGGGAATAATTAACCCAAACTGAGCATCACATTTACCTCTGGATTGGAGGGACAGGGATATAATCAGAATTAGGGGGTGGTTGGCATGCAGAGTTGTTTTTTGTTTTTTGATTTTTTTTTTTTGAGACAGAGTCACGCTCTGTCGCCCAGGAGTGCAATGGCGCCATCTTGGCTCACTGCAACTTCCGCCTCCCAGGTTCAAGCCATTCTCCTGCCTCAGCCTCCCTAATAGCTGGGACTACAGGCGTGTGTCACCAGGCCCGGTTAAATTTTTCTGTTTTTTAACAGAGATGGGGTTTCACCATGTTGCCCAGGCTGGTCTCGAACTCTTGAGCTCAGACAATCTGCCCACATCGGCCTCCCAAAGTGCTGAGATTACAGGCGTGAGTCACTGCACCCGGCCGCAGGGGTCTTTTAAGGCATTGATAATGTCCAATTTCTTGACTTTACTAGGAGGTTCATAGGTTGCTTTTTATTCATTCTTTAAAGCATACATAAAAATTTTAGGTAATCATTTGGAGACATACTGGTTTGCAGTTTTTTTAAGAGGCAAAGGAAGAGTAAAAATCCAAAAAGGAGTTGGCTGGGAGCAGTGGCTCATGCCTGTAATCCAAGTACTTTGGGAGGCTGAAGCAGAAGGATCATTTGGAGCCAGGAGTTTGAGACCAGCCTGGGCAACAAAGCAAGACCCCATCTCTACAAAAAAAAACTTTAAAAAATTAGTCGGGCATGGTGACACATGCTTGTAGTCCTAGCTACTTGGGAGGCTGAGGTGGGAGGATCACTTGAGCCCAGGAATTTGAGGCTACAGTCAGCTAGGATTGTACCACTGCACTTGCTCCAGCCTGGGTGACAGAGCCGAGACCCAGTCTCTTAACAAAAAAACACTAAAGGCCAGGTGTGGCGGCTCACACCTGTATTCCCAGCACTTTGGGAGGCTGAGGCAGGAGGATCACTTGAGGTCAGGAGTTCAAGACCAGCCTGGCCAACATGGTGAAACCCCGTCTCTACTAAAAGTACAAAAAATTAGCCAGGCATGGTGGGGAGGTACCTGTAATCCCAGCTACTTGGGAGGCTGAGGCAGGAGAATCGCTTGAACCCGGGAGGCGGAGGTTGCAGTGAGCCGAGATCACGCCACTGCACTCCAGCCTGGGTGACAGAGTGAGACTCCATCTCAAAAACAACAACAACAAAACACTAAAACTAATAATAATAATAATAGTATAAAAGGGAGTTGATCGATTCCAGAGTAAGTTCTAAATAAGACTAGACTGCATCCTAGCTTATCCTTCCAAGAATTAAGTAGAATGTCCCCATTGTTCTCAATAATTTATTATACACTAAGCCCAAATAAGAAAGAAAAATGAGGTAACTACTGCTATCAAAATACCTTCAAGGCAATAAAATTAGATAGAAGTATTCATTTTGTTTTATTTTTGTTTTTACCACTATACAAATGAGCAGGAAGCATTCATTTTAAAATCTGTATGTGTTCATATTCATTTCTAAAAAAAAAACTCTTACTAATTACATAGTGAAAACACAAATTTCTTCTTGCAATTAAACATTTCTAAAGAGTTTGATGGGTAAAAAAAAATTAAGTTTAAAGATTCATAGAAAAGAAATATTTCTTCATAAAATTTTAGAACAGATATTTTTCTGAAAGCTTCCAGCAGAGGAAAAAAAAAAATTTTGTTTGCAGTAAAAGGATTGACAAGCAGAAAGGCATGGAACTTCTCGACAGCACATTAGGAACCAGTAGAAATGTAGCAGTGCCTCTACAATTTAGAATTAAAATGACTTCCAACCTATAATTCTACACCTAGCTAAACTATCAAATAAGTGTGAGAATACAGGAAAAACATATATCTAGATAGATCTATATGTCTGTATATGCATTATATGCAACTAAAAGTGTGTATTTCTTATGCAGTCTTTCCCAGGGAACTCCGATGAAGTGTTCCAACAAAATGAGCGAGTGAACCAAGAAGAGGATGACATTAGATCCAGGAGATACAACAGAGGAGATAATCTCCAGGATGCCTGTGAAGAAAGATCCCTGGATCCCAGGATGATTATAGGACAAGTTGTTCATAATCCAGCAGGCCAGAAGACTTCCAGGGAAACTCATTCAAGGAGGTGAAAATGATGGATGACTCCTCCAAGATGAAAATGGACCAGCCGCAGTGGCTCACGCCTGTAATACCAGCACTTTGGGAGGCTGAGGCAGGCGGATCACTTGAGGTCAGGAGTTTGAAACTAGCCTGGCCAACGTGGCAAAACTCCATCTCTATTAAAAATACAAAAATTAGCCAGGCATAGTGGTGCATGCCTGTAGTCCCAGCTACTTGGGATGCTGAGGCAGGAAGAATTGCTTGAACCTGGGAGGCAGAGTCTGCAGTGAGCCGAGATCATGCCACTGCACTCCAGCCTGGGTGACAGAGCCAGACTCCGTCTCAAAAAAAAAAGAAAAAGAAAAAAAAAATGATGACTCTTTCAAGAAATGAAAATGATGAGATATCTGGTAGGTCTGAATGACTTAAGAGGAGATTTAAACATTTGGGATAAGTTGAAGATGAGCTGGTGTTCATCTTCATTTATTTCATTTAAATAAATAAAATTATTAATACATGAATTTTATCTCAAGAAACAAAAATAAGCAATGTACATAAAAATTAAGCAGATGGCTGGCCGGGCGCGGTGGCTCACGCCTGTAATCAGAGCACTTTGGGAGGCTGAGGCGGGTGGATCACGAGGTCAGGAGATGGAGACCATCCTGGCTAACACGGTGAAACCCCGTCTCTACTAAAAAAATAAATAAAAAATAAATTAGCCGGGCGTGATGGCAGGTGCCTGTAGTCCCAGCTACTCGGGAGGCTGAGGCAGGAGAATGGCATGAACCCAGGAGGCGGAGGTTGCAGTGAGTGAGATCACGCCATTGCACTCCAGCCTGGGCGACAAAGTGAGACTCCATCTCAAAAAAAAAAAAAAAAAAAAAAAAAAAAAAAAAAAATTAAGCAGATGGCTATAATTTTTTTAAAAATAGAAAAGTGTTGATGAGAAATGGGAAACCTCATACATTGTTGGTCAAACTGTATGCTTCCATTTAGAGGAAATAGTCAGAACAAATAAATCCATAGACACCAATTAGGTTGGTGTATCCCAGGGGCTGGGCATGGAGTGGGGTGGAGAGAGAAGGAGGGCCTGCTTAGTGGATACAGAGTTTTCTTTGGGGGCGATGAAAGTGTTTTGGAACTAGATAGAGGGGGTGGTTGCACAACATTGTTGTTGGTGGGAATTTAAAATGGTGCAAGCACTGTGGAAAAAACAGTTTAGCATTTCCTCAAAAAGTTAAAACAGGCCAGGCGCTGTGGCTCACGCTTGTAATTCCAGCACTTTGGGAGGCCAAGCCAGGTGGATCACTTGAGGTCAGGAGTTTGAGACCAGCCTAGCCAACATGGTGAAACCCTAAAAATACAAAAAATTAGGCGGGCATGGTGGCAGACACCTGTAATCCCAGCTACTCAGGAGACTGAGGCAGGAAAATTGCTTGAACCTGGGAGGCGGAGGTTGCAGTGAGCTGAGATTGCACCGCTGCACTCCAGCCTGAGTGACAGAGTGAGACTCTGTGTGAGAAAAAAAAAAAAAAAGTAAAAACATAGAATTACTATACAGCTAGCAATATCGTTGTTAGGTATATGCCCCAGAGACTTGAATACAGTTACATGCTCCATCAGATACCTGTACCCAAATGTTCCTATCGGTATTACTCATGGTAGCCAAAAGGTAGAAACAACCCAAATATCTACAAATAGATGAATGGATAAATAAAATGCAGTGTATCCATATGGAATATTACTTGGTCTCAAAAGGAAGGAAGTACTTATGCAAGCTACAACATGGATAAACTTCAAAACAATATGCCAAGTGAAAGAATCCAAATGCAAAAGGTCAAACGGTATGCTTCCATTTAGAGGAAATAGTCAGAACAAATAAATCCATAGACACCAATTAGGTTGGTGTATCCCAGGGGCTGGGCATGGAGTGGGGTGGAGAGAGGAGGGGGGCCTGCTTGATGGATACAGAGTTTTCTTTGGGGGCGATGAAAGTGTTTTGGAACTAGATAGAGGGGGTGGTTGCACAACATTGTGAATGTACTATAATAAATGCCACAGAATTGTGTACTCTAAAATGGTTTAATTGCTGTGCATGGTGGCTCACGCCTATAATCCCAGCACTTTGGGAAGCCAGGATGGGAAGACTGCTTGAGCCTAGAAGTCTGAGAGCAGCCTGGGCAACATAGAGAGACCCTGTCTCTTAAAAAAAGAAAAAAAAATTAGCTGGGTGTGAAGACATGTGCCTGTAGTCCCAGCTACTTGGGAGGCTGAGCGAGGAAGATTGCTTGAGCCAGAGAGGTCAAGGCTGCAGTGAGCCATGATTGCACCACTGCACTCCAACCTGGGCAAGAGAGAGAACCTGTCACAAAAAATAATAAATAAATAAATAAAATGGTTACTACCTGAATTTTACCTCAGGAAAAAAAAATAAGCTAACATACCAACAGGACAGTTATTACTTCCTAAAAAAATAAAAGGATATACAGGAAGGGAAAAATAAATAAAAATTTACCACAAGCTTCAGCTCCACATAGCATTTGTATAGTCATGATAATGTAAACATGTAATGTGAATATATGAATCTAGCCAAAACTATGCCATAACTATAAAGAGGGGAAGGCTAGTACAGGAAGGGGGTCATGGAGCAAAGGGATGAAAGACATGAAGACTCATCCTTCATAGCCTGAATCCGAGGAGTGGATAAAGACTCAATCTAAAGATAAAATAAGGCAGGAAATGAGGAAAAAGAAAAAAACTGTTGAAGTGCATCCAAAGTTGCAGATGGTTAACATTCATTCCACTCACTTGGGAAAACATCTGGTGTGATCGTCTAATGGGTCATCACCTTCCTGCCATTTCTCTAAACACCCTCCACAGGAAAAGCACTGGACGATGTCCTTTATACCTAAAAGTAAGGAAACTTGATCAGTGCCACTGGCATGGGCATCTGTCCATTAACATGCAGATAATAACCACCAGACCTGTAATAGTGAAAGCCTATTCAGTCTCCAGTTGGGTTTTGTGACAGTCAGAAGTTGGTTACCAGTGAGGCAATTTTCTATATAAGACTCTGTCCACCAATGGGGTAACTGGCAAGTAGTCATTGAATGCTCCTACACACCATGCACTTTGATGCACACCATCCCTCTGCCCCATTCTCCTTTGATCAACAAACAGATTGGCAACCAGAATCTGGAATTGAAGCTCCATGAGGGGGCTGGGCGCAGTGGCTCATGCCTGTAATCCCAGCACTTTGGGAGGCCAAGGCCAGCGGATCTCCTGAGGTCAGGAGTCTGAGACCAGCCTGGCCAACACGGTGAAACCCTGTCTCTACTAAAAATACAAAAATTAGCTGGGCATGGTGGCACATGCCTGTAATGCCAGCTACTCAGGAGGCTGAGGCACAAGAATCGCTTGAACCCAGGAGACGGAGGTTGCAGTGAACCAAGATAACGCCATTGCACTCCAGCCTGGGCAACAAGAGTGAAACTCTGTCTCAAAAAATAAAAATAAAAATAAGCTCTATGAGGGTAGAGGTTTTTGCTCACTAATGAATGACATGAACCTAGAAAAGTGCTTGACACTCATGTGGCACTCAATTAGTATTCGTTTAATGAATGAATCAGAAAGAATATATTTAGAGCTCACGGAAAAAAAAATACCAGCAAATCTAGCAGCCCTTATGTAAGTGAATGCATGAAGAATTAATTGCCTCTTACCACATTATTGCCATGTTTATTACACCAGAAATAGGATTAAGTCTCTTTGTGAAATTATATTTCTTTGGAAAGAAATTGGTATTTAGCTCTGCAAAAGGATCAAACTAGAAACAGAGCATTTCTCATCTTCCTTCCACTCTGGGAAAGCTGGGGCAGAGGAAAGCCTCCCAGAAATATGAGATCCTAGAGCTTGCAAGATCTGAAAACAGTCAGAGATGATTAGGATTTGTGTGGAGTGGTGGAGGATTGGAAAGGAAGAGGGGGAGCACACTGGTCAGAGGGGTCTTGCGGAAGGCTGACAAGAGGAAGACACAGTAGAGTAGGGAGAAATGGCAAACACTCTTTCCAAAGGCTTAAGATTGTGAGGCAGTCAGATTTTTTTTTTCCAATGGCACATGTCTGTTAGGTAGAGTGACAACTATATTCTGCTTCTCTGTGTTGCTCTATGGTATTTGTGACAACTACTTGATCTCTCAGTTAAAGATCTGCATTAACCTCCACTGTAACTTATGCATGTGTTCGGTTTGAGCAAGACCAGCAAGGTACCTAGGAACCTTTCCCTGATCATCTTGTATTTCAGGCAGAGATTTAGCTGACAGGAACCAGCCCATCATTTATAGATTGCAGAGGTGCTTCCTAATGACCAGCAGCTAAAGAGAAAATGCCACAATCTGGTGGAAGGCTCTACGTGTTTAGGAATCATGAAAATTAATTTCCTGATTTTCTCCTGCAGGCAGAATGTGGCAAAGATTGCTATCCATGTTCCTATTATCTCAAATCCTTCCATACTAATAGAAATCCCAATATTTAGCTGGGCACATTGTCACCCAGGAAAAAGATTAGGTTTCCCAGCTCCTCTTACAGCTAGGTATGGTCATCTGACTAATAATAATAATAATAATAATAATAATAATAATAATTATTATTATTATTATTATTATTATTTTTGAGACAGAGTTTCACTCTTGTTGCCCAGGCTGGAGTGCAATAGCATGATCTTGACTCCCCGCAACCTCCACGTCCCAGGTTCAAGCGATTCTCCTGCCTCAGCCTCCCAAGTAGCTGGGATTACAGGCACCCGCCACCATGCCTGGCTAATTCTTTGTATTTTTAGTAGAGACAGAGTTTCACCATATTGGCCAGGCTGGTCTCAAACTCCTGACCTCAGGTGATCCACCCACCTCGGCCTCCCAAAGTGCTGGGATTACAGGCGTGAGCCACCATGCCCGGCCCATCCAACTAAGTTCTGATTAAAGAAATATAAGCAGAAGTGTCCTGTGACAGTTTCTAGGAGCACTTTGTCAGGGGACAAGAGGTGAGGAGAGTAATGTGTAGAAAGAAAAGACATGATAATTATCACAAATAGAATACTTGTATTCATTGTTAGTCCAGACCTTAAGGTTTCAAATTTGAAGGTTTACCACCTAAGGGAGGAATAGAAAACTGGGAGAGGATTTATGATGCAGGAAAGAAAAGAGATGTATGCCAGGTGCAGTGGCTCACACCTGTAATCCCAGCATTTTGGGAGGCCAAGGCAGGAGGATTACTTGAGCCCAGGAGGTTGAGGCTGCAGTGAGCCATGATCTCGCCACTGCCCTCCAGCCTGGATGACCATGTCTCAAAAAAAATAGAAAGAAAAGAAAACGAATCTATAAGAAATGCTGAAGAGAGGCCTGGCGCGATGGCTCACACCTGTAATCCCAGCATTTGGGAGGCCAAGGCGGGCAGATCACGAGATCAGGAGATCAAGAGCATTCTGACTAGCATGGTGAAACCCTGTCTCTACTAAAAATACAAAAAAGTAGCTGGGCGTGGTGGCAGGCGCCTGTGGTTCCAGCTACTCCAGAGGCTGAGGAAGGAGAATCTCTTGAACCCGGGAGGTGGAGGTTGCAGTGAGCCAAGATCTGCATTCCAGCCTGGGCAACTCTGTCTCCAAGGGGGAAAAAAAAAGAAAAGAAAAAGAAACGCTGAAGCTAGTGGACATTGCTGAGTGTAGCTAAACGTAAGCCCAGGAGCATAAAGTCTATGTGGGAATTAAAGGTCAAGCAAGCAAGTGGGCACAACCTACTGACTCACCTGTGTAGAAAAGACCTGCTTTGGCCAGTGCTGCAACTCCCACAGCTGATTCCCGGGGCCAGTCCTTAAAAGAGTCCAGCCGTAGTTCTTCGTAAGCAAAGATGCTGTCATTGCAATAAGCTTGAATAAAAAGCACAAGGTGAGACCAGCAGGCTTTAGTCTTTTTTTTTTCTATATCTTTATTGCTGCTGCACAAATTAAAGAGACCAGTAGGCTTTGATATTGCAAGTATCAGCGTTCAAGTTGTCCCTTCACAGTTACAGATGGAATGATGTCTAGAGTTTGCTTCAAAATAAACGGGGCGGGGCGGGGGGGACGACAAAAAGAGATAGGGACAAAAAATCAAAAGAAGAAATAAACAAGCAAAGCCTTTGGAAAATGTTTGAGTTTTTACCTGATGCCATAGGTAATTCTCTCTGGACCCAGGAATTCACAAAATGTTCTCCCTGAGGGAAATTAAAATTCAAGTTGTTGATTATCTGACTTTTTTTTTTTTTTTTTTTTTGAGGCAGAGTCTCACTCTGTTGCCCAGGCTGAAGTGCAGTGGCAGGTTCTCGTCTCACTGCAACCTCCGCCTCCTGGGTTCAAGTGATTCTCCTGCCTCAGCCTCCCGAGTAGTACAGGCATGTGCCACCACACCCGGCTAATTTTTTTTTTTTTTGTATTTTTAGTAGAGACAGACACGATGTTGGAGGTCTTTTTTTTTTTTTTTTTTTTTTTTTTTGAGACAGAGTCTCGCTCTGTCGTCCAGGCTGGAGCACAGTGGCACGACCTTGGCTCACTACAAGCTCTGCCTCCCAGGTTCACGCCATTCTCCTGCCTCAGCCTCCCGAGTAGCTGGGACCACAGGCGCCTGCCACCATGCCGGGCTAATTTTTTTTTTTTTTGTATTTTTAGTAGAGATGGGGTTTCACCATGTTAGCCAGGATGGTCTCTATCTCCTGACCTCATCATCCGTCCGTCTCGGCCTCCCAAAGTGCTGGGATTACAGACGTGAGCCACTGCACCCGGCCCATGTTGGAGGTCTTGAGGCTGGTCTCGAACACCTGATCTCAAGTGATCTGCCCAGCTCGGCCTCCCAAAGGGCTGGGATTACAGGCATGAGCTACTGCGCCCAGCCTGATTGTTTGACTTATGAAGTATATACCTATCTATGAACAAGAACTGAAGGAACTTTACCCCAGAATGAAGAGTTTCACTGGATGGAACGGCAGAGTCGGAGGAGAATTATTCCTTTAATTTTTATTTCTGTTGATGTTGCAATTGTTTTTATGCAGTGCAAGCAAACATACACACACACACACACACACACACACACACACACACACGCATGCAAGCTGTGAATGTTTATGCATACTCAGGAGGAAGCCTTCTCAGGGTCACTGTTTCCGGAAACTGACCTTGAAAACAGACCTGCATTTAAATATCACAGATGTACTTTGACGAATGAGGAAGTAAGAGACATAGAATGGTAACTAAATTCATCAGGGTATTATATATTGAGCAACTGATTCTTCTGGGAAAGCTGCACCCAGTTTCTTTTTGAGGAAACACCTCTCTTCCCCCACTGTCAGGCCATGTTCTCTATAGAGTTCTGGTCTCCTGAGTCATGTTAATCAATAAATTCTCATTTTTGTTTAAGCCAGTTTGGATTCGATTTCCCATCACTCTCCACTAGGAAATTTTTACTGATTCAGGATAGTTAGCCAGCTAGGAAGAGCCAGCTCTGCAGCCCACTGTGGGTGACAGCGCCTAGGTCAGGAGATCTTAGCAAGCCTGCAGATAGGGGCAGCAGAGGGAAGCTGGGGCAAGTGGCTTCATTCATAAAGGGGAAGACTATCAGGAAGGCAAGCAGAGCCCGTCAGAAGCCAGCCCTGGAAAAAGAAAAAGGCTCTAGGTCAGCAAGTGAATGTGATATTTTTCACTTTGAAGATGGGAGCCAGGGGAATGAAAGGAGAAAGGAAGAAAGAAATCAAACCCATGACATAAAAAGAATGCCTATGCCCTTCTGAGTCAGACACTTACAGGTAATCCAAAAACTTGAGAAAAAAATTGCTGTTATACATTACCGTTATGTCAACAAATCCCTTGTAGCTTTGAATATACTGGGTAATTTCCTCTGAGGATTTCTTACTCCGAAGAAATTCACATCTGTAATTAATAAATATAATTAAAATTTACCCCAGTACTGTGATAGAGCTGTCCTATATCACAATGAACATTTATAAAGACGTATTGAATTGTTGAATTTTATTATACTTCAATAAAATTGCCAAAAAATTTACCACAAAACTTAGGAGAATTACCATTATTCTCATATAATTATTTGTTATTTCTATTAGTGACAACATGTGTAGTTATTTAAAATTAAATCTTCAGGTTAACTTTTTTCTTGAAATAAAACATGCAATACAATCAAAGAGACTGATTTACAGTAAATATAGGATGGAGCTTTTGTTTTTTGGAATTAAGCAGTGGTGACTAAATCTAGTCGCTAGGGTTATATGAAAGCTACTGGCAGTAAAGAGAACTATATTTAAAATAATAGGCCAGACGCAGTGGCTCACATCCAGGAGTTCAAGACTAGCCTGGGCAACATGGCAAAACCCCATCTCCACAAAAAATACAAAAATTAGCCGGGCATGGTGCCACACCTCTGTAGTCCCAGCTACTCAGGAGGCTGAAGGGGGAGGATCACCTGAGCCCGGGGAGGTAGAGGCTGCACTGAGCCATGATCAGGCTGCTACACTCCAGCCTGGGCAACAGACTGAGACCCAGTCTCAAAAGTAAATACAAAAAATCTTTTTAAGATAACAATATATTTATCTACTGAACAAAAAATTACCATGCATTAAAAAGTAATGGCTATTAGGCCAGGCGTGATGGCTCACGCCTGGAATCCCAGCACTTTGGGAGGCCGAGACAGGTGGATCACGAGGTCAGGAGTTCGAGACCAGCCTGGCCAAGATGGTGAAACCCTGTCTCTACTAAAAGTACAAAAATTAGCTGGGTGTGGTGGCGGGCGCCTGTAATCCCAGCTACTTGGGAGGCTGAGGCAGGAGAATCGCTTGAACCTGGGAGGTGGAGGTTGCAGTGAGCTGAAATCATGCCACTGCACTCTAGCCTGGGCAACAGAGCAAGACTCAATCTCAAAAAAAACCAAAAACAAAAAAAGTAACGGATGTTAATGGATAATTTTTGATTTTTTTAAAAAAGAGCACACTGAATACCATTTAAAAACATATTCCTTTCCCATAAAAGAGAAGCAGTTTTAAAATTAACTTTTAAAATTTCCTCCAATTCAGCTGGGCATGGGGGATCATGCCTGTAATCCCAGCACTTTTGGAGGTTGAGGCGGGTGGATCACTTGAGGCCTGGAGTTTGAGACCAGCCTGGTCAACATGGTGAAACCCTGTCTCCATCAAAACTACAAAAATTAGCCTGGCATGGTGGCATGCGCCTTGTAGTTCCAGCTGCTCTGGAGGCTGAGGCAGGAGAATTGCTTGAACCCGAGAGGTGGAGGTTGCAGTGAGCCGAGATCACGCCACTGCACTCCAGCCTAGGCAACGAGAGCGATACTTCGACTCAAAAAAAGAGAAGTTATCTCTAGGTAAGATCATGATGGAAATTTTCATCTTACTTTATACCTTTCACTGTTGAAATTATTTTACAGTTGAAGTAAAGGAAATTTTACAATATCCAACAAGAGCCGATGTCATTTATTTAATATCAAAATTAATATTGGAAAAATGTCTATACTTTAGGCTACCACCCATCTGCCTGAATTAATCAGCATTAATACTTAATTTTAAATATTACCTGTCAACGCAGGTCACTGAATGTGATCTCCTTTAAGGTATTATCATGTAATAAACTGCTACAAAAAGTCTAATTCTCTCAAGAGTTTTATAGTCATCCACTTCATTTTCAGGTCAACATTTTAACATATTTTCCCATATTTTTTTCTGAAGCTTTAATCTCTGCAAAGCCCATCTTTAAATTTGAAGGAAAAGGTAGAAGAGTGAGGAGCAGCAGTAATTAACTTGAATTTGGAACTTGGATATAACTAAAGACACATTTTGCTTCTTCATTTTTATGTCAGTTTGCAAAGGAAACAGTTATGATTTTAGCTAAATACAGAAATTTTTTTTTTTCTTTTTAAAATTCTACTTGTATCCATTTCAAAACCTACTCTGAATTTTCACTCAGTTCCCACAATATTACCATAATTCTTTGAGCTGTTGGCAAAATGGATCCATTTTATAAAGTCATGCCTTTTGCATTGAGCTTTTGCCTGTCTCATATATTTAGATAAATTTGAAAGCAAAAGGAATATCCACTGTGTTGAATATCTTTAATAGCATGGTTGAAATTTATAATTTGAAATTCGTAAGTTCAAAGAACATTTATCTACTGCTTGATTTTATGCTTGAAACTTCCTATGCTTCACAGCAGTTTTTTTTTTTAATAGGTGGACAAAAATCCTTCCTCCTATCATTCATAACAATTTTCTTTATACTTAAGTAAAATATACAGAAACTTTTAAAGGAACGCCAAAATCTTGTTCCCTCTTATTGTTGCCACATTATTTTTATTATATTACCCAACCAGGTTTTTATGGTTATGCTTATACTCTCATACAAAACAGTTTTAGAACAAATATTGAAGGAAATGCAGGGTCACAAAATGAATAAGTTTACCTTAATAACATTAATATGAACAATGATATTATTTTATTGAACTTAAAGCACGCTCTTGAGCTTAAGAGCAAAGATGTAGCCACAGTTGAACTTGTATTTATTTGGGCTATATTTGTGCTTTTAATTACTCATACTAATACACAGGAAGCTTATTTGCAACAGGATATTTATATAATTTAAAATATTTTCAGAGTTTTTGTGTGTGTTGAAATGTTAGGAAAACAGAACTCATTCTTAAGCAATGATTTGCAAAGAGCAGTGCTCATATGCAGATTTTTAAGGCATAGCCCAAATGGTTAGAAATGCTGCAAAAGTTTAATTTTCTTTTGGGTGATCTGTTGTCTGGAAAAAGCTGTTACATGTAAAAATTTGGATGCTGAAATCAAATGGCTATACCCAAATGAGCAAGAATAGTTTAAAACATTTAAATCAGCATCTGCATAAAAATTAATATAAATATTATTTATGACTGTTATGTATATATGTATATATAATTATATTATGTATAAGAATATATTTATACAAATATATACTACTAGAAAATTGTATATGATGCACTATTTTATTTTATGTAATATTTTATGTATATATTTATTTACACATAATTTATATACTTTTAAGACTGTGTCCATTTTTCATTTATTCTTGGTCTCCGGTTTGAACAACGCTGCTTTATGGCATTACACTGATAATTCTCTCTACTCTTTAGTTCTCTTCCTTATCGCTTATTCATGTGTATCTTATTCCATGCTATAATGTAATGTACCATACATGTGTTGAATTTTAAAAAAAAATTAGCAGAATTTCAATGCTTTCCTATATTACTCAACATAAATATTCTCTATATAGAATGAATTGGAACAAGCTATTTTGAATCTGAAAGGATAATCAGTGATTCTACCAATCATAGTGGTAAACTCATTCAAACTCAGCCTGTTAAAATGAGACGCTCTGCCCTATATCACTGAAAACCTCTTGATTTGCCAGATTTTTCCCTTCTTTACAAATGAAAATGCTTAGTGTTTTCTGAGTTCCTTTGCACTATCTCCCACTGGATTCAGGTCATTGATTTCATCTTCAGAACACTTGGAAAGTTTATTTTGTGGTGTCTATGAGCTAATTTATTTTTATTGCAATGTTTATTTAAAATGAAACAATAAGTACACTGAAGTTTTGTGCATTTCATTTTATGAAAATGTTATCCCAAAGGGATACAGAAGAACTAAATACAAATTTTCAAAATTTATTGTTTTTTTTTGCCTGCTGCTATATCTGAGGTTGTACTTTTGTTCTGATCTTTGTAACACCTCAAAAAAAAAATGGGTTAAGAGAAGGATGAACAGAAGAATGGATATGAGACCTATCTGATAAGGCAAGCAGATTAATAGACGAATGGAGGAATGTTTGGATGTATAGGTATATATGTGTTCATTGCACACATATGGAGGAATGTTTGGATGTATATGTATATGTGTTCATTGCACAGTTTTCAACTTTTTGTGTTGAAATTTTTATAAAAAGAAGTTGGAGAAATAAAAAACAAGAAAACAGAACCATAAGATTTTTATTTAACATTTTTGATTAAAGGAATTGTATTGCAAATTATGACTTTTTAATTTGGCAACATCCTTTTAATGGTGTTCTTTCTTTGTCCTTCTCTTTCTCTTCCTCTCTCTCTCCCTCTCTTCCCTAAAGCTCCATTCCGACTTAGACAAGGGAGAGGGCACTGCGAAATACACCCTCTCAGGAGATGGCGCTGGCACCGTTTTTACCATTGATGAAACCACAGGGGACATTCATGCAATAAGGAGCCTAGATAGAGAAGAAAAACCTTTCTACACTCTTCGTGCTCAGGCTGTGGACATAGAAACCAGAAAGCCCCTGGAGCCTGAATCAGAATTCATCATCAAAGTGCAGGATATTAATGATAATGAGCCAAAGTTTTGGGATGGACCTTATGTTGCTACTGTCCCAGAAATGTCTCCTGTGGGTGAGTAGGCAAATCAAAATTCTGTGAGATACAATGAGACCTCTTCAACATTGACTTTTTGCAGGTTGATGTAAACATCTTATCTATCATCTAAAAGAATTATTTTTCAATTCTAGAAAATACAGTTCTTTTCATTTATTTTTGTAACTTTTTTGTTTTTCTTTCTGCTTCATTATGAAGATAACTACAGGAATATATAACATTAGTTCCTGTTTTCCACCCTGTGAATTTACCTGAATTCATAGAATCCTTGCGTGCTTTAAGCAAAAAATGTATTTTGTATTGAAATTGATTCTTATCTCAATTCCAGACACCTATACAGTGCTGGAGACACCTACCCTACACCACGAAATGCCAGACAGTAATTCCTAGATCAAAGTAAATGATCTAAAGCATGCATCACATCTGATCTGGAAGTGGTCCAGAAACAGGTGTGTTGCATCTTCTGTAGCTGTAAATAGAGATTCTGGAAGGGTGATACTGTTTCCTTTTCAGGGTAAATAACCCATACTTGTTATGCCATCAAGCCAAGCAGCAAATGAATAATGTCATGAAAATATTATTAGAACAAATTAACAAATTACAATTACAATTATCAAATTAACAATTAGAATATAGTAGCACCATCATTCTAAAAATTTAAATTTGATATAAATATACATTTCCATATCAGCCTAAATTTACAAAGTCCTATAATATGTAGGATATAAGGTCAATAAGTTAAGAATTCCAGCCTTAAGGACAATTTTAAATTATAATTTTTATTCCTCAGTCACCACTGCTAATCCTTCAATTTATTTCAAAGTAACTTCTGGTTTTTATTACATTTGGAAGATAAAGCAACTTATCACATGTAGGTTACAACTTAAAATTCGTGTATGAGCCATTGCTTATATTTTCTAAATCTGACATGACCCAGGGGGTTTCTACTGCTCCTACCACCACCCAGGACATGCGATGAAGATTGTGCACGCTACCGTGAGGGCAGAAGCAGGTTAGTAGCTGTAGGAGCTGTCACATGGATTTACTATAATGCACTTGAAATTGTGTATGTGACCTTATCAGGCATTTAAGGACCATAATCTCTCCTTGACCTAAGAAATCAGCTTGAAGTAATTCACTTAGATTTCAAATTTTAATGTGGATACCCAAGGCTGCAAATCTGTTATTCAGTACCTGCTACACTTTTGGGGTTGCCTCTTTTATGCACTGTTAGAATTGCTAGAAATTTAGAAGTCCAATTGGAAAGAAGCATATCTTGTTAGAAAGTATTCCCAGAAAATGAGGAAGGCTACATTTTAACTGTGTCTTGATTTTACAGGGAGAAAAATAAAGTTAATATTTTGAGGAAAAAATAAGGCTTTTAAGATGACATGCTATATAGTAGACAAATAGTTTAACTCGGTGCCTACTTCATGTACACTGGATGTGTTAACATGAATTTATGACCCTCAGTGACTTTTTATTACCAAAACAGCTTCCTTAAAGCAAACACACACACATGCCTCTACAGTATTGGAAAATTCCGTCTCCTTAGATAAAACAATTAGGATTTTTCTTGGGCCAACTAGAATAATTAGGGCTGCAGAGTTGGAGCCTTTATATAAGGAGTTTGCAGCTCATATCCGAAGAGAGAAATGTATTTGGAAAGTCAAAAGTGTAGGTAAGTGAGAAAGCAGAGTAGTTTCAGCTTTTGCAGTTGGAGTGGGTATAATTTACTGTGTTGTCATAAGATACTGGAAAGATCTTTGGAAGAATAGGTTCTTAAAGTGTTTTCTCATGTGCCCTTACTGACATTTCCCATTGGGCCTTCAAGACAACTCCAGTAAATACTTAAATTGATTTTCAGTGCACTGCTTTCTTTCATTTTTATTTATTTATTTTGAGACTGGGTCTTGGTCTGTTGCCCTGGCTGGAGTGCAATGGCCCAATCTTAGCTCACTGAAGCCTTAAATTCCTGGGCTGAAGAGATCCCTCCACCTGAGCCTCCTTAATAGCCAGTCATGTGCCACCCTGCCTAGCTATTTTTTTTTTTTTTTTTTTTTTTTTTTTACTTTTTGTAGAGAAGGGATCTAGCTATGTTGCCCAGGCTGTTCTCAAGTAGTCCTGGCCTCAAATGATCCCTCCACCTTGGCTTCCCAGAGCACTGGGATTACAGTCATGAGCCACCCTCCTGGCTCCTTTTTTTTTTATTTTTAATAACAGAAGGGTATTTCTTTTGAATGTGAAATTTTACCACATGGTATGAATTAGTCCAAGTGTTTTTATACTAAATTTACATAATATACACTTTTCAAGTAAGTACAAAGAGGTATAAACACTGCTTATGAATTGAATGTTAAAAAATAAATCTCTATGCATTACTTTTGTCTTTCCCCATAATCTCACGTATACACATAAAACAAAAAACAAGGAGACCCAGTTATAGTTGTGGTATCTGCTGTTTCTGCCTTGAAATTTCCAGCTTACAGCTAAGCAACAACTACTGTGCATCCAGAACTTACATCTATGTTCCTAGAGTACTTGAACCCCATTCTCAAGTGCACCCTTCTTACCAGGTGGAAATAGTTCACTGCTGTAATAATCTAAGAAAACATTATGTTTCTCTCTACTTTTTTTTCTCTCATATAATCTAGGCAATTCTCCCTCTGTATCATTTTCCTGAGAAAACTAAAATAATTTTTAATCAAGACCAGATGGAACTTTGTATGGTATATTGACAGTATACCAATTGTTGTGACGAATCTTACTGCCTGTTGTAGATATCAGTGTTTGAAGTATTCCCTATGAAATAACTTTTCTGTCCCAATAATTGAGAGGGCTGTTTCATTTCCAAAAAAGGGAAGAATTAATCAATTAAAAATACATATAGTGAAATAACCTGTTTTGTAACATAAAACATAAGATGAAGAAATATCGGAACATTGATATGAAGTTTAACAGTAATGGATTATATATCCAGAAATATGAACAAATAAACCTGCAATGAAAATTTACTAATGTTACTAATTTTCACTTGTGTAACGTGAACATTACAAAGAACATAGTGTACAAAGGGAGAATGTTGGTGGGTAGGATGAGTCAAGATTTCAGAGGAAAATCAATATTTAAGACTTACAGCACTGTGGAATATATTTAATTTTCCTAAAGTTGAAGAAAATTTCAGTGAATCTATGAATTGTTTAAGACAAAGGTCACTCCGTTACTGACTTCTGCTACATCTAATTTTCCAGGGAAGTAATATTTAGAGATAAAAAGCTTTTACTCTGACCTCCGGAAATTACTTAATGATCCAGATACTCCCAAAGTCAAAGCAAATCCTTGGAGACAAGTTTGGACTTTATGAATGTGGACTTAATTCTTTAAGATCACTAGAGCAACAATAAATTACAGGAATGTACCCTCTTTATATCTGATGATTATGCATAAGTGGGGTGTGCAGTTTTAAGTTACTTTTCCTACAGTGCTGACAGGTTTAGAGTGTTAAATCCATACTCAACTTGTATTATCTTCCTCTGCTTGAGCTATGCCACCTTGAGTCAGCTGATTTGACTATTTATAATTAGATACCTAACCTATGATATGATATAGTAGATGTCAATAGTGACTCATGATTTATGTAGTAAGTCTTACCATTTTCTAAGCAGTAGTCAGGTGCCATGTGATCTAACTAAAGATTTGTATTTCTTATTTTACTTAACAATTACAGTAACCCCAATGCAGTATTATTCACTGTTGGATTTTTTTTAATGTGAAAACTTAATAACCCCTGTGGATAAGAAAGTAAGAATGATTCTTAGGTGCTTTAGGACCAAATTAATCAGAATTTAATATACCACTTTGTCTAGGTGTCATGGCGGCTAAAATATCTTTGAGAAAGTTAAACTTAGCTTTCAATCTCAGATGATCTACTTAAGAATTTGGAAAGTTTATATTATATTATTTGAGAATGGGGATTCTTGCTTAAACGAAACCTGAAGGATGGGCATCTTTCATTCAATATCTTAAAAAGAAAGTTTAGCTGACATTTAAATAAGAAAAGATACACCTAAAATAAAGTAGAACACTGGTTTAATAAAAATAGTGAACAGGTACTCCCTTGCCTTTCTATTTTTCTCTCAACTCTATTTTATTTTACATGAAGTTTGGGGAGAAATGCTAAGATGAAATTTTTGGTGGAGTCTTTCAGAGGTTATTTAACCAGAGACTATTTTCTTTTTTCTTTTTTTTTTTTTTTTTGAGATGGAGTCTTGCTCTATTGCCCAGGCTGGAGTGTAGTGGTGCGGTCTTGGCTCACTGCAAACTCTGCCTTCCAGGTTCAAGTGATTCTCCTGCCTCAGCTTCTCGAGTAACTGGGATTACCGGTGTGCACCACCGCACTCAGCTAATTTTTGTATTTTTAGAAGAGATGGGGTTTTGCCACATTGGCCAGGCTGGTCTCGAACTCCTGACCTCAAGTGATTTGCCTGCCTCGGCCTCCCAAAGTGTTGGTGTTAAGGACATGAGCCACAGTGCCCAGCCAACCAGAGACTACTTGTTTCGTGGCCATATTTAAACGGTCTAAGAAGGAAAAGTGAAGACTGTGTCTGTACTTTACATTAATGAACTATTACAATTTAGAAACATATATAAGTCTCCACACTTCCTTATTTTCACAAAAATGCCATAGAGAGACAAATTGAAACATAAAAAACTAGATATATTCTCTCATCCCATGAGCCAGCCATGGAAACAGAGAGCAGCTCAATTAGTAGCAGAGGAACAGGTGAATTATCATCCACTTCTATCTATGCCCTAAAAGCAGAGTTTTCTCAGAAGCTTGAAGACAGAATGTTGACTATTTATTTTCCACACATAAAGACATTCTCCTTGTGCAATCAAACTACAATGTTTAAAATCAGGAAATTTGCATTAATGTATTATTATAATCTAATCCTTCAGCCCTATTCAAGCATTAGCACTTGTCTCAATAGTGTCTTATATAACAAAAAGTTCAAGTTCAAAATCAAACATTGTATTAAAATGTTAGGTCTGTTTAGTTTCCTTTAATCTGGAACAGGTTCATATTTTTTCTTGGTTTCCGTGACTTTAATATTTTTGAAGATTTCTGCCTAGTTATTTTTTAGAATGGCTCTCCCATCTTGAGTATGTGTGATGTTTCCTCATGTATGAATGAAGCATATACATCTTTGTCAGAAATATCCCAGAAGCAATTCTGTACTCTCCTCATTATGTTCTATTGGGTGGGCCATGGTTTTTGATTTGTCTCATTACTGATGATGGTTACTTTTATTATTTGATAAAGGTTGTATATAACTTATCTATTATGGCATAATACATTAGCTAAAACCTTAGCGGTGTAAAACAGCAGATACTTACGTTTCTCATAGGAATGGCTCTATTGAGTACCTCTGTCTCAAGGCTTCTCAAGAGTTTGTAGCTACCTTGTTGGCTGGGGTTGCGGTCTGATCTAAAGGCTTAGTTAGGGGGTGGTAGAAATCTTCCATATGTTCTTTGCTACGTGGACCTCACAGGCCTACATCATAACGTGGCAGCTGGCTTTCCTCAGAATGAACTACCCAAAAGAGAGCTAGACAGAGAGAAAACCCTCTGATTGAAGCCATAGTCTATTTATAACCTAATCTTGAAAGTGACATCACATCCCATCTGCCATATTATACAAGTAAGTGCAACGCGAATACAAGAAAGCCGGGATCATTGAGGGCTCTCCTACAGTCTACCTACCACTCTCTATACTCTGGCTCTCAATGATTCATGTTGCTCTCTCATGCAATATATCCTCATCCCCTTCTGAGGACCCCAAAATTTTCAACCCACTATAGCATCAGCTCAAAGTCCAGAAGCTTTTCATCTAAATCAAGTCCAGATGGGGAAGTGATTTTGGGTTTAATTCTTTTTTTTTTTTCTTTTAGATTTTTTTACTTTTAGTTTTGGAGTACCTGTGCAGGATGTGCAGGTTTGTTACATTGATAAACATGTGCCAGGGTGGTTTGCTGCACCTATCAACCCATCACATAGGTATTAAGCCCAGCATGCATTAGTTATTTTTTCTAATGCTCCCCATCCCTCCCCTCCACCCCCCATCAAGCCCCAGTGTGTATTGTTCTCCACCCTGTGTCCATGTGTTCTTACCGTTCAGCTCCCACTTCTAAGAGACAACATGTGGTGTTTGGTTTTCTGTTCCTGCGTTACTTTGCTAAGGATAATGGCTTCCAGCTTCATCCATGTCCCTGCAGAGGACATGATCTCATTTCCTTTTTGTGGCGGCATAGTATTTCATGGTGTATATGTACCACATTTTCTTCATCCAGCTTTGTGATACTAAAGAGGCCAGTTACTTACTACACATTCACCAAAAATACAGTGGCAAAACAGGAATAATGTCTCTAGACATTCCTGTTGAAAAAAATGGGAAAATGCACAGACTAAAAGAATGATTGGTCCACCACATTTTAAAATCCCAGTGGTAAATGTTGCAAGTCATTTGATTATATTCAACGCCTGTGAATAATTATTCATGCCTCTCATCTCTGACCTCTAGGCTCTTCGTTCTGCCTTTTGAGTTATTCTTTTTTTTTTTTCCATGAAATACAGCTGGTACTTGCAATAGTACTTGGGTGTTGAACTTGTTAAGAGTGCATATCCTTTTTTTCAGATCCATCTATCATTTCCTAGTTGTATGTGGTTGTGTGGGTTATTTCTCCTCTTTTACATTGATTTTCTCACCTGCAAGTGAATAATAGTAACACTTTATGAGCAGGGTTATTGCAAGTAGCAAGGAGAAAATATATATTTACCATTTGCCACAATCCCTGGGGAAGTGCAGTCAATACATTGGAAAGGGTCCTCATAAGAGTTTGATGATCATTCTCAGAAAGCTAGCCAGAGAAAGTCTAAATGGTAAAGGTTCCAGCTCATTATCTTCTTCCCTTTTCTCAAGTTTTCTCTCCATCTGACATGTGAGCTCAGTATTTACCATTGCCCTTTCTACAAATTTAACCAAGTTTATTTAAAAACATAATGACCTTCTATCCCAATTTACATTTTCTTTGGTGTAGAGGACGCCTTTACCTTGATGTGTGGAGACAAGCCGTTGATTTGTAAGAAACACCAATTATCAGCTTCCACTTGTGCTTCACAATCTGCTGAGTCGCTTTAACACTTTTGATGAAATTGAGCAAGGCCTTGTGATCTCTCCTGTGCCAGCCGTGAAGTGTCCACTGCACGCAGCTTGGCAGAACTATTTTCAGGGCCATAGGATGTTATGGCTGTGTGGGCAGGGAGCATTTTATTCGTCTGTTTGATTCCTATGTTTTTATTAGTGGTGCAATTGCAAAGGTAATGCTATTGACACTTTTTGTGTAGCCTTGAGAGAAGAGTATGAATTGTTTTAGTAGCAGCACAGCGTGTCCCTAAATATAAATCATGCTGTACTGATAGTTACTTTAGCAGCCACTGATCAGCAATAAATGTTAAAAATTAACAAGAAGTTTCTTTTTTTCGAAACCGCCAAATGACTCTAAGCATTAAATATATTTTAGCCGGAGTTGCTTCTCGGCCACAGAGTGGTTCACAACATTAAACATATTTTCAAAGTATTACTCCTTCCCCAGCCTCCAAGTGGTTGTAAACATTAAATATGTCTTATAAAAACTGCTTTGCCAGCTACTGGCAAGACAGCTATGAACATCATTTTTCTTTAAAGTTGCCTTCCAGCTGCGGGACTATTTTTCCTTATTTGCTCTATTCTATTTATATTTTGTACACAAAAGCAGGCAAGAGGCTACATTGGCCCAATTGTCTCTGGCTTTATGATAAGTGATCGTGGGAGAGCAGTTGCACCTCCGTAAAACCCTGCTGGCCACAGGAGCTTGCTGAAGTTCAATCACTGATACTGAATATTTCATATAGATGTCAGCTGTGTCTTCCAAAATAATTTTTGTTTTTCATTGTGCAATGTGTTGAGGCATAAAGATGGGCATGCATTAACATCAGCATTAAGAAAAATAACTTGAAGCAACCAGACACTGATGAATTATACCCACTGATTCAGGTGAAAATATTCCGTGAAGAGAACAGACTCAAATGGCAGGACTAGTATGTTAATGAGGTCTTTAACCCAAACATGATGAAAGACTTGGAACCTCTGTCTGGAAATCATCCAGTCTGACAACTGCATGCGATTCAAAAAGAGTGAAGAGTATGCTATTACATAAAGGTCTATCCAGGACTTAGAGCAGGAAATCTTTTCATTTTAACCAAATTCACAGTGAAAATAACGTGTGTCCCCTGAGTGAATTGAAAAATAAATTAGCTCTATCATCTCAGGCACAGTAATTCATCATCAGGCCAAATAATTAATTACTCAGGAAGGCTTTGATTTCTATGGGAGCCAAGTGTTCTCCAAATTGTGTAGTACTGTATCTTGCCAAATGTTTTATTTTAGGTGTATGTTCAACAGGTTCCAATATTCATCAATACCTACGTGACAGGCACTATTTTAGGTACTGGAGCTAGAACTTGAGCAAAAAAGACAAAAAGTCCTCCTCTCAGGAAGCTTTTACTCCAAAGGCCTCCTGCAGGGGCAGCAAGCTAAACTCTGTGAGCTAAATTCAACATATCATCTGTTTTTATTGGAACAGTTACACTTATTCATTTCTGTGTTGTCTATGGCTGCTTTCACACCACAATGGAAGAGCTGGCAACAGAGACCATATGGCCTGCAAAGACTAAAATATTTACTATCTGCTCCTTCACAGAAAAGTATGTTGACCCATTACATAGTGGATTGAGTTTGAGAGAGGAGATTAAGGTAAGGCCAACATTTTAAATCGACCTATGAGGAAAAAGTGTTTTTTTTCTCCCTAAAAATTACCTCTTCCAAAAGAAAACAAAACACAAAAAAACATAAAAATAAAAAGAAAGAAAATGGCAAGACCCAAGGTAAAATGAAGGGTAAAAGTGAGCACCACACTAATACATATGTATCAGCGTGAAATCAGATGCTGCCATTTAGTTCCTGCTGAAAGTGTTGGTTTGGCTTTATTAAAATAACTTAAACACAGTCTTTCAATGTTATAGACTCATGGTAAAGGTTTCTTTTTCCTTTTGTGAATTTTTAAAAATTTCTCTGCAAAAATTATTCCTCACACAATTATGTAACTTTATATTTTCGATTAAAACTAAAACTAAAAATGTTGAAAGAACAACTCGATATTGGATTAAAATATTCATTTTCCATCTTCATTCTCAGGATTCATATTTGGTTGCCTCATTGCGATATAAGTATGTTGAAAAAAATGGAAAATTGCTGAAAGCAAAAATTTTAAAACTCACCAGTATTAATAATTATCACCAAATAACTATTACAGAAAACTTCCTCAGAAAGTAAAATTAGAGTGAAGGTATCACAGGTTGGCACTATTTTCATTCCCGACCAAGAAACTGACACCTGAAAATTAAAAAAAAAAAAAATCAGAGTCTACAGTTTTACAAATAATTAACAAAATGAACATCAAAATAGGGTGCAATTTGTTTAATTGGCAAAGGCACACAACGAAAAAGAAATATGTCAATTAAACTGTCAACCATGTTAATTTTGCCTCTGAGAAAAACATTGTAATGGGATAATTTCACGAAATGCTTTGATGACAAGAAAATGCCAAAATATGATTAGCTACTTCAAAATTCAGCTGAAACAAGAAAGCAATTGGTGGCAGCCAGAATAACCAAAGGTCTTTTTTTTAATATACCTTTTTCTTTCCGTCTCTTTTTGCCTGTGTTTAATCAACAGTGTACATTTTGTTTGACAGTGAAATGATTCATAATGAAAACACTGGCATCACAAAAACTTAGCAGAAACTTTGCTATAAGATTAGAGTATACACTTCTATTTTCCCCAAACTCTTTAAAAATATAATTACTATTTCTGAAAGAATTTGTTATCTTTATGAAATAATGTATTTTTCTTACTAGCATTAAGTGCTTATTTAGCTAAAAGCCAGAATTAGAAGCAATTCACTCATATGAGTATGTTTATATTTATATTGTCAAATATATTTACTTAGAATTTAAACCAAGATATATTTTATTTATTGTTCTCATCACTGCCTGTTAGTCAGAATGGATATTTTAAATTTTACCAGGTCATGTAAATTTTACTACCTATATTTCTTATTCCTGTTTGTTTAGAAAAATAATCTAGTCTATACCTAAGCTAACAAATAATCCTAAACATTGAAAATACACACATGATTATGAAGAATTCACTTTCTAATAAGTTTCAGCTTTTTACAAATGGCTGCTTAAATATAATGCATAAATATGACGTATTTTTAAAAATACATCTTGTTTATGCATTACTTGAACCATAACTAATCCCCATTTCCAGTCAAAAAGAACACTGTCTACATATGTTAATCTCTAATACAACAAAAGCAGGCTTAGCTTAATGGGAAACTTATTAGAGTAAAATAGTTCTTTTTATTTTGTATTTTATTTTATTATTACAATAAGAAGATTATAATTTGGTAACCAGCAGGAGAAGAAAGACTTCCAAAGATTATTTTATGGGTCCATGTATTTGCTTTTCCTGAGGGTAACTAGTGCTAATTCTAGAAAGGCAGAATGCTGTAGGAAAAACAAAATAAGCCCTGGAGTACAAAAGATTTGGATTCAAACTTTGAAGAAGGATGGGGAAGTGTTTAGGAAAGTGCTTCCCTGTGTAAAACTTAGCTGGTAAGTACCGTATTTCACTGAAATTGCTGTTATAATAATTGAAACAGATTATTATTGGAAAAACAACATCAGCAAAACTAAACCCTAGATGAGTTTAAATAAGTGCCAGCCATTTTTCTCCTGTGGGGATTTAGAGTTGAAGTGGGTATCTTCGATTACTTTTCTTTATCCTCATTCTTATTCTTATAATTTTTCCTAATAAGTCACCTAAGAAGGGCATTTAAATAAGTGCTAGCCTTTTTTCTCCTATGGGGATTTAGAGTTGAAGTGGATGTCTTCAATTACTTTTCTTCTCTATTCTCGTTCTTATTCTTATAATTTTTCCTAATAAGTCACCTAAGAAGGGGATTCTAGAAACATCTCTTTCCAAGAATACATATTGTTTTAAGAAATATCAGTTACCCCAAATACTTGAATAGAAACTAGGAAAACAGGAGAGGGAGATTATAGGTGTAAACAAGGAATTACTGTGCAGTAATATGTGTAGTGGACGTGAAAAGTAATGACTTAACAGTTTGAATACACAAAGATGGACCAAACAAATACATTTATTTCTCCTTTATTCCAAATTGCCATTGAAATAGGAAAATACAGTACTTATTAAAATAACTATGGAAAGTTGAGAAGAATTCTACCAACAGACTAAAGAGTAAGCAATTTCTGAAGGACATAAGTCATATCAGAGGCACTTTAGTCTTTGGCCATAATAGAATTATTGGAGGGACTTGCCTTTTCACTATAAACAATGATAAAACTGGGCAACATATATGAGGAACCAGATTTTATGCATCAAACAAGAAGTACAAGTTTTTCATACTCAAGAGAGAAGAAAGCTGTGAGGTAAGTACCACATTTAACCAGAGAATGTGACTAGGGGCACTTTTTCTCCCATTAAACAAGGAGGCAGACTCTAAAAATAATGAGTTTAGAGGAAGAAATTAAAGCTTAAAGCTCTCATTTTGTAGGTTGTCTGCTTATTTGTTGATAATTTCTTTTGCTATGCAGAAGCTCTTAGTTTAATTAGGTTCCAAAAAGAGGTAGGGGTAGAGGGACAAGAGCCAAGGAACTTCCTGTTAGGTATTCAGTTCACTACCTGGGTGACAGGATCAGTGGAAGCCCAAACAGTAGCAGCAAGCAATATAACTTTGTAACAAACCTGCACATATACCCCCTGAATCTAAAATTACAATTAAATCTCTATCTATATCATCTCTCTCTCTCTCTATCTATCTATCGATATTTGTAAATAGCTTACACTTGCTTAAGTGGTTGTTATTTAAGAGCTGCTGAAGTGGCTGAAATTTGTATAGGAAAGGAAAAAGAGGCATGGGGTAGGCCTACAGAAGCCAGAATAAGTATTTGGCACCAATTTCGTCAAAAGCTGCTCTATACCTGAGCAGGGTTAACATCTGCAAGACCTGCTGAAAGCAGATACTGTGGGAATAAGATATCAGTAGTAACAGGACAAGGAGATGTTTGGGTTACTGACTAGCCACAGGGAAGATATTTTACGGAATATTCCAGGCATTAAGAACAAGGACTATTTCTTTCAGTAAAGACTATGTCCTATCTTTAAGAACAAAAATGAAAGAGATTTTCATTAACAAATAATGAAACCAGGCATGGCAGATCAAAAGGATCTGGAAGCCACTTAACAGCTTTCAAAGGACTATCTTAGGGCCTTTTACAAGAAGACAACGTCTAGATTTTCTACAGTGTATTAGTCAAAAATACAAGTTACGCAAAGAAGCAGGAAAATTTAATAAATAATCAAGGGGAAAAAAGCAGTCAATAGAACATACATCATAATGACCCAGGCATTGAAATCAACAGATATATATTATGAATATGTCCTTAGACTATGGAGATATTGTCACAATGATAGAACGAAAAAGGTAATTTTGAGAAATGAACATTGTTGAAGTAACAAGTGCAAAATATACAATGAAAGAGTCACTGGCAGGGTATACTCTCAGATTTCAGCTATCTGAAAAGCAGACAAATAACCTTGAAAACCATTTTTGAATTTATCTAATCTCAAACAAAAGAGGAAAATGATTAAAATAAGAGATTGAATGACATGGGATATCAAGCCATCAAACCTATACACAAATGAAGTCTCAAAAGGATGAGTCAGAAAACGGGAAAGAAAAAATATATTTGAAGAAATAATTGCCAGTGTTTTCAAATTTTGATGAAAAATTTCAATGCAGAGATCCAAGAACATCGAATCAACAAGAACACATGTATGAAGGGTATAAAGCCAATAGCATAATTAAAATGAAATATTGAAAAATATCCATTTACTCTAAGGAAGGTAACACTGAACCGGTGAAGAAAGAAATATCAACAACCAAGGGAAGAGAACAACACCCAAATAAGAAAATAGTAGGCAAATAGTAACATGGTAGATTTAACAACACTGACATCACTGATTAAATGTAAATGGATTGAACATTTATATTAGTTTCCTAGGGTTATATAACAAAGTACCATAAACTAGGTGCCTCAAGCAACAAAAATGTATTATCTCAAGTCCTGAAGGCTAGAAGTCTGAATTCAAGGTACTGGTTCCTTCTAAAGGCTGTGAAGAAGAATCTGTTCTAGACATCTCTCCGTGGCTTTTAGATGGCTTTCTTCATGTTCATATGTTGTGCTTTCTGGTGGCATTTTTGTGTCCAAATTTCCCCCTTTCATAAGGCCACCAGTCACATTGGATTACAGGCCACTCTAATGATCCCATTTTGACTTGATTACATCTATAAAGATCCTATCTTTCAATAAGGTTGCATCCTTAATTACTGGGGTAAGGACTTCAACATATGTTTTTTTTTGGCAGACAATTCAACCCATAACACACTTAAATTAAGAGCTAGCAATTTTGAGACTGGATTTAAAAAGGACAAAACTATATGCTCTGTACAATGAATGCATTTTTTTTTGAGATGGAGTCATAAAATTGGTTGAAAATGAAAGGAAGTAAAACTGATGTAGCTGGCTAATACCAGAGAAAGTAGGATTCAAAATAAGCTGAAATATCAGAGATGGAATGATAAAAGGTTAAGCTCATTAGCAATGCATTATAATTCTCAATGTTTATACAACTGATAACAGAGTGTCAAAATGCATGAAGTAAAAACAGACAGAACTAAACAGAGAAATAGACTTTCACTCATAGTTGAAGATTTTAATCATCGGCTCAAAATAAACAATAGATGAACAAATAAAAATTAGTAAGGATTTGGAAGATTCTAATAATACTATCAACTAATGTAGTCTAATTTCAAGTTTTAGAACACTACACAAAAAATTTCATGAAAATATTTTTATCAAATTTACATGGAATGTTTACGAAGGACTGTGTAGTCTCGGCCATTAAATAAGTCTCAATAATTTGCAAAAGATTAAAAATTATCTTCAGAGGTGAAACAATGGTTTTTGCGTTGATTGAGATATTGATTAAATATGTACATTTGTGAAAACTTACTAAATTGAATGCTTAATTTCTGTGCATTTTGCTGTATCTCAATTCTAATAGAAAGACAGGCAAACATATAAATACCTATTACAGACATACCTACACACACACACGTGTGTGTGTATGTGCGTGTATGTGTGTGTATAAGTCATTTGCATATATACTGGCAGTGAATCCCAGTAAAGGTGAGGAATACATATTCTCACACTGGTAGAAATGATGACTTTTTACAGTCTGATTTTTTTTGTGTTTTAATCCAGAAATAATCCCAAAATTAGAGATACAAGGGAATGGTAATTGGTCCATAGAATAAGAACTGTCCAAGAAATTTATAGCACATGACTCCCTGTCCCACGCTCAATTGAGGTTTGTTTTATGTCTTTGCTCTGGGAAGAAAGCCCCCAGTTTAGCTTTCTAAATGATGAGTTCAGAATCTACTCACAAGCATTAGAGATTAGTAAAGTTCCTTGTATTCAGTAGAGTTCCTTGCAACAAGCATGAGCAGTAGAGATGCTGCCACTTTCAAAAGACTTACATATGGACCACTGAAAAGAAAGGCATTATGTGGTCAATTTTAGAGCATGCGCCATGTGGAGATGAGAAGAATGTATATTCTGTTGTTTTTGGATGGAGAGTTCTGTAGATGTCTATCAGACTCATTCGGTGGAATGTTGGGTTCAGATCCTGAATATCATTGTTAATTTTCTACCTTGATGATCTGTCTATGACTATCAGTGGTGTGTTAAAGTCTCCTACTATTATTGTGTGGGAGCCTCTTTGTACTCTAAGAACTTACTTTATGAATCTGGGTGTTCCTGTGTTGGGTGCATATATATTTAAGTTAGTAAGGTCTTCTTGTTGAGTAAAACCCTTCATCATTATGTAATGCCCTTCGTCTTTTTTTTTTTTTTTTTTTTTTGAGACGGAGCCTCACTCTGTCGCCAGGCTATAGTGCAGTGGCATAATCTCAGCTCACTGCAATCTCCGCCTCCCGGGTTCAAGTGATTCTCCTGCCTCAGCCTCCCGAGTAGCTGGGACTACAGGCACACACCACCAAGCCCAGCTTATTTTTTTTTTTTTTTTGGATTTTAGTAGAGATGGGGTTTCACAATGTTGGCCAGGATGGTCTCGATCTCCTGACCTTGTAATCCGCCCACCTTGGCCTCCCAAAGTGCTGGGATTACAGGTGTGAGCCACCACTCCCGGCCCCTTCTTTGTCTTTTTTGAACTTTGTTTGTTTGACGTCTGTTTGGTCTGAAATTAGGATGCAACCCCTGCTTTTTTCTGTTTTCTACATGCTTGGTAGATTTTCCTCCATTCCTTTATTTTGAGCCGATGGGTGTCATCACATGTGAGATAGGTCTCAAAGACAGCATACCATTGAGTCTTGCTTTTTTATTCAGCTTGCCCCCCTTTACCTTTTAAGTGGGGCATTTAGCCCACTTACATTCAAGGTTAGTATTTGATATGTGTAGATTTGATGCCCTCCCTCATGACTCCTATTCAACATAGGAAATCCCAGCCAGAGTAATCAGGCAAGAGAAAGAAATAAAGGGCATCCAAATAGGAAGAGAGGAAGTAAAATTATCCCTATTTGAAGCTGACATGATTCTATATCTAGAAAACCCCATAGTCTCAGCCGCAAAGCTCCTTCTGCTAATAAAAAAAACTTCAGCAAAGTTTTAGAAAGAAAATCAATGTACAAAAATCACTAGCATTTCTATAAACCAACAGTAACCAAGCTGGCAGTCAAATCAGGAAGGCAATCCCATTCACAATTTTCACAAAAAGAATAAAATATCTAGGGTAAAATACAACTAACCAGGGAGGTGAAAAATCTCTACAATGAGAATTACAAAACACTGCACAAAGAAATCAGAGAGGATACAAACAAAATGGAAAACATATCATGCTCATGGATAGGAAGAAGCAATATCATTAAAAGGCCATACTGCACAAAGCAATTTACAGATTAAATGCTATTTCTATCAAACTACCAATGACATTCTTCACAAAACTAGAAACAACTGTTTTAAAATTCATGTGGAACCAAAAAAGAGGCCAAATAGCCAAGGCAATCTTAAGAAAAAGAACAAAGCTGGAAGCATCAGGCTATCTGACCTCAAACTATACTACAGGGCTATGTTAACCAAAACAGCATGGTGCTGGCACAAAAACAGGGACATAAACCAATAGAACAGAATAGAGAACCCAGAAATAAAGCCACACAGCTATGATTATCTGATCATCAATAAAACTGACAAAAACGAGCAATGGGGAAAAGACTGTCTTTTCAATAAATGGTACTGGGATAACTAACTAGCCATATGCAAAAGATTGAAACTGGACCCCTTCCATACACAATATACAAAAATCAACTCAAGATGGATTAAACACTTAAATGCAAAACACAAAATTAGAAAAACCCTGGAAGACAACCTAGGCAATACCATCCTGGACTTAGAACAGGCAAGGATTTCATGACTAAGATGTCAAAAGCAATTGCAACAAAAGCAAAAATTCATAAATGGGAACTTCATTAGTCCATTTTCACACTGCTATAAAGAACCACCAGAGACTGAGTAATTTATTAAGAAAAAGGTTTAATTGACTTGAAGTTCAGCATGGCTGGGAAGGCCTCAGGAAACTTACAATTATAGGAGAAGGTGAAAGGGATGCAATGCACCTTTTTCACAAGGCGGCAGGAAGGAGAAGTACCAGGCAAAGCTGGGAAGAGCCCCTCATAAAACCATTAGATCTCGTGAGAACTCATTCACTATCACAAGAACAGCATGGGTGAAACCACCCCCAGATTCAATTACCTCCACCTGGTCTCTCCATGTGGTGATTATGGAGATTATAATTCAAGATGAGATTTGGGTGGGGATACAAAGCCTAAACATATCAGGATCTCATTAAACTTATTAAGAGCTTCTGCATAGCAAAAGAAACTATTAACAAAATAAACAGACAACCTACAGAGTGGGAGAAACTATTTGCAAACTATGCGTCTGACAAATGTCTAAAATCCAGCACCTATAAGGAATTTAAACAAATTTACAAGAGAAAAACAACCCCACTAAAATGTGGGCAAAGTACATGAACAGACACTTTTCAAAAGAAGACGTACATGTAGCCAACAAGCATGTGAAAAAAAAAAAAAACTCAATATCACTGATCATTAGAGAAATGCAAATTAAAACCACAATGAAATATAATTTCATACCAGTTAAAATGGCTACTATTAAAATGTCAAAAAATAACAGATGCTGGCAGGTTGTGGAGAAAAGGAAACACACACTGTTAGTGGGAGTGTAAGTTAGTTCAACTATTGTGGAAAGCAGCATGGCAATTCCTCAAAGAGATAAAAGCAGAACTACCATTCCAACCAGCAATCGCATTACTGCATATATACCCAGAAGAAAATATATCATTCTACCATAAAGACACATGCACACAAATGTTCATTGCAGCAATATGCACAATGGCAAAGACATAGAATCAACCTCAATGCTCATCAATAAGAGTTTAGATAAAGAAAATGTGGTATATAGACACCATGGAGCTATAAAAAAGAATGAGATCACGTTCTTTGCAGTAACATGGATGGAGCTGGAGGCTATTATACTGGGCAAATTAACACAGGAACAAAAAACCAAATACTAGAAAATACTGCATGTTCTCACTTACAAGTGGGGAACTAAATTATGAGAACACATGGACACAAAGAAGGGAACAGCAGACACTGGAGTCTACTTGAGAGTGGAGGGTGACAGGAGACAGAGGAGCAGGAAAAATAATTGTTGAGTACTTGGTACCTAGGTGACAAAATGATCTGTACAACAAACCCTGATGACACGAGTTTACCTATATAACAAACTTTCACAGGTACTCCCAAACCTAAAATAAAAGTTAAAAAAAAAAGAAGAAAGCAAGCCCAAACCCATGCTGTACCACATGGCAGCATGGCATTGCAATTTTCAATTACTTGGGGGAAATAAAGATTCTCATGTGATTAGAGGAAATAATCTTTATTTAATAACAATGCTTAATAAGAACACTTGACAATAGATGGCTGAGAAAACCAAGAATCACCAAATATTTAAATAAAAATAAAAAATAAAGAATATCCTATCTATGAAATGATATAAACACTAAGAAAATAGAATTAACAGAAGAAACTAAAGAAAATGTCAATAGCCTTGGTGTCCATACAGGAATAGGAATCACAAAAATAACCATAAAATATCTTTAAAAATACCTTTTACAAGCAATACTCCAGAATGTCAGAAATTAAAAATATCATTAGCAAAATAAAATGTAGTAAACAGAATAAATAATATAAAAGATAAAACTGATGTCTAAAGATTACCCCAGAATCTGAACTGCATGAGGGGGAATAATAATTACATTACTGGATATGAGAACAACTATTTAATAGACACATCTACTTGGACGACAATGCTTTTTTTTAAATGTCAAATTTCCAGTTTATTAATTTTAATACATTTCTGATCAAAATTACTCATTTCTTTTTGTGCCCTTATTTTTTGCATTAATTTTCATTTTTTACATCTCCATGCTGAATTGAAAAAAACTTCTACTGACCTGTATTTCAGTATATTAATTATTCCTTCAATGGTATCTAATCTGGTGGTAAATTATCTATTATATTTAATTTAAGTAATCACATTTGTATTTTAAATGTTTTGCTTATTTCATCCACAATATAATACTAACACAGTTTTTTCTCTACAATTAGTTTAAGCTTTTAACTAAATTTTTAAAGAGTAAAATATTTATTATCTTTCTCTGATATTGTCCAATGTTTGAAGTCTTTGTGGGTCTAATTATGTTTCATGTTGTTTTTGTTGATTTTAACTTATTTTGCCTTGTTTCACTGTGTTCTTGAGAATATTGTAAGATTTAGCTTCAGGGTATTTTTATAAAGCATTCAGATTTGCTTCTCCCTAACACCTGGGCATACGAGTAGGACCACCTTAAAAAAATGTTCAATTTTTGAGATTACCTGAGTCACGCAGTCACACAAACCCAAGTAGTGGATCCAAGCTACCACTGCTTTAGGTCTGTCTGGTTCACCTTATGCTGAGGGTATAAGATTTGGTCATCTCAATCTTTTAAGGGAGGGCTCCTTAAGAAGACTTAACATATGCTAGTCTTCGGTTTTGGTTTCTTTCTCATTCACCCTGAAACTGTCAAAATAAATATTAATATTTGTAGAGATCGGCAAATTGCAACTGGTAAGGTTATATCCTTACCTCTCTGGGTTCTTCTTTTCTCTTCAAATTTGGTTTGATCACTTATTAAAATTTTATAAGCTCTCAATGCTTTTTAAAAGGTGTTTTAAATGTGCAATCACTAGCATTTTTTAAAGTTTTTTCATTGGGAATTATAGTCTGAATAATATCCCACCATAACTAGAAAATGAAATACCTACCTATTACAAATGCAATACATTTTATATATTGAGTAATTTGCCTTTTTCTAATTAATTTTATTTTAAAACTCATATTAAAATCTATATTTTATAAGAAAAAAAAAAGCTTGACATTTGATTAAGACCAACTTAGCTTCACAAATCTCTACCCGAATGACCACAGGCAAGTGATCTGACATTTGCAAGTGCCTATTTTTTTTTTTTTCATTTATAAAATGGAAATACATAACTGAGCTTAATGTGGATCAAAGAAATTAATATGTAAAAAAAATCAAACACAGAACCTGAAAATGATAAGAAGTCAATTATTCAGCCTACCTATCCACTACTAAAATAATTCTTGGTTATGAACTTCACAAGGGAACACACTGTATTACTACTCTACTCAATAACATGAATTTCATTGTGTATCTTCTGGGGCAAGTGCTTCTTCCAAACAAATTAAACCATGCCACTCACACAATGTTCATCTATCTCATAAGTTTTTGCTATTCTCCTGTTGATTTTACATTTAATGAGGGATAAATTCTATTTTCACAATCATAATCAAATAGTACCTAGAGAATAAAAGCTACTAAGACAAGACAACCCTCAATTCAATTAATAACTAATCCCTCTCTTTTTCAGAGGTACATCAGTTGTTCCTCCAGGATTAAAACCCCTCCTGTTTTACAATAAAAAAGCAGACAGATGACAGGATCTCATTAAACATCTATTGTGCACCCACACAAAAAAAATTAAGTAGGCAGATGCTCTGATTATTTAAAGCAACACACAGAGTTTTAGGATGAAGTTTTATTTCTGAATTTTAACTTATGCACAACTTGTAAAATGTTACTTCATTTATAAATAAAGCAGCACTAACTTGGTAACTTGGAATCACTGTATTTTTCTTCATAAAGAATAAAGTCAGGATAACAGTTAGCTCTCTTTGTTTCTGAATAATGATTCAACATTAATTTAGATATTAGAAGCTCTCACATGCAAGTGTGTGTGCATGCACTCACACACACTACTCTGAAGAGGTAGAATATGAGGAAATAAGATACACATACACAGAGAAGGAATATGTAACATTTAATTTTAACCTCAATGACAGGAGGAGGAGCACCAATAATCTAAAAAAAAAAAGAAATCCCAAAAGTTTTGGATTAGCTGCCTCTCTAGCTAAGTATATATTTTATTGCTAATCAATATGGCATGACCAAAATTATAGCAATGAAAATAGTCATAATTATCATCAAGTAATGAAAATAATATTTATGTGCTCAACAGTATTACTTATATATTCTGATTAAATCATGTGCTATTGAAAGCAGGATGAAGTAGAGCTTATTTTATATCTTAGAATTCTTTTCCATCAATGTCAGTTTAGGAAATGAAAGTTATTAGAATTTCAATGTAATTAATTCATTTGCAATTGGTGTCTATTTGGTTATGTATTTTTTCATAGATATAGTCTGAGAGACATTATCTGGTAACTTTTATCATGTCTCTGAGAAACCAATTTTCTGTAAGGCCTAATTTTTTTTCTTAAATAAATATGTATCTGCTCATGCATATACCAACTTCATGGATTCCAAACAATAAAAAAGTTAATTGTAAGGATTGGACAGAATCTACATTTTAAATGCTATTTAAAACATTATCACACTGTAGTGGAGGAATCATAAACTGCAGAAGTTTTTCAACCATGCCACCACAAACTACATCTCTACAAAATGTTTTGTACTTTTACTTTAAAGAACTAAAATTGGAAACAAAGAGTGGAGAATTATTTCTTCCCTTTCTCTTCCCTTCATCCTCATTCTAGCACCAGTCATACCTGACCATGATTTTTAAAGAGTATAAATTACTCCTCTTCTCAGAGGTAGAAATACACAGAAAAATACACAAAAACCAAATTCTGTCAAAATATATTTAAAGAGGTTTATTCAGAGCCAGTATAAGTGACCAAGGCCTGGGTTACACTATCTCAAGAGGTTCTGAAAGCGTGCCCAAGGCAACCGGGTTACACTTTGGTTTTATACATTCCAAGGAGACAACCAACTGCAGGTAATTGCAGGTAGGTCAGGGTAGGAGCTTGTACGTCATAAGGGGCTTTTAGGGATCCTTTAGTTGACAATTGGTTGAGAGAGTTATGCTATCGTCTAAAGTCTTGAAATCGATAGAAAGGAATGCCTGAGTTCAGATAAGAGTGGGGGAAAGACCAAGGATCTTATTAAGTAGATGAAGCCTCATAGGTGGCCCTCAGAGAGAATAGATGGTAAATGTTTCTTTTCAGACCTTTAAAGGTATCAGACTCTCAATCACTCCTAGGTCCTGGAAAGGCATAGAAAGGGGAAGCATGGCTGCATTAATGAAGATTCTCCATAGATGCAAATTTCCTCTACCTCAGTTTGCTGGCCTTGCAACAGCCATTTCAAAAGACATCAAAGAAATATATTTTAGGGCAAAATATTTTTATATCCTTCAGGGTCTGCTGTCTGTTATGTGATGCTGTACCAGAGTCAGGTTGGAAAGCAAGCCACATTATATAGGGTTAATAAAAAACCCATGTAAAGAGATGTTATCATTCGTAGGGCTGACTCCCAGTTTCTTTAAATAGGAATTTGGGCAAGATGAAAAAAAAAAATCAGAATTTAGTCCTCAACTCAAATATTTTATTCATTCAAACGCTTATTCAAACTACCGAATCCTCCAATAACAGAAAGTATAGTGTCCATCCTGAAGACTTTCATCCCATCTCACAGCATGTTTTCTCCTAGTACACCCTGATTGTCCAAGGACTTCTGAGAACACCATTCCAGAAGAGGTCATGATCTCAACAACTGTCACAGAAAGAAAGAATACAGGAAGACAAGATGCGAAAGTTATGTCAGTGGCTTTCATTCATCACACCACTACGTACTGGTTCTCTAGTACTGTGCTGTTATGATCCTCCTGACTTTTACCCTGTGAATATCCTAGTGCTTTTATATCAGTCTCACATCCTCAACACGCTGGTTTCCATAAAAACGCAACCAAGTCAGATGGCTGTGATCTGGTGGGATTCTAGTTCCATTTGCAGCCTCCAAAGCAGTCTTTTACCTAAGAACACTCAGGCCTCCAAGGTTAAGATAACAGTATACTCCAATGCAAAATTCTCTACCTCCCTACTTCAGGTCCCAGGGACTCTCAACTGCCAGTCACTCTTTGAACAATAAGAACAGACACTTAAATGATGATAACTAATGGCAGCAGCACTAATGTAAGAACGCTGGAACTATTAGTACTCTCATCTTCCAGATGAGAGAACTCAATAACATGATTTACATAAACTGCCTGAAGATACAGTAGAATAATAATAATGAAATCCAGGCATTGTGGACCTGAATGCTGCTACCTAGCTACTCCTCTTTGTGGCTTCTCCATTGTCTTTTCCTGCCAGTTCAGTTCTAACAGGAATAAACAGACGCTATTCAAAAGCTTTTCAAGTCTGAATGAAGATGTACCTAGGGTTGGTGTTGATGAACTTTCCCTCACTCTTCCTTAAGGAAATTTGTTCTTTCCTGCCATTTGAGAGACATGTTCTTCCTCTTCTTCTTCAAAGAGCTAAAATGCACCTTTATTTGCATAATGAAGATAGTGCAGTGAAGTACTTTCTTGCATTGTCAAGGAAATGAGCTCCAAAGGAACTTCCTTTTAGCATAGAGAAAGCTGCTGTTTTTATTTACTTGCATTTTGCATATGAATATATTTTAATTTAGTTTCAACAGGTAACTGAATTAGAAAGTGAAATTATAAAGTCATTTCTCCAAGAAAGAAGGTAGAGCTTATAAATATTAGTAATCTTAGCTGGGCACGATGACTTACGCCTGTAATCCCAGCACTTTGGGAGGCTGATGCGGGCCAATCACCTGAGGTCAGGAGTTTGTGACCAGCCTGGCCAATATGGTGAAACCCTGTCTCTACTAAAAGTACAAAAATTAGTCTCTACTAAAAATACAAAAATTAGCCATATGTGGTGGCACGTGCCTGTAATCCCAATTACTCGGGAGGGTGAGGCAGAAATTGCAGTGAGCTGAGACTGCACCACTGCACTCCAGCTTGGTGAACAGAGTGAGACTCCGCCTAAAAATAAATAAATAAATAAATAAATATTAATAATCTTTTAAAGAAATGATTGTGGCTATTTCTAGGTCTAATGATACTTGCTTAATCGTATTGAAAACAATGTTATTTCTTTGAATGGCAATGGAATGTAAAATATTTAAAAACGCAATTTGACTTTTTTTACTTTTTAAAATTTATGTAGCTGGGCCGGGCACCCTGGCTCATGCCTGTAATCCCAGCACTTTGGGAGGCTGAGACTGGAGGATCACAAGGTCAGGAGATCGAGACCATCCTAGCTAACAGGTGAAACCCCGTCTCTACTAAAAACACAAAAAAATTAGCTGGGCGTGGTGGTGGGCACCTGTAGTACCAGCTACTCGGGAGGCTGAGGCAGGAGAATGGCATGAACCTGGGAGGTGGAGCTTGCAGTGAGTTTGAGATTGCTCCACTGCACTCCAGCCTGGGTGACAGAGCGAGACTCTGTCTCAAAATAATAATAATAATAATAATAATAATAATAAATAAAATAAAATTTATGTAGCTGATATATTACTATAACCTCACTTGCATTTTTAAATTATTTTACTGGTTCTCTCTTTTTACTTTTATCTTACCTATGCTGTATTTGAAGTTAGTTTTATATAGGCAGAATTTTAAAAATTATTTATTTATGGGGTACAAATGCAATTTGGACAATATTGTTGGCCATGTTTTTTCGTTTTTGATTTTTGTTTTTTTAACTACTCTGCCAATCTATGTTTTTTAGTTGGTTTCTATAGGCCTTTTATGTTTAACAATTTGTATGTTGTGGTTGAAGTCTACCACTTTGTTATTTGTTTCTGTTTCTTATTCCTCTGTCTTTTTCTTGCTTTCCAATGGGTTACATAAACATGTTAAGTTTCCATCTTAATTTATTTATAGTGTTTTAAATACAATGTTGCATCACTTAATGACAAAAATTACATTCTGAGAAATGCATTAGGCAATTTCTTCACTGTGTAACATCATATAGTGTATTCTATGTGTAAATAGAGATAGCATAACCTACTACTCACCCTAGGTTATGTGGTACAGCCTATTGATCCTAGGCTACAAACCTATACAGCATGTTACTGTGCTGAATACTGTAGGCATCTGCAACACAACGGTAAATATTTGTGTATCTAAACATAAAAAAAAGGTACAGTAAAAAATCCAGTCAAAACATCAAAAATGGTATACCTGATTAGGGCACTTACTATAAATGAAGTTTGCAGGGCTAGGAGTTGCTCTGGGAGAGTTAGTGAGTAAGTGGTGAGTGAGCGTAAATGCCTAGGGCATCATTGTACAAAACTGTAGACTTTATAAACACTGAATTTATAAAATTTATAAAGAAACTTATTTCTTTCAAAATACATTAAACTTATCCTACAGTAACTTTTTTACTTTATAAACTTTTTAACTTATTTTTAACTTTTTGACTCTTTTGTAACAACACTTAGCTTAAAACGCATATTGTACACAGAAATACTTTATTTCCTTATATCCTTATTCTCTAAGATTTTTTTGTAATTTTACATCTTTTAATTTTTAATTTTTTTGTTGTTGTTGTTAAAAACAAAGACACAAATGCACATACTAGCGTAGGCCTACACAGGGTCAGTATGATCAACATCACTGTTTTCTACCTCCAGATCTTGTCCCACTGGAAGCTCCTCTAGGCCAATAATGCATATGGATCTGTCGACATCTATGATAACAATGCCCTCTGAAATGCCTCGTGAAGGACCACTGTGAGGCTGTTTTACAGTTGCCTATTACTTTTTTTTTTTTTTTTTTTTGAGACAGAGTCTCGCTCTGTCGCCCAGGCTGGAGTGCAGTGGCGTGATCTCGGCTCACTGCAAGCTCCGCCTCCTGGGTTCACGCCATTCTCCTGCCTCAGCCTCCCGAATAGCTGGGAATATAGGCGCCCCCCACCAGGCCTGGCTAATTTTTTGTATTTTTAGTAGAGATGGGGTTTCACCATGTTAGCCAGGATGGTCTCCATCTCCTGACCTCGTGATCTGCCCGCCTCGGGTCTATTTCTTTTAATAAGTAGAAGGTGTACACTACAATAACAATAAAAAATATGGCGTAGTAAATACACAAAAATGTAATATATTTGTTTATTATTATTACTAAGTAAAATGTACTTGTATTAGTCCATTCTCACACTACTATAAAGACACTACCCGAGATTGGGTAATTCATAAAGGAAAGAGGTTTAATTGAGTCACAGTTCTGCATGGCTGAGGAGGCCTCATGGAACTTACAATCATGGTGAAATGGGAAGCAGTCATCTTCTTCACAAGACAACAGGAGAGAGAAGGATTGTGTGTAGGAGGAGCTGTGAAACACTTAACAAAACCATCAGATCTCCTGAGAACTCACTCACTATCGTAAGAACAGTATGGCGGAAACCGCCCACATGATCCAATCACCTTCCACCAGATCCTGCCCTCAACACATGGGTATTATGAAGATTACAATTCAAGATGAGATTTGGGTGGGGATATAGAGCCAAACCATATCATTCCACCCCTGGCCCCTCCCAGATCTCACATATTTTTTACATTTCCAACCCAACATCATGCCTTCCTAACAGTCCCCCAGAGTCTTAAATCATTTCAGCAGTAACTCAACAGCCCACAGTTCAAAGTCTCATCTGAGACAAGGCAAGACGTTTTGGCCTATAAGCCTGTAAAATCAAAAGCAAGTTAGTTACTTCCTAGATACCATGAGGGTACAAGAATTGGATAAATGCTCCCATTCCAAATGGGAGAAATTAGTCAAAACAAAGGGGATACAGGCCCCATGAAAGTCTGAAACCCAGCAGGGCAGTCATTAAAACTTAAAGCTTTAAAATAATCTCCTTGTCTCCATGTTTCACATCCAGGGCATGTTAATGCAAGGGGTGGGCTCCCATGGCCTTGGGCAGTTCCTTCACAGGCTGGCATTGAGTGTCTGTGGCTTTTCCAGGTGCACAGTACAAGCTGTTGGTGGATCTTCCATTCAGGGGTCTGGAGAACAGTGGCCCTCTTCTCATAGCTTCACTAGGCAGTGCCCCAGTGGGGACTCTGTGTGGGAGCTTCAACCCCACATTTCCCTTCTGCACTACCCTAGCAGAGGTTCTCCATGATGGCTCCACCCCTGCAACCAATCTCGACCTGGACATCCAGGCATTTCCATACAACCTATGAAATCTAGGCAGAGGTTTCCACACCTGAATTCTTGACTTCTGTGTACCCTCAGGCCCAACACCATATGGAATCCTCCAAGGCTTGGGGCTTGCACCCTCTGAATCAACAGATGAGCTGTACATTGGCTCCTTTTAGCCACGGCTGGAGCTGGAGTAGCAGCAGCTGGGACACAGGGCACCAAGTCCTGAGGTTGCCCAGAGCAACGGGGCCCTAGGCCCAGCCCATGAAACCATTTTTCCCTCAGAGGCTGCTGGGTCTGTGATGAGAAGGGCTGCCATGGAAGTCTCTGATACGCCCAAGAAAAATTTTGCCATTGTTTTGGCTACTGTAATAACATTTGGCTTCTTGTTATTTAGGCAAATTTCTGTAGCCAGCTTGAATTCCTCCCCTGAAAAATGGGTTTTTCTTTTCTACTGCATGGTCAGGCTGCAAATTTTCCAAACTTTTATGCCCTGCTTCCATTTTAAACATAAGTTCCAATTTGAGATAATGTTTCTCAAATTAAAAGTTCCACAGATCTCTAGGACAGGGGCAAAATGCTTCCAGTCTCTTTGCTAAGGCAGAGTAACAGTGATCTTTGGGCTCTAGTTCCTAATGAGTTCTTGTCCATCCAAGACCACCTCAGCTTGGACTTCACTGTCTATATCACTATCAGCATTTTGGTCAAAACCATTCCACAGGTCCCTAGGAAGTTTCAAACTTTCTCACAACTTCCTGTCTTCTTCTGAGCCCTCCAAACACTTCCAACCTCTGCCCGATACCCAGTTCTAAAGTCACTTCCTCATTTTCAGTATCTTTATAGCAGTGCCCCACTCCCAGTACCAATTTACTCTATTAGTCTGTTCTCACACTGCTATAAAGATACTACCCAAGACAGGGTAATTTATAAAGGAAAGAGGATTAATTGACTCATAGTTCTGCATGGCTGGAGAGGCCTCAGAAAACTTACAATCATGGTGGAATAAAAGCAGTTGGCTTCTTCAAAAGGCAACAGGAGAGAATGAGTGTGTCTAGGAGAAATTTTCAAACACTTTTAAAACCATCGGATCTCATGAAAACTTACTCACTATCATGAGAACAGCATGAGGGAAACTGCCTCCAGGATCCAATCACTTCCCACCGGGTCTTGCCCTTGACACGGGAGGATCATGAGGATTACAATTCAAGATGAGATTTGGGTGGGGACACAGCCAAACAATATCAGTACTAGACAGAATTTTATGTGCTACACTTTTATATAACTGGCAATGAAGTAGGTTTGTTTACACCATCATTGCCACAAACAGGTGAGAAATATGTTAGACTATGATGTTAAGACAGCTCAGCTGCAATGTCACTAGGTAATATTCATCTCCATTATAATCTTATGGGACCACCATGATATATGCAGTCTATTGCTGAGCAAAACATCGTTATGCAGTGCATGATTGTACATGATTTTGTTTGGTTTTATTAATTGCACTGGTTAAAATAATATATGTGTAATGTCAAGATCTACTGTTACTGATGTTTTACCTCTTTGAGTGAAGTGTAGAAAACTTGTTTCCATATGAGTCTCTTTACTATCACTACTTTTTAGATATAATTATCTTAAATACTTCCTCTATGTTCCTTGAGCATCTAACCAGATAGGTCATTAATTTTTGCTTCAACTATTAGAAATGGCTTAAAAACTTAAGAGAAGTTTGATTATACATTATATTTATGCTTAATTTTACCCACTTAGATGGATGTTTGTAAAAGCTGCAAACCTTCTTCTTTTATCATTTCTTTTCTGTTTAGAGAACTTATTCTTTAAAGGTAAGTTTGTTAGCAACACATTACCTTAGCATTCTTTCATTAGACAATGTTTTCTATGTCACTTTAATGCCTGAAGAATATTATTGCTGGGTATTGAATTTACAGTTCACAGTTCTGTTCTTTCAGTACTTCAAAAATATTATCTGTTTCCTTCCAACCTTCATGGTTTCAGATGGAAAATCTGCTGTGGTTTACATTATTGTTTTTCTGTAAGAAATGTGCCATTTTTCTCTGTTTGCTTTCAAGATTTTTAATTTTTTTTTTCATTTCCAGAAATTGAATGTATTTGGGTGTATTCTATTTAGGGTTTGCTCTGTTTCTTGAATATTTAGGTTTATGTCTTCCATCTAATTTGGGAAGGTTGAAGTCATTATTTTTTAATAGTTTTTTAGTCCCACATTCTATCTCCTCGTCTTCTATATCTCCTGTGATTATGAATGTTAGCTCTTTTATTATTGTTCTAAAGTTTCCTGAAATGCTGTTAAATTTTTTTTTATCGGTTTTCTTCTTCTTGTTCAGACAGTAAATTCTGTTGGCATGTTTTCAGATTCACTGATTCCATCTTCTGCTCTGTGCTCTCTTCTTTTGTGACCATCCTCTGCATCTATTATTTCCATTATTGTATTTTAATTTTATTTAGTTCATGTTTACTTTTTATAACTTATAAGTCATTATTGAATTTATTTTTAATTTTAACTTTTATTTGTTCCAAGAGAATACAATATATAATTGCTTATTTAAACACTTTTATGATGGTTTCTTCAAAATCCTTGTTAGATAATTCCAACCTCTTTTTTTTTTTTTTTTTTGTCTGAAACAGTCTCACTCTGTTACCCAGGCTGGAGTGCAGCGGTATGATCTTGGCTCACTGCAACCTCCATCTCCCAGGTTCAAGTGATTCTCCTGCCTCAGCCTCCCAAGTAGCTGGGATTACAGGCATGTGCCAATGCACCCAGCTAACTTTTTATATTTTTAGTAGAGGCGGGGTTTCACCATGTTGGACAGGCTGGTCTTGAACTCCTGACCTCAAGTGATCCACCCATCTTGGCCTCCCACAGTGCTGGGATTACAGGTGTGAGCCACTGCGCCCAGCCCCAACCCCTTTTTTATGTCTGTGTTGGTGTCTGTTGTCTTTCTCTCATTCAGGTTATGATTTCCTAGTTCTTTTGTCTTATAAGTGATTTTTATTGTGTCCTGAATTTTTTTTTATATTATGAGAATTTTTCTCTCTTATTATTTCGTAGATGGTTCCCTATTGATGTGTAACCTGAGAGCTGGGTGGGTGTGCGTGTTTATCTTCCTGATGGGACCTACTAATACCATCCTACCAAAAGTAGAGTACTAACTTATACTTCCTTCTTGCAGACTGGTTAGGTGGAAGTTTGTCTTCTCCCTCCACCCACTGGCAACCTCATGGCAAAAGTAGGGTACTGAGTTACATATCTTTGTTTCCTCCAAGTGAAAAAATAACCTCACTTCCCTGATGTGGTCCACTGACACCAGGGAGGGGGTGAGTAGGGGCCAACTCATACCACTTGGTTGCTTCCAAGGAGTAGGAGTGGGGAGAAGCTGTGTAAGAACAGAACTGATCATTAAAGACCCTATTATAAATTCTTGCTTTTATAGTACTTATTCTCGTGGCTTAAATATTCCACACCAATTAATCACCACGGAATATATGAGACATTATATTAATTATTAAATTTTACATGGCAACACTAACAATATTAACTCCCATTTTCTATCTCTTTAATTGAGGTCATTCTTTAGAAGTTTAAGTATAATCCATTCTTCTGTCCTACACGACTGAGTGAAATAGCATGTAGCAGCAACATATAGTACCAGTATGTAATCCTAATGCAATGGCACACCCCAGATGACCCTTTTGTGTATTGGGATTGACCATGGTTTTTCAGTTTAATCAAAGTTTAATTGATTAAACTCGGGGTTCACATTTTCTTTCTACACACCAATATTGAAGAGAAGTACTACAAAATACATAGGAGCACTAAACTGGTAGTAATAAGAAAAACATAAAATATTTAAGATAATGTGTTGCTTTTATTTCTAATATTAGCTACTGATACAATCAAAGCACTGCGGCTCAGTTTTCTCTTTTGTAAGAGGACAAGTTTGTATTAGTTAATCTTTAAATGTCTCTACAATCTGATTCTGAGATTGTGAATAAATAGATCTAAATACTGTTACAGGTATATAAATACAGATATAAATGCAGGTATGGGTAAAATTATGGCTATGGGTCCCAGCCTTAAATTCTTATTTTTTTATAACTAATTGATGTTCAGGGATAGATTTATGTGATCTGCTCATTTGCAGGGGCCCATCACTTGGCTAATTCTTTGGTGTCATTCGTGTCAAGTTTTAAATAATTTTTGAGGAAGATGTCCTATATTTTAATTTTGCACTGAACACTGCAAATTTTGTAGCTGTTCCTGTTAATTTGTTAATGAAATTTCTCTTTAGAAACTATTAAATTAATAAGACAATAATTAAGCAAATAATTATTAAATTTTACATGGTAACACTAGCAATATTAACTCTCATTTTCTATCACTTTAATTCAGGCCATCCTTTAGAGGATTAAGTATAATCCATTCTTATGTCCTACACAACTGAGTGTGTAGTACCAGTACGTAATCCTAATGTAATGGCACACCCCAGATGACCTTTTTGTGTGTTGGCATGGTTTTTCAGTTTAAGCAAAAGTTTAATTGATTGAAACTTGAAGTTCACATTTTTTTTTCTACACACCAATATTGAAGAGAAGTCCTACAAAATACTTATTCTATGGAAAAAAACAAAGTCCACTTTAGATCTAAAATGGTTGCATAAAATTTTGAGAATAACTTAAATGTTATATGAATGTAAGTAAAAATTTTACTGTAAACTTTGTAAATGCTAACTATAAACAGAAAACAAGTATATCTTACATAAAGAAATGTGTAGACTCTCTGTATTAATCCATTATCACATTGCTATAAAGAATACCCGAGACAGGGTAATTTACAAAGGAAAGAGGCTTAATTGACTCACAGTTCTGCACGGCTGGGGAGGCCTCAGGGAACTTACAATCATGGTGGAAGGGGAAGCAGGCACGTCTTACATGGCAGCAGGGGAGAGAGAGCATGTGAAGGAGGCACTGTCAAACACTTGTAAAACCATCAGATCTCATGAGAACTCATTCACTATCATGAGAACATCTAGGGGAAACTGTGCCCATGATCCAATCACCTCCCACCAGGCCCCTCAACACATGGGCATTATGGGAATTACGATTCAAGATGAGATTTGGGTGACAGCACAGAGCCAAACCATATCACTCTCTGTGCCTTGTATTTCTCATACTAGTCAATGCCAACTCATTAAAAGTTATCTGGAGATATAACATTTTTGGGGGATTATATATTGCCACTACTGTTATATTTTTGTCAGGATAATGTAGCAATTCCCAAATAAATCATACTTAAACCTCCACAGAAAAGATAAATAGAAATGAGAATTCCATTGCCAGCATTGCTTTGAAAAACGTTTCAGAACTTTGAATATATATACTCATAAACACACACACATACACAGATATATATTTCTGCATGTGTATATACATATATGGATACATATGTTCTTAAACTTTCTTTTAACAGAAAAATTAAAATAGAAGGAAAATAATAGAGCACTAGTTATATAACTAGTATTATATAAATAATGTTATGTAACTAGTTATATAATTAAAAATATAAGAACCTAGGTGAGAATGAGAAAGTCTAGATTTAGATTTACTACTTTTCCTAATACACACCCACACACATATATGTATGTGTGTGTGTGTGTGTGTGTGTGTGTGTGTGTGTGTATACTGTATTTGTCTCATAGTGGCTGGAGCACATTACTACCAACTTAGTGGATTAAAACACCACAAATCTACTATCTTACAGTTCTGCAAGTAAAGACTAAAATAGAGTCACATAGGTGAAAATCAAGAGCTTCTACTCTCTTGAGGCTGCTTGGATTCTTGGCTATAACCCCTTTCTCCATCTTGAAATTCTGTCACTCCAACCTCTGCTTTCATAACACATCTCCCATCTCCTTCCTAACTCGAAGGCATCTTCTCAGTCTTACAAGAACTCCACTTGGGTTCACATTTGGAACACCCAAATAACCCATCTTAATATTCTCATCTCTAGATCCTTAAATAATTGCTTCTACAATGTCCTTTTTGTCATGGAAGGTGACATTTTCACAGGTTCCAGAAATTAGGACGTCGACATTTTAGTAAGCCATTATTCTGTCTACCACAGTGGCCTTGAATAGAAATCCTTCAGTTTTCATATACAGAAACAAAACATTCTTCCAAATGAGGAAGTTAGATTGGGAAAAAAAAAGTCAGCCACACAGGTCTCCCCATTAAAACTTAAAGATGGTTACATATTTTATTCTGAGTTAAAATGGAGAGTCTTCCTATATAACTCTCTTTCCACTGTATGATTTATCACTTAATATCTCTCCCTTTCCGTTGTATGATTTGTCACTTAATATCTCTCTCTTACTTGAAGTCAGAGAACAGCAAACAGTTTGCAAAATATATAGTCTATAAGTTGTGGTCCAAATAGTTCTTAGAATTCAGCTACATCTAAGTACACAATTACTTATTTAAGCTTGATTCAGTGAAACAGATTTTCAGTTGAGTTTCTTAATGGGAATGACCAGTCACATTTTTCAAATTTGGCTTTATGCATAAATTGACAAATTATTTATAATTTGAAACATCTGGGCTCATTTTTTAAAAACAACTCATAAAATAAGAAATCATTTTATTGGTTCAAGCACGCATGCTATTAAATGACTCATCTTAATTTTTATCTTTTCATAAATGTTGGAAAATCTCAAGAAACCGTTATGTTGTCCTAAAAATGGGCAAGCAAGGTTAATTTGTTTTTGATGTTTAGATAGTTAGGTTATTTCTCATTTTTCTTTTAGGGATTACGTTGCTATCCTAAAGCTTGACATTGGTTAGAGTCAGCCAATGTCAAATTTTTACCTATAGATAGTCTTAGAAAGATATTGCAAATTAGTGCTGCTTCTAGTAGCTAAAATAACCTGCAGCTAGCTGGCAGGCAGCAGTGAATATTTTAAAAGGTGTACCAAATTACATTTAGATTTTCAGTTCCTTTTGAAGTGAAAAGAATATTCAAAGCTTGGAAGTCTTTGACTCTCATAAGCCTAGTAGATTTCAAGTATAAACATAGATTTAAAGATAGTTTACAGACAAATTGTGGATTTTATGTTATAATCTCAGATTAATGATTTTTTCCTTTTTGTGATTTTTTTCCCAAAGTAATTGTAAAGGACTGTGTGTGTGTGTGAGAGAGAGAGAGAAACAGAGAGAAAGAAACAGAGATAGAGACATTGTCCAAATGTACACGTAAGATTTTCTGTGACAATTACACATGGATTATCTAGTAACAAGTTGAACTACATGAAGCAATTGTATATCATCAGATATATACTATATGAAACAACTGTGTATAATCAGATTTATACTACATGAAGCAACTATAATCAGATTTACACCACTTTCTGAAGAAAACTACAATTAATTGGATACTAAAGTGGTTTCTGAAAGCCTAATTATTCTCAAGTCCATATGTGTGTTTGGTGGGATGGCAGTGAGTTTTTGGAACAAGCTTAACTGTTTTTTGAAATAGTTGTGAACTTCACAAGTTAGATGAAATACATGTCACAAGAAATTTTCCATGTGGAGACAATTTAGTAGTATTTCCACATTTATGTTCAATAAGTGTAAATTATAAAATGATATTTTTGCTCAAAAATAAATGAAAATAACACATTTGAAACAAAAGTAGACTCACCCACCCTCCAGAATGATATCCAAAGACCAAAGGAAGTTTGGCCTTTTTTAGGCATTTGAGACTTGCTTTCAGTAAATCATATCATCATATTTATTTCTATAACTTTTCTTTTTTTTTGAGATGGAGTCTCGCTTTGTCACCCAGGCTGGAGGGCAATGGCGTGATCTTGGCTCAGTGCAGCTTCCGCCTCCTGGGCTCAAGTGATTTTCCCACCTCAGCCTCCCCAGTAGCTGGGATTACAGACGTGAGCCACTATGCCTGTTTATTTATTTATTTATTTATTTTTTAAGTAGAGATGGAGTTTCACCATGTTGGCCAGGCTGGTCTAAAACTCCTGACTTCAAGTGATCCACCCACCTTGGCCTCCCAAAGTGCTGGGATTACAGGCGTGAGCCACTGGGCCCGACCTCTGTAACTTTTTATATTACTGTTTATCATGAGTACGCACAAAAAACCACTTTTTGAATATCTTTTTCTCAGATATTTAATTATTAAGAACAAGGCAAAAATGTGTATACATTAGGTAAAAACTGCGAAAGCATGTCCAAAGAAGAAATAAAGTTCTGTAAATACTCAGAATCAACAGTTGAATAGGTATTCAGGTTTTCAGAGTTAAAAGCACAAATGCATATTTTAGTCTCTTTTCATTTTATTTTAAATATGACTATCCATAGAATGACTATTGCACAGTTTCATATAACTCCCTTATTTGTGTATTTAGTAACTGAGATTCATTATTTTTTAATTAGTACCTAAATAATTACTAGTAATCTGAAACTGATTTTCTTTTATGAGGGCAAAATGCTTTTTCTTTTAATAGGAAAAAGCAAAAAGGAAGTTAGTTTAAGTATTTTTTAAATAAAAGAAATTGACAAAATAAAAAGCATGTTAAATTTAATTGTAACCCTGATGTATGTAAAACCTTTATTAAAAAGATTTTTCCAAAGTTCTTATTAAGCTTTAATTAGCTATTTGTATATATTACCTTACTGGCATTTTAAAAGTATAATTATTACATATTGTGTGGAAAGATTTAAACATTCAGAAAATATAAAACTCAGTGCAACTATTTTTTCCTACTCTTCATGTATTATAATTCAGTCTTTTTGATAATTTTATATATATAGAAGGTATGATATTTATATTACATTTAAAATTTAGTACAACTTTTATTAAAGTGTACATATTATTTATACAATGCTTTTTTCTTTTCTATATCTATACAGCTTACCCATTTTTGAGAAGGCTGCATTTTTTTCTATAACATGTATATGTTGTACTTTACTTGTCTATATCCCCATTAAGAGATATGTTGCTTCCAGGTTTCATTATTATAAATACTGTTTCAGTGAACAGCTTTCAATATACATCTTTGTGCCCATGTGACAATAAAAGTATTTTTGTATGCATCTGCAAGTATAATAGTTATAGTGTCCATGCATTTTCAATTGGGTAGTTGTTTCAAAATAGCCCTACATTTTTCAAATAATTCTAATTCAAAGGACTGCTCCCCTTTCAAACCTGGTAAATATTGAAGTCCTTAATGCTTTTGCCAGAATTAGGCTGAATTGACAGAGCACTGATATGTAGAAGATATATATATATATATATATATACACATGTATATTATATATATATTATAAATATAATATATATATATAAAATTCTTAAAATTTAGCAAGTAACTGAACAACAAAAATGACAGATAAAAGAAGCAGGTCATGCATAGCCTATCTGCCTGAGATTTATTTAACCCTTCTTCAGAAGAGGCTTTGATTCTTGTCTCTCTGTGTCTACCTATAGACAGCATTTCTCCCAGGAAGCTTGCCCTGACCTCCTAGAATTGGTTATGTACCATTTATATATTTTTCATATTCCAATGTACATAACTCATAACAGAAATTATCACAAGGGAACAGCTGTGGTTTTATTGTTATGTCTAGCTATCCAGCTATCATCTTCACCAGACTGTAAGCTCCTTGAAGGCAGAAGCCAGATTTATCTTCATGACCTCTGTGTTTTAGATGAGGTCTCAGAGATAGAGGTCAGAATTTTCCCTCTAGGTAAATTAATTAGATTAACCTCAACTTATACAAAACAGTAGTCATTAAATTTATCCCCAGCCATCAGGAGCTTAACTACTCTGGAGAGAGAGCCAGGTGTTGGAGTAGGCAATTAAGACATCAAGACAAAAGGACATTAACAAACCTTTGAGGTTAAACTGGAAAAAGCCCTGACGGTCCAGTCCCCATCCTTTTTTTCCTTCATGAAACAGCTCTATCAAGGATCACATGGGTCAGCACAGATGTGGAGTTGTCTCACTATCAAAGGAACCCTGAACAACAGGCTCCTGCCTGCAGTTTTATGGAAGGTCAGGAAAAGGCTGGGAGCGGAAAAGCACTGAGTATTGAATCAGAAGGAAGACAATTGTCTTCAAGACTCCTCCTCCTCTCCCCATGAAAAGGAGGTCTTGGGCAAACATGCCTGGGGAAGGTCTGCCAAGGCCCCACAGTGGAGAGGCCTCCAGGGGAGGCACCAGTCAAGTGATGCTGATCTGTGTGTGAGCATGGCCCTGCAGCCCTTACTGAAACTGCCATTAGAGGACTATGCACTAGTGTGGGGAGGGCAGCTCTCCCTGTGGGACCCACTTGGTCAAGTCTTTGTCATTGTTTATGGATGGGCCCAAAAATCACATATAGGATTGAGTCTGGGGCTGAACTCTTTACTGCTCTGTCTGTATTCCCTGTCTTGGTTGACACCTAATACATGACTAAGAAACTAAGAAATCATTTTAGACGTCGTTTTTGTGTCTGTGTTTTATGCTTTGTTGGCTTGAAAACTTCATCCAATAAAACTTTAGTTATTTTTATTACCATTTCTTCCTTTATGACCCCACAGCATCCTCCATGTGCCAGGGTCCAAATCATCTTTAACCCGGACTATTCTATCAGTACCCAAATATATTCTTTCATCAAAATATATTCTTTCTCTTCTCTGGCTGTAATCTCATTCATTTCCAGGCTACTTCTTTTCAAACTAAAAAGCAAATATAATCACACTATTCTCTTTCTTCAAACACTTTCCCAATTCCTAGAGTAAAATCCCCCTTTTATAACATATAAGGCCTCAGTGACCTACCCTCAGGACTTCTTTAATTATTCTCCCATATTGTCCTATTATGTACCTGTTCCATCATCCTTACAACCCTCAGAACTCCCTAATCTGTTTTAATGCCACATTGTTATGCTCTTAATTTCCTTTGATAAAATGATTCTTTCCATTCATAAACTAGTTGATTACCACAATTTCTTAAGTATTCTATTGAAGTTTATCTTATTAGTCCATTTCACACTGCTATAAAGATACTACCTGAGAATGGATAATTTATAAACAAAAGAGGCTTACTTGACTCACAATTCCACATGGCTGAACTTATAAGTGAACTTATAATTAAACTTATAATCATGGTGGAAGGTGAAGGGAAAGCAAGGCAAGTCTTACACTGTGGCAGGTAAGAGAGAGAGCATGCAGGGGAAACTGCCACTTATAAAACCATCAGATCTCCTGAGAACCCCCTCACTATCACAAGAACAGCATAGAAAACCACCCTTTTGAGCTAATCACCTCCCACCAGGTCCCTCCCCATGACACATGGGGATTACAATTCGAGTTGAGATTTGGGTGGGGACACAGAGCCAAATCATAACATGTATCTTCTTTGCCAAGATTTTCCTTACAACGCAAAGTAGATTGACATATTTTAATTTCTTCCATCCCACCCCACCATAATATTCTTACCTCTATGACAGTGCTCATCAAAATTTGTAGCTATTATTTGTTTAAATGACTTCATTATGCTTCTTAAGAGGCATAAACTTTCTGCTATATTCATCTTTGTATGCCTGTCACACATTACATTGGCTGAGACAAGGTAAATATTTAATACATATCTATTAAATAAGAAACTTAAAAAAATAAAAGAGTGAATGAATAACTGTATCTAGGAAGTATGAAAGTGACTTATCTTTTAGCATTTTTCATCAAGGAATTAAGAAATGTGTGGGGAAAAAGTTAAGAGGCCCCAGTTAAAATGGCTTTTATCCCAAATTCAGGCAATAACAAAAGTTGACGAGGATATACAGAAAAAGGAACACTTGCACACTGTCAGTGGGAATGTACATTAGTATGACCCTTAAGGAGAACAGTCTGGAGGTTTCTCAAAAAGCAAAAATTGAGCTATCATATGATCCAGCAATCCCACTCCTGGGTGTATAACCAAAAGAAAGGACATAGTATATCAGAGAGATATCTGCACTCCATGTTTATTTCAGCACTACTCACAATAGCCAAAATTTGGAATCAACCTAAGTATCCATCAAGAGATGAATGAATAAAGAAAATATAGTACATATACAAAATGGAATACCATTCAGCCATAAAAAACAATGAGTTCCTGTCATTTGCTACAATGTGGATAGAACTGGAGGTCATTATGTTAAGTGAAACAAGCCAGGCGCAGAAAGACAAACTTCGGATGCTCTCACTTATTTGTGGGAGCTAAGGCTTAAAACAATTGAACTCATGGAGATAAACAGTATAAAGGTTAACAGGCTGAGAAGGGTAGTGAGGGTTTGGGAGGAAAGCGGGGCAGACTAATAGGTACAAAAACATAGTTAGAAAGAATGAATAAGACCTAGCATTTGCTAGCACAACAGGGTGACTATAGTCAAAAATAATTTAATCGTACATTTAAAAATAACTAGAAGAGTATAATCAGATTGTTTGTAACACAAAGGATAACTGTGTGAAGTGATGGATATTCAATTTACCCTGATGTGATTATTATGCATGTATCAAAACATCTCATGTACTCCATAAATTTTCAAAAGAAGTATGTATAGCATAACGCTTAAAATAATATACTGTAATAGTCTACAACTTGGCAAGAAATTAAGCTTTCGTTTATTTTTGTCACAACAGGTATACTACATGCAGATTAAAATATATATTTTATATATATATATATACCATCTATTTCTTAAGGGCATTTTTCATAACCTTGAAATATAAACAATAAAAATTATGAAGCAATAATTTATTTTTTTAAAAAAATCCACTTGCCAAACAAACAAGATACTCCTTCCAGGATGTCAGTAATATCAAGATAAAATGCCAGAGAATTTTAGCTCAGTATAGGAAATCAAACAGCTAATTTTTAACTTTGATGGAGGAGAAAATTAGATAAATTCTGAAACTTCATCCATTTATTTTTCTCTCTCCATATATGTTAACAACAAGCAAACACATTAAATCCTTAAATTTGGTTACTAAGTTCACAAATGTCATGGACACAGTGAGGTAATATTTACAGACTGAATACTGATTTACTATCCTTTGAGTTTATTTCTACATTTCATAGAGTAGATGCTCTTTATAGATAAACTCTTTTGGAAAAAGTCCAGATAACTGGATAATTAACTATTAATATCACTTTTTGAAAATTAAATATTAATATGTTTCTTCCAGGAAAAATTATTTAACAGGTTTTATTCAGACTACTAAGACATATGAAAACCTGACATTAACTCTTTGGTTTTCTAAAGATTCTCTTCAGGAAAATATGCCATCAGTCTTTCTAAATGTATTCAATTTTATCTCAGCAGTCTTGAACCTCCATCTACATGATGTTAATATACCTCCAAACAGCCATTCACATTTCTTAAGGTGATGAAATATGTATTACCTATAATATTCTTAACTACGTTATTGTAAGGCATATTTATCATGCCACATAATCCTGGGCGAAAATTGGATATAATAACAATTCCCAAAAATGCCTCTTGACAAAGAGTTGGAATTCAACTTTTTTCTTCTACTGCTAAGGATGTTTGCATCATGTCTTTGGAAAAATGTATCTCATAATTGCAAAGCCCTAATTCCTGATGCTCCATTAACAATATTACTCAAGATATTGTTGCTGATGTGGCTGCTTATATTATTCCCAAGTGAATTTGTAGATATTTAGCAATAGCTGAGGCCATCTACAACGTAAATTCCTATCTATGTTACTCCTCTTGAGAATCTACTCTTGGTACATTTAGCAAAGGAAGACACTTTTAGCAACACAGCAGTCCCCCCTTACCAGCGGTTTCACTTTCCCCAGTTTTAGCTATCAGGGGTCAATCATGTTTTGAAAAATATTAAATAAAAGTTATAGAAATAATAACTTTGAAATTGTGTACCATAACGTGATAAATTCTCAGGTTGTCCATCCTACTCCCTGTTTTCTTTATCACAAAAAGAAAAGTAGATAATAATAAGGTATTTCAAGAGAAAGAGAGACCACATTCACATAACTTTTACTACAGTATATTGTTATAATAATTCTATTATTAGTTATGTTCATATAATTATTAGTAAAAGGAATATAATTATATTCCTATATAATTATAGAAGTATACTACTCCTATACATAATATATTAGTATAACTAATATAATTCTATTATCATTAGTAGTGTTAGTTTAACTAATAAACTAATAGAATTATTAAACTAATATAATTAGCCTATTAGTTTAATACTACTCCCATAATGAGTATATTAGTTTAAACAAATACTACTACTATAATAATTAGTAGTAGTTTAACTAATAAACTACTATAATTATTAGTTAAATTTCACTATGCCTAATTTTTAAATTACAGTCTATTATAAGTATGTATGTGTAGGAAAAATAGTACATGTTTACTATCCACTGTTTCAGGCATCAACTGGGGGTCTTAATACATATCTTTTTACAGATAAGGGTGGAGCTACAGTTACCTTCCAAAAGGTAGTATTGCCACTGCCATTGTTGCCTGCTAATGTAAATTCCAAAGAAGTAGATGATTTTGGGAAGGGCAGAAAATAAAAATTTTCATCAATATTAATGATTTTGCCATTAATGCAGATTACCATTGCCATAGTCTGAGAAGTGACATGAAACTTGAGATTGCTAGAGCTCATAGGACAGTAGAACAGTGAAGACATTGAGGTTTAAAGTGTTAATGTTATGAAGATAGCTAAAAACAGGACTTGATCAGTATAATCCTCTACCTAACACAACTTGGAATGGGGCAGAGAGTAAAGAAATGGACCTCGGTAAGGATGTGCATGAGCACTAAGAGATAGTGCTTGATGCAAGAGCAATAATAACAACAATAACCACAACAAAGGTATATTATTGGGAGCATTAGAGAAGAACAACAGAAAACTAAAAATGTTGTGGATGTTACCTCCAAGCAAGAAAATGGGACTAGGGACACAGGCCCTTTTTGTTTTTTGCTTGCACATTCTGTAATTAGAAAATGTTATTTTATAGACACACATATCAAATAATAGGAGAAAAAAGATATTTCATGTAAGATTAGTTTATTCTCAATATTCTGAATTAGAATATTGGATTAAAACAATATTTAGAATGATAGAAGCTGGATTAAAACAACTTTAAAACAAGCATTTGTACTGCATTGACATCTCTATACAAGTTGCTGTCATACTAGTTGAGAAGAGCTTGGGGACCTGGACTTGGGAGATTTAATGGACCGATAAAATTACTCAGAGGGGTAACCTTATAAAGAATTCTGAAACCAAGAATTTGGAAGTCTAAGAAAAGAAGGGACAACAATGCAAGTTGTCCAACCAAAACCTCTCTTCCCTACTTTCTTGTTTCTGAATGCCATTTTTGTTTGAAAGAGCAATGTGTCCTGCCAAATAACTACAATGCCCAGTCTCCTTGCCCTTGTGGCTGGTGACATGTTATAGTCCTGTAGAAACATACGTGGGCTGAAGTTCTTGAAAAGGACACTTTGTTCTTCAACTTCTCCCTTCCTGCCCTGATATAAAAACATGATAACACACTACTTATTACTCTAAATATGCATAACTTTTATATGCACTAGGAAGTGTATATATCAATACTTAGAGATACAATTTCAGAAATGGTCAAATTAAAGAAAACAAGTTAAAAGTTTACAAGTTCTTATAATAATTATAGAGGCAAGATAAATTACAGATTCAATTTTTTAAACTAGTAATTTAATTAATCACATCATGGATAATGTTTAGAGCTAAAATTTATTCTGTATTTACATAATCAATATTGTAATTAAAAACCACTGAGTATTTTTTGTTGCAACTGAATGTTGTGTCCCCTCAAAATTCATGTGATGAAAACTTAACCTTCAGTATGATGGTAGCAGGACCTATAAGCTGCATATTTATAATGAACTTTGGGAAGTAATTAGCTTATTATGGTGGAGGCTTCATAAATTAGATTGGTGCCCTTAAAAATGACTCTTGAGAGCTCTTTCTGTCCACCATGTGAAGCTGCATTGAGAAGGCAGCAGTCTGAAACCCAAGAGAGCTCTCTCACCAGAACCCAATTATGCTGGCACTCTGCTGTTGGACTTCCAGCCTCCAGAACTGTGAGATGTGCATTCCGTTATTTAAAAGCCACTCAGGTTATGGAACTTTATTAAAGCAGCCTGAACGGCTGAAGATGGAAATTGATCATGAGAAGTGGGAGTGCTGTTATTATAAATACCTAAAACAAAGTGAAAATGGTTTTGGGCTCAGTGATTGGCAGAGATTGATGAGGTTTTATGCAAAATGCTAGATTACTGTGGAAGAAATTTAAAAGCCAATTCTCGTGAGGGCTCGGAAAGAAATATAGAAGAAAACGCTGTCTTCTCAGAAAATAATTAAATAATCATGAACAGAATATTGATAAAATATGGACAGTAAAGGTCATTCTGTTGGAGTCTCAAATGGAAATGAAAATGTTATTGGAAAATGGAGCAAAAGCAATCCATGTTGAAAAGTGGAAACAAACTTCTTTGAATTGTATTCATGCTCTTGTGTTTTGCGGAAGGTGGAACTTGTGTGCAGTGAAATTGGACATTTAACCCAGCAGATTTCTCAGCAACATGTAGAAGCAGCAGCTTGGTTCCTTCTGAATCCGTAGAGTCAAATGTAGAAAAAGAAAAAGGTTTGAAGATGGAATTGTTAAGGAAAAAGTAACCATAATTTAAGATCTGGGAAATTCTCAGCCTGTCCATATTGCAAAAAAAGTGAGAAAGTGTGTTCTGAAGAGAACATGAAGAGTGTTTCGGACCCTTACTGATTTGATTAATATGGGTGTGAACCACAGGCTTAATCAAACATCTCAACACAAACCATGAATAGAAATGGGATTATACCAGGAGAAACACTGCCAGTTGGGACTAAAGGAAACAGAGATAATGGGACGAAATAAAGGAAGACATTCGGAATGCTTAAGCCCTACAGGCCCGGACCCGAGAGCTATTCAGTTGTGGATGTGTGCTATTCTCTCCTTCAAAATTACGGAAGAAGGGGCGCAAAGGGGATTTGGAGACAATTACAGCTGCTGCTTTTACCAAAAATCCAGAGGGTATGGCAAGGTGGGCCAAGGTTGCCTCCATTTTGATTTCAAAGGACAGAAATGATGCTCAGAGGAGCTGTGTGGGAGGGCCATCCAGTGAAGCCCTGGGTGAGTGACCTCAGCCCTGACAAAAGACTGTGCCATAAGTGGGTCCAGTGCATAGAGTCAGCAGCGAGCAGTGCCTCACTGAGCTGTCGGGGACTGTCTGGAAGGTGAGTCATCAAGCCAAAGAGGATGCTTCTTGAACCTTAGGGTTTGATGGAGTTTGCCCTGTTAGGTTTTAGATTTACTTGGGATCCAGCATTCATATATTTTATTTTTTTCGAATAGTGGTTCTTTTTGGAATGGGAATGTTTATCCTATGCCTGTCTCACCATTGTATTTTGAGAGTTCATGTTGTTTGATTCCACAGGTTCACAGATGAAGAGAAATTTTGTGAGAATGAACTGTACCGTGAAGCTCACCTGCATCTGATTTAGGTAATATTTAAATAAGACCTTGGACTTTAGACTGGACTTGAGGCTGGAATGAGTTAAGATTTGTGGATTTGTTGGAATGGAATGACTGCATTTTGCATGTGAAGACATGAATTTTGGGGAACCTGGGGCAGAATGTTACGGACTGAATTTTTAAAGTGTACCCTCAAAATCTGTATATTGAAATCGTAACTGTCAATGTAATGGTATTAGTAGTGGGACCTTCAGGAGGTAATTAGGTTGTCATAGTAGAGGCCTCATGAATAGGCTTAGTGTTCTTATAAAAGGGACCTAAGAGAGCTCTCACTTCTTTCCCCATGTGCTTATACAAAAACCCAACAGTCTGCAACCGCAAAAGGGCCCTCCCCAAAACCAGAACATCCTGGCACTCTGACTTTGGACTTCCAACCCCTAGAACAGTAAGAAATACTTTTTTTGTTATTTGTAAGCCACTCAATCTATGGTATTTTGTATAGCAGCCCAAACTAAGACACTCCTCTACACTACAGTGTACACCACATTCTCCTGCCTCTTGGTATGCTTCAGTCACATTGAACTATATTTTGTTTACTAAACATGGCAAATTTATTACTGCACTATGGTTTTGCCATATAATTTTTCCTGTCTTTTCAAACAGAAATTATTTCACAGCATACGCAGCTATAGGCAATTATCTAGCTTATGTATAAAATTACTTTCCTGATATTTGTCTCATTTTTTGTTTTTAAATGTTTTAAATAAATAATAATTGTTTTGAGGGGTACAGTATTATGTCTTCGTATATATTTATATTGTGGAATGATTAAATCAAGCTGCTTAACACATCTCTTATGTCACATATTTATCTTTTTGTTGTGAGAACACTGAAAATAGACTTTTTAGCAATCGAAAAAAGGCAAACCCTTAAAAGCAGAGAGTAGAATGCTAGTTAATGCTGGAGGCAAGGGATAGGGAATGGGGAGATGTTGTTCACAGGGTACAGTTTCAGTTAGACACAAAGATTGAGTTTTAGAGATTGACTTTATAGCAGAGTGACTATATTTAAAAATGACTTCTTGTACATTTCAAATTTTCTATTTAAAATACACATAGTATCTGTATTCCCAGTTCTTAAAACATGACCTATTAAATAACAGATTTGCAAGACTGAATGATTTTTTTTTACCTTGTCCTGATCTCTAGATTTTTTTTAAACTTTATCTCATTAATTGCTAATTCTCTCTTTATGAATGTTAAATACTTAAAATAGCACCAAACATAACTAAACAAAACAAAAACAAAATTTGTTTTTTATTTCAAATGGCATGTTCCATTGCGTTCTAAGACTGGACTGTCTTGGAGATAAAGGAGACTTCATTATTTTATGTAATATTCCTTTGAGAAATCCTGAGCTTTGTGCAAAAATGACATACTTCATTTTTTTTTTGCATAATTTTGTCACTCCATAGAGCCCAGATCGAGTTCCTAAGTTCTCACTAAGGCACATGGGTCTAATTCCATTACATTTTTGGCCTGTGTCAATTAATTTTCTTTTCTCAGATAATAAATTTACACTCCTATTCCACTTCTGAGCAGTTAGACATTTTCAGCATGGAACATTCTATTAAAATGAAATGGCAAATTGCCTTGTAGCACACAAATTTTCAAAGAATGTTTTGTCTGATAATGTAGTTCTTATGAGTTTCTTTCCAAAGTAATCCATTTACACAAAATACATTACTAATTTTGTGCATTTACAAACTACACATAATTTCAAAGTGATGTCATTGTTCCACAAATACATCTAGGTTTCAAAGTGATTGATTAAATTCTGTTTAAAATTTTGCACAGAAGTGCAGTATATAATCACATTTTATATCCCTCTGTGCAGGATATAGTTTTCTAAATCATACTCCGTTGTCAGGAGCATGTTCATCTTCCATACAGAACACACTGACTGAAAATAAGATCAAGTCTGCACATTTGGGATATAAATTTTTGAGATTACTGCTCTTGGTATAATATATCTCTCTTGTACTTGAGCCTCTAGATCTTGCTGTTTTTAACACTTTTGTGCTTGCAAGATTTACGTTTCTGTATACTTTGTTTATATTCAGCAGCTAAGTATATTTTGTCCTGTTATCATGACTCAACCTGTGATTTGTTTCAAAAGTACAAGTAAGGTTTTAAACATAATTATAGTGTAATCTCTTTAAATTTTGCTGCATTATCACTCAGAATGAGAAAAATATAAATTAAAAGTGTGTGCACATGTATACACATTGTTCAATATACAAACTTAGGTATCATGTTAGATTCATCACGATTTGAAAATGAAATCTGATTATAATACTTGCAAGATGACTTACAAGTTAATATTTATATGTACACTTACAATTTTTATAATTTTTAAAACCATCCAATATGTTAGTTTTCTTTGATTTCTAATGATAACAGTAGAAATATCTGGCCCTGGTTATCACATCTGGTTGTTATGATCAATAGAAACGATATATGCAAAAGCAAATACATTTTAAAACTTTTTAATATTAATTTTTATTGTTACATATTCTGAATAATGCAGTTTTATAGTTATTATTATAACATGACACAAATGGTAGAGATTTTGATGCCTACATTTTTAATAAAAATGTTCAAAACCATATTTCACAAGATGTATCATGCTGTAAGGTTGCAACAGCCCTCTCAAATAGAGTTCTGCCTTTCTCTTGCCATTTAAACTAATGCTATCTGAGAGTGCAACAGAAGGCCCTCATTACATGCTGGTATCTTGATCATTGACTTCCTTGCCTACAGAACTATCAGAAAATAATTTTCTATTTTTTATAAATTACCCAGTCTCAGGTATTTTGTTACAGCAGCACAAAACAGACTAAGACATAAAGTGTAAAATTATCCTTCCATATTGCTGCAAGTGAAATGATTTTATTTTTTATAGCTGTGTAGTATTCATTGTGCGTGTATGTGTGTGTATATATGTATATATGTATATCACATCATTTTCTTTATCCAGTTATTTGTTGATGGACACATGTTGATTCAATATCTTTGGTATTATGAATATTGCTGCTATAAATAAATGAGTGCAAATATCTTTTTTGGTATAATGATATTTTTTCTTTTGGGTATACACCCAGTATAGGATTGATAGAGTGAATTGTGGCTCTTTAATACTTGAAAAAATTTTCATACTGTTTTAATAGAGGTGGGACAAATTTACATTCCTTCTAATTATACTATAAGGCTATAGTAACAAAAACAATATGATACTGATATAAAAATGGACACAATACTCAATAGAGCAAAACAGAAATTCCAGGAATAAAGTGACAAAGGCACTTTGTCACTTTATTAGTGGATATTTATAAAGGGACCTACCTACAGTCAATGGATGTTTGACAACATTGAAAAAAACATACACTGGGAAAAGGATATCCCCTTCAATAAATAGTGCAGGGAAAATTGGAAAGCCACATGCAGAGGAATAAAACTGGGCCCCTATCTGTTGCCATCCACAAAATTAACTCAGGATGAATTAAAGAATTAAATATAATACCTGAAGATATAAAAGTACTCATAGAATACCTGGAAAAACTCTTCTAGACATTGGCCTTGGCAAAAAATTTGTGACTAAGACCTCAAAAGCAAATTTAGCAAAAACAAAAGTAGACAAATGGGACTTAATTAAACAAGAAAGTTTCTGCACAGCAAAAGAAATAACTGAGAAAACAGATAACCTGAAGAATGTGAGAAAATATTTGCAAACTATGCATCCAACTAAGTACTAATATCCAGAATCGACAAGAAATTCAAACAACTCAACAACAACATAGATAACCCCATTAAAAAATGGACAAAGTACATAAACAGGCATTTCTCAAAAGAAGACATACTAGTGGACAGCAAACATATGAAATAATGCTCAGTCTCATCATCAGAGAAATAAAAATTAAAAACACAGTGAAATGTCACCTTATACTAGTCAGAATGGCTATTTTTTAAAAGTCACAACACATCAGGTATTGATGAGAATGCAGAGAGAAGTGAGTGAATCCTTATATAGTATAGGTGACATTTTTATTTATAGAATATCAAAATAGTTACTTAAAATTCATTTGAATTATAAAATATTAAAATGTAGATTTATGAATACTTTGTACTTTCTAAAAGTTTAACCACAATAAAAATCCAAACTACCACTGTTGTGTCCATAATAATTCATAATTGTATGTGATGATGTTGAGAAATCTTCCTAAATATTAGGATGAGTCCCTCATTTATTTTAATGAAAATATCATTCTTAAAAGCATTTCAAGGAATATAGCTCAATAATTCAACGAATAACATTTGCAAATTGATAATCCATGGTTCAAAGATGTCAAGATGAACTCAAAGTCTACAGGGATACCCTTTTGATTCAAGGAAATAATGTTACCCTAAATGAGAGAAGATAGGGAAGACCATGTCAAATGAATCACTTTTTGATGTGGTTTGGCTGTGTCCCCACCCAGATCTCATTTTGAATTTTAGTTCTCATAATCCCCATGTGTCATGGGAGGCACCTGGTGGGAGGTAATTGAATCATGAGGGCGGTTACCCTCCATGCTGTTCTTGTGATAGTGAGTGAGTCTCACAAGATCTGATGGTTTTATAAGGGGATTCCACATTTGCTCGGCTCTCATTCTTCTCCTTCCTGCTGCCATGTGAAGAAGGACTTGATTGCTTCCCCTTCCACCATGATTGTAAGTTTCCTGAATGTTCCCCAGCCGTATGGAACTGTTAGTCCATTAAAGTTCTTTTCCTTATAAATTACCCAGTCTCGGGTATTTCTTCATAGCAGCATGAGAACAGACTAATACACACTTCAATATTGATTTACATTTCTATGATCATCAGTGATCTTGAGTATTTTTTAATGTTTGTTGGCAACCTGCATGTCTTCTTTTGATAAATGTCTGTTTATGTCATTTGCCTACTTTGTAATGACATAATGTGTTTATTTATTTATTTATTGGGTTCCATGTAGATTCTGGATATTAGTACTTCGTTAGATACATAATTTGTGAATATTTTCTCCTGTTCTGTAGGTTGCCTGTTTACTCTGTTGATTATTTCCTTTGCTGTGCAGAAGATTTTTAGTTTACTTAGGTCCCATTTGCCTATTATTATTTTTGTTTCATTTGCTTCTGATGACTTAGTCATAAATTCTTTGTCAAGGCTGATATTCAGTAAAGTTTTCCTAGGTTTTCTTCTAGGAATTTTATAGGTTTTTACATTTGAGTATTTAATCAATCTTGAGTTAATTTTTATATATGGTGAGATATAGGAATCCAGTTTTATTCTTGTGTATACGGATATCCAATTTTTCTAGTATAATTTATTGAAAAAGGTATCCTTTCCACATTGTTTATTTGTGCACGCTTTGTTGAAGATTAGTTGGTTGTAGGTATGTGGCTTTATTTCTTGGTTCTCTATTTAATTTTATTAAACTATGTATCTGTTTTTGTATTGGTACCATGCTGTTCTTGTTACTATAGGTTTGTAGTATAGTTTGAAATGGCGTGAAGTGCTGACTCCAGCTTTGTTCTTTTTGCTTAGAATTGCTTTGGCTATCTGGGTCATTTTTTCAATTCAGGATTTCATATACACTTTGGGATTGTTGTTTTCTAATTCTGTGAAAAATGACATTGGTAGTTTGATAGAAATTGCACTGAATCTTTAGATTGCTTTGGACACCATGGTCATTTTTAATTTTTTTTAATCCATGAACATGGGATATTTTTCCATTAGTTTGTTTTATTTCAGGTTTCTTCCACCCATCTTTTGTAGTTCTTATTGTAGAAATATTTTACCTCCTTGGTTAAACGTATTTCTCAGTTATATGTGTGTGTGTGTGTGTGTGTGTGTGTGTCTATTGTAAATGAGATTGAGTTCTTGATTTTGTTCTCAGCTTGAATATTATTGCTATATAGAAATACTACTGACTATTGGACATTGACTTTGTATTCTGAAACTTTATTGCAGTCATTTGCCAAGTCTAGGAGTCTTTCAGAGTCTTTAGGGTTTTCTTTGTATAAGACCATGCCATCTCTTAATGTAACTTCTATCCCAACTTTTGTGGTAATTTTTTTCTTGCATTTTTCATAATTTTATTTTCTAATTTGTTTATCCAGAAATACCATTTAGTTCTGTTTGGTATTAGACTTGAAAACAGTGCAAATTTTCTTTCTTAATAAATAATGAAAATAAATTTCGTTTTTGAAATTCATCCATGTTTTTGCTTAGTTCATTCATTTTTACTGATGTATTGAGTAGTCTTAAGTTACCAATTTCATTTTTAATAGTTATGCTTTTTCCAAAAATTTTATAATAATTAGTAGTTTTATCATGACTATTCCTATATACATATTCATATAAATGCATAACCAAGAGTGCAATTGCTCATTTGGAGGGCATGCCATCTTTAGCACTATGACTATTAAATAAATTGTTTGCATTGATTAAGAGAGTGATATTCCACATCATCACCAGGACTGTGGATTGTCAGACATTTTAAGTAACTGTGGCTCCCCATACAGGATAACTTGGTTAAACTTGCTATTCACTTGGCATCCCTAGCATTATATTATTGTCATCATAAGAATGGAACCCAAAGTTCTGGAGTTTTTAATCAATTATTAAACAACAATTAATCGAATAGCGTGTAAGTTCCTAACCTTGTGCTAGCCGTTGTCCTACGTTTGTGATAAGAATAGATAAAGTGCCCTTCTACCTAGCAGTTTAGACAATAAACAAGGAGAAAAGAAATTAAATGTGTATTGTATGATAGCAGGTTAGTGATAATCACTAATAATCCAATGAGTTTATATGATACCAAAATATTGATTAGATCAGGAAATCACTGCTAAAGAGGAAACATTATTTATCAGTATGTTTATAACAGATGGAGCAATGAGTATAAAAGTCATGTGTTAGGGTATGCAAGATGATGATATAGAGCAGAGTAATCAAGGCAAAGGATAATGGTAGGTGGAGAAGCCAGCTTATAGTTCTGAGCAAGATTATATCTTTAGCTTTTATTAGGCATGTAAATGAAATACTTTTGAGATTTTCAGCTGGAAAAATGAAACTAATGTGAAATGCATTATATTGCCAGAGATGACTTCCATTGCCTGGTGGGGAAGAGACTGGAGGAAGGATGGATAATGGCAGCACACAGATGCTGCTGAGAAGCTATTTTAGTAGTTCATGTAAGAGACAATTGTCAAATTTGCAATAAACTTCCAGGTGAAATGGAATTGACTTTCTAATGGCTTGGAATGGTGTATATAAAACAGCTGGTAATGACTCCATGTTTTGAAGCTTTAGAAAATAGATTAATAATGGCTCAAATTACTGAGTGAAAAATTACTGGGAAAGAAGCAGGATTGGCAGGATGCAGATAAAGAATTCTCTTTTACTTACTAAGGTTGAGATGCCTATTTGATATTCAAGGCAGTCGCAAATGAGATGAGTGTTCAGGAATGAGATATCAGCTAAAGATATAAATTTTAGTCTTGTGCCCATATCTTAGCTGCAAGGAAGGATTTTATGAACTGCTGGTGAGACTGTAAATCAGTGCAATCAACGTAGACAAAGAAATAAATGCATACACCATGTCATCTTGTAATAACTCCCAACCCCCAACACCTAAAGAAGAGACTGTGTGTTTAAGTTGGGAGTGTATTGTGGAGTAAGAATAAGAAACAGGATGGGTGCTATAGGGAGAGAGAGTAAAATCTAGAACACATTATTAAGTTAGGTGATGGAATACTATATGACCATTCACTGAAGTGAAACAACGGGGGAAATATGTATCCATCAGCTCTAGGAGTTCCATTTTTCAAGCATAGCCTCATGGATGCTAACTTCTCGATGTGTCTAGACAGTGCATTTATGAGTAACAAGCAAAATGCCTACAACAATCCACACAACATTGTCTGAGAAATCCCACAGCAGAAAGTGAATTCTTGCTCTGGTCTGAAGCCACATACTATCACTTCCATCTTTATGAAACTGACCAAAGTCTACATAAAAATAGTAACCAAGGCTCTGACTGGAACAAGAGGTAATGCTGAGAGGGTCTGCAGTGATGTAAGATCCAATACACCCTATGATTTTTAAATTTTGTTCCTGGGTTTATATCCTAGAGAAACTCTGACATATATATGTGTATATATATATACATTCATATATATACACATTTAATATATATATACACACATACACATTCATAGCAGCTTTTTGTTGAAATAGCAAAAAATGAGAAAAAAACTAAATGGCAATATAATGAACAAAAGGGAGCTGTGTTTTGATATTTTTATATAGTACAATGCTAAACAGCATTTAAAATAATTGATAAGAATTATATGGGCCAACATAGATGGACATCATCAATGTCATATAAAACAAAATAAAGCAGAAGGTAGATAGACACTTTTTTTTTGAGTCGGAGTTTTTGCTCTGTTGTCCAGGCTGGAGTGCAGTGGCGTGGTCTTGGCTCACCGCAACCTCCGCCTCCCGGGTTCAAGCAATTCTCCTGCCTCAGCCTCCTGAGTAGCTCGGATTACAGGCACCCTCCACCACGCCTGGCTAACTTTTGTATTTTTAGTAGAGACAGGGTTTCACCATGTCGGCCAGGCTGGTCTTGAACGCCTGACCTCAGGTGATCCACCCACTTAGGCCTCCCAAAGTGCTGGGATTACAGGCATGAACCACCACGCCCTGATGATAGACACGTTTTTAACTTCTAAAAATATATGATCATGATTGTGTCTGTGGAGACTTGCACATATACTAAATTTTAAACAATTAGAGATATTTGTTCATTACCACATTTTGGGAGTCATTATTTCCTCTATGAAGAGAGAAAGGAATTTGATACAAGTTCACAGGGGCTTCCAGTAGATTGAGACTTTTATTTCTAGCTGAGCTGCTGATGTATGAATTTTTTTTGTTATTATGACTTTCATATGTATTAAAAATAAAATGAAAAAACAAGGATTAGGTGAGGAACCTATACGTCTCTAATATGCAAAATACCACAGAAATAATGACTGTTGGGAAATTAGGCCTTAGCTCTGATGTTTGAACCATCCCCTCAATGTTTCCCAGTGCTTCTTAGAGTATTTTGATCACCTCTGTGTTGGTGCTTTAGAACTAGAGAAGAACGTTTTGTTAACTTTTTTTTTTTTTTTTTTTTTTTTTTTGAGACAGAGTTTCACTCTTATTGCCCAGGCTGGAGTGCAGTGGCACAATCTCGGCTCACTGCAACCTCTGCCTTCTGGATTCAAGCGATTCTCCTGCCTTGGCCTCCAGAGGAGCTGGGATTACCTGCCACCACATCTAGCTAACTTTTTGTATTTAGTTGGTCGGGCTGGTCTTGAACTCCTGACCTCAGGTGATCCACCCATGTCAGCCTCCCAAAGTGCTGGGATTACGTGCGTGAAACACTGCACCTGGCCTTTTGTTAACTTTTAGTTTAAGTTCAGGAGTACACGTGCAGGTTTGTTATACAGGTAAACTCGTGTCATGGGGATTTGTTGTACAGGTTATGTTGTCACCCGGGTATTAAGCTTAGTACCCATTAGTTACTTTTCCTGAACCTCTCCCTTTTCCCACCCGCTACTCTCAGGTAGGTCCGAGTGTGTGGTGTTCTCCTCTATGAGTCCATGTGTTCTTATCACTTGGCTCACATTTATAAATAAGAACATGCTGCATTTGTTTTTCTGTTCCTGCGTTAGTGGGAGCTGAGGATGGGTGGAGCTGAGGATAATGGTCTCCAGCTCCACCCATGTTCCTGCAAAGGACATGATCTTGTTCTTTTGTATGGATGAATACTATAAAGTCTTCCAAACTGTTTTGGTTTTGGTTTGTTTTCTTTCTTGAGAAAGGAAAGACAAAACAGAAATAAAAGAGTAGGCCGAGCGGGGTGGCTCACGCCTGTAATCCCAGCACTTTAGGAGGCTGAGGCAGATGGATCACTAGGGGTCAGGAGTTTGAGACCAGCCTGAACAACATGGTGAAATCCCGTCTCCACTGAAAATACAAAAAATCAGTCAGGCATGGTGGCACATGCCTGTAATTCCAGCTACTAGGGAGGCTGAGGCAGGAGAATCGCTTGAATCTGGGAGGCAATGGGTTGCAGGGTGTGCTGGGATGGCACCACAGCCTGGGTGAAAGAGTGAGACTCTGTCTCAAAAAAAAAATAATAAAATAAAAAAGGGAGAGAGAAAGAGTACCAATGTATGGCAGAAATCAAGAGAAGAGTTTGCTTTTTTGAATAACTACACCCTGGACATTAGTTTCAAGAAACCGTCTGCTGGAAATATATGTTTAAGTTGATGGATCATTATTACACGTAGCAGAAAGAAAGTCACTCCTTGCTAGAAAGCCCTGTGTAGGTCATTAGGCATCACAGTGTGGAGTTATCTAAGCAAGCACCAAGGTAGGATATCTGAATAACTGATTTATTTCCATGTTTACTGACAATATTCATTGCAACAAGTCAGTAGAGAAACAGTAAAGAGGGCAGGCATGGCTATGCTTCTATAGAATCTAGTGAAGAGGAGATAATTTCAAATAACCCAAGAAGGTAAATGAGTAGTCAAATTTTCAAAAGGACTATTAACTCACAAACAGGAAACTATAATAGAAAATAGTTGGTTGAAGGCAGAATGCCCAGTTCAGAAAAGATTCCTCTGAAAAGCAATATATAAGCATAGACTTCGAGGATGAAGAGTCACTCATTTTGAAAGAGCAGATGAAGAAAGTTTCAGGACAAAGAAACAGCCATCTGCAAAGACCTCAACAAAGATATCACACAGAAAATGCTGTATTTAATCTGTTGCTAGACAAAAGTGAGCTACGGATCACATGGTCTTGGATGAGGGAGACAGATGATATAGTTTGGATGTCCCGCCCAAATCTCATGTTGAAACCAGATCCCCAGTGCTGAAGGTGGAGCTTGGTGGGAAGTGTTTGGATCATGAGGTCGAATCCTTCGTGACTTGGTGCTGTCTCCATGGTAGTGCACCTACCCCAACACACTCTCTCTCTCTTGTTCCTGCTTTCACCATGTGAAGTGCCTGCTCCTGCTTTGCCTTCTGTCATGAGTAAAAGCTCCCTGAGGCCTCTCCAGAAGAAGATGCCACTGTGCTTCCTGTACAGCCTGCAGGACTGTGAGTCAATTAAACATTTTTATAATATCCAGTCTCAGATATTTCTTCATAGCAATACAAGAACAGCCTAATATAACAGATAAGCAGGGACTAAAGTCATCAAAATTAGAATTGTGCATTTAATTTTGATTGCATTTAATTTTCATTGCATTTAATTTTGATTGCATTGAAAAGGCAGATGCTTTGAGGCTAGAATGAGGTAATAACTGTTTTGTTTTGTTTTGTTTTGTTTGCTCTTAACAAATTAGTGTGACTTCAGTCCATAGTAAATTGGAGAGGAACTGGTAGAACATAAAAGAACTGGTAAAAAGCCATTGTAAACACTCAAGTTTCAAAAACAATTTTGTGGTAAGGGCAAATCCTCAGGTCAAGAAAAGTGTGTTACTAAATTCCGTTAGTTTCCAGAAGAAAGATAAAGTCATATGACACAGATTTTACTCCTTACGTTAGAGAGTGTGCTAAGGATACCACCCACATTTTCCAACATTTATTTCCATCATGTTTTATGATCTTCATCTATATTCCATCCTCGTTATTTCTAGCAAGTCTATGAAATTTCTTACATTAATAGAAATAATGTATTAATATTCAGCAATGTGCTAAACATTGTTGAAACATTGTCTCAATATTACTCTTGGAAGAGCTCTAAGGTAGACAATATTTCCAATATATGAGTCATGAGGAAACTGAGGAATGGAAAGATTAAACAACTTGTTGAGGGTAGCATAATTGTAAATGGTGAAGACATAATACAAATCCTAATATCTATGACTCTAATGCTTTAAAAAATCATTATATACACTACGCTGTCTCTGATGTGTGAATCTACCCACTTCTAATTCATTATAACAAGTATTTGTTGCCAGGTAGCATTCCGGGCTTTGGGGATACATCTTTGGAAAAGCTTACAGAAATCTCTGTCCTCAGGGAACTAATATTCTAGGGACTATACAATAAACAATAAGCAAAAATGTAACATGTATAGTGTGTTAGACTGTAGTAAGTACAATGGCAAAAAATTAAGAATGGAGAATGTCTAAGGGGACAGATTGTTTGGAATTTGAATAAAGTGGCTATGGAAAACTTCACTGGGATAATGGCATCTGACCAAAAGCATGAGGAAGATATAGAACAAACCGTATCTGTTGCATGTTTAGTAATAACCAAGAAAATACTGTACGTGAAGCTGAGTGAGAAAATTACATAGTGGAAGGAGGGAAGTCCATAGAAGAATTGGGGGCTTCATGTGGTGGAGCATCTATAAAGCATTGTGCAAGACTCTGACTTTTACAATGAATGAAACGAGAGATCAGAGTTTTACACAGAAAAAGGTAATAACCTGATACATGTTTTAAAGTGATTATACAAATTGCTCTTTTGAGGATGTACTGAAGGGTGCCTTACGCAGAATCAGAAACACCTGTTTGCTGGCCATTTCAATAACCTGGGCAATAAATGATGGTGGTTAGCACCAGGATGCTAGTGGTGAAAGTAGCAAAAATGATCAGAATTGAGCTGCATTTTGAACATACAGTTAATAAGTTCTGTGGCATGACAGAAAAATGATTCCATAATATTTCTATTGAGCAACCTTGTTGATGTGATATTCAAACTAAGTCCTAATATTAAACAATGTAGGAATTTCAATGAAAATATGACCAAAGGGAGAAAATGGCTCCCAACCTACTGTAATTAAAGTTCCCTTCTGTTGTTTTAAAATGCTACTATGGATAGAGAAAACAAGATATGGATTTGGAAGAAAATTACCCACAGTCTAATTGTCAGATTTATTGACTTAAAGATGTTACATGGCAATAAAGTTGAAAGAAAAATAAGAAGAAATTCTAAAAGCCAGCATGTTAGATTTATTCCCTCCACAAAAAGAATTGCTAATATTTATAAAGTGAGATAATATGCCAAATACTTGTACTTGGCATAATTGCATTTTCTCAACAAATCCTATATAATCAACATTGTTTTATTTGTATATGTGTGAAAAATCATGACACCTGCAGTTTAAGTTACATTTGTATGAAACAGTCAATATGTGGCAGAGCCAGAATAAAGCCCACGTTTAGATTAAAGGAATTCTCTTTCCATTGCACCCACCCGTATTGCCTGTGGAAACCCTAAACAAGCCATTTAAATTTGTTGGAATTCCGTTTTTCAACTTTTTAAAACCTCTTAAGAGTCCAGTCCTAAATCAAGTTAATGTTTAAATTCTTCACTTATGCTTAGTATGTACATTATTCCAAAATGTGAATTGGTCCCAAATATCATATTCATTCTAACAGAGGACATTAAAAGTTTAAAAGATATCTGTTATATGGCTGAACTGATTATATTTTATCGGAAAGTGAAAGGAACTGAAAGGAACTACTCAGCATATTTCTAATGAGTATACAGAGGAAAAGTACTTTGCCTCATTTAATTTTGTAAAATCTCTCTCTGGCACATAATTCACAGTCTTTTTTTGCCCACAGGAATAGTGAGGCAGATATGTATTAATTCATGTCATAATACAAGAATAGGTAGCGATAAAACACTGGCATTTTCCAAATTGCCAGTATAAAGAATTGCCAGAAGAACATGGGTATTAGCTTCAGATTCTCCAAGGGGTTAACATTTATGTTATCTGTTAAATATGAATTATGTATTAACTTCTCATATTTCATATATAAAACTTTATGCTTTGGTCCTGTTCCTCGGGATGACCTTGATGTAATCAGAAATAATAGTGTTCTTTACCAAAGACATTAATCAATAACTTTATAATACGAAGCACTATGAATATTTAATGGCTTCAGCTTGAATAATTCAAATCCCGTATTACTAGAAAATAAAGTCAGTTGAGTGACTGAGAGTTCCATATTCCACAATTCCTACTCTGCTTACTACCTATTCTATTTACTATTCTCTTTACTATTTGAGAAGGGTATGGAGTTGTGTATGTTGCAAACATCACGTAACTTTTGTTCGACTTTCTTGAACACGTCATATTATTTTTTTTAGTTCATTTTCTGAATATAAGTAATTTTTGGTGAATTAATACTTTAAACAAGAGTTCACCTGGAAAGCAGTAGGCAAAATTTCATTAAAAATATTATTTTATTAACATACCTTAAAAATGTAATAGGACAATGCCTCAAAGAACAATTTCAAAATAAAAACACAGAAAACAAATGACCAGCAAAATTGCTCTGAAGTCTTAAAAACAGAAATAAATACTTCAATAATCATAGGTAATATGGAAATCCAATGTATGACTTACCTATAGAAAACCCTTGTGGAATTTCATTTAAATCTAACGTCAATATGAGCTATGTAGGAAGTCCATTAATAAATAAGAATATTATATAGGTACACATGTATATATTAATTTTAAGCCATATGCAGCCCTATTTGAAAATGTTAAAAAAAATCATCAGGATTAGTCCATACTGATTATTAAAAAATAAAATTGTCACTGCTCATTGTAGAAGATAAATGTCAGCTGTGCAGCAGATGTGTTTATAGCCACCCAGTAATCCTATCGCCTCAATAATGCATTTCCCTTTTTTTAGTTAAAAACTTAATTACATTAAGAAACTGTATGTGTTTAGGAATATGAATATAGAAGGAGTAATCATCGTTTAGTAAAATAAGTTTTACTTGCCTATTAAAATTTACTGTGTTTGTGAAGATGCTGATAGTACATTACATATGGAGATCCAAGTGCACATAGTCACTAATTCTTTAAACTATGTTTGATATTAGTAATAATTTACTTTACATATATATCGGAATTTAATTGAAAAATAGTAAATGACTGCTAATATACATTATTCTTCTGAGTTGCATTTTTGCTTAATGAAATAGAATTTTTAAAAGAATTGTTTATCTTTATTCCTACTAGATTATACATTTCATGAGAAAAGCATTATCTCTTTATTAGTATATTTGTTTACCTGTATTAGAACTTGACTTTGAAATAAACCAGATATAATACCATTGTTGTAGATGTATTTATTGTACTAAAAATAATATTCTGCATCTGAGTTTTGAGCAAGGAGATTTTACAGTCTCCTTTCAGTTAGAAAACTACAAGACCCTCTTAACTGATGTTGGAAATGTAAGTAAAGAAGATAAAAATTAAAATGATAAAGAAAAGCATTTGGGGTATAGTAGCACTGTGCTTCCCAGGAGAATGAGTTGTTAAGTGCTCACTCCGCATTTTTCAGTAACATATACTTAAAGTAAGCACACAGGGGCTACAGACGCTATTTTTTGGTTCAACATGACCTGAGCAGTTAATTAATTGTAAAGGGAAGAAGCAAGAATAGGCTCAGGGAGGGAGACAGAGAAAGACTGGGTAGGGCGGGGAGGGAGGGAGAGTTTCACCTGTATCTAAAACAGATCAGAAGCAATTTCTTCCTCCAACTCCTCACTTGTCTATTTCTACTAATAAAGAGCAAAACCAGACAAAATAGATTATTGTGTCATTTTTGTTTTCTTATTTTGTAATACACAGAAAAACTCAAGCTGGAGACGGAAATGAACAGATGCACATGGCTGGAAAGACTCAGTGCTAATCTCTACAATGTTGTTTTAATAGAATGGAGACAGGACCACATACTTTCTTACAATAATGAGGATCAATAAAGACAAAACTGACACTTTGTAATGAATAATGATCTGAACACTCACCTGAGAAAGTATCTCTTTGTTGCAGGTTTTTGGAAATGGGCTATATTTTTTGAATCATAACCGATATGTACTGCCATAAACAAGAGGATTTCAAGCCAGCTCCATCTGGTCGAAAATTATTTTATTTATTACTAAGAGAAAAGTGTAAGACAAGTCCTGTGGTAAAAACAGATTTATTGCCTCTGCTATTCACCTGTGTTATTTCTTCATATATTACCATTGACATATATTATCCATTCTTCACAGCAATGGCTTTGCCGTGGCAAATTAAATATCTCATTGTCCTTCTCTGTCCATTTTACATTATAATGTTTCTGAGCAGACTTTTATAGCTCTCTCACAGAATTATAGCAAGTCTTTAAATAAAAACAAAATTGAAACAAAAATTTTAGACTCAACTTAAAATCCCTCTTTATTTTATAATTTGGATTTTTAAGTAAAATATGCTATATCCTATTTAACGAGAACTTTCATATGTAATGTATCAATGGAATTATCTAAAGCTCATTTGGTTTTGCATAAAAACACAATTAGAGTAAAAACATTCTAAAATAGACACTGGAATAAAAACAATGAAAGCAAAACTATTAATTTTACATTTTTCATTCAAGTATTTTGATTTTTACTATATTATATTATTATATTAGGTATCAGAGTAATCATTGATCGCTTTCAAAACCCTGCTCCTTTCTAGGTGCAATGAAGAATTTTTATTTTATTGAAAAGTTATCTTAAGATGTAAGACTTGTGAATGATAGTAAAGATTTAGTAGACCCAATGTATTCTCAGATAAATGTAAAATAAGCAAGATATGAATTAAAGGATAAATATAGAGTTTAACAGCATAGATCTTAAAATCCATTATCATAAGGTAGAAGGATGTATAATTTATCATGATTAAAATATACTAAATATTCATATCACAGCATTCTGATTTCTGATATCTACAATTTAGGTGACATATATACATATGTGTGTATATATATATAACTGTATTATTTGATATTTTAAAAGATAAAAGAGTTATATATTCAAATACCAGTATAGATGTTGCTCTGAAAGTATTGTTAGATGAGATTAACATGAAAATCAGTAATTTCTGAGAAAAGCAGATTATTTTCCAAAATATTGTAGGGCTCATCCAGTCAATTGATTATATTAAAAGACTGAGATCCCTCAAGGAAATAATTCTGCCTGCAGATTGCCTTTCGACTTGAGACTGTAACATCAACTTTTCTCTAGGTCTCTTGCTTGCTAGCCTACCCTGCCAATTTTTTATACATTAAAAAATATTTTTCTCAAATATTGTAGTTCTGCTATTTCCAGAAACGCTTGAGGATTGTACTTCCAAGTTCTTTTAAAGTTGATCATCGTCATGAAACTCATCATCAAATGGCATTTGAGCAAAATCTTTATTAATTAAACATGAGTGGAAGTTTAAAGGCCAAAGCACAACTCACTCAGGCATTGTGAACTATGTGTGCAGACAGATCACAACTCATCCTTGGTCTCTGGGTGTGTCTGCGTCTATTACTGACTTACCCTGGATATGTAAAATGAGTAAGAAAAACTTTTTGTGTTAGCCACTGGGATTTTTGGTTTGTGTATTACTTTAGCATATTATCTCATTTTGAATGCTATAGTTTAGGACACTAGTTTAAACTACTGAAGTTAAAATGTTCTCCTTATTTCAGAGGAGAGAAGGATCTTACAGTGACAGACATCCATTAGTAAGAATTAATTTCTAGAGATAAAGTGAATTCAGTAACCACAGTGTCAGTAGAGTCAGCATGGTCAAAATAGTCTACATGGGAAATGTTTGGTGGCTCTTAGTTGATCATGGAGTCTCTAGAACCAAAAGTTATGAATGCCAATTAAGTTTCGATTTGGCTTATATGATCTCAAATCTTCAGGTTTACAAAACATATCTTGAGCCACCACCCAGCTCTGTCACCCAGGCTGGAGTGCAGTGGCACCATCTCAGCTCATTGCAGCCTCCGCCTCCGAGGTTTAAGCGATTCTCATGCCTCAGCCTCCTGAGTAACTGGGACTACAGGTGCTCACCACCATACAGGGATGTTTTTTCTATTTTTTTGGAGAGACACGGTTTCACCATGTTGGCCAGGCTGCTCTCGAACTCCTTACCTCATGATCCGCCCACCTCGGCCTCCCAAAGTGCTGGGATTACAGGCGTGAGCCACGGCGCCCAGCCCATTTTTTCTTTTCACCCACCTCGGCCTCCCAAAGTGCTGGGATTACAGGCGTGAGCCACTGCACTGAGCCTACAGCTCATTTCTTAACACATAAAGCTTTGCACCTCTCCACAAAACTGCCATCAGGGATGTCCCCAGAAACCATTCATCCCAGGTGCCACGCAGAGAAGAGTTGCTTGTTCTCCTTTTCCCTTTACCTCTTCCCTCTCACCTCATCATGTTCATTCATTCATCCCTTTTCCATTCTCACTTTTAAGCTTTAACCTTTCAAAAGCCTATCTTCCCCTATAAGTAATGTATTGTAACTCCCGCCATCACCATATCCTTCTCCAACCAACCAAACTGCCATCCTGAGTTTATGGAAAGTCCATAAACTAAGAAGAAATGGGAAACATTCATTGCTAACTTGGCAGCCCCTCATCCACCCTACGTGAGAGCACAGATCTTATTGTCTTTGAAGACCCTTTCTTTTTTTTTTTTTTTTTTTTTTTTTTTGAGAAGCAGTCTCACTGTCGCCCAGGCTGGAGTGCAGTGGCACAATCTCGGCTCACTGCAAGCTCCAACTCCTGGGTTCATGCCATTCTCCTGCCTCAGCCTCCCGAGCAGCTGGGACTACAGGCACCCGCCACCACGCCCGGCTGATTTTTTTTGTATTTTCAGTAGAGACAGGGTTTCACTGTTAGCCAGGATGGTCTCGATCTCCTGACCTCGTGATCTGCCTGCCTCGGCCTCCCAAAGTGCTGGGATTACAGGCATGAGCCACCGTGCCCAGCTCCTTTTTTTTTTTTAAAGACAGGTCTCACTCTGCTGCCCAGGCTCAAGTGCAGTGGTGTAATCATGGCTTACTGCAGCCTCCAACTCCTGTGCTCAGGCTATCCGCCTGCCTCAGCCTCCCAAGCAGCTAGGACTACAGGCACACACCACCACACCTAGCTAATCTGTTTAGTTTTTGTAGAGATGGGGGTCCTGCTATGCTGAACAGGCTGGTCTCGAACTCCTGGCCTCAAGCAATCCTCCCACCTTGGCCTCCCAAAGTGCTGGGATGACAGGCATGAGCCACCATGCCTGGTCTGAAGACTTTTAAATGCTGCCATATTCAAGACGCGTTGAAACTCACCTGTATTCGATGAGCCTGCTTTTCGCAAATGAGTAACATAAAACAGACTGAAATACCTTAAGCTTCTCAGCCTTTTACCCTCCTCTGGAATAATGAGTGTATCCCAAAAGTAAATCCATAATGAGGTCCAGTTTTTCCTTCATCCTTGGCTATGAAATAGACAAGAAAAAGGCAAGCTAGCCATTTCCATCTCACTATAGCAGACTCTCATGTTTGCTTTTTGACCGTACGTGGGAAGCGGGGGCCTGACTGCTTTCCTACTTCCTAAGCACAACTTACTTTTCCTAGGAAATTCTCAACACAACCTACATGGATTAAACCAGGTTCCCCCCTTTGTTTCCAATATTCTTACAGCCAAAATGTCCAGAATGGGCAAGGCAACCTGAAAAAATGAGGACGGGTACATTATCCCATGCGCTAAACTGCCACTTACACTGGTTAGTCATGAAATCGGCAAAATTCCAGATGAGCTCTCCAACCACGTATTTTCTGCGTTTTTGATCCAGACCCAGATGGTACTGCTCTAGCAGACTTTTCCGGTCCTCTTCACTGAACATCAGAGGTGGATCCTGGGATTCAAGGCAAAGAGAATTAAGAGTAAGAACTGGCAGAATTGTAAATGTTAGATAAAAATAAAGATCCACTTGATGGTGACCAAAATATCTGTCCTCACTGGGGGCTGTAGGGACTGCAGGACTCACTGATGCTAGGGTAAAGACAGCCAGGGAGAAATTGGAAATCATCATTCTCAGTAAACTATCGCAAGAACAAAAAAACAAACACCGCATATTCTCACTCATAGGTGGGAATTGAACGATGAGATCACATAGACACAGGAAGGGGAACATCACACTCTGGGGACTGTTGTGGGGTGGGGGGAGGGGGGAGGGATAGCATTGGGAGATATACCTAATGCTAGATGACGAGTTAGTGGGTGCAGCACACCAGCATGGCACATGTATACGTATGTAACTAACCTGCACAATGTGCACATGTACGCTAAAACTTAAAGTATAATAATAATAAAAAAAAATACAAAAAAAGAAACGACAGCCAGGGAATGATGTAACCCAGAATTAAAAAGGAGGTTTAAAAAAAAACCATCAATTAGCAACTGCTTTATTTATAAATATAACCTGATACTCAATTTTTCTTACTTTTCCGTCTCTGTCTGCTGATACAGTCTTAAGGCTGAACTACACTAGAAGGAAAAATATGTCTTTAGGTCAGGCGCGCTGGCTCATGTCTGTCATCCAAGCACTTTGGGAGACCGAGGTGGGAGGACTGCTTGAGCCTAGGAGTTCAAGACTAGCCTACAAAAAGTACAAAAGTTAGCCAAGCATGGAGGCACACACCTGTGGTCCCAGCTACTTGGGAGGCTGAGGTGGGAGGACTGCTTCAGTCCCGGAGGTCAAAGCTGTGGTTTGCACCACTACACTCCAGCCTGGGTGACAGAACAAGACCCTATCTCATGAATGAATGAATGAATGTAAAATGAAATTAAACTAAACCAGGCTGGGCATGGTAGCTCAGGTCTGTAATCCCAGCACTTTGGGAGGTCGAGGCAGGAGGATCACTTGAGCTCAGGAGTTCAAGATCAGCCTAGGCAACACAGTAAAACCCAGTCTCTATAAAAAGGCTAAATATTCGCTAGGTATAGTGGCGCATGACTGTGGCTCCAGCTACTTGGGGGGCCGAGGAGGAAGGATCACTTGAGCCCAGGAGGTTGAGCAGTGAGCTGTGATTACGCCACTGCACTCCAGCCTGGGCAACAGAGTAAGGCTGTCTCAAAAAAAAATTTTTTTTAATTAAACCAGATAAATTCAGTTATCCTAGTCATATATCAAGACCTCAATAGCCACATGTAGCTAGTGGCTACCATTTCAGACAGTGCAGACATGGGGCATTTCCATCATTGCAAAGGTTCTTTTTTGAAACAAGGTCTCACTCTGTCACCCAGGTGGGAGTACAGTGGTGCAATTATGGCGGACTGCAGCCTTGACCTACTGGGCTCAAACAGTCCTCCTACCTCAGCCTCCCAAGTAGCTGGGACTAGAGGCAAGCACGACCATACCCAACTATTTTTTTTTTTTTTTTTTTTTGAGACGGACTCTTGCTCTGTCGCCCAGGCTGGAGTGCAGTGGCACAATCTCGGCTCACTGCAACCTCCACCTCCCCAGTTCAAGCGATTCTCCTGCTTTAGCCTCCTGAGTAGCTGGGATTACAGGTGCATGCCACCACACCCAGCTAATTTCTGTGTTTTCTTAGTAGAGACGGGGTTTCACCATCTTGGTCAGGCTGGACTTGAACTCTTGGCCTCGTGATCCACCCACCTCAGCCTCCCAAAGTGCTGGGATTACAGGCGTCAGCCACTGCACCCAGCCACAACTCATCTTAAATATTTTGTAGAGATGGGGTCCATGTTGTGCAGACTGGTCTCAAACTCCTGGGCTCAAGAGATCCTCTGACCTCGGTCTCCCAAAGGGCTAGCATTCCAGGTGTGAGCCAGCACACCCAGCACTGCAGAGGTTCTATCAATGCTCACCTAGACCCTCTCGAGTTTCTTAAGAATTCAGAACTGGGGCTGGGTATGGTGGCTCATGCCTGTAATTCCAGCACTTTGGGAGGCCAAGGCAGGTGGATCGCTTGAGGTCAAAAGTTCAAGACCAGCCTGACCAACGTGGTGAAACCTCATCTCTACTAAAAAAAAAAAAAAAAAAAAAAAAATTAGGTGAGCATGGTGGTGCATGCCTGTAATCCAAGCTACTTGGGAGGCTGGTGCAGGAGAATTGCTTGAACCTGGGAGGCGGAGGTAGCAGTGAGTCAAGATTGCACCACTACACTCCAGCCTGGGCGACAAGTGAAACTCCTCCTAAAAGGAGAAAGAATTCAGAGCTGGTTACCTTTTCAAAGAGAATGAACAAGGGTGCATATCCACAAATCACTTCCCCCTACTTGACTAGTTTGCAGAAGTGTCATTCTGTAAGCACGATAAATTTAAGGGTGCAAACAGAACAGTGCAGTCCATTGTGGGTGGCTGTTCCCTGTGTGTCAACGGGAGTCCCAGGAGCTGTGCAAAAGAGTGTGAGCTGGCTGGGGAGGGGACAAGGGGCTGGATGGGGTTCAGGAATCCACATGAAAAAAACCCCACAAGACAAAGCAACATATCTTTGGTGAGAAGGACAAAAAATGAGATGGATAAACAAATGAGGACAGGCCAGGCATGGTGGCTCAGGCCTGTAATCCCAGGATTTTGGGACGCGGAAGCAGGCAAATCACTTGACGTCAGGAGCTCAAGACCAGCCTGGCCAACATGGCAAAACCCCACCTCTACAAAAATACAAAAATTAGCTGGGCATGGTGGCAGGTGCCTGTAATCCCAGCTGCTTGGGAGGTTGAGGCAGGACAATCGCTTGAGCCTAGGAAGTGGAGGTTGCAGTGAGCTGAGATCACACCATTGCACTTCAGCCTGGGTGACAGAGTGAGACTCCATCTCAAAAAAAAAAAAAAGACAAAGTGAGTGATTAAACATGGCTCTAAGATCTCACCCATGCCCTCAATAGGTATTATTTAGCATGTACTGTGTCAGCTATTGCAGAGTACCTGGGAAACAACAATAAATAGGACTCCTGTCTCCTGAGCCCACAGTCCGATCAAAGAGAGAGCCAAAGAAATAACAACGGTGCCTGGCGAGAATGTTGGGGGAGCCAGGTTCCGGCTGCAACAGGGCAGAGCACGGGGAAGGTTCCCTCCGCCTGGGGCAGGCAGGGTAAACCTCCCCACAGAGGGGACAGCTATGAGGAGACTCAGATGCCAAATAGGAATCTTTTCAGCCACGTGTCGTGACTCATGCCTGTATTCCCAGTACTTTGGGAGTCCAAGACAGGAGGTGAAGACCAGCCTGATAGCGAGACTGCATCTCTACAAAATATTTTAAAACTAGGCTGCACATGGTGGTGCACGCCTGTAGTCCCAGCTACTCAGGAGGCTGAGGCAGGGGAATTGCTTCAGCCCAGGAGTTCGAGGCTGCAGTGAGCTATGATGACACCACCACACTCCAGCCTGGGCAACAGAACAAGACCCTGTCAGGAAAAAAATAAAAAATAAAAAAAGGCTAGCACAGTGGATCACACCTGTTAATCCCAGAACTTTGGGAGGCCAAGGCAAAAAGATCAATTGAGTCCAGGAGTTTGAGACCAGCCTGGGCAACATAGCAAGACCCTATCTCTAAAAAAATAAAAAGAAAAGGATCTTTTAGTTGGTGATTATGGTGTCAACTTGGGCATTCCAGGCAGAAAGAATAGCTCAAGCAAGAGCAGGAGAGCAAATGAGGGCAGTGGAAACAGATCAGTGGCCAGGAGTGAGAAGAGAAGAGGATGAAAACCCAGGAGAGAGCAGAGGACACTGAGTGTCCTGACTAGGGGTTAGGACTTTGTCCTATGGGCCTGGGGGAGCCAATGACAGGACTCAAAAATTTTGATTTGTGGCCGGGCACAGTGGCTCACACCTGTAAATCCCAGCGCTTTGTGAGCCTGAGGCAGGAGGGTCACTTGATCCCAGGAATTCAAGACCAGCCCGGGGAACACAACAAGGCCCCATCTCTACAAAAGTAAAAAAATTAGCCAGGCATGGTGGCCTGTGCCTATGGTCCCAGATACTCAGGAGGCTGAGGTGGGAAGATCGCTTGGGCCCAGGAGGTTAAGGCTGCAGGGAGCAGTGATCGCACCACCGCACTCCAGCTTGGGTGACAGAGAGAGAGGCGGTCTCAAAAACACATAAAAATTTGGATTTCTTAGAAAGACCACTTGGGCACGGGTGATAGGAGGCTGTCTGGAAACAAGGCCAGTAAGGAGTCCACCTTTGAGGACCAAGCGAGTGGGGCAGAGGCCTGGCTGCTGGTGAGAAGGGAACGTGGACAGGGTAGCGGGAGGTGAGCCCAAAGCTGAAGCAAGGGGAGCACTGCAGTGGGCGCAGGGCAGGGTGGGGGAGGCAAGTGGCATCTCTGCCCAGAGAGAATACACAAGCAGAAAGTTCAACACCGCTTACCTGGTGAAGCCCTACAAGCGTTTCCACTCCATACGCGCTCTGAATAATGGGATTGTGATGTCTTACACCAATTCTCAAACTGGGCGGCCAGCTGCAGCTGAATCAACTCCAGGTGCCCGTAGTTGCGATACCAAGAGTAGTAGCTGTTCACACGGATCACATCCACATACAGAGCCTAGGACCAGAGCAGCAGAGCCCGTTCAGCAACCACAAGACCGCATGACTCAGTACTCACATGCTGTGGGGGCTCCTCTGACAGAGAAGGTAAGAAGGGGATGTAATCCCAGCACTCTGGGAGGCTGAGGCAGGAGGGTGGCTTGTGGCCAGGAGTTCGAGACCAGCCTGGGCAACACAGCAAGACCCCAGCTCTACAAAAAATAGTATCAAGAAAATCAGCACGGCACAGTGGCTCATGCCTGTAATCCCAGCACATTGGGAGGCCAAGGTGGGAGGATCACTTGAGCCCAGGAGTTTGAGACCAGCCTGGGCAACGTCGTAGGACTCCATTTCTACAAAACAAAACAAAAAGCCTAGAACGGGAAGAGCTGCCTCTCGGGGCTGAGAACATCCAACTGCACCAATTTAGATCCTGAAATTACCCTGCCCCACAAGCAAAAAACATGGTCACAAAGTGGCCCAAAGGAGGCAGGCCTGTGATTGCACACTGACGCTCACGACGTGTGCAGCTGGGAAGGGCTGTGAGAGGCAGAGCAGCTGCCAACACGCAGTCCTCAGCCAAAACCCAGGGCCCCCGCCACTGGAACTGACTCCTCTCCAGGCAGCACTCCCAGCACTGGGCATCCCCTCACCTTGCCCTGGAGAAGCCCTCCCACCCAAGGGGCCAATGCAGTCATTCTCGCAGATAATCTTTTTCCGCTTTGTTTGGAAGACAGAGTCTCGCTCTGTTGCCCAGGCTAGAATGGAGTGGCACAATAATGCAAGCTCTGCCTCCCACGATCAAGCGCAGGCGTGGTGGCATGTGCCTGTTATCCCAGCTACTTGGGAGGCTGAGGCAGGAGAATTGCTTGAACCTGGGAGGCGGAGGTTGCACTGAGCTGAGACTGTGCCACTGCACTCCAGCCTGGGCAACAGAGCAAGACTCTATCTTAAAAAAATAATAAAAAATAAAAAAGAATGCTAGTATCAGCCAGGCACGGTGGCTCATGCCTGTAATCCCAGCACTTTAGGAGGCTAAGGCAGGAGGATCACTTGAGCTCAAGAGTTTGAGACTGGCCTGGGCAACATAGTGAGATCCCATCTCTACAAAAACATTTAAAATTAGCCGGGCACAGTGGTGTACCCCCGGAGTCCCAGCTACTTGGAAGGCTGAGGCAAGAGGGTTGCTTAGGCCCAGGAATTCAAGGCTGCAGTGAGCTGTGATCACACCACTGCACTCCAGCCAGAGCAACAGAGTAAGACCTTGCCTTCACACACACACACAAAAAAACAAAAAACTCAGGTTCCAACCCTGGAGTTACTAAATCAGGATCTCAGAACGCAGAGATCTGGCATTTCAATAAAACTTCCCCTGGAGATTCTGATCAGCCAGGTTTGGGCCAGATCAACTCTAAGCTCACTTAAACCTTTGACATTTTATGAGTCTATTAAATCGAGTACAAAAAATGCTGAGTCCAAACCGGGCAAACAAATCCCATCTCCCTATGCCCAGCCTCCTTGGATTCAGAAAGCCACACTGCCTGGAGAGTAAGCAGAGAGAGAATTGTCATTAACCCAAAGACCATCTTTGAAAACAGACTGGCTGCGGCTGAGTGCGGTGGCACACGCCTGTAACCCCAGCCCTTTGGAAGGCCGAGGCAGGAGGATCACTTGAGCCCAGGAGTTCGAGACCAGCCTGGGCAACATGGCAAGACCCTGTCTCTATCTTTCTAAGTAAAACAAAATAAAAAGCTCAGACTGGCAGCACATGGTTCTTTCCAGCTGTTCCCATGAGCAGGCTTCAGGACAAGCCCAGGCAAAGGCAGGGAGAAATGGGGTGGGGACCCCCAGGCTCACCCCCTTGTCTGCTGCGTAGGTGGAGTTGGTCACAAAGGTCACAGGCTGGGAGGGGTCCAAGGCTTTGGTGTGAGCAATCACCATCCTGTCCACAAAAGAGAGAAGACACAGGTTCCGTCAGTCCGGGAAAGGCTCAGACACCCTCCCATCCTCTCTGTCCCATCTTCCCCTGCCAGAACACAACTGGGGGCCAGGCACGATGGCTCACGCCTGTAATCCCAGCACTTCAGGAGGCTGAGGCAGGCAGATCACTGAGGTCAGGGGTTCAAGAACAGCCTGGCCAACATGGCAAAACCCCATTTCTACTAAATATACAAAAATTAGCCAGGCTTAGTGGCACGCATCTGTAACTCCAGCTACTCGGGAGGCTGAGGCACAAGAATTGCTTGAACCCGGGAGGTGGAGGTTGCAGTGAGCCGAAATCACGCTACTGCACTCCAGCCTGGGCCACAGAGCAAGACCCTGCCCCAAAACAAACAAACAAACAAACAAACAAAAAAAAAAAAAAGAAAGAAAGAAAAGAAAAAAAAAAAAAAAAACAAAGCACAGAGCCGCTGCTTTCTTCCCTAACTTGAGATGTATTTTACATAAGGGCACGTTCCTCTAGTCCTAGACCGAGCTCTCTAACAACACTCTTTCTCCCCCACCCCTGAATCCAACTCCCCCAGAGGCGTAGCCACCCTGCCGGGTACACAGAGCTGAGGTCACTGGACTGAACACTGCCAGAAATGAGGTTCACTTCCTGAAATAGCTCTTGAACACAGGAGTGAATGGGCTGTGGATTCAGGTGGAATATTTATTAATGCATCAAGCAAACAGGTAGTGCGAGGTGGGAGGTAGGCATGAGGCTGGGTGCTAGGTGCTCAGTAATGACTCAAATCTAAGTCCACAGGTCCTGGGCAGTGGGAGTGGAGATGCATGCACAGAAAAACGGTGCAAGTGCCAGGCGAGGTGGCTCAAGCCTAGAACCCCAGCACTTTGGGAGGCTTACTTGAGACCAGGCGCTTGAGACCAGCCTGGACAACATAGCAAGACCTTGTTTCTACAACAAATTTAAAAATTAGGGCCGGGCATGGTGGCTCAAGCCTGTGAGCACTTTGGGAGGCCAAGGCAGGTGGATCACGAGCTCAAGAGTTCGAGACCAGCCTGGCCAACATGGTGAAACCCCATCTCAACAAAAAATAAAGAAGAAAACTAGCTGGGCATGGTGGCGTGAGCCTGTAATCCCAGCTACTCGGGAGGGTGAGGCAGGAGAACTGTTTGTACCCAGGAGGTAGAGGACGCAGTGAGCCAAGACCGCAACACTGCTCTCCAGCCTGGGAGACAGAGCAAGACTCTGACTCGTGGGGAAAAAAAAATATTAAAATTTAGCCTGGCAAGGCAGCGCACGTCTGTGGTCCCAGCTATTTGGGAGGCTGAGTGGGGAGGATCGCTTAAGCCCAGGAGGTCGAGATGGCAACGAGCTATGATTGCACCACTGCACTCCAGCCTGGGCAACAGAGTGAGACCCTGACTCTGAAAAACAAACAATGAAAGAAATGTTGCGAATGGAAATGACAAGTGGTGGCAGGAATTGGGCACTCTATGAGACAACAGACACATCCCCGATTGGAGAGTCAGGGACAGGCTCTTAGAAGAAATGGCCTTTATGCTGAGTCAAGTTAACCAGGAGGGATGAAGGGAAGAGGCTCCCAACAGAGGGACCAGTCCGTGCTCAGAGCTCCCAGCATCTGCCCAAGGCCTCCACAGAACAGACTGTTGTGTTTTTGTTTTGTTTTGTTTTGTTGAGATACAGAGTCTCATTCTGTAGCCCAGGCTGGAATGCAGTGGCATTATCTCAGCTCATTGCAATCTCTGCCTCCTGGTTCACCTGAGGCGATTCTCCTGCCTCAGCCTACCTGGTAGCTGGCATTACAGACGTCCACCACCATGCCCAGCTAATTTTTGTATTTTTAGTAGAGACAGGATTCACTACCTGTTGACCAGGCTGGTCTCGAACTCCTGACCTCGGGTGATCCACCCACCTCAGCCTCCCAAACTGCTGGGATTACAGGCGTGACCCACCGCATCCGGCCTAGACCGTTGTTGAAGCTGGTTTTCTTCTTCTTTCCTCAGTTCTTTTCTTTTACATCTTCCCCCCATCATTGCTCTGCCCATCCGAAGGCTGTGGCTGGCACAGGACAGAATAGAACCTCCTAGCCTCAAGTTCCAAACCCACACTCTCCAATAGCCAGGCTCTCAGATGGGAAGCTTCAAAGCCTTGTGACAGCCTGGCTGAACCTCTCCAGCCTGGGCCCTCCCTCCATTTCCTGCCCCGGAAACAGGCATCTCCTCTGGCCACCTCCCAAAGCCTGTCTGGAAGCCTCAGGCACCCGCTCCTGGAAGCCTGTACGATTCACAACAAACGGCCTGTCCACCCAGTCGTGCTGAGCACACCCCTATTCCCCCGAGCTCTGAACTGTCCTTTGCCCAGGCTAGGACAACATCTCAGAGCCTTCTGCCTGCTGCAGACTCGGCTCAGCCCAAATCACTCCATGAAATTGGGGTGTGGCATCTGCCTCAAGGAGCATTTCTACAACCTCTGCTGCCTCTACCGCAAATGAAACTGGCTCTCACCCACTGGCTCTCGGTGACGGGCACAGTGCGGAGCCCCACAGGGAGTGTGTAGAAGTCAAAGGCCCCAGTGACTTCTGTGCAGTCAGCCGCACCTACGACAGCCAAAGCGCCAGGTGTGAGCGCCCCGACAGCCTGAGCCCCATCTGGCCTGCCCTACAGCAGGAAGACCCCTCGTGCATGCACCCCAGAAGTCGCCACTGGGCCTGCAGAGAAGCAGCAACCAGAGGCTCTGCCCTTCACTGGCTGACCCTGGGACCTGCCCTTCAAAATCAGGCCTTCTCCTTGACCAGACGAGGTGGCTCATGCCTGGAATCCCTACACTTTGGGAGGCTAAGGCAGGAGGATCACCTGAGTCCAGGAGTTCAAGACCAGCCTGGGCAACCTAGTAAGACCCCAACTCTATAAAAAGGAGTTTTTTTTTTTTTGAGACAGTCTCACTCTGTCACCCAGGATAGAGTGCTGCGGCATGATCTCAATTCACCGCAGCCCCTGCCTCCTGGGTTCAAGCAATTCCCCTGCCTCAGCCTCCCGAGTAGCTGGGATTACAGACGTGCACCATCATGCCCTGCAAATTTTCATATTTTAGTAGAGACGGGGTTTCACCATGTTGGCCAGGCTGGTCTCCAACTCCTGGCCTAAAGTGATCCGCCCGCGTCAGCCTCCCGAAGTGCTGGGATTACAGGTGTGAGCCACCATGCCCGGCCTACAAAAAAAATTTTTTTAATTAGCCAGGCATGGTGGCATGTGCCTGTAGTCCCAGCTACTCAGGAGGCCAAGGTAGGAGGATTGCAGCTCAAAGCTGCAGTGAGCTGTGATCAGGCCATTGCATTCCAGCCTGGGTGACAGAGTGAGACCATCACAAAAACAAATAAATAAATAAATAAATAAATAAATAAATAAATAAATAAATAAAAAATCTGGGCCTCCCACCAAGGGTGGGAAACATCAGAAAGCTCAGAGGACCACACCTGCCCGTTCACCTGTCCTGGGCTCCTGCTGAAGCCAGGGCTACCAGATGGGGGCAAAAGACCTCCCTTACGCAAGTCCCAAACCACCATTACCTCCCACGAGTACAGGTAGGCGGGGTGTTCGTGCATCAGGTACGGCCACCAGAGGTTGGCACCCAGCACCTTCAGCTGGCCCTGGGTCCCAGCCTGGTTGTCCACGACTTTGTTTTCTGCATTCAAAAGACACACTTCCAACTTGAACTGGTTACTGCACTTGACGGAGATCTGGTAATTCACCAGCCCTGCAGGAGGCAAGAGAGACCAGGGCTTAGGGAGGGACATGACCTGGGTCACACAAACGGGAAGGCCCCACAATGACCACTCCCAGGCACTCTCATTTGCTTCTGTTGCTTTTTTTTTTTTTTTTTTTTTTTTTGAGATAGAATCTCGCTCTGTCACCCAGGCTGGAGTGCAGTGGCATGATCTGGACTCACTGAAACCTCTGCCTCCCAGGTTCAAGTGATTCTCCTGCCTCAGCCTCTGGAATAGCTGGGATTACAGGCACCTGCCACCACATCCAGCTAATTTTTGTATTGTTAGTAGAGACGGGGTTTCACCACATTAGCCAGGATGGTCTTGATCTCCTGACCTCGTGATCCGCCTGCCTCGGCCTCCCAAAGTGCTGGGATTACAGGCTTGAGCCACCGTGCCCGGCCCTGAACCAATGCGCCCAGCCCGCTTTTAATTTAATTTTTTAATTTTTTTTTTTTTTTTTTTTTTTTTTTTTTTTTTTTTTGAGATGGAGTCTCACTGTCACCCAGGCTGGAGTGTAGTGCTGCGATCCTGACTCGCTGCAACCTCCACCTCTGGAGTTCAGGTGATTCTCCTGCCTCAGCCTTCCGAGTACCTGGGAATACAGGAATGCACCACCATGCCCGGCGAATTTTTCTATTTTCAGTAGAGACGGAGTTTTGCCATGTTGGCCAGGCTGGTCTCGAACTCCTGAACTCAGGTGATCCACCCGCCTCAGTCTCCCAATAGATTACATATATTATTAATGAATTGCTTCCTTTAACACCCTATTCATTGAATTTTCCAGTAAACCACAATTACTAATTACTCCTGAAATCAGAAAAGAGGTTAAAAAGATTTTATAACAGTATCCTATGAAATCTACTACTTTCAAGTAATAGTAGTTGAATTACCAAAACCCGTCACTCAAGCCAATGACTACAATTAAGATATGAGTAACATTTCCTAGATAAATAAAGTCAATTAATTATATTTGCATCTGGGAAATAGAGAAAGTACATATAAGCCATGATTTTGAAGTCAAAAGAGAGAGAATATTTGCCAAGGAGGGGTGAGTTATAGTATGTAATTATAACATACAGAAGTTTTTTGTATGCTGGTAACTAATTTTAATTTCCTACATTTTTATGTAGATTTCTGCTATTCTTGTCCTATTTTCCTAATCATCTTTCTATATGAATGACTACATAATTCTGAGAATACCAAAAGAGACAGACACAGAACCAATCGGATTCCTTTCTTCTTGAAGCTTCTGCACAGCAAAAGAAACTATCAACAGAGTGAACAGACAACCTACAGAATGGGAGAAAATTTTTGCAACAATGCATGTGACAAAGATCTAATGTCCAACACTGATAAGGAACTTAAACAAATTTACAAGAAAAAAAAAAAATCTCATTGGAAAGTGGGCACAGGACATAAACAGACACTTCAAAAGAAGACACACATGCGGCCAACAAGCATATGAGAAAAAGCTCAATATCACTGATCATTAGAGAAATGCAAATCAAAACCACAATGGCATACCATCTCACACCAGTCAGTATGGTTATTATTAAGAAGTCAACGCCGGGCATGGTGGCTCACGCCTATAATCCCAGCACTTCAGGAGGCCAAGGCAGGCAGATCGCATGAGGTCAGGAGTTCCAGACCAGCCTGGACAACCTGGCGAAACCCCGTCTCTACTAAAAATACAAAAATTAGCCCAGCGTGGTGGCGGGTGCCTGTAATCCCAGCTACTCAGGATGCTGAGGCAGGAGAATCGCCTGAACCCGGGAGGCAGAGGTTGTAGTGAGCCGAGATCATACCACTGCACTCTCCAGCTTAGGTGACAGAGCGAGACTCTGTCTCAAAAAAAAAAAAAAAAATATTTGAATTTTGTTTAAATCGCTAACACATACTGGGCATTTAATAACAAAAAAAAAGGACATGAGATTGTGATCCTTATGAAGGTTTGAGAGGCATTTCACTAGGGTTCAACATACAGCAGTCTGAAACATACTGTAATAATTTAATCCAATGGCTCATCTACAGCACCTAAAAAGATTACAGCAGATTCTCATTATTCAGTGTAGTTACGGTCTAGAAAGTTCCATGAACAAATAAAAAGTTAGGTTTCAGCAAGCTACTGGTCACACTTTTGTAAGCTTACCAACACCTACTTTTGTTGTATGTGTGCTTATTTAATATATATTGTTGGCCAGGCACAGTGGCTAACGCCTGTAATCCCAGCACTTTGGGAAGCCAAGGCGGGCAGATCATTTGAGGTCTGGAGTTCGAGACCAGCCTGGCCAACGTGGTGAAACCCCGTCTCTACTAAAACTACAAAAAAAAAAAAAAAAAATTAGCCAGGCATGGTGGCGCATGCCTGTAGTCTTAGCTACTTGGGAGGCGAAGGCAGGGGAATCGCTTGAACCCAGGAGGCAGAGGTTGCAGTGAGCCAAGACTGCACCACTGCACTCCAGCCTGAGCAACAGAGTGAGACTCTATCTCAAAAAAAATAATAATAATAATTAATTAAATGAAGAATAAATAAATAATATACATTGTTCATTCATTAACATTGAACTCACAGCCAACGGCACTACAGCACTCACGCCTGAATGGAGTTTATTTAATGCATGTATTTTCTCTGTAAGACACATCACAGACTTCTTGGACTTGTGAATGCTAAGCAGCACTTCAGCACTATGCTTGGGGGTTAATTTAAATGGCAAAACAACCAACAAACAGTACAAAAACAGGAAAAGCATGGCATTAAATAGACCACAAAAAGGATACCTGACTATTGTATGAGAGCTGAAAAAGAAGGCAGAATATCATCCTGTTCAAACTCAAATTCTTTGACACTCTGCGCAAACACATGACTATGAAAGTGCTGTGAGTACTGATTTGGGGGTTACAAAAAATAGTAGGTGAGTTCACAAATACAAAAGCTGAAAACAAGGAGGATCGACTGTATTTTCGTAGACAATCTAATCTCAGAAGATTTCAGTTCAGACAAAAATCATGATAATTACTGTATTACAAAAGGGCACTAGATAGGGGGGAAAGAGTAAAAATCACAATTAAAACAAAGGTTCAAAATTCTGCAGCAACCATATCCAGTTACACTTTAATATGTTTGCGGCAGACTACATTATTGTTCCCAACTCATCACCCCTCCCTATATCTAAAACCTTTCCCCAAGACAATGCAGTTCCTCCTGCTAGAGATCAGGTATATTTATCTATACTATCAATGTTAGCCATGGACAAGGTATGTGCTTTGGCTGACTGAATGTTAGTGGACATGAGAGAAGCAATGGCTTAAAATGTACTTCCAGAACTGGAGTTTCCTTGTGATTCTATCACTGTGACAGAAACACATTCTCAGGTAGTCCACTGATCCAAGGGGGAACAAACACACAGAAAACATACCTAGACTCTATCTGCAGCTTGCAGCCTCACCAAGCCAACAACAGTCAACTCACAGATATGTTAGCAAAAATAAATGTTTTTCGTACCTTAAGTTTTATATAATTATTGACCTGCAGTTAACTGATATACAATATACATTAATCTTAAAATATCAGTATCCCATTAAAAATATTTACATTAAAAACTGAGACCACTTTCTTTCCTCCTTTTTTTTTTTTTTTTTTTTTTAAATTAAGAGACAGGGTGTCTCAATGTTGCCCAAGCTGGAGTTCAGTGGCTAGTGGCTATTCACAAGAACGATCATCGCACACTACCTCAAACTCCTGGGATCAAGCAATCCTCCTGCCTCAGCTTTCCAAGTCGCTGGGACTATAAGTGTGTACCACAGCATGTCAGCTCTCTCTCTCCTTCTTGACCTAAAGCCTAGCATAAAATTAGCTAAGTAGAATGTTTCCAAAGATGCCTGCATCAGTATCTCCCATCCCACATAATTTCTGTTTGATTTTGCCATTCACCCATAAAATGGTGGGATCTACCTCCCCTCCTTGCAAATTTGAGCTGGCCCTCTGATCCTGTCTAAGATCTGAAGCCAGATATTAAGGTACTTCATTAATTTCCATGTTTGTCCTCTATGCAACCTAGCAATCAAGCAAGAAGTCAAAACATACTGACATAGTTTGGATGGGTCCCCACCCAAATCTCACCTTGCATTGTAATAATTCCCACGTGTCAAGGGTGGGGCCGGGTGCAGATAACTGAATCATGGGGATGGTTCCCCCCATACTGTTCTCGCGGTAGTGACTAAGTCTCATGAGATCTGATGGTTTTATAAATGGGAGCTCCCCTGCACATGCTCTCTCCTGCCTGCCACTATGTGAGACATGCTTTTGCACCTCCTTGCCTTCCACCATGACTGTGAGGCCTCCCCAGCCATGCAGAACTGTGAGTCAATTCAACCTCTTTCCTTTATAAATTACCCAGTCTCAGGTATGTCTTTATTTGCAGTGTGAGAACAGACTAATACAATAAGTTGATACCAGTAGAGTGGGGTGCTGCTGTAAAGATACCCGAAAATGTGGAAGCAACTTTGGAAATGGGTAACAGGGAGAGGCTGGAACAGTTTGGAAGGCTCAGAAGAGGATAGGAAAATGTGGGAAAGTTTGGAACTTCCTAGAGACTTGTTGAATGGCTTTGACCAAAATGTTAATAGTGATATGGACAACAAGGTCCAGGCGGAGGTGGTCTCAGAGGCAGATGAGGAATTTGTTGGGAAATGGAGTAAAGTCACTCTTACTATGCAAAGACACTGCAGGCATTGTGCACCTGTATTAGAAACGGGCATAAGATAGGCGGGAAAGAGGGAAAATAAGAATTTTTTTCTAGAGTTCCCTACAGATCTGTGGAACTTTGAACTTGAGAGAGATGATTTAAGGTATCTGACAGAAGAAATTTCTAAGCAGCAAAGCATTCGAGAAGAAGCAGAGCATAAAAGTTCAGAAAATTTGTAGCCTGATGATGCAACAGAAAAGAAAAATCTATTTTCTCAGGAGACTGGGTTGTAGAAATTTGCATAAGTAATGAGGAGCCAAATGTTAATCACCAAGACAATGGGGCAAATGTCTCCAGGGCATGTTAGAGACCCTCACAGCAGACCCTCCCATCACAGGCCAGGAGGCTTAGAAGGAAAAATGGTTTTGTGGGTCCAGAACCCCCTGCTGTGTGCAGCCTAGGAACTTGGGGCCCTGCATCCCAGCTGCTCCTGCCATAGGTAAAAGGGGCCAAGGTACACCTCAGGCCATGGCTTCAGAGGGTGCAAGTTCCAAGCCTTTCAGGTTCTAGGTGGTGTTAAGCCTGCAGATGCACCGAAGTCAAGCATTAACGTTCATGAACCTCTGCCTACATTTCAGAAGATGTATGAAAATGCCTGGAAATCCAGGCAAAAGTTTGCTGTGGGGGGGAGGGGAGGGGAGGGGGGGCCCTCATGGATAACCTCTGCTAGGGCAGTGTCAAAGGGAAATATGGGGTTGGAGCTTCCACACAGAGTCCCCACTGGGGTACTGCCAAGCAGAGCTGTGAGAAAAGGGCCACCATCCTCCAGACCCCAGAATGGTAGATCCACTGACAGCTTGCACTGTGTGCCTGGAAAAGCTGCAGACACTCAATGCAGCCAGAAGGGGGGCTGTACCCTGCAAAGCCACAGGGGCGGGGCTGCCCAAGACCCTGGGAACCCACTTCTTGCATCACCTAGATGTGACACATGGAGTCAAAGGAGGTCATTTTGGAGCTTTAAGATTTGCCTGCTGGGTTTTGGACTTGCATGGGGCCTGTAGCTCTTTCGCTTTGGCCAATTTCTCCCATTTGAAACGAGTGTATCTACCCAATGCCTGTATCCCTGTGTATCTAGAAAATAACTAACTTGCTTTTGATTTTACAGGCTCATAGGTGGAAGGGACTTGCCTTGTCTCAGATGAGACTTTGGACTATGGAATTTTGAGTTAATGCTGAAATAAGAGTTTGGGGGACTTAGGGGAAGGCACGATTGCTTTTGAAATATGAGGACATGAGATTTGGGAGGGGCCGGGGAAGAATTATATGGTTTGGCTCTGTCCGCACCCAAATCTCATCTTGAATTGTAACAATTCCCATGTGTCAAGGGTGGGGCCAGGTGGAGATAACTGAATCATGGAGGCAGTTTCCCCCATGCTGTTCTCATGGTAGTGAATAAGTCTCATGAGGTCTGATGGTTTTATAAATGGATGTTCCCCTGCACATGCTCTCTCCTGCCCACCATGTCTGACTAAATTTTGTATTTTTACTAGAGACGGGCTTTCACTATGTTGGCCAGGCTGGCCTCCAACTCCTGATCTCGTGATCCGTCCACCCCGACCTCCCAAAGTGCTAGGATCATAGGCATAAGCCACCACACCCGGCCTCTTTTTTTTCTTTTTCTTTTTTTTATCTGGAGACTGAGTTTTGCACTCGTTGCCCAGGCTGGAGTGCAATGGTGCGATCTCAGCTCACTGCAGTCTCCACCTCAGCAGGAGAGCAGGAATCTTCAGTGATCCACGGGCAAATATGCAGCCATTGTGGGCACCTGTTCCTCCCGCGACCTTTGTGCCCACGTCTCTCCCTCCAGTACCTACTGCACGACCCCCCACGTCCGCCTCCTGCCATTGCCAGCAGGTGCCTTGCGCCGGTACCTGGCTGCGCTTATTCATCCATTATGGTCGCTCTGTCACTGGTGCCATTATGTGCTCACATGCCCACTCCCTCAGGTTTAGAAGTCGCGTTGCCCGGCAACAGAACAATCTGCTGGCTTAGCCTTTGGCCAAGTTGGCAGCTGGACGAGGACGCTCAGAGCCCAGCTCTTGAGAGTTCAAGTATCCGACAGTTCCCCACTGCTCCCAGGAGCGGTTACCCGGGCACTCTGTGCCCCTCATTCCTGTTTGGGCCAAGGCCGAGGACCTGCGAGTAGGGCTCAGTTGCCTGGAGCCCCTTCAGCCCATCCCCCAGTTCACTTTGCTTGTGGGATCTCCCCGTTGCTCCTGCCCCTGGACTGAGTGGCAGGCCATCCTACAAACACCCGCACACTCGACATCAGTGGTGTCAAGACAACTCTAAGAAGGTTTTCCGTGATCCTGCAAGACCTGTGTTCCATCCTGGTGATTCTGTCTTCAATTTCACTGCACAGGTACCACAGTAAGCCAGTGCTGTGTGCTCCGAGTTCCAGGGCATCCCCCAGCTCAGCCACTACACTGAGCACAAGGACTCTGTGGGGCCCAGGAGCAGGTAGTCACCCCTTTGGGGTCCACAACACCCGGCTGTCCCCAGACTTGTGTCCAGGGAAGATAGTGTTGAGGGCCCTCAAGGAGAGCGGGGCAGGGATGCCTGAGCAGGACAAGGACCCCAGAGTCCAAGAAAATCCTGATGATCAGAGAACGGTCCCCGAGGTCACCGGGGATGCACGGTCTGCATTTTGGCCCCTGCGGGACAATGGAGGCCCCTCTCCCTTTGTGCCCAGGCCCGGGCCTCTGCAGACAGACCTCCACGCCCAGAGCTCAGAAATCAGATATAACCACACATCCCAGACATCCTGGACGAGCTCGAGCACCAAACGAAATGCCATCTCCAGCTCCTACAGCTCCACGGGAGGCTTGCCGGGGCTAAAGCAGAGGAGGGGGCCAGCCTCATCCCGCTGCCAGCTGACCCTCAGTTACTCAAAGACAGTGAGTGAGGACAGGCCTCAGGCTGTCTCTTCGGGTCACACACGGTGTGAAAAGGGGGCAGATACAGCACCAGGGCAGACAATCGCCCCAACGGGTGGCTCCCCCAGATCCCAGGACTCTAGGCCCCGTAGACGCAAGATTCCCCTGCTGCCACGCAGGCGAGGGGAGCCTTTGATGCTGCCACCTCCCTTAGAGCTGGGGTACCGGGTCACGGCTGAAGACCTGCACCTGGAAAAAGAGACGGCATTCCAGCGCATCAACAGTGCACTGCACGTTGAGGACAAGGCCATCCCGGACTGCAGACCCTCACGGCCTTCCCACACTTTGTCCTCACTTGCAACAGGGACTTCGGGTGGGCCTCCCGTTTCTAAAGCACCCACTATGGATGCACAGCAGGACAGACCCAAGTCCCAAGACTGCCTGGGCCTACTGGCCCCCCTAGCATCTGCTGCAGAGGTCTCCTCTACAGCTCCCGTGTCTGGGAAGAAGCACAGACCACCAGGACCCCTGTTCTCCTCCTCAGATCCCCTTCCTGCCACCTCTTCCCACTCCGGGGACTCAGCCCAGGACACCTCGCTGATTCCTGCCCCCTTCACACCTGCAAGCAGGGATGCCGGCATCAGAAGAATGTTTCGTGTTCGAAATTGTTTGAGGGGTTTGGGTTTATTTTTGTTGGTTTTTTCTTTTTTTTTTTTGCTTACGTGGGCATCCTTCAGCTTTTAATAATCTGAAAAATTCTATTTACCCATTGTCAATGTGTATAAATTAATCTCAGTCAATTTTATACAATAAAGGGTGAACTTTTATCCATCAAACAATAATTTAACAAAAAATGTACCGGAAGAAGAATGTTCATTACAAATATAGGAAACATAAATATTACCAAATATTGGCAAGCACTGAAATGTTCAGAAATATAAGTCTATTACAGTTATAGCTCTCTCAAGCAAAAAAACAGCAGAGAAAAACTTAGTTTACCTGAGGGGCTATTTATTTACTTAGGGATTTGTTAAAAGGTCAAATGGGGTCACACAGAATACTAAGAAGAGCTGTTCACCCAGGCCTCACTAAGAACTCTTCTTCATGCAGTAGCTATATAGGAATATGACAACTGCTCCTACGACCCAAAGAGGAACTACAGCAACTACTCTTTAGCATCTGTTGCTCCCAACTCTGCTTTGCAATTATATGACTCAAGCATTCTGGCTCCGTTAACTATTACTGCTGTTACTCCCAAGTAAATTCCCTCTAAAAAATAAAAATTTTTAAAGCTGTAATTTAAGCTCTCTGCTGCCTCATGACTTCAATTCCATCAGAGTTACGCATTGTTTCCTCTGTACATCTTTGCTCTGCTTCCATTGCTAATTCCCTAGTAAAGTGTTGTATATTCAAAGTTCCAAAGAAACAGAATATCCAAGACATCACCAATCATCCAAAACACAGTGTAGGAGGCCACAGTTAAGAGAAGCAAGACCATTAGCTCTTTTTATAGGCTCGAGAACAACAGGATGCTTTGGTCCTGTATCAGCAGGACGCTTTTTGGGTAGATCCTACTGCCACCCTACTATCGGGTAGATCCTACTGTCACCCTAGCTATGGGCACATGTCAGAGTCCCATGTAATAAAGGAGACAAAAGGAAACCACCACGAGTATAAACTAAGAAAAGTACTCCAAGGTTTCTAAGAATGGAGCTGTATAACTCACTTTGCCCCGTTTGTTACTTCTCCACGGTACTTACCACCACCTATTACATATATTTTGTTTATAGTCAGTCTTCCCCCATTAGAATGAAAGTTCCGTGAGGATAGGACTATACAGTCAGCCCTCAGTATCCATGGGGGACTGGTTTCAGGATCTCCTGAGGGTAACAAAGGATACTCAAGTCCCTGATATAAAATGACATAGTATTTGCACATCACCTTTGCACATCCTCCCATATACTTCATATCAACTCTAGATCACTCATAATATCCGATGTAAATGTCATGCAAATAGTTATTGTACTATATTGTGTAAGGAATAAGGACAAGAAAAAAGTCTGTACATGTTCAGTACAGACGCAATTTTTTTTTCCAATATTTCCAATCCTTGGTTGCCTTAACGGATGTAGAACCCAGGAATAAGTTCTGGTGTCCTATTGCATAGTAGGATGAGTATAGTTAACAATAACATATTATATATTTGAAAATAGCCAGAAGAGTAGATTTTGAATTTTCTCCCTACAGAAAAATCATTATGCAAATTACCCTGATTTGATCATTACACATTGAGTACATGTATTAAAACATCACATTCTACCCCATATATATGTACAGTTATTATGTGTCCATAAAAATTTAATGTCAATGTGTGAAATAAAATGAAAAAATAAAAATTTTTAAAGCTGTAATTATCTCCATCTGGTAGGAATATATACAATCTGAAATAAAAAATATATTTGTAATTGTTAGGACAAAATAGATTATACATTAAGTCTGCAAATTATAAATTATAAAATTCTCACAGAACCTGAAAAATTATTGATACTGTTAAATATTTAAAAAGCTGTCCTTGGAGAGAAAGAAACCTATCAGATTTACATCAACAAGTGTAATATGTCAGCCTATTACCATCTGCTACAGACTGCATGTTTGTGTTCCCTCAAAATTCATATGATAGGCCCGGCGCGGTGGCTCATGCCTGTAATCCCAGCACTTTGGGAGGCCGAGGCGGGTGGATCATGAGGTCAGGAGATCGAGATCATCCTGGCTAACATGGTAAAACCCCGTCTCTACTGAAAATACAAAAAATTAGCCGGGCGCAGTGGCGGGCGCCTTAGTCCCAGCTACTGAGGAGGCTGACGCAGGAGAATGGCGTGAACCCAGGAGGCGGAGCTTGTAGAGAGCCGAGATTGTGCCACTGCACTCCAGCCTGGGTGACAGACAGAGCGAGACTCTGTCTCAAAAAAAAAAAAAAAAAAAAAAAAATTCATATGATAAAGCCCTAACCCCCAAGGTGAGGATACTGGGAGGCGTGGCCTTTAGGAGAGAATTAGGTTTAGATGAGGTCATGAGAATAGAGCCCCTATGGTGGCATTACTTCCTTTATAAGAAGAGACACTAGAGCTGCTTTTCTACCTGCCATGTGAGGATACCGAGAGAAGATGGCCATTTCCAATCTAGGAAGCAGGCCCTCTTTAAGAAACATAATTTGCCAACACTTTGATCTTGCACTTCCAGTCTCCAGAACTGTGAGAAATATCTGTTTTTTTTTGTTTGTTTGTTTTTGTTTTTTTTGAGACAGAGTCTCATTCTGTCATCCAGGCTGGAGTACAGTGGTGCGATCATGGCTCACTGCAACCTCCGCCTCCCAGGTTCAAGCAATTCTCCCACCTCAGCCTCCCAAGTAGCTCAGACTACAGGCGTGCACCACCACGCCCAGCTAATTTTCGTAGAGACAAGGTTTTGCCATGCTGCCCAGGCTAGTCTCAAACTCCTGAGCTCAAGTTATCCACCTGCCTCGGCCTCCCAAAGTGTTAGGAATACAGGCATAAGCCACCACGCCTGGTCAAAATATCTACTGTTTAAGCTACCTAATTTATGGTATTCTGTTTTAGCAGCTGAAGCAGACTAAGATACCATCCTATAAGCTACAGACCAGCACTATCCAATAGAACTTTATATGACGAGCAAATGTTTTATATCTGTGCTATCCCTTATGTTAGCCACTAGCCACATGTATCCATCAAGTATTTGAAATATGGCTAGTGCAACTAAAGAACTTAATTTTTAATTTTCTTTTTTTTTTTGAGATGGAGTCTCGCTCTGTCCCCCAGGCTGGAGTGCAGTGGCGCCATCTCGGCTCACTGCAAACTCTGCCTCCCAGGTTCACGCCATTCTCCTGCCTCAGCCTCCTGAGTAGCTGGGACTGCAGGCGCCCGCCACCACGCCCGGCTAATTTTTTGTATTTTTAATAGAGATGGGGGTTCACCGTCTTAGTAAGGATGGTCTCGATCTCCTGACCTAATGATCTGCCCGCCTCGGCCTCCCAAAGTGCTGGGATTACCGGCGTGACCCACCACGCCCGGCCAATTTTTATTTTATCTTATTTAAATAACCACATGTGGCTAGTGGCTAATGTATTGAACACTACAGCTGTAGACAATACGAAATAAATATAAAGCAGTCTCAACTTTGGAAAAACAGAAGACTCTTACTGCCTCATAATATAGATGAAAAATGAAATACTAAGATAAGTAAAACGTTCTTTAAAGAACAAAAACAAAAGAAAACCTAATGAAAGCTATAAAAGTCCATTGGATAATAATGCTACCAGTACTAAGGAAGTACAGCCCCTAAGAGTGACTTGCAGTCACAAATATAAAAATGACTATTCAAGTGAACTCCTAAGGTGAAAATTTCTTATTCACCATGCTCCAAAATGGTCTGTAATATTCTTCAGAGATGGCATGGTGGGGGAGGCAAGTGGCATCTCTGCCCAGAGAGAATACACAAGCAGAAAGTTCAACACCGCTTACCTGGTGAAACCCTACAAGCGTTTCCACTCCATACGCGCTCTGAATAATGGGATTGTGATGTCTTACACCAATTCTCAAACTGGGCGGCCAGCTGCAGCTGAATCAACTCCAGGTGCCCGTAGTTGCGATACCAAGAGTAGTAGCTGTTCACACGGATCACATCCACATACAGAGCCTAGGACCAGAGCAGCAGAGCCCGTTCAGCAACCACAAGACCGCATGACTCAGTACTCACATGCTGTGGGGGCTCCTCTGACAGAGAAGGTAAGAAGGGGATGTAATCCCAGCACTCTGGGAGGCTGAGGCAGGAGGGTGGCTTGTGGCCAGGAGTTCGAGACCAGCCTGGGCAACACAGCAAGACCCCAGCTCTACAAAAAATAGTATCAAGAAAATCAGCACGGCACAGTGGCTCATGCCTGTAATCCCAGCACATTGGGAGGCCAAGGTGGGAGGATCACTTGAGCCCAGGAGTTTGAGACCAGCCTGGGCAACGTCGTAGGACTCCATTTCTACAAAACAAAACAAAAAGCCTAGAACGGGAAGAGCTGCCTCTCGGGGCTGAGAACATCCAACTGCACCAATTTGGATCCTGAAATTACCCTGCCCCACAAGCAAAAAACATGGTCACAAAGTGGCCCAAAGGAGGCAGGCCTGTGATTGCACACTGACGCTCACGACGTGTGCAGCTGGGAAGGGCTGTGAGAGGCAGAGCAGCTGCCAACACGCAGTCCTCAGCCAAAACCCAGGGCCCCCGCCACTGGAACTGACTCCTCTCCAGGCAGCACTCCCAGCACTGGGCATCCCCTCACCTTGCCCTGGAGAAGCCCTCCCACCCAAGGGGCCAATGCAGTCATTCTCGCAGATAATCTTTTTCCGCTTTGTTTGGAAGACAGAGTCTCGCTCTGTTGCCCAGGCTAGAATGGAGTGGCACAATAATGCAAGCTCTGCCTCCCACGATCAAGCGCAGGCGTGGTGGCATGTGCCTGTTATCCCAGCTACTTGGGAGGCTGAGGCAGGAGAATTGCTTGAACCTGGGAGGCGGAGGTTGCACTGAGCTGAGACTGTGCCACTGCACTCCAGCCTGGGCAACAGAGCAAGACTCTATCTTAAAAAAATAATAAAAAATAAAAAAGAATGCTAGTATCAGCCAGGCACGGTGGCTCATGCCTGTAATCCCAGCACTTTAGGAGGCTAAGGCAGGAGGATCACTTGAGCTCAAGAGTTTGAGACTGGCCTGGGCAACATAGTGAGATCCCATCTCTACAAAAACATTTAAAATTAGCCGGGCACAGTGGTGTACCCCCGGAGTCCCAGCTACTTGGAAGGCTGAGGCAAGAGGGTTGCTTAGGCCCAGGAATTCAAGGCTGCAGTGAGCTGTGATCACACCACTGCACTCCAGCCAGAGCAACAGAGTAAGACCTTGCCTTCACACACACACACAAAAAAACAAAAAACTCAGGTTCCAACCCTGGAGTTACTAAATCAGGATCTCAGAACGCAGAGATCTGGCATTTCAATAAAACTTCCCCTGGAGATTCTGATCAGCCAGGTTTGGGCCAGATCAACTCTAAGCTCACTTAAACCTTTGACATTTTATGAGTCTATTAAATCGAGTACAAAAAATGCTGAGTCCAAACCGGGCAAACAAATCCCATCTCCCTATGCCCAGCCTCCTTGGATTCAGAAAGCCACACTGCCTGGAGAGTAAGCAGAGAGAGAATTGTCATTAACCCAAAGACCATCTTTGAAAACAGACTGGCTGCGGCTGAGTGCGGTGGCACACGCCTGTAACCCCAGCCCTTTGGAAGGCCGAGGCAGGAGGATCACTTGAGCCCAGGAGTTCGAGACCAGCCTGGGCAACATGGCAAGACCCTGTCTCTATCTTTCTAAGTAAAACAAAATAAAAAGCTCAGACTGGCAGCACATGGTTCTTTCCAGCTGTTCCCATGAGCAGGCTTCAGGACAAGCCCAGGCAAAGGCAGGGAGAAATGGGGTGGGGACCCCCAGGCTCACCCCCTTGTCTGCTGCGTAGGTGGAGTTGGTCACAAAGGTCACAGGCTGGGAGGGGTCCAAGGCTTTGGTGTGAGCAATCACCATCCTGTCCACAAAAGAGAGAAGACACAGGTTCCGTCAGTCCGGGAAAGGCTCAGACACCCTCCCATCCTCTCCGTCCCATCTTCCCCTGCCAGAACACAACTGGGGGCCAGGCACGATGGCTCACGCCTGTAATCCCAGCACTTCAGGAGGCTGAGGCAGGCAGATCACTGAGGTCAGGGGTTCAAGAACAGCCTGGCCAACATGGCAAAACCCCATTTCTACTAAATATACAAAAATTAGCCAGGCTTAGTGGCACGCATCTGTAACTCCAGCTACTCGGGAGGCTGAAGCACAAGAATTGCTTGAACCCGGGAGGTGGAGGTTGCAGTGAGCCGAAATCACGCTACTGCACTCCAGCCTGGGCCACAGAGCAAGACCCTGCCCCAAAACAAACAAACAAACAAACAAACAAACAAAAAAAAAAAAAGAAAGAAAAGAAAAAAAAAAAAAAAAAACAAAGCACAGAGCCGCTGCTTTCTTCCCTAACTTGAGATGTATTTTACATAAGGGCACGTTCCTCTAGTCCTAGACCGAGCTCTCTAACAACACTCTTTCTCCCCCACCCCTGAATCCAACTCCCCCAGAGGCGTAGCCACCCTGCCGGGTACACAGAGCTGAGGTCACTGGACTGAACACTGCCAGAAATGAGGTTCACTTCCTGAAATAGCTCTTGAACACAGGAGTGAATGGGCTGTGGATTCAGGTGGAATATTTATTAATGCATCAAGCAAACAGGTAGTGCGAGGTGGGAGGTAGGCATGAGGCTGGGTGCTAGGTGCTCAGTAATGACTCAAATCTAAGTCCACAGGTCCTGGGCAGTGGGAGTGGAGATGCATGCACAGAAAAACGGTGCAAGTGCCAGGCGAGGTGGCTCAAGCCTAGAACCCCAGCACTTTGGGAGGCTTACTTGAGACCAGGCGCTTGAGACCAGCCTGGACAACATAGCAAGACCTTGTTTCTACAACAAATTTAAAAATTAGGGCCGGGCATGGTGGCTCAAGCCTGTGAGCACTTTGGGAGGCCAAGGCAGGTGGATCACGAGCTCAAGAGTTCGAGACCAGCCTGGCCAACATGGTGAAACCCCATCTCAACAAAAAATAAAGAAGAAAACTAGCTGGGCATGGTGGCGTGAGCCTGTAATCCCAGCTACTCGGGAGGGTGAGGCAGGAGAACTGTTTGTACCCAGGAGGTAGAGGACGCAGTGAGCCAAGACCGCAACACTGCTCTCCAGCCTGGGAGACAGAGCAAGACTCTGACTCGTGGGGAAAAAAAAATATTAAAATTTAGCCTGGCAAGGCAGCGCACGTCTGTGGTCCCAGCTATTTGGGAGGCTGAGTGGGGAGGATCGCTTAAGCCCAGGAGGTCGAGATGGCAACGAGCTATGATTGCACCACTGCACTCCAGCCTGGGCAACAGAGTGAGACCCTGACTCTGAAAAACAAACAATGAAAGAAATGTTGCGAATGGAAATGACAAGTGGTGGCAGGAATTGGGCACTCTATGAGACAACAGACACATCCCCGATTGGAGAGTCAGGGACAGGCTCTTAGAAGAAATGGCCTTTATGCTGAGTCAAGTTAACCAGGAGGGATGAAGGGAAGAGGCTCCCAACAGAGGGACCAGTCCGTGCTCAGAGCTCCCAGCATCTGCCCAAGGCCTCCACAGAACAGACTGTTGTGTTTTTGTTTTGTTTTGTTTTGTTGAGATACAGAGTCTCATTCTGTAGCCCAGGCTGGAATGCAGTGGCATTATCTCAGCTCATTGCAATCTCTGCCTCCTGGTTCACCTGAGGCGATTCTCCTGCCTCAGCCTACCTGGTAGCTGGCATTACAGACGTCCACCACCATGCCCAGCTAATTTTTGTATTTTTAGTAGAGACAGGATTCACTACCTGTTGACCAGGCTGGTCTCGAACTCCTGACCTCGGGTGATCCACCCACCTCAGCCTCCCAAACTGCTGGGATTACAGGCGTGACCCACCGCATCCGGCCTAGACCGTTGTTGAAGCTGGTTTTCTTCTTCTTTCCTCAGTTCTTTTCTTTTACATCTTCCCCCCATCATTGCTCTGCCCATCCGAAGGCTGTGGCTGGCACAGGACAGAATAGAACCTCCTAGCCTCAAGTTCCAAACCCACACTCTCCAATAGCCAGGCTCTCAGATGGGAAGCTTCAAAGCCTTGTGACAGCCTGGCTGAACCTCTCCAGCCTGGGCCCTCCCTCCATTTCCTGCCCCGGAAACAGGCATCTCCTCTGGCCACCTCCCAAAGCCTGTCTGGAAGCCTCAGGCACCCGCTCCTGGAAGCCTGTACGATTCACAACAAACGGCCTGTCCACCCAGTCGTGCTGAGCACACCCCTATTCCCCCGAGCTCTGAACTGTCCTTTGCCCAGGCTAGGACAACATCTCAGAGCCTTCTGCCTGCTGCAGACTCGGCTCAGCCCAAATCACTCCATGAAATTGGGGTGTGGCATCTGCCTCAAGGAGCATTTCTACAACCTCTGCTGCCTCTACCGCAAATGAAACTGGCTCTCACCCACTGGCTCTCGGTGACGGGCACAGTGCGGAGCCCCACAGGGAGTGTGTAGAAGTCAAAGGCCCCAGTGACTTCTGTGCAGTCAGCCGCACCTACGACAGCCAAAGCGCCAGGTGTGAGCGCCCCGACAGCCTGAGCCCCATCTGGCCTGCCCTACAGCAGGAAGACCCCTCGTGCATGCACCCCAGAAGTCGCCACTGGGCCTGCAGAGAAGCAGCAACCAGAGGCTCTGCCCTTCACTGGCTGACCCTGGGACCTGCCCTTCAAAATCAGGCCTTCTCCTTGACCAGACGAGGTGGCTCATGCCTGGAATCCCTACACTTTGGGAGGCTAAGGCAGGAGGATCACCTGAGTCCAGGAGTTCAAGACCAGCCTGGGCAACCTAGTAAGACCCCAACTCTATAAAAAGGAGTTTTTTTTTTTTTGAGACAGTCTCACTCTGTCACCCAGGATAGAGTGCTGCGGCATGATCTCAATTCACCGCAGCCCCTGCCTCCTGGGTTCAAGCAATTCCCCTGCCTCAGCCTCCCGAGTAGCTGGGATTACAGACGTGCACCATCATGCCCTGCAAATTTTCATATTTTAGTAGAGACGGGGTTTCACCATGTTGGCCAGGCTGGTCTCCAACTCCTGGCCTAAAGTGATCCGCCCGCGTCAGCCTCCCGAAGTGCTGGGATTACAGGTGTGAGCCACCATGCCCGGCCTACAAAAAAAATTTTTTTAATTAGCCAGGCATGGTGGCATGTGCCTGTAGTCCCAGCTACTCAGGAGGCCAAGGTAGGAGGATTGCAGCTCAAAGCTGCAGTGAGCTGTGATCAGGCCATTGCATTCCAGCCTGGGTGACAGAGTGAGACCATCACAAAAACAAATAAATAAATAAATAAATAAATAAATAAATAAATAAATAAATAAAAAATCTGGGCCTCCCACCAAGGGTGGGAAACATCAGAAAGCTCAGAGGACCACACCTGCCCGTTCACCTGTCCTGGGCTCCTGCTGAAGCCAGGGCTACCAGATGGGGGCAAAAGACCTCCCTTACGCAAGTCCCAAACCACCATTACCTCCCACGAGTACAGGTAGGCGGGGTGTTCGTGCATCAGGTACGGCCACCAGAGGTTGGCACCCAGCACCTTCAGCTGGCCCTGGGTCCCAGCCTGGTTGTCCACGACTTTGTTTTCTGCATTCAAAAGACACACTTCCAACTTGAACTGGTTACTGCACTTGACGGAGATCTGGTAATTCACCAGCCCTGCAGGAGGCAAGAGAGACCAGGGCTTAGGGAGGGACATGACCTGGGTCACACAAACGGGAAGGCCCCACAATGACCACTCCCAGGCACTCTCATTTGCTTCTGTTGCTTTTTTTTTTTTTTTTTTTTTTTTTGAGATAGAATCTCGCTCTGTCACCCAGGCTGGAGTGCAGTGGCATGATCTGGACTCACTGAAACCTCTGCCTCCCAGGTTCAAGTGATTCTCCTGCCTCAGCCTCTGGAATAGCTGGGATTACAGGCACCTGCCACCACATCCAGCTAATTTTTGTATTGTTAGTAGAGACGGGGTTTCACCACATTAGCCAGGATGGTCTTGATCTCCTGACCTCGTGATCCGCCTGCCTCGGCCTCCCAAAGTGCTGGGATTACAGGCTTGAGCCACCGTGCCCGGCCCTGAACCAATGCGCCCAGCCCGCTTTTAATTTAATTTTTTAATTTTTTTTTTTTTTTTTTTTTTTTTTTTTTTTTTTTTTGAGATGGAGTCTCACTGTCACCCAGGCTGGAGTGTAGTGCTGCGATCCTGACTCGCTGCAACCTCCACCTCTGGAGTTCAGGTGATTCTCCTGCCTCAGCCTTCCGAGTACCTGGGAATACAGGAATGCACCACCATGCCCGGCGAATTTTTCTATTTTCAGTAGAGACGGAGTTTTGCCATGTTGGCCAGGCTGGTCTCGAACTCCTGAACTCAGGTGATCCACCCGCCTCAGTCTCCCAATAGATTACATATATTATTAATGAATTGCTTCCTTTAACACCCTATTCATTGAATTTTCCAGTAAACCACAATTACTAATTACTCCTGAAATCAGAAAAGAGGTTAAAAAGATTTTATAACAGTATCCTATGAAATCTACTACTTTCAAGTAATAGTAGTTGAATTACCAAAACCCGTCACTCAAGCCAATGACTACAATTAAGATATGAGTAACATTTCCTAGATAAATAAAGTCAATTAATTATATTTGCATCTGGGAAATAGAGAAAGTACATATAAGCCATGATTTTGAAGTCAAAAGAGAGAGAATATTTGCCAAGGAGGGGTGAGTTATAGTATGTAATTATAACATACAGAAGTTTTTTGTATGCTGGTAACTAATTTTAATTTCCTACATTTTTATGTAGATTTCTGCTATTCTTGTCCTATTTTCCTAATCATCTTTCTATATGAATGACTACATAATTCTGAGAATACCAAAAGAGACAGACACAGAACCAATCGGATTCCTTTCTTCTTGAAGCTTCTGCACAGCAAAAGAAACTATCAACAGAGTGAACAGACAACCTACAGAATGGGAGAAAATTTTTGCAACAATGCATGTGACAAAGATCTAATGTCCAACACTGATAAGGAACTTAAACAAATTTACAAGAAAAAAAAAAAATCTCATTAGAAAGTGGGCACAGGACATAAACAGACACTTCAAAAGAAGACACACATGCGGCCAACAAGCATATGAGAAAAAGCTCAATATCACTGATCATTAGAGAAATGCAAATCAAAACCACAATGGCATACCATCTCACACCAGTCAGTATGGTTATTATTAAGAAGTCAACGCCGGGCATGGTGGCTCACGCCTATAATCCCAGCACTTCAGGAGGCCAAGGCAGGCAGATCGCATGAGGTCAGGAGTTCCAGACCAGCCTGGACAACCTGGCGAAACCCCGTCTCTACTAAAAATACAAAAATTAGCCCAGCGTGGTGGCGGGTGCCTGTAATCCCAGCTACTCAGGATGCTGAGGCAGGAGAATCGCCTGAACCCGGGAGGCAGAGGTTGTAGTGAGCCGAGATCATACCACTGCACTCTCCAGCTTAGGTGACAGAGCGAGACTCTGTCTCAAAAAAAAAAAAAAAAATATTTGAATTTTGTTTAAATCGCTAACACATACTGGGCATTTAATAACAAAAAAAAAGGACATGAGATTGTGATCCTTATGAAGGTTTGAGAGGCATTTCACTAGGGTTCAACATACAGCAGTCTGAAACATACTGTAATAATTTAATCCAATGGCTCATCTACAGCACCTAAAAAGATTACAGCAGATTCTCATTATTCAGTGTAGTTACGGTCTAGAAAGTTCCATGAACAAATAAAAAGTTAGGTTTCAGCAAGCTACTGGTCACACTTTTGTAAGCTTACCAACACCTACTTTTGTTGTATGTGTGCTTATTTAATATATATTGTTGGCCAGGCACAGTGGCTAACGCCTGTAATCCCAGCACTTTGGGAAGCCAAGGCGGGCAGATCATTTGAGGTCTGGAGTTCGAGACCAGCCTGGCCAACGTGGTGAAACCCCGTCTCTACTAAAACTACAAAAAAAAAAAAAAAAAATTAGCCAGGCATGGTGGCGCATGCCTGTAGTCTTAGCTACTTGGGAGGCGAAGGCAGGGGAATCGCTTGAACCCAGGAGGCAGAGGTTGCAGTGAGCCAAGACTGCACCACTGCACTCCAGCCTGAGCAACAGAGTGAGACTCTATCTCAAAAAAAATAATAATAATAATTAATTAAATGAAGAATAAATAAATAATATACATTGTTCATTCATTAACATTGAACTCACAGCCAACGGCACTACAGCACTCACGCCTGAATGGAGTTTATTTAATGCATGTATTTTCTCTGTAAGACACATCACAGACTTCTTGGACTTGTGAATGCTAAGCAGCACTTCAGCACTATGCTTGGGGGTTAATTTAAATGGCAAAACAACCAACAAACAGTACAAAAACAGGAAAAGCATGGCATTAAATAGACCACAAAAAGGATACCTGACTATTGTATGAGAGCTGAAAAAGAAGGCAGAATATCATCCTGTTCAAACTCAAATTCTTTGACACTCTGCGCAAACACATGACTATGAAAGTGCTGTGAGTACTGATTTGGGGGTTACAAAAAATAGTAGGTGAGTTCACAAATACAAAAGCTGAAAACAAGGAGGATCGACTGTATTTTCGTAGACAATCTAATCTCAGAAGATTTCAGTTCAGACAAAAATCATGATAATTACTGTATTACAAAAGGGCACTAGATAGGGGGGAAAGAGTAAAAATCACAATTAAAACAAAGGTTCAAAATTCTGCAGCAACCATATCCAGTTACACTTTAATATGTTTGCGGCAGACTACATTATTGTTCCCAACTCATCACCCCTCCCTATATCTAAAACCTTTCCCCAAGACAATGCAGTTCCTCCTGCTAGAGATCAGGTATATTTATCTATACTATCAATGTTAGCCATGGACAAGGTATGTGCTTTGGCTGACTGAATGTTAGTGGACATGAGAGAAGCAATGGCTTAAAATGTACTTCCAGAACTGGAGTTTCCTTGTGATTCTATCACTGTGACAGAAACACATTCTCAGGTAGTCCACTGATCCAAGGGGGAACAAACACACAGAAAACATACCTAGACTCTATCTGCAGCTTGCAGCCTCACCAAGCCAACAACAGTCAACTCACAGATATGTTAGCAAAAATAAATGTTTTTCGTACCTTAAGTTTTACATAATTATTGACCTGCAGTTAACTGATATACAATATACATTAATCTTAAAATATCAGTATCCCATTAAAAATATTTACATTAAAAACTGAGACCACTTTCTTTCCTCCTTTTTTTTTTTTTTTTTTTTTTAAATTAAGAGACAGGGTGTCTCAATGTTGCCCAAGCTGGAGTTCAGTGGCTAGTGGCTATTCACAAGAACGATCATCGCACACTACCTCAAACTCCTGGGATCAAGCAATCCTCCTGCCTCAGCTTTCCAAGTCGCTGGGACTATAAGTGTGTACCACAGCATGTCAGCTCTCTCTCTCCTTCTTGACCTAAAGCCTAGCATAAAATTAGCTAAGTAGAATGTTTCCAAAGATGCCTGCATCAGTATCTCCCATCCCACATAATTTCTGTTTGATTTTGCCATTCACCCATAAAATGGTGGGATCTACCTCCCCTCCTTGCAAATTTGAGCTGGCCCTCTGATCCTGTCTAAGATCTGAAGCCAGATATTAAGGTACTTCATTAATTTCCATGTTTGTCCTCTATGCAACCTAGCAATCAAGCAAGAAGTCAAAACATACTGACATAGTTTGGATGGGTCCCCACCCAAATCTCACCTTGCATTGTAATAATTCCCACGTGTCAAGGGTGGGGCCGGGTGCAGATAACTGAATCATGGGGATGGTTCCCCCCATACTGTTCTCGCGGTAGTGACTAAGTCTCATGAGATCTGATGGTTTTATAAATGGGAGCTCCCCTGCACATGCTCTCTCCTGCCTGCCACTATGTGAGACATGCTTTTGCACCTCCTTGCCTTCCACCATGACTGTGAGGCCTCCCCAGCCATGCAGAACTGTGAGTCAATTCAACCTCTTTCCTTTATAAATTACCCAGTCTCAGGTATGTCTTTATTTGCAGTGTGAGAACAGACTAATACAATAAGTTGATACCAGTAGAGTGGGGTGCTGCTGTAAAGATACCCGAAAATGTGGAAGCAACTTTGGAAATGGGTAACAGGGAGAGGCTGGAACAGTTTGGAAGGCTCAGAAGAGGATAGGAAAATGTGGGAAAGTTTGGAACTTCCTAGAGACTTGTTGAATGGCTTTGACCAAAATGTTAATAGTGATATGGACAACAAGGTCCAGGCGGAGGTGGTCTCAGAGGCAGATGAGGAATTTGTTGGGAAATGGAGTAAAGTCACTCTTACTATGCAAAGACACTGCAGGCATTGTGCACCTGTATTAGAAACGGGCATAAGATAGGCGGGAAAGAGGGAAAATAAGAATTTTTTTCTAGAGTTCCCTACAGATCTGTGGAACTTTGAACTTGAGAGAGATGATTTAAGGTATCTGACAGAAGAAATTTCTAAGCAGCAAAGCATTCGAGAAGAAGCAGAGCATAAAAGTTCAGAAAATTTGTAGCCTGATGATGCAACAGAAAAGAAAAATCTATTTTCTCAGGAGACTGGGTTGTAGAAATTTGCATAAGTAATGAGGAGCCAAATGTTAATCACCAAGACAATGGGGCAAATGTCTCCAGGGCATGTTAGAGACCCTCACAGCAGACCCTCCCATCACAGGCCAGGAGGCTTAGAAGGAAAAATGGTTTTGTGGGTCCAGAACCCCCTGCTGTGTGCAGCCTAGGAACTTGGGGCCCTGCATCCCAGCTGCTCCTGCCATAGGTAAAAGGGGCCAAGGTACACCTCAGGCCATGGCTTCAGAGGGTGCAAGTTCCAAGCCTTTCAGGTTCTAGGTGGTGTTAAGCCTGCAGATGCACCGAAGTCAAGCATTAACGTTCATGAACCTCTGCCTACATTTCAGAAGATGTATGAAAATGCCTGGAAATCCAGGCAAAAGTTTGCTGTGGGGGGGAGGGGAGGGGAGGGGGGGCCCTCATGGATAACCTCTGCTAGGGCAGTGTCAAAGGGAAATATGGGGTTGGAGCTTCCACACAGAGTCCCCACTGGGGTACTGCCAAGCAGAGCTGTGAGAAAAGGGCCACCATCCTCCAGACCCCAGAATGGTAGATCCACTGACAGCTTGCACTGTGTGCCTGGAAAAGCTGCAGACACTCAATGCAGCCAGAAGGGGGGCTGTACCCTGCAAAGCCACAGGGGCGGGGCTGCCCAAGACCCTGGGAACCCACTTCTTGCATCACCTAGATGTGACACATGGAGTCAAAGGAGGTCATTTTGGAGCTTTAAGATTTGCCTGCTGGGTTTTGGACTTGCATGGGGCCTGTAGCTCTTTCGCTTTGGCCAATTTCTCCCATTTGAAACGAGTGTATCTACCCAATGCCTGTATCCCTGTGTATCTAGAAAATAACTAACTTGCTTTTGATTTTACAGGCTCATAGGTGGAAGGGACTTGCCTTGTCTCAGATGAGACTTTGGACTATGGAATTTTGAGTTAATGCTGAAATAAGAGTTTGGGGGACTTAGGGGAAGGCACGATTGCTTTTGAAATATGAGGACATGAGATTTGGGAGGGGCCGGGGAAGAATTATATGGTTTGGCTCTGTCCGCACCCAAATCTCATCTTGAATTGTAACAATTCCCATGTGTCAAGGGTGGGGCCAGGTGGAGATAACTGAATCATGGAGGCAGTTTCCCCCATGCTGTTCTCATGGTAGTGAATAAGTCTCATGAGGTCTGATGGTTTTATAAATGGATGTTCCCCTGCACATGCTCTCTCCTGCCCACCATGTCTGACTAAATTTTGTATTTTTACTAGAGACGGGCTTTCACTATGTTGGCCAGGCTGGCCTCCAACTCCTGATCTCGTGATCCGTCCACCCCGACCTCCCAAAGTGCTAGGATCATAGGCATAAGCCACCACACCCGGCCTCTTTTTTTTCTTTTTCTTTTTTTTATCTGGAGACTGAGTTTTGCACTCGTTGCCCAGGCTGGAGTGCAATGGTGCGATCTCAGCTCACTGCAGTCTCCACCTCAGCAGGAGAGCAGGAATCTTCAGTGATCCACGGGCAAATATGCAGCCATTGTGGGCACCTGTTCCTCCCGCGACCTTTGTGCCCACGTCTCTCCCTCCAGTACCTACTGCACGACCCCCCACGTCCGCCTCCTGCCATTGCCAGCAGGTGCCTTGCGCCGGTACCTGGCTGCGCTTATTCATCCATTATGGTCGCTCTGTCACTGGTGCCATTATGTGCTCACATGCCCACTCCCTCAGGTTTAGAAGTCGCGTTGCCCGGCAACAGAACAATCTGCTGGCTTAGCCTTTGGCCAAGTTGGCAGCTGGACGAGGACGCTCAGAGCCCAGCTCTTGAGAGTTCAAGTATCCGACAGTTCCCCACTGCTCCCAGGAGCGGTTACCCGGGCACTCTGTGCCCCTCATTCCTGTTTGGGCCAAGGCCGAGGACCTGCGAGTAGGGCTCAGTTGCCTGGAGCCCCTTCAGCCCATCCCCCAGTTCACTTTGCTTGTGGGATCTCCCCGTTGCTCCTGCCCCTGGACTGAGTGGCAGGCCATCCTACAAACACCCGCACACTCGACATCAGTGGTGTCAAGACAACTCTAAGAAGGTTTTCCGTGATCCTGCAAGACCTGTGTTCCATCCTGGTGATTCTGTCTTCAATTTCACTGCACAGGTACCACAGTAAGCCAGTGCTGTGTGCTCCGAGTTCCAGGGCATCCCCCAGCTCAGCCACTACACTGAGCACAAGGACTCTGTGGGGCCCAGGAGCAGGTAGTCACCCCTTTGGGGTCCACAACACCCGGCTGTCCCCAGACTTGTGTCCAGGGAAGATAGTGTTGAGGGCCCTCAAGGAGAGCGGGGCAGGGATGCCTGAGCAGGACAAGGACCCCAGAGTCCAAGAAAATCCTGATGATCAGAGAACGGTCCCCGAGGTCACCGGGGATGCACGGTCTGCATTTTGGCCCCTGCGGGACAATGGAGGCCCCTCTCCCTTTGTGCCCAGGCCCGGGCCTCTGCAGACAGACCTCCACGCCCAGAGCTCAGAAATCAGATATAACCACACATCCCAGACATCCTGGACGAGCTCGAGCACCAAACGAAATGCCATCTCCAGCTCCTACAGCTCCACGGGAGGCTTGCCGGGGCTAAAGCAGAGGAGGGGGCCAGCCTCATCCCGCTGCCAGCTGACCCTCAGTTACTCAAAGACAGTGAGTGAGGACAGGCCTCAGGCTGTCTCTTCGGGTCACACACGGTGTGAAAAGGGGGCAGATACAGCACCAGGGCAGACAATCGCCCCAACGGGTGGCTCCCCCAGATCCCAGGACTCTAGGCCCCGTAGACGCAAGATTCCCCTGCTGCCACGCAGGCGAGGGGAGCCTTTGATGCTGCCACCTCCCTTAGAGCTGGGGTACCGGGTCACGGCTGAAGACCTGCACCTGGAAAAAGAGACGGCATTCCAGCGCATCAACAGTGCACTGCACGTTGAGGACAAGGCCATCCCGGACTGCAGACCCTCACGGCCTTCCCACACTTTGTCCTCACTTGCAACAGGGACTTCGGGTGGGCCTCCCGTTTCTAAAGCACCCACTATGGATGCACAGCAGGACAGACCCAAGTCCCAAGACTGCCTGGGCCTACTGGCCCCCCTAGCATCTGCTGCAGAGGTCTCCTCTACAGCTCCCGTGTCTGGGAAGAAGCACAGACCACCAGGACCCCTGTTCTCCTCCTCAGATCCCCTTCCTGCCACCTCTTCCCACTCCGGGGACTCAGCCCAGGACACCTCGCTGATTCCTGCCCCCTTCACACCTGCAAGCAGGGATGCCGGCATCAGAAGAATGTTTCGTGTTCGAAATTGTTTGAGGGGTTTGGGTTTATTTTTGTTGGTTTTTTCTTTTTTTTTTTTGCTTACGTGGGCATCCTTCAGCTTTTAATAATCTGAAAAATTCTATTTACCCATTGTCAATGTGTATAAATTAATCTCAGTCAATTTTATACAATAAAGGGTGAACTTTTATCCATCAAACAATAATTTAACAAAAAATGTACCGGAAGAAGAATGTTCATTACAAATATAGGAAACATAAATATTACCAAATATTGGCAAGCACTGAAATGTTCAGAAATATAAGTCTATTACAGTTATAGCTCTCTCAAGCAAAAAAACAGCAGAGAAAAACTTAGTTTACCTGAGGGGCTATTTATTTACTTAGGGATTTGTTAAAAGGTCAAATGGGGTCACACAGAATACTAAGAAGAGCTGTTCACCCAGGCCTCACTAAGAACTCTTCTTCATGCAGTAGCTATATAGGAATATGACAACTGCTCCTACGACCCAAAGAGGAACTACAGCAACTACTCTTTAGCATCTGTTGCTCCCAACTCTGCTTTGCAATTATATGACTCAAGCATTCTGGCTCCGTTAACTATTACTGCTGTTACTCCCAAGTAAATTCCCTCTAAAAAATAAAAATTTTTAAAGCTGTAATTTAAGCTCTCTGCTGCCTCATGACTTCAATTCCATCAGAGTTACGCATTGTTTCCTCTGTACATCTTTGCTCTGCTTCCATTGCTAATTCCCTAGTAAAGTGTTGTATATTCAAAGTTCCAAAGAAACAGAATATCCAAGACATCACCAATCATCCAAAACACAGTGTAGGAGGCCACAGTTAAGAGAAGCAAGACCATTAGCTCTTTTTATAGGCTCGAGAACAACAGGATGCTTTGGTCCTGTATCAGCAGGACGCTTTTTGGGTAGATCCTACTGCCACCCTACTATCGGGTAGATCCTACTGTCACCCTAGCTATGGGCACATGTCAGAGTCCCATGTAATAAAGGAGACAAAAGGAAACCACCACAAGTATAAACTAAGAAAAGTACTCCAAGGTTTCTAAGAATGGAGCTGTATAACTCACTTTGCCCCGTTTGTTACTTCTCCACGGTACTTACCACCACCTATTACATATATTTTGTTTATAGTCAGTCTTCCCCCATTAGAATGAAAGTTCCGTGAGGATAGGACTATACAGTCAGCCCTCAGTATCCATGGGGGACTGGTTTCAGGATCTCCTGAGGGTAACAAAGGATACTCAAGTCCCTGATATAAAATGACATAGTATTTGCACATCACCTTTGCACATCCTCCCATATACTTCATATCAACTCTAGATCACTCATAATATCCGATGTAAATGTCATGCAAATAGTTATTGTACTATATTGTGTAAGGAATAAGGACAAGAAAAAAGTCTGTACATGTTCAGTACAGACGCAATTTTTTTTTCCAATATTTCCAATCCTTGGTTGCCTTAACGGATGTAGAACCCAGGAATAAGTTCTGGTGTCCTATTGCATAGTAGGATGAGTATAGTTAACAATAACATATTATATATTTGAAAATAGCCAGAAGAGTAGATTTTGAATTTTCTCCCTACAGAAAAATCATTATGCAAATTACCCTGATTTGATCATTACACATTGAGTACATGTATTAAAACATCACATTCTACCCCATATATATGTACAGTTATTATGTGTCCATAAAAATTTAATGTCAATGTGTGAAATAAAATGAAAAAATAAAAATTTTTAAAGCTGTAATTATCTCCATCTGGTAGGAATATATACAATCTGAAATAAAAAATATATTTGTAATTGTTAGGACAAAATAGATTATACATTAAGTCTGCAAATTATAAATTATAAAATTCTCACAGAACCTGAAAAATTATTGATACTGTTAAATATTTAAAAAGCTGTCCTTGGAGAGAAAGAAACCTATCAGATTTACATCAACAAGTGTAATATGTCAGCCTATTACCATCTGCTACAGACTGCATGTTTGTGTTCCCTCAAAATTCATATGATAGGCCCGGCGCGGTGGCTCATGCCTGTAATCCCAGCACTTTGGGAGGCCGAGGCGGGTGGATCATGAGGTCAGGAGATCGAGATCATCCTGGCTAACATGGTAAAACCCCGTCTCTACTGAAAATACAAAAAATTAGCCGGGCGCAGTGGCGGGCGCCTTAGTCCCAGCTACTGAGGAGGCTGACGCAGGAGAATGGCGTGAACCCAGGAGGCGGAGCTTGTAGAGAGCCGAGATTGTGCCACTGCACTCCAGCCTGGGTGACAGACAGAGCGAGACTCTGTCTCAAAAAAAAAAAAAAAAAAAAAAAAATTCATATGATAAAGCCCTAACCCCCAAGGTGAGGATACTGGGAGGCGTGGCCTTTAGGAGAGAATTAGGTTTAGATGAGGTCATGAGAATAGAGCCCCTATGGTGGCATTACTTCCTTTATAAGAGACACTAGAGCTGCTTTTCTCCCTACCATGTGAGGATACCGAGAGAAGATGGCCATTTCCAATCTAGGAAGCAGGCCCTCTTTAAGAAACATAATTTGCCAACACTTTGATCTTGCACTTCCAGTCTGCAGAACTGTGAGAAATATCTGTGTTTTTTTGTTTGTTTGTTTTTGTTTTTTTTGAGACAGAGTCTCATTCTGTCATCCAGGCTGGAGTACAGTGGTGCGATCATGGCTCACTGCAACCTCCGCCTCCCAGGTTCAAGCAATTCTCCCACCTCAGCCTCCCAAGTAGCTCAGACTACAGGCGTGCACCACCACGCCCAGCTAATTTTCGTAGAGACAAGGTTTTGCCATGCTGCCCAGGCTAGTCTCAAACTCCTGAGCTCAAGTTATCCACCTGCCTCGGCCTCCCAAAGTGTTAGGAATACAGGCATAAGCCACCACGCCTGGTCAAAATATCTACTGTTTAAGCTACCTAATTTATGGTATTCTGTTTTAGCAGCTGAAGCAGACTAAGATACCATCCTATAAGCTACAGACCAGCACTATCCAATAGAACTTTATATGACGAGCAAATGTTTTATATCTGTGCTATCCCTTATGTTAGCCACTAGCCACATGTATCCATCAAGTATTTGAAATATGGCTAGTGCAACTAAAGAACTTAATTTTTAATTTTCTTTTTTTTTTTGAGATGGAGTCTCGCTCTGTCCCCCAGGATGGAGTGCAGTGGCGCCATCTCGGCTCACTGCAAACTCTGCCTCCCAGGTTCACGCCATTCTCCTGCCTCAGCCTCCTGAGTAGCTGGGACTGCAGGCGCCCGCCACCACGCCCGGCTAATTTTTTGTATTTTTAATAGAGATGGGGGTTCACCGTCTTAGTAAGGATGGTCTCGATCTCCTGACCTAATGATCTGCCCGCCTCGGCCTCCCAAAGTGCTGGGATTACCGGCGTGAGCCACCACGCCCGGCCAATTTTTATTTTATCTTATTTAAATAACCACATGTGGCTAGTGGCTAATGTATTGAACACTACAGCTGTAGACAATACGAAATAAATATAAAGCAGTCTCAACTTTGGAAAAACAGAAGACTCTTACTGCCTCATAATATAGATGAAAAATGAAATACTAAGATAAGTAAAACGTTCTTTAAAGAACAAAAACAAAAGAAAACCTAATGAAAGCTATAAAAGTCCATTGGATAATAATGCTACCAGTACTAAGGAAGTACAGCCCCTAAGAGTGATTTGCAGTCACAAATATAAAAATGACTATTCAAGTGAACTCCTAAGGTGAAAATTTCTTATTCACCATGCTCCAAAATGGTCTGTAATATTCTTCAGAGATGGCATGGTAAAGTACGATAAAAGGGTAATATTAACAGTATGCTGTCACAGGTGCCATTCTCTTAAAAAAGAAATCCAAAAATAAATATAAATGGAAAGCAAATAATTAATGGAGTTTTGACGGTCAATCAATGGTAAATATTATTGGCATTAGATTTTTCTATTAATTATAGTTTACCTATGATCATGTATTTTTCCATTTAAAAATTACCCTAAAACTTAATGGCTTAAAATAACAAATATGTATGACACAATTCATAGAAGTCAGGGAAATGATGGATTTGGGTAGGTGGTTCTGACTCAAAGTCTCTCATGAGTAAAGGTTGCTGTCATGTTGTTGACCCAGGCAGCATCCCCTGAAGCCTTTAACTTGTGTTGGAAGGTCCGTGTCTTAGTTTGTTTGCACTGTCGCTACAGAATACCATAGACAGGGTAGCTTATAAACAACAGAAACGTTTGTAATGGTACCGGAGGCTGGATGGTGCAAAATCAAGGTGCTTGCAGATTTGGTGTCTGGTCAGAGCCCATTTTTTAGTTCATAGATTACTGTCCTCTAGCTCACATGGCAGAAGGGGCAAGGACGCTTTTTGGGGTCTCTTTTATAAGGGCACTAATCCCCGGCTGGGCACGGTGGCTCACATCTGTAATCCCAGTACTTTGGGAGGCTGAGGCAGGCAGATCACGAGGTCAGGAGTTCCAGACCAGCCTGGCCAGTATGGTGAAACCCCGTCTCTACTAAAAATACAAAAATTAGCCAGGTGTGGTGGTGCGTACCTGTAGTCTCAGCTACTCAGCTACTCAGGAGGCTGAGGCAGAAGAAACACTTGAACCCAGGAGGCAGACGTTGCAGTGAGCTGACATGGCACCACTGCACTCCAGCCTGGGTAACAGAGCAAAACTCTGTCTCAAAAATAAATAAATAAATAAATAAAAATAAAAATAAAAACAAAAAATAATAATCAAGGCACTAATCCCCAACATGAAGACAGACTATCATCTACCAAAAGCTCCACCTCCTACTATCATTACACTGGGGGTTAGGATTTCACAAATTCAGTGCATCATAGTCTGCTTCTAGAATGTTTAATCATTTGGCTGGATATCAGATAGGATGCCTCGGTTCTTCATGTGAGCTTTCTAGAAAAGATAGTTTGGAATTATTTGCATGGTGGCTGGGCTCGTAAAGAGTTGAAGGAGAGAAAGAGAGAGAAACACCAGTAAGGAGCAAATTAGTTCACTCAAAATTAAAACCCTAGCCTTTGTGACCTTGTCTCACAAGGTAACATTCCAATCCTGCGGTGTTTTATTTCTTAGATGGGAGTCACTCAGCTTAGCCTGCCTTCAAGGGGAGGAGTATGAAGCTCCACTTCTTAAACTGAGAAGAATCAACAAATATGTAGATATATATATATTTTTAATAGTATTACAGCTCATGAACCCATTTAAACCCATTTTAGAACTTTAAAGAAATATTTTAAAACGGAATTTTCAATTAAGCAGAAGAAATTGCCAGCTGTGGAACAGTGAACTTTATCGCTGAAATCACACACACATATATACACACACACAGTGCAAACTCATACATGATCAAATCTATAATCTTATTACACAAAGTTTTGTGAGAGGAAAAATGCTTGACTTTTCAAAAGGGCTCATTTATTAAAAATAAAATGACCATTGTGTTCATTTTAGCTGCAACCTTTAAGCAATCAATGACTATATACTTGCTGTAATCATCCTTTAAAATTAGAATTATTGAAAAGCTTTATCACTGATGAATGAAAGAAAGTAATATTGATTTGTGGCCAAGAGAGATAATCTCAGGCAATAAACAGGTGCAGTCTTTGAAGGAATCATTTTATTTTATTACTTTCTGACATTATTGAAGCCAATTTTAAATAAATTCATCATGTTTTTAAATTTAATCACGTATTATTTTATCATACATTAGGTAAAGTTTCAATCTAAGTAACTCCTGGATAAAAAATGAAGTATATCAATTTACAATTACAAATACCCAAATTGTACAGGCATGCATTTTTCAATGACATTTATAAACTGTGTTTTGTTGTTTGTGCCTTGTGTTTGTTTTATTAATCAAATTAATTTATACAGATATATGTATGGAAATGAGACAGATATAACCAGTTCTCTATAAGTAAGCATTATTTAATGGAGTCTTTCCTTTCACTAATGATCATCAGGACAGCTAGGGAAGTGAGTTGAAATTTTCAGGCCATTAGGTTAATAGTTCTAGTAATTCTAGTAATGTTTCGACAGTCATAATATAAATGATACTATGTGGCTTGAATTAATGCATTTTCTTATGTAACAAATAATAAGACAATTTTTAAAAGTGGTAATTACTATTTTTAAATATGACAATTAAAAATAATGAAAGAAAAGAGGTTGTACATTGAGTAGCCATAACATTATCTTTAAACATATTTATTCTTCATTTCCTAACTTTTCCCACCTTTTGGCTAAATCGTATGTTCTTTCTCTAACCTCACTTCTGTTTTATTACTCTCTGGGAAAGATTTTTATATAAAACGTCTAAGCAATCAAACCTAACACAGGATGAATTTCTACACATTACTATACCCTCTGGTCACTATTTTTTTCTTCTCTTTATTGCCCATTTCCCTGTTCTTGAAACATTCCAATTATTTGCCTTCCATGACATTCTACTCTTACTTTTACTTTTCTGTCTCTGATTACTCATTTCCAGTTCCTTTTGTCATCTCCTTGTCTTCCTACACCTGCCAATTAAATTTGAATTTCCTCTGCATTTCATCTTATGTCTCCTTTTCTTCTGCCAAATTCTCTCCTTAGACAAATACAGTCATTCCCATGGTTTTATATCCCACTTATATTCAGGGGCTCTAGAATGTATAGCGCCAGGCCAAATCTATCTTAAGAACTTACTTTACTTAACCAATTACATCTGCATCTGCTCAGGATCATGTAACCCACATCAGCATTTGGCTCTTTTGTAGACCCATTTTTTCTTTTCCTGGAAGTCTATTTTGACACCTACTTTCTGTCACTACCCACGTTTTAGCATTTAGCCTTGTCAATTTACTCTCATCCATATGTAACTCTATCCATTTTCTTCTCTCTATTATGAACAGCAGTTTGAGCCATCATGACCAATTTTGCAGTATCCCTTCTTAAATTAGCCTCCTGTTTCGCATTGGACATTTTCACCCCCCAGCAATTCCACCGATTTCATTCTCGGAAAAATATAAATGAAGAGTTACATTTTTCAATAGCCATAATCATTAAATTTCCATGTGTAAGAAAATGTTCAGAACAGTATCAGTGCATTTATAATAAAATTTTAAAACTTGACCCACAAATCTCTACTTGTCCTTCTAGTTTTATTTCATTTGTCTCTCGTCAATCTCTACATTCTGATCACCACAATCTTTTAATTCATCTGAAAGCTAAGCTCTCTCTTAATTTACATTCTCTATACTTGCAATTTTGTCTACCTAGAAGTGTCTTCTTCCATCTTTGGATTGTTATTGCAAATCCATTGAATAGTTCTCATCTGAATTGTTTCTTCCTTGGGATGACTTATAAACACTTCATCCTACAGCCAAATCAGAAGACCAATATCAAAATCTTTCATCACATCCTAAATTTGCTTATATGTAATTATATGGCAAGAATCTCTTTGTCTTTATAATCATTATTCACTTATCTATGTTTTTTAAAAACTCTTCTAGGTGGTGATGCTAAGCTCCGTAATGTTGGGCTTGTTACCTGTCTCAACTATCTTCCACACCTACCACAGTACCTGCTACATAGATGTATTCAATATATATTTTTAGAATTAGTAAATGATGAGCAAGCGTGTACTTTTGTTCTCTTTCATTACAGTGTTAGAAATGCTATTACAGCATTAGAAAAGATAATCAGAAAGAAAATTTAATAGATCATCAGAAAAAATCCCAAGACTTTTAGGCAAATGAGCCTACAAACACAGGTGGAATGGACTTGCAATTTACCAAGAAATAGGTTTGTCATACTTAGAAACCAACTGCATAAACATGTTTTTATCTATTAATAACTTCATTTTCCAAAACGCTCTACTTTATATGAGACGATTCTTGATGGAAATACCATTTGCTTCTAGGCTCGTTGCTTAAACATAAAGTTAAAAATCTTTGTATGACACATAAAATTGTGGTGACTGCTTAACTTTGCAACTATAGTGCTCCTGAAATGCTCATTTAACCAGTCTGTGTTCCAGACCTACAGAACTTAGATGGTGCTAAAATTGCGCAAAAATTGTGTATTTCTTCTACAACTAACTTCTGATAAAAAGGGGGCAGAGAAGGTTAACTCTCTCCCCCTTTAGCTTTATTTGCTTAGTGAATTTCTACAAAACATAATTTAAGTGCTATATTTTTCCAAGGTTTTAATAAGGAAATAAAAACCGCAATAGGTATCTTAAGCAGAAAGTGCATTTCATACATATACAATAGGAAGGGCTAAAATAACTAAAGTAGCTGTGGCATGGAGGAAGGTTTTGAGTTCTTGAATTCAAAGGCACGCAATCATTTCTGCAATCCTGGGTCAAAAAGATGCTCCTGCTATTAAAACTTTAAGCCTCTTATGCCCATGAAACTGGGGATTAGGCACAAGGATATTGAATCCTACCACTTCCACTACTTCTGAACTATTGTCCCCATGATTTCACTTGCCAGAATCAACAATAGCAAGACAGGCTTTGATCTCTTCCATTTTTCTAAGTCTGATTCATATGCAAACAATCGGTAAGTGGTCTAAGCTGCATTCATAAAGCTAGCTCAAGGGAAGCTGCATTGCTTGTTTTGTTTTGTTTTAGTTTTCTAACCTCTTCAAAGAGTGGAACGAAAGTTGAGGAAACCTGTCCAACAGTCTACCACACACCTTCCATGAAAGGTTCCCCAACACCTCCAACAAAATAATGTAAACACATGCTGGAACCTGTATTACTCTCGCACCATAACACTTCCCACACTTCCCACGATACTTTTTCTCTTCATGGGAATATCCTTCCAAAACATGCTGATATCTCCTAAGCATTATTCATCTGTCGAATTTTCCCACCTATTGTAAGGTCTTCCAATTGTTAGGTTCTTAATAAATATATTTTAAATTATTAAAATTCTGAACTAATGGGTAATCAACTGTACAACCCGAATTGCTGATTTGCATACAGCTGAAGTCCCTCCTCAAAACTTCTGTAATACATGAAACTTAGGCAAATGGTTGGGTCATTACCATATATTACTTTATATTTTTATTTATCAGTATATGTGATTACAGTTATGCTTATGTTAATTGATATGTATATGTACATTGTATTATTCTGTTACATAGCACAGCATTTTGTACTCAAAAAGTGACCAATAATAATAAGCTACATACTTTGGGAAGCATTGCAGGCTAGTCGTACAGTTTTGTTTTGTTTTTTTCCCTGCAGCCTGACAACCTTTTTAGTCATTCACTAAACCTCTCTCAGCTTCAGTTTCTTCATCTGCAACATATAGCAAATAATAAAACTTAACTCAGATGGTTCTAGTGTGAAATAATACAGAGTAAATGTGCCACCAAATACAAACCAATGGCTTGATTGACATAACTCACTGTTAATTTTCTTGAAATGATTCAAAGTATTTTCCAGACAAGCACACACTGAGGGAATTCGTCACCACCAAACGAGTCCTATGAGAAATACTCAAAGGTGTCCCAAACACAAAAATGAAAGGTCAACATTCATCATCATCATCAAAACACATGAAAGTAGCAAACTCATAGGTCTTGTAAAACAGTCACACAAAGTAGGACGAGCAATCAAATAGCAACACAACAGATTTCCACCAAACCACAAAGACAAAGAGACACACAGAAAGAAAAACAAAAAACAACAACAAAATAACCCCAAAGAACTTATAAAACAAGTAGAAAACAAACAGCAATATGGCAGAAAGAAAACCTCATGTATTAACATTAACCTTGAATGTAAATGAATTAAACATTCCACTTAAAATATATAGATTGATAGATATTGGGCCAGGTGCAGTTGCTCACACCTGTAATCCCAGCACTTTGGGAGGCCGAGGTGGGTGGATCACGAGGTCAGGAGTTCGAGGCCAGGCTGGCCAACATAGTGAAACCCTATCTCCATTAAAAATACAAAAATTAGCCAGGCGTGGTGGCCGGCACCTGTAATCCCATCTACTTGGGAGGCTGAAGCAGGAGAATCGCTTGAACCTGCAAGACGGAGTTTGCAGTGAGCCAAGATTGCGCCACTGCACTCCACTCTGGATGACAGAGTGAAACTCCATCTAAAAGTAAAAAAAAAAAAAAGAAAGGTAGATTGATGGAACGAACTAAAAAATGATCCAAAAATATTATGCTTACAAGAAACATATAGACACATACAGACTGAAAAGTAAAGACACATACAGATTTAAAGTAAATGGGTGAAAAAAGATACTCCATGTAACGGAGACTAAAAGCAAGCAGGAATAGCTATACTTATATCAAGTAAAACAGAACTTAAATCTAAAACAGTATAACAATGACAAAGGAAGTCATTACATAATGATAAAGGGATCAATTCAGCAAGAGGATATAACAATTCTAAACACATATGCATCCAACACTAGACCACCAAGATTCATCAAATAAATATTACTAGACATAAAAAAGGAATAGACAGCAATACGATAATACTGGGGGACTTTACCATCTCACTCACAGCATTAAATGTTATCATCAAGACAGAAAACAAATAAACCTAAGACTTAAATTCAACCTTAGATGAAATAGACCTAACTGACATTTACAGAAAATACTACCCAGCAACTACAGAATATACATTCTTAATAAAACCGCAATTTCACCCAACAATCCCACTACTGGAGATCTACCCAAAGGAGAACAGATAATTGTATGAAAAAGGTATCTGCACCCATATGTTTATCACAGCACTATTCACAATAGCAATGTGTCCCTCAGTGGATGATTACATTAATAAATCTGGCACATATGCGCTATAGAATACTATTCAGCTATACAAAAGAATAAAATCATGTCTTTTGTAACAACATGGATGTAACTGGTCATTATTTTAAGTGAAACAAATCAGACACAGAAAGACAAATACTGCATGTTCTCACTTATAACTGGACGCTAAATAATGTATACACATGGACATAGAATGTGGAATGATAGACAACAGAGACTTGGAAATTTCAGGAGGGTGGGAGGAGGGGATGATGAGAAATTATGTAATGAGCACAATGTACATTTTTCAGGTGATGTATATTCTAAAACCCTTACTTCAACACTATGTACTTTATGGAGGTAATAAGATTATATTTGTATCCCATAAATTTACATAAATAAAAAATTGCCTTCTGTACTTACTTTAGCCCAGTTATTGTTAGGTTCAACATTCAGCACTTTACTCAAATTTTCTATAGCTTTCTGGACCTTTTTTTGATATTTATATATAGTAGTGTGGCACAGAAGTGCTAATATTTACCAAAATAAAAGTTATATTTTTAATTAAAAATTAATTAAAAGGTTGTAGAATCTCAGGATGGAATGCAGACTGTTACAAATTTATCTAGCTCTATTATGAACCATACAAAATAACTTCAGTGAGGGACTTAAGGGAAAGGGTGCTAGTCAAAGTGATATTGAAAATGAGTGCAGTCTCTTAAGATGAAAGGCAAAAGAAACTTGTACGAAGGCACTTAATTTAGTTGATAAAGATGTTCTTCTACTAAGGGCAGGTTATCAATTCTGGTACAGCTATATACATATACTGGAAGTGAACAATTAACTAAATAGATGTCACAAAGTAAGAGTCAGGATTTTTATTGTTGGAGTGGGGGTTTAGAGATACAGGAAGGCATTGATGCTTGCGGGACTAGGTTAGAGGTAGTGACATCAGTAAGAACCCATGTTTAGCTTAATACAGACATAGATGGTGATATGGTTTACATTTTGTCCCCTCTCAAACCTCTCGTCCAATTGTAATCGCCAGTGTTGAAGGAGGGGTCTAGTGGGAGGGGACTGGATTATGGGGGCAGATTTCCTCCTTGCTGTTCTTGTGATAATGACTTAGTTCTCACACAATCTGGTTGTTTAAAAGTGTGTAGCATCTCCCCCTTAGTTCTCTTCCTCCTTCTCCAGCCATGTAAGATGTGCCTGCTTCCTCTTTGCCTTCTGCTATGACTGTACGTTTTCTGAGGCTTCCCCATCCTTGCTTCCTGTACAGCCTGTGCAACTGTGAGGCAATTAAAGCTCTTTTCTTTATAAATTACCTAGGATCAGGTAGTTCTTTATAACAATGGGATAATGGACTAATATAGATGTTTACATATAGAAATATTTAAAGATATGTGTCTACATATGTGTAAGAATATACACATTGTTTCTTTGCTCTCTCATCTTAGAGAGCTATGAAAAAATTGATACTCCCTTAGCTACAGGCACAGCTAGCACTTAAATATTGATTTCATATATAGAAAGCAGGGCGTCTTTGAAAGTGGCTGATTCTAAGAATGGGGAAGAAAATACACAAGATGAGCCTGGGACATCCTCTAGTGCCAGAAATTATGAAAATACTAACAAAAATCTATTTGTGAGATATGTCAAACAAGCACAGGGGCCAGGTGAAAGGTCTTTCAATTTCTAGAATAATTTTAGCAACACAATACATTAATTGGTAGTATATTTGGATTATACCCAAAAATGTAATTTTCCTTAGTCCATATTGATATCAATAAATGACTGAATAAACAAATGAATGAGATAAAAGAGGTAAATCTCCTCTGCAAATAATTTACATATGTATTCCAACTAAAGGAAGTCAGCTCTTAAAGACATCTTAAGCAATACTGCAACTGAATTAGCTTTCCAAAGATACTGTCACAATTCATCTATTCCAAGACCTATACATTTCATATTTTAATATCTCCTGAAAATATAATGCATTTTACAATTCAGTGGTATGTCTTAGTTTAATTAGCCACAATGCGAATTACTTGCTTAACGGGACATAAAATAGTGCATTATACAATCTATGGGCTCTTGGACTCAAGAAAATACGATAGAAAGGAGTTTATGTTAGAGTCTGCGCACTGACTAAAGATCAGAGCAGAAAGCAGATTCTAGGAACAGTCACATTTGTGGCAGTCACTGGTCTCGGCATGCAACAAAATTCAAAGTAAATAGTGGTAAGGTGGGAAATGGACAAAGCTATGTAGCTAGAATCAGAAGTCCTTGAAATCAAAACATCAAGATTCAAACTATTTAGGGGCAGTGGGGCTGACGTGGTGACCGTGGGCCTGATCAGATAAAACCTTTACAAAGAAACAGTAGCTCTCAGACTCACCTCCTGAGACAGAGTTGTTCTGAGGGGAAAATGGGTAAGTTTCCACAGTAACATACAGTACTTAAACATACAGTAAGATACAGTACTTAAAGCCCTGACCTGTCCAGTTCCCAACACATCTTTCTTGATGGGCACCTAAATGTCACCTTTTGGTTTTATTTTTGTGTTTTTCTCATCTAAGCTCGGAGAGCAAAGCCTGACAGGGTGAGCCCCCAAAGTGTGTTCATGTCTTAAGAGTGTCCAGAAGCCACCTAGGGAGTGTGCAAGTTTTTCATTTTCATGCCAGGGACAATGTCTCTCTTTATTGAGCTAATGGCAAGGTATGGGCCTCAGAATATGTACAGTTTGAACATATTTGCATCTTCCCTTTAATTAACTGTGAAATCTGTGAGGCTAATGAGAAGAAAATTGATGGGTAGTCGGTGGAAGAATTTTTTTTTCATTGTCATATCTTCAACTTTCCTGGGGTATAATAAGAGATGCACAGTCAATTCAGTATACTTGAAATGTGTGATGTGGTCAAATTTGAGATAGATATATATATATATGTATATACTTTTGGAAATATCACTACATTCACAACCATCATTATGAAAAGTTTTCTTGTGCACCTCAGTAATCAGTCTCTCCCTCCATGCTGTCTCCAGGCAGCCATTTGATTTTCCATCAGGTAACATGAGTGAGAAGAAAATGTTTGTTGCAAGCTATTGAAATTTTGTGGTTGTTCACTTTTTAGAAACTCTTTGGAATTTTCTTTCTCATATCTTTATTAACATATAAAGTGTCTGTCTGGCATACTTTCAGATAATGTAAATAATATACTCAGCAATTGTTTTGTGCTGGGCTTCCATTTAATCTTTCAAGATCATATGGATTTTTATAGCTTTATATGTTGTGTTTGGCATCTTAAGCTCACTATCTACCTACTGACTCTTAAATCCCAAACTCTAAAGAGGTTCTGAAGATTCCAAACAATGGCTTGATAGCTTAAAGTAAAAAAAGCTCAGGATAACTCAAATTTTGTGACTTAGCATGCTTGAGAAAGTTTTTTTTTTTTTTGAGACAGAGTCTCACTCAGTCACCCTGGCTGGAGTGCAGTGGCGGGATCTCGGCTTACTGCAAACTCCGCCTCCCGGGTTCACGCCATTCTCCTGCCTCAGCCTCCCGAGTAGATGGGACTAAGGCGCCCGCCACCGTGCCTGGCTAATTTTTTTTTGTATTTTTTAGTAGAGACGGGGTTTCACCGTGTTACCCACGATGGTCTCGATCACCTGACCTCGTGATCTGCCCACCTTGGCCTCCCAAAGTGCTGGGATTACAGGCGTGAGCCACCTCGCCCGGCCTTGAGAAAGTGCATTTAAGCTCCTTCCTAAATGAATGATTATTTAGTCTTGCAGTGTCCATAATTTCTTTAGGTCACTTACGGAAGTCTCAAACTTGTCTGTAACACCTGATAATAACTTCCAGTACTATTCTAAAATGTAGATTTACTTTATCACATTTTCTTCTAACTTCTACTTGCCCCTGTTGTAACAATCTTCATTCTTCTTTTGTACTTATATTTTCTCCTTTTAAAACTCAATATCTAGGTCCTCTCTTATAATTGTGCTTAAAATTCATCCTGCAGTAGTGTCAGAGCAGGGTTTCTCAAAGTCATTGTGGGGAACTATCGTGTACATTGTAAGATGATTAGCAACATCCCTAGCCTCGACCACCAGATGCCAGTAGCACACCCTCTCTTTCACAGTTTTTTTTTTTTTTTAATCAGAAATATCTGCGCACATTGACAAATGTCCACCGGATGGGAAGAAGAATGTGGGGTGTAAAATTCCCATTTTTGAGACCCACTTGCTTAGAATGTATTAAAGACCTATAATTGAAAATACCTTGGCAAAATCTCCCAAAATTGTCTCTCAAAATAACAGTATATACAGTGTAACATACACAACATCCTGTTATACTAATGAAAAAATCTAAGAAAAACTCTATAGGATGATATTTAGATATTACAGTCACTATATTAACTATTAGGATAATGTGCCACTAATTCCCAATCGTCACTGCTTTCATGTAGTGCTTGCTCCATATTGTCTTAATGTTAATCCTTAACATACACAGCCTAACATATTTATTGATGTGAAAGTTTTTGTTTTATTTTCAACAACACGGTCTCAACCAGGGGTGATTTTCACTACCAGGGACAATTTGTCAATGTTTAGAGACAATTTTAGTTTTTACTGCTGTAGGTAGTGGAGTGTGCTATTCACATCCGGTAAGTTTAGGGCAGGAAAACTGGTAAACCTCCTATAATATGAGGCTAGAGCCCACAACAAAATTATCAGGTCCAAAAATGTCAATAGTATTGAAGGTGAGACAATTTCTAGGGAGATATTACACCTTGATATTCTCATTTAATATGCTGGTAATGTAATCCAGCATTTTTCCAAAAATGAGAATAGCCTGGTGGCCTTAAATGTCATTGTTTTACTCTTACTTACATTGGACTAAAGAATGAGATCAAATGCAGCTGAATAATTTGGATATTTAAAGCAATAACATTTTTCACTAACGCGCATAGGCTTAATGCCTGGGTGACAAAATAATCTGTATACCTATTTACCTATAGGTTTACCTATATAACAAACCTGCACATATACCCCTGAACTGAAAATAAAAGTTAATAAATAAAGTAATTACATTTGTTTAGAAATAAAATAAATTTAGAAATGGAAAATATTGTTGAAAATATTCTAAGAATTTTAAATTTATACATTAAAATAAAAATAATCTGAATATTATTACTAACAGAAAATCTTTGTCTTGATCTCAAATTCCAAGTAGAATACCTTTAGACTATCTCTAGCAATAGCTAACAGAATAAGATTTACAAATCTTGATAGATCATTTTTCATGCCTGTGTCATTTTAAAATGAATTGATGGCTGTTAAAACTTAATTTAATTTGAGTCTCTTCCGGATCATATACATAGTTTTACAGACAGCCATGTTCAATGAAATTATAATATGTAACACAAGAAATATGCCAGATGTAAAGTAAGAATCTCTTTTAAACGCTCTGATATTCAAAAATCTTTATCAGATTTCCTAAACTAACGATTTTAAACAAAACCTTTTAGTTAAGAAAGCATTGGTCTCAATAGTAAATCTGCCAATATGAATTGCTGCATTTTATTTTTGAACTTTCTAAAGGCCATCTGCCAGAGTAATTAGATATAAAATCCTGCATGCAATCTAATATTAGATGAAAAGTTTAAACTACCAATGATACAATATTGATGCACAGAGGAATGAATTGATTTTTTATGTTATTCTCAAATTGAAAGTCAATCTTTTTATAAAATAAATTTATAAATAAATCCAAATATGATATTTTAGCTCACTTTTGACAGTAGGTTTTCAGTTTCTGATGTTAACAATGGCATAATTATGATTTGCTGAATGACTTTAAAGTGATCGGATAAGGAAACAATTAGGGTTTGCAGTAGCTGGAGAAAGAAAAAAAAGAAATATTTAGATATTGCATACTCAATATGGCACATACTACGTCACAGGCTTTAATATCAGTTGACTACTCTCTTTAGAAGGAGTACGGTTTGACCTAGACCAGTTTATTTATTCATTTTTGTAATAATTTTTCCTCATTCTCTTTGACACATTGGTTAACCTAAAATTACTGTGTCGCTTAGGACATTGACTAAAAATCGTAGTCTTTCAGTTTGTGGCTGCTCACAGGATTTTTTTTTTTTTTTTGCTTTGGCTTACTAAATAATCTTTTATTGGAGTTAAAACAACAAAGCTAGTAAAGATATATAAATCAATGCCAAAAAAAAGGAGACAGGCCTACTTATATGCCATTATCTTCTGTTATTGCCGTTGGATAGAAGACAGACATTATCATTTTTAATCAATTGTATACTTCATAAATATGATACAACAGATATTTTTACTTCCAAGATTATACATAGAGTTTTTATGATTCCTTTGTGAGTGTGAACTATATAGCTGTCCCTAAAACATAATTGAGAACAGAAAGGTTTTATTTTTAATTATATAATTTTCTTGCCCAAGTTATATGGATTCATAGGTTACAGAATGTATAACAATATACATTTTTTGCATTTTTAAATTTACTGTATAATTTATTTCTGAAACCAAATTTGATATACAACTATGTAAACCATTAAATATGATCTGGATTAAAATAATCTTAACAGACAAATCCAAAAACACTGCATTTTATTATTTCTATTTCTAATGTTACCTCCAGGTTTAGACTCCCCTAAGTAATTGACTCTACCTATTATGTTTGTGTTTTGAAACATCACTCTATATTGTAACAAAAAGAAAAATGACACAATTAGTTTCCTATATGTACACAAAAATTTTCAGTTTTAAATAAGGAAATATAGTTTTGAAATTTAAAAAAGTAAATGTTATAATATTTTCTCAAATAATTTACTACTCATATTCCCATTGCTTAGTTTCATTAATTTTTACACTCACATTTTACATATCCAAGATATATTTCCAGCTTTATTTTCAGAATGAACTGCTAGGATCTTAGATGAGTTTATTATTTTGCACGAGGTGCCACTGCTTGACACCTGATTGTGTGTATACCCCCCCTTTTTTTTTTTATATACTTTTAAGTTTTAGGGTACATGTGCACAATGTGCAGGTTAGTTACATATGTATACATGTGCCATGCTGGTGTGCTGCACCCACTAACTCGTCATCTAGCATTAGGTATATCTCCGAGTGCTATCCCTCCCCCCTCCCCCCACCCCATAACAGTCCCCAGAGTGTGATGTTCCCCTTCCTGTGTCCATGTGTTCTCATTGTTCAATTCCCACCTATGAGTGAGAACATCCGGTGTTTGGTTTTTTGTCCTTGCGATAGTACTGAGAATGACGATTTCCAATTTCATCCATGTCCCTACAAAGGACATGAACTCATCATTTTTTATGGCTGCATAGTATTGCATGGTGTATATGTGCCACATTTTCTTAATCCAGTCTATCACTGTTGGACATCTGGATTGGTTCCAAGTCTTTGCTGCCCAAGGTAATTTATAGATCCAATGCCATCCCCATCAAGCTACCAATGACTTTCTTCACAGAATTGGAAATAACTACTTTAAAGTTCGTATGGAACCAAAAAAGAGCCCGCGTTGCCAAGTCAATCCTAAGCCAAAAGAACAAAGCTGGAGGCATCACGCTACCTGACTTCAAACTATACTACAAGGCTACAGTAACAAAAACAGCACGGTACTGGTACCAAAACAGAGATATAGATCAATGGGACAGAACAGAGCCCTCAGAAATAACGCCGCATATCTACAACTATCTCATCTTTGACAAACCTGAGAAAAATAAGCAATGGGGAAAGGATTCCCTATTTAATAAATGGTGCTGGGAAAACTGGCTAGCCATATGGAGAAAGCTGAAACTGGATCCCTTCCTTACACCTTATACAAAAATTAATTCAAGATGGATTAAAGACTTAAACGTTAGACCTAAAACCATAAAAACCCTAGAAGAAAACCTAGGCATTACCATTCAGGACACAGGCGTGGGCAAGGACTTCATGTCTAAAACACCAAAAGCAATGGCAACAAAAGCCAAAATTGACAAATGGGATCTAATTAAACTAAAGAGCTTCTGCACAGCAAAAGAAACTACCATCACAGTGAACAGGCAACCTACAGAATGGGAGAAAATTTTCGCAACCTACTCATCTGACAAAGGGCTAATATCCAGAATCTACAATGAACTCAAACAAATTTACAAGAAGAAAACAAACAACCCCATCAAAAAGTGGGCGAAGGACATGAACAGACACTTCGCAAAAGAAGACATTTATGCAGCCAAAAAACACATGAAAAAATGCTCACCATCACTGGCCATCAGAGAAATGCAAATCAAAACCACGATGAGATACCATCTCACACCAGTTAGAATGGCAATCATTAAAAAGTCAGGAAACAACAGGTGCTGGAGAGGATGTGGAGAAATAGGAACACTTTTATACTGTTGGTGGGACTGTAAACTAGTTCAACCATTGTCGAAGTCAGTGTGGCGATTCCTCAGGGATCTAGAACTAGAAATACCATTTGACCCAGCCATCCCATTACTGGGTATATACCCAAAGGATTATAAATCATGCTGCTATAAAGACACATGCACACGTATGTTTATTGCGGCACTATTCACAATACCCCATTCTTTAGACTTTTAAAATCAATACCCACTCTTCCCCACGAACAAGAGAAAGTAAAAACAACTAACAGTGGATTTCTGTATCACGATGACTCATTTTCAATAGAACACTACCATAGGTCAAATGGATGAATGCATAAATAATGAATGGATTAATATCTTTTACATAATCATGTGCCACATAACAACGTTTACATCAATAAGAGACAGCATGTAAAACAATGGCTCATTAAGATTATAATAGGGTTGAAAAATTGCTATCACCATTATAGATTGATCACTCTATGAAGTTTGCACAGTAAGATAATCACCTAGCCACACACTTCTCAGAACATATCCTCATTGCTAAGTGACACAAGGCTATATTTCATTTAATGATTGCGTAAATAGTTGTTGAGAAAAATCTGCACTCTAAGTACCAGGATAAAAGAGATTAATAATAAATTAATGATTAAATGCACCATGATCAATCTTATCATTGAGGTCTATATGCTACATTTGGATTACATCGTAAAGGCAGAGGTTAATCATCGCAACTTACACAACAGGATACAGAGTGGATCAGCAGATAATTACATAATAGAATACAGTTTGAAACCTGCAAGATGCATTAGAATTAATTAGAATCAAACCATATGTGTGACTTTGGTTTAAATGTGCAAAACCTATTAATATAGATATAGCCAGGACATTTCTATTGTGTGTGTGTGTATATATATATATATATATATATATATATATATAGTGTGTATCTATATATATACACACACATATACATTTATATATACATACATACATATATATAATATATAATATATATATATATATATATATATATATATATATTTTTTTTTTTTTTTTTTTTTTTTTTTTTTTTGTGATGGAGTTTCGCTCTTGCTGCCCAGGCTGGAGTGCAATGGCATGGTTTCAGCTCACTGCAACCTCCGCTTCCAAGGTTCAAGCAATTCTCCTGCCTCAGCCTCCCAAGTGGCTGGAATTACAGGGGCCAACCACCACACCAGGCATATCTTTGTATTTTTAGTAGAAACTGCTTTCACCATGTTGGCCAGGCTGGTCTCGAACTCCTGACCTCAAGTGATCTACCCCCTCGGCCTCCCAAAGTGCTGGGATTACAGGTGTGAGTCACTGTACCCAGTTTGTCTTTATAAATCTTATAGAAATATTTAACTTTTAAAATCAACCACACACAATTAAGACTTTGATAAAAGTAATTAAGAAGTAAAGCAATGGAAAAAGCAATTTTTAAAAACATATATGAATGATTGAAAGCCAGGAGTAAAATTAAGAATTGTATTAAAATATCACTATTAAAATTAGCTACATAAATATTTAATTAATGCAGCTAAATTGTTAACAAAATTTACAGAAGAAAAGTATGTTAACATTACTGAATCATCTTAAAATCTTATTAAAATTTAAAGTTCTTCTCAACTGAAATCATATCACAGAAAAAAATAATGTCACCTTAAAAAGTTTAGGATTAGAAATACATAATTATTTTTAAATATAGTCTTTATATATTAATTATATTTCATTAATGTCTTATTTCTTGAATAAACTTTTTTCATGATACTATTTAAGTGCCACATTCTACAATAATATGGAAAACAATTCTACAAAATGTGGCATACAGTAATTGATAGGTAGTATAGCACACCTTTTATCTTTATAGCAAAAACATAATGTGTAAATTAATATAACACTAAGTCCCATATTGTCATTTTTTGTCAAAGAGCTATCTCCTTGAAAACCATCATCCTCAGATGCATCTCTAACTTCAAAAAGACCTTAGAAACTGTAACAATTGTAAATGCGTTATAACTTAAAGAGATATTATCTTCACATTAGAGGCTAACAGGCTTATACCTACTGATAGCTGACAAGTATTATAGGAATCCTGGCAGGCAAATTGTTGCATAAAAATTATGTAATTTACTAACTGTAAAATAACCTTTAGAGTTTAGAATCAGTCAGATAAGTAGAACAGACAATTGTTATCAAAGCCATATAAATGGCTATTAAAATTATTTTTTGCTACCCTCATTTTATCTCTGAAGAGACATCTTGTTAAAAAATGAATAACAGACACATATAAATACCTAATTACAAGCAGAGTTAAGATTAAAATTCAGCCTCATTAGGGGTGGGATAGAAATCAGTACACTAAAGAATATTTTGGTGCAGGTAGTTTGTTTCAAATGATTCAACCTTCAACATTACTTCACTTAAATTTTAGCAAACTTTCTGCTATAATTTAAGCATACAGACCTATGACACTAGACATATGTCCTGTGTAAGCCTGGGCTAGGGGAGCTCTATTTAATACTTACATAAACCCCAAAGATGTCCTAAGAAATAAAATTTGGAAAAACTTTGATGTGCTACAGCACGGATTTTCTCCTACAGCAACAGAGCAGACACTTGAATGTAGTTATACTCCTGCTTTCCACCTCCCTGTCAAAACAATAAAAAAGGCCACAGGCCTGTGGTTCTGGCCTCCAGGGAACTGGTGGCTTCTTTAACCCACACTGCTGCTGCTGAATCCCATTTAGGTTTAGGGTTTATTTTGTATATGCCTTTGTACAGGCTAAATGCTGGTCTAGTTGAAAATCAACCTAAAACAACCTTAATAGCATCTCATTTTATTGTGACTTTACTTTTTGTGTTGTTTGGTGTTTTACTTTTGGAGACAGAGTCTTAATCTGTCACCAAGGCTGGAGTGCAGTGGCATGATTATGGCTCAACCTCCAGGCTCAAGTGACCCTCCCACTTCAGCCACCTGAGTAGCTGATACCACAGGAACATGCCACCACATAAGGCTAACTTAAAGAACATTTTTTTAGATGGGATCTCACTATGTTGCCCAGGCTGATCTTGAGCTCTTTGCCCCAAGCAATCCTCCCACCTTGGCCTCCCAAAGTGCAGGGATTATAGGTGTGAGCCACTATGCCAGGCCTCTCTCATGACTTTAAACTTGAACATGCTTTTGTGCTGTGGCCGAGTTTAGGATCCCAACCAGCCTGTGATTACTGTGGTCACCACACAGATTCCCTCTTGTTCCATCTTTTATATTCCATCTTCTCACTCTCATAACTGTGTGGATAGGAAAACAATTATCCATACAGGTATGATATTGGCAGAGAAAATCACAAAATGTTTTAATGAGCAAACACTTTGGGGATGGTAATAATCTTTCTACCACCTTCATTGTCTTGTTTAAGTATCTCTACATTCTTCTTTAAAAATTAGGAATATATCTTTCTTGCTCTTTCGTTGTTGTTGAACACCAGAAGGGGATATTCCTTAATTCTCTCTCCATAGCTAAGGACAGTACAGCACAATATTCCATTCAGCAGGTGAAGTCAGTATGAATGAATGCATTTCAATCAGCAAATTGCTGGTTGTGTTGCAACTCCTAGTTATGATGTTTTGTGTACTTTGAAGGGCTCCCATTAATTAAGGTATTTCTTATAAGCATTCAGAAAGTTTCTTTTCTTGGCATGCGACTTGAAAATTTGTCCTGATATTTTCCCTGTGACAATGTTTTGTGAATTGTAACTCAGCCACTTAAGTGGCTCCTCATAATAAAGCCACATGGTATCCATGTACACATATTTAACAAATCAAAGAAGTGGTTCTCAACCTAATCTCTAGAGGAGGTCCTTCTTGTTCACTTTCAATAACTATGTTGAAGAATAGATTCTAAAAAGCTATCACCAAATTTTCGAATATGTTTTGAAATTTGTGTCCACAAAATCTATAAATCAATAAATGTATAGAATAGAGCATAATAATCCAATTAACAAATTTAAGATGTCATCTAAGCAGGAATGAATGCAATAAATAGGCCTTCTTACTTCAAAATCAACTGCAGAGGTAATGCATTGCCACTAGACTTGTGTGCTGTGTTGGTAATAAATTAACAAAAACTTTGGGGATAAGAAAAATCTGCAAATAAAATGGTGTGTCATTTGTGAAATATAATCACAAAAATGTTCAGATTGTTATAATTAACAGAAAAACTATTGTTTTTATTATATCCAGTGTTTAACAGACACTATTCATGTATACATACAACATTCTTATAATAACTCTTGTGTCCATGTAAATAGCAGTCTTGCCAAAAAGAATTGACTATCATGTAGTAGTTTGTAAGTATTTTCATGCATAGGCTGCAACCCTTTAGAGTGCTATTCTAATAAATTATTAATATTAACTTGATGAACACAATTCTAAGACATTTCATTTGAGGATATGTTTATTAACTATTAGGTTGGTACAAAAGGCATTGCGTTTTTTGCCATTACTTTCAATAAAAAATAGAACCAGCATTTAGAAATCTACTTTCAGAAACTTAATAAAATGAGAATTTGTCCTCTTTTACATATAGGAAGCCTGCATAATAAGCATTCTGTTGCTAGTACATAAGCTTCCCATTTTCATCAGGAAACTATACACTTACATTTCACTTTTACTAACTTCAATGCATGACTTCTACCTTCAAGGTGATTTCATGCTTCTAGCCACCATGTCTGTACTCCAGGACAGCAGCACAAAGTGTAGAAAAATAAAAAAGACATACCTCCCTAATGAGTCAACTGCACTTAAGGAGCCATCCCAGAAGTTTCACACGGCTTATTTGAATACAGCTATATCCAGATGCAAGGAATGCTGGGAAATGTGGTATTGTGCGCAGCTAAAGTTGGGATTATGTTAGTGAAAATGAGACCACGAACATTGGAAGGTTAAAAGCAATCTCTCATGACATATACAATTACAGAAATTAAATTAAATCTTTAAGCAATGTGATAAACCTATGGAATGTTAACAGGCAAAAATAGCAACATTAAAAATTACAGTGAGGGAATAAGGTATGATTCGTTTGTAGATGGTTTGTGTGTCATTAATCTAGGCAAAAAGTCATAAACTCCTCTAACAGTGACCACATGTATAAAAGAAATAATAATACACACTATGGCTAACAACATTCCATTTTGGCCTATTTACTGTTGTTAAGTCTCTATGGTTAGCATCAGAAATGTACAGTTTTGATAGCCTATGACCTCAACATGTTCAGTTTGATAGTAGAAAGGACAACATAAAGACAAACCAATCAACAAATAAGAATAAAAACTGTTAAAAAAAGGACAATATTATCATAAGAACATAAGGATGTGATAATGTATTTGACATATCGTTTATTTATTGTTTTATAGTTGGATAATACATATAAATTTACTGCTCCTTCAATGTTAGAATCAATAGAATCATAGCAGAAGTAATTAAGCAGATAAAGATCAAAACGTCACCTTTATTACTTACTGTTTGAAAAATAGTCTAAGGCTGGTTTTACAGGGTTGCTCCTATCCATCACCTGATGTGAAGTTTCTTAGGAAGCTTCAGGACTACACCAAAGAAGCAGAACCTGCTCTTTCACTCTGTTGCATTGTGTGGAGTGCAGGCCATCATGACTGCTCTCTACAAGAAAAAGAAAGGAAATAATTAAGAAACGCACAAAAGTTTGTGAATTGAGAATCCCAAAATAGGTATGAAATTGGTTAGCTTTCTAAATTCACCAATCTCATAACTAACACCTGTCCCCATGCAGTGAATGAGTAAAGGATGGACAGACTCCATAATGATTATTCTAGGGAAAGCCTTCTGAGTAGAAAGAGGAGAGTTTTGCAAACAGTTTTGTAGAGTTTACTCTTGTTTATGCACTGATAATAAATAAGAGTTCCTAAAATTCTCTCTAGAACTCTAGGTAAATGAGATATTTCACCGCTCATGCTGTGTGACCTTCATGTCCCATCTGCCTAGACTGTAAATATGCTTTCTGAAGTTTAAAAGAATTAGTATACTATGCTTACATTAAGCAAAAAAGTACCCTTATTATGCAGGATCAAGTAACACTCTAAAGATTCATGTTTATGAAAAAACACTGATGATTCTATTTTATTATGTGTCTTCTAAAGAGAAAAATACTTGTGCTCTGCAGCATAATTTTACAATGTGCTATTCTAAATACTTTCATTTAAACAAGACCATTATGAAAATGTTTTGCACACAGAAATATATTTTGAATACTTTTTTAAAAAGATCACAAAGTATATGGTCTCTGTACGTGTTCAATTATTTTAATGCTTTCACTATAACAGGAATTCTTAAAGAGGATATGTACTTGCATAATGCTGATAATTCTTTCTCATTTCTGTTTGTGCTTTGGCTGTTGTTACAACCACTGAAAGTAGTAATTACATGAGTGTATTATCCATGATTATCTTTAGATATATGTGCATTTTCTTTAATTAAACTATAAACTCTAAATGAAAAATAAAAAAGAAGTCACCTCTTGTCTCTTTGTACAATATTAAAATTTTTTTCTTGTATCCAGAGTTTCCCAAATGCCTGTTGCAAAATTTTACTTAGGGAGTAGAAAGTGGAGAATCAATATGGTAAAAAAAACTGTGTTACAGGGAAGGAGACACAGGGTAAGCATTTTCCTTATCTTCTCTCCTGTATCTACGTGCTGCACAAGCATAAATGATAGCAGTCACATGAACGAGTACTTTTCAAGAACGTAGAATATGGTGATGGAAAAAAAAAACCGCTTTGAAACATCGAATAATATAAAAGCCAGAACTACTACAACTATTTTTTACATCCATAGAAGGTAAACTATTTTTAGATATAAAATTCCTTCTGACGGTAGTCCTGATCATTTAACCAATATTTTGATAAATCAAAGAAGGGAAAAATGGACATTCAGTCCAAAGATGGGCATGTATTCCCATGCCCAGTCAGGCAAAACTTGTGGATGTTCTTTAAAATAACAATTCATTCAACAAATAATTTTTAAATGGCTACTGAATACCTGGAAAGGTTCTAGACACAGGGGCTATAGTAAGAAACAAGAAGGAACTAATTGACAAGAATGTGCTCACCGACAATGAAACATCTCCTCATGGAGCTTGAGTTCTGTTTGAAAAGACAGAGAACAAAAAAATATTATTGCACAGAGTGTTAGTTATGTGTGAATTAAAAGACTGGTCAGTACTTGAAGGAGAAGGAGTGACAACAAATCTCACTTCCAGTTCTATTTACCTGAACAGATTAATTCTATTTTGTTTCAATGCAACAGTAGTCCTACGGTTAACAAGATGCACTACACAAAGCAAACAACTTATAAAACGCATTTTTTCCTTATATTGCAAATCAATTTTAAGTGGATCTACAAATATACAATAAATAATATAAATTACGGATCGTTTGTTTCTAAGGTAATAAGTACATTTGTTAATTTCACATAAATAATTTCAGAAGGAGAGCAAATGTAAAAATGTGTTTTAGACAGTGGAGATGCCATTTTATTGTAAGACTATTTATACTCAAAGGACAAAGTAATCAGCTTTCTATGTCAATGATCGTCCTTCTCTATTTCACCCAGTTCCAGACAAACCCAAGTCTTCCAAGTCTCTTCATATATCTGATCCAATAAAATCTATAATGAGTTCAGTTAGCATACACACACACACACACACACACCACACACACACAAGCACACAAACACACACACACGACTGCATTGAAATACTTGCTCTAGGGAAGGAACATAGTGTATATGCAACTTGTGTACTTTCTAAGTATGGGAAGACTAATCCTTTAACAACTGCATTTACTTTCTTTCACTTCTATCGTTGCTATCTACTCCTCAGAAATCTACTTAAACAACCAATAAATATATATGATGTTGTTATGAGAGTTTTGGAAATAATTCCTAAAAATTTGCATGGTTGCCTCTTTATATTTGGCAGCTTCTATCACCCATGGGAACAACCCCTACAGAATGATCAGAATATAAAGCATGTGAGCCCTGGGTTTCTCAGGCACTGGAAGGACCTGTCAGAATCCTCTCAGGTGGGTCAAAATGGCCAGGCTTTATAACCTCATCTCCATTCGTGTTTGCATGTCCAGTGCTCCAGGATGCCCTAACATTGAGCCAGACAATGGTTACAGCTGAGGCAAACTTTGAAGGAGCTGAGAGCTGAAGGCTGCTTTGTAATATTGCTCCTAGCAGCCAAGGGGGAAAGAAATCTTTTCTTGAAGAGCGATCTGTGTCCATAGCAAAATGTTTTTTTCTTAGCTCTTGTAAAATCGAAATTGTTTGCTTTTGAATTTTTTTAAATGATTCCTTTAAGATTCTTAATACCAAGATATCACAAGGTCAAGGAATTTTATAAAGAAGTATTTCTATTTATGTAATTTCCTAAATTTATCTATACACAAATCAGCACTAAAACATGCCTTTGATACTAACAACTTGATCGGTTTGTGAACCAAATCTGTCATGCAAATACATACGGCTGTTTTTAGATAAATTCTAAAGGTATTACCAAATCATTTAATTTTATTGTGTATCTCAATATTCTGGTTGATGTATAAGTTTAAATAGAACAAACTATTTGACATTGAAATGTTCTTTATCAAAGGAGAAGGAATACAATTTTAAAGCCACAACGAGTGACACATAGTTCTGAATGATTTATTGGCTGTCTGCCATTCTGAAATGGCTGCCAGTCAATGTTACATGTGACATCTTTCAGATAGTGTGAACTCTTTTATGCAAGCACCTTTCACTATAAAATTACAGCTGGAGATCATGAAGAGAAAAGTGTGGTGTTTATCTTAATGGGCTGAAAGACCTATTTCAACAGTTACAGTAATTCAGAAAAATAGTCTGAAGTCTAGTATTTCAATAATGTTATTTTCATAGATTTTAATCTCTAAAGACAATGCTTCACTTTTGTAGAAAATGACTTTTCTAATCATCCTGGATTTCAAAATTCTTTCCATTACTTAATATTTAAATCACTGGCAGAACTTGGCATGAGGACTAGAGAGCTGTCACCAAGCAGCCAGTCATTTTTCTTGGCTTCCCATATGCCATGCCCAGCAATAGAGCATTTCTTAGTAGCTGAGGAATAGCAGCAGTGCTAAACACAGAGATGACATTAACAGGAATGAGAGGGTCCAAGCTGTTTTCCTAGACTAATTCTCATTCAGCCTGAATTCAAAGCATTTTCCTATCATTATCATAGATATTTCGCTTGTGGTATTATCTATCTTTTGGCAATGTTGATTTTTTTCTGATTATCCAAATAAGTAATGTTAATGGAAAAAATCAGATATTAGGGGAAAAAAAACTCTAGAAATAAATGTTAACCCAAGACAATAACAATTCAATTAATTTATATGATACCTTAGGGATTGTGTCAATTATTTTTTAAATGAAATTCAAAAAATTCAACACCTGTGTTTTCTCCTACGATTACAAATTCAACTAGGGCACAATTGTAAATGGTTGTATTTGGTTGAATTTTTAGATTGTTTATAAGTTTTACTCTTGCAGACAATAATAATGGAGTTTCTTTGAAAATAAATTTAGTTGTTCTATAACCAAGGCATAAATATTCAATTCAATAAAATTAGCAAAAATATTAAATGAAAAGTATATTATATATAAAATGCATAAATAAAATATCCTGCACTGATCATTTTATGTCTATGGTTACCCTACTGATTCTGTGCACATTTGCATATGGGTATATATGCAATTTTATACAATGAAGTATTAATAGTGTACATAAATTTAGTAATTATTTTACCCCTTAAAAGTATATGCAATGAGTGTCACTTATATATAAATTCTGTTAACGTGGAAGAAGAATGTTAGTCAAAAAAACTACGAATTTAACAATTTTCTGGTTAATTCAAAGGGCTTTCCAAAAATGTCTTTTAAAATTCAATTTCATTTATTTTCTCATAGCAGAATATGAGAATGAATCTTTTTTGCTGCAAATTGGCTAGCAATAAATTTTTATTTTTATTATTTTAATTCTGTGAATTTCGGGAATGGAGTCTCATTCAGTATAAATATTATAATACTAATGAGATTGACTCCCTCCTTCTTATTAACAGTGTGCATTTTTACCCTCCGTGATTCAGTGCATGGTGTAGTGCTATAATTAAAAATGAACATTTTTTTTAAAATTTTATTATTATTATATTTCAAGTTTTAGGGTACATGTGCACAATGTGCAGGTTAGTTACATATGTATACATGTGCCATGCTGGTGTGCTGCACCCATTAACTCGTCATTTAGCATTAGATATATCTCCTAATGCTTTCCCTCCCCCCTTCCCCCACCCCACAACAGTCCCCAGCGTGTGGTGTTCCCCTTCCTGTGTCCATGTGTTCTCATTGTTCAATTCCCACCTATGAGTGAGAACATGCGATCTTAGGGTTTTTGTCCTTGTGATAGTTTACTGAGAATGATGATTTCCAATTTCATCCATGTCCCTACAAAGGACATGAACTCATCATTTTTTATGGCTGCACAGTATTCCATGGTGTATATGTGCCACATTTTCTTAATCCAGTCTATCATTGTTGGATATTTGGGTTGGTTCCAAGTCTTTGCTATTGTGAATAGTGCCGCAATAAACATACGTGTGCATGTGTCTTTATAGCAGCATGATTTATAGTCCTTTGGGTATATACCCAGTAATGGGATGGCTGGGTCAAATGGTATTTCTAGTTCTAGATCCCTGAGGAATCGCCACACTGACTTCCACAATGGTTGAACTAGTTTACAGTCCCACCAACAGTGGAAAAGTGTTCCTATTTCTCCACATCTTCTGCAGCACCTGTTGTTTCCTGACGTTTTAATGATTGCCATTCTAACTGGTGTGAGATGGTATCTCACTGTGGTTTTGATTTGTCCTCTCTCACCACTCCTATTCAACATAGTGTTGGAAGTTCTGGCCAGGGCAATTAGGCAGGAGAAGGAAAGAAAGGGTATTCAATTAGGAAAAGAGGAAGTCAAATTGTCCCTGCTTGCAGATGACACGATTGTATATCTAGAAAACCCCATTGTCTCAGCCCAAAATCTCCTTAAGCTGATGAGCAACTTCAGCAAAGTCTCAGGTTACAAAATCAATGTACAAAAATCACACGCATTTGTATACACCAATAACAGACAGTCAGAGAGCCAAATCATGAGTGAACTCCCATTCACAATTGCTTCAAAGAGAATAAAATACCTAGGAATCCAACTTACAAGGGATGGGAAGGACCTCTTCAAGAAGAACTACAAACCACTGCTCAATGAAATAAAAGAGGATACAAAGAAATAGAAGAACATTCCATGCTCATGGGTAGGAAGAATCAATATCGTGAAAATGGCCATACTGCCCAAGGTAATTTATAGATTCAATGCCATCCCCATCAAGCTACCAATGACTTTCTTCACAGAATTGGAAATAACTACTTTAAAGTTCGTATGGAACCAAAAAAGAGCCCGCGTTGCCAAGTCAATCCTAAGCCAAAAGAACAAAGCTGGAGGCATCACGCTACCTGACTTCAAACTATACTACAAGGCTACAGTAACAAAAACAGCACGGTACTGGTACCAAAACAGAGATATAGATCAATGGAACAGAACAGAGCCCTCAGAAATAACGCCGCATATCTACAACTATCTCATCTTTGACAAACCTGAGAAAAATAAGCAATGGGGAAAGGATTCCCTATTTAATAAATGGTGCTGGGAAAACTGGCTAGCCATATGGAGAAAGCTGAAACTGGATCCCTTCCTTACACCTTATACAAAAATTAATTCAAGATGGATTAAAGACTTAAACGTTAGACCTAAAACCATAAAAACCCTAGAAGAAAACCTAGGCATTACCATTCAGGACACAGGCGTGGGCAAGGACTTCATGTCTAAAACACCAAAAGCAATGGCAACAAAAGCCAAAATTGACAAATGGGATCTAATTAAACTAAAGAGCTTCTGCACAGCAAAAGAAACTACCATCACAGTGAACAGGCAGCCTACAGAATGGGAGAAAATTTTCACAATCTACTCATCTGACAAAGGGCTAATATCCAGAATCTACAATGAACTCAAACAAATTTACAAGAAAAAAACAAACAACCCCATCAAAAAGTGGGCGAAGGACATGAACAGACACTTCTCAAAAGAAGATATTTATGCAGCCAAAAAACACATGAAGAAATGCTCACCATCACTGGCCATCAGAGAAAAATGAACATTTCAAAGATGTGCTTCCAAATGCCAAATCATCACTAAAAAGCTCTGTGGCATAGAGGAAATTTCACAACCTTTTAGCGCCTCAATTTTGTGGAAGAATGGTTAGGAGGCTATTGCAATAACAAAAGAAAATTTGAATAGCTGTATCCAACATGAAAAGATTGCTAGTAGAATTAAATGAGTTACTATAGGTAAAACAATCAGGGAAGTAATTAAAGAGAATCTGCACTAACATTGTTTTATTAATTTAAAATATCTGTACACAATCCTTTGACTCATTTGGAATTAGTTTTAGTGTATTTTAGAAAATAAGGTTTATTTTTTATTTTCTCCCAAAACAATTCTTCAAGACAACTTTTCGAACAGTAAATTCCTTCTTTGTTTATAATATGTATTTTAATAAAGTCACTTATCTTCATGATTTCTAGGACATCGGTTCTATCTAATCTATTGTTCAGCATTCGTCTGAGTATTTTCTGAGCAGCAATTAACCCCTCTGTACCTCTGAGTGCCCACATTTCCTTGATCCATTTCACCTTGCTGATCAATCCTTCTTTACTCATAGTCTAAATTTTTTTTTTAGAACTTCTGAGAGTGCCTCAAACCTTGGTCTTGGGTCTTCCTTCAATCTTATTTGTCTTTCCACCTGATCTTAATTATTTACATCACATTATACCCTATCTTTATGGTGACAAATCTCAAAATTATCTCTCTGACCTAAACTTATCATTAAAGATTTGGTTGCAACTTATTAAGAAGTCAGGTTCAATGTAATACATGCATTGTTGATTTAATATGCTCATCAAAATACTTAAAATTTTATTTGAATGCAAAAAAATAAAGCTTTTAATTTTATCTCCTATTTAATAATTTTGACAAAAACATTATACCAATCATTACTAATTATTGCTGGCTTTTAAAATATTATCTGATTAAATATTTTTGACTTGGAAAAATGGTAACAAATGCTTCTCTCTTTCTTGTCCCCTTGAACCATACTTGATATATTGCTTTTTCCAAATCCGGGCCACAAGTTCAGAATATAGCCTGTTAAAATATCTTCTATGTATAAACTATCTTTAAATTTTCTTGAGAGAATACTGAGTAACCAAAAGCATTGCTCCTTCACCCTACAAAAGAGAGAAAAATTAAAAAATCACATTAATTTGTAATTTTAAATGGTAATTAAAGCTATTGTGAGGGCTCTTTTATCGGCCAAACTTGTGAACAAAAAACAGCTCAAATTTATGTGTAAATAAAATATATTGAGATGAAGCCTTTCATTCAATGTGTGATTTTCAGTTCAAAAAAACACACTGATGTTCAAGAACAAAGACTGGTACAATAACTATCTACAAAATGCTTTTGTTACTAGATTTTAATTCCTTCATCAAACAGACACAGTCAAAGTTGATAGTGTCACTAGATCTAGAGGTCTATCAATATCCTTCCCACCATTTAATATGTTCTTAATCTCAGGGAAATTCTAAATCATATTCTTCTAAATTGTACAGTTGACTCCTGAAAAACACAAGGTTTAGGGCCATCAAACCTCCCTAACCCCTCCCCACCACCCCAGCACAGTCAAAAATTCACATATAACTTTGGACTCCCCAAAACTAAACTAACAGCCTACTGTTGACTGGACAATCCTTAACACATATTTCATACGCTGTATGTATTTTACAACGTAGTTTTACAATGAAGCTAGTTACAGAAAAGAAAGTGTTATTAAGAAAATTATAGGGAAGAAAAAATACGTTTACAGTACTACAGTATATTTATTTCTCTCATAAGTTTACAATCCTGTGTTTACAAGATGGATCCTTCTTCTGAAATGGCAGCACACACAGCTGCAGGCCTCAATCTAGGGTACCTATCAAGCAATTCATTGTTTTCCTGTAATGTCAGGACCCTTCTCTGTTTCCTGGAAGAACTTTCAGCATCACTAGCAGCACTTTTTATAGGTCTGAAGGTGTTATTCAAGGTTTATGGTATTGCACTAGACATCATGAATAATACAGGAGAAACATGAGAGAACACTTTTTACTGTGTTAATTTACTGGAGAGACAAGCTACTCACAAGAAGATGATTAGCATTATGTGGCATTTTAAGTGAATACTCACAACACTTGAGTTCACTGCAAGAACAACAGGTGGAGGCTAGGAAATTATCCCAGTAGTACAGTATGTACTACAGTTAATTTTGTGCAGTTATGATTTACTTTTGTATATTTTTGTTTTACTTTTCTCTAAACTTCAATTGGCTGCATGTATGCTCTGTGTTTGCCTACGTCTTGATAAATTTTAACTTTTTATAATAGACGCATATATATCTCATTGTATTAAATGATCACTAGTATCTACATATGATTTATGCATTCATGACATCGTTTTCTTAGTTTTTTAATATTTCTTGTGTAGATGGGTCACCTGTTATCTTTTTCAATTTTTCATAAATCTCCAAAAATTTTCTAATATATTTATAGGAAAAAATCTACATATGAGCAGACCTGCACAGTTCAAACCTGTGTTGTTGAGGAGTCAACTATATATTATAATTTAAGAGAGGATTCAACTCTTTCATTCTACTGGCAATGGGTTAACATAAACTTTAGTCAGAACTGCTGAGCTTTTCTGGCACAATGAGGACAAATTGACCAATGTATTTAACCAATAGCTGGGGGAAAATTTTGCTAAAATTGGTAAGTATATCTTTATATAACTATATCCTTACAACTTGTCTCAACCTTCGTCAGATTAATCCTAACAAAACTGTAAAATGTCTCAGTAAAAATCTAAATGAATTTTTCATAACAAGTGCTGGCAATAGATTTTAAATATGTTCTGATCATTATTTGTCTCTTGTTGGCATGGAGAAAATCCTTTTTTTTTTTTTTCAGCCTGGGGAATCCCAAACTATATCTCTAGTAACAAGGAAACCATTTTACCGGAATTTTTATTAACATGGAAAAGTTCTGTCAATTAATCAGACTTCACTGTCCATATCACTTTCAACCTTTTGGGAAGGTAGAAAGATGGAATTCTGAAACTAAAGTTGGTAAAGTTCACAGACATCGTCAAACTTGCATGGTCTAAGGTATTTCTTCTTTCTGTGGTTCATGAGTTAGTAACAGCTAAACCAAGTGTCTAGGAATATTAGCTCTGATTCTAGAAATCTACACTTATTTAACTAAATGCTGTAAGGACTCAGGAAATCCATTCTTTCAACAAAAGTTACTGAAGACTTTCCCCATTAGTATCCTAAACAATGTCTGCAAAATTGGTTTTCATACCTGGATACCTTGTCTTCTAAGAGACACGGCAGGGAAAGATCATAGGAAAAAAGTCACTATCAGGCACAGCTAACAACTAGCAAACCCATAGTCTTTAAAAGACTGATCCTTTGATTCCTATCTCTCAAGTAAAGAGGTTTAGGTCATCTTCATATTACAGGAAAGTATCCCTACCAAAAACTTCTAACTAATGACTCTTAGGATTCTTCCAAAAGCAAATAGTCTTTGGGAGAAGACAGCTTCCATCAAATGCCTTTGGATCAAGTGAATCACTATATGAGATATCGGTATCTGCAAACCAAGATCCACAAAAAAAGATCCATTGTTTGTCATATTTAATCTGTATATCTTGAGTTTTCATTTTCCTAGTTAACTTTATCTTTTTATGCTTAAGGTTACATTTAATTATTTTACCTATAAAGCTACTATTCCTAATTCCTCTATGCCGTCCTTAGTCACTCTCTAGAAGAGTCCGGAAGCTGGCCGTAATTTGTTCACAATTTGGCTAAACATGCAGTTGAATCAGTGCTAAGCTGCACACATTTTCCTTAGGATGCCAATTAGAGTTTTTTTTTTTTAACATCGATTCCTAAATATGAAACATCTGGGTTTATCAATAATTGGACTCACTATTTATTGTTATTTTATCTGACAAACAGCAGAGTATTAGATAAATAGAAATCTTAAATCCTAACATGCTGCACCCAGGAAAGAAAGCTTATGCCTACAGCAGAACAGCACTTAGGGATCTTTAATAGAATGCAACTTCTGTCACTAAACCTTTAGAAAGAAATGTCTTAAAAAGAAGAGAACAAATGGCACATACTTAATTCATTTCTCACATTTACATATCATAAAAAATTCTTATTACATATTCAAGCTCCTATCACATCTACCTCTTCCTCTATGTGATAAGGTCTTCATTTTATATCCCCAAAAGTGATTAATAGCAGAATGGAGCTGAAAGCAATCAATAAACTCAATCAACCTTAATGACTGCTACTGGATTTGTGGTACCAGAACCTATTGATTATTACAGCAATCTTGACATAAACTAACATACTGATGTGGTAGTCAGAATAATGGCTCTTCAGAGATGATGCGGTCCTAATCCAGATAATTTATAAATTTGTTAGCTTACCTGGCAGGACAGACTTTGCAAATGCAATTAGAGTTAAGGATTTTGAAATGGAGAGACTATCATAGATTTTTAGATGGCCAAATGCAATCATAAGATTCTTTACACGTAGAAGAGGGAGATATAAAAGGAGAATGTGAAGACTTGCTCCTTCATTTGTAGCTTTGAAGGTCAAGGAAAGGAACTGTTATGAACTGAATATTTGTGTCTCCCTAAAATTAATCTATTGAAGATGATTGGCATTGTTCAAATATTAATAGATTATTTTCAATGATCTATTAATTGGCAGTGTGATAGTATCTGGAGATGGAGCTTTTGGGAGGAACCTAGGTTGAGATAATGTCCTAAGTGTGGTGTTCTCATGATAATGTTAGTGTTCTTATAAGAAAAGGTGGAGATACTAGACCACCTCCCACCCAACCACCCTTCTCTTTCTCTCTCCGTAAACATGTATCCAGGAAAGGCCATGTGAACACAGAGAGAAGGAGGCCATCTACTAACCAGAGAGGGAGTGGGCCCTCACCACGAACCAAATATACCAGCACCTTAATCTTGGACTTCCCAACTTTCAGAACTCTGAGAAATAAATGTCAGTTGTTTAAGTCACCCGGTCTATGGTATTTTCTTACAGTATTCCAAGCTGCCCAAGACAGGGAACATGCATCAAAGAATGCAGCTGGATTCTAAAGCCTGGGAAAGGCCAGGTCATGGATTATTCCACAGAGCCTATAGAAGGAATGCAGTCTTCCAATGCTTTGATTTTAAATCAGTAAGACCTGTGTTGAACTTCTAACCTGGAATACTGCTAGACAATAAATTTATGTTGTTTTAAACTACTAAGTGTATTGTGATTTTTATAACAGCCACAGGAAAATAATACATTTGGCAAATCAGTGCATGTTTCATGATGGTCAATGATATGCCCCAGGGTCCATCTTAGCCATGATTTCTATCCCTTCAAAAACCAAAACAAAATAAAAAAGTAAAACAAAAAGACCAATTTTACTATACTACTTGATTTTTAACAATATTTTATATGTATTTAATCCAGTATATCCAAAATATTGTCATCTCAGCATAAAACAATATTAAAATTATTCAGTTTTACATTTTTTAAACTAAATCTAGTTTGTATTTTACATATAGCATAAATCAATTCAAATCCACCATATTTCAAGTGTTCAATATCTACATGTCACTAGTAATGACTATAGTGGACAGAATTGATCCAGATTTCCAGGTGTATTGCTATAAAACTAACCATATTTTTATCTTATTAAAACAAAACAAAACTCCTCCATAACTATGTCTATGTTCCTTTTGCTTTTATTAACATTGAACATATTCTTGTTTTTAATCTAATTTTGTCTGTATTTAGGTCTATTTTTTGGTGGTGTTATTTCTTGTATGCTTGGCATCAACTTTTTTTTCAATTTCTTAGACTATCTAAACTATTATGCTCTGAGTTTAGCTCAATTTCAATCAGCTACTCACTTTGAAAGACTCATTTAACTCTCTTAAGCCATTCTCCACAAACATGAAAAATCTTCCTCTCACTCTTCCCTGCTGAAACACTGCAAAAGTATGTCAAAATGGTGTACTTTCTTGGCACAGGGTTTCAATAAACTTAGTTTTGCTTTAATAACAAATTATCTGAATATATTTCAGGGAGTTCCACTGGTAAAAGCATAAAATCATGTTAGTTCAGGTCATCTTTTGTAAAGTTATGACAGTGCCATAGTATCAATTCTTGTCAAAATTTATGACTTCAAAATCAACTTAATATGCATCAACATAGATATTTTTTAGTTAATTCTAGACTCCAGGTGCTCATTTAAATAATATGGGTACATAAGACTGAACAAAACCAGTTGCTATTGAATGTACATTTTAGAGAAATACTTCATACACAGCTGTGTTTTGTTAAATAAGGAACTTGATGACATAATCAATATCACGGCAGCATACAACTGTTTGGTTAGTATGTCTCTTTAAACAAGCACATATGCTCATTCATGGAGTGTGTATTTGTATCTGTGTATGGTCTGTGTGGTGAAGCAGCAAGCAACAGTTGGATGTCTTAATTATCTAACAGGAAAAAACACCTAAATAATCAGAAGAAATTTTGATTTATTTATTAGTTCGACTGAGCTTTTCTCTTGAATGTAACACAGATGGTCCCAGATTTACAATGGTACAACTTTACAGCTTTATCATGGTACAAAAGTGATAAACATTCAGTAGAAACAATGCTTTTATTACCCATATACCCATTCCGTTTTTCACATTCAGTATTTAATAATTTACATGTGATATTCAACACTTTATTTAAAAATAGGCTTTAGGTTAGATTTTTTTTTTGGACTGGCTAATGTAAGTGTTCTGAGCACATTTCTTAAGTGTATTTTTTTTTAATACTTTAAGTTCTAGGGCACATGTGCACAACTTGCAGGTTTGTTACATATGTATACATGTGCCATGTTGGTTTGCTGCACCCATTAACTCATTAACTACATTAGGTATTTCTCCTAATGCTATCCCTACCCATCCCCCCACCCCACAATAGGCCCCAGCATGTGATGTTACCCACTCTGTGTCCAAGTGTTCTCGTTGTTCAATTCCCACCTATGAGTGAGAACACACGGTGTTTGGTTCTCCGTCCTTGCGAAGGTTTGCTCAGAATGATGGTTTCCAGCTTCATCCACGTCACTACAAAGGACATGAACTCATCATTTTTTATGCCAGCATAGTATTCCATGGTGTATGTATGCCACATTTTCTTAATCCAGTCTATCATTGATGGACATTTCGGTTGGTTCCAAGTCTTTGCTATTGTGAAGAGTGCCGCAATAAACATACATGTGCATGTGTCTTTATAGCAGCATGATTTATAATGCTTTGGGTATATACCCAGTAATGGGATCACTGGGTCACATGGTATTTCTAGTTCTAGATACTTGAGGAATTGCCACACTGACTTCCACAATGGTTGAACTAGTTTACACTCCCACAAACAGTGTAAAAGCATTCCTATTTCTCCACATCCTCTCCAGCACCTGTTGTTTCCCGACTTTTTAATGATCGCCATTCTAACTGGTGTGAGATGCTATCTCATTGTGGTTTTGATTTGCATTTCTCTGATGACCAGTAATGATGAGCATTTTTTCATGTGTCTGTTGGCTGCATAAATGTCTTCTTTTGAAAAGTGTCTGTTCATATCCTTTGTCCACTTTTTGATGGCTTTGTTTTTTTCTTGTAAATTGGTTTAAGTTCTTTGTAGATTCTGGATATTAGCTATTTGTCAAATGGGTAGATTGGAAAAATTTTCTCCCATTCTGTAGGTTGCCTGTTCGCTCTGATGGTAGTTTCTTTTGCTGTGCAGAAGCTCTTTAGTTTAATTAGACCCCATTTGTCTATTTTGGCTTTTGTTGCCATTGCTTTTGGTGTTTTACACATGAAGTCCTTGCCCATGCCTATGTCCTGAATGGTATTGCCTAGGTTTTCTTCTAGGGTTTTTATGGTTTTAGGTCTAACATTTAAGTCTTTAATCCATCTTGAATTAATTTTTCTATAAGGTGAAGGAAGGGATCCAGTTTCAGCTTTCTACATATGGCTAGCCAGTACCATTTATTAAATAGGGAATCCTTTTCCCATTTCTTGTTTTTGTCAGGTTTGTCAAACATCAGATGGTTGTAAATGTTTAGCGTTATTTCTGAGGCCTCTGTTCCATTCCATTGGTCTATATCTCTGTTTTGGTACCAGTAAAATGCTGTTTTTGTTACTGTAGCCTTGTAGTATAGTTTGAAGTCAGGTAGCGTGATGCCTCCAGCTTTGTTCTTTTTGCTTAGGATTGTCTTGGCAATATGGGCTCTTTTTTTGATTCCATATGAACTTTAGTTTTTTCCAATTCTGTGAAGAAAGTCATTGGTAGCTTGATGGGGATGGCATTGAATCTATAAATTACCTTGGGCAGTATGGCCATTTTCACGATATTGATTCTTCCTACCCATGAGCATGGAATGTTCTTCCATTTGTTTGTGTCCTCTTGTATTTCGTTGAGCAGTGGTTTGTAGTTTTCCTTAAAGAGGTCCTTCACATCCCTTGTAAGTTGGATTCCTAGGTATTTTATTCTCTTTGTAGCAACTGTGAATGGGAGTTCACTCATGATTTGGCTCTCTGATTGTCTGTTATTGGTGTATACAAATGCATGTGATTTTTGCACACTGATTTTGTAACCTGAGACTTTGCTGAAGTTGCTCATCAGCTTAAGGAGATTTTGGGCTGAGATGATGGGGTTTTCTAAATATACAATCATATCACCTGCAAACAGGGACAATTTGACTTCCTCTTTTCCTAATAGAATGCCCTTTATTTCTTTCTCTTGCCTGACTGCCCTGGCCAGAACTTCCAACACTATGTTGAATAGGAGTGGTGAGAGAGGGCATCACTGTCTTCTGCTAGTTTTCAAAGGGAAAGCTTCCAGTTTTTGCCCATTCAGTATGATACTGGCTGCGGGTTTGTCATATATAGCTCTTATTATTTTGAGATATGTTCCATCAATACCTAGTTCATTGAGAGTTTTCAGCATGAAGGGCTATTGAATTTTGTCAAAGACCTTTTCCGCATCTATTGAGATAATCTTGTGGTTTTTGTCTTTGGTTCTCTTTATGTGATGGATTACATCTATTGACTTGCGTATGTTGAACCAGTCTTGCATCCCATGGATGAAGCCAACTTGATCTTGGTGGATAAGCTTTTTGATGTGCTGCTGGACTCGGTTTGCCAGTATTTTTGTTAAATGTACTAAATGCATTTTTTACCTAAAATATTTTCAACTTATGAGTATATCCAGATCCATCATAACACATCTTGGCCTGTGGTTATCAGGATGTAACTCATTATAAGTCGAGGTAGATTTGTATTATATCCCATGTACACACACACACACACACACACACACACACACACACACACAGACTTAATCTGTTTACAGAAATAAAAGGAATAAAATACCGTTTCTATTATACACCAAAACTAGCCATCTTGACAGATACTTCACTCTGAAAAATAACGTTTTATAGCTACTTTACAGATTAGTATAATAATTTGGTGTTTCTGTTTCAGAGATTCGATTTCACATTTCAATAAGTAGGCCGCTCCCTCTGCTAAGCCTGGGAATGTAATTCTTTTGAAAAACTATCTGTGCTGTAAAATTACATGTCATATTGGGAAAAGGACAATCGCAAACAGTAGTCACACATAAAATCAAGCAACACAGACATCCTTTTCACATACAGTGAAGACCCTTGTCAATTTTGAGATTACACAGGAAAACAGAATGGGGGACAAGTGTCTCTGACACATAGAAAATCCCGTGAAGAAGAACTCAGCTGACACAATCAAAACATACACAAAACTGAAAGAAACAAGGTGAGTGCTTTTTATATTAGTTCAGCTGTCAAGAAAGTGTAAAATAAACCTAACATTTTTTTACTAAGTGAGGATTTTCTTTTTTGAAACATCATCATTTATATTTATCCAGTTTGCAACTTCATCAGCTGAATCTCAGGATGCGTTCCATGACACTGAAGGACAATTAAATCATATCCATGACAATATATGAGAAGCTGACAGGAGAACATGGTGGCATTTGAATTAATGTCTATCATTAGATAGAATTTCTGATCACATAATTTAAGTTGTAGTTTTCCATACAATTTAATCAAGATAAGCACTTATTAGGTGAGTGATATACTTTGGCTCTGTGTCCCCACACAAATCTCATGTTGAATCGTAATCCCCACGTGTCAGGGGAGGGGTCTGGTAGGAGGTGATTTGATCATGGGGGTGGATTTCCCATACTGTTCTCGTGACAGTCAGTGAGTTCTCACAAGATCTGATGGTTTAAAAGTGTGTGGAACTTCCCCCCGGCTCTTCTCTCTACTGACACCATGTGAAGAAGGCACCTGCTCCCCCTTTACCTTCTGCCATGATTGTTAGTTTCCTGAGGCCTCCCAGTCGTGCTTCCTGTTAAGCTTGCAGAACTGTGAGTCAATTAAACCTCTTTTCCTCATAAATTACCCAGTAGTTCTTTATAGCAGTTTGAGAAGAGATAGATACAGAAAATTGGTACCAGAGAAGTGGGGCATTGCTATAAAAATACCTGAAAATATGGAAGTAACTTTGGAACTGGGTAACAGGCAGAGGTAGGAAACAGTTTGGAGGACTCAGAAGAAGACAGGGAGATATGGGAAAGTTTAAATCTTCCTAGAGACCTGTTGAATGGTTGTGAACAAAATGCTGATAATGATTTGGATAATGAAGTCCAGGCTGAGGGGGTCTCAGATGGAGATGAGGAACTCATTGAGAACTGAAGAAAAAGTTACTCTTGCTATGCTTTAGCAAAGAGACTGACAGCCTTTTGACCCGGCCCTAGAGATCTGTGTAATGTTGAACTTCAGAGAGATGATTTAGGGTATCTGGTGAAACAAATTTCTAAGCAACAGACCTTCCAACATGTGGCCTGGCTGCTTCTAAAAGTTTATGCTCATGTCCATGAAGAAAGAGATGGCTTGAAACTGAAACGTATATTTAAAAGGAAAGCAGAGCATAAAAGTTTGGAAAATTTGCAGCCTAACCATATAGTAAAAAAGAAAAACCCACGCTCTTGGGAGAAATTCAAGCAAAAATTTGCATAAGTAAAGAGGAGCCAAATGTTAATGGCAAAGACAATGTGGAATACGTCTCCAGTACATTTCAGAGACCTTTGAGGCAGCCCCTCCCATTATAAGCCTGGAGGCCTAGGAGGGAGAAATTGTTTAGTGGGATGGGCCCAGGGCCCTGCTGCTCTGGGCAGCCTCGGGACATGGTGCCCAGTGTTCCAGCTGCTCAGCTCCAACTGTGGCTAAAAGGGTCCAAGGCACTACTCAGGCCATTGCTTCAGAGAATACAAGCCTCAAGCTTTGGTGGCTTCCACATGAGGCTGGGCCTGTGGTTGTGCAGAAGGGAAGAGGTGAGGTTTGGGAACCTCCATCTAGATTTCAGAGGATGTATGGAAATGCCTGGATGTCTAGGCAAAAGTCTGCTGCAGAAGTGGAGCCCTTATGGAGAACCTCTACTAGGGCAGTGCAGAGGGAAAATGTGGGGTTGGAGCCCCCACACAGATTCCCCACTGGGGCACTCCCTACTGGAGCTTTGAGAAGAGGGTCATAGTGCTTCAGACCCCAGAATGGTAGATCCACTGACAGCTTGCACAGTGTGCCTGGAAAAGTCACAGGCACTCAATCCTAGCCTGTGAAAGCAGCTGTGGGGGCTGTGCCTTGCAGAGCCACAGAGGCAGAGCTGTCAAAGCTCATGGGAGCCCAGATATTGCATCAGTATGCTCTGGACGTGAGAGATGAGGTCAAAGAAGATTGTTTCAGAGCCTTAAGATTTAATGACTGCCTTGTCGGGTTTTGGACTTGCATGGGGCCTGCAGACCCTTTGTTTTGGCTAATTTCTCCCTTATGGAATTGGAGTGTTTACCTGATCCCTGTACCCCCACTGTTGTCTTGAAATTAACTAACTTGTTTTTGATTTTACAGGCTTATAGGCAGAAGCGATTTGCCTTGTCTCAGATGAAACTTTGGACATGGACTTTTGAGTTAATGCTGGAATAAGTTAAGACTTTCAGTCTGTTGGGAAGGCATGATTGGTTTTGAAATGTGAGAAGGACATGATACTTGGGAGGGGCCAGAGGAGAAATAATATGGCTTGGCCCTCTGTCCCCACCCAAATCTCATCTCAAATTGTAATCCCCTCATGTCAAGAGAGGGGCCTGGGTGGAGGTGACTGGATCATGGGAGCAGATTTCCACATGCTATTCTCATGATAGTGAGTGAGTTCCAAGAGATCTGATGGTTTAAAAGTGTGTGGCACTTCCCTCCTTGTGCTCTCTCTCTCCTGGTGCCATGTCAAGAAGAACCTTGTTTCCCCTTTGCCTTCCACCATGATTTTCTGAGTTTCCTGAGTCCTCCCATTCATGCTTCCTGTAAAGCCTGAAGAACTATGAATCAATTAAATCTCTTTTCTTCATAAATTACTCAGTCTCAAGTCATTCTTTATATCATTGTGAAAACTGACTACTACGGTTAGCAATCTTAAAGAATACTTGTGATTTTGAGAATCAGGCACATATTTTTTTAATAATCGGACTGCTTATAATTGTTTAACTCCTTGCAACTTATAGTTAGTGCCTAAAACTTTGATGACTTTCATTACATTTCAATGGCTCTGTTCCCTTATAGCAAACTACCTTTTTTACTGTACTTACTGTAACTACAGTGCATTTATTTTCAGCCCAAATAGTATTCAGTAATAAGCATTTCTTCCCACATAAGAATAAGTTATATTCCTATTCACTATATTCTAGAATTTCTATTTTCCTTCCACAGTGCCAGCTAAAATTAAAGTGGAATAATCTATTGGGGCCCTGTGTATTTAATGTTTGTTTTCTTAGTATATTATAAACACTGTGAAGGAAGGAAATCCTTGCCTCTTGTTTATACTTTTATCTCCATTATAGAAACACTCTGCATTATTTTCTTACTGCTGCTGTAGCCAATTACTACAAAGTTAGTGGTTTAAAATAGCACAAATATAGTGTCAAACAATTGTGTTTGTCAGATGTCTGCAATGCATCTTATGAGGCTAAAATCAAAGAGTGAGAACTGTTGTGTTCCTTTCTGAAGGTTTTAGGGGAAAATCAGTTTCCTTGACTTTTCCAGCCTCCAGAGGCTGTCCTGATTTGTTAGCTTATGGTCTTTCATTTGTTCAAACCAGAAATGCTGTGTCTCTCTGACCATTCTTTTGAAATCATACCACCTTATGTTTCTAGCCAAGAATGTTTCCCTAGTTTAAACCCATTTGATTACACTGAACTCAAAAGGACACTTTTTCATCTTACCATCCTTAACATTATAATACTTGCAAAGCCCCTTTTACCAGATAGTTAACATATTCACAGCTTCCAGAAATCAGGACATGCGGTTTTTTTTTTGTTGGTTTGTTTGTTTTGTAAACCATTATTTTGCTTACTATACTGTCTTAATTGGAGGAAGCAACTTCTTCGAATAGGTGAATTAATTTCAAATTGATAATGTGATTCTGAATGAACATTAAAGAAATCAACTATTACACCGAACATTACTTTATTGAGCTAAACAAATATTAACTGACTATATAAAATTCATTACACATTTGGAGATAGAATTTTGTACTCTTTAATAAGACTTTTTACATTTTTTGCAATCCTTTTTCTTATTTAAAAAATCAGTACTGTATTAGTACCCACAATATAAGTTTGTTCTAAGAATCAAATGAGATAAACATTTCAGACACCTATCATAGTATCAAGTTCATATCGTAAGCCTAAAATACCAGATGACTTTTATTATTTTCAGAATGTAGTCAAAATCAACATAAAGTTACATTAACACTTGGTTTACTGTATCATAATGCTAGCTTTGTGTCATATCTATCTAGAGAGTACACTGAATAGCTTAAACCAAGTAGAAGGTGATTTCTTGCTTACATAACAGTTTACCATAAGTAATTTTGGCTAAAGACGCATCTTTCCTGCAAAAAATAATTCAAGTTAACGAAGGATCTACTATTACCAAATTGTATCTTCCCAGATTACTTTGTATATATCACCATTCCAGAAGACAAAAGACTACTCATGAAATACAATTTGCACACTTCTTTATATATGAAAAATTCACTTTTCTTCCCTCTGTAAACAACTTAAAGTTTTGCCCAGTTACTGCCTACAACTTAGAGTTCAGGATGTTTCATGACGTGCAGTTCTCTCCCTCAGGCCACTATATGACTTAACGAGGACTAGTGTCCTATAAAGTCAAAAGACAAATTATCTGTAAAATCTAAGTTACCATGGTGAAGCTCCTATCAGAAGACAAAGAAGTCTGCAGAGCACTGACAAAAATATTTCTGAGCAGTACAAATATTTATTTGATGAAACCATAAACATGTCCTGTGGAAATAACTTTAAGGTCCATTGTCCCTGTGGCTCATAGATTTACTTTCTGAGGTAATTTACATTTTCTCTTATTCTCCATGCCTCCATCTTAAATTAGAACAATGAGTGTTTTCTCAGCATGACTAATCAATTGCACTGATTAGTGCAATTTGGGATGCTTGAGGATATTTTAAGCCTTAATTTTTTTTTCTCACAATAGGCTTATTGTACCTTTGCCAAGTAGTTACGTGGAAACCATTTATTTATTTATTGGATCTAGTTTATAACCAAACATACAGTTCTTTCCTAGGTATAATTCTAAAGTCTGCCTCATTTCCTTCTTTTTTCTCCTCCCCAACACACATATGCTTCTCTGACTGTAAAGATGACCACTTTAAGGTCATTTGAAATCATAGACTTGAAAGAGAAAACAACTTCCCTGATGAGTTCTTTGCTTCAGGGCTGGGTTCCTTGTTTTTTATGAACACAGTAGGATTTAATTTCTGAGCAGCTTTTTCAACCTAATCAGAAAAACCTGAGCTTTTCTGTCACTGTATAATTCCACCATTACTAGACTTTTTGTTTACAAGTGGTTTCCAACAAGGAATGACTTTGTTTCCATAGAACACTTGTCAGTGTCTGGAGACATTTTGAATTATAATGATTAGGTGGTGATGCTACTGGTATGTGGTGGTATAGCCTAAAGATACTATTAATATCCAACAATGCAAAGAATAACCTCCCACAGAATGCAGGAATATCAGGCATAAAATGTCAATAATGCTAAGGTTTAGCAACTCAACTCTATCCACTTTCTTTCCACTCTAAAGACAGGATATTTCTTTTTTCTTTTTTTTTTTTTTTTTTTTTGCCTGTGTTTATCTATTTCTTGGATTATGGAACAGAACAAACATGAACACATTACCTTTTGCCTTTCCTCATTTCCCACACTCTTTCCTAGAGGTAATATTAAGCTTCCAATTAATTTTAGATGGTAGTTTCAATAATTTTTTTTCACTGGGTATTACAAGTCTTCATTTCAACCCTCTGAGTTTGGTTTACTTGTCCATTTAATACTAATTTAGTGGATACGTTTTAGGTGCTGTTATGGCAGACCCAACTCAAGCTGGTGATTTCTATATTACTTGGAATCGTGCTAGTTGCTTTGACAACTACACTCAACAACATATAATATCTTAAACAGAACAGAAGTTTCATTCATATAAACTGTTTTTTTAAGATAGGAAAAGCATTGCTCCTTTATGTCCGCATTCAAGAACATAGGCTACTAAGGTATTTAATCTGCAGTATGTTGCTTCCAAGACTACTGTAGAATTGGCCGTTCCAGTCAAGCATACTGAAAAACGTATACAGAAGAGTGCATGTTGGGATTTTGGAGACTAAATTGGATATAAAATATGTTATTTCTACTAATTTTCCACTATTTTGACTTTAATCCCATGCCCTAATATAAAGTATATAAGAATGAGAAACATAGTTTATGTATCTATCAAAATAGAACATAAATGTTTGTGAACATTTGAATCTGTCAGCTTCTCTTGCTCACGTGCCTGTAGTGCCTGTACTCAGGATGCTGAGGCAGGAGAATCGCTTGAACCCAGGAGGTGGAGGTTGCAGTGAGCTGAGGTCACACCACTGCACTCCAGCCTGGGCAACAGAGCGAGACTCCATCTCAAAAAAAAAAAAGAAGTGACTCAACTGATTGATGTGTAAAACCTCATTGTAAAATAATGTTCTGTAAATGAGACATTAATACAGTTAAATTTTTGGATTAAAAAAGTCTGCCACTTTGTGAATATGTTTTATTTAGGCTTGATTTAGTTAATTTTCTTTTTTCTTTTTCTTTTTCTTTTTTTTTTTTTTTTTTCTGAGGAGTTTCACTGTTGCTGCCCAGGCTGCAGCGCAGTGCTGGGATCTCGGTTCACTGCATCCTCCACCCCGCCAGTTCAAGTGATTCTCCTGCCTTAGCCTCCTGAGTAGCTGGGATTACAGGCACCCACCCACCACCATACCCGGTCAATTTTTTGTGTTCTTAGTACACATGGGGTTTCACCATGTTGGCCAGGATGGTCTCGAACTTCAGACCTCAGGTGATCCGCCCACCTTGGCCTCCCAAAGTGCTGGGATTACAGGCATGAGCCACCGCACCCAGCCAGTTAATTTTTCTATTAACTAAGACCTAATTAAGATTGAGGCAGAAGAAATGGGTCCTTGGGATTTGAAAATTACTATTCAATTTGGAAGTTTAATTTGCAACATAGATTGTCTGTTATTAAATTACTAGATATAATATCACAAAGGTGGAAAGAAAGGTTGCTTAGTTAAAGATCTAAGTTACTAGTCATGGTGTCAGATATAGAGAATGATTGAAGGTTATCAGAGTCACACACCAGATGAGTAAATTGTTGTTTTCAAGGAAGAGGTTACATAAAGGTAAGCGGAGTAATATTTCAGCATTTTTGTTAATTAAAAATTTGTAAAGTTATTTCCATTTCAAGGAAATTACTCTCAGTAATTTTACGGGTAAAATGACAAATTCCAAGTTTAATTTTCACATGTAACACCCTCCTTGAGCACTTATTTTTATAAAGCTATTAATCTATTTTGGTCTCAATTTACCTTTCTTTAAAGAGATTTTAAAATTTTCTGAAAGAAGTTGACATCTGGAAGTGTAGCTGTTATATTTTTCCATTTTTAATTACATATTTAATTATCCTTTAATTACTTAAGGTTATTCTCAAAAGTGAAGAGATAGCTGGGATCACACTGCGTAAGATTTTACTCCTGAATGTAATATTCAAAAATGTTACAAAGTCTATCAAAGAGGTTTTCATTCTGTGACAATACATGGTCAATTTGACATGGTCAGGAAGCACCACCCCCACTGAGAGATACCAAATTATGGAGTAAACCACCGTAATTTAGGCAGATCTTGAGAGAGAAAATGCTGAGTGGATGCAGAGGCAGCAATGAAGCTGAGCTGAAGAGGGAGGAAGCCTGTGCAGGGAACCCAAACACTACAGCTAGTTCCCCAGAATGGCTCCTAGGAAAGGGCCTCTGCCTGAGAGAGACCTGTGGCCTAGAACACCTAACACAAGAAACACAGTGATTGCAGGAGACTCCCCCAGGGCCCAGGAGCACATCTGGTGATGGAGGCATCTCTCCCACCCCCACTATAGAGCACACCTGCAAACAAAAGGAAGTATAAAACAGCCATGCCACTGGGTATTAGGCTAGCCACTGGCCATCACTCTTAAGCACTATGCATTGGATCACATCCCAAACTACAACATCAAAATTTATCCTGCTACATATACACCTGTGAAACCAAACACAAGAATTACTCATACATAAAAATCCTGGACAGAGAAAGCCCTGACCCTTTGAAAGCATCCAGAAACAAAACCAATTGCCTATACTCAACATACACTACAGTTAAAGGAACACTAACCCTACCAGAAGAGAAAAAATCAGTGCAAGAACTCTGGCAATTCAAAAAGCTAGAGTGTCCTCTTACCTCAAAATTAGCCCACTAGCTACCAAGCAATGGTTCTTAATCAGTCTAAAATAATTGCAACAGACATAGAATACAGAACCTCGATGGCAGGGAAGCTCATGAACATTAAGGAGAAAGTTGAAACCCTAGCCAAGTAATCCAGTAAAGCAATCTAAGTAAGTGCTGAAAGATGAAATTGCCATTTTAAACAACAGCCACACTGAATTTCTAGAGCAGAAAAAATTCAGTATAAGAATTTTATAATACAGTAAGAAATATTAACAGAAGGTAGGCCAAGCTAAGGAAAGAATCTCAGAGCTCAAAGACTGGTTCGTTGAATCAACTGAGTCAAAAGAAAATTTTAAAAAAGAATTAAAAAAAGAAAATGAACCAAAGCTTTAAGAAATATGGAATTATATAAAGAGACCAAATCTACGACTCATTGTCATTCCTAGAAGAGAAACAAAGAGAAAAGGCAACTTGGAAAATAGATTTGAGAATAGAGTCTATGAAAATTTTCCTAACCTCGCTAGAGAGAGTGACATGTAAATCCAAAAAATACAGCAAACCCAGCTAGGCACTATAAAAGGTGACTATCCCTAAGGCACACAGTCATCATATTCACCAAAGTAAATACAAAAGAAAAAAAAAATCTTAAAGGCAGCTAGAGAGAAAGGTCATGTTTTCATAAAGCAAGAACTCCACTAGGCTAGTAGTAAATATCTCAGCAAAAACCTTACAAGCCAGAAGAGATTAAGGGCCTATGTCCAACATCATTAATGAAAATAAATTCCAGGCAATAATTTTATATTTCACTAAACTAAACTTCCTAAGTGAAGAAGAAACAAATTTCTCCTCAGATAAGCAAATACTGAGGGAATCAATTTCAACTTGACCAGCCTTATGAAAGGTCCTTAAGGGAGTGCTATACATTGAGTAAAAAGAATGACACCTGCTACCACAAAAACCCACTTAAGTACATAGCTCACAGGCACTATAAAGTATCTACACAATCAAGTCTACCTAAAAACCAGCTACAAACGTGATGATAGGATCAAAATCTCATGTATCAACATTAACCATAAATGTAAATAGGCTAAACACCCCCACTTAAATGACATACAATGGCAAACTGGATAAAAATGCAAGGCTCACCATCTGCAGTCTTCAAGAGACTCACCTCATATGTAATGACAGCCACTGGCCCAAAATAAGGGGATGGAGAAAATCTGCCATGCAAATGATAACAAAAAAGCAGGAGTAACTATTCTTATATCAGATAAAACAGACTTTAATCAAAATTAAAAAGAACAATTGAAGAATGAAGAGCATTATGTCATGAGAAAGTATATGATCAAACAAGAATACTTAAGTACCCTAAATATAAATGCACCCAACATGGAGCACCCAGATTCATAAAACAAGTTCTTTTTGGACTACAAAAAGACAGACGACCACCCAATAACTGTAGGAGACTTCAACACCCCCGCTGGCAGCACTGGATCATCAAAGCAGATAACTAAGGAAGAAACTGTGTACTTAAACTTCACCCTTGACCATCTGGACCTAATAAGACATCTACAGAACACTCCACTCAATAACCACAGAATATACATTCTTCTCATCTGCACAGGGAACATATTCTAACATTGACCACATGCTTGGTCATAAAGCAAGTCTGGATAAATTTTAAAAAATGAAATCATATCAAGCACACTCTTAGATCTCAATGTAATCAAAATATAAATAAATACCAACATCTCTCAACACTACACAAATAGATGAAAATTAAACAACTTTCTCCTGAATAACTTCTGTGTGAAAATCAAAATTAAGGGAGAAATTTTAAGAAAGTGAAATTAATGAAAATGGGAACACAAATTACCAAAATCTCTGGGATGCAGCTAAATCAGTGTTAAGAGGAACGTTTAAATGCCTTTATCATAAAGTTAGAAATACTTCAAATTAACAATCTAACACTACACCTAAAGGAACTAGGGAAGAAAAAAAAAAGAACAACCCTACATCAACGCTAGGAATGAAAAGAAACAACTAAAATAGAGAAGATCTGAATGAAATTGAGATGCAAAAATCCATACAAAAGATTAATGAAACCAAGAGTTGATTTAAAAAAAGAGATTGATAGACCTTTAGCTAGATAAACAAAGAAAAAAAAGAGAAGATCTAAATATATAAATCAGAATGACAAAAACGACATTAAAAATGGTCCCACAGACATACAAAATAATCCTCAGAGAATACTAGGAATAACTCTAGACACAAAAATTAGAAAATCTAGAGGAAATGGATAAATTTCTGAAAACAGGCAATCTTCCAAGATTGAATCAGGAAGATACTGAAATACTGAAGAGACCAATATGAAGCTCTGAAATTGAATAAGTAATAAAAAATCTACCAAGCCAAAAAGCCCTGGACTATATGGATTCACAGCAAAATTCTACCGGAAGTATAACGAAGAACTAGTACAATTCTACTGAAACTATTCCAGAAAAGTTGAAGAGAACGTACTCCTTCCTAACTCACGCTGTGAAGCCAGAAGCAGCTTAATACCAAAACCTGGCAGAGACGCAAAAAAAAAGAACATTCAGGTGACCACTGTTGACGAACATAGACTCAAAAATTCTCAACAAAGTACTAGCAAACTGAATCCATCAGCAGCATATCAAAAAATTAATCTACTATGACAATACAGGCTTTATTCCTGGGATGCATGGCTGGTTCAACATATGCAAATCAATAAATGTGATTCACCAGATAAACAGAATTAAATCAAAAACCATATGATCATCTCAACGGATGCCGGAAAAGCTTTCAATTAAATCCAGTGTCCCTTCATGAAAAAACAAAACAAAAAAAAACCCTCAACAGTTGAGGCTTCAAATAAGCATACTTCAAAATAAAAAAGAGCTATCTACAACAAACCCACAGCCAATATAATACTCAATGGGCAAAAGCTGAAAGCATTCTCCTTTAGAAATGAAACAAGCCAAGGACATCCACTCTTACCACTCCTATTCAACATAGTACCAGAAATCCTAGTCAGAGCAATCTTGCAACAGAAAAAGAGAAAAGCACCCAAATAGGAAGTGAAGATTAAGGCAAACTATCTGTCTTCACCCAACAATATCCTTCTATACCTAAAAAACCTTAAAGACTTCAACAAAAGTCTACTAGAAATGATAAAGGATTTTAGCAAGGTTTCAGGATACAAAATCAATGTACAACAATTAGTAGCATTTCTATACAACAACAACATCCAGGTTGAGAGTTAAATTAAGAACACAATCATATTTACAACACCTAGGATGAAAATAAAATCCCTGCAAATACAACTAACCTAAGATGTGAACGATCTCCACAAGGAGAATTACAAAACACAGCTGAAATCTGAAGCTGGATGCAGTGGTTCATGCCTTTGGGAGGCCGAGGCAGGTATATCGCTTGGACCCAGGAGTTTTGAGACCAACCTAGGCAACATAGTGGAACCTCATCTATACAAATTTTTTTTTTTTTTTTAAATAGCGAGGCATGGTGGCACATGCCTGTAGTCCTAACTACCCTGACGGCTTGAGGCCAGGAGTTCAAGCCTGCAGTGAGCTATAATAACTCCACTGCATTCCAGCCTGGGTGAAAGGGTGAGACTCTGTCTCAAAAAAGGAAGGAAATAAGAAAAGGAAGGAAGGATGGAAGGAAGGGAGGAAGGGAGGGAGGGAGGGAAGGAAGGGAGGAAGGGAGGGAGGGAGGGAGGGAGGGAGGGAGGGAAGGAAGGAAGGAAGGAAGGAAGGAAGGAAGGAAGGAAGGAAGGAGATTTTGATAACACAAATAAATGGAATAACATTCCATGTTTACAGATTAAAAGAATCAATATGTTAAAATGGCCACACTGCCCAAAGCAACTTGTAGATTCAAGGCTATCTCCATGAAACTACCAACATCATTCTTCACAGAATTAGAAAAAACTATTCTAAATTTATATGGAACACCCCCAAAAGCCAGAATGGCCAAAGCAATTCTGAGCAAAAATAATAAAGCCAGAGAGGCGTCATACTACCCAATTTCCAGCTATACTATAAGTGTACACTAACCATGATACTGTTACAAAAGCAGACACTTAAGCCAATGGAACAGAATAGAACACTCAAAAATAAAGCTGCACACTTACCACCATCTGGATCGTGGACAAGGCCAACAAAAACAAACAATGGGGAAAAGGCACCCTATTCAATAAATGGTGCTGGGATAATTCGCTAGCCATAAGCAGAAGAGTGAAACTGGATGCTTACCTTCCACCATACACACAAATTAATTCAAGATGGATTAAAGGTTAAAATGTAAGACTTCAGATTATGAAAACTCTAAAACAAAACCTAGGAAATATTTTTCTCGACATTGGCCTTGGCAAATAATTTTTGGCTAAGTTTCTAAAAACAATTGCAACAAAAACGAAACTGACAAGTGAAAGTCAATCAAACTAAAAAGCTTCTGCACAGCAATAGAAACTATCCACAGAGTAAACAGACAACTTACAGAATGGGAGAAAATATTTGCAAACTATGCATCTGATAAAGATCTAATATAACAAATCCATAAGGAAGAAAAAATGACAAGCATAAAACAACCCCAGTTAAAAAGGGCAAAGCTAATACAGGAGCAGAAAATCAAACTCCGCATCTTCTCACTTATAAGTGGGAGCTGAACAATGGGAACACATGGACACAGGGAGGGGAACAACACACAATGGGGAACAACACACAACACACACTATAATTTTCTGTAGGGGGTTGAGGAGAGGGAGAGCATCAGGAAAAATAGCTAATGCATGCTGGGCTTAATACCTAGGTGATGGGTTGATAGGTGCAGCAAACCACCACCACACACGTTTATCTATGTAACAAAACTGCGCTTCCTGCACATGTACCCCAGAACTTAAAATTTAAATCAAGAAAAGGCAAAGGACATGAACAGATATTTTCTCAAAAGAAGACACTCAAGTATATGAAAAAACACTCATCCTTACTAATCATCAAATAAATAAATGCAAGCAAAAACCACAGTAAGATGCCATCTCACATCAGTCACAACAGCTATAATTAAAAAGTAAAAAAATTAGATGTTGGCCAGGCTGCAGAGTAAAGGGAATGCTTATACACTACTGTTGATGGAAATGTAAACTGGTTCAGGTACTGTGGAAAGTATTTTGGAGATTTCTCTAAGAACTTAAAACAGAGATACCCTTCGACCCAGCATTCCCATTACTGGGTATATATTCAAAGGAAAATAAATTATTCTACCAGAAAAATATACATGCACTCGTACGTTCATCAGCATGTTATTCACAATAGCACAGACATGGAATGAACCTAGGTGCCCATCAAAGGTGGATTGGATAAAGAAAATGTGGTACATATACACTATGGAATACTATGCCTCCATAAAAAAGAATGAAATTATGTCCTTTGCAGCAACATGGATGGAGCTAAGGACATAATCCTAAGCAAATTAGTGCTGGAAAAGAAAACCAGATACCACACATTCTCACTTATAAGTGGAACCTAAACACTGAGCACACAGGAACATTAACATGGGAACAAGACATGCTGCAGGCTACGGGGGTGGGGGAAAGAGGGGAGCATGGGCTGAATAACTACCTACTGGGTACTATGCTCACTACCAGGGTGCACTGTACAAAAGTAACAAATCTGCATATGCACTATCTGTGTCTGAAAAAAACTGAAATTATAAAAACCAAGAGAATATGTTTCTAATGAACGTAGACTTTATTTGATGGACTGGATTAGAATATAATTTTTTTTAAGGGGAAAGGCATTGGGGGATGCACAATGTCTACAGGTTTCTAAACCTCTCTGGTTTCTCACCTAATTCATAGTCTCTTATGTCATTTTCATAGTTTTCATATTCTGCCTTTCCACCTCTTCTTTTTAACAAGTAAAATTCCTCATAGCATACAAAAAAACAATTTTATAAAAAACCCATATTATAGATCAGGGACCTGTGGATTATATGCTATTAGAACTATACAAAATGTCTCTATATAGTTTTCTGTATCTTTGGAATATCTTTGGGTGAAGCTGCAGACCTTCTCGGTGAGTGTTACAGCTCTGCGCAGAGCCAAACAGTGAGCAGCAGCAAGACTGCAAAGAGCAAAAGAACAAAGCCTCCACACTGTGGAAAGGGACCCTAGCACGTTGCTGTTGCTGGCTCTGGCAGCTGCTTTTATTCCCTTATCTCACCCCACCCACATCCTGATGATCGGTCCATTTCATAGAGAGCTGATGGGTTCATTTTACAGAGAGCTGCTTGGTCTGTTTACAATCCTTTAGCTAGACACAAAAGTTCTCCAAGTCCCCACCAGATTAGCTAGACACAGAGCACTGATTAGTGCGTTCACATACCTTGAGCTAGACACAGCATGCTGATTGGTGCATTTACAATCCTCCAGCTAGACGTAGTAAGTTCTCCAAGTACCCACCGAACTCAGGAGCCCAGCTGGCTTTGCCTAGTGCATCCCGGCCGCGGGCGGAGCTGCCCGCCAGTCTCTGGCGCGCTGCCGCACTCCTCAGCCGTTGGGCGGTTGACGGGACCGGGTGCCGCGTAGCAGGAGGTGGCGCCCGTCCCCTCGGGGTGGCGCGCGGGAGCCTGCGGTTGGGGGGCGGGGGGCGGGGGGCGGGGGGCAGGGGACGGGGGCGGGGAGGAGGGTGAGGGCTCCAGCATGGCAGGCTGCAGGTCCCGAGCCCTGCCCCCTTGCCCCGCGGGGAGGTGGCTGAGGCCCAGCGAAAATTCGAGCGCGGCGCCGGCGGGCCATCACTGTTGGAGGACCCAGTGCACCCTCCGCAGCTGCTGGCCCGGGTGCTAAGCCTCTCACTGCCCAGGGCCGGCGGCGCCAGCCGACCGCTCAACAGTGCGGGGCGCGCCGAGCCCGCGCCCACCCGGAAGTCGCGCTGAGCCCGCGCCCACCCGGAAGTCGCGCTGGACCTGCGAGCACCGCAGGCAGCCCAGGTTCCGGCCCGCGCCTCTCCCTCCACACCTCCCCGCCAGCAGAGGGAGCCCGCTCAGGCCTCAGCCAGCACAGAGAGGGGCTCCCACGGTGCAGCTGCGGGCTGAAGGGCTCCTCAAGCGCGGCCAGAGTGGGCTGAGGCCGAGGAGGCGCCGAGAGCCAGCGAGGGATGCCAGCAAGCTGTCACCTCTCAGAAATACAGGAAGAACATCAATAATGTTCGAAGTTATAAAGTAGTAGGTTTCTATCAAGAGTAAAACATAAACGAAGTTATAAAGTAGTAGGTTTCTATCAAGAATAAAACATAAACGATCAAAGAATTCCTTATAAAAACATTTTTTATTTCTAGGAATCAAAACATAAATATAAAATTTGAGAGTCCACCAAAAAAAATTAGATGCCAGATTTCACTATAATTATCAGGGAAGCGCCCAAATGGGTTGTTTACGGCGCCTCGGGGAAACTTTCTGTTTCGTGTTAAGGGTCTTGAACCATGATGTTTAGAAAACCATGGGCTGATGCTTTCAGAACCTCTGTGATTTTTGCCTCTGACACTGCATCCAATAGACTAGCATGTTGATTAGGGAAAGCTAAATTCAATAAAAGACGACTGTAAGTGGGGTCACCACCTTGAGGGGTCATGTTAGAAAAGTAGATGATAAGGTGGTATTGATAGAGTATTGAAGTCTGGGCTCAGATGGTTGCCCGGGGCCTTTCAAGACCAATGACTGATAAGAATAGGTAATGTTCAGGACATAGAGTTTAGGATTGGGGGACACTGTGAGTTAAGGGCCATGACAGAAGTCTTCATAAGTAAACTGTTAATTGACACAAGCTGCTACCTGCCCAGGTGAGCAATCTGTTGGCCCAGAGGAGAGTTGCTTACTGACATAAATTGATTTGCAGAAATTTCCTGAAGCAAACAATAAGTTATTTATTGGTTTGCAGCCTTACTTTCCTGAAAAATAATTTTCTGGAATGAATTGTGAAATCATGTTGACACAGATGGCCTCAGGTTTCAGTTCGGATAATTAAGCTGTGTAAATATAGAAAGTCGAAGGTTTCTGGGTGCTGTTGATTCACAGTATGCAACAATGATCATATTACTTTTATTTACTATGAGCTTCAGCTGAAAATCCAAAAGAAACTTTAATTTCAGATATTTAATGAAATCATTATAGCTGTGGTAATTTCCTTTAGCTGGGTGTGAGTGTGTGATGTGAGCGTGTGATGTGTGTGTGTGTGTGTGTGTGTGTGTGTACTCTGGCAGCATATTCCAAATAATTTCTGTAAAATTTCAGTTTGAAATTAATAGAAGACATATTAAATTGTTTAAACTCTTTGTTATTTAAATTCTATATTACTTTAGTCGATTACTCTGTATTATTACGGCAAAGCTTTGATATGTTGCCCTGAATTTAAATGAAAAGGCTGTTCGGCCTAAAAACAGGAATATTTTATTACCAAAAAGAATTAACTACCATATGTCATTTACAGAAAAGAGTAAATTCTTCAGGGCATAGAAAATACACATTTCCTTCTGTTTGTGTGGAAATAAGCAAAATACCTGTTATAATAGATTCCTCACAGAATTTTGTGAAGCTTCAGGTAAACTTGAAAGAGAAAAATTAAAATGCTAGAGTTTCATAATTACAAATTGGGATATAAAAATAGAATAATTATTTGAATTTTGTATTTCTCTCCAGGGGATCAAAAGTAATATATAAACTTTTAATAAATATTGATATAGCTTCACGTTGACTCCATATGTGAGCAATTTGCTTTCTGTTAAATTCACAATTGCATAATTTTTTTCAGGCTGGAATGCACTTGGATGCCAGAGATTTTGATTTCTTCATGTGACATAAGATGATAATACATTCCAAAGTATATATTTTTTCAACTTTGAATATATCTGGTGTATTTGGAGTAATATCTGAGTAAATACACTTATATGTAAGAGAATCAAAGGAACAAGATATTATTTTATATCCAAGGAAATTAACACTTAGAACATAAATACGTATTGCATTACTTCATATTAAAGAAATGTTTTACAAAAGAAAATAAAGGAGCTTATTTTATAGCCCCATTTCCACAAATAATAGCAAAGGTACATACACATATCTAATGTTTTACACACTCATTATTGTTTCTCTTAAAATTTGTTGCTTATACTATTTTAAAAGGCAAGCCTATAGATTGTTGTGTGTATATACATATACACACAACATACATATGTGTGTGTGTGTGTGTGTGTGTGTGTGTGTGTATATATATATATATATATCAGCAAGCAAGAGAATGGGCCTCTTCCTACTGAGGTTTAACATTTGCATGTATATGTATATTTTGATTCACATAGACTTATTGTTCTTTAATTACATGAACAGTGATTCCTGGTTACATTATTGGAAAATGGAAGCAATGCTCAAAGAGCATCACCTAAATTTCCATCATATTTTGCTCTCAATATGTTTTGTACATCCAAATATATTGTGATTAATCTGCATACATTTTTGCTGTTCTAGGTGACGCTGGTATGAGGCTAGGTAATACACGACCTTAGTCTGCATGTTGTACTTGTGTAACACACATAATTTTACAGTGCTAACAGGTGCTATAATAACTAACTATAGTTAATGATGAATGAAAGAAGGAAGATGTTAAGATGTTAGGGAAGGACTCAAAAGATGCAGTGCTTGAGTTAGAATTTTAAGGGAGATTATGCAAAAGCAGTCACTTAAGGTGGGTCGGGATGATCTAGAATGTGGGAATGATGTATGCAAAGTCACACAGGAGAGATACAGCATGCATGTTTAGAAAATTGTTGATTACATATGGAAAGTTTGCAGGACTTGCATCCTAGAATGTCAGGATTTTAAGCTAAGTAGGGTTCAAATTAAATTTTTCACATACTTCGCTGCATTATAATAACTAGTTTATGTTTAACTCATCCACTAAACTAAGTTATTTGAAAAGAGATGCCAGTGTTCACTCAATCTAGTTGTCTGTCATTAATAATTTAAAAATAATTGAGATTTTAATTTTGGTCTGCTAAGCCTGTTTAATTAAAATTTGACATTAAATAAGATTTTACAGGCCTCATTTTTTTTTTCAGTCATCACAGTTTGAATATTAAACATTACTACTTTTATCTCCCTCAGTCAGCATAAAACATACTACTTATGGTTTTAATAACCAAATTCAATGAGCACCAACAAAATTTGATGTAACTATTAACTTTGAAATTTTGTTGAAATAGAACTATGCCTTGGGTATCATTCAAAGCATTTAATTGTTGCAATAAAAAACTTTGAGATAAATTGAAATGATGGACAATATGGGTCGAAAGCAACACTGGCTTGAGGGAATAGGCTAATGTTTGAGAACAGAATTGTTAAGGACAAGATTGGATGTTTATATTACTTTAGGAAAGACACACTCTAATGGAGTTTAATTCTAAAATGTTTAATATTATGAAAATATTATATGTTATATGATCATTATAGAAAATTAAAAATATAAGAACATCAGAAGCAAAATAGTCAAAGTCTACCTAAACCCAATTAGAAGTGAATACTATTAATCTTGATTTGCATGTTTCTAATCTTATTATTATCAAATTAATAAACAGCTTTCAGATATTCTGCTTCTCCCTGTTACTAGATCAGGATAATGTCATTTATGTACAGGCATCTCCTGCTTACTCAGTTCAGCATTGATCAATAAATATTTTAGACTTCTATTCAAAACACTTCCATTTTTCTTTTGCCCATATTCTTTTTATTCAGTGCTGCCTGTTTTCAAATACACAACACTTTGTCAAACAAATTCCAACATTAGATTGGATATAGTTGGTATCAGAGTAGTAATACACATTGCCATTCCTAATCCTCAGTGCATTGATCCTGAAAATTATTTGTAAGAATAGAAAAATACTGGATATTTCAAATTAAGTCTCATTTTGTTGCTTACCCATGAAAGACTGGAATTAACCAACATAACCATTACAAGGTGATTGAGCAAATGAATAGATGGAAAATATTATAGAAACTTTACTGCAGTTCATCAACCATTGTGGTCATTAGGCCATAGGAAAATACAGTGTGACAGTACCCCTGTCTTCTTTTCCATTTGTTAAGTCTCATATCCAAGTAACAGTGGGTAGACCTTATGAGAACCCAAAGTGAGATAAAAATAATTTTTGGCTTTTCAATGTATCTTATTTGATCTAAGAGGTATTTCCCCGACTTTGATGCAATAATTCTTGTCACAAAATTTGACTTTACTGAAGACCGTTTTAAGGATCTTTGCAGCTGACAGCAGTGACTTTTTTACCTCCTACAAAGTTTCAACTGACAGTCTTATTGTCTCTGACTTTCCCAAATTAATGACATAATTAGTCACCAGGGCTTTGGCTGCTCAATAGGGATTTAGTAAGCAATGAGTCATATGTTGGGGAACACTTCAACAAACAAAATGTTGGCAGAGAAAGATGTATGAATCAGCTAGGAAGAAACACTATTCTATCACTGAGGATCTTTCTAATATTAGATATCACAGAAAAATTTTCATATAGATTACCATATGAGTGAGCCAAAACCTCTAGGAACAAAAAAGCTTAGTATAATTATAACTCCTTGCCATGATTTAACTTAAAATTTCTTTACTTATTTAGCAATTCTATAAACAAGAATCATTTCTGTTAAGGATACTAAGGAGAGTGTTCCTATTGAATCAGAACATTTAAAAGAAATAATTGAGGGAACTCACACATGTAAAACGTCATTAACCAAACTAAAATAAAATGTGAGGGCATAAACTTAACCAGAAATGTTTAAAACCTATATATAAAAAAAACTAGAAAACACTTCTGAATGGCACAAATTTGGACTTGAGCACGGGGAAAGAAATTCCATGCTCTTGAAAAAGCCTTAAAATCATAAATGTGCCAGTTCTTTAAATAAACTTATATCTTCTGTGTCATAACAAAACGACATTTTCTAGAATTTCTTTTTCCAGATTTAGAAAAATAGACAAATTTACTTGGAGGAATAAAGAAGCAAGAATAGCTAGAAATATCCTATAAAATCAATGGAATTTGGAGTCAATACAAAATATTAAGCAATTCTTAAAGCTTCTATGATTAAAATGAGTTATAACTACAGATAGATGAAGATCATATAGAAAATCAAGACATTGACAGATATGGAAAGGTGGTATATAATGAAAACATTTCAGATCAATGAGGGGGAAATGTTAACCGGAAAAGAATATTAAAAAGGCAATGAACTCAATAAGACAACAAGAAGCAAACCACAGAAAAATAACTGGACTGGATTAGAAAGAAAATATTTTAGACACTTCAAAAATAAAATATTCAAATAACCAATGAACTTATTAAAAGGTTTTTATTTATATTGGTTACCTGAAAAAATAATTCAAACCACAATGAGATGTAAGTACTTGTCATTCAGAATCCTGAATTTGAAAGGAATATTTTAGAATTCTAAGTTGAAGAGAAAGTGCAAAGTATTGATGAGAATGTTGACTAATTAGAACACTCAAATTGATGTTATTGGCATAACTTAGTTCAAATAATTTGGATAAAGATATGTATTAGGCCCCAAAATTCTACTTGTAAAGATGGTTTCTCCAGAAATGCATGCATATATATAGCTAAAAAAAATGTGTACTCATGAAAACACTTTTCAGAATAACACCAAAATAACCCCAAACTGTGGCCCAAAAGTGGACTAAAATACTTATAAAGAGTACAGTAAACAAATAAGTTGTAATATGATCACCTAATAAAATATTAGAGAAATAAATATAAATAGTTTCATTTGCAGGTCATATAGTCAATTCGTCTCACAAATATAATATTAAGCAAAAAAATGTGGTTCAAAACACTACACACACTATTTGATTCCTTACTGGTAAAAGTTAGAATAGTGTTATGTTAGGAGGGATGGGTGGAAATCAGGTGTGTGACTATTACATTTTCTTATTCTGGATGATCATAGTATTTTAAAACTCACTAAGCTTTAAACTTATGTGCATTTACCCATGTGTATACAATACTTTAATAGAAGCTTCAAATCAATGAGAAAACATGAAACTGTCTGATGGAAAAATAGCTTGAGGAAATGAACAGGTATAGCAGAAAAGAAGGGCTGCATATAGTTTAAAAACTTGAAGAGATGTTTAATCTCTTTGCAAATAGAAAAACATACGCATTTAAATTGAAATACCATTTTCATGTTCCAAAATTAAAATTATTAGAAATATGATGGTATACAGTGATGGTAATATGGGAGAAAGGAAACATCCTAGGCAATTTGGCTAAGCTTTTCTGAGAAAGATTTAGGCAATATGCCATTAAAAGATTTAATGTGAACAAATGGGAAATTTGCCCACATAAATAAATGGAAAGATACTCTATTTTTCCTAATTTAATCTGAAAATACCTAAGCCCCTGATATTTTAGAGACATAATTTTCACTGCGATGGTCATAATTTTAAAAGGTTGCATCATCCATTTTTAGTTAACATATATTGTACTAACATCACATATCTATGTAACAGAAAAATAGAGTCAACTCATGTAGGGACAGACATGAAAATGACAAATACATATAGAGATAGAAAGGTATCTTGTGCATTATACTGAGAAAGACAATAGAAATAAACAATTTACATGGGTTGATTTATTTTGATTAAGATATATAAGTGGTTAGATAAATGTTAAATAGGTCAGTATGTAATTACAGAAAATGACAAATTGTTATGTATGGTACATTTGTAGGCATAACACAGACATTACATTTTGGAAAATTGTGTTCTATGCAACAGTGCCAAGTCTAATGAAAGTAAGAGGAAGAGGAATTCAGCCAAAGTACCAACCCCTGTTATCCATTCCTTAAGAAAGGAACTTCTTTATACACTCAAAAGAGGGGATTCTTTTTAAATTTGTTTCCAGAGGGGCATCTGCATACACATACACATACACACACACACACACACACACACACACATTTACATTATATTTAAATGTGTGTGCATGATATATATATATACATGTATTTATTTATTTAATATATATGTGTTATCTGGGTCCTATATAGGAACACACACACACACACACACATTTTGAATCAAACACTCTTTCGTATAATTTTGGTGACAAATGTATGCAATAAATGAGAATACTTTAACTTTCCAAAAAGCTATTCAAAAGTATAATTTTCAAATAAAATATATGTTTGTATGACAACAAATGATTTTTTACAAATAATATATTCTGCATTATCAATCTGCCACTGGTTTTTATTAAATAAAAAAACCTGTAAGTTTGTATGCTCTTAAAATACATATAACATTTGTAAGAATAGTTTTTATGTAAAAATAATTATAGTTCACTATAACTATGTTAAAAATAGACATAGCCAGGCAAGTCGCTCATGCCTGTAACCCAGCACTTTGGTAGGCTGAGGCGGGCAGATCACTTGAGGCCAGGAGTTCAAGACCAGTCTGGCCAACATAGCGAAACCCCATCTCTAATAAAAATACAAAAATTAGCCGGGCATGGTGGCCCATACCTTGTAATGCCAGCTACTCAGGAAGCTGTGGCAGGAAGATTGCTGGAACCCGAGAGGCGGAGTCTGCAGTGAGACAAGATCATGCCACTGCACTCCAACCTGGGTAACAGAGTGAGACTCTGTCTCAAAAAAAAAAAAAAAAAAAGAAAAGAAAAGAAAAGAGAAAAATAGACACAGATGAAGGGTGTCTTTGATTATGCAAATAGATTACCCATCTTGTACTCACTGTGTTTATTTCAATAAATGATCCACAGAATATGCTACTTTTGATTTATAGTTTTCTTCTCCTTCACCGCTGTGGACTGGGAAAATATTTCTTATTATTTCTGCTGCAGAGTAGCAAAAAATTATGAGCCAGAAGGAAGACCACTACAACAAGCAAAATCTCTGAGTAATCATAAAATGAAGAACTATTTCCTGTTGGGATTCACTGTGACGAATTTGATTTTAAATTCTTGATGTTGGCATTTTATTTTTAAAACTTAGCTTTCTTGCCTATTCTGAAATTGTCAAAAATTCAGAAAAACAATCATGATCATTTGCTTGCTGACCAGTGGAGACCTACTGATTTTTAGGCTGTGAGACTACAGTAATAAATAAATAAAAAAGTTCATACTTCCTTCTATCGAGGGAAATTGAGCATTTTTCTCATAGTCCTAAATCACCAGATCAAGGGATATATGTAATACTTGAGTGTTGACATTTTATTAATTTTTATATTTAACTAGAGCTGTAAAGTTGAAACAAATGGGTCAATGCAGTAGCCCATAAAATATTTTAAAAACACATAAAAGAAATATCACTAAAATTTAAACATAAAAAAAATACAAAAAAACCCTGAGCTATAGGAAGGGAAGTATCCTCTAAATGCCCAAGTTGAAGGTAGTCCTCTTAGAAAGGCACAGTAAGAAGCAGTGTTTGATGGGAACGTGATTTTTCAAGTATTTGAATTTTCAAACTCACCACATTAACTGAGTAAAATGAAAAAAATATATAAACTTCCTCTGAGGCAGAAAAAACATTTGGCATTTTCAAGATAGAATTATAATAAAAATATCTCGCCCCAATAGAATACAAAGAAGCATCCTTAAGCAAATAGAAGGCATCTACGGAAATATCACACTGAAGTTTGAACTAATAAATTATTCATTTAAGATCCAGAAGAAGACAAAGTGTCCTCTTTCACTATTGTTCTCTCTACTGTATGGGAGGAATTAACCAGTGAGACAAATCAAATAAATAAGTAAAACATACACAGTTAAGAAATGAAAAATACAATTCTAAATTTTTAAACAACTCCATTACCTACACATAAACTTCTAGTGACTGTAAAAATCAGCTGCTGGAATAAACTAGTAATTTTAGCCACATCATAGAAAAAATAAGTCAACCCATTAACTTATTTCTATATATTTCCAATGAGCAATTAATGATAAAAATCAAATCCATGTAAAATACTAATAAAAATAAAATATGTATATATGATTTTAACAAATTACATGCAAGATCTCTCTAAATAGGAAACTAGCAAAAGTGTTGGGAGATGTAGGAAAGTTCTAAATAAATGGAGTCGCATACAATAATTGATGGTTTTGATGTGTGTCCCTGCCCAAATCTGGTATGATGTAATCTCCAATGTTAGAGGTGAGGCCTGATGGGAGGTGATTGGATCATGGGGTGGATTTCTCATGAGTGGTTCAGCATCATCCCTCTTGATACTGTTCTCATAATAGTGAGTGAGTGAGTTCTCATGAGATCTGGTCATTTAAAAGTGTGTAGCAGCTTCCCCTTTCACTCTCTTGCTGTTCTGGCCATGTGACGTGCCTGTCCCCCTTTGCTTTCTGCCATGATTGTGCGTTTCCTGAGTCTTCCCAGAAGCTAAGTAGATGCCAGCATCATCCTTCCTGTATAGCCTGCAGAACAGTGGGGCAATTAAACCTCTTTTCTTCATAAATTGTCGAATCTTCTGTATTTCTCTATAGCAATGCCGGAACAAACTAATACAATAATCATGGCTTGAAAGTTCAGTGAATTTTAGTGTGTAAAAGGTTTTGGTTTTTCCAAATTAATCATTCTAGAAATCCTCACCATAATCACAAAAGATATTTTTATATAAATTGACACACTGATTTAAAAATGTACATCAAGAGAGCAAAAACAAATGATAGAAAGCTGAAAAAAAAGTTGGAATACTCACACTTCCTAACACCATGCAATAACTTAAAGCTATAGTCATCGAGAGAATGTGTTATTAGTAGATGGATAAACAATTAGAGTAATGGAATGGAATAGAGTTCACAAATAGATCCATGCTTATATGAATAATATAATATCAAAGATACTGCAGTTATTCAAAGGGGAAAGATAATTTTATTTAACAAAGTGTGCAGAACTACGAGATAAATGTGAAGAAAACAAACCTCAAGTCCTTCCTCACAACAAAAGCGTGAATGAGTTCAAAATTAAAGGAGTCCAAAATATATTATGGAACAATGTGTAAAAGTGAAAGCATAGGCTTCAAATATAAAGCACAGAAAATGTCTTAGTAAACTACATGAAAGCACTTCTTTTTATCCAAACTGTGGATACATTTCTTTTTATTCAGAAAGCAATAATTATATAATGATAAACTACAGAAATGTGTAAATATATTTATACTTTAATGTTTATTTTTAATTACACAATTATATATACTATTTATTATGAATAAGAGCAAGAATATATAAATATAATGTACAACATAGAAACAAGAGAGCTATAAAAACTAACAGATGCTACACAAAAATGATATAATAGCAAATAAGCAAATGAAAAATTTCTTAATATCGTTAGTAATAAAAAATAAAATGAGATAATTATACACATCTACTAGAAAAGCTACTATTTTAAAAATTGTGTTACCAATATTTGGCATAGATGTCAAGAAACCAGACTCTAGAGTTTGCATACATCGACGGTGGGAGTGTAACACAGTACAGCTACTTTGGATAACTAAATCTACCTTACATGTACCAATTCTACCCCTAGGCATTTATCCTAGCGGGGAGAAAAGCATAAGTCTGTAAAAAGGCTTGCACAAGTACCTTTATTCATTATTGTCAAAAACAGACACCATGCAACTGTCCACCAAGAGCGGCGTTCTCAAGTTCAGCACTATTAGCTGTTGAAGTGGCTTAATTCTTTGTTGTGGGGAGCTATCCTTTGTGGAACCCTGGCCTGTGGACACTCTATCCCCTCCTCCACAAACCTCTGATAACCAAAAGTGTCCCCAAACATTGGAAATGTCCCCGGCAGGTAAAATGTCCCTCATTTGAGAACCTCTGGTCAAGAGTTTAGTAAATAAATTATAGTGGTATGTCTATGAAATGAAATAATACGTAACAATAAAAAAAGGTGCTACTTCAACATGCAAGAAATTGTTGAATCTCAAAAATATTATGCTTAAGGAAAAAAGACAAAAAGAATTCATACTCTATAATTCTACTGATATATAATTGTAGAAAATAAAAGCTAATATATGGTAATAAAACCAGATTAGTACTGGATTGACAATGTGTTGAAAGTCAAAAGAAGAGGCTTGAGATCTCTTTCTAGTGTGATGGTTTTACAAGTATATACGTATGTTAATGTTTAAAAATTTCACACCTCAAAAATGTGCAGTATACCAGATGTTAATTATATCTCATAAAGCTATTAAAATTTTATCTCAAAATTATAGCTTTATTGCATTTAGGGCATTATCCAATTTTGAATCTAGTCCAGTTATCATAGCTTAATGCAGTATTATGAAAATAATGCCTATAAAGGTCCAGTTCCTCAAACACCCTTGGAACCAATTTTGTCATCTATATTAGTTACCTTGGGCTGCTATAATGAAGTACCACAAGCTGTGTGTCTTTAAGCAACAGAAATTTCTTCCCTCACAGTTGCGGAGGTCAGAGGTCAGAAAACAAGGTGTCTGCAGGACCAACCTCTCCTCTGGATGCTCTAGGTGAGAATCTTTTCCATGCCTTTCTCTTAGCTTCTGATGTTGCCATCAGAACTTCAGATGGTGTTCCTTGGCTTCTGTCAATATTAATACATAAATCCTTTTCAGTCTCAGCTTCTCTCTTCACATGGTCCTCTCCACATCCTATCTGTTTCTGTTCCCTCTTCTTATAAAGACAACCCATGTTATTTTAAGTCCCACCTACAGACATAATTTTAGCTTGATTACATCTGCAAAAACTTTGTGTCCAAATGAGGTTTCATTTACCTTATGTGTATAACTAGGGGTTAGGGCTTGAACATACGGGTTTGGGGAGGGGAACACAGTTCAGACCATGACACTCATTGTTTCACTCATTAATGAGTTAAGGGTGCTTTGATATTATTACATTTGAATGAGAGTGGTCTTTAAAATTACATTTTGTCGTGTAGTTTGTTCCACCCTGATGCTTAAAGGGAGTCACCTGCCTCAGCCAATTAAACTGTGTTGTCTCTGCAGTGCGTTTTATCACAAGAACATGACCTTTAAGCACAAGAACACCTTGTACTCCACCACTAAAAACAGAAATGACATCTACCTTCACTGCTTCCCTATTTCTCTCCATCTTTACTGACTTGGTATTTTGTTGTTGCTGTCATTTCTGGTTGTTGGTCAATTTTCATTTCTGTTCTTATTTTGCTGATAATTCTTATAAATCAGTGCTGAATTTTGTCAAATTATTTTTCTGCATCTCTACAGATGATCATTTTATGTTTTCGTCCCTGTGATAATTTAGTGAATGTCATTGATCAATTTTTAAATAATGAATATCTTTGCATTTAAGATAATATTTTTCACTATTAATGTTATCTCTGAAATGAAAGCTAAACCTAGTCAATAGATATTAGAGGTGCATGATTTTTAAAATTGTATAAAATTAGATAAAAAATACAAAGAAATATATATAATTTTAAAACTATGTAAAAATGTAAATGCCAAATGATAGAGCACTAAATGAAGCTTGTAATATTAAATACAATCTTTAGAAACTCTTTTGCAGTGCAGGAAAAAAATAGAACTGAAAACAAAGCAGAAGAAATCACAGATATAAAATTAAAGAGGATAGAATTAAGCACCGGAGTTCCCACATCTAAAGTGAAAATCTAAGAATTTAAATATCATTCAAATGCAGACTAAAATACAATATAAAATAAAATTTCCTGAGCTAATTTTTAAAATACTGCTTAATTTGTAGGTAAAAATGCAGACTAATTTTCTGACTATATTACTATAAAAACCTTCTACAAATATTTTTTAACTAAAATTATAAGAAAAACATCCGCCATAAACACGTAAGATTAGTATTTTCGTTTCTGAAGTATAAAATGTCTGGATAGACTTGAGCTTGTTGCTTTAGTTTTATATGTGAAGACTGGAAAAATTCTGTTTTGTTTTGAAAAATATTTTGAGCTAAAAATGTTGTATTCCACATTTGTTAGGAATGGAAGTCTTTAAAATATGAAATATTTCCAATTGAAGAAAAATAGTGAAAATGAACTTTATCTGAATAAGATTAATGAAAATTACATGTTGAAAAAGTAAAATAGTTATGTGTACTAACAGTGACTACTAACCCAACAATATAAAATTAAGTAAAAATATTATTACCATGTTAAATACAAATTAAAATTAATTATAAAAAAGTTAAGATCTATGATTAAAGTATTAAAATAAAATGAGACTGTATTCACAAATCTAAAAGCAAATTGGTGAATGACATATTTTTTGAAATAATAAATTCTTTGGCATATTTTATATTTTTTATTATAAATGAAAATTATTTATTTGAAATATTTAAAGGAACAAAATATTTGCAGCTCTATTTTATTGAGAAAGGAATTACAAAACAAAAACAAGGAGCTTTTGTAATTACAAAAGAATATATTAATAATATTATTTAGAAGCACAAAACCAGAAAAGCTTTATATTATTTCTAACAATAAATGTAAACCATCTAATTTTCTGAAAAGGGGTGGAAATAAATATTTAACAAAGAAGATGTTATTCTTAAATTGTAATATGTACATTGCCTAAAAATAAAAAGGTAGTTGAAGATATATTGTGAACAACAAAAAATGAAGAGCTGATAATATTAATGTGCGAAGGAAACTCATAACATATTGTACTAATTATAAATCAGTGTATTGACAAAACCTGAGTCCTCAATTATTATTGACTGTTATTGACATGTTAATGATAGAATATTAAATATAGAATATAATAAAGCAATTTAGAATAAAAAAGAGAAAGCGATAGACATGAATAGAAACAAAATGCAACTGTTCAATATTAAAAGCCTTTCTAAATTGCTTGTGTTTTTCTAGTGACCTGTTTCGCTATGCAGTGTAGGCTCAGGTGTCTAGATTTTAGTTGCAGATAAACACAGGTAGTGTTTTCCAGATCTCAGAATGACCAGTTACATAAAAATAGGCCATAAACCATATATTTCATTCTTGCGGTTGACAAACCTCTAATTCACCTGAAAATATTAAAAAGAAAGAAGACAGACGTGACAGTGGTTGGAAGTTGAGGATAAGAAGAAGTTGGCAGAAATAAGCTTTCTTCTTTTGGACAGCAATGCATGATAAAAAAAATTAAACTAAATTCAGTTCATTTCCACTAACTGGGACTTATTTAGAATTAGAAACTTTAAGAAAGTCTGAAGAATTTCAATTGAGGAGTAAATAAGGGCCAATTTATTTCATAGTGTGGACTCTCAAGACAATATACAACAGTGCTTCTCAAAGTTAAACAGTGTATGAGTGACCTGGAAATGAAGATGCAGATTTAATAGGGCTGGAGAGAAGTCTGAGATTCTCAATTTCTAATGAATTAAATTACAAAGAGGAGAAAATAAGGTTATTGCTTACTTTATATACATTCACAAACACAGGCTAATCAAATAATTGTTTAAAGTATTGCTCTGATAAGAATTAAATTACATAGTTCATAGGAAACATTTTCTTTACATTCGGATTTTATCTATTATTAGAATAATAATAGAATCTTGACTTTATGTAACTCTATGTTCCAAACAACTAGAAACTTTTCGATAGCAATTGTTCACCATTTAATAACATTTTTCCAAGATACCTAATGCACTCAAGGACAAAATAGCTGCCTTCCAGTGATTTCCAATTTATTCAATTTTCAGGCCATCTGTCTGCCCACACAATGACAGATTATAGTTACATTCTTGCCATGCTCTGAACAGCTAAGCCAATTGTTTTCAATCTTTTTTCTTCAGCAACTCCATCTCTTAAAGTACTTCAGAGTAGTTCCTGAAAGGATTCCTCTTTAGTTAAATGGCTATACAGCTCTCCCATCATCCAAAATAATCAGTGGAGAGATAGCAATATTTTTCATTACATTAGGCCAAGTTCCATTGCTTCCTTCATCTTGTAATCTGATCAGAAACACCACTATAGATTCAATAATTGAGTTTAGAGTTTCAGAGAATTTGGGGTCACAGAACATCTATGTCTATTTTGTAAAGATTATTGCATATTACTGAAATAGCTTGTCAAACACTGCAGTCTGCTTAAAGTATCAAAATAGAAATGTTGAATGCTGTGTCTGCACAGAGTTCATTTAAGCAAAGAATCTACTAGGCTCTTAAGTCTGTTAATGCAAATTCCTGAATACAGCTGACCCTCCATACCCCCATTGTGGGTGGATTTAACTAACCATGAATCAAACATATTTGTTAAAAGAAATACCAAAAATAATTTTTAAAAAGAAATACAACAATAAAACAATGCAAATAAAAAACAATCCTTATAACAATTATGTGCATAGCATTTATATTGTATTCAGTATTATTAATGTAAGTAATCTGGAAATGATAGAAAGTATACAAGAGGGTGTGTGTAAGTTATATGCAAATACTAGGCCATTTTATATAAGAAACTTGAGCATCTCTGGCTTTTGCTATGAAGGGATGATGGTGGTAGGATTGGTGGTGGTCCTGGAACAAATCCCCAGCAGGTACCAAGGGGGACTGTAGACCCCAAAGCTGTTTAGGAATGGGTCACAGCAGCAGGACTGAGGCAGGAATGCTCCCCACAGAAAACATCAACCACCTGTTGATTTTTGAATCTGCTCCTCTCAGGCATGCCTTCAAATGCTATAACCTGGAGATTCAACTCATTTTCATGCTGCTAAGTAGGAATAGGTGATTCAATTCCCCAAGAAAGTGACAGAGGTCCCTGAAATATAGATTTAAAGTTACATAGTGTCAAATGCTAGTCATTTTCTTTTTGCTCGATGGTATCCTCTCAGAAAAACCTTTTATAATATTTCTAATTCATTTACCAGATTTATAGAATCATCAAATTGTCTATCCATGTGTTTTTCAAATATTTTGTGAAGTGTCTAGGGTAACAACCTAGTGTTCGAACGTATTTTGTGAAGTGGCTAGGGTAACAACGTAATGTTCGAACTTATGTTCGTATTTAAATACAAATGTATTTTGGTTGAGTGATTACTCAAGGTCACTGAGGAATCCACAAGGTTAACCTCCTGACTCTAGAACCATTGTTATATAGAGATATATAAATAGCTGATTTAATATTATAGGCTTAGCAAAATATTTAATAAATAAGGTCTTAGTAAAACAACACACATGTATTTATCCACTTATTTAATTTTGTTTTTCCATTTCTTCTGAACATAAGTTCCTGAGGACACGGGCCTTTTTTCACAGTTCATTTTTGGATTCCAACATCTAGCCAGTACTTTGCAAAGAGCACTGAATTTGAAAGAAATTTCTCAGTTAATGATTTGAATCATATAAAATATTTAGTAAATTTGAAAACTAGTAACCGTGTAAAGCGATTAAAACAAACATACTAGAGGGTAATAATCCCCCGCCCCTTGCCTTCTTCCTTTACATCCACTTCATTCTTATTCTTGTCTACTTCCCCTGCCCCACCCAGGGAACGTGGTTAGCCCATCAACTGCAAAGACTGTTCTCATATAATATTGTTCTGATGGATAATGAGACTCTGAAAGTGGAACATAAACAGATAAAACAAAAACAAACAGAAAAGAACCCAAAAACCTAAACTCAACTTCAGTTAAAGCAGAAAATATCTGTCCAGCCTAAACCAGGCATACTCCACAGACTTCTGTTAGACGCCTGATCCTACTTCAGTCTGGAACCACCTAGTCTTCAGGTTTGCCTGGTGCTCACCAGCTGAAGAAATCCTTTAACGACCTTTATTCAGTCAAGTAAATCGTTTTCTTTTGGCAACTTGCATGTTATTTTTTAGGTTTTCATTTATTTATTTTTTTATATTTAAAGTCATATTTTCTTCCTTTTATTCACTTTGCTGGTCTTTCTCACTTTGACTTTTTTTTTTTTTGCCTTGTTTTGCATTTGTTTACTTTAACATTTTTTGTAACTTATCTCTTTTATTTTGGAAATTATTCACATTATCAGTTTTCTTTTGCTAGGCAATTTTGATATTCTAATAAACATTATTAACATAAAATATAAAGTTTACTAACACCAAGCCCAAACAATACAAAGTCTTAGGGCTCTTTAATTGCAATTATTTAAAAATATTTGCTACAAATTGTTCATTATTTTATATTCATGTTGTTTTTCTTATTCCCACAAATCACATATTGTTGGTGTGTTTGTTAAATAAAATTGTGACTGCTTATATATGTTTTTTCACATCCTTTCTTCTTCTAATATTTTGGAATTTACATCCAGTTAATTATCCTTTATTCTATGGTACATACTGTAAAAGTTACTATTCTTGGTAGTAAACTCTCAGTTTTTGGATTGTCTGAAGATGTCTCTATTTTGATCTGCTCTTGAATTCTAAATCTAATTGACATAAAATTCTAGATTTGCCATTATCATTTATTAGCACTTCAAAGATATTCCACAATTTTCTGACTTTCAATATTTTTGTTGGTAAAAATGGTGATTGTTAATTGGCTTGCATATTCTGTTTTGGATATTCCACTGTTTCCTTATAATTTGTTTATTTATAAGGAAACTTATAAACAAATTATAAGGAAACAATAGAATATCCAAAATAAAGAGAATAGTTATGGGTTCGTATAGATAATTCTTCAGAATCTACTAATTTGTGTCTTTCTTCTTTACTTCTGTAAACTTTTCAGCTACTATATATTAGAATATTTCTTAAATTTTTTATATTCATTCTGAAATTTCTTGCTGAAATTTGTTCAAAAGGTGAGTTAACGGAGCTATACATCTTTAGTGTCATGTGCTCTAAATTGCAAAATACATGTATTTTTATTTCAGACAACTTGAGTAACATTTGTGCAAATGTTTTATATACACGGACTTAATTTGGTAAATTTAGGCATGTGGTAGACAAATTTAAAAATGTATAAAAATCGTGGGCAAGCATATGAACATTCTATTTTTGCTACTATAAAAAATAGCAGACTATCCAACTATTTTATGATACTCAACGATACATCTTACTAAATGGTCACGACTCTTGCCTCTCAGGGTCAGAGTTTGCAATAGTGAAAGCAAGAGAAAGCCACGGAAAAAAAAACAGGGAGAGGGAAAATATTAAGCTCTAGAATATGTACATTGTTTTGCTTGTATAAATTTAGAACATTCAACACATGTTTACAATGAATACATATAAAATACCAATGACATGAGGAGAATTAGAATAGAAATAAATACAAGGATTCTTTCATGATAACTAAAAATATCAGTGAAGGTTTGTACATAAAATTTAGGGATTTTATATTATTACCTAATACAATTCTGGCTATAACATCACTAAAGGATTGTAAACGTCTGCTGGGAAACCTATGGGAAAAAAATGCAAGTGGAACTGGTGTCATACAAACACATTTTCTAATGGGAAGCTTAACTGGTGAAATGTAAGTTGGAAACATTACTCAATTTAGGTCTATGAAAATGTTTTCCCAAATACAATCTTTTCTTGTTTGATAGGAGGTTTTACTGTGATGTATTATTTCTGACAGCCTCTTTTTTTTTTTTTTAAAGGAAACGAGTAGAATTAAGTGAATTGATTATCATATCTAACCTGTAAGTACAAATTACTTTCCCTTGGAATTACATAATTGATAATTGTACATCCTCAGATGTGTTTGAATCTGAGATTTACTCTAAACTCAGAGAAAAAAAAGTGAAATTTTGTTTCCATTGTGGCACCTTTGTTTCCTTTTTAAGTTTTCAAAATTTCTTAAAAATTATTTTTCCCTTTCATAATTTATTCAACAAGTATCTATTGTTAGGTGTTGGGAACACAAGACCTAAAACTCCTGACAAATATATTCTATTTCTGAGGTCAATTTGTACATTAATAAATGCATATATAATACCAGACAAGATTGTAATGCTAACCAGTTTGACTTTGAGGCACGGTATTCAGAATGTAAATGCCCCTGGAAAAAACATTGAATATAAATGCCCCTGGAGAAAGAATGTAGTTGGAAAAAACATTCTGAGGTAAAATTATGCAATATTGGTATGACTAATTAGAGTGACCAGAGGTTCACACATTTTTGTGACATGCCATTGGTAGAAAAAGAGCCATAGCTGAAAAAATATGGCAGTCATAAGATGTCAGTGGAAATGAAGACAAGGATACCTTTTGGTCAATTTTCTTGAAAATATTGGCTTTTTCAACAGTGTAGTTTATTTAAAATTTAGTCCCAGTTCTTAGCAATTATTTATATACTGATGGACTTATATCCAGGGTCTTCTTGAATTAAAAAAAGTCAAAAAATAATTTTATAAATTTAAAATATTATAAAATTATGATATATACAATTCTTGCTCTCTCTGTCATATTTTTCCAATTTTTTGTCTGTCTTGTTTTTTCTTGCCTTTTCTTCCCTGTCCTTTCCCTTTCGTTTCTTTTCTTTTTGTTTCCTTTGTCTGGCCTTGCTTTGAGTTTCTTTTCCAAACGAATTCACTGGAGGTGGTATTTTTATGCATAATATACACAGCAAATGTCTAGGGCCTCTCATTTTTTACAAATCTTTGTAAGAAAAGGCTATCTATTAACCCAATGACATTGTCATAACCTTTTCTAAATTTCAATGATATTCAGTTTCTCGCAGCTATTACATTACAAAGTATACCTCAGTAAAAATCTAGTAAGTCATAGGGCTGATGTTGCTGATTGCTCACTTGCTCAAGCCAGAAGCTTAGAATACATGCTTGATTCTTCACTTTCCTGTGGGTTTATGCCAAATCAATTTCAAATCTATAGATCTTATCCTCTAAATAACATACAGCATGCCTACTTTTTTCTCTCTCTCGACTACTGTCACATTAATTCAAAAGAAAAAGACTGATGATTCCTAACTTCCTGGCTTCAGTAATTGGCAACGATGACATCACTACTAAGGCTTCACTTCTCACCTCTGCTTCCATATGAGTGTAATGTTATTTTCTCCTATGACAGATAAGTTTATTTTTCACCATTAAAAGGTAAGAAACTCACGCATAACCAAAGTTGGAGGAGACAGTTATTTTTTTTCCCCAGCTTGCCTGTTAAAACCATAAGGAATGATTAATCTGCCATGGTGCTTGATGTGGCCCAGGGATGTGCTCAGACTCAGTCATGTAGGGGCAGGTGGTATTAACATTAGTTCAAACATGGAACCATGGCATGTGTTAGAAATAATGGCTTATATTAGAAACCGGACATAAAATTGTCGTGAGCAAGAAAGTTACCTCAATTTGAGTCTACTAGAAGTTTCAGAGTGCCATTTCACATGGCCACAAAGTTCAAAAGTTCCAAAAGAAGCAAAAGTTTGACCAAGAAATCAGTGATTTTTTAAAAAAGAGAAATTGAGCTCAATCATGTTTTTTATATCTTCTACTGTACTAAAAGTTTTTTTCTCAATAATTGACTAAAAGTTCATTAACTACTGCACAGACTTCAATATTTAGAAATGTAATACGGGCTTGCTAACTAAAAGTGAAGTTATTTTATTGTCGGAACTAGCTATTGTTAGAAATACTCATTTGCTTTTTATAATACAATTTTACATATGATTTATAGATTTACAGATTATAACAATTTATAGATTATTACCTCATTAATTTATTGAATAACCTGACTAAATTACTTAGTCACTGAATTAAATACAACCCAGCCTTAATACTTTGGGTCAAGGAACATTGACCAAATATGTATTTATGCCACAGATTCCTTGAAATTTCTTACCAAAGTAAATTGTTTCATGAAAAATACAGAAATAAATTGGTAACTAAATAAAACATGTTCTATATTTCAACTTGAAAAATTAAAGAAATTAATAATTCTTAAAATCAAAGCAATGATCATTTGTTTCCTAATTATTATTATTGTGAATGTACTTAAAATTTTTGCTATGCTTTTAAGAAAGATGTACTTCTATTAAAAATTATTAAAATAAACAGCAGAGAGACTGACTTTTCAAAATAGTTTATCTGGGAAGAGCAATGAACTGCAATTTGGGATATGTGTACCGTACTGAACCATAGGCACATTTGAAAAAGCTGGGGGAGCCGAAGCTTTTTTAAGGGTAAAAGGTGAAGTTTCCCATCAAACTACCGTTGGCATTCTTCACAGAATTAGAAAAACCTATTTGAAATTTCATATGGAATCAAAGAAGACCCCATATAGCCAAGACAATCCTAAGCATAAAGAACAAAACTGGAGGCATCACACTACCTGACTTCATTACTGCAGGGCCTCAGTAACCAAAACAGCATGGAACTGGTACCAAAACAGACATATAGACCAATGAAGGTGAACATAGACCTCAGAAATACACCACACGTCTACAACCACCTGATCTTCAACAAACCTGACAAAAACAAGCAATGGGAAAGGATCTCATATTCAGTAATAATGTGGGAAATCTGGCTAGCCATATGCAGGAAACTGAAACTGGACCCCTTCCTTACACCTTATACAAAAATTAACTCAAGATGGATTAAAGACTTAAATGTAAAACCCCAAACCGTAAAAACCCTAGAAGAAAACCTAGGCAACAACATTCAGGACATAGGCAGGGTGGGCAAAGACTTCATGACAAAAATGCCAAAAGCAATTGCAACAAAAGCCAAAATTGACAATGGGATCTAATTAAACTAAAGAGCTTCTGCACAGCAAAAAAAAAAAAAAAAAAAAAAAAAAAACTATCATCAAAGTGAACAAGCAACCTACAGACTGGGAAAAAATTTTTGCAATCTACCCATCTGACAATGATCGAATATCCAGAATTTACAAGGGACTTAAACATGCTTACAAGAAAAAGACAAACAACGCTATCAAAAAGTGGGCAAAGGATATGAACAGACACGTCTCAAAAAAAGACATTTACGTGGCCAAAAAACATACAAAAGAAGCTCAACATCACTGATCACCAGAGAAATGCAAATCAAAACCACAATGAGATGCCATTTCACGCCAATTAGAATGGAGATTATTAAAAAGTCAGGAAACAATAAATACTGGAGAGGATGTGGAGAAATGGGAATGCTCTTACACTGTTGGTGGGAAAGTGAATTAATTCAACCATTGTGGAAGACAGTATGGGCATTCCTCAAGGATCTAGAACTAGAAATACCTTTTGACCCAGCAATCCCATTACTAGGTATATACCCAAAGGAATATAAATCATTCTACTGTAAGGGAACATACGTGTATATATTTATTGCAGCACTATTTACAATAGCAAAGACATGGACCCAACCCAAATGCCCATCACTGATAGACTGGATAAAGAAAATGTGGTACACATACACCATGGAATACTATGCAGCTATAAAAAAGGAATGAGAGCATGTCCTTTGCAGAAACATGGATGAAACTGGAAGCCATCATCCTCAGCAAACTAACACAGGAACAGAAAACCAAATACCGCATGTTCTTATTCGTAAGTGGGATTCGAACATTGAGAACAAATGGACACAGAGAAGGAAACAACACACGCTGGGGCCTGTTGGAGGTTGGGGGGTGAGGGGAGGGAACTTAGATGATAGGTTGAAAAGTGTAGCAAACCACCATGGCATACGTATACCTATGTAACAAACCTGCACGTTCTGCACATATATCACTTTTGTTTGTTTTTTGAAGAAGAAGAAGAAATAAAGAAAAAAAAAGGTGAAGTTCATGTAAATTATTTTAAAATAAACCTCTTTGGCCCCAGAAGCTTATTGCTTGGTATGGACAAATACTCATCGGTGATACTGGCTATTGCTGGGAAGATGTCTTCATAGAAGCGTCGTATCTAAAATTTTTGTAGTTTTCAGGGAGTCCTTGCAATAGTTCTTTTAGAGACATCCATGCATGAAGGGCCTTCTTTTATACTCTCCCAGCTCCATTTTGTTGTGGTTTGACTTCAGTGAGTCAACTTCTTTGCTTGTAACTTTAACATTTCCCCCCTTTGACCAAGAATTTTTTCTGAAAGCATTGCTGATTAATCAGCCTATAGTTAGGTTTTGATTGTTTCTTGGTGCTGGAGTGGACCTTTCCTAGTTAGTCTGATCCTGCATCAGAGGTGAATGGCCAGCAACTAAGAGCAGATGTCAAAACCCTTTTAGTCACATTTAAGAAACAAAGAGGTTCAGAAGGAGTGGCTCTCAGGATAAATCTGCCTGGAGTTCATTGCTAAGTTCAATTTTGTCAGTTCCATAGGCATTGACTACCATTTGGAAGTTCTGGACCAGTGTTATTCTGTTAGATGCATCATTTCTGCAGAGGTTGGACAGGAAACAGATAAAAAGTTTAAAAAGAATGATGCGGTACAAAATTAATAGTAACATGAAATATTGTCTATGAACATGGACCCAAAGGCAGCCAACTAATGAATCAAAAGTCTATGTGAGACTGAGTGAGATCTGTTGTAGCCATAAAGCCTGTCTTGCTATTTTATGCAATTAGGTCTTGACTTCCCCAGAGAAATATATTCAGGTACAGCATGTAGTTATTAGCAATGGCACAGACATTCTTGTTCAACCAGTAGATAATTGAGAGTTATCTCATCCTGTCCTGTTGTGTTATCTACGGCTACTCAGCAAGATACTTTAATGAGCACTGCTGGGCGGCAATAGCCTTTGCAGTGAAGCCTGCAACGAAACCCAAGGTGGCAAATAAATTAGGGATGTTGCCATAGTTACCCACTGGGTGGACTAAAGGATCCCTTAGGTCATGTAAAGATGTGGGTTTGACACGACAGATCCAAAACTTCATTCAGTTACGGAAGCTACTGAATGTGAAATTCTAACCACAGCGTTATTCTGCCAAGTGAAAAATGTAGGCATAAGCAAGAAAAAAAAAAAATAAGAAGGATAAGAGTCCAGTTTTGTTACAATGTCTTGGGAAAAGCTTTCCACACTGTGATGTCATCAACTTCTTACTCTGGTTTGTAGTTTGAATGTTCCTGGGTATAGCATGGGGCATTTTAGTCAATTCTCTTTGTAGCCCACACAATAGCCATGAGATTTCTCTCTTGAAATTTACATGGAGTTTTCTGGCTCCAACTTATAGGACTTTAGGAACAAGGCAGTTTATGTTCTTAGTTGGAGAATCGTAGCCAGACGTTGGAGGAAATTAGAATAATTAAGTGCCCTGTCTAATTTAGAGATAGATGACAAAAACTTGAAAACAACAAAGAAAACTACAATCTACTAACAGGTGTACTGCAGTTTTTCTTCAGAAACATAATTTTTCTCTGTACAATCATCCCTATTTCTACTAAAGATAATCAGAGTAAGACTAATTTGTCTGCTGAATAAGTTTAGTCTCATTAAACTTGGCATGATTATTGACAACAGTATAGCAAGAAAAGGGATGAAACATGGGCTGTTTTTAAGTTTATTTTGACGGAACTTTTGATAAGAAATCTCAGATTAGACTTTTAAAAGCCTTTCAAGGGTCAGAAGTCAAAGGAGGGCGAACATCAGACTTTGGCTGCAGTATCTAAAAATCTGCATGAATTTCTCTCTTCTTGAGGTCTCCAATATATCTGGAGGTTCCTGGCCTGTCAAGAGGTAAAAATGTTTATTCACTCACTGTGAGCTTGGGAATCCTTGAAGCTAGGCATCCTGTGCATAGTCTCAAATATCACATTCAAGTCAAACCATTTATAATATAACCAATGTTTGTAATTCTATCCTGTTACAAAGAGAATAGATTTTTATTGAATTAATGCAAATAACTATGTTGCCATAAAATAAAAATATCAATAAGAGCTCTCTGAAGACTGCAGCCGCAGGTAGGAAGAAAAAATAAATATTTCCATTTTTATTTATAAAAGTATACTTTACCAAATTGCTGTATGCTATAGATAGCTTTTTAAAAGTTTTCTCAAATCTGGAAAACAAAAAATTTAAAAAAAACAGCAAAATGTTAAACAAAAAGTCACTCGAAAATATTGCCATCAGTTTGTTTAGTCCCATTCATTAAACTTATTCTACTTGATCTGGGTTAGATGTTTTAAGAAGCCATCGTTTCTTCATTAGAGTCCTGGAAATTCTTTCCCAGTCCAGTGGTATAATCTTAAACTCATAAGAAATCTAAATTCCAGCATACTTGTTAGAGTCCTTTTCATGAACCTCCTTGAAGAGGAAGTATTTTTCTTTATTCATTTTAATTTATTCTCTACAATACTTCATTAGGGAGTTCAATGATTTGCACTCAGAAGTTAAATAGCCAAGAGGCAAGCAAGTATAATAAACTTCAGAATTGGACTGAGGTTGTTGCACTGAAGGCCATGTAGTCTTTTGCTTCAGGGAAATAACAACAAAAATAACCAAAATGAACACATAGCTCCCTAGGCTTCTGAATCTCAATAGAGAATAACATCAACATTTAATGAAATTGTAGATATTAACACATCATGGGAAAAAAGATACTGTGCAAAATATTATAATTAACACTTGGCACTTCTTATGTCTAGATTTTTATTATAAACAATAAAATATATGTAATATCTTAACTACAGACCTTTCATGTTGAAAGGGCATCTAACATAACTTGTTTTAACATTATGAAGGGAAAAAGTTTAGAAATTTCAAAGTGGAAACAATCCAACACTAACAAACTATAGTGATCAAAAGTATTAACTTTTAAAGAAAAACAAGGACAATTCATAAAAGTAGAACTACCATTTGATCCAGCAATCTTACTGGTTATCTACCCAGAGGAAAAGAAGTCATTACACAAAAAAGATACTTGCACATGCACGTTTATAACAGCACAATTAGCAATTGCAAAAATGTGGAACCAGCCTAAATGCCCGTGAATCAATGAGTGAATAAACTGTGGTATATATTTATGTGTGTGTGTGTGTGTGTGTGTGTGTGTGTGTGTGTATGTATATGTATATATATATGCATATGTATATATATATATGCATATGTATATATATATATATGCATAAATACATATATGTGATGGAATACTACTCAGCCATAAAAAGGAATGAATTAATGGCATTCATAATAACCTGGATGGGATTGGAGACTATTATTCTAAGTGAAGTATCTCAGGAATGGAAAACCAAACATTGCATGTTCTCACTCTTAAGTGGGAGCTAAGCTATGAAGATGCAAAGGCATAAGAATGATACAGTGGACTTTGGGGACTCAAGGGAAAGAGTGGGAAAGGCATGAGGGGTAAAAGACTACAAATTGAGTTCAGTGTATACTGCTCGGGTGATGTGTGCACCAAAATCTCACAAATCACCACTAAAGAACTTACTCATGTAACCAAATACCTCATGTTCTCCAAAAACCTATGGAAATAAAAAATTTAAAAAATTACAGAAAGGGAATGTATTATGAGACAAGCCACGTTTATAGACCAAAGCATGCTCATAGCTAGGGATGAAACAAACCACAAACCAAGCCAGCAAAGTTGGGTTGATTCCTTGAAAAGAATGGTTACCTATTGTCCAGATTGAGTAGCCCAAAGACAGAGGAAACACTGAGCGTAAAACATTCCCTTTTTTTTAATTAGCCGGGCGTAGTGGCGGGCGCCTGTAGTCCCAGCTACTTGGGAGGCTGAGGCAGGAGAATGGCGTGAACCCGGGAGGCGGAGCTTGCAGTGAGCCGAGATCCCGCCACTGCACTCCAGCCTGGGCGACAGAGCGAGACTCCGTCTCAAAAAAAAAAAAAAAAAAAAAAAAAAAAAAAAAAAAAAAATTCCCTTTTTTTTAAACCTACCACTCACACCACATGCACTGATCACTCTCATCACTGCTTTGGTAAAGCATGTAGGATGCAGTTCAGTTTCAATTTGGAGCTGTTACCTCCCCAGGCAAAGCTGCCACACAGATGATCCAGGCTTGGTGTTTTTCCCGAGAGCCACCTGCCACACATTTTCATAAGGTGACCATGACTATGCACATCCAGGCTACTTCCTGACTAGGCCCTGTTCAGGAAGCATCCTGAGGTGTCCATTCCTCGTGGAGCCAAATAGTTCCCTTGGTTGACTCCTGAGTCCCCTTGGCAAGCCAAGCAGAATTCAAGCATTTCTACTGCTAGCCTTGTGTGGGAGCATGAGCGAATGTAAAGGGAGCAAGGCTCTTCACTCCATAAACCACAGCCTACTTCGGGGTGGTGCTGGACCAGCCCTATTCTTGGGTACTGAATTTCTTTTTCTCATTTGTTGGGATTTTAAATTTTCTATTTATTTTCTTAAATGGCAGGTATCCTACTGCATCTTCAATAAAATAAAATATATACATATATATGTTGTACACTGGAGAAAACAAATAGGGGAACAGTTTGATAGTTTAGCCCCATTTTTTGCTTTTATTTAACCTTTAGAAGTAAAACACAATTATTAAAACAGAATGCTTGAGCAGTAATAAGCGTAGCCCTATGTATCAATATTATTGTACAAATTGGATGTGGGTGCTTAACCCAGAGCTGACCACCCTGATAATAATCCAGAAAAAAACCATTGTTACATCTGTTTGTAACAAGACATTTATTATTCTCAGCACCAGGACATCATAAAATGACTCCTTGATCTTCATTTACTTCACCAAGGGAAACGTGGCAGGCTACAGAAACTCAGCACAGCAGTTAGTGGGGCTGTGCCCTGGGTGCCCTGATGTCACCCACATTTCCCTTGCACGTCTCAGGTCCTAATAAGCAGTGCAGGACAATGTTGAGCCAACCTACTCACCCGTGCCCATTCCTTCCCAGAAACTTAAAGGTGATCCCTATAATAGCACATATGTCCTTTCCCAAATTGTGTCTTTGCTCCCCTAACCCCATTCTTGGCAGAAGAAAAAACAAAACATCTCTTGACTTGAATATTTGCTTATTTTAGAAACCGACACAATCACCATAAACTTAAAAAAAAAAATAAATCAAAATGTTGTTTTCACTGGGTTGACACCTATCTGCTTCAAGAATTCTCTAAGCATGTTGTTGAAAACCAGTGTAACATCTTTAGGATCTTTCTCCCAACTGACCAGTCTTCCTGTGAATCATTTCAGCAGTTCCTTTGTGGCAATGTTTACAAAGCATCTTCTAAGTCCTCTAATTCTATGAGCTTTGCTATCAAAATAGTGAAGAATAGGAAAGGGGGAGGAAAAAACTAGCTGACAGCTGTTTGGAAATCAGCAACAATGTGAAAGAGAAATGTATCTCATGAAAGTTTGAAAGACATGGAATAAATGAGCTCCTTGGAAATTTGCCCTGGCGGAGTGAAGATTCCCACTTTATCTTCTTAGGCAAGATAAAGATCCACCTTATGTAATTACACAGCTTTGTTTAAGCATCCTGTAAAAGACTGAAAAATCAACTGTCTTCCTAACTCTACAGGCAAACTAGAAAAAGGATCTCCCTGCTTACTGGTCCCTCAGGATGTTTTCCTGAAAAGAAAACCAGCTTAGAGATACTGGATTTTCTTCTATGACAAAGTGTCCTCTTAAAGTCCAACCGAAACTTGTTTGCACACTTACACTTCTGAAAGCCTAGGTCCGACTATAGGGCTGATACCGGGAGAGAAGTGAAGTAGCTGGGTGGTGAGGAAGTGGTCTCTCCTTTCACATCTCTGTGCAGTCATGATATCAAGACCCCTTGTGGACATCTCTATTCCATTCCTCAGTCAGTGACACCACAGAGCTCTGTTTGATACCGGGAGACTTAATGCAGTAAAAGTGACAGAAAGTGCAACTGATAGTAGGATGAAAATTATAATCTTCAAGGATTAGTGAGCCATGAGATCTGCAATGCTATCGTAGGGTTTCTGATCCTGATGTGGGTCTCTGTCCAGGATCCTTGAAGAAATTATGGCACCCACATCCAACCCTAACATAGCTTCCACTTATGAAACAAGGAGGTTGTAATCAACTCTTGGTATGTAATAAACTGGAAGTTCAAAAATGTAATTTAAAACAATCTAAAAGAATGTAGTGTTGGTCTCCATTGCACAGACTGCTAGGGGAATATATCAACTTGATTTGGGGAGGCTGTAGAGGTATATAGAGGAGTATATGGGTTAAACCTTAATGGGTCATCAGTTTCAGAGAAGAAGCAATTTTTTATTGTAGCTGATGGCAAATGCTTTTCGAAAAGAATGAAAGCAGTCGGTCCCTGTGGATGACAGACTTAGAGTGGCCATGGTTAAAAATCTCATGGAGTTTATTATAATAATAATGTAATTGACAAAGAAATTTGTTTATTTCTGTGGCATACAAAACTTGAAGATAATAACCAAGATTATGACCGATAACATATCAGATTTTGAAGAATTCAATATAATTTTGTAACACATATCAATAACATTCTGAAATACAACTTAAAGAAGGTTTAGCACCACTTAGTATTTGACAATACTCCCTATATAATTTAATATATCAAGTAAGTCTCATTAGTTTAATATATCTCTTTACAATGTGAGATACACATTCTTTGATCTTTCCAGGGGTCCAAATGAGAAATATCAAAATTAACTTGAGGGCAAAAAGAGTTAATTTAAAATATTATTTTGGGAAGTTTGTCAAAAACATCAAACAGTTTAAAACACTTTATCAGAGTATGATAACAGGTAACCAAAATGAAAATTAAAAGATTTCAAAAAATAAATGTAGAAATTTACATAATTGTCAACAAAAACATAGCTTTTTAATACTGAGAACATTTACTTTTCTCTTTTTTTAACTTTTATTTTAGGTTCAGGGGTACACATGTGGGTTACTTACGCATTTATATGGGTAAATTGTGTGTCACGGGGTTTGGTGTATAGATTATTTCATAACCCAGATAATAAGCATAGTACCCAGTAGGTAATTTTTAAATTTTCATCCTCCTTCCTCCCTCCACTCTAAAGTAGGCCCAGTGTCTGTTGTTCCATTTGTGTCCATATGTACTCAATGTTTAGCTCCCCTTATAAGTGAGAACATATGGTATTGGGTTTTCTAGGATAATGGCCTCCAGCTCCACTCATGTTGCTGGAAAAGAGATGATCTCATTCTTTTTATGGCTGCATAGTATTCCATGTTGTATATCTACCACATTTCTTCATCCAGTCTACCACTGATGGGCATTTAGGTTGATTCCATGTCTTTGCTATTGTGAAAAGTGCTGCAATGAACATACACGTGCATGTGTCTTTATGGTAGAATGATTTGTATTTCTTTTGGTATATACTCAATAGTAGGATTGATGAGTTGAATGGCACTTCTGCTTTGAGTTCTTTGAGAAATGGCCACACTGCTTTCCACAATGGCTGAACTACCTTACATTCCCACCATCACTGTATAATCATTCCCTTTTCTCCACAACCTCACTAGCATCTCTTATTTTTTGAGTTTTTAATAATAGCCATTCTCATTGGTGTGAGATGGTATCTCATTGTGGTTTTGATTTGCATTTCTCTAATGATTAGTGATGTTGAGCATTTTGTCATATGCTTTCTGGCCACATGTATGCCCTCCTTTGAAAGTGTCCGTTCATGTACTTTGTGTACGTTTAAATGGGATTGTTTGTTTTTCACTTGTTGATTTTTTTAAGTTCACCAGATGCACTGTGCTGGGGTTCTGTGATAGTCCCTAATTGCTGTGCACCCTCCCAAGCCTGAGAGCAGCAGGAGGGAGGGTTGCGAGACAGCAAAAAGGTGGACTGCCTCTCTCTTTGGGAGCTGCATGCCGGAGAAGTGTAGAGCTGCTCCCAGCTGGAGAACTCAGGAGGACTAGGGTGGCCTCACTAGCATCCCAGGCTAGTGGGCCTTATCCTACAAGGTTCAGTGGTGGTGAGGTCTGCAGTCTATCACTGCTCAGCCCCATGGACTTGGCCCCTTTTCTGGGGAGCGTGCAAGAAAACTTGGCCTTCCCAATTGCTGGAGCTGCAGCCCCTGGTTTTGGGGTACCCAGGGAACAAATGCTACTGGGACTCCACACCTACCTAAGAAGCAGCTCTACCCAGACTCCACATGGCTCTCTGTTTTGGTCTGGAGACCCCAGCTGGGGTATCTCCTGAGCCCAGGGATTCAAAGGTTCGTGGCAGAAATATGCATCCCACGGGACTCTCACTCACTCACCATTTTCTTGTAGGGGGATTCCCCTGGGTCTGTGCCACTCCTGGGTGAATGGCTGATCTGTCTCACTCTTCTCCGTGATCCGAAGGTCACACTATGTCACTGATGAATCCTTATGTGTCCACCTGGATGTTCCGGTTGAAGAGCTAGTGTCTCACCACTCTTTCTGCTATTTGTGAGAGTGGCACACACTAGCTGCTTCTAGTCAACCATCTTGGCCCCACCTCACTCACTTTTCTCAAGTAATCAAAGACCTAGTAAAAGAGAGCATAAAGCATAAGAAATTACCTTGATAAACAAAAAATCTTGGTTTATTAGGCCAGTTATCTAAAAGGTAGAGAAAACATTTCACTATTTTCTATTAAGAGCAGGTCAATACTCAAAGAAAAGCTTGTTGTTTCAGCACAGGGGACAAATTTCAAGTTTTCCATTCCTGTACTTTTGATAATAATGCTCAAGTTTTCAGAATATTTATAAATAATTTCCTTTTAACTTTAGCCAACTTGGTCACACATAAAATTCTTTTCACAAGATTAATCTTCCACAAACTTTCTATAAATTTGTCATCCAGTTATCTTATTCAGTTTTTGTCTATATTTTTTCTCTTTTTCTTTTTGGAACAGTAAGACATTCTACTTTTAGACAAAAAATACTCTCTTTTTCCCTTAACAAAAACACAACCTCTTACTTATAACTTTCTGTATGTGTTTTCCTTCCCTCGCGTACAGATTTGTTTCCCTTCATTATTTCTAGTTTAAATTACTCTAATATTAATTTTAATTAACTCTTAGTAACCTTAATTTCTAGTGAAAATTAGTAAGCATTTTGAAGTGCATCATGTTAGTATTTTGCAGATGAACACCATCTCATAAAATAATTTTTATGCCTTTAATTAACAGGCCCAAATATGTTTAGCTTTTCCATAACATGTGAAACCAAGATGCCAAATTACGTATATTTTAAACTTCTGTTAAGCAATTGATATTTCAGTATTTTCCTTAGAAATGACTCAAATATTAAATCAGTAAAGTGTTACTTAATTTAATATAACATGATTTTAAGATTTCAAGTCACACTAAATTATTTTTGAAATTCTGACAACTTTATTATCAACCTTTTGTCAATGTATATTCACCTAATTCACTTGTTCTTAACAATTGTGCTTCAGTTCCTCCTTAAACACAACGATGAGTGGATTTATAGCTTTAAGACATTCATTATACATCTCAGTAATAGCAAGCTTGTTTCACCAGTAACTTTAGGTTTAAAAACTGTATCTGTACATTGTAATTAATGCTGACAATTCTGAAAATATTTGTTTTTATTTTGCCAACAAATTTTAAAACTAGCTTTGTCTGCCAAAGATTATTTCATCACATAAGCCAAAAGGCAATTGAGTTTCTGTTTTTCTGAGAGAATTCTTAGTTTAAACACTTATGTTTTCTCTGTAAGCCAATTAAGTAGAGCCGTTTATGAATTTTGGTAGAAAAAATTGTACATACGCACACACACACACACACGTAGAAAAATACAGACAGAGGAAGAACTTACAACTTGCATTAAGAATTATTTGCCTGGCTTGCAAGTAGTTTTACTCCCTCTTTCAGACTATCTGTCTTTTAATGATCTGTTCAATTGGCCCATAAACAAGTGTTAGTTAGGCCACCCAAAATTTGTACTTCCAAAGAGATGATTTTTAGGTGAAGGAATGTAGAAAATTTAAATCTCAAAGGTACAGAACTTAAACACCACTATTTGTTGAGATGAAAAAAAGCATATATAGGAAGCCTTCAAAATGAAATGGTCAAGGGTGAGTTTACACAGATAGATAGATTTAGGTCTCTTCCTTTTGCTTTGTGAAAGCATCTAGTGTTTTAGGTGTCAGAGAGGGAGATATCCTTACAAAGCAGAGATTATCATTACAGGTTTACATTTCTTACAAAGAGTTTCAAAATAAACAGGTAAATGCCAAAAACATATATTTTGGTGACGGATTAATTCACTAGTTGGTCTATTCAACTTAACTTGTTTCCTAATGAGATTAAATTCATGCACAAATAACCAAACCAAAAATTAAACCAAAAGAATACTCACCAGAAAGGATGTCCTTTACAAGAGCAGATCCCCCAAAATGTAAGAGTTCACTGAAAAGGTGGGAGCTCAAACCAAGAGAGGACTTATCTCGCAGCATAAAGACAACTTGTACAAGTGAAGATCACAATAGGCTCAGGTGAGTATCATACACAATTTCAAGTATCGCCAGATACTTGAAAGCCTTCCAAAGGCTTTCTTTGTTACTGTTTGGATAACAGTGCTGTAACTGTAAGTAACAAAGAAGGCTTGGAGCCTTTGCATCTTGCTTCTGACATTAGATTATGTCAACTTAAACAACAGAGATACTGACTCTCTAAAATAAAGAGTGGAGTGTATTCAGGAAATAGCAGTAAATTGCAATTTGAAATACACATGCTATGGTGGACCTTAGGCACCAAAGAAGCTGAGGGACTGTATTAGTTTGTTCTAGCACAAAGAACTACCTGAGACTTGGTAATTTATAAAGAAAAGAGGTTTAATTGACTCATGATTTCATAGGCTGTACAGGAAACATGATTGGAGGAGGCCTCAGGAAACTTACAATGATGGCAGAAGGCAAAAAGGAAGGAGGCACGTCTTACATGGCCGAAGCAGGGGGAAGAGGGCAAAGGGGAAATACCACACACTTTTCAACAAGCAGGTCTCATGAGAACTCACTATCACAAGAACAGCAAGGAGGAAATCCACCCCCATGATCCAATCGCCTCTCACCAAGCCCCTCCTCCAACATTGGGGATTACAATTCGACATGAGATTTGGGTGGGGACACAAATCTAAACCATATCAGGAAGGCAAAAATCTTAAAAGAGAAATTTTATGTAAGTTTTGTAATAAACCTCATGGGCCAGAGAAGCTTGTTACAAGAGTTGGCAAATACTCATTGATAATATTGGCTGTTGCTGGAGAGATGTCTTCATAGAATTATCATATCTAACATTTTCGTGGTTTTTGAGAGAACCATTGCAGCAGTTCTTATTATAGACATATGTACATGAAGGCCCCTCTTTCATGGCCTCCCAGCTTCATTTTTTTATGGTTTGATGTAAGTGACTCCATTTTGGTGCTCACAACTTCCACATTTCTCCCTTTTGGTTGAAATATTTTTCTGAAAGCATTTCACACTTAAAAGATATAGATTGGCCGGGCATGCTGGTTCATACCCGTAATCCCAGCACGTTAGGAGGCGGAGGTGGGTGGATCACCTGAGGTTGGGAGTTCGAGACCAGCCTGACAAACATGGAGAAACCCCATTTCTACCAAAAATACAAAATTAGCTGGGCGTGGTGGCACGTGCCTGTAATCCCAGCTACTCAGGAGGCTGAGGCAGGAGAATCACTGGAATCCAAGAGGCAGAGGTTGCAGTGAGCTGAGATCACGCCATTGCACTCCAGCTTGGGCAACAAGAACGAAACTCCATCTCAAAAAACAAAAACAAAAACAAACCAACAAAAAATGAAATAATTGTAAAAACCAACCATAGTTCTCAGTAATGATAGTTTCATTTCCGTCAGCTATTAGTAGACTTAATTAACTCCTATCAACCTCACATTTTCCATTTAAAAAATACAGGAGAAAAAGTTTGATGTGGGTTTAATGAGAAAATTTATATAAAATAGATCTAACTACTATATTTATCACAAAACAGATGCACAAACTATGTTTTTTTCCTCTCACTTGTTCTTATTTTATATATCATTTTAATTGAGGAAATCATTGAGCATAATGTAACAAATATTTTCATAAGTTATTATAAAGAGGGTTTGAAGGACTTGTTAGAAAGTGTCTGGCAGTGGAAAAAACATCTGAATAGAAAATGAAAATAGCATGTGAATGCTGAAATAGCGTATTAAATAGCTGCAACTCTAATATAATTTACATTTGGATTTTAGTATAGACAGAATACTTAAATTTATTTCTGCAGTCTTTTCAGTTGTTAAACATTTTATTGAACTCTTCATGTGCCTTTCAGATGTATTGTGCTTCAAGTGTGCTTGTACCAGCTTTTTCTGTTTAGAAATGCTTGAGTGTCTCCATTGTCAAAACGATCAGAAGGCAGTAATTGTATTTCCAATGTGAGGACAAACAATACTAGATATCCTGCGATCCTACATTGTAAAAAATATTCCCATCAAATGCCCCAATGGATAGCCACGTAAGTGATCATCTGTAATTATTTAGTCAAGAAATGAATATTTTACATGTAAATACTTTGAATGGCTTAATACAAACTAAATTTTTCAGAATGCAACCACTACGGAAATTGAAGAGAAAAAGTCTTTTTATTGTAGAAACTTCCCAGAGTCTTTCAATATTTACAAAAATTATGTTGCCAATGGCAATACCTTAGTTATTTGAATCACCAGTAGAACACACTATAAAAACATGCATTGTCACATCTGTACCCTGTCACATCCAGGATAACGATAATATTGAGATATATAACTATTTAGCCCTTATTTTAAAACATCAGGTAACAAGCATCAATCAATTTCTATCAAATGTTTCAACTTGGGTATTACAGCATAAGCAGAAATATACTGTTACCAATATCCCAGCCAATTTCTTTTCCTAATGAAACAATAAAACTGAGAATATAGAGACCATTTAGTAAAGCTGATATATATATATATGTTTGCATATGTGTGTGTGTGTATATATACATATAAATGTAATTAATACAGTAGATGAGGTCAAAGAAGCAAGTGATACACAACTTTTAATTTGGATGGGATGTCCTTGAAGATTCCTGTATTAGTCCTTTCTCACATTCCTATATGAAAATACCTGAGACTGAGTAATTTATTAAAGAAAGAGGTTTAATTGACTCACAGTTCCCTATGACTGGGGAGGCCTCAGGAAACTTACAATCGTAGTGGAAGGTGAAAGGGAGGCAGGCACTTTCTTCACAAAATGGCAGGAAAAAGAAGGATGGAAGGAGGAACTTGCCGAACAGTTGTAAAACCATTAGATCTCGAGAGAACTCACTCACTGTCATGAGAACAGCTTGGGAGAAACCACCTCCATGATTCAATTACCTCCACCTGGTCTCTCCCTTGACATGTGGGGATTATGGGGTTTACAATTCACCATGAGATTTTGAGTGGGGACACAGCCAAACCATATCAACTCCTAAATCTTAATACACTTTATTACTAGCTGATATGATTTGGATCTGTGTCCCTTACCAAATCTCATGCCGAATTGTAATCCCCAGTGTTGGAGGTGGGGTCTTGTGGGAGGTGACTGGATCATGGGGGCAGATTTCCCCCTTTGATGCTGTATCATGATAGCGTCCTCATGAGATATGGTTGGTGAAAGTGTGTGGCACCTTTTCTCTTCCTCTCAGTCCTGCTTCTGCCTCGCAAGATTCGTGCTTCCACTTTGCCTTCTGCCATGAGTAAAATCTCCCTTTAGCCTCCCCAGAAGCAGATGCTGCTATGCTTCCTGTTCAGCCTGCAGAACTGCGAGCCAATTAAACTTCTTTGCTTTATAAATTACCCCATCTCAAGTGTTTCTTTATAGCAGCAGTGTGAGAACAAGCTAATACACTAGCCTTCTTGAATACATCTTAGCAAGCTCTCGAGCAGCGTAACGACATAGATTAGAGAAGGCCAAAACTGACAGATTCCCATCTTGACCAAAGTTTAATCATTCTTCTCCAGTCCCTCTTCTCAGGCCCAGTTTAACAAAGACGCCTGCTAAGCCAGTTCACTGAGAATCACTTCGCCCTGGATATCTTATCACTTTGGCATGCCTTTAGCAATAATGCAGTTTAGCAAGAACCCCGCTCCCCGCCACCCCACCCCCCGCCACCCTTAATATCTAATTAGTTTCTATCCACTGACTCACTCCCTCAGCTCTTTGCTTATAAATTTCCAGCTCCATGCTGGGAGAAATTTTAGTTCAATCTCTCTCTACTATAGCTATATTATTCCCCCATTGCTATAGTCCTGAATAGTCTTCCTTGCTATTTTTAACAAGCAACCAGTGTACACGTTTCCTTTTGACAAAACATAGTGTCCATATGTAGAGGGAAGAGGAAAGCTAACAAAATATAAAGTCATCCAAACCACACACACCTTGGACAAGCTTATCATGTGTGGGAATAAAATGCTGGAGGTGGGTTTGGCTTCCCAAAAAAAAAAAGTGTGTAGTTTGAAATTTCATATCAAGAACAGTTAAATTCCCAGATTCTTTATCATTACTGAATACCTTAGTAATTATTCTTCATTTAACACAACAGGAAATAGGAGATTTATTTTCTGGAGAGACTTGTCCAATTAAAGTGGGGATATGGTTGCTCCGTTGAGCAGAAATTTGGCTTATATAGACCCAAAGCTCAGAAAAAGAGTTATAGATCTAAAATGACAATCATTGAGACAATAAAGTCCATGGAAACCACGATGGGAAGCATCTACGTGGAAATAAAAAGTTGGATTTTCAGTAGAGAAATTGGTAACAATGTAAATTTCCTCTTAATGTCAGGTGAGAACTAATTCTGAAGTCAGAGGAGGAAAGTAGCCTACAACAAAGAGTAAGATCATCTTGACAGGATCAGGGAGAAAGATAATAGTTGCAAATGGAGACAGGTATATTGATTTAGTGCCAGGTAGTTGAAAGACTACGAGTATAAAGACTTATATTTTCTCTGTGTTGCAGTAGCAAAGTCATCTGCAGAGAGAGAGAAGTGAGAAGGGAGAAGAGAGTGTCAGAAATTAGAGGATTGTAGAGATTGAAAAAGTTATGTCAGGCACAATTGAAAACCCGGTTTCCAATGGTGATCATTGTCTTAAAATATTATCAGTTTGTTTTCTTGCATGGCATTCTTCAGCAGCAGTCATGGACTGAGAAATATGCAGAAATCAGATAGTTGAGTTCATCTAGAGAAGAGGTTGCAATGTGCTTCTAAAAAGGACAAAACCAAAAGCAACCGAGGGGGAGAGAGAGAGAGGGAGAAAGAGAGAGAGAAAAATGAAGATGTGAAAGGGGATAGGTCAAAACTCAGTAATTTTTTTTAAGCAAAGGGCCAGATAGTAAATATTTTTATTTTGTGAGCCATATTGTCTCTGTAGGAAGTACTCAGTTCTCCCATGTTCTGCAAAAGCAACCATGGACAATAAGAAAATGTGGCTGCGTTCCAATAAGAATTTATTTAAAAAATAGGTGATGGATTGTATTTAGCCCAAGGGAAGCAGTATGTCAATTCTGGTTTTATGTTACTGGCAATTACATTTTAAAATATTCAGTAATTGAATCTACAATATCGATTCCCAACTATTGCTGCATATTAGTATCATAATAGAATGCCAGGTCCCAGAGACACTGGGTCAGCCAATCTCAATTGGGGCCAAGGCACTCATATGTATCTTTGGAACCTCCTCAGGCAATTCTAACATAAAGCCAGTGTTGAGAAGAGCCATTGTTAGTTTGCTTGTGGGAGTAACTGACCGCAGGAGGATCATAATGCTATAGGCAAAGGCTGAGGCACCAGTGGATTGAAAGTCCTAGTGAGGCAGGAGAACAGCTGCAGTGGGAATTGTTGCCACACTGAACAGACAGGAGATTGATCAAAGAGTGGTGTGCTTATTTAGTCATTTAAGAGGAATATCATGTTTTGTCATTATACATTTCATGGGTTTGGTAAGCAGCCTCTAAAATTGCTCCATGTCACTTGTACCCCTGGTAGAGGTAACTCCTTGAGGAATCTTCTACTCTGTTGTCCTAGTTGAATTTATCTCACTTCACTATCAAATAGACTGTGGCAGAAGTGATGGATATCACTTCCAACATTAGATTGCACAAAGACTGTGGCTTCTGTCTTGGGAATCCTCTCTCTCTCTTTCATTGTAAGGGAAGCTGACTTCTATGTTGGGCGCTGCCTATTAAGAAGTCCACATAGCACGGAGCCAGTGTCACCAGTCACAGCCAGCAAGGAAGGACCTGGGGACTGCCCCCAGCCACATGATTAATCTTAGAAGTGAATCTTCCCTAAGTAAGGCTTTTAAATGATGGCAGCCTTATGAGAGTCCTTGAGCTAGAGGGCCTTACTAATTCTGATATAGTTCTTGACCCAGAGAAGTTGGCATAATGAATGTTTGTTGTTTTAATCCACTAAGTTTTGGAGGTAATATGTTAAGCATCAACAGATAACTAATAAAAGGAGTGATTCTGAGCAAGAAAGGCTTAAGTGGAGGGAAGCTAAGGTCGAATAGTTTATGAATATCATCCTGTAAGAATACAGGGCTTGGAGCTTTGAAGGTGGGAGCAGAAAAAAATTTATGTAAGCTTGTCATTAACAATATGACTAAAAAAGTTCATTATACTGAAGGATAAATGCTTACATGTGCCTCAGAGAATAGATGTTTTTATTCCCGGGAAGAAAGATAAACTTTTTCAAAAAACATAAAGATTAAGTAGGATGCAGTTTCCAGCTTTGGATTCTGACATTCAGGACATGGGGAGGGTGATGAGCTTCTCCTGGAGGACTGAATTTAGGACACAATCAAGTTCATGATGGAAGCCCTTATGAGGTAGAGAGGGAGTGCATCTCAGCTCTTTCGATTAATTAAATGATTGCTTGAATTGGAGAAGGTGTGGGTATTTTGTGTTGTTTGGGTGAGTACATTGGAATGGTTTTCTAGCATTCCTTTGAGATTTTCCACAGTATAAGTTAAGGTAAAAGAACATTTTTACTTGTTTCAGAAAGCATACTGAGGAAGCTTTAATGTTACTATTAAGTAGGTAGGGAAATGACCAATATTATAAACGCAGATTTCCAGCCTCTCCTTTTAATGCTTTCAGAATGATTCCACAAGAACCTTGAAAATGTTGAGTATTTATATTTATTTTATGCCCTTTTATTGTGATTTTTTTAATAAATAACATTTTTTTGGTAAATACTGGAAGTTAATATTCTATAGTTCAGAAAAGCAATTTTGAACACTCAACTAGTGAGCCCATATAAAACTACATAACAGCACAGAATATAGTAAAATAATAATATAATGAACTGGGAGACAAACTAGGCACTGTGTGCCAAGTTTTTCAAGGAAGATACAATTTCAATACCAATGAAATAAACTCCCACAAATTGATTTTTCTTTGTGTGCACTCATCAGTGTAAATACAATTAAGTAATAAAGCCTGTACTTGTTCAGGAAAGATGTTTTCTATTCATAGTCTGATATCTGGGTGCTTTGGTTTCTGATAATTTGTTATGTAAAAACCCTGCAAATTAAAAAAAAAAAAAAATCAGCAGCTCCAAGTTCATGGGCCCTTATCACAGAGGATTTAAAACCTGTGCATTTTCTTTAAACCGAGAATATTATTACATTTTTTAATCCAGTGATGAGACCATAATAGTTTTCTGAAATAATTCAGAATAATTATATACCTAAAAGTTAATTTGCATGTGCTGTAATTTAAATAAAAGGACAGTTAATTTTTGCATTACAAAACATGAAAAATAAAATCAAACGTTGCATCTTTACTTTTATTACATAAATTCCTTTACATTGTAGTGCCCCCTAGCACCACGCAAGTTTATAAACTGCTTTCAATATTAATTATGTTATTATAATAATAACTAATTTAAGAATGTATTATTAAAGTCAGTAATTTAATAATAATAATTTCAATAATATATGTGTCACAAAAATACCTGAAATTACAATTAGTATGTCCGGTTTACTGATGGGAATACTGTGGCTCAAAAACATCATCTCAGGCAGGGTGTGGTGGCTAACTCATGTAATCCCAGCACTTTGGGGGTCCAAAGCAGGTGGATCGCCTGAGATCAGGAGTTTGAGACCAGCCTGGCCAACATGGTGAAACCTCATCTCTACTAAAGTACAAAACCGGTCCGGCATGGTGGTGCACACCTGTAATCCCAGCTACTCGGGGGGCTGAGGCAGGAGAATCACTTGAACCCATGAGGAGGAGGTTGCAGTGAGCCAAGATCACACCACTGCCCTCTAGTCTGGGTGACAGAGCGAGAGTCCTTCTCAAAAAAAAAAAAAAAATCATCTCACCCAAATCATGTAGCTACAAAGTTATGGTTTAGAATAATTCAACTATTTTACTGAAATCAAAACTTTTACTATTAACCAATCAGTTACACTCAGCTTTGTGTAACTGAATACCAAATAACATCATGTTCCAGTAATTTTCATTTGAGTGAGAAGGGAGCACACTGGTACCCTGGACACACCCAGATACACTAAATCAGAACCTCTAAAACTTGGTGACTGTAAAAATAATTTTATTCTGAGTCTGAAACATATGCTCCGTGTTTCTTAGCAAGTTTCTGCAGCACAGGAGTCAGGTGAGGGAAGGTAGCGCCCCACTCCTGGTTATGGAAGGCAGAGGGTGAGTTCTGCTGCACATATGAAGCTATGGAGAGAGCAAGACTGCATAGGAGCAGGGTACAGTCTCTGGATATAGAAGACAGATAAACCTGGGTTATAGTTGACCCAGTGGAAAATTATAGGCCAAGAATAAGTTTCCAGATACCTTAATAGGACTGGGCATTTGATAAATTTTGAAAGTTCTCTGATAACTCGTATGTGCAGTGTAGGCTAAGAACTCACGGAAACAATATAGACATTTTTTGCCTCTCAGGGATATGCAGACACCCCAGTTCAGATATGATGTCTTCATGATCATCAGAAATCCAGATGGCTATTATCTTGTTGCTTTGCACCTCCAAGTACTGCTGCTTCTCATGTTGCCCCATGGCTGCCCCAGATCTAGCCATCAGAGCTGCCTTTCCAAGAAGGAAGAAAGCACAGAGATAGGACATGCCCCCTGCATGTAAGTCAGCTTCTCAGAAGTTACACGCGTTACTTCCCCTTACACAACATAGGTCAGAAATTGGTCACATGTGTCATGCCCTATGTTAAGAAAAGATTGGGAATATAGCATTTATTCCTGGTGATCATGTGTCCGGCTAAGCATTAGAGGACATTTTTACTGATGGCGAAAGGGTCAATGGAGATTGCAGTGAACCAGCCATCTCTGTCCAATAGGCACTTTATTTGGTGACGATAATTATAGGAAAGGTAGCACTAGACAGTTTTAATTCATTGAAGTTATTTTGGGTTTTTCTTGTTACTTTGTTTGTTTGCTTATTTGTTTTATCCTTCAGAGAAATGCTAGAAATTTAGTAATTAAATTAAATATTTCATTGAACACAAAAGCATAACATTATGGAAAAGAGTAACTGTTGTTTGGTTTTATTTATATATGTTAGTGTTTATACTGACTAATCTCACCAATGGAGACAGACAATTTCTAAGATTTATTATAGGCATTGTGTTTGGATCTTTCTTTCAGAAAAGTAAAAATCAGCTTAACCCAAAAATTATTTTAATAATAATTGGCATATCCAGCTTCATCCATGTCCCTACAGCGGACATGAACTCATACATTTTTATGTCTGCATAGTATTCCCATGGTGTATATGTGCCACATTTTCTTAATCCAGTCTATCATGGATGGACATTTGGGTTGGTTCCAAGTCTTTGCTATTGTGAATAGTGCCGCAATAAACATATGTGTGCATGTGTCTTTATAGCAGCATGATTTATAATCCTTTGGGTATATATCCAGTAATGGGATGGCTGGGTCAAATGGTTTTTCCAGTTCTAGAAGCTGGAAACCATCATTCTGAGCAAACTATCGCAAGGACAGAAAACCAAACACCGCATATCCTCACTCATAGGTGCAAATTGAACAATGAGAACACCTGGACACAGGGTGGGGAACACGACACACCAGAGCCTGTCGTGGGGTGGGAGGAGGGGGCAGGGATAGCATTAGGAGATGTGCCTAATGTAAATGACGAGTTAATGGCTGCAGCACACCAACATGGCACATGTATACATATGTAACAAACCTGCACATTGTGCACATGTACCCTAGAACTTAAAGTATAATAAAAATAAATAATAATTGGCATATCCAGAACCCTTTGCTGTCTTCTGCTACATTTGCACAAATTCACAGCTATTTGAATACCAGTCATTGTCAATCCTGGTCCTCTTTGAAAATACTGTTCCTTAGTTTTGCTCTCTGCCTAATTTACTTGGATTGAGGGGAAACCCAGGAATCAGTTGATTTGAGTACGTAGCCAATGTTGTAAAGAACTAATTGCTTTAACTTCTAATAGAAAAATATCACTATTTTTTTTAAAAAGTTACATAATTCATGTGTAGGAACATAATCCTTTTAGCCTAGAAGTAAAAAATGATATAGTCTTGCCCTATAGCACTGATCATGGCCATATATAATTTATAATAACCAAAATAATGACAATATTTTGGTACAGCATGCTCTATTAATTTGAATGCTCACGAGTTAACACATAATTCAATGTGATATGTATTAGGTTATAGAAAACCATGAGGTAAAAATCATAGGCTGCATTGAACTTTCTACTTCCCCAACTTTGCCTCATTATAGGGAGGGATGCAGCCCTAGAGTTCAAGAATTCCATAAAGACCAACCTGAAATTCTGGTGCCTGGCATCTTGTCACACCTTCTTCCAATACACAAACATCAAGGAGTGTAGAAGTTGAACATGGTCTGTTGTCACTGCCTCAAAGAATCCACTTCTAGCTTGTTCACACTAGGGTGTGAACATTTAAAGAGGGTAGGGAAGAACCACCTGGGTGGATTTTCACTGGGGATCTTATAATAAACTCTCAAAATCCCAGATTGAGACAAGGGAAGGGATGCTCAGTCGTATGTAATTAGGAAAAAGAGAGGGATTTTGAACCCACCCCTGCATCATCTAAGTCAAATAGAGCCAGTGTAACTGTTGGGACCGTTGCAGGTAGGGTGTGCTAGGTACCAAGCCGCAGTTAGGTAACCAATGACTTTTACAAGCTTATTTTCATCTCAGTACACCACATGCTTCATGTGCCACGTGCATGTATGTAAGTTACACATCTAAGATTATATTATTGGGTTACACTACCATGAATTATCTAAGGAAAACAGAATGATCATCATTGTGTGTGCAAAGACGACTTCTGAAATTAATACCAACAAGAGATTTCTTCTTTGCATATTTTCAAGCAGAAAGTGGACTAAATTATATCATTGGAGCATGACGTCTCAAAAAATATTTATTGCCAAATAATTCTTTACTGCTAAAAATTATTTATTGCATGAAATAGAAAAGATCTGAGACTGAAACTTCCATTTAAAAACATGATTTAAAAAAATAGAGTAATTACATAACAATTATGAAACTCAGATGCCAGAGTCAGAAATCAAGAAATTAACTATGTCAAGCAATTACAATATGATTACAAAGGCCCTTATATATTCATACAAGCTTTTTGCATTTTTTGAGCTAATTTTATGAAAAACATCAAAAGCCAGAAAACTAATGCTTAATGTATATTTTAAGGCCAAGAACAATATAGAAAAATTAATTTTCTCCTTAAAGTTTTTTAAGATATTTAAAGTAAACATTTTAAAAATTATTTAATCTGTGACCCAATTTGAATCACTTTGCTCTTCAGATTCCGATGTCTCCACAAAAATTCCGATGTCTCCTTGAAATTAGCTGATACATTATAAGAAATGAATGACTGTCCTGTCCTATTTGGGATACACATAAAAGTTACCCCAAAGGTTTAATTAGATAGTGAAGTACAAAAATACAGATTTGTAAAATATTACATATATAAACAATATAAATCTCTATTTTGACAAGTGACTTGATAAACTAGGTTAAATAATTGTTAATAGAGTTGAGTAAAGGCAGTGATGTTGGTAAACTAGTGATCCAAATGAAAAGAAAGTCGGCTGGGCACGGTGGCTCACGCCTGTAATCCCAGCACTTTGGGAGGCCAAGGCGGGTGGATCACAAGGTCAGGAGTTCGAGACCAGCCCGGCCAATATTGTGAAACCCCGTCTCTAATAAAAAATACACAAATTAGCCCAGCGTGGTGGCATGGTGCCTGTAGTCACAGCTACTCAGGAGGCTGAGGCAGGAGAATCGCTTGAACCAGGGAGGTGGAGGTTGCAGCGAGCTGAGACCACACCACTGCACTCCAGACTGGGCAACAGAGTGAGACGCCATCTCAAAAAAAAAAAAAAAAATACCAGAAAAAAAGAAAGTTTTGATACATGGTGTATGCTGCATGTATGTAAGTTACACTCAAAGAGTAAGTCCTCCCACCATAGCTGTTTTCAAGTTATTACCATTTCAAGATACTAACTCCTGTGAATAGGAGGGTGAAGTCTTTAAATTACAGGAAATTGCAATAAAAGCCTGAGGCAAAGATATTTCAAGGGTTTTGGTTAAACAAAAGACACATTGGCTGGCATGAACAAGAGGAATCCACTATTGAAACCATCTTAGTCAATGGCAGGAAGACAGTGTTATGAGTCTACTGGTTACAGAAAATCTTTGTTTTAAAAACTCAGGTTTATCGAATTAAAATTTATATATGCCAAAAGTCATCTTTTTAAGTATGCAGTGTGTTGAAAACATAGATGGTTATATAACAAATACCATCCTCAAGATATAGAACAGTAACATCACCTAGAAAAATTCCCTTTTGTGCCTTTTGAATCAGTATTTCTGCTGCCCTCAGTCTTTGGAAATCGCTGTTCTTTGTCCCTATGGTTTTATATTTTCTAGAATGTCATACACAAGGGAGCAAACAGCATCCTGAATAGGCCTTTAAATCTGGCTTTTAAAATAGCATAATAAATCTGAGACACATTCATGTTGTTATGTTATCAGATTTGTTTCTTTTTCTTCCTAATGTGATATTAAATAGATACAGTATATAACTTTTTGACTATTCACCAGTTTTTGAAATTATGAATCATATGGTTAAAGTCACCAACAGATATACATATGTATATTACATATATGTATAATAATGTATGTATATATAATATATGTATATATATATATGTATATATACATATATGTATATAGTATACATATAAATCAGTGGATTCTTCAATTTTTTTATTGTCAAAATGATTTTTCCATTATAATTCCTTTGCTTCTCTGTTGAAAGTTTTAGAATGAGCTTGTTTGTTAGTTGCAAATATCCTGTTAGGAATTTTAACTGGATTGAATTTTTGTATTGAATTTTTTGATTGGTTTGAACAGAATTAATTTATTGTCAATATTGGCTACCAAGCTCTTTACTTATTTACTTCTTCTTTGATTTCTTTTACCAGTGTTTTTTTAGTTTTTGTTACCCTTTCTCCATGTTTTTTTAGATTAAGAATTTAATGTTTCTTGTGCTACTTTAAATGTAACTTTAAAAAATTCTAATTTCCAATTGTTCATTAATAGTGTTGTAAAGTAGCGGGTCCCCCACCAGGGAATTTAAGGGCATATGTTAACTGCTTGAGTCCTGAAGGCTAGATGGTGAGCAAAGTTCATGGTGCTCAGCCGAGGAGCAGATGTCCCTGAAAACCAAAACATCCGGGAGCATATCTAGGTACATACCAAGAAGAACAGTTTCATCACATGTAGTAAGCAAAGAGCCAGAAAAGTAGCTTTGGCCGGGCGCGGTGGCTCATGCCTGTAATCCCAGCACTTTGAGAGGCCAAGGCGGGCGGATCACGAGGTCAGGAAATCAAGACCATCCTGGCTAACGTGGTGAAACCCCGTCTCTACTAAAAATACAAAAGATTAGCCGGGCGTGGTGGAAGGCGCCTATAGTCCCAGCTACTCGGGAGGCTGAGGCAGGAGAATGGCGTGAACCTGGGAGGCGGAGCTTGCAGTGAGCCGAGATCCCGCCACTGCACTGCAGCCTGGGCGACAGAGCGAGACTCCGTCAAAGAAAAGAAAAGAAAAGAAGAAAAAAAAGAAAAGAAAAGAAAGAAAAGAAAAGAAGAAAAGAAAAGAAAAGAAAAGTAGCTTAAAAGCAGCTTAGAGGAAGATGGTGGGCAGCAGGCGGATCTCTGGAGTTATCCCGCTGCCCTTTACGTAAGTCCTAATAAACTCGTCTTCTCATGAAGCTGGACTTGTCTGAGTCCTTCTTTGTTATTTCAGCACTATCTCTTTGGCAGAGGGATGTTCTTCTACACAGGTCTGGGTTTTTCCTGCAACAATTATATATAAAAAATAATTCTGTATATTAGCATTATAGTGTTATAGTGCATAGTGTGAAATTACAAAACTCACAATTTATTTCTAGTAGCTTCACTTTTAATAATTTTAATTATTTTGTACTCACAATTTATTTCTAGCAGCTTCACTGCTAATAATTTTAATTATTTTGTACATAATGGAATACTGTGCATAGACCATCCACGAAACAAATAGAGTTTTATTTCTTCGTATCCAATTTGTATGCCTTTTGTTTATTTTTCTTACTTTAGTACACTGGTTAAAATTTCCAGTATACAGTTAAATAGTTCTTGAGGACAGGTTTCCTGTACTTCTTTTCTTCGTGCCTGTGTATAACGTATATTTAACTATATAATACATACAACACAACTATGTTTGTCTTCATATAATTTTTTACCTTTTTTTTAGTTTGTTTACGTAGCCCCTATATCTCTAGAAATGTTTCTTGGATTTACGATTTGATTGCCTTCACTTCTTTTGGAAAATTCTCATTCATTTTGTTTTTAAGTATTTATCATCCTTGTTCTCTTTCATGAATCCGTTCAAGTTAGGCATCCAGAGCTGTCCTTCAGCTCTTGGATGCCATGTTCTGCTATTTATCACTCTTCTTGTTTCTTACTTGTATTTGTTATTCAATTTCTATGTTTTTTATCTTCAACTTTACTGTTCCATTCTTTATTCATATCAAGTCTTCTGATGAATTACTTCATTGGTGTTTGCATTTTGAGGTAGATACAACAGTATATCTATTGAGACATTAATTAGTGCAATTAAACCGAAGTTTAACACATTTTAAGTAAAAATTTATCCCACTATCGCATAAAACTTGTGAAAGTTAAAGTCATCAGCACTTAATATTGTCTGTCATGCGAGGCAATCGGCACTCAAGTGGCAAATGCACTCATTTAACTCTAAATTGGTACTTTAGTTAATCTCTCATATTGATTTTTTTAACCCTTAAACACTGGCAAAGAGAAGCATACACCTAAAGAGAGATTTTTTACATTATTGTTTATTTAGTTAGTTTTTAGAAACAAGGTCTCCTCTCTCTCTCAGGCTGGAGGGCTGTGGTGCAATCACAGCTCACTGCAGCCTCAAAATCCTGGGCCCAAGCATACCTCCCACCTCAGCCTCCCAAGTAGCTGGGATTACAAGTGCCTGCCTCAGTACCCGGCTACTTTTAAAACATTTTTTGATACACATAGAGTCTCAGTTTGCTGCTCAGGCTGGTCTCAAACTATTGGTCTCCAGCAATCCTCTTGCCTCAAGCTTCTAAAGTGCTGGGATTACAGGTTAACCAGGACACCTGGCCTAGAGGTTATTTTTTGTTGTTTTAATTTCTTTATTTAATAGTCTGTGTGTTTAAATTTTGTTGACAATAATCTTAACAGCAACAATAGTATCTACTTGAAAGGTATGCATTCTATATATAATTCCTTAGATATAAATTTAAGTATAAATATTTGAAAACTCCTTAATTTTTTAATATTGTGTCCCATTTCTTAAAAAAGAGAGAAGCTATATTAACTTTTGAATTCAGTACACAGTTAACAGTTCTTTCATTTAATATGTGATAATATAAATTTAACAGTGAAACTTTCAAATACTCATATTAACTTACCCTGATAGATTTTATAGCTTTAATATAAAACTTCTCATAAATGTAAAATTTGACAAAGCACAATATTCTCCAGGAAGTTAGAAAAGTAATATAATTTTCTGTCTCTCAGAATGTGTTTTCTAACCTCTAAATATAAATTGATGGACTAATCTTTTAAAATTCAGAATCAAATATAATTGCTTTGGTTTGATCATTGAGAATTCTTTTTCCATTCCATCATTTTATAGTTTTTGCCTAAATAAAATACTTAAGGAAGTTATTGTTATGTTGTATTTGAAAGATGCCTGATGGAGAAACATTCATAGTTCTTTTCTATCCTTATGAAAGGTTATATGAAAACATATATATATGTATATATATAAACATGTGGATAAAGTACAGAAAATCCTATCATTGCCTCTGACTCAAATGGTAATCTTTAATATAAAGATTTGAAACTTTCATGGAACAGTATATCAGAACTTTATTTCCAATTTGTTTATGTATACTTAACGTATATCCTAAGTATCAAGAAATCACATTCAATTAACATATACATTATAAAACAATTCCTATATGATAATTCTAATAAGTAAACATGATTTTAGTGGTAGTAATTATTCAATCAAATATTCATATTTTAAAGATTAAATCTTCATATTTTAAAGCACATTACATCAGTTTACAATTCGATATTGACTACTGGATAGAATTTATCAATGAAATTTTGAATATGGCATGGTTAATGCAGATCATGTGAATTAAATTGCAAGGCAGAGAGCTTTTAAATTAAAAAAATAAGCTGGTTTATAAATCCAGTGCTAGACAGTTAATAAAAGCAATACATATAAATCTCCCAGACACCTCCCAATCTTGGTATTTTGAAATATTTTCCTCTTTTTAATATTATTTAAATAAAAAAATTATCTGCCTTTAAGCAACAAAACATGAACTCTTGGTAGAAAATTCACTAATTGACATAGGTATCTAGACTTATAAACCTGTAAAAAATGTGAAATAGAAGGCATAAAGTATTTGAGTCAATAAATTACTAACTAAATCTTTTTTTTTTTTTTTTTTTTTTTGAGACGGAGTCTCGCTCTGTCGCCCAGGCTGGAGTGCAGTGGCGGGATCTCGGCTCACTGCAAGCTCCGCCTCCCGGGTTCACGCCATTCTCCTGCCTCAGCCTCCCAAGTAGCTGGGACTACAGGCGCCCGCCACTACGCCCGGCTAATTTTTTGTATTTTTAGTAGAGACGGGGTTTCACTGTTTTAGCCGGGATGGTCTCGATCTCCTGACCTCGTGATCCGCCCGCCTCGGCCTCCCAAAGTGCTGGGATTACAGGCGTGAGCCACCGCGCCCGGCCTTAACTAAATCTTTTGATTAAATCAGCTTTATAAAAAAAGTAAACGTAAACACATAAGTCTTTGTATAAGCACCCCTACATTTTTAAAAGTATATTTGCCTTTTCATAAACTCAGTTGAGTAGTGGTAACATTCATCATCACAACTTTTTAGAGGCAATGAAATTGATGTCATTTGAGGTCTTCATCTCATATTTATCTTTTATTTTCTTATTTTGTCATGTTTAGCAAAGGATAGTAAAAGTAGAGGATCATTCAACCCAGAAATACAGGGAAACTGATCCTTGTAAATAGCACCCTTTATAGACTCATGGATATTTTAAGAGCAAGATGTGCTAGAAAGGAAAATAAGGCAATCTCTTAATGCTGTGCCTTTTCTTCCATTACATTTTTAGATTATATATTATCCCTTGTTTATTTCTGTAGCTGGGGAAAATATTTTTATTGAAATAGATTGTTTTTTGAAGTTTGCTATATTAGGTAAAAATAAATACCAAACTTCTCTGTCTTCAGTTTAATAGAAAAAAAAAATCCCTTGTTACTCTGCTTCTGCCTTACTGTTAGTAGAAAGATTTATGATTAAGTAATTTTAGTAGGACAACATTAAGAACAAAAACATGAACCAAAATACTTTTTAAAATAAATATACACATTTTTACTATATATAGACACATATATAAAAGTATATATACATATATGTATATATGTGACTTCAATAACAGGAAAATAGATTTTCCAGATTAACAATCTAAACATCTCATCCATAACAAAAGGTTAGGCTCTATACCAATGCTTGAATGAAAACTGTAATATCATCCATTAAAAAAAATGCCAACACATGCATAATTTTAGGCTGTAAAAATGAAAATATTTCAGAATTGATTAACAAATGGTGGAAGTTAAAGTTGTCTCTTCCCGACCTGCACTTTGTTTTCTGTCTCTTGCCTTTTCTCACATTTTATTTTTCCTTCCTATCTCAACAATATACCCCACCTGCAGTGTGCCCAATGTGGACACATACCTGCTTTTTTCAGGCACTGTTTTGGACAACATTTCCCTACTGAGCATTAAATCACTTTTTCTTAAATACGTACTAAAGATTTCCATGGCTGAAAAGCTAGTTCCACATACATTAATAATCCTTGAAGAATTAAATCAGATACAACCTCTACATCAGCACAATATTTCAAGGTGGTAAGGGAGTGCTACTGCTGGGTTCGTCTTCACTTAATAACTTTATTAATGATGTGGATGAGTGAACAAATATGAAAAGAAAATTTATAGGTATTACATACGTAGATTCTGCAGAAACAAATAGGCTGGAAGGTAATGACTGTAGAATGACCTAGAGAGGTTAAAAAAAGAAAATAGTAGTCCAATATTATTCCACTTTTAAGTAAATGAGACCATTAAGCTCTTTAAAATAACCAGTAAATAAAAACTCAAAGCAATGATAGCTACATCAAAAAGTGAGGGAAGAGGGGAAATTATATGTTGCAATGTTACAGAGTACATTAAAGCATTCAGTATATTTCCTGAAAATTTCATAAGCACAGTTCTTAATGTTTATTCATAAATAAACAAAACCAAACCAAAAGCCATAGTTCATTTGTTTCTAACTAAGAGTACAAATTATTTATGCGGAAAAGTACATATAAGCTCACATAAATAACACGAATAATGTTTTCATTGTGAAGATATTCATAACGTTCAAATGACAAGGTCTTAGGAACTCTGCACCTTCATTAATTTTAATCAATATTTAACAATCAAGATTGTTTTCAATAAATCATGATCTAATAATGAAAGGGGGAAACTATTTGTTTTAACTTTCATTTCAGTTTTACCCTTTACTCACAAGTTGAAATTCATTCTCACTCTTTGCAAACTATTTTGAAACACTTCCAGGTAAAATTCATATAAATATTTTATTTTTCCTAATTTTTGGAAAAATTTTAGACTATTACAATCTGAGTTAATAGCCTAGTTCCTTTGTTGATCCAGTGTAAATAAATATTTCTCTTTTCTTGCTGTATTAAAAAACCCACAGTCTCTATAGCCAAGTCTATATCTATATCGATATCTATCTGTATCTGTATCTATCTATGTGTATCTCTATCGATGTATGCATACACAAATAATATCTGTGGAAGAATTTTTTTTCATGTAGTGTAATATCCACAGCTCTTCTACTTTAACCATAACTCAAGTTAATAACATTTTATTGTCTTTTGTTAGTTTTACCTGGAAAAGAAAGCACATCATATACAATATTATAAAATAGAAATAAAACTAAATATAGTGTTTTAGAAGGTAACAAAGTTTTATGTTTAAGGATATTAAATAAAATCTATTTCTTCCAGTATATTTTTTCACAATCTGTCTTAAATGGAATCTTCAGATATCTTAACAAGTTGACTACTAGATTTTGTAGTGTATTCCAATCAGATATCTATCTGAGGCCACTCTTTTTTTTAATAATCTAGGCTTCTGTAGACAATGTGGAAACATTTTTAAAATGATGACGCCCTCCTTTTCCTTCGTAGCTAAATTAGTACACAAAATTCTAAATATTTCCTTAGTTTTAATAATAATAAAGCAATATAAGATTCACCCTCTGTATTCAATTCTTTGTTACCAATTCTGCTATAATTAGAATTTTTGAAATTCTTAGTTATAACCTTTATTTTTGATAATTGCATTTAAAATGCAATGATAAAGCAAATAATTAAAATGCTAGGAATAAAATTGTCCTTTATTAGTTTATCATAAAGTTCCATAAATTTCAGCTCTCCTTGATTTCTCACTATTCTAGTTCATCAATTTTGTAATTAATCATTAAACATTATTCTTTCTCTATATTAAAAATATTAGCAATTAACAAATCCCTATTTAATATTATATTCATTGTTTTAGTTTGATGCTTTTTTTTTTTAGTGATATGTACAGAAGACAAAAAAATGATGTGCAGCCTTTGTGTTCCATTTATTGTTGCGTAAAATAAAATTTCATCAATCTTGGATAAAAATTCTTAGGCCTATGATTATATTTGAAGGAAACACTAACTTCTGACATGATTATTTAGAACACACATTTTCTTAACTTGTCTTCCATTTTAATGGAGCTATAAATAGCTTTGGCAAATTTTTCTGCTTTGCTGTTAATTTAACTCAGTAGATTTATTGAAATTTTAAGACACCACGTTACGCAAGATTTAGGGTATGTGACTACTCTTTCCTCCTGTGTGGAGGTCGACATTGCCACAGTCTAATATCATAGTTCCCCTAAGTGGTCCCCTCCCAGAAGTGAGTTGCAAGTTCCTGCTGACTTTCAGAATTATTTCTCCATGTTTATGTCATTTTGATGCAAGAGAGGTCAATACACAGGTATGTCATCAAAATAATATTTAGACTATGTCATTCCCACAAAAAACAACTTATATGCCATGTTTTACTCACTACCAAAGTCTTGTTGAATACTACTTGTTTCATTCCTCTAGCCAGGAGACAACCTGGCAGGTATACTGCCTGAGCACCAAGAAGTTATCATATAATTTGCGTTTCACTGACCTCTCTTACCTTGTCAAATTACCCACAATAATTTTGGTAAAGTTGCATCTAACTTGGTATGGACTAAAAATACTTGCGTCGCCCCCAAAATTTGTATGTTAAAACCCTAATTCCACTGAGATGATATTTGGAAACAGGGCCTTTGGGAAATAATTAGGTCATGAGTCTCTCTCTCTCTTTCTCTCTCTCTCTCTCTCTCTCTCTCTCTCTCTGTCTGGTCTCTCTCTCTGTCTCTTTATGAGGACATGACAAGGAATGGAGGTTTTACCTGTAACCATTGACTGGCACCTTTATCTTGGACTCTCAGCCTCCAGAACTCCGAGAAGTAAATTTCTATTGTTTAAACCAGTCAGTGTATGTTGTTTTTGTTGTTGTTATAGCAGCTTGAATTAAGACACAATTTTCCTAAAACTTAAAAATGTCAGATTGGTGGATAAAATTGTATTTCATTGTGCTTTTTTCTTCAAGCCTTATACCTCTGACTCCAAACTCATAGTAACCAGTGTAAGACATGGTAGAATCTTTCCACTAGTGCTTGGGACACTATTTATAGTATCTACCCAATCTAATTTTAATGAAAAAGTTGAAGGTTGGTATAAAAAAATGTTTATCATCTAGGAGTTCCAGGCTCAATTCAACATACTTGTGATGGTCTCATGTAGTAGCAGTGACAGTCAACTACAAATGGTGCCTGAACAGGGACATTTCAGAGACTATCAGGGACATACAGAGACCTGAAAGGACCTGGAGGGACCTGAAGAGGCCTGCAGGGATAAACAGAGATAAGTGGAGGTAAGTACAGAAAAGTAAGTAGAGATAAGTAAGTAGAGAAAAGTAGAGATAGGTAGGGAAAGACGGGGACTTGCAGGAACTAACAGGTACCATAGGGACAGACAGAGACAGATAGGAATAGATAAAGACTAGCAATATAAGGTCAGTGCCCTGAAGAGGTACTGGTCTGTGTCCTAAAGAGGTACAAAAGTAGAGACTAGCAAAGACTAGGAGAGATTTGGAGGAACAGACAGGGACAGATAGGGACAGATAGGGTCCTATAGGACTAGAGCGAGGAAGGTCTGCTGGAACAGAAAAAAACTAAAACCAACTAGATGAACGAGAAAGCCCATTACAACTCTGTTGGCAGCGACATAAGGTTAGTTCTCTAAAAAGGTACTGGTCAGTGCCCTAGAGGTACAAAGAATGGGAAGTTTTTAAAACAGGGAAACGAGGAAGAATTTGGCTATTTCTTTTCTCTTTTTTGTTTGTTTGGAGTTTTGGTATGTACCATCTTTTTGTTATTTAGAATTTTTTGCCCCACCTACAGTGCCTATCGAAAATGGTGAACAGAAGAGGGAGAATGAAAATTGCCTTGTATCGTCTTCTTTGGTGGCTACAGAAAGGCTAACTTTAGCTTTGGCTTTCATGGATTGTAAACGTGCACTGGCACCTGTGAGATGTGCAGAGGACTTGGGAGGCTTTCTCAGAGCTTGTCAAGATGTGGGAACTGAGCTTCATTGCTCTGCAGTATTGACTCAGGCAATAGCAAATTTGGTGGCTGACAGATCTAAAAGAAGCCAAGGGTCAAGCCCTAAAGTGGGAAAGTGTCATAAGTGTAGAAAACTTGGACGTTTCAAAAGAGAATGCCGTCAGACCTCTGTGAACAAGAGATCTTGTAACATAGTCCCCCTCTTAACAGAAAAAAAATGCCGGACTTTGCCCTCGATGCAATAAAGGAAATCATTGGGCTAATCAACACCACTCAAAATTTCATCAAAACGGCACCCCCCTGTTGGGAAGCAAGAAGGGGGCCTGGACCCGGGCACCTCAAACTATGAGGGCGTTCCCTGTCCAGGCCACAACTCCGTTTCAGGGGTGGGTTTCCAGAGGCACATGGATTCCCTCTCCCCAGGAACACCTGGAAACGCAGGATTAGATCTCCCAGAGAACCAATTACATTAAATGAAAGAAACAAACTCACTAAGATTCACATTGGTATTTGGGGATCTTTGCCAACAAGATACATGGGATTGATTTTGGTAAAAGCTGTCTTAACTTACAGGCCCAGGAGTTGTTGATTTTGATTGTGAAGGAGAAATTCAGGTAGTGGTAATGTCACAAGATCTTTGGGTTTTTGAACTGGGAGAATATGTTGCTCAATTTTCGCTTCTTCCCTGTAAATTGTACCCTTCTCCACATAAGAAGAAGCGAGGTGGTCAGGGATTTGGAAGTGCAACTAGGAGAGAGATTTATCTATCACCACCCATAGCATCTAGTGGACCCACCTGTACAGTGCAAATTGAAGGTTTAAGGACTGCTTTTTGCTATACTGTTTTACGAGAAGGATAAGCCTCGATTTGCTTTCTCTGTGCCGTGTGTTAATCAGAAAGAGCCTGCTTCTTGTTCTCAGTGGAAAGTTTTACCCCACGGCAATTAACCAAAGAGGCAGAAGCTGAGTTACAAATGTTTCAGCAATGGCGTGCCTCCCGGCTACAGCAAAAAAAATAAAAAATAAATAAAAAAGAAAACACTTTTGATTCTGTTTGGTAGATTTACTAACGTGGGGACGAGGGTATACTTACGTCTTTGCAGAAGATGAACAAACCGAGTGGGTGCTCCCAAGGTGTGTACGACCGTTGAACAGGAGACTGGAGGGACCCATGGATCCCAACCATGGACCTTGTTCCCCCGGTATGAACCATGAACCAGTTGAATCTGAATGCAAAGATGGAATGAGGACCACTAGAAGCAGGGAGCTCTCTTCTTCCCCATGCTAGCCTTTCCTTAAAACAGTTTCTTTTGTTTTTTGTTACCATTTCTATGTTCGTCTCTTCATTCAGTCTAGTAATGACGGTCTCAAGTAGTAACCGTGGCAGTCAGCCACACTTAAATCTTAATGCTTTTGAATTCTAGAAGGAACTCAAAAAGAGACAAACAAGTCAGTCATAGTAGTAATACATGGAGAATGAATTGTGAAATCTAAGAGACTGAATATCATGTCAAGCATAAGCTTTTTCAAAGCAATTAAACTGGGCTTTTAATGACATTACTTAGACTTTCCAGACAAAATGTGTAACAATACAGCTAATTTTAATAAAATGACTTTGAAATCCCCAAACTCAAATATAATCTCATGAAGTAATTGTTTGTGATAACACCTTAATATGTTTTATACCATCATTATGAAAAACAGTGCAAGAGAAAGGAGAAAAAATTCTTTATTGTGAGTTAAAAACTTTGAAACCTAAGTCAATCATTTTTATTGTTTCAAGAAATATTTCCCCACGGCTACTTTAGTAGCAAAATCAAAGTCAGGAGCCCAGGCTTCTGTAAACAAAGTTTAATTGTATCCCCTCCCCCTTTCTTCTCTGTCTCATAATTTTCTCAGTACTTTTTAAGGGGCGAGAGGCATCCCCATGAATGACGCTGTTATAGGTTCTAAGGCAGAGGATGTGATGATGATGATCTTTGGGAAACGGTGAGGTGAATGTTGTCCACGAAGCTGCTTTCTAGTAGGGTGTCTGTGGGAAACTATACCCTTTCTGTGGGGTCTTCTGAATGTAGCTAATACTATTTTTGTTTGGGCTGGAAGTTTTTTATTATTATTGTTTTTACACTTCAAGTTCTAGAGTACATGTGCATAACGTGCAGGTTTGTTACATATGTATATATGTGCCGTGTTGGTTTGCTGCACCCATTAACTCATCATTTACATTAGGTATTTCCTCTAATGCTATCCCTCCCCCATCCCTCCACCCTACGACAGGCCCCTGTGTGTGATGTTCCCCGCCCTGTGTCCAAGTGTTCTCATTGTTCAATTCCCACCTGTGAGTGAGAACATGCGGTGTTTGGTTTTCTGTCCTTGTGATATTTTGCTGAGAATGCTGGTTTCCAGCTTCATCCAAGTCACTACAAAGGACATGAGCTCATCCTTTTTTATGGCTGCATAGTATTCCGTGGTATATATGTGCCAGATTTTCTTAATCCAGGCTATCGTTGATGGACATTTGGGTTGGTTCCAAGTCTTTGCTATTGTGAATAGTGCCTCAATAAACATATATGTGCATGTGTCTTTATAGTAGCATGATTTATAATCCTTTGGGTATATACCCAGTAATGGGATGGCTGGGTCAAATGGTATTTCTAGTTCTAGATCCTTGAGGAATCGTCACACTGTCTTCCACAATGGTTGAACTAGTTTACACTCCCACCAACAGTGTAAAAGTGTTCCTCTTTCTCCACATCCTCTCCAGCACCTGTTGTTTCCTGACTTTTTAATGATCGCCATTCTAACTGGTGTGAGATGCTATCTCATTGTAGTTTTGATTTGCATTTCTCTGATGACCAGAGATGATGAGCACTGTTAAGTTCTATCCTCTCCATATGTCCATGGGGCTGTTGGAAATATTCTTTTTCTGGGCTTCATGCTGTGCCCAGAGCATTTCCTTTTTCCTTCTCCTTTTTAAGGCAAGGATGCATCTGTTTTCATAAGGTTTGTGATAAAACAACACTCAAGTTTTGCAAGTTACATGATTGTCATCATCATCGCACTAATTTTTTGTGAAATATGCATTTTAATTACTTCCAAGAGGGTTTATTTCTAATGAAAAAAATTAAACAATAAATAATTTTAGACTTACCCCATGCAAGAAATGACAAATTCACTGAAGCAAACATGTTTAGGCTACACTGTATACAATCTACAAATTGCCTGCTCAGTCTCAGTTTCTTGCATATATTTCTCATACATCTAAATGTTAATTTCCACACTTCTGTCTCTCTGAATCCCTGGCAAATGGCAATGGCTAGTGACTTTGCATTCACCTATCAGAAAAACATGAATCCGGACACACTTCCGGGAGCATGGGACGTGGTAGGAATTTACTGGATAATAGGAACTGATATGTTACTTTGAGAGTGCTAAAATTCTCCCAGTGAATGTAACTTTGCCTATATTTTATATAACTTATTGGTTTTGGTTTGATAATTAAAAATATCAAAATTATCCTGGGGCAGGAGCCAAGGATGGTATTATACAGTGAGAAGTGAGTCCCACATGTCAGTCTTGTCATTTTCTTCCTCAGATAAAGTGCAGAATTTTGTCATCAGTAATATGAAAGAGAGATTTTACAGAAAAATTGCCAATTTTTGTCCATGAAGATGAGGGCAATATGCTAAGTATCAACGGACTAAAAGATGGCATATATTTTTTAGTGGGACATCCATGCAAGACTGCATTTCTTACCTGTTGACTATTACAGTAAATAGAAAATAATTATTTTAATTAAGCGACTACAATTTAGGGCATTTGTTGTAGAAATTTACAAATGTTTCACATTGCTTGACTTCAGGGGGCGCCATTTTTACATCATCCATTTCTAATAGCATGGCCAAGAGTATACTCCAAGTAACAAATGAGGTATAGCATATGAGACAAAGTAGAAACACTTAAAGGGTTAAAGAAATTTTCACCCGTATCTCTATGATGCAAAGTAAAGCAAAAGACAAAGAAACAAGCAAAAAAGAACAAGTGGTCGCCAAGCTGGACTGCAGTGATAAAACCATGGCTCACTGCAAACTCCGCTTTCTGAGCTCAGGCAATCCTCCCACCTCAGCCTCATGAGTAGCTGGGACCACAGGTGCCCACCACCACTCCTGGCTAATTTTTGGGTTTTTAGTAGAGACAGATTTTTGCCACATTGGCCGGGTGGGTCCCAAACTCCTGAGCTCAAGCAATCCACCCACTTCGGCCTCCCAAAGTGTTGAGATTACAGGCATAAGCCACCACACCCGGCCGCTGCATTTTTTTTTAATGGGAAATAACAAGCATATTCATTACATATAAAATGATATATTTAGAAATTTTGTAGGCTTTATAAATTCTGTTGGATAATGGAAAATTTTTTATTGTATTTTTTGTGTATGAGAACATAATGTTATAAAGTAAAATGTACATAGAGGGAAATGGGATTGTGAGGATAGTAACCATAGGTGAGGAGATGGATGAAAGAAAGGTCTTACACTGCTGTAAGGAGCTGTTACTATATCTTCTTCATATTTTTATAAAACATATCTTATTAGAAGACTTAAGTTACTTATTTTTTTCTTGTATGTATATATTCACCTCCATTTTGAAGGCTATTAGTCTGGGAAACCTACAAGAACATTGCCGTAGGGAAGCTCAAGTATGTTAACAACAACAAAAATAGTTCTGTGAATGCCTTTACATAATATAAGGTCTACATATTCTCTCTAGATCTGTGCGCCGTAAGACTGGATTTTGAAAAGCTGAGGCATAGACTGATAGCTCTTTACCACACTTGTTTTTTCTTCTTTCTGGATACATAGCTTGGCTATATTTCCATGCAACTGTGTCCCGGTTAATGTGTACCACTTTTAGAGGGTGGTACATATAAATGTTTCTTCCAGTTCTTTCAACATGTGTCATTTGAAAAAGGAGAACTCTGAAGCCCTCTAGGAAGTTGGAGCTACAATACTGGAGGCCAGTTTCCTGAATTACTCCCTGGTAAAAGCCACCCAGACAAGAAATGCCTTTATTTGAATGTTATTAATGAGAAACACATTTTAAACTTTCAGCCACTTTAACTTTGAGGATTGTTTGTTAAAACAGCTGGTGTTACCCAAACTGTTATAGGAGTCTACTAAATATCATTTCATTTTTTTCCCTTCTCAAACTCAGAATGAATTGGGAGATAGCCGTGGGCATTAAAACTGTTTCAAGAAGTGCAACTTAGCGTTCAGGGCTGACCTCATGAGCTTCCAGAGACATCAGAGTAAGTGACCCTTATTCTAGTTTCGAAGCTCTGTTCTAGTTCTAAGCATGCAAATAAATTTTAAGCAGGATTTCTTAGCCTGCAGGAGCTGAGGATGATTAATAAGTCCTGCTGTTATGCATAAATGCACTGACCTATACTGTGCCCTTCAGTCAAATTGTATATTGTTTAATCGTGATAAATGAAGTGCACCAGGCACAGATAAGCTAGTCCCTGGAGTATGTCCAGATACACCTGAAAGAAGAATGACTCAAGCTGGGTGTGTAAAGCTACACTTTGGAGGATAGAGCTTCCCACAGGTGCAATGGAACTCTCACTTCTCACTTGCTCAGAAATTATGATCTGCAGTGTGAGTCTCCCCTGGTAAGGAAACGTGTCCAGCTCCTTGAAACATGTTCTAGAGAACAGCATTCATTACCCTCCCATGAACTTAAACATGCTTCTTGGCTCCTGTGCATTTTAGGTAAGTAAGCTTTGATTTCCCCAGGTGGTGTCGGTGTCTAGTCTTTTCATAAACTTGCACTTACTATTAACATGGAGAGGACATCCACAGGCCGAGATACATTGCCATGTCTTGCATTAAAAGCAAATGAACCTGAAGTTTTTTTGTAAACAACTTACGAAGTTTCATTTGATTTGATTTGATTTTTAATAATTCCCTGAATTGCTGTGATAATTAGAGTAGTGAATTCATTTCTGGTATGTTTTAAAAGTAATTCAAGGAAAATAATTTTGCAGAATCCTGATTTAGATAATATGAAGAGTGAATAGGAAAATGATGAAATTGTTGCTGCTTTTTACAGAGGCTTAGAATCATGGAAATCATTTGCTTTCAGGTATAAAAGGGAATAATTTCATTTTCTACTTTTTACTTTAAATTTCTGTTATCTATGTCTACATGCTTCTGTCCATTTCTTCATAGTTTGTTTTTTAAATAATATGCTTCTACCATTCTCTGAAAGCTATTTTAATTTTTCAGCTTGAATATAAATTGGTTGATACTGGCTGCAAATTATTTTTGGTATTCTAATTTGTCTATTTTTCTTTTTCTTGAAATGGAATAAATAAGCTTCACACACACACACACACACACACACACACACACACACACACACACACAAACCCTAAACAAACAAAAAAAATCACACAGCACCAGCAAACTACTAGGATTTACTGTAGGATAAAAGCTCTACATGGCCCTGCATACAAACTTTCTGCATACTTCTGCAAATTTTTATGCATTACTCAATCCATTAAAAATCACCTTGGAAGAAATTGCAAACACAATAGAAACTAAATGAGATAGTCACAGAGAACAACAAAAATAGTAATTTAAGCTCCCATACAACATCAAGTGTGTTCAGTCTATTTTTGGTTCTTCGGGTTCTCTTTAAAATTGAATTGAGTTTGTATATGCATATGTATGTAGGAGTGGAGGATGGAATTAATTATCCCAAACATCCTACACTCACTCCTCTAATATTTCTTTTGTTAACATGCAAATCTGTTCTCTTCATTACGGTGATACTGCATTTACATTACAACACAATTAGAGATCATTAACTTTCTCCTTTATAATCAGCCATTTTCACAGGCCTTTGATATACAAGCACCTATAATATATTCTTACTCATCTCACACTTTCATTTACCAAAGTGTCAAAACAACATTTTTACATCATTGATATTTGTTTTAGTTTCTGCAAGCTGGCTGTTAGAAGATGATTACTTCTCTTAAATTACCTCTTACCCTCATCTTGCTATCTTTTTAAAAGGAAAGAAAAAGCACTATAAAAATCAGACACTTTGGGTTCTGAACCTTTTATTTTGTGTGAAAAGATACTTATTTATGTATGCTAAATCACACTGATGCGGAAGACAAACTGGCTCTTCGTTATTTTTTTTTGGCACTTTATAGAGGAAATGTGTGGAGAACAGATCTTTCCTAAGGTATTATATTCATGTGCCTTAAAGATTAAGAATACTCAATGCGCCAAGAAGTGCTATATACCAGAAAAGTTTGTATCAATTAATGTATCTAAATTAAGTTAAAGTTTCTTTCAATTTAATGTGCTTGCAGATGTAAAATTGCATGTTTAAGTTTTGCAGTTATGTACTAAATCTGGTGCTACACTTCTAATGTCTAAAGGTTTTATTCAATTTCAATTTATTTGTTTTATAGTTTGCCAGAATGTGCTTATGAAAGGCACTCTCAGTCATAAAAATAAAATTATAAGCAGACTGGCACATAACTATTTTTTTAAATAATAAACTTTCTGATTTTAGAGACTTGTATTCTTTTATAGGTCCTGGTTCTCTTTCACGCTCTGACCTATAAGAACCCATACAGCATGCATTGCTGTGTATGGAAAAGCAGTAAAGGGAAGTACAGCCACCTTTTAGGTCCCATGAATAGCAAAATCTCTTTGACTAATCTCTTGTTTCAGGGTATGTCCACTCCTTGTTTAAAGAATGTAACTGGCTGGGCTTGGTGGCTCACTCCTGTAATCCCAGCACTTTGGGAAGCCAAGGTGGGCAGATTACAAGGTCAGGAGTTTAAGACCAGCCTGGCCAATATGGTGAAACCCCATCTCTACTAAAAATACAAAAATTAGTCGGCCGTGATGGTGGGTGCCTGTAGTCTCAGCTACTCAGGAGGCTGACTCAGGAGAATTGCTTGAACCCAGGAGGCAGAGGTTGCAGTGAGCCAAGATTGTGCCACTGCACTCCAGCCTAGGGGACAGAGTGAGACTCCATCTCAAAAAAAAAAAAAAAAAAAAAATGTAACCACACTCAATAGTCACTAGCACATTGTTTTGAATAGACTATATACTGAAAGATATCTGCTGGATATAGAATGACCTCAGGAAAAAGTCTAGACACTATAATCCATCTCACTTGCCAGCATTTAGCGACCTTTCAGCTTCATTACTGACTTTCAGCCAGTGTCCCTTAGGTGAGTGACTTGAGTCCTCTTTCATAATATTTGGCAGGAGAAAAGATGAGGTCATTGCTCCATCAATCCCGTCATGTCATGTCTGCTCATGTGTCATAGCTTATAAATAGTTACATGGTTCTGTCCAAGTGCAAGGGGGGCATTGCAGGTAGAGGTCTGTCTCCATGCGCCTTGAAAAGAAAATAACCAAATATCAGGGGAAAACAATAATATGAGCCATAGTGCCTGATATATACTATGACATCATAGAGATTTAATGAGTATTAATCAGGATTCAATGGCTGCAGGAGACAAACAGTTTCACAAACGAGGGTAATTAACTGGCTCATAGGCAATATCTCAAGAAAGGTGGGGTATTGTTATACTTCATGTGTTGCAGAAACATAGATGCTCCAATTTTACATGTTCTTTCTGTGTATGTAACATTCTTTGCCTTCTGGGTCTCAGCTTTATCTCTCAGGTTGACGTCTGTCACAGCTGTAGAGATAGTCACTGTCAATTCCTAGTTTCACAGTCTCCCATTTTCCAGTGGAGTCTTACTCTTTCTTTGTTTCCAGTTCAAATGTACTGGTTCTTAATTTAGCTTCGGGACCTATTGAATCAGTCTGTGGAAGCTGGAATAATATGATTAGGGCAGCAGAAATGAAGAATGCTTCTTTAGACCAATCACTATGTCCATGAGGCAGACTAAGGACTACATGACCCTAATAAATTCTAATTTCTAGAGCTTCTTATCTGGATCCTGAAGCAGTTTCGGCCTTTATACTATGAGAGACTGAATACACTAACAGACAATGGTGGTTCCACACACAGAAAATCAACTCTGACCTCTGCAGCAACCAGTCTGCAGCGATTGGTCCAAATGCTTAGGAATTGGTGGGTAACTTCCAGCTTCCCTAAGTGTTTCCCTCCAGCTTCCAATTTAGAACCAACCAGAGAATGCTAATTATGCAGCTTCACCCATCAAATAGGATGTTTTGCTTCTAGTTATCCAACCTTTAGATTCCCCATGACAATAATTTCCAACCAGGGCATTCCTGCAGCCTTCTGGTTTTCCCATGATAAAGCTTTCTCACTGCCTGCCTGCCTTTGATTCGTTGCCATATTGCAAGTGATGGTGGCCAACTCCCTGGCTACAGCAAGCTCTGACTGAATAACCTGTATTTCTTTTCATTTGAGCAGTCTTAGCTTATTTTTATAACTATTGAGGAAACGTTGTAGCAACCCTTACACTAAATGAACTTAATTATGCCAAACCTTTACTTACTACTTAAACAAATACTCTTCCAGACAATGTTACCAAACAGTGTCCCCTTTGTTGTGAAATCTTGTAGATACTGTTTAATTAGTAGAATCCTCTTACTTTCTTTTCCCTGTCAGTTTTACAGTATCCAACTGGTCCCGTGTATGATAGAAAACATTTCTATAAGGTAACACAGTATATTTCAACCCACACTATTACTATTGATGAGATTACTTTGCTATTCACATCTCATAACATTAGCAAAAATGCACAAATCTTAAACTGCCTTCTTTTTCCCCTCCAGGATGAAGGACAACCACATATTTAGCTGACAGTGATTCAAACTCTCATCTTGTCCAAAACTGACTTAAATGGCATAACTTTAATTAACTCTGATCTTACATTATCTGTTGACAGTTTTCACCTAGAATAGAGAAAATTAACCTTGTTTTGGATATTCTCTTATCTCTGAAGACTCCATCTGCCTGGGTTGCTGAATCAATTTTTGTAACTGGAACTCACAATCCAGCCTGAGGCAAAAAGTGAAGAGTATATGAGAGAGAGAACATTTATGTAGATAGTAGACAAGCACTAGAAATTGTGCATGATTTTGGAATGAAGGGCTCTTAGGTTCATTTTCGACTCTTAGCTGCAAGTATAGAAATTAAAAAGAAAATTAATGTTTTATCTGACTCCTTAAGAAATTATAAGTTAATTTAAACATATCTACTCCAGTGAAATAGAAATGAAATCTAAAGTTAATTCTCAGGCATATTGCTTTGCAAGAAATGCTCCTCTTCATAGAAAGCTGCCCAAGTAAACAAAATACTCCCTTACTGTAAACATTTATTCCTCTTTATGAAAAGTTACTTGTAAAAGAATTTTAACTAGGTATTGAGATTTATTTGACAGTTCAATGATAGCCACTCGGTGGCTCCTAAATCCGTACAAATAACATTAGCAATCACACTGTGTGGATCTACCTAAAATACTAAAGGTATCTCAGAATCAGTGTTACTAAGATATCGTGGATGAGTTTGTCTAGAGAAGAGCAAGCATGCCTTATCTGGAAATTCTGTAACCACCACAATGCTGATTAATCTGTAAAAGTGGGTCAAAACTTTCAACCACTATCACAGGCACTTTAACCCCCTATAAATGGACATTGTACAAATACCTTAGTCCCAAGGAAACCAATATGTCCTGGAGATTGTTTGTGAATGTCCCTAGTGGAGCAAAGCCTAAGTATAAGAATCTTTTTGGTGTGTTTTCCCCACCTGGGATCTCCTGTCAACCCTGTCAGCTGAAGGAAGGGCTCATTTTACAAGGAAGTGTTTTTGACGATTTTGCATGGTTGTCTTTATCTCTAAAGCATAATTACACTTATAATCTGAAAAGTATATAAAAGATAGAGATATTAAGTTGTTTGTTAAAAATAAGTAATCTGAATGTTCAGAATGACTTCGTCTCCCTTGTTCTATAGTGCTTCTTTCAGTGTTACTAGCCATGTGATCCTCAGCTTTAAATCTTACAGGCTTTTTCTTGTGAAGTGGTAACTGTAAGAACCATGAACTTGGATCTAGTTACTACATTCGCCAATTCTTCATTTTGTGGTAGTTGTTGTTATTTTTCTTTATGAGACAGGGTCCTGCTCTGTTGCCCAGGCTGATGTACAGTGGCATGATCACGGCTCATTGCAGCCTTGAACTCCTGGGCTCAAGCAATCCTCCAACCTCAGCCTTCTGAGTAGCTGGAACTACAGGCATGCACCACCATACCTCACCATTTTCTTTTTTTGTATATATACATTTTTTTTTCGGTAGAGAATCAGTTCTTCATTATTAAGTTTATAAAATACCAGCCAGAGGCCAGGCGCAGTGGCTCACGCCTATAATCACAGCATTTTGGGAGGCTGAGGCAGATGGATCACTTGAGGCCAGGAGTTCAAGACCAACCTAGACAACATGGTAAAATCCTGTCTCTACTAAAAATACAAAAAAATTACAAAAAATTAGCCAGGCATGGTAGTGCCTGCCTGTAGTCCCAGCTACTTGGGTGGCTGGGGCATGAGAATTGCCTGAACCCAGAAGTCAGAGGTTGCAGTGAGCCGAGATCATGTCACTGCACTCCAGCCTGGATGACAGAGAGAGAAGCTCTCAAAAAAATAAAAATAAAAATACAGCCAGAGATCGATTTAACTGTTAACTATTATTTGATGTAATTAGCTACATACCTATCATATAATTAAAATTCAGTATTGAGATGGTTGTCATAGGGACACTTCAAACCAGATTAAGTTTATTTTAAAAGTGAATTGAGAGATTTTACTTTATAAAAAAAAAACCAATTTGGTTAGTTTGCCATTTAGGCTTCTAATTTTGATCTGAGGCCTGCTAACCCTGGAGATTACACAAAGACTTTGTGAGGCGTACTGCGGCCAGGCAAAGACTTTTAAAGAACAGGTTTCCAGGTGTCACATTCGAATACTTCTTTCATCATTCTTGCTGTCCCTCTTTCATTTCTTCTTTTTCAAAAGAATTCTTCTCCCACAATGTTTCTTTTTTTAAAAGAGAAAAATATATCTCCACTTTTTTTAACTTTACCTTGGTGCTTTGTCCCCAGGTGTTGAAATTTCCAGGATGCAAAACGAAGGGGCAATTCAAAACATTCATCTCCACTTCTCAAAAGTAAGTCACCTTGATGACTGGGTAACAAAATCTTGCTAATCATTTGTGTTTTTTGTTTTGTTTTGTTTTGTTTTAGATTTTTAATTACTTTTAAAAATTTGAAGAAATACCTAGTTGAATTGTCAATGGACACCTGCAATTTTTGTTGTCATTCTTCAAAGGAGTTCAAAGAATCAAATGTCATTGTTATAACAAAGCCCTTCCAATCCTATCCACTTATTTCTGAGAACAAGATTTCTCAGTTCTTAGATCTTATAAAAATAATGATATAGGAATAAGAATGATGTGGAACCTGCCACCTTCTAGCAATAAAAAAGGTTCATTTATAAAAACATGAATTTATAGGCAAAACATTAGGAGGTAAATTTCAAAAAACGCTTTTGCAAATAATTAAATTTTAAAATCTGTCACATGTTTATGTTTTAATTCAACTTTTAATAAAATTTGAATGTATGGAGGCATTTTTTATTTTTTCCTCCTTATCACTCTGGGCCATAAAGCTCCACTTCTTTCAGAACATGTGCATGAGATATTTATACAGCTCTTCAGCTAAGGTTACTAATATGCAGCCCTGTGATGCCACCAGTTATAATTCTATTACTGCATTATTACTCTTTCAATTAAAAAGAAATAGTAGAAAAAACAAAGCAAACAAACAAACAAAAGGCAAAATAATTGCATTTCAGAGGATGTCTGTTCCCGTGTAAGGTGCGCCTGTCCTTGCTTCAAGGGGAGTGGGTTACTTTTTTTTAAGTTTTTATATTTTCAAGATTTGGGGTTTGATACAACCATTTTTTTTTTAACTTTAAATTCTGGGATACATGTGCTAAACGTGCAATTGTGTCACATAGGTATACATGTACCATGGTGGTTTGCTGTACCTATCAACCTGTCATCTAGGTTTTAAGCCCCACATGCATTAGGTATTTGTCCTAATGCTCTCCCTCCCCTTGCCCCCCAGCCCCCGACAGGCCTTGGTGTGTGATGTTCCCCTCCCTGTGTCCATTTGTTCTCATTGTTCAGCTCCCACTTATGAGTGAGAACATGTGCTGTTTGGTTTTCTGTTCCTGTGTTAGTTTGTTGAGAATGATGGTTTCCAGCTTCATTCATGTCCCTGCAAAAGACATGAATTCTTTCTTTTTTATGGCTGCATAGTATTCCATGGTATATATGTGTCACATTTTCTTTATCCAGTCTATCAATTGATGGGCATTTGGACAACCATATTTTTTGTTGAGTTTTGTTTCTTTAGTGGCTTAGCCATCTCTGCTGGTTTTAGTTAGTTCCAGCTGAGTCAATGGCTCATCTTAGACTGCATTTCTACCACCAACCTCTGCAAGGAAATACTCCACAGGACTTCTGGCCTAGACCTGAGGTTGCCATGGATTCATATTGAGCAAGTGAGTTCCATGTACACATCCCAGTCTTTCCTCAAGTAGCCTGCACGCCCTGTCTCCACCCTCAGTTTAAGAACACCAATGAGGTTTTTGAGATGTTCTTCTTACTCTCTGCCAAAGCAAGATATCTGATAGAAGGAGAAACCCTGTATTGACTCCCTGGCTTTTTGTTTATTCCAAAATTATGCTCTGTCTGGCTGACACATTGTGAAATTTAAGGGGAAAATTAGACCTTTTCCTCATTTCACTTTCATTGTTTCTTTTTTTAAAATCTATTGTGTATTTCATTCATTTTGGGGGGGGAACAAATTCTACAAACTGCTTTAATATTGTCCTTTTTTTCTAATATTCACATTAACTTTTTATGTAAAACATACCAATGCTTTTAATAAAGCTTACATAGGAATAAACTATTATAGACCTGCATAGATATAAGTACACATGTATTAATCTACATTAAAATAATGGATTTTATTCTGCGAAGACTCCAAGTTGCTCCTGGGTGCTAAGTGAAGCACTTAGGGAAATGTGTTCAGTCTTTGAGGTCATAGGAACATTAGATTATATCAAAGGAAACCTGGAGCCATCAGCTAAGTGGCCCTTCTGTCCTGTAGATACATAAAAACTAATGTGCTCCGCTATGCGGCTCACTTTCTGCTATTAGATACTATGAGGCACTAAGAAAAAACTACTGCCTGCATCATATCTTTCTTCGGTTTGAGATAAAGAGAATGGCCAGAACTGTATACAAGTCATGAAAGGCCCTGGTGTACATTTTTCAAAGTAGTGCAGATTGTGTTGAAATTATCAGTTTATCTTGCATATAAAAAAAACGTATATACACTTTGAGTAAAATATAAAAAGTGGTAAATATCACGAAAAGTTTGTTTTACTGTAACCATTTCTTGTTCTATTCTATTTGAGTATTTGCTCTATATATTTGATATACTTCCAGAATGCATCCTATTCACAAAGCAGGCAATTACTCTATCAGTGAATACAGTTGCAGAGTCTCTCCTCTATTCAGCTTCATTTGTACCTCCACTCCAGCCACTTGCAGAAATGGCGGATGCATCAAAAAGACTGGTTACAGGCCTTGCAACCTCCAAGCGGCTAATTACCAAGATGTTAAGTAAATGACCATTGCTCTTTATCATCCCCAATGGCGTATAAAAAGGATGTTAAACAGGTTGTCTCATGTTCCCTATACATTTATTCATTCCCGTGTTAAAATACGTCTTATGGGAAAAACAAAATTCACCAAAGAATGAGGAAGCGAACATGTGTTAACAGAGGGACTTCTGGCTAATTTTACAAAGAAGGATAAAAATTCTCAAAATATGTGTGGGGTGGATTGCGGGGGTATTACATATTCATAGCATGCCGCAGAAATCATTTTAAGTCTATCAAAAACAACTATATTGTGCATTTTCAAATAAGCACATATAAAAGATGAGCTATAAGAAGAGAGAAGGATGCTAAAATAAATAAGTGAAAGAGAAAAATGGCTGGGCACGGTGGCTCAAGCCTGTAATCCCAGCACTTTTGGGGGCCGAGAGGTCAGGAGTTCAAGACCAGCCTGGCCAACATGGTGAAACCTGGTCTCTACAAAAATACAAAAATTAGCTGGGCATGTTGGCTCATGCCTGTAATCCCAGCTACTCGGGAGGCTGAGGCAGGAGAATCCCTTGAACCTGGGAGGCGGAGGTTGCAGTGTGCCAAGACCGCATCGTTGCACTCCAGCCTGGACAACAAGAGTGGAACTCCGTCTCGAAAAAAAAAAAAAAAGAGAAAAGTAGGTGAAAAGAAGTAATTAAATGGTAAGGAAAGAATAGGTCAGGACAGGAATCCAGGATGACTTTACTATATTTGAACCATAGAACATTAACCAAAATCTTATTTTTCTTCCCCTCAGTAGTTTGAAGTTGAGCAATATCTGTGTCTTTTGCATCACACTCTGAAATTGCAAATTATTTCTTGTCCTTTCAGATAAATGATTATGCAAAAGAAGCCCAGAACTGGCACAATTTAGAAGGTTTGAGGTTGCTCTCATGTGTTTGTAGGGTATGCTATCATCATCCCATAGCCTAAGGCTGTAGTATTGGACTCTCTGGAAGCAGCTCTGAATGTGATAGGATGGAGATAATTGAAGATACAAGCAGCCATTATGTGTCTGAATATTGGTTTACTAGAAGAGCTAGATGTGTAGGAGCACATCCTTACTTGACAAATGTCTGACAGAATGACCTGGCACCATTACTGTTTTAAATGTGTAATATGCTATCTCAACTGGGACATTTTATGAAAGCTATAGGTTGTGACCTACTGTTCATTACACTTAGTTTCTGAGGTGCCAAAGACTGATGTGTGAGCCAAAGTTCATTATTGTTCTTCACTGGATCTTTGCATTTATTAGTCTGATGTTAATGGGATTCGCTCTTGAGTTGGATTGATGTTCAAGGTTACAGCGACAGATGAGCTCCTGATCTTGACCAGAAATGATTTGCCCATTGCCAATTAGAAGAAGAAAAGGGCAAGGTGGAGGTTGAACTTGGAGTTAATAGGAATAATAGATGCTGAGGGTGCAAGATGAAACTCAGTAAGATAATACACTCTATTCTTAGACTGGCAAATTTACATAGTAAAGAGAACTTTTATCATTGTCATCCAAAGAAAATATAATCCTAAGAGAAAAAGTCCAGCTAGTTTTTTTTTTCTTTTTTGTTACCTGCTCATAGGATATAAACTTATTTCTATCACACACAGGTATCATTTTCTACACTTAAAACACTTCTTCTATTTCACACAAATGACAAAAAATGTCCTTCAATTATTTTGACACACGATCTCTCAAGATACATATCGTTTTATATCAACTATAAATACAAATTTAAAATTTTGATAAAAGAGAAATAACTGGAATAAAACAAAGCAGTATTTTTTAAAACTATAGCTTTTCCCCTAAGATATTCTCACACTAAAGAATTTTTCCCAATTCTTCTCCCCCACTGAGAAGTACAGTCTTCAAAAATTAGTCCAGGTATTAGTGTTTACCAAGGAGGAATATTTTGAACAAGAATAATCTGATGCTACTTTTCATTTGTCAAGTACATTTTCTAAATTATATTCTAATAAGAGAGAATATGCACATTTGCATGTCATGATTCTTATAAATATTTACTGAGTACTGTCTCTCTGTAAAGAACTACAGTGGGATGGATTTAAGATATATAATACATAATTTTTCATCTTCAAATTGTTCACGTTTTGTAGAGATAGTAACTTGTGCATAAATGACTAGAATGTTAAGTTGCTAAGTGACAAGTGACAAAAATGTTTAACCTGTAAAATCTTCCCCTTGGGAAATTGAGGAATAAAAACTTCCAACTAAAGGAACAAAGATTGTCATGAGCAAAGTTGTATAAAAAATAAATTAAATGTAGGATAATAAAGGTAGTGTATTAAAGTGAGAAGGGTTAGGGTTTCTTAGGTGACAGACTGGCTTGATTTTGTGACTTGTGTGATGGTAGCAAGTTATGTAACACCTCTGAGTTTCCATATCTTCATCTGTGAAGTAGACATAGCTGAACCAACCACATGGAATTGTTGCGAGGGTGAAATGCAATGGTGTGTGCAAGTTTCTAGGCAGTGTTGGACTGGATCTACTATTACGCTATACAAATGATACTTAGAATTTTTACAGTTATGCTTAATATTGTCATAATTCCAGGAAATGAGAAAAATCTCAGCAGAGGTACAAAACGGGCAAGCTCTGGGAAAAATGATCTTAGTGGGTTTATTTCAAAGGATGCTTGAAAGTGATCTGTGGAAAACAAAATTGACAAAAAGTGCATGTTGAAATGGAAATTAACGGGTCTTTGAATGTTAAGAGAAAGATAGCGGGCATGCTCTTTCATCTGTCTATCCCTGGCCCTTAGCATGCCTGGTGCTTTTCAGTGCTCCAGCTTTACGTGTTTAATCGTTTTTGTTTCATTCGAAATAAATGTTCTCATAGATATAGAAAACCAGCAGGCAATAAAATATATATTCTGAGCTGTGATTTAGTGGTATTATTACTTAGCAACAGTGTGTAGGATGAATTACAGAAAGCAAAAGTAGGGCATAATTATAATCACTAAGACTAATTATCAATATAAACTTTTGCCAGAACAATTGTAAATATATGGAGAGGTGATGCACATGAAAAACACATTAAAATACCCTAGGATTTTGCCAAAATAAGCTGTGTAATAAAACAAAGGGAGAAGAAATTGAAGAATATGATGAAGTTTAAATTGAGGTTCAAGGTGTTTTGCATGAAGAAAGATGAGAAATTTAAATTTGAGATATGATGAGTTTATGGTAGGAAATTGAGATACCATATTTTGCCAGTTGGACTAGACCTCACAAAAAGACTCAAAATAAGTATGCAGAACGCATTAGTTTAGATATATTTGAAGAGACCATGGGAAAAAAAGGAAAAAGGGAGGAGTTTAAAGAGTCAAACAAAAAGATGATGGAAAGGCAGTGGGAGACATAAAAGGGAACCAGAAATCTTAAGAGGAGAAAGTGTTCTGAAGAAACACACAAAGTCAATTACTTAAAAAGTTGAGAATCACTGGCAGTGCTGGATGATCGTGACTTTTTTCTCTATTTCAGTAAGCGGGCGATGGACATTAGAATGCAAGAGATGGATGAGGTATGGAAGTAGAAGGAATAAATGTCAACTATTATTTTAAAACATTTGCACAGAAAGCAAAGTAGGATAAGAGCTTAAAAATAAAGGTTCTGTTTATTTTCATTTTGTAGTCGTAGGGAAAATGTGGGCATGTTAAAAGAAAAGCTGAGTGTAAAAAGGGAATGAGAGGACAAATTGAAATAGACATGGGTTCAAATCCCAGATCCCACTGGACATCTCTGAGGCTTACTAGACATCATCTGTAAATATAAGATAAACACCTAATATAAAATGTGTTCAGCTATAAGAAGTTTGAGTTAGTGTATATGATTTTTAGAAAATCAATTTATCATATACAATAAAACATATATTAAATTAGACAGTTTGATGCATATTGACAATTGTATATCCCCTGCACATTTCCATCATATATGAAAACTTCTCACATGCCCTCACCATCTCAATCCCTGATCACAGGCAACCACTGATGGAGGTTCTGTCATTATGTACAGGATATATCTTTTCTAAATTTTGTATAAGTGACATCATACATGTGCATTATTTTGTTTCTGTCTTCTTTATCTCAGCATCTTGTTTTTTGAAATTTGTTCTTATTGAGTACATCAGTGGTCAGCTCCTTATTATTGCTTAGTGTATTTCATTTTAAAAGTATAATTATTACATATTGTGTGGAAAGATTTAAACATTCAGAAAATATAAAACTCAGTGCAACTATTTTTTCCTACTCTTCATGTATTATAATTCAGTCTTTTTGATAATTTTATATATATAGAAGGTATGATATTTATATTACATTTAAAATTTAGTACAACTTTTATTAAAGTGTACATATTATTTATACAATGCTTTTTTCTTTTCTATATCTATACAGCTTACCCATTTTTGAGAAGGCTGCATTTTTTTCTATAACATGTATATGTTGTACTTTACTTGTCTATATCCCCATTAAGAGATATGTTGCTTCCAGGTTTCATTATTATAAATACTGTTTCAGTGAACAGCTTTCAATATACATCTTTGTGCCCATGTGACAATAAAAGTATTTTTGTATGCATCTGCAAGTATAATAGTTATAGTGTCCATGCATTTTCAATTGGGTAGTTGTTTCAAAATAGCCCTACATTTTTCAAATAATTCTAATTCAAAGGACTGCTCCCCTTTCAAACCTGGTAAATATTGAAGTCCTTAATGCTTTTGCCAGAATTAGGCTGAATTGACAGAGCACTGATATGTAGAAGATATATATATATATATATATATATACATGTATATTATATATATATTATAAATATAATATATATATATAAAATTCTTAAAATTTAGCAAGTAACTGAACAACAAAAATGACAGATAAAAGAAGCAGGTCATGCATAGCCTATCTGCCTGAGATTTATTTAACCCTTCTTCAGAAGAGGCTTTGATTCTTGTCTCTCTGTGTCTACCTATAGACAGCATTTCTCCCAGGAAGCTTGCCCTGACCTCCTAGAATTGGTTATGTACCATTTATATATTTTTCATATTCCAATGTACATAACTCATAACAGAAATTATCACAAGGGAACAGCTGTGGTTTTATTGTTATGTCTAGCTATCCAGCTATCATCTTCACCAGACTGTAAGCTCCTTGAAGGCAGAAGCCAGATTTATCTTCATGACCTCTGTGTTTTAGATGAGGTCTCAGAGATAGAGGTCAGAATTTTCCCTCTAGGTAAATTAATTAGATTAACCTCAACTTATACAAAACAGTAGTCATTAAATTTATCCCCAGCCATCAGGAGCTTAACTACTCTGGAGAGAGAGCCAGGTGTTGGAGTAGGCAATTAAGACATCAAGACAAAAGGACATTAACAAACCTTTGAGGTTAAACTGGAAAAAGCCCTGACGGTCCAGTCCCCATCCTTTTTTTCCTTCATGAAACAGCTCTATCAAGGATCACATGGGTCAGCACAGATGTGGAGTTGTCTCACTATCAAAGGAACCCTGAACAACAGGCTCCTGCAGTTTTATGGAAGGTCAGGAAAAGGCTGGGAGCGGAAAAGCACTGAGTATTGAATCAGAAGGAAGACAATTGTCTTCAAGACTCCTCCTCCTCTCCCCATGAAAAGGAGGTCTTGGGCAAACATGCCTGGGGAAGGTCTGCCAAGGTCCCACAGTGGAGAGGCCTCCAGGGGAGGCACCAGTCAAGTGATGCTGATCTGTGTGTGAGCATGGCCCTGCAGCCCTTACTGAAACTGCCATTAGAGGACTATGCACTAGTGTGGGGAGGGCAGCTCTCCCTGTGGGACCCACTTGGTCAAGTCTTTGTCATTGTTTATGGATGGGCCCAAAAATCACATATAGGATTGAGTCTGGGGCTGAACTCTTTACTGCTCTGTCTGTATTCCCTGTCTTGGTTGACACCTAATACATGACTAAGAAACTAAGAAATCATTTTAGACGTCGTTTTTGTGTCTGTGTTTTATGCTTTGTTGGCTTGAAAACTTCATCCAATAAAACTTTAGTTATTTTTATTACCATTTCTTCCTTTATGACCCCACAGCATCCTCCATGTGCCAGGGTCCAAATCATCTTTAACCCGGACTATTGTATCAGTACCCAAATATATTCTTTCATCAAAATATATTCTTTCTCTTCTCTGGCTGTAATCTCATTCATTTCCAGGCTACTTCTTTTCAAACTAAAAAGCAAATATAATCACACTATTCTCTTTCTTCAAACACTTTCCCAATTCCTAGAGTAAAATCCCCCTTTTATAACATATAAGGCCTCAGTGACCTACCCTCAGGACTTCTTTAATTATTCTCCCATATTGTCCTATTATGTACCTGTTCCATCATCCTTACAACCCTCAGAACTCCCTAATCTGTTTTAATGCCACATTGTTATGCTCTTAATTTCCTTTGATAAAATGATTCTTTCCATTCATAAACTAGTTGATTACCACAACTTCTTAAGTATTCTATTGAAGTTTATCTTATTAGTCCATTTCACACTGCTATAAAGATACTACCTGAGAATGGATAATTTATAAACAAAAGAGGCTTACTTGACTCACAATTCCACATGGCTGAACTTATAAGTGAACTTATAATTAAACTTATAATCATGGTGGAAGGTGAAGGGAAAGCAAGGCAAGTCTTACACTGTGGCAGGTAAGAGAGAGAGCATGCAGGGGAAACTGCCACTTATAAAACCATCAGATCTCCTGAGAACCCCCTCACTATCACAAGAACAGCATAGAAAACCACCCTTTTGAGCTAATCACCTCCCACCAGGTCCCTCCCCATGACACATGGGGATTACAATTCGAGTTGAGATTTGGGTGGGGACACAGAGCCAAATCATAACATGTATCTTCTTTGCCAAGATTTTCCTTACAACGCAAAGTAGATTGACATATTTTAATTTCTTCCATCCCACCTCACCATAATATTCTTACCTCTATGACAGTGCTCATCAAAATTTGTAGCTATTATTTGTTTAAATGACTTCATTATGCTTCTTAAGAGGCATAAACTTTCTGCTATATTCATCTTTGTATGCCTGTCACACATTACATTGGCTGAGACAAGGTAAATATTTAATACATATCTATTAAATAAGAAACTTAAAAAAATAAAAGAGTGAATGAATAACTGTATCTAGGAAGTATGAAAGTGACTTATCTTTTAGCATTTTTCATCAAGGAATTAAGAAATGTGTGGGGAAAAAGTTAAGAGGCCCCAGTTAAAATGGCTTTTATCCCAAATTCAGGCAATAACAAAAGTTGGCGAGGATATACAGAAAAAGGAACCCTTGCACACTGTCAGTGGGAATGTACATTAGTATGACCCTTAAGGAGAACAGTCTGGAGGTTTCTCAAAAAGCAAAAATTGAGCTATCATATGATCCAGCAATCCCACTCCTGGGTGTATAACCAAAAGAAAGGACATAGTATATCAGAGAGATATCTGCACTCCATGTTTATTTCAGCACTACTCACAATAGCCAAAATTTGGAATCAACCTAAGTATCCATCAAGAGATGAATGAATGAAGAAAATATAGTACATATACAAAATGGAATACCATTCAGCCATAAAAAACAATGAGTTCCTGTCATCTGCTACAATGTGGATAGAACTGGAGGTCATTATGTTAAGTGAAACAAGCCAGGCGCAGAAAGACAAACTTCGGATGCTCTCACTTATTTGTGGGAGCTAAGGCTTAAAACAATTGAACTCATGGAGATAAACAGTATAAAGGTTAACAGGCTGAGAAGGGTAGTGAGGGTTTGGGAGGAAAGCGGGGCACACTAATAGGTACAAAAACATAGTTAGAAAGAATGAATAAGACCTAGCATTTGCTAGCACAACAGGGTGACTATAGTCAAAAATAATTTAATCGTACATTTAAAAATAACTAGAAGAGTATAATCAGATTGTTTGTAACACAAAGGATAACTGTGTGAAGTGATGCATATTCAATTTACCCTGATGTGATTATTATGCATGTATCAAAACATCTCATGTACTCCATAAATTTTCAAAAGAAGTATGTATAGCATAATGCTTAAAATAATATACTGTAATAGTCTACAACTTGGCAAGAAATTAAGCTTTCGTTTATTTTTGTCACAACAGGTATACTACATGCAGATTAAAATATATATTTTATATATATATATATATACCATTTATCTTTTAAGGGCATTTTTCATAACCTTGAAATATAAACAATAAAAATTATGAAGCAATAATTTATTTTTTTAAAAAAATCCACTTGCCAAACAAACAAGATACTCCTTCCAGGATGTCAGTAATATCAAGATAAAATGCCAGAGAATTTTAGCTGAGTATAGTAAATCAAACAGCTAATTTTTAACTTTGATGGAGGAGAAAATTAGATAAATTCTGAAAATTCATCCATCATTTTTAGAGCACTAACCTTATGTCGCTGCCAACAGAGTTGTAATGGGCTTTCTCGTTCATCTAGTTGGTTTTAGTTTTTTTCTGTTCCAGCAGACCTTCCTCGCTCTAGTCCTATAGGACCCTATCTGTCCCTATCTGTCCCTGTCTGTTCCTCCAAATCTCTCCTAGTCTTTGCTAGTCTCTACTTTTGTACCTCTTTAGGACACAGACCAGTACCTCTTCAGGGCACTGACCTTATATTGCTAGTCTTTATCTATTCCTATCTGTCTCTGTCTGTCCCTATGGTACCTGTTAGTTCCTGCAAGTCCCCGTCTTTCCCTACCTATCTCTACTTTTCTCTACTTACTTATCTCTACTTACTTTTCTGTACTTACCTCCACTTATCTCTGTTTATCCCTGCAGGCCTCTTCAGGTCCCTCCAGGTCCTTTCAGGTCTCTGTATGTCCCTGATAGTCTCTGAAATGTCCCTGTTCAGGCACCATTTGTAGTTGACTGTCACTGCTACTACATGAGACCATCACAAGTATGTTGAATTGAGCCTGGAACTCCTAGATGATAAACATTTTTTTATACCAACCTTCAACTTTTTCATTAAAATTAGATTGGGTAGATACTATAAATAGTGTCCCAAGCACTAGTGGAAAGATTCTACCATGTCTTACACTGGTTACTATGAGTTTGGAGTCAGAGGTATAAGGCTTGAAGAAAAAAGCACAATGAAATACAATTTTATCCACCAATCTGACATTTTTAAGTTTTAGGAAAATTGTGTCTTAATTCAAGCTGCTATAACAACAACAAAAACAACATACACTGACTGGTTTAAACAATAGAAATTTACTTCTCGGAGTTCTGGAGGCTGAGAGTCCAAGATAAAGTTGCCAGTCAATGGTTACAGGTAAAACCTCCATTCCTTGTCATGTCCTCATAAAGAGACAGAGAGAGAGACCAGATAGAGAGAGAGAGAGAGAGAGAGAGAGAAAGAGAGAGAGAGACTCATGACCTAATTATTTCCCAAAGGCCCTGTTTCCAAATATCATCTCAGTGGAATTAGGGTTTTAACATACAAATTTTGGGGGCGACGCAAGTATTTTTAGTCCATACCAAGTTAGATGCAACTTTACCAAAATTATTGTGGGTAATTTGACAAGGTAAGAGAGGTCAGTGAAACGCAAATTATATGATAACTTCTTGGTGCTCAGGCAGTATACCTGCCAGGTTGTCTCCTGGCTAGAGGAATGAAACAAGTAGTATTCAACAAGACTTTGGTAGTGAGTAAAACATGGCATATAAGTTGTTTTTTGTGGGAATGACATAGTCTAAATATTATTTTGATGACATACCTGTGTATTGACCTCTCTTGCATCAAAATGACATAAACATGGAGAAATAATTCTGAAAGTCAGCAGGAACTTGCAACTCACTTCTGGGAGGGGACCACTTAGGGGAACTATGATATTAGACTGTGGCAATGTCGACCTCCACACAGGAGGAAAGAGTAGTCACATACCCTAAATCTTGCGTAACGTGGTGTCTTAAAATTTCAATAAATCTACTGAGTTAAATTAACAGCAAAGCAGAAAAATTTGCCAAAGCTATTTATAGCTCCATTAAAATGGAAGACAAGTTAAGAAAATGTGTGTTCTAAATAATCATGTCAGAAGTTAGTGTTTCCTTCAAATATAATCATAGGCCTAAGAATTTTTATCCAAGATTGATGAAATTTTATTTTACGCAACAATAAATGGAACACAAAGGCTGCACATCATTTTTTTGTCTTCTGTACATATCACTAAAAAAAAAAAGCATCAAACTAAAACAATGAATATAATATTAAATAGGGATTTGTTAATTGCTAATATTTTTAATATAGAGAAAGAATAATGTTTAATGATTAATTACAAAATTGATGAACTAGAATAGTGAGAAATCAAGGAGAGCTGAAATTTATGGAACTTTATGATAAACTAATAAAGGACAATTTTATTCCTAGCATTTTAATTATTTGCTTTATCATTGCATTTTAAATGCAATTATCAAAAATAAAGGTTATAACTAAGAATTTCAAAAATTCTAATTATAGCAGAATTGGTAACAAAGAATTGAATACAGAGGGTGAATCTTATATTGCTTTATTATTATTAAAACTAAGGAAATATTTAGAATTTTGTGTACTAATTTAGCTACGAAGGAAAAGGAGGGCGTCATCATTTTAAAAATGTTTCCACATTGTCTACAGAAGCCTAGATTATTAAAAAAAAGAGTGGCCTCAGATAGATATCTGATTGGAATACACTACAAAATCTAGTAGTCAACTTGTTAAGATATCTGAAGATTCCATTTAAGACAGATTGTGAAAAAATATACTGGAAGAAATAGATTTTATTTAATATCCTTAAACATAAAACTTTGTTACCTTCTAAAACACTATATTTAGTTTTATTTCTATTTTATAATATTGTATATGATGTGCTTTCTTTTCCAGGTAAAACTAACAAAAGACAATAAAATGTTATTAACTTGAGTTATGGTTAAAGTAGAAGAGCTGTGGATATTACACTACATGAAAAAAAATTCTTCCACAGATATTATTTGTGTATGCATACATCGATAGAGATACACATAGATAGATACAGATACAGATAGATATCGATATAGATATAGACTTGGCTATAGAGACTGTGGGTTTTTTAATACAGCAAGAAAAGAGAAATATTTATTTACACTGGATCAACAAAGGAACTAGGCTATTAACTCAGATTGTAATAGTCTAAAATTTTTCCAAAAATTAGGAAAAATAAAATATTTATATGAATTTTACCTGGAAGTGTTTCAAAATAGTTTGCAAAGAGTGAGAATGAATTTCAACTTGTGAGTAAAGGGTAAAACTGAAATGAAAGTTAAAACAAATAGTTTCCCCCTTTCATTATTAGATCATGATTTATTGAAAACAATCTTGATTGTTAAATATTGATTAAAATTAATGAAGGTGCAGAGTTCCTAAGACCTTGTCATTTGAACGTTATGAATATCTTCACAATGAAAACATTATTCGTGTTATTTATGTGAGCTTATATGTACTTTTCCGCATAAATAATTTGTACTCTTAGTTAGAAACAAATGAACTATGGCTTTTGGTTTGGTTTTGTTTATTTATGAATAAACATTAAGAACTGTGCTTATGAAATTTTCAGGAAATATACTGAATGCTTTAATGTACTCTGTAACATTGCAACATATAATTTCCCCTCTTCCCTCACTTTTTGATGTAGCTATCATTGCTTTGAGTTTTTATTTACTGGTTATTTTAAAGAGCTTAATGGTCTCATTTACTTAAAAGTGGAATAATATTGGACTACTATTTTCTTTTTTTAACCTCTCTAGGTCATTCTACAGTCATTACCTTCCAGCCTATTTGTTTCTGCAGAATCTACGTATGTAATACCTATAAATTTTCTTTTCATATTTGTTCACTCATCCACATCATTAATAAAGTTATTAAGTGAAGACGAACCCAGCAGTAGCACTCCCTTACCACCTTGAAATATTGTGCTGATGTAGAGGTTGTATCTGATTTAATTCTTCAAGGATTATTAATGTATGTGGAACTAGCTTTTCAGCCATGGAAATCTTTAGTACGTATTTAAGAAAAAGTGATTTAATGCTCAGTAGGGAAATGTTGTCCAAAACAGTGCCTGAAAAAAGCAGGTATGTGTCCACATTGGGCACACTGCAGGTGGGGTATATTGTTGAGATAGGAAGGAAAAATAAAATGTGAGAAAAGGCAAGAGACAGAAAACAAAGTGCAGGTCGGGAAGAGACAACTTTAACTTCCACCATTTGTTAATCAATTCTGAAATATTTTCATTTTTACAGCCTAAAATTATGCATGTGTTGGCATTTTTTTAAATGGATGATATTACAGTTTTCATTCAAGCATTGGTATAGAGCCTAACCTTTTGTTATGGATGAGATGTTTAGATTGTTAATCTGGAAAATCTATTTTCCTGTTATTGAAGTCACATATATACATATATGTATATATACTTTTATATATGTGTCTATATATAGTAAAAATGTGTATATTTATTTTAAAAAGTATTTTGGTTCATGTTTTTGTTCTTAATGTTGTCCTACTAAAATTACTTAATCATAAATCTTTCTACTAACAGTAAGGCAGAAACAGAGTAACAAGGGATTTTTTTTTTCTATTAAACTGAAGACAGAGAAGTTTGGTATTTATTTTTACCTAATATAGCAAACTTCAAAAAACAATCTATTTCAATAAAAATATTTTCCCCAGCTACAGAAATAAACAAGGGATAATATATAATCTAAAAATGTAATGGAAGAAAAGGCACAGCATTAAGAGATTGCCTTATTTTCCTTTCTAGCACATCTTGCTCTTAAAATATCCATGAGTCTATAAAGGGTGCTATTTACAAGGATCAGTTTCCCTGTATTTCTGGGTTGAATGATCCTCTACTTTTACTATCCTTTGCTAAACATGACAAAATAAGAAAATAAAAGATAAATATGAGATGAAGACCTCAAATGACATCAATTTCATTGCCTCTAAAAAGTTGTGATGATGAATGTTACCACTACTCAACTGAGTTTATGAAAAGGCAAATATACTTTTAAAAATGTAGGGGTGCTTATACAAAGACTTATGTGTTTACGTTTACTTTTTTTATAAAGCTGATTTAATCAAAAGATTTAGTTAAGGCCGGGCGCGGTGGCTCACGCCTGTAATCCCAGCACTTTGGGAGGCCGAGGCGGGCGGATCACGAGGTCAGGAGATCGAGACCATCCCGGCTAAAACAGTGAAACCCCGTCTCTACTAAAAATACAAAAAATTAGCCGGGCGTAGTGGCGGGCGCCTGTAGTCCCAGCTACTTGGGAGGCTGAGGCAGGAGAATGGCGTGAACCCGGGAGGCGGAGCTTGCAGTGAGCCGAGATCCCGCCACTGCACTCCAGCCTGGGCGACAGAGCGAGACTCCGTCTCAAAAAAAAAAAAAAAAAAAAAAAGATTTAGTTAGTAATTTATTGACTCAAATACTTTATGCCTTCTATTTCACATTTTTTACAGGTTTATAAGTCTAGATACCTATGTCAATTAGTGAATTTTCTACCAAGAGTTCATGTTTTGTTGCTTAAAGGCAGATAATTTTTTTATTTAAATAATATTAAAAAGAGGAAAATATTTCAAAATACCAAGATTGGGAGGTGTCTGGGAGATTTATATGTATTGCTTTTATTAACTGTCTAGCACTGGATTTATAAACCAGCTTATTTTTTTAATTTAAAAGCTCTCTGCCTTGCAATTTAATTCACATGATCTGCATTAACCATGCCATATTCAAAATTTCATTGATAAATTCTATCCAGTAGTCAATATCGAATTGTAAACTGATGTAATGTGCTTTAAAATATGAAGATTTAATCTTTAAAATATGAATATTTGATTGAATAATTACTACCACTAAAATCATGTTTACTTATTAGAATTATCATATAGGAATTGTTTTATAATGTATATGTTAATTGAATGTGATTTCTTAATACTTAGGATATACGTTAAGTATACATAAACAAATTGGAAATAAAGTTCTGATATACTGTTCCATGAAAGTTTCAAATCTTTATATTAAAGATTACCATTTGAGTCAGAGGCAATGATAGGATTTTCTGTACTTTATCCACATGTTTATATATACACATATATATATGTTTTCATATAACCTTTCATAAGGATAGAAAAGAACTATGAATGTTTCTCCATCAGGCATCTTTCAAATACAACATAACAATAACTTCCTTAAGTATTTTATTTAGGCAAAAACTATAAAATGATGGAATGGAAAAAGAATTCTCAATGATCAAACCAAAGCAATTATATTTGATTCTGAATTTTAAAAGATTAGTCCATCAATTTATATTTAGAGGTTAGAAAACACATTCTGAGAGACAGAAAATTATATTACTTTTCTAACTTCCTGGAGAATATTGTGCTTTGTCAAATTTTACATTTATGAGAAGTTTTATATTAAAGCTATAAAATCTATCAGGGTAAGTTAATATGAGTATTTGAAAGTTTCACTGTTAAATTTATATTATCACATATTAAATGAAAGAACTGTTAACTGTGTACTGAATTCAAAAGTTAATATAGCTTCTCTCCTTTTTAAGAAATGGGACACAATATTAAAAAATTAAAGAGTTTTCAAATATTTATACTTAAATTTATATCTAAGGAATTATATATAGAATGCATACCTTTCAAGTAGATACTATTGTTGCTGTTAAGATTATTGTCAACAAAATTTAAATACACAGACTATTAAATAAAGAAATTAAAACAACAAAAAATAACCTCTAGGCCAGGTGTCCTGGTTAACCTGTAATCCCAGCACTTTAGAAGCTTGAGGCAAGAGGATTGCTTGAGACCAATAGTTTGAGACCAGCCTGAGCAGCAAACTGAGACTCTATGTGTATCAAAAAATGTTTTAAAAGTAGCCGGGTACTGAGGCAGGCACTTGTAATCCCAGCTACTTGGGAGGCTGAGGTGGGAGGTATGCTTGGGCCCAGGATTTTGAGGCTGCAGTGAGCTGTGATTGCACCACAGCCCTCCAGCCTGGGAGAGAGAGGAGACCTTGTTTCTAAAAACTAACTAAATAAACAATAATGTAAAAAATCTCTCTTTAGGTGTATGCTTCTCTTTGCCAGTGTTTAAGGGTTAAAAAAATCAATATGAGAGATTAACTAAAGTACCAATTTAGAGTTAAATGAGTGCATTTGCCACTTGAGTGCCGATTGCCTCGCATGACAGACAATATTAAGTGCTGATGACTTTAACTTTCACAAGTTTTATGCGATAGTGGGATAAATTTTTACTTAAAATGTGTTAAACTTCGGTTTAATTGCACTAATTAATGTCTCAATAGATATACTGTTGTATCTACCTCAAAATGCAAACACCAATGAAGTAATTCATCAGAAGACTTGATATGAATAAAGAATGGAACAGTAAAGTTGAAGATAAAAAACATAGAAATTGAATAACAAATACAAGTAAGAAACAAGAAGAGTGATAAATAGCAGAACATGGCATCCAAGAGCTGAAGGACAGCTCTGGATGCCTAACTTGAACGGATTCATGAAAGAGAACAAGGATGATAAATACTTAAAAACAAAATGAATGAGAATTTTCCAAAAGAAGTGAAGGCAATCAAATCGTAAATCCAAGAAACATTTCTAGAGATATAGGGGCTACGTAAACAAACTAAAAAAAAGGTAAAAAATTATATGAAGACAAACATAGTTGTGTTGTATGTATTATATAGTTAAATATACGTTATACACAGGCACGAAGAAAAGAAGTACAGGAAACCTGTCCTCAAGAACTATTTAACTGTATACTGGAAATTTTAACCAGTGTACTAAAGTAAGAAAAATAAACAAAAGGCATACAAATTGGATACGAAGAAATAAAACTCTATTTGATTCGTGGATGGTCTATGCACAGTATTCCATTATGTACAAAATAATTAAAATTATTAGCAGTGAAGCTGCTAGAAATAAATTGTGAGTACAAAATAATTAAAATTATTAAAAGTGAAGCTACTAGAAATAAATTGTGAGTTTTGTAATTTCACACTATGCACTATAACACTATAATGTTAATATACAGAATTATTTTTTATATATAATTGTTGCAGGAAAAACCCAGACCTGTGTAGAAGAACATCCTTCTGCCAAAGAGATAGTGCTGAAATAACAAAGAAGGACTCAGACAAGTCCAGCTTCACGAGAAGATGAGTTTATTAGGACTTACGTAAAGGGCAGCGGGATAACTCCAGAGATCCGCCTGCTGCCCACCATCTTCCTCTAAGCTGCTTTTAAGCTTCTTTTCTCTTCTCTTCTCTTCTCTTCTCTTCTCTTCTCTTCTCTTCTCTTCTCTTCTCTTCTCTTCTCTTCTCTTCTCTTTTTTTCTTTTCTTTTCTTTTCTTTTCTTTTCTTGACGGAGTCTCGCTCTGTCGCCCAGGCTGCAGTGCAGTGGCGGGATCTCGGCTCACTGCAAGCTCCGCCTCCCAGGTTCACGCCATTCTCCTGCCTCAGCCTCCCGAGTAGCTGGGACTATAGGCGCCTTCCACCACGCCCGGCTAATCTTTTGTATTTTTAGTAGAGACGGGGTTTCGCCACGTTAGCCAGGATGGTCTTGATTTCCTGACCTCGTGATCCGCCCGCCTTGGCCTCTCAAAGTGCTGGGATTACAGGCATGAGCCACCGCGCCCGGCCAAAGCTACTTTTCTGGCTCTTTGCTTACTACATGTGATGAAACTGTTCTTCTTGGTATGTACCTAGATATGCTCCCGGATGTTTTGGTTTTCAGCGACATCTGCTCCTCGGCTGAGCACCATGAACTTTGCTCACCATCTAGCCTTCAGGACTCAAGCAGTCAACATATGCCCTTAAATTCCCTGGTGGGGGACCCGCTACTTTACAACACTATTAATGAACAATTGGAAATTAGAATTTTTTAAAGTTACATTTAAAGTAGCACAAGAAACATTAAATTCTTAATCTAAAAAAACATGGAGAAAGGGTAACAAAAACTAAAAAAAACACTGGTAAAAGAAATCAAAGAAGAAGTAAATAAGTAAAGAGCTTGGTAGCCAATATTGACAATAAATTAATTCTGTTCAAACCAATCAAAAAATTCAATACAAAAATTCAATCCAGTTAAAATTCCTAACAGGATATTTGCAACTAACAAACAAGCTCATTCTAAAACTTTCAACAGAGAAGCAAAGGAATTATAATGGAAAAATCATTTTGACAATAAAAAAATTGAAGAATCCACTGATTTATATGTATACTATATACATATATGTAATATACATATGTATATCTGTTGGTGACTTTAACCATATGATTCATAATTTCAAAAACTGGTGAATAGTCAAAAAGTTATATACTGTATCTATTTAATATCACGTTAGGAAGAAAAAGAAACAAATCTGATAACATAACAACATGAATGTGTCTCAGATTTATTATGCTATTTAAAAAGCCAGATTTAAAGGCCTATTCAGGATGCTGTTTGCTCCCTTGTGTATGACATTCTAGAAAATATAAAACCATAGGGACAAAGAACAGCGATTTCCAAAGACTGAGGGCAGCAGAAATACTGATTCAAAAGGCACAAAAGGGAATTTTTCTAGGTGATGGTACTGTTCTATATCTTGAGGATGGTATTTGTTATATAACCATCTATGTTTTCAACACACTGCATACTTAAAAAGATGACTTTTGGCATATATAAATTTTAATTCGATAAACCTGAGTTTTTAAAACAAAGATTTTCTGTAACCAGTAGACTCATAACACTGTCTTCCTGCCATTGACTAAGATGGTTTCGATAGTGGATTCCTCTTGTTCATGCCAGCCAATGTGTCTTTTGTTTAACCAAAACCCTTGAAATATCTTTGCCTCAGGCTTTTATTGAAATTTCCTGTAATTTAAAGACTTCACCCTCCTATTCACAGGAGTTAGTATCTTGAAATGGTAATAACTTGAAAACAGCTATGGTGGGAGGACTTACTCTTTGAAGTGTAACTTACATACATGCAGCATACACCATGTATCAAGACTTTCTTTTTTTCTGGTTTTTTTTTTTTTTTTTTTTTTTGAGATGGCGTCTCACTCTGTTGCCCAGTCTGGAGTGCAGTGGTGTGGTCTCAGCTCGCTGCAACCTCCACCTCCCTGGTTCAAGCGATTCTCCTGCCTCAGCCTCCTGAGTAGCTGTGACTACAGGCACCATGCCACCACGCTGGGCTAATTTGTGTATTTTTTATTAGAGACGGGGTTTCACAATATTGGCCGGGCTGGTCTCGAACTCCTGACCTTGTGATCCACCCGCCTTGGCCTCCCAAAGTGCTGGGATTACAGGCGTGAGCCACCGTGCCCAGCCGACTTTCTTTTCATTTGGATCACTAGTTTACCAACATCACTGCCTTTAGATCCCATTGTCAATTTTGGCTTTTGTTGCAATTGCTTTTGGCATTTTTGTCATGAAGTCTTTGCCCACCCTGCCTATGTCCTGAATGTTGTTGCCTAGGTTTTCTTCTAGGGTTTTTACGGTTTGGGGTTTTACATTTAAGTCTTTAATCCATCTTGAGTTAATTTTTGTATAAGGTGTAAGGAAGGGGTCCAGTTTCAGTTTCCTGCATATGGCTAGCCAGATTTCCCACATTATTACTGAATATGAGATCCTTTCCCATTGCTTGTTTTTGTCAGGTTTGTTGAAGATCAGGTGGTTGTAGACGTGTGGTGTATTTCTGAGGTCTATGTTCACCTTCATTGGTCTATATGTCTGTTTTGGTACCAGTTCCATGCTGTTTTGGTTACTGAGGCCCTGCAGTAATGAAGTCAGGTAGTGTGATGCCTCCAGTTTTGTTCTTTATGCTTAGGATTGTCTTGGCTATATGGGGTCTTCTTTGATTCCATATGAAATTTCAAATAGGTTTTTCTAATTCTGTGAAGAATGCCAACGGTAGTTTGATGGGGAACTTCACCTTTTACCCTTAAAAAAGCTTCGGCTCCCCCAGCTTTTTCAAATGTGCCTATGGTTCAGTACGGTACACATATCCCAAATTGCAGTTCATTGCTCTTCCCAGATAAACTATTTTGAAAAGTCAGTCTCTCTGCTGTTTATTTTAATAATTTTTAATAGAAGTACATCTTTCTTAAAAGCATAGCAAAAATTTTAAGTACATTCACAATAATAATAATTAGGAAACAAATGATCATTGCTTTGATTTTAAGAATTATTAATTTCTTTAATTTTTCAAGTTGAAATATAGAACATGTTTTATTTAGTTACCAATTTATTTCTGTATTTTTCATGAAACAATTTACTTTGGTAAGAAATTTCAAGGAATCTGTGGCATAAATACATATTTGGTCAATGTTCCTTGACCCAAAGTATTAAGGCTGGGTTGTATTTAATTCAGTGACTAAGTAATTTAGTCAGGTTATTCAATAAATTAATGAGGTAATAATCTATAAATTGTTATAATCTGTCAATCTATAAATCATATGTAAAATTGTATTATAAAAAGCAAATGAGTCTTTCTAACAATAGCTAGTTCCGACAATAAAATAACTTCACTTTTAGTTAGCAAGCCCGTATTACATTTCTAAATATTGAAGTCTGTGCAGTAGTTAATGAACTTTTAGTCAATTATTGAGAAAAAAACTTTTAGTACAGTAGAAGATATAAAAAACATGATTGAGCTCAATTTCTCTTTTTTAAAAAATCACTGATTTCTTGGTCAAACTTTTGCTTCTTTTGGAACTTTTGAACTTTGTGGCCATGTGAAATGGCACTCTGAAACTTCTAGTAGACTCAAATTGAGGTAACTTTCTTGCTCACGACAATTTTATGTCCAGTTTCTAATATAAGCCATTATTTCTAACACATGCCATGGTTCCATGTTTGAACTAATGTTAATACCACCTGCCCCTACATGACTGAGTCTGAGCACATCCCTGGGCCACATCAAGCACCATGGCAGATTAATCATTCCTTATGGTTTTAACAGGCAAGCTGGGGAAAAAAAATAACTGTCTCCTCCAACTTTGGTTATGAGTGAGTTTCTTACCTTTTAATGGTGAAAAATAAACTTATCTGTCATAGGAGAAAATAACATTACACTCATATGGAAGCAGAGGTGAGAAGTGAAGCCTTAGTAGTGATGTCATCGTTGCCAATTACTGAAGCCAGGAAGTTAGGAATCATCAGTCTTTTTCTTTTGAATTAATGTGACAGTAGTCGAGAGAGAGAAAAAAGTAGGCATGCTGTATGTTATTTAGAGGATAAGATCTATAGATTTGAAATTGATTTGGCATAAACCCACAGGAAAGTGAAGAATCAAGCATGTATTCTAAGCTTCTGGCTTGAGCAAGTGAGCAATCAGCAACATCAGCCCTATGACTTACTAGATTTTTACTGAGGTATACTTTGTAATGTAATAGCTGCGAGAAACTGAATATCATTGAAATTTAGAAAAGGTTATGACAATGTCATTGGGTTAATAGATAGCCTTTTCTTACAAAGATTTGTAAAAAATGAGAGGCCCTAGACATTTGCTGTGTATATTATGCATAAAAATACCACCTCCAGTGAATTCGTTTGGAAAAGAAACTCAAAGCAAGGCCAGACAAAGGAAACAAAAAGAAAAGAAACGAAAGGGAAAGGACAGGGAAGAAAAGGCAAGAAAAAACAAGACAGACAAAAAATTGGAAAAATATGACAGAGAGAGCAAGAATTGTATATATCATAATTTTATAATATTTTAAATTTATAAAATTATTTTTTGACTTTTTTTAATTCAAGAAGACCCTGGATATAAGTCCATCAGTACATAAATAATTGCTAAGAACTGGGACTAAATTTTAAATAAACTACACTGTTGAAAAAGCCAATATTTTCAAGAAAATTGACCAAAAGGTATCCTTGTCTTCATTTCCACTGACATCTTATGACTGCCATATTTTTTCAGCTATGGCTCTTTTTCTACCAATGGCATGTCACAAAAATGTGTGAACCTCTGGTCACTCTAATTAGTCATACCAATATTGCATAATTTTACCTCAGAATGCTTTTTCCAACTACATTCTTTCTCCAGGGGCATTTATATTCAATGTTTTTTCCAGGGGCATTTACATTCTGAATACCGTGCCTCAAAGTCAAACTGGTTAGCATTACAATCTTGTCTGGTATTATATATGCATTTATTAATGTACAAATTGACCTCAGAAATAGAATATATTTGTCAGGAGTTTTAGGTCTTGTGTTCCCAACACCTAACAATAGATACTTGTTGAATAAATTATGAAAGGGAAAAATAATTTTTAAGAAATTTTGAAAAATTAAAAAGGAAACAAAGGTGTCACAATGGAAACAAAATTTCACTTTTTTTCCTCTGAGTTTAGAGTAAATCTCAGATTCAAACACATCTGAGGATGTACAATTATCAATTATGTAATTCCAAGGGAAAGTAATTTGTACTTACAGGTTAGATATGATAATCAATTCACTTAATTCTACTCGTTTCCTTTAAAAAAAAAAAAAAAGAGGCTGTCAGAAATAATACATCACAGTAAAACCTCCTATCAAACAAGAAAAGATTGTATTTGGGAAAACATTTTCATAGACCTAAATTGAGTAACGTTTCCAACTTACATTTCACCAGTTAAGCTTCCCATTAGAAAATGTGTTTGTATGACACCAGTTCCACTTGCATTTTTTTCCCATAGGTTTCCCAGCAGACGTTTACAATCCTTTAGTGATGTTATAGCCAGAATTGTATTAGGTAATAATATAAAATCCCTAAATTTTATGTACAAACCTTCACTGATATTTTTAGTTATCATGAAAGAATCCTTGTATTTATTTCTATTCTAATTCTCCTCATGTCATTGGTATTTTATATGTATTCATTGTAAACATGTGTTGAATGTTCCAAATTTATACAAGCAAAACAATGTACATATTCTAGAGCTTAATATTTTCCCTCTCCCTGTTTTTTTTTCCGTGGCTTTCTCTTGCTTTCACTATTGCAAACTCTGACCCTGAGAGGCAAGAGTCGTGACCATTTAGTAAGATGTATCGTTGAGTATCATAAAATAGTTGGATAGTCTGCTATTTTTTTATAGTAGCAAAAATAGAATGTTCATATGCTTGCCCATGATTTTTATACATTTTTAAATTTGTCTACCACATGCCTAAATTTACCAAATTAAGTCCGTGTATATAAAACATTTGCACAAATGTTACTCAAGTTGTCTGAAATAAAAATACATGTATTTTGCAATTTAGAGCACATGACACTAAAGATGTATAGCTCCGTTAACTCACCTTCTGAACAAATTTCAGCAAGAAATTTCAGAATGAATATAAAAAAGTTAAGAAATATTCTAATATATAGTAGCTGAAAAGTTTACAGAAGTAAAGAAGAAAGACACAAATTAGTAGATTCTGAAGAATTATCTATACGAACCCATAACTATTCTCTTTATTTTGGATATTCTATTGTTTCCTTATAATTTGTTTATAAGTTTCCTTATAAATAAACAAATTATAAGGAAACAGTGGAATATCCAAAACAGAATATGCAAGCCAATTAACAATCACCATTTTTACCAACAAAAATATTGAAAGTCAGAAAATTGTGGAATATCTTTGAAGTGCTAATAAATGATAACGGCAAATCTAGAATTTTATGTCAATTAGATTTAGAATTCAAGAGCAGATCAAAATAGAGACATCTTCAGACAATCCAAAAACTGAGAGTTTACTACCAAGAATAGTAACTTTTACAGTATGTACCATAGAATAAAGGATAATTAACTGGATGTAAATTCCAAAATATTAGAAGAAGAAAGGATGTGAAAAAACATATATAAGCAGTCACAATTTTATTTAACAAACACACCAACAATATGTGATTTGTGGGAATAAGAAAAACAACATGAATATAAAATAATGAACAATTTGTAGCAAATATTTTTAAATAATTGCAATTAAAGAGCCCTAAGACTTTGTATTGTTTGGGCTTGGTGTTAGTAAACTTTATATTTTATGTTAATAATGTTTATTAGAATATCAAAATTGCCTAGCAAAAGAAAACTGATAATGTGAATAATTTCCAAAATAAAAGAGATAAGTTACAAAAAATGTTAAAGTAAACAAATGCAAAACAAGGCAAAAAAAAAAAAATCAAAGTGAGAAAGACCAGCAAAGTGAATAAAAGGAAGAAAATATGACTTTAAATATAAAAAAATAAATAAATGAAAACCTAAAAAATAACATGCAAGTTGCCAAAAGAAAACGATTTACTTGACTGAATAAAGGTCGTTAAAGGATTTCTTCAGCTGGTGAGCACCAGGCAAACCTGAAGACTAGGTGGTTCCAGACTGAAGTAGGATCAGGCGTCTAACAGAAGTCTGTGGAGTATGCCTGGTTTAGGCTGGACAGATATTTTCTGCTTTAACTGAAGTTGAGTTTAGGTTTTTGGGTTCTTTTCTGTTTGTTTTTGTTTTATCTGTTTATGTTCCACTTTCAGAGTCTCATTATCCATCAGAACAATATTATATGAGAACAATCTTTGCAGCTGATGGGCTAACCACGTTCCCTGGGTGGGGCAGGGGAAGTAGACAAGAATAAGAATGAAGTGGATGTAAAGGAAGAAGGCAAGGGGCGGGGGATTATTACCCTCTAGTATGTTTGTTTTAATCGCTTTACACGGTTACTAGTTTTCAAATTTACTAAATATTTTATATGATTCAAATCATTAACTGAGAAATTTCTTTCAAATTCAGTGCTCTTTGCAGAGTACTGGCTAGATGTTGGAATCCAAAAATGAACTGTGAAAAAAGGCCCGTGTCCTCAGGAACTTATGTTCAGAAGAAATGGAAAAACAAAATTAAATAAGTGGATAAATACATGTGTGTTGTTTTACTAAGACCTTATTTATTAAATATTTTGCTAAGCCTATAATATTAAATCAGCTATTTATATATCTCTATATAACAATGGTTCTAGAGTCAGGAGGTTAACCTTGTGGATTCCTCAGTGACCTTGAGTAATCACTCAACCAAAATACATTTGTATTTAAATACGAACATAAGTTCGAACATTACGTTGTTACCCTAGCCACTTCACAAAATACGTTCGAACACTAGGTTGTTACCCTAGACACTTCACAAAATATTTGAAAAACACATGGATAGACAATTTGATGATTCTATAAATCTGGTAAATGAATTAGAAATATTATAAAAGGTTTTTCTGAGAGGATACCATCGAGCAAAAAGAAAATGACTAGCATTTGACACTATGTAACTTTAAATCTATATTTCAGGGACCTCTGTCACTTTCTTGGGGAATTGAATCACCTATTCCTACTTAGCAGCATGAAAATGAGTTGACTCTCCAGGTTATAGCATTTGAAGGCATGCCTGAGAGGAGCAGATTCAAAAATCAACAGGTGGTTGATGTTTTCTGTGGGGAGCATTCCTGCCTCAGTCCTGCTGCTGTGACCCATTCCTAAACAGCTTTGGGGTCTACAGTCCCCCTTGGTACCTGCTGGGGATTTGTTCCAGGACCACCACCAATCCTACCACCATCATCCCTTCATAGCAAAAGCCAGAGATGCTCAAGTTTCTTATATAAAATGGCCTAGTATTTGCATATAACTTACACAACCCTCTTGTATACTTTCTATCATTTCCAGATTATTACTTACATTAATAATACTGAATACAATATAAATGCTATGCACATAATTGTTATAAGGATTGTTTTTTATTTGCATTGTTTTATTGTTGTATTTCTTTTTAAAAATTATTCTTGGTATTTCTTTTAACAAATATGTTTGATTCATGGTTAGTTAAATCCACCCACAATGGGGGTATGGAGGGTCAGCTGTATTCAGGAATTTGCATTAACAGACTTAAGAGCCTAGTAGATTCTTTGCTTAAATGAACTCTGTGCAGACACAGCATTCAACATTTCTATTTTGATACTTTAAGCAGACTGCAGTGTTTGACAAGCTATTTCAGTAATATGCAATAATCTTTACAAAATAGACATAGATGTTCTGTGACCCCAAATTCTCTGAAACTCTAAACTCAATTATTGAATCTATAGTGGTGTTTCTGATCAGATTACAAGATGAAGGAAGCAATGGAACTTGGCCTAATGTAATGAAAAATATTGCTATCTCTCCACTGATTATTTTGGATGATGGGAGAGCTGTATAGCCATTTAACTAAAGAGGAATCCTTTCAGGAACTACTCTGAAGTACTTTAAGAGATGGAGTTGCTGAAGAAAAAAGATTGAAAACAATTGGCTTAGCTGTTCAGAGCATGGCAAGAATGTAACTATAATCTGTCATTGTGTGGGCAGACAGATGGCCTGAAAATTGAATAAATTGGAAATCACTGGAAGGCAGCTATTTTGTCCTTGAGTGCATTAGGTATCTTGGAAAAATGTTATTAAATGGTGAACAATTGCTATCGAAAAGTTTCTAGTTGTTTGGAACATAGAGTTACATAAAGTCAAGATTCTATTATTATTCTAATAATAGATAAAATCCGAATGTAAAGAAAATGTTTCCTATGAACTATGTAATTTAATTCTTATCAGAGCAATACTTTAAACAATTATTTGATTAGCCTGTGTTTGTGAATGTATATAAAGTAAGCAATAACCTTATTTTCTCCTCTTTGTAATTTAATTCATTAGAAATTGAGAATCTCAGACTTCTCTCCAGCCCTATTAAATCTGCATCTTCATTTCCAGGTCACTCATACACTGTTTAACCTTGAGAAGCACTGTTGTATATTGTCTTGAGAGTCCACACTATGAAATAAATTGGCCCTTATTTACTCCTCAATTGAAATTCTTCAGACTTTCTTAAAGTTTCTAAATAAGTCCCAGTTAGTGGAAATGAACTGAATTTAGTTTAATTTTTTTTATCATGCATTGCTGTCCAAAAGAAGAAAGCTTATTTCTGCCAACTTCTTCTTATCCTCAACTTCCAACCACTGTCACGTCTGTCTTCTTTCTTTTTAATATTTTCAGGTGAATTAGAGGTTTGTCAACCGTAAGAATGAAATATATGGTTTATGGCCTATTTTTATGTAACTGGTCATTCTGAGATCTGGAAAACACTACCTGTGTTTATCTGCAACTAAAATCTAGACACCTGAGCCTACACTGCATAGCGAAACAGGTCACTAGAAAAACACAAGCAATTTAGAAAGGCTTTTAATATTGAACAGTTGCATTTTGTTTCTATTCATGTCTATCGCTTTCTCTTTTTTATTCTAAATTGCTTTATTATATTCTATATTTAATATTCTATCATTAACATGTCAATGACAGTCAATAATAATTGAGGACTCAGGTTTTGTCAATACACTGATTTATAATTAGTACAATATGTTATGAGTTTCCTTCGCACATTAATATTATCAGCTCTTCATTTTTTGTTGTTCACAATATATCTTCAACTACCTTTTTATTTTTAGGCAATGTACATATTACAATTTAAGAATAATATCTTCTTTGTTAAATATTTATTTCCACCCCTTTTCAGAAAATTAGATGGTTTACATTTATTGTTAGAAATAATATAAAGCTTTTCTGGTTTTGTGCTTCTAAATAATATTATTAATATATTCTTTTGTAATTACAAAAGCTCCTTGTTTTTGTTTTGTAATTACTTTCTCAATAAAATAGAGCTGCAAATATTTTGTTCCTTTAAATATTTCAAATAAATAATTTTCATTTATAATAAAAAATATAAAATATGCCAAAGAATTTATTATTTCAAAAAATATGTCATTCACCAATTTGCTTTTAGATTTGTGAATACAGTCTCATTTTATTTTAATACTTTAATCATAGATCTTAACTTTTTTATAATTAATTTTAATTTGTATTTAACATGGTAATAACATTTTTACTTAATTTTATATTGTTGGGTTAGTAGTCACTGTTAGTACACATAACTATTTTACTTTTTCAACATGTAATTTTCATTAATCTTATTCAGATAAAGTTCATTTTCACTATTTTTCTTCAATTGGAAATATTTCATATTTTAAAGACTTCCATTCCTAACAAATGTGGAATACAACATTTTTAGCTCAAAATATTTTTCAAAACAAAACAGAATTTTTCCAGTCTTCACATATAAAACTAAAGCAACAAGCTCAAGTCTATCCAGACATTTTATACTTCAGAAACGAAAATACTAATCTTACGTGTTTATGGCGGATGTTTTTCTTATAATTTTAGTTAAAAAATATTTGTAGAAGGTTTTTATAGTAATATAGTCAGAAAATTAGTCTGCATTTTTACCTACAAATTAAGCAGTATTTTAAAAATTAGCTCAGGAAATTTTATTTTATATTGTATTTTAGTCTGTATTTGAATGATATTTAAATTCTTAGATTTTCACTTTAGATGTGGGAACTCAGGTGCTTAATTCTATCCTCTTTAATTTTATATCTGTGATTTCTTCTGCTTTGTTTTCAGTTCTATTTTTTTCCTGCACTGCAAAAGAGTTTCTAAAGATTGTATTTAATATTACAAGCTTCATTTAGTGCTCTATCATTTGGCATTTACATTTTTACATAGTTTTAAAATTATATATATTTCTTTGTATTTTTTATCTAATTTTATACAATTTTAAAAATCATGCACCTCTAATATCTATTGACTAGGTTTAGCTTTCATTTCAGAGATAACATTAATAGTGAAAAATATTATCTTAAATGCAAAGATATTCATTATTTAAAAATTGATCAATGACATTCACTAAATTATCACAGGGACGAAAACATAAAATGATCATCTGTAGAGATGCAGAAAAATAATTTGACAAAATTCAGCACTGATTTATAAGAATTATCAGCAAAATAAGAACAGAAATGAAAATTGACCAACAACCAGAAATGACAGCAACAACAAAATACCAAGTCAGTAAAGATGGAGAGAAATAGGGAAGCAGTGAAGGTAGATGTCATTTCTGTTTTTAGTGGTGGAGTACAAGGTGTTCTTGTGCTTAAAGGTCATGTTCTTGTGATAAAACGCACTGCAGAGACAACACAGTTTAATTGGCTGAGGCAGGTGACTCCCTTTAAGCATCAGGGTGGAACAAACTACACGACAAAATGTAATTTTAAAGACCACTCTCATTCAAATGTAATAATATCAAAGCACCCTTAACTCATTAATGAGTGAAACAATGAGTGTCATGGTCTGAACTGTGTTCCCCTCCCCAAACCCGTATGTTCAAGCCCTAACCCCTAGTTATACACATAAGGTAAATGAAACCTCATTTGGACACAAAGTTTTTGCAGATGTAATCAAGCTAAAATTATGTCTGTAGGTGGGACTTAAAATAACATGGGTTGTCTTTATAAGAAGAGGGAACAGAAACAGATAGGATGTGGAGAGGACCATGTGAAGAGAGAAGCTGAGACTGAAAAGGATTTATGTATTAATATTGACAGAAGCCAAGGAACACCATCTGAAGTTCTGATGGCAACATCAGAAGCTAAGAGAAAGGCATGGAAAAGATTCTCACCTAGAGCATCCAGAGGAGAGGTTGGTCCTGCAGACACCTTGTTTTCTGACCTCTGACCTCCGCAACTGTGAGGGAAGAAATTTCTGTTGCTTAAAGACACACAGCTTGTGGTACTTCATTATAGCAGCCCAAGGTAACTAATATAGATGACAAAATTGGTTCCAAGGGTGTTTGAGGAACTGGACCTTTATAGGCATTATTTTCATAATACTGCATTAAGCTATGATAACTGGACTAGATTCAAAATTGGATAATGCCCTAAATGCAATAAAGCTATAATTTTGAGATAAAATTTTAATAGCTTTATGAGATATAATTAACATCTGGTATACTGCACATTTTTGAGGTGTGAAATTTTTAAACATTAACATACGTATATACTTGTAAAACCATCACACTAGAAAGAGATCTCAAGCCTCTTCTTTTGACTTTCAACACATTGTCAATCCAGTACTAATCTGGTTTTATTACCATATATTAGCTTTTATTTTCTACAATTATATATCAGTAGAATTATAGAGTATGAATTCTTTTTGTCTTTTTTCCTTAAGCATAATATTTTTGAGATTCAACAATTTCTTGCATGTTGAAGTAGCACCTTTTTTTATTGTTACGTATTATTTCATTTCATAGACATACCACTATAATTTATTTACTAAACTCTTGACCAGAGGTTCTCAAATGAGGGACATTTTACCTGCCGGGGACATTTCCAATGTTTGGGGACACTTTTGGTTATCAGAGGTTTGTGGAGGAGGGGATAGAGTGTCCACAGGCCAGGGTTCCACAAAGGATAGCTCCCCACAACAAAGAATTAAGCCACTTCAACAGCTAATAGTGCTGAACTTGAGAACGCCGCTCTTGGTGGACAGTTGCATGGTGTCTGTTTTTGACAATAATGAATAAAGGTACTTGTGCAAGCCTTTTTACAGACTTATGCTTTTCTCCCCCCTAGGATAAATGCCTAGGGGTAGAATTGGTACATGTAAGGTAGATTTAGTTATCCAAAGTAGCTGTACTGTGTTACACTCCCACCGTCGATGTATGCAAACTCTAGAGTCTGGTTTCTTGACATCTATGCCAAATATTGGTAACACAATTTTTAAAATAGTAGCTTTTCTAGTAGATGTGTATAATTATCTCATTTTATTTTTTATTACTAACGATATTAAGAAATTTTTCATTTGCTTATTTGCTATTATATCATTTTTGTGTAGCATCTGTTAGTTTTTATAGCTCTCTTGTTTCTATGTTGTACATTATATTTATATATTCTTGCTCTTATTCATAATAAATAGTATATATAATTGTGTAATTAAAAATAAACATTAAAGTATAAATATATTTACACATTTCTGTAGTTTATCATTATATAATTATTGCTTTCTGAATAAAAAGAAATGTATCCACAGTTTGGATAAAAAGAAGTGCTTTCATGTAGTTTACTAAGACATTTTCTGTGCTTTATATTTGAAGCCTATGCTTTCACTTTTACACATTGTTCCATAATATATTTTGGACTCCTTTAATTTTGAACTCATTCACGCTTTTGTTGTGAGGAAGGACTTGAGGTTTGTTTTCTTCACATTTATCTCGTAGTTCTGCACACTTTGTTAAATAAAATTATCTTTCCCCTTTGAATAACTGCAGTATCTTTGATATTATATTATTCATATAAGCATGGATCTATTTGTGAACTCTATTCCATTCCATTACTCTAATTGTTTATCCATCTACTAATAACACATTCTCTCGATGACTATAGCTTTAAGTTATTGCATGGTGTTAGGAAGTGTGAGTATTCCAACTTTTTTTTCAGCTTTCTATCATTTGTTTTTGCTCTCTTGATGTACATTTTTAAATCAGTGTGTCAATTTATATAAAAATATCTTTTGTGATTATGGTGAGGATTTCTAGAATGATTAATTTGGAAAAACCAAAACCTTTTACACACTAAAATTCACTGAACTTTCAAGCCATGATTATTGTATTAGTTTGTTCCGGCATTGCTATAGAGAAATACAGAAGATTCGACAATTTATGAAGAAAAGAGGTTTAATTGCCCCACTGTTCTGCAGGCTATACAGGAAGGATGATGCTGGCATCTACTTAGCTTCTGGGAAGACTCAGGAAACGCACAATCATGGCAGAAAGCAAAGGGGGACAGGCACGTCACATGGCCAGAACAGCAAGAGAGTGAAAGGGGAAGCTGCTACACACTTTTAAATGACCAGATCTCATGAGAACTCACTCACTCACTATTATGAGAACAGTATCAAGAGGGATGATGCTGAACCACTCATGAGAAATCCACCCCATGATCCAATCACTTCCCATCAGGCCTCACCTCTAACATTGGAGATTACATCATACCAGATTTGGGCAGGGACACACATCAAAACCATCAATTATTGTATGCGACTCCATTTATTTAGAACTTTCCTACATCTCCCAACACTTTTGCTAGTTTCCTATTTAGAGAGATCTTGCATGTAATTTGTTAAAATCATATATACATATTTTATTTTTATTAGTATTTTACATGGATTTGATTTTTATCATTAATTGCTCATTGGAAATATATAGAAATAAGTTAATGGGTTGACTTATTTTTTCTATGATGTGGCTAAAATTACTAGTTTATTCCAGCAGCTGATTTTTACAGTCACTAGAAGTTTATGTGTAGGTAATGGAGTTGTTTAAAAATTTAGAAGTGTATTTTTCATTTCTTAACTGTGTATGTTTTACTTATTTATTTGATTTGTCTCACTGGTTAATTCCTCCCATACAGTAGAGAGAACAATAGTGAAAGAGGACACTTTGTCTTCTTCTGGATCTTAAATGAATAATTTATTAGTTCACACTTCAGTGTGATATTTCCGTAGATGCCTTCTATTTGCTTAAGGATGCTTCTTTGTATTCTATTGGGGCGAGATATTTTTATTATAATTCTATCTTGAAAATGCCAAATGTTTTTTCTGCCTCAGAGGAAGTTTATATATTTTTTTCATTTTACTCAGTTAATGTGGTGAGTTTGAAAATTCAAATACTTGAAAAATCACGTTCCCATCAAACACTGCTTCTTACTGTCCCTTTCTAAGAGGACTACCTTCAACTTGGGCATTTAGAGGATACTTCCCTTCCTATAGCTCAGGGTTTTTTTGTATTTTTTTTATGTTTAAATTTTAGTGATATTTCTTTTATGTGTTTTTAAAATATTTTATGGGCTACTGCATTGACCCATTTGTTTCAACTTTACAGCTCTAGTTAAATATAAAAATTAATAAAATGTCAACACTCAAGTATTACATATATCCCTTGATCTGGTGATTTAGGACTATGAGAAAAATGCTCAATTTCCCTCGATAGAAGGAAGTATGAACTTTTTTATTTATTTATTACTGTAGTCTCACAGCCTAAAAATCAGTAGGTCTCCACTGGTCAGCAAGCAAATGATCATGATTATTTTTCTGAATTTTTGACAATTTCAGAATAGGCAAGAAAGCTAAGTTTTAAAAATAAAATGCCAACATCAAGAATTTAAAATCAAATTCGTCACAGTGAATCCCAACAGGAAATAGTTCTTCATTTTATGATTACTCAGAGATTTTGCTTGTTGTAGTGGTCTTCCTTCTGGCTCATAATTTTTTGCTACTCTGCAGCAGAAATAATAAGAAATATTTTCCCAGTCCACAGCGGTGAAGGAGAAGAAAACTATAAATCAAAAGTAGCATATTCTGTGGATCATTTATTGAAATAAACACAGTGAGTACAAGATGGGTAATCTATTTGCATAATCAAAGACACCCTTCATCTGTGTCTATTTTTCTCTTTTCTTTTCTTTTCTTTTCTTTTTTTTTTTTTTTGAGACAGAGTCTCACTCTGTTACCCAGGTTGGAGTGCAGTGGCATGATCTTGTCTCACTGCAGACTCCGCCTCTCGGGTTCCAGCAATCTTCCTGCCACAGCTTCCTGAGTAGCTGGCATTACAAGGTATGGGCCACCATGCCCGGCTAATTTTTGTATTTTTATTAGAGATGGGGTTTCGCTATGTTGGCCAGACTGGTCTTGAACTCCTGGCCTCAAGTGATCTGCCCGCCTCAGCCTACCAAAGTGCTGGGTTACAGGCATGAGCGACTTGCCTGGCTATGTCTATTTTTAACATAGTTATAGTGAACTATAATTATTTTTACACAAAAACTATTCTTACAAATGTTATATGTATTTTAAGAGCATACAAACTTACAGGTTTTTTTATTTAATAAAAACCAGTGGCAGATTGATAATGCAGAATATATTATTTATAAAAAATCATTTGTTGTCATACAAACATATATTTTATTTGAAAATTATACTTTTGAATAGCTTTTTGGAAAGTTAAAGTATTCTCATTTATTGCATACGTTTGTCACCAAAATTATACGAAAGAGTGTTTGATTCAAAATGTGTGTGTGTGTGTGTTCCTATATAGGACCCAGATAACACATATATATTAAATAAATAAATACATGTATATATATATATCATGCACACACATTTAAATATAATGTAAATGTGTGTGTGTGTGTGTGTGTGTGTGTGTATGTGTATGTGTATGTGTATGCAGATGCCCCTCTGGAAACAAATTTAAAAAGAATCCCCTCTTTTGAGTGTATAAAGAAGTTCCTTTCTTAAGGAATGGATAACAGGGGTTGGTACTTTGGCTGAATTCCTCTTCCTCTTACTTTCATTAGACTTGGCACTGTTGCATAGAACACAATTTTCCAAAATGTAATGTCTGTGTTATGCCTACAAATGTACCATACATAACAATTTGTCATTTTCTGTAATTACATACTGACCTATTTAACATTTATCTAACCACTTATATATCTTAATCAAAATAAATCAACCCATGTAAATTGTTTATTTCTATTGTCTTTCTCAGTATAATGCACAAGATACCTTTCTATCTCTATATGTATTTGTCATTTTCATGTCTGTCCCTACATGAGTTGACTCTATTTTTCTGTTACATAGATATGTGATGTTAGTACAATATATGTTAACTAAAAATGGATGATGCAACCTTTTAAAATTATGACCATCGCAGTGAAAATTATGTCTCTAAAATATCAGGGGCTTAGGTATTTTCAGATTAAATTAGGAAAAATAGAGTATCTTTCCATTTATTTATGTGGGCAAATTTCCCATTTGTTCACATTAAATCTTTTAATGGCATATTGCCTAAATCTTTCTCAGAAAAGCTTAGCCAAATTGCCTAGGATGTTTCCTTTCTCCCATATTACCATCACTGTTTACCATCATATTTCTAATAATTTTAATTTTGGAACATGAAAATGGTATTTCAATTTAAATGCGTATGTTTTTCTATTTGCAAAGAGATTAAACATCTCTTCAAGTTTTTAAACTATATGCAGCCCTTCTTTTCTGCCATACCTGTTCATTTCCTCAAGCTATTTTTCCATCAGACAGTTTCATGTTTTCTCATTGATTTGAAGCTTCTATTAAAGTATTGTATACACATGGGTAAATGCACATAAGTTTAAAGCTTAGTGAGTTTTAAAATACTATGATCATCCAGAATAAGAAAATGTAATAGTCACACACCTGATTTCCACCCATCCCTCCTAACATAACACTATTCTAACTTTTACCAGTAAGGAATCAAATAGTGTGTGTAGTGTTTTGAACCACATTTTTTTGCTTAATATTATATTTGTGAGACGAATTGACTATATGACCTGCAAATGAAACTATTTATATTTATTTCTCTAATATTTTATTAGGTGATCATATTACAACTTATTTGTTTACTGTACTCTTTATAAGTATTTTAGTCCACTTTTGGGCCACAGTTTGGGGTTATTTTGGTGTTATTCTGAAAAGTGTTTTCATGAGTACACATTTTTTTTTAGCTATATATATGCATGCATTTCTGGAGAAACCATCTTTACAAGTAGAATTTTGGGGCCTAATACATATCTTTATCCAAATTATTTGAACTAAGTTATGCCAATAACATCAATTTGAGTGTTCTAATTAGTCAACATTCTCATCAATACTTTGCACTTTCTCTTCAACTTAGAATTCTAAAATATTCCTTTCAAATTCAGGATTCTGAATGACAAGTACTTACATCTCATTGTGGTTTGAATTATTTTTTCAGGTAACCAATATAAATAAAAACCTTTTAATAAGTTCATTGGTTATTTGAATATTTTATTTTTGAAGTGTCTAAAGTATTTTCTTTCTAATCCAGTCCAGTTATTTTTCTGTGGTTTGCTTCTTGTTGTCTTATTGAGTTCATTGCCTTTTTAATATTCTTTTCCGGTTAACATTTCCCCCTCACTGATCTGAAATGTTTTCATTATATACCACCTTTCCATATCTGTCAATGTCTTGATTTTCTATATGATCTTCATCTATCTGTAGTTATAACTCATTTTAATCATAGAAGCTTTAAGAATTGCTTAATATTTTGTATTGACTCCAAATTCCATTGATTTTATAGGATATTTCTAGCTATTCTTGCTTCTTTATTCCTCCAAGTAAATTTGTCTATTTTTCTAAATCTGGAAAAAGAAATTCTAGAAAATGTCGTTTTGTTATGACACAGAAGATATAAGTTTATTTAAAGAACTGGCACATTTATGATTTTAAGGCTTTTTCAAGAGCATGGAATTTCTTTCCCCGTGCTCAAGTCCAAATTTGTGCCATTCAGAAGTGTTTTCTAGTTTTTTTTATATATAGGTTTTAAACATTTCTGGTTAAGTTTATGCCCTCACATTTTATTTTAGTTTGGTTAATGACGTTTTACATGTGTGAGTTCCCTCAATTATTTGTTTTAAATGTTCTGATTCAATAGGAACACTCTCCTTAGTATCCTTAACAGAAATGATTCTTGTTTATAGAATTGCTAAATAAGTAAAGAAATTTTAAGTTAAATCATGGCAAGGAGTTATAATTATACTAAGCTTTTTTGTTCCTAGAGGTTTTGGCTCACTCATATGGTAATCTATATGAAAATTTTTCTGTGATATCTAATATTAGAAAGATCCTCAGTGATAGAATAGTGTTTCTTCCTAGCTGATTCATACATCTTTCTCTGCCAACATTTTGTTTGTTGAAGTGTTCCCCAACATATGACTCATTGCTTACTAAATCCCTATTGAGCAGCCAAAGCCCTGGTGACTAATTATGTCATTAATTTGGGAAAGTCAGAGACAATAAGACTGTCAGTTGAAACTTTGTAGGAGGTAAAAAAGTCACTGCTGTCAGCTGCAAAGATCCTTAAAACGGTCTTCAGTAAAGTCAAATTTTGTGACAAGAATTATTGCATCAAAGTCGGGGAAATACCTCTTAGATCAAATAAGATACATTGAAAAGCCAAAAATTATTTTTATCTCACTTTGGGTTCTCATAAGGTCTACCCACTGTTACTTGGATATGAGACTTAACAAATGGAAAAGAAGACAGGGGTACTGTCACACTGTATTTTCCTACGGCCTAATGACCACAATGGTTGATGAACTGCAGTAAAGTTTCTATAATATTTTCCATCTATTCATTTGCTCAATCACCTTGTAATGGTTATGTTGGTTAATTCCAGTCTTTCATGGGTAAGCAACAAAATGAGACTTAATTTGAAATATCCAGTATTTTTCTATTCTTACAAATAATTTTCAGGATCAATGCACTGAGGATTAGGAATGGCAATGTGTATTACTACTTTGATACCAACTATATCCAATCTAATGTTGGAATTTGTTTGACAAAGTGTTATGTATTTGAAAACAGGCAGCACTGAATAAAAAGAATATGGGCAAAAGAAAAATGGAAGTGTTTTGAATGGAAGTCTAAAATATTTATTGATCAATGCTGAACTGAGTAAGCAGGAGATGCCTGTACATAAATGACATTATCCTGATCTAGTAACAGGGAGAAGCAGAATATCTGAAAGCTGTTTATTAATTTGATAATAATAAGATTAGAAACATGCAAATCAAGATTAATAGTATTCACTTCTAATTGGGTTTAGGTAGACTTTGACTATTTTGCTTCTGATGTTCTTATATTTTTAATTTTCTATAATGATCATATAACATATAATATTTTCATAATATTAAACATTTTAGAATTAAACTCCATTAGAGTGTATCTTTCCTAAAATAATATAAACATCCAATCTTGTCCTTAACAATTCTGTTCTCAAACATTAGCCTATTCCCTCAAGCCAGTGTTGCTTTCGACCCATATTGTCCATCATTTCAATTTATCTCAAAGTTTTTTATTGCAACAATTAAATGCTTTGAATGATACCCAAGGCATAGTTCTATTTCAACAAAATTTCAAAGTTAATAGTTACATCAAATTTTGTTGGTGCTCATTGAATTTGGTTATTAAAACCATAAGTAGTATGTTTTATGCTGACTGAGGGAGATAAAAGTAGTAATGTTTAATATTCAAACTGTGATGACTGAAAAAAAAATGAGGCCTGTAAAATCTTATTTAACGTCAAATTTTAATTAAACAGGCTTAGCAGACCAAAATTAAAATCTCAATTATTTTTAAATTATTAATGACAGACAACTAGATTGAGTGAACACTGGCATCTCTTTTCAAATAACTTAGTTTAGTGGATGAGTTAAACATAAACTAGTTATTATAATGCAGCGAAGTATGTGAAAAATTTAATTTGAACCCTACTTAGCTTAAAATCCTGACATTCTAGGATGCAAGTCCTGCAAACTTTCCATATGTAATCAACAATTTTCTAAACATGCATGCTGTATCTCTCCTGTGTGACTTTGCATACATCATTCCCACATTCTAGATCATCCCGACCCACCTTAAGTGACTGCTTTTGCATAATCTCCCTTAAAATTCTAACTCAAGCACTGCATCTTTTGAGTCCTTCCCTAACATCTTAACATCTTCCTTCTTTCATTCATTATTAACTATAGTTAGTTATTATAGCACCTGTTAGCACTGTAAAATTATGTGTGTTACACAAGTACAACATGCAGACTAAGGTCGTGTATTACCTAGCCTCATACCAGCGTCACCTAGAACAGCAAAAATGTATGCAGATTAATCACAATATATTTGGATGTACAAAATATATTGAGAGCAAAATATGATGGAAATTTAGGTGATGCTCTTTGAGCATTGCTTCCATTTTCCAATAATGTAACCAGGAATCACTGTTCATGTAATTAAAGAACAATAAGTCTATGTGAATCAAAATATACATATACATGCAAATGTTAAACCTCAGCAGGAAGAGGCCCATTCTCTTGCTTGCTGATATATATATATATATATATATATATATATACACACACACACACACACACACACACATATATGTATGTTGTGTGTATATGTATATACACACAACAATCTATAGGCTTGCCTTTTAAAATAGTATAAGCAACAAATTTTAAGAGAAACAATAATGAGTGTGTAAAACATTAGATATGTGTATGTACCTTTGCTATTATTTGTGGAAATGGGGCTATAAAATAAGCTCCTTTATTTTCTTTTGTAAAACATTTCTTTAATATGAAGTAATGCAATACGTATTTATGTTCTAAGTGTTAATTTCCTTGGATATAAAATAATATCTTGTTCCTTTGATTCTCTTACATATAAGTGTATTTACTCAGATATTACTCCAAATACACCAGATATATTCAAAGTTGAAAAAATATATACTTTGGAATGTATTATCACCTTATTTCACATGAAGAAATCAAAATCTCTGGCATCCAAGTGCATTCCAGCCTGAAAAAAATTATGCAATTGTGAATTTAACAGAAAGCAAATTGCTCACATATGGAGTCAACGTGAAGCTATATCAATATTTATTAAAAGTTTATATATTACTTTTGATCCCCTGGAGAGAAATACAAAATTCAAATAATTATTCTATTTTTATATCCCAATTTGTAATTATGAAACTCTAGCATTTTAATTTTTCTCTTTCAAGTTTACCTGAAGCTTCACAAAATTCTGTGAGGAATCTATTATAACAGGTATTTTGCTTATTTCCACACAAACAGAAGGAAATGTGTATTTTCTATGCCCTGAAGAATTTACTCTTTTCTGTAAATGACATATGGTAGTTAATTCTTTTTGGTAATAAAATATTCCTGTTTTTAGGCCGAACAGCCTTTTCTTTAAATTCAGGGCAACATATCAAAGCTTTGCCGTAATAATACAGAGTAATCGACTAAAGTAATATAGAATTTAAATAACAAAGAGTTTAAACAATTTAATATGTCTTCTATTAATTTCAAACTGAAATTTTACAGAAATTATTTGGAATATGCTGCCAGAGTACACACACACACACACACACACACACACACACACAATCACACGCTCACATCACACACTCACACCCAGCTAAAGGAAATTACCACAGCTATAATGATTTCATTAAATATCTGAAATTAAAGTTTCTTTTGGATTTTCAGCTGAAGCTCATAGTAAATAAAAGTAATATGATCATTGTTGCATACTGTGAATCAACAGCACCCAGAAACCTTCGACTTTCTATATTTACACAGCTTAATTATCCGAACTGAAACCTGAGGCCATCTGTGTCAACATGATTTCACAATTCATTCCAGAAAATTATTTTTCAGGAAAGTAAGGCTGCAAACCAATAAATAACTTATTGTTTGCTTCAGGAAATTTCTGCAAATCAATTTATGTCAGTAAGCAACTCTCCTCTGGGCCAACAGATTGCTCACCTGGGCAGGTAGCAGCTTGTGTCAATTAACAGTTTACTTATGAAGACTTCTGTCATGGCCCTTAACTCACAGTGTCCCCCAATCCTAAACTCTATGTCCTGAACATTACCTATTCTTATCAGTCATTGGTCTTGAAAGGCCCCGGGCAACCATTTGAGCCCAGACTTCAATACTCTATCAATACCACCTTATCATCTACTTTTCTAACATGACCCCTCAAGGTGGTGACCCCACTTACAGTCGTCTTTTATTGAATTTAGCTTTCCCTAATCAACATGCTAGTCTATTGGATGCAGTGTCGGAGGCAAAAATCACAGAGGTTCTGAAAGCATCAGCCCATGGTTTTCTAAACATCATGGTTCAAGACCCTTAACACGAAACAGAAAGTTTCCCCGAGGCGCCGTAAACAACCCATTTGGGCGCTTCCCTGATAATTATAGTGAAATCTGGCATCTAATTTTTTTTGGTGGACTCTCAAATTTTATATTTATGTTTTGATTCCTAGAAATAAAAAATGTTTTTATAAGGAATTCTTTGATCGTTTATGTTTTATTCTTGATAGAAACCTACTACTTTATAACTTCGTTTATGTTTTACTCTTGATAGAAACCTACTACTTTATAACTTCGAACATTATTGATGTTCTTCCTGTATTTCTGAGAGGTGACAGCTTGCTGGCATCCCTCGCTGGCTCTCGGCACCTCCTCGGCCTCAGCCCACTCTGGCCGCGCTTGAGGAGCCCTTCAGCCCGCAGCTGCACCGTGGGAGCCCCTCTCTGTGCTGGCTGAGGCCTGAGCGGGCTCCCTCTGCTGGCGGGGAGGTGTGGAGGGAGAGGCGCGGGCCGGAACCTGGGCTGCCTGCGGGGCTCGCCGGTCCAGCGCGACTTCCGGGTGGGCGCGGGCTCGGCGCGACTTCCGGGTGGGCGCGGGCTCGGCGCAACTTCCGGGTGGGCGCGGGCTCGGCGCGCCCCGCACTCTTGAGCGGTCGGCTGGCGCCGCCGGCCCTGGGCAGTGAGAGGCTTAGCACCCGGGCCAGCAGCTGCGGAGGGTGCACTGGGTCCTCCAACAGTGATGGCCCGCCGGCGCCGCGCTCGAATTTTCGCTGGGCCTCAGCCACCTCCCCGCGGGGCAAGGGGGCAGGGCTCGGGACCTGCAGCCTGCCATACTGGAGCCCTCACCCTCCTCCCCGCCCCCGTCCCCTGCCCCCCGCCCCCCGCCCCCCAACCGCAGGCTCCCGCGCACCACCCCGAGGGGACGGGCGCCACCTCCTGCTACGCGGCACCCGGTCCCGTCAACCGCCCAACGGCTGAGGAGTGCGGCAGTGCGCCAGAGACTGGCGGGCAGCTCCGCCCGCGGCCGGGATGCACTAGGCAAAGCCAGCTGGGCTCCTGAGTCCGGTGGGTACTTGGAGAACTTACTGCGTCTAGCTGGAGGATTGTAAATGCACCAATCAGCATGCTGTGTCTAGCTCAAGGTATGTGAACGCACTAATCAGTGCTCTGTGTCTAGCTAATCTGGTGGGGACTTGGAGAACTTTTGTGTCTAGCTAAAGGATTGTAAACAGACCAAGCAGCTCTCTGTAAAATGAACCCATCAGCTCTCTATGAAATGGACCGATCATCAGGATGTGGGTGGGGTGAGATAAGGGAATAAAAGCAGCTGCCAGAGCCAGCAACAGCAACGTGCTAGGGTCCCTTTCCACAGTGTGGAGGCTTTGTTCTTTTGCTCTTTGCAGTCTTGCTGCTGCTCACTGTTTGGCTCTGCGCAGAACTGTAACACTCACCAAGAAGGTCTGCAGCTTCACCCAAAGATATTCCAAAGATACAGAAAACTATATAGAGACATTTTGTATAGTTCTAATAGCATATAATCCACAGGTCCCTGATCTATAATATGGGTTTTTTATAAAATTGTTTTTTTGTATGCTATGAGGAATTTTACTTGTTAAAAAGAAGAGGTGGAAAGGCAGAATATGAAAACTATGAAAATGACATAAGAGACTATGAATTAGGTGAGAAACCAGAGAGGTTTAGAAACCTGTAGACATTGTGCATCCCCCAATGCCTTTCCCCTTAAAAAAATATTATATTCTAATCCAGTCCATCAAATAAAGTCTACATTCATTAGAAACATATTCTCTTGGTTTTTATAATTTCAGTTTTTTCCAGACACAGATAGTGCATATGCAGATTTGTTACTTTTGTACAGTGCACCCTGGTAGTGAGCATAGTACCCAGTAGGTAGTTATTCAGCCCATGCTCCCCTCTCTCCCCCACCCCCATAGCCTGCAGCATGTCTTGTTCCCATGTTAATGTTCCTGTGTGCTCAGTGTTTAGGTTCCACTTATAAGTGAGAATGTGTGGTATCTGGTTTTCTTTTCCAGCACTAATTTGCTTAGGATTATGTCCTTAGCTCCATCCATGTTGCTGCAAAGGACATAATTTCATTCTTTTTTATGGAGGCATAGTATTCCATAGTGTATATGTACCACATTTTCTTTATCCAATCCACCTTTGATGGGCACCTAGGTTCATTCCATGTCTGTGCTATTGTGAATAACATGCTGATGAACGTACGAGTGCATATATATTTTTCTGGTAGAATAATTTATTTTCCTTTGAATATATACCCAGTAATGGGAATGCTGGGTCGAAGGGTATCTCTGTTTTAAGTTCTTAGAGAAATCTCCAAAATACTTTCCACAGTACCTGAACCAGTTTACATTTCCATCAACAGTAGTGTATAAGCATTCCCTTTACTCTGCAGCCTGGCCAACATCTAATTTTTTTACTTTTTAATTATAGCTGTTGTGACTGATGTGAGATGGCATCTTACTGTGGTTTTTGCTTGCATTTATTTATTTGATGATTAGTAAGGATGAGTGTTTTTTCATATACTTGAGTGTCTTCTTTTGAGAAAATATCTGTTCATGTCCTTTGCCTTTTCTTGATTTAAATTTTAAGTTCTGGGGTACATGTGCAGGAAGCGCAGTTTTGTTACATAGATAAACGTGTGTGGTGGTGGTTTGCTGCACCTATCAACCCATCACCTAGGTATTAAGCCCAGCATGCATTAGCTATTTTTCCTGATGCTCTCCCTCTCCTCAACCCCCTACAGAAAATTATAGTGTGTGTTGTGTGTTGTTCCCCATTGTGTGTTGTTCCCCTCCCTGTGTCCATGTGTTCCCATTGTTCAGCTCCCACTTATAAGTGAGAAGATGTGGAGTTTGATTTTCTGCTCCTGTATTAGCTTTGCCCTTTTTAACTGGGGTTGTTTTATGCTTGTCATTTTTTCTTCCTTATGGATTTGTTATATTAGATCTTTATCAGATGCATAGTTTGCAAATATTTTCTCCCATTCTGTAAGTTGTCTGTTTACTCTGTGGATAGTTTCTATTGCTGTGCAGAAGCTTTTTAGTTTGATTGACTTTCACTTGTCAATTTCGTTTTTGTTGCAATTGTTTTTAGAAACTTAGCCAAAAATTATTTGCCAAGGCCAATGTCGAGAAAAATATTTCCTAGGTTTTGTTTTAGAGTTTTCATAATCTGAAGTCTTACATTTTAACCTTTAATCCATCTTGAATTAATTTGTGTGTGTGGTGGAAGGTAAGCATCCAGTTTCACTCTTCTGCTTATGGCTAGCGAATTATCCCAGCACCATTTATTGAATAGGGTGCCTTTTCCCCATTGTTTGTTTTTGTTGGCCTTGTCCACGATCCAGATGGTGGTAAGTGTGCAGCTTTATTTTTGAGTGTTCTATTCTGTTCCATTGGCTTAAGTGTCTGCTTTTGTAACAGTATCATGGTTAGTGTACACTTATAGTATAGCTGGAAATTGGGTAGTATGACGCCTCTCTGGCTTTATTATTTTTGCTCAGAATTGCTTTGGCCATTCTGGCTTTTGGGGGTGTTCCATATAAATTTAGAATAGTTTTTTCTAATTCTGTGAAGAATGATGTTGGTAGTTTCATGGAGATAGCCTTGAATCTACAAGTTGCTTTGGGCAGTGTGGCCATTTTAACAATATTGATTCTTTTAATCTGTAAACATGGAATGTTATTCCATTTATTTGTGTTATCAAAATCTCCTTCCTTCCTTCCTTCCTTCCTTCCTTCCTTCCTTCCTTCCTTCCCTCCCTCCCTCCCTCCCTCCCTCCCTTCCTCCCTTCCTTCCATCGTTCCTTCCTTTTCTTATTTCCTTCCTTTTTTCAGACAGAGTCTCACCCTTTCACCCAGGCTGGAATGCAGTGGAGTTATTATAGCTCACTGCAGGCTTGAACTCCTGGCCTCAAGCCGTCAGGGTAGTTAGGACTACAGGCATGTGCCACCATGCCTCGCTATTTAAAAAAAAAAAAAAAATTTGTATAGATGAGGTTCCACTATGTTGCCTAGGTTGGTCTCAAACTCCTGGGTCCAAGCGATATACCTGCCTCGGCCTCCCAAAGGCATGAACCACTGCATCCAGCTTCAGATTTCAGCTGTGTTTTGTAATTCTCCTTGTGGAGATCGTTCACATCTTAGGTTAGTTGTATTTGCAGGGATTTTATTTTCATCCTAGGTGTTGTAAATATGATTGTGTTCTTAATTTAACTCTCAACCTGGTTGTTGTTGTTGTATAGAAATGCTACTAATTGTTGTACATTGATTTTGTATCCTGAAACCTTGCTAAAATCCTTTATCATTTCTAGTAGACTTCTGTTGAAGTCTTTAAGGTTTTTTAGGTATAGAATGATATTGTTGGGTGAAGACAGATAGTTTGCCTTAATCTTCACTTCCTATTTGGGTGCTTTTCTCTTTTTCTGTTGCAAGATTGCTCTGACTAGGATTTCTGGTACTATGTTGAATAGGAGTGGTAAGAGTGGATGTCCTTGGCTTGTTTCATTTCTAAAGGAGAATGCTTTCAGCTTTTGCCCATTGAGTATTATATTGGCTGTGGGTTTGTTGTAGATAGCTCTTTTTTATTTTGAAGTATGCTTATTTGAAGCCTCAACTGTTGAGGGTTTTTTTTTGTTTTGTTTTTTCATGAAGGGACACTGGATTTAATTGAAAGCTTTTCCGGCATCCATTGAGATGATCATATGGTTTTTGATTTAATTCTGTTTATCTGGTGAATCACATTTATTGATTTGCATATGTTGAACCAGCCATGCATCCCAGGAATAAAGCCTGTATTGTCATAGTAGATTAATTTTTTGATATGCTGCTGATGGATTCAGTTTGCTAGTACTTTGTTGAGAATTTTTGAGTCTATGTTCGTCAACAGTGGTCACCTGAATGTTCTTTTTTTTTGCGTCTCTGCCAGGTTTTGGTATTAAGCTGCTTCTGGCTTCACAGCGTGAGTTAGGAAGGAGTACGTTCTCTTCAACTTTTCTGGAATAGTTTCAGTAGAATTGTACTAGTTCTTCGTTATACTTCCGGTAGAATTTTGCTGTGAATCCATATAGTCCAGGGCTTTTTGGCTTGGTAGATTTTTTATTACTTATTCAATTTCAGAGCTTCATATTGGTCTCTTCAGTATTTCAGTATCTTCCTGATTCAATCTTGGAAGATTGCCTGTTTTCAGAAATTTATCCATTTCCTCTAGATTTTCTAATTTTTGTGTCTAGAGTTATTCCTAGTATTCTCTGAGGATTATTTTGTATGTCTGTGGGACCATTTTTAATGTCGTTTTTGTCATTCTGATTTATATATTTAGATCTTCTCTTTTTTTTCTTTGTTTATCTAGCTAAAGGTCTATCAATCTCTTTTTTTAAATCAACTCTTGGTTTCATTAATCTTTTGTATGGATTTTTGCATCTCAATTTCATTCAGATCTTCTCTATTTTAGTTGTTTCTTTTCATTCCTAGCGTTGATGTAGGGTTGTTCTTTTTTTTTTCTTCCCTAGTTCCTTTAGGTGTAGTGTTAGATTGTTAATTTGAAGTATTTCTAACTTTATGATAAAGGCATTTAAACGTTCCTCTTAACACTGATTTAGCTGCATCCCAGAGATTTTGGTAATTTGTGTTCCCATTTTCATTAATTTCACTTTCTTAAAATTTCTCCCTTAATTTTGATTTTCACACAGAAGTTATTCAGGAGAAAGTTGTTTAATTTTCATCTATTTGTGTAGTGTTGAGAGATGTTGATATTTATTTATATTTTGATTACATTGAGATCTAAGAGTGTGCTTGATATGATTTCATTTTTTAAAATTTATCCAGACTTGCTTTATGACCAAGCATGTGGTCAATGTTAGAATATGTTCCCTGTGCAGATGAGAAGAATGTATATTCTGTGGTTATTGAGTGGAGTGTTCTGTAGATGTCTTATTAGGTCCAAATGGTCAAGTGTGAAGTTTAAGTACACAGTTTCTTTCTTGGTTATCTGCTTTGATGATCCAGTGCTGCCAGCGGGGGTGTTGAAGTCTCCTACAGTTATTGGGTGGTCGTCTGTCTTTTTGTAGTCCAAAAAGAACTTGTTTTATGAATCTGGGTGCTCCATGTTGGGTGCATTTATATTTAGGGTACTTAAGTATTCTTGTTTGATCATATACTTTCTCATGACGTAATGCTCTTCATTCTTCAATTGTTCTTTTTAATTTTGATTAAAGTCTGTTTTATCTGATATAAGAATAGTTACTCCTGCTTTTTTGTTATCATTTGCATGGCAGATTTTCTCCATCCCCTTATTTTGGGCCAGTGGCTGTCATTACATATGAGATGAGTCTCTTGAAGACTACAGATGGTGAGCCTTGCATTTTTATCCAGTTTGCCATTGTATGTCATTTAAGTGGGGGTGTTTAGCCTATTTACATTTATGGTTAATGTTGATACATGAGATTTTGATCCTATCATCACGTTTGTAGCTGGTTTTTAGGTAGACTTGATTGTGTAGATACTTTATAGTGCCTGTGAGCTATGTACTTCAGTGGGTTTTTGTGGTAGCAGGTGTCATTCTTTTTACTCAATGTATAGCACTCCCTTAAGGACCTTTCATAAGGCTGGTCAAGTTGAAATTGATTCCCTCAGTATTTGCTTATCTGAGGAGAAATTTGTTTCTTCTTCACTTAGGAAGTTTAGTTTAGTGAAATATAAAATTATTGCCTGGAATTTATTTTCATTAATGATGTTGGACATAGGCCCTTAATCTCTTCTGGCTTGTAAGGTTTTTGCTGAGATATTTACTACTAGCCTAGTGGAGTTCTTGCTTTATGAAAACATGACCTTTCTCTCTAGCTGCCTTTAAGATTTTTTTTTCTTTTGTATTTACTTTGGTGAATATGATGACTGTGTGCCTTAGGGATAGTCACCTTTTGTAGTGCCTAGCTGGGTTTGCTGTATTTTTTGGATTTACATGTCACTCTCTCTAGCGAGGTTAGGAAGATTTTCATAGACTCTATTCTCAAATCTATTTTCCAAGTTGCCTTTTCTCTTTGTTTCTCTTCTAGGAATGACAATGAGTCGTAGATTTGGTCTCTTTATATAATTCCATATTTCTTAAAGCTTTGGTTCATTTTCTTTTTTTAATTCTTTTTTAAAATTTTCTTTTGACTCAGTTGATTCAACGAACCAGTCTTTGAGCTCTGAGATTCTTTCCTTAGCTTGGCCTACCTTCTGTTAATATTTCTTATTGTATTATAAAATTCTTATACTGAATTTTTTCTGCTCTAGAAATTCAGTGTGGCTGTTGTTTAAAATGGCAATTTCATCTTTCAGCACTTACTTAGATTGCTTTACTGGATTACTTGGCTAGGGTTTCAACTTTCTCCTTAATGTTCATGAGCTTCCCTGCCATCGAGGTTCTGTATTCTATGTCTGTTGCAATTATTTTAGACTGATTAAGAACCATTGCTTGGTAGCTAGTGGGCTAATTTTGAGGTAAGAGGACACTCTAGCTTTTTGAATTGCCAGAGTTCTTGCACTGATTTTTTCTCTTCTGGTAGGGTTAGTGTTCCTTTAACTGTAGTGTATGTTGAGTATAGGCAATTGGTTTTGTTTCTGGATGCTTTCAAAGGGTCAGGGCTTTCTCTGTCCAGGATTTTTATGTATGAGTAATTCTGGTGTTTGGTTTCACAGGTGTATATGTAGCAGGATAAATTTTGATGTTGTAGTTTGGGATGTGATCCAATGCATAGTGCTTAAGAGTGATGGCCAGTGGCTAGCCTAATACCCAGTGGCATGGCTGTTTTATACTTCCTTTTGTTTGCAGGTGTGCTCTATAGTGGGGGTGGGAGAGATGCCTCCATCACCAGATGTGCTCCTGGGCCCTGGGGGAGTCTCCTGCAGTCACTGTGTTTCTTGTGTTAGGTGTTCTAGGCCACAGGTCTCTCTCAGGCAGAGGCCCTTTCCTAGGAGCCATTCTGGGGAACTAGCTGTAGTGTTTGGGTTCCCTGCACAGGCTTCCTCCCTCTTCAGCTCAGCTTCATTGCTGCCTCTGCATCCACTCAGCATTTTCTCTCTCAAGATCTGCCTAAATTACGGTGGTTTACTCCATAATTTGGTATCTCTCAGTGGGGGTGGTGCTTCCTGACCATGTCAAATTGACCATGTATTGTCACAGAATGAAAACCTCTTTGATAGACTTTGTAACATTTTTGAATATTACATTCAGGAGTAAAATCTTACGCAGTGTGATCCCAGCTATCTCTTCACTTTTGAGAATAACCTTAAGTAATTAAAGGATAATTAAATATGTAATTAAAAATTGAAAAATATAACAGCTACACTTCCAGATGTCAACTTCTTTCAGAAAATTTTAAAATCTCTTTAAAGAAAGGTAAATTGAGACCAAAATAGATTAATAGCTTTATAAAAATAAGTGCTCAAGGAGGGTGTTACATGTGAAAATTAAACTTGGAATTTGTCATTTTACCCGTAAAATTACTGAGAGTAATTTCCTTGAAATGGAAATAACTTTACAAATTTTTAATTAACAAAAATGCTGAAATATTACTCCGCTTACCTTTATGTAACCTCTTCCTTGAAAACAACAATTTACTCATCTGGTGTGTGACTCTGATAACCTTCAATCATTCTCTATATCTGACACCATGACTAGTAACTTAGATCTTTAACTAAGCAACCTTTCTTTCCACCTTTGTGATATTATATCTAGTAATTTAATAACAGACAATCTATGTTGCAAATTAAACTTCCAAATTGAATAGTAATTTTCAAATCCCAAGGACCCATTTCTTCTGCCTCAATCTTAATTAGGTCTTAGTTAATAGAAAAATTAACTGGCTGGGTGCGGTGGCTCATGCCTGTAATCCCAGCACTTTGGGAGGCCAAGGTGGGCGGATCACCTGAGGTCTGAAGTTCGAGACCATCCTGGCCAACATGGTGAAACCCCATGTGTACTAAGAACACAAAAAATTGGCCGGGTATGGTGGTGGGTGGGTGCCTGTAATCCCAGCTACTCAGGAGGCTAAGGCAGGAGAATCACTTGAACTGGCGGGGTGGAGGATGCAGTGAACCGAGATCCCAGCACTGCGCTGCAGCCTGGGCAGCAACAGTGAAACTCCTCAGAAAAAAAAAAAAAAAAAAGAAAAAGAAAAAGAAAAAAGAAAATTAACTAAATCAAGCCTAAATAAAACACACTCAGGAGTTGTATCTGTTGTTGTTTATACTCCTTTGGATGCTGTGCTGGTTAGTCGTTTCCCATTCCTTTGGCTGTAAGAATGCTGATATGTCTGGGAATAGAATGCTATACCACGAAATACCAAATAATTTCAAATGGTGCCCTTAAATTGTATCACTTTTTTAAAAATTCAGATTCTTATTAGTAAAATTACTTGATAGCACTGTGCTGACCAAGTTGATTGTGATCATCCCAGCTTAGACTTTTCTAAAAACTTTTTTTTAGAATAATCTATAAACTGAACTTTAGTATGCATTTCAGATATTTAGGTATATAATTTTTTTTTTTTTTTGAGACAGAGTCTCACTCTCACCCAGGCTGGAATGCAGTGGCGCTATCTTGGCTCACTGCAACCTCCACCTCCCGGGTTCAAGCAATTCTCCTGCCTCAGCCTCTCGAGTAGTTGAGACTACAGGTACCCATCACCATGCCTGGCTAATTTTTGTATTTTTAATAGAGACGGGGTTTTACCATATTGGCCAGGTTGGTCTTGAACTCCTGACCTTGTGGTCTGCCTGCCTCGGCCTCCCAAAGTGCTGGGATTACAGGCGTGAGCCACCATGCCTGGCCTAAGTGTGTGTGTGTGTGTGTGTATTTTTTTTTTTTTTTTTTTTTTTGAGATGGAGTTTTGCTCTTGTTGAACAGGCTGGAGTGCAATGTCGCGATCTCAGCTCACCACAACCTCCGCCTCCCAGGTTCAAACAATTCTCCTGCCTCGGCCTCCCGAGTAGCTGGGATTACAGGCATGCGCCACCACACCTGGCTAATTTTTTTTTGTATTTTTAGTAGAGATGGGGTTTCTCCACGTTGGTCAGGCTGGTCTCGAACTCCTGACCTCAGGTGATCCATCCACCTCGGCCTCCCAAAGTGCTGGGATTAGAGGCGTGAGCCACTGCGCCCGGCCTATAATTTTTGATAGATGATTTTGGATTATTTTCCAGAGATAAAATTTTAAATGTTTCCATTATATCACTGATTTATTTCTGCAAATTGAATAAATTCTTAATTTTCTGCATGCACATAATACAAAAGGTATTTTCATAGTTTTGGATTTATACCAAATGAAAAGGACTCTCTTGATGAGCACCTTTAACTGATTTTTCTGTTAAAGTTTTAACAATTTGTTCTTGGAAGTCAGTTCGTGAAGGCAAGTTTGTCAGTATTTTCACAAAACTATTCAGCTGAATCCAGAAAGTGAAACAGCAAGAATTTGCATTGTAAAATTGTGTTATAAAATTGGACTTTGAAATTTCAAAAATAAGAAAAATTTTCATGTGTATTTATACTAAATACCGTTTTAGGAAACTAGGATCAGGGTGTTTCTGTTGGCGTTGGCATTAACTAGCTGGATGTAAATTTGAAAAGCCACTCAAGCAGCTTCCTAGTCTAGAAAGTCAGAGGTTTAGATTAGATTTCCGACATCCCTTCCATTTCTGACCTGTAGTTCTTGTCTGGAATTCTGCTTTGTTATAAACTATTGTTCTAAGGAGTTTGTTGTGATAGCACATAGTTCATTTTGTAAAGATTCCCTGCGTATAAAGTGATGCCCTACATATGTGATTTTGTATTAAAAGTATATAGGATCATTATTTTATTTTGAAAAATTTAAATACAGAAAAGTATAAAATATAAGTACCATCCGCCCAGAAATAACATGTGTTAATGTTTTGTCATATGTGCTTTATATTTTTTGAAATAAAGTGAAGTCAACTAGTATTTATAGTAAATAAGTTACATACACATAAGTACATATATGATATTTAATCCTCACAACGATCTTTTGACATGTGACCATTTCTTATTCTTCTTTTATAGACAAGGAACTAATGATATGATAGATTAACTGGCTGTTGTCACACTAGCAAGTGGCAAAACAAGGGATTAGGATCTTAGTCTCTTCAACTGTTAGATTCTATACTTCCATCCTGTGTTGACTTTGTTAATGGATTGGATAATGTGAGATCACTCTGATGTAAATAAAGTATCCTATATTAATTTCGAGTGCATTTTAAGTACTTGTAACATAAATGCTTCCTGTGAAATATCTGTAAAGACCTGAATGGGTACATGTGTGTAAAGAAGAATCAGGGCAGAAAAGTGCTTTTATCATGGCTCCGGGGACCTTAGCTTCAGTTGGTGTTGTGAGAATTCCTCACACAAGGACATTCTCCTTGCTTCAGCATCAGGATGGAAGTGTTTCTCATCTGGACTTTTTCAAAGACTCAGCTGGAGGAATCAGAATTCATAATTTCCTGGCAGCTCATGATTCTGCTACACTACACCATGCCATCTCTTGTGTGAAAGGACAGATTTGATGGAGGACTATGTCATCCCTCATGCGTTTCTTATTGTCTACATTTATTCTAATGGGAAGAAGTGAGCAAAAACACCTCAATAATTTGGGTAGTTTTTAGAAAACCTTGTTAGTAAATTAGAATAGTGCCACTTTGGCATTATGAGAAAGAAGCATGGATACATAACTAGGGTTTTGTGTATGACTACAACGAAATGCAGAATGGTGTCTCCAAAAGGTTTCCAGTTGCTGCCACAAGAACTGCTTGGTATTGCCTACATGTGTTGTCCTATTTTTGCTTTGCCCTTCTGCAGTTACTTGCTGTGGGACCTTGGAGAAATTAACTTAGCCTCTCTGTACTTCAGTTTTTTGTATTTGTAAAAATATATTTGTAATAATCTCATAGTTAAGAAGGTAGTTAATGTGTGACTCAGTCCTTGTCTAAAAGTAAATATGCCTAGCTACCCCCATCTTCCAAAGCCAGAAGGTGAAACTTTAACAAGTTTTCTAAAAGCAAATTGTGTTTTTTAAAAGTGCATGTGTCATCCAATCCCATATGATTGATCTGTGCTGGGTGCAGCCTTAGAATGTAAATTCTTTTGAATTCTAGGCAGAGAATGCAGGATTGGCATTCTAAATATTTGTACATGATAAACAAATGCTTCTTTAGGTTACAGCAAATAGTTTACTTATCAAGATCACGATTGTTAGATACTGTTGTCAATTACAGAGGTTTTAGATGAGGCTTTCTGGAATGATTTAGTTTCCCTGTAAGGGAGCCTGTCTATTGGAATAGACAGGTTCACTTCTCCCAGTCTTTCAAGTTGCATGCTTTTTATATCTGATTCCACTGGCTGAGCTGATTGTGAATGTCCTAACCCTGTTGATAGTGTCTGGCCACTCATGGGCAAAGAACAGATTATCCATTCTTTATAGTTGTCTTTTAGTTTTACAAGTTGAAAAAACATCTGAGTAGGTTAGATAATTTATTCTACCACTTTGTAAATGATTAGAATATGTCAGTCATAATCATGCCAAGAGATTATGGATTTATGCATATTTTGTTTTGCTGTAGTACCATTCCTAGTTGAATCTTAACATCCATGTCTAAAATCTATACAGAGCAAATATTACAGTTGGGAAAACTGTTTCAGTCTCCTCTCTTCGCAAATATGCTTTATATTTATTGGGGAGTCCTCTATCTTTTTCCTGGTTTTCCTTAAAGCCTTCCCAGGCTGATGGATAACAAACATATGCAAGAAACTTGGGGCTTGGGATTCCTCTAGGCTGTTTGTCCTAGAGGAATGCATCCCGTCTTGCAAATAGGATGGTCAATTAAGATGGAAGGAAGCAAAAGTGTGGATAGGAAGGAAGGGCACAAAAGGAAAAGTGTGGAATTTGTGTGTGAGTCCTCTAATGAGGTCAAAGGTGGGAGGGAGGCAAGCATGGAAGCTTCCTGGCACTGCGATACTAATTTCCCCTCCTCTCCCTTTTAAAATCCTGTCTTCTGGGAGGAAATGAGACTGATTATGGAGTTCCCACTAAGCCCTGCAGGGTTGGTGGAGACAACCCCATTTTACACATTAGTTCATAGACTTGGGTTGTGACTTGCTTGAGGTCACCCAGCCAGTGTGTCAGAGCCTGATTTTAAATCCAGGGCTGTTCTTTCCACTGCTATGCAAGATACCTTCTGTTTATATTTTTGAGGGAGACAACAGAGATGGGAAAAATTTTTAACAATAAAATAAAGGCAGTGGAGGGGATGAGTATGCTGATGGGGAAGGAAAGAGGCCCTAGCTTCTGCAGTTCCTTTGTGTTATTCCTAACCCTTTTCTCATCTGGGGGTGCACTGCCTCTCCATTTCTCAAGTATGGGAAATGCCAGTAATTCCACTTGTGTTAATTGGCAGTCAGACAACTTGTCCAAAACTGAATTGATCTTACCCACCCCGCCAACATTTTAATAATTGCAACCCCAACCTTTCAGTTGCTCAGCTAAAGACTATGGAGGTATCCTTGATTCTTTTCTCATAACACACATCCAGTGTATTGGTAAGATTTAGAATTCAGTCACTTCTCACCAGCTGCTGGTCCAAGCCATCACAATTCCCCCAAAGTTCTTAACAGTGCTCACAGCCTCTCCTCCCCACCTTACCCTTCTGATTGCAGCTGCCACCACTCATCCCCTGCTCACTCCTGCAGTCGTCAAAGACCCCAATGCACTTCTACCTCAGGGCCTTTGCACTTGCAGCTCTCTTTGTCTGAAGAGCTTTTCCCCTAGGTATCAGTAGGGTTAACACCCTTCCTCATTCAGGTCATGGCTTAACTGTCTTCCCAGCGAGGACTCCTCTGGCCACCCTATTTTATTTTTTGAGATGAAGTCTCTGTCACCCAGGCTGGAGTGCAAGGTTGGCTCACTGCAACCTGTGCCTCCTGGATTCAAGCGATTCTCCTGCCTCAGCCTCCCGAGTAGCTGGGATTACAGGCGCCTGCCAGCACGCCCGGCTAATGTTTTTGTATTTTTAGTAGAGACGGAATTCACTATGTTGGCCAGGCTGGTCTCGAACTCCTGCCCTCCGATGATCCACCCCCGCTCGGCCTCCCAAATCACCATGCCTGGGATTACAGGTGTGAACCATCGCACCCGGCCTGGCCACCCTATTTTAAACTGCAAACTTTTCCCCTTCAGTGCTTAGTTTTTCTCCACAGCATTATCACCATTTCATATAGTATATGTTTTTCTTCATACTGACTCCCCTTGGAGAAGGAAAACTCCACGAGAGCAAGGATTTTTGACAGTTTTTCATTGTTATTTCTTCAGTGCTTAGACATGCATCAGGCTCAAAGTAGATGCTCAATGTTTGTTGAATGAACAGCAAGAGCAATGGAGGAGTCCTGAAATACACAGCAAGAAGCAAGGATAATTCTGGCTTTACTTCTGTGGCCAGGGTCCTTCATCCCAACCTTTTAGAAGTAGAAAAACCAGATCGAGCTCCTCAGAACCCAGGTCGATGGCTGCAGAGCCTTCGACCTTCCGAGAGCGAATGGCGATCACTCTTTCCGGTTCTCTGTGAATTCCAGCTGGAACACCGTCCCTTTCCGCGCCCCAACTCAGCGGAGGCCATGCCCTGCACCTGAGCGCCCCGCTCCGGCAGCTGCACTCTGCAGCATCCGGAACGTTTCGGCGTGGCCGCAGGGCGCGGCGGAATGACTTCCGGGGCGCCCCTAAAGCGGCGGAGAGGAGTGTCGGGCGGAGTTTCCGGCTGAGAGTCCTTCTAGCGGCGCCGGTGAGTCCGCGTGTGGAAGTCTGTGAGGCGCAGAGGTGGGGCAGGCCGTCTGGCTAGCTAGGCGGCTGGGAGCGTTTTCGTGGCGGGGAACGGAGGTTGAATTGCCCTGCCTGGGCTCATAGGGAAGGAGGATGTGAAGGAGCTTGTGAAGGCAGAGGAAGGTAACTTTCGTCTGGGGAGCCGCAGAGTAGGGAGGGAAGCTGCAGGCCGTCTCTCCCTAAGTAAAAGCGCGACTTTTAGAAATGATGGTTCAGGGTTCGAGTTTGTGACCCGCTTGAGAAAGTGACCAACCTCTGAGCCTGAATCCCATACCTGAAAAACAAGGACAGTAATCACCCTTGCCAGTTTCACATAGCTTGGTAAGGTGTGAAGAAAAGCTTCTTAAATTGGGATGTTTGGTGCTCTCATTTGTTGGCAGATAGCATTCCGAGCTCATGTAACGGGAATCACACCAGTAGGCTTATGCTGAGGAACGTGGATTGTTTGGGGTTGGATTCCAGGAAACAGATCACTTAAAAATTTTTTTTTTTCTTCGAGACGGAGTCTCGCCCTGTCGCCAGGCTGGAGCGCAGCGGCGCGATCTCGGCTCACTGCAACCTCCACCTCCCGGGTTCAAGCGATTCTCCTTCCTCAGCCTCCCGAGTAGCTGGAACTACAGGCGCGTGCCACCACGCCCAGCTAATTTTTGTATTTTCAGTAGAGACGGGGTTTCACCATGTTGGCTAGGATGGTCTTGATTTCTTGACCCCGTGATCCTCCCGCCTCGGCCTCCCACAGTGCTGGGATTACAGGTGTGAGCCACCCACCTGGCCTCGCTGATATTTTTAAGAAGAAAATGGACTGACGGGAAGTGACAGGCCATTGGAGATCTTTACAAAGTCCATCTTCAGGATGCATGAATCCTTTAAACAGCATGCATGTTTACAATCAGACTTCCCATTGAACGTCTGCAGTTTTAGGGACCTTAATACCTCCTGTCCAGTCGGATTTCCCGTTGCAGGCAGCTCTAATTAAGAAGTCCTTTTAGCCGGGCGTGGTGACTCATGCCTGTAATCCCAACACTTTGGAGGACCGAGGTGGGCGGACCAGTTGTGGTCAGGAATTCGAGACCAGGCCTGGCCAACAGGCTGGTGAAACCCCGTCTCTACTAAAAATAAAAAGGTTAGCTGTGGTGGCGTGTGCCTTAATCTCAGCTATTCGGGAGACAGAAGAGACAGTAGAATCGCTTGAACCCTGGAGGCGGAGGTTGCAGTGAGCCGAGATTGCGTCACTGCACTCCAAGCTTGGGCGACAGAGCAAGACTCTTGTCTCAAAAAAAAAAGAAAAAAAAGAATTCCTTTGATATGGTCAGCCAAAAGTCTCTCAGTTGCTATTTACTTTTATATTTATAATATTTATTATATATTTGTAATTATTTTATTTATTTTGAGATAGGGTCTCACTCTGTCACCCAGTCTGTAGTGCAGTAGTGAACATAGTAGCCTCGACTCTCCTGGGCTCAAGTCATCCTCCCACTTTTGCTTCCCAAGTAGCTGGGACTCAAGTACTCGCCACCTCGCCCAGCTAATTTTTTGATGTTTTGTAGAGACAAGGTTATTGCCCAGGCTGATCTGAGCGCCTGAACTCAAGCAATCCTTTTGCCTTGGCCTCTCAAAGTGCTGGGATTACAGGTTTGAGCCACTGTGTGCCCTGCCAAGAATTTGAGTTTAAAAACGTTGAGAACGTTATGCGAGTTTTTCATTTTTAAAGTTCACAATACGTAACAGAAAACAGGGAGGAGCAAAATGTTCAGTTGAGGCTGGGTGTGGTGACTCACGCCTGTAATCCCAGCACTTTGGGAGGCCGAGGTGAGTGGGTCACCTGAGGTCAGGAGTTCGAGACCAGCCTGGCCACCATGGCAAAACCCCATTTCTACTAAAAACACAAAAGTTAGCCAGGTGTGGTGGCGGGCTCTTGTAATCCCAGCTACTCGGGAGGCTGAGGCAGGAGGATCACTTGAACTCGGAGGCGGAGGTTGCAGTGAGCCGAGATCGCGCCATTGCACTCCAGCCTGGGTGGTGAGTGAAACTCCGTCTTAAAACAAAAAAAGAAACAAAAATATTCTGTTTACAGGCAGATCACTTGAGGTCAGGAGTTTGAGATCAGCCTGGCAAGTCAGGTGAAACCCTGGCTCTACAAAAATATAAAACATGGCAAAACCCTGACTGTACTAAAAATACAAAAATTAGCTGGGCATGGTGGCACGCGCCTGCAATCCCAGCTCCTTGGGAGGCTGAGACAGGAGAATCACTTGAACCCGGGAGGTGGAGGTTGCAGTGAGCCACGAGGTGGTGGAGTTGGGAGGGAGATTGCATTGGGGAGGATGGAGGTGTGATGAGGACATTTATTTGTGCATGAATGAATGAATGACAGAGTCTCGCTCTCTCACCCAGGCTGGAGTGCAGTGGCACAACCTTGGCTCGCTCCAGTGTCTACCTGCCAGGTTCAAGTGATTCTCCTGCCTCAGCCTCCCGAGTAGCTGGGATTACAGGTGTGCACCACTAGGCCCTGCTGATTTTTGTATTTCTAGTGGAGACGGCATTTCACTATGTTGGCCAGCCTGGTCTTGAACTCCTGACCTGAAATGATCTGCTGGCCTCGGCCTCCCAAAGTGCTGGGATTACAGGATGAGCCACCGTGCCCGTTTCTCTCTCTCTCTTTCTTTCCTTTCTTTTCTTTCTTTTTTGAGGCAGGGTCTCATTCTGTTGCCCAGGCTGGAGTGCAGTGACCTGATCTCGGCTCACTGCAGCCTCCGTGCCTCCTGGGTTCAAGCAGTCCTCTTGTCTCAGCCTCCCCAGTAGCTGGGATTACAGGGGCCCGCTCCCACCAACCTCCTAGCTAATTTTCAAACTCCTGACCTCAAGTGATCACCTGCCTTAGTCTCCCAAAGTGCTAGAATTACAGATGTCAGCCATCATACCTGGCCTGGTTTTTTTTTTTTTTTTTTTTTGAGACGGAGTCTTGCTCTGTCACCCAGGCTGGAGTGAAGTGGCGTGACCTTGGCTCATTGCAGCTTCTGCCCTCCAGGTTCAAGGAATTCTCCTGCCTCAGCCTCCCTAGTAGCTGGGATTACAGGCACCTGCCACCATGCCCAACTAATTTATGTATTTTTAGTAGAGACGGGTGTTGCCATGTTGGCCTGACTGGTCTCGAACTCCTGACCTCAGGTGATCCGCACCTTGTCCTCTCAAAAGTGCAGGGATTACAGGGATGGAGCCGCTGCACCTGGCCCTGGCCTGTGTTTGTTTGTTTTGTTTTGTTTTCAACTTTTATTTTCACGGAGTACGTGTGCATGTTGGTTACATGGATAAATTGCTTGTTGTTGAGGTTTGGTATACAAATGATCCCGTCACCCTGGTAGTAAACATAGTACCCGATAGGCAGTTTTTCAACCCTCACTCTCTCCCATCCTTCCCTGTCTAATAGTCTCCAATGTCTGTTGTTCTCATCGTTATGTCCACGTGTACTCAGTGTTTAGTTTCCACTCGTAAATGAGAACATGCCGTCTTTGGTTTTCTGTTGCTGTTTTTTTTTAGGCCAGAGTGCAGTGGCACGATCTCGGCTCACTGCAACCTCTCTGCCTTCCGGGTTCAAGCAATTCTCCTGCCTCAGCCTCCTGAGTAGATGGGATTACAGGTGCTCGCCACCACATCTGGCTAATTTTTTTCTATTTTTAGTAGAGACAGGGTTTCACCATGTTGGCCAGGCTGGTTTCAAACTCCTGACCTCAGGTGATCCACTTGCCTTGGCCTCCCAAGTGCTAGGATTACAGGCGTGAGCCATTGCGTTGGGCCTCTGTTCGTGTTAATTCAATGAGGATAATGGCCTCCAGCTGTATCCATGTTGCTGCAAAAGACAGGATTTCATTGTGTTTTTTTTTTCGTTGTTTTTTTGGCTGCTAGTATTCCATGATATATTACGTACCACATTTTCTTTATCCAGTCCACCATTTATGAGCATCTAAGTTGATTTGATGTCTTTGCTATTTTGGATAGTGCTGTGATTAATATGAGTGCTCTTGTACTTTTGGTAGAATGGTTTTATTTTCCTTTGGGTTTATACCCAGTATTGGGATTGTTGGATCGACATACATGTGTCCAATAAATATATGAAAAAATGTTCAACATCACTGATCATTAGAGAAATGCAAACCAAAACCACAATGTAAATCAAAACCACAAACCCATCTCACCACCAGTTAGAATGGATATTATTAAAAAGTCAAAAAATAACAGATGTTGGCAAGGTTGTGAAGAAAAGGGAATGCTTATCCACTGTTGGTAGGAATGTAAATTAGTTCAGCCACTATGGAAAGCAGTTTGGAGATGTCTCAAAGAACTATGTTTAATTTTGTGTCCTTTTTTTTTGAATTATGAGCTATAGCATTTACCCATTTATAAATAATAAATGTGATTTAAAAACTTTTGATTATGAGAAAATTGAGACATACACAGAGAGATAGTACAATGAATCACATGTCACTCAGCTATAATAGTTCAACTACGCCCATACTGACTCCTCACAAGTCTACAGTTTGTCATGTGACACATCTATAAAGCATTTTTGTTCTTTTACAAATCGTAAAAAGACGCTTATTTTTATTGGTACCAAGTTTGTGTATAAGTTCATATTATTTCTTGGAAATGAGAAATGGAGTTCTATGAAGATTTTTAAGACAATTATTGAGTAAAATACAAAGAATAAGATGACCTGGCATTCCATTTTTTTTTACTTTATATATGTGTCTAATTTTCAAATTTAATTGGATGAATTTTGTAACAAACATCTTTAGATAACTTACATTCTAATGGTTTTTACAGATTATTGAATAATAAAATACAGTTTTGAAAAAAATGGATGAAGAACCTGAAAGAACTAAGCGATGGGAAGGAGGCTATGAAAGAACATGGTAAGGAGAGCTTTATTGCCCTGTCTTTTCTTTTAGACAATGTCTTTTTTTTTCTTTACAACTTTATTAAAGTATATTTTACATATGTTAAAATTCACCCATTTCCAATGTACAATTCAGTGATGTTTTATTAATAATTTACTGAGCTGTGCAGCCATTATCATAAACCAGTTTTAGAATATTGTAACCACTCCAGTAAGATCCTTCACATTCATTTACAATTAATTTAAATCTTAATTTAATTCCACCTGTGGGCAATCATTAGTCTACTTTTTGTCTCCAAATTTTAACCTTTTCTGGACATTTCACAAAAATGTGATCATATACAATCATGTGCCACATAATGATGTTTTGGTCAAAGACAGACTGCATATATGACAATGGTCCCATAATATTATAATACTGTATTTTTACTCTACCTTTTCTATGTATGTTTAGATATACAAATACTGACCATTGTGTTACAGTTGTCTTAAGATATTCAGTATAGTAACGTGCTGTACAGGTTTGTAACCTAGGCGTGGGATAGGCTATACCATCTAGGTTTGTGTAAGTATACCCTGTGATATTCACACAATAATGAAATTGCCTAACAATGCATTTCTCAGAATGTATCCCTGTCAGTAAGCGATGCATGACTATAATAGTTGGTCTGTTGTGGCTGGCTTTCACTTATTTTTAAGACTCATCCATGATGCAGTGTGTATTAATACTTCATTCCTTTTTTATTGCTGAATAGTATTCCCATCTATGGTTATGCCACATTATTGTTTATCCATTCACTAGTCTGTGGATATTTAGGTTCTTTACAGTTTTTGACTGTTAGGAAAATGCAGCCATGAACACTTACATGCAAATCTTTGTGTGGACATATATTTTCATTTCATTTGGGCTAGTAATCATTTTAGCTTGTCTTTTCAAACAAATAATTATGACTTATAGGGAGATTCTTAAAGAAGATGAATCTGGATCACTTAAAGCTACAATAGAAGACATTCTATTCAAGGCAAAGAGAAAAAGGTATGTAACCTTCCTATGTATCTTAAAAAGGTAAAATATATTCATTTTAAGCCTTTCTATCTATAAATACTCCTCAGTACTTCATTTTAGCTGTGTTTCAGGGTAACTGACCTATTGCCTTCTGACTATGGGGAAAGAACTAGCCACCTACCCTTGCCCCAGCAGGAAATGGTCTTTAGAGACTGTCTACAATACCTATAATTGTGTGTATTGTATTCCATAAGTTAATTATTTACTCCACTAAAAATGCACGTTATGACATTCTTACTCAGAATTAGAAAAAAAGAAAAACAAAGGAGGTCAATTGGAAAGTTGTATTTTTTTTGTGGGGGGGGATAGTATATGGAATTACATTAAAATGTTTGTATAATTTTAACAGTATTTGAGCACCATGGACAAGTTCGACTTGGAATGGTATGTCATTATTTTTTCTTTTACTAGTACAGAACTAGTTTAGGTTAGAGAAACATTCTGTCTTGCTAGAAAAAACAATAGCAAAACAACAAAGTTTTTAAAAGAATATGTTAAAAATACGTGCATAGAATATGTAATTATTAAATGCCATTTTTACTAGTCAAAATGGCACTTGAGGCTGGGCACAGTGGCTCATGCCTATAATCCCAGCACTTTGGGAGGCCAAGGCAGGAGGATTGCTTGAGCCCAGGAGTTTGAGACCAACCTGGGCAACAGAACGAGACCCAGTTTCTACAAAACAAAACAAGTACTTGAAATTGGCCCTTTCTTTTTTCCGATAGATGCGCCACCTTTATGTGGTAGTAGATGGATCAAGAACAATGGAAGACCAAGATTTAAAGCCTAATAGACTGACGTGTACTTTAAAGGTAAAATTTAAGTTTATACTAAATCATTTAAATTTGTACCAAAATCACTTAAACTTTTACTAAAAAAGTGGGGAAGAACACTGGATTCTAAAGGATATTTTTAAAGAATGCAATATTTTTTATTTTTTGCCTTGTATTTTTAGTTAATGCTAATGATAGCTAAGTAGAAGTACTGCCAGGTTATTTAGGGAAATTTTAAACCAACATAGCTAATTATTTGTGTTTTTAATTTCTATCCTCCCACCCCACATCAGGATCTTGGTTTATCAGTTACCCCTTTTCTTTCTTGAATCTTCATTCTCCTTTGCCTTACTTAACTCTGTCTCCTCAGATTACAAATATGTTCGTATTCCTAATTTATCAAAACCTATTCTCAATTCTGCTCGTTCTCCCATCTCTCTTCATTGGATCTTTTCCTCATTGAAATTTCTTCTGACACATCCAAATGGTTCCATCTTTTAAAACCTAGCTCAAACCTATCTCATCACCCACCATTTCAAATTAACGTTTTTACTGTTTAATATTTTTATTACTTAACAGTTTTTGAAAATCTGTAAGTTTAAAAGTCATGAGAAGTGACGCTTGATTAACAGGTTTCACAAACATCAGTTGGACGTGTTCTTTATGATTGTTATTTTGCCTTTATCTAGTATGTCTTTTTTTGTTTAAACAGTTGTTGGAATACTTTGTAGAGGAATATTTTGATCAAAATCCTATTAGTCAGGTACGTATCTAAGTGATAGAATTCAGAATTAGATTCCTATTTTGCTTCCAAATGTAATTTATTTTTAAAAATTGGACATGTATTTTGTGAATTACCCAAATTGTTTAACCAGTTTCTGGTATACTTAAAAATGAAAAGCGTAATAACTCTAAAAGTTAAACGTAATGTGAACTCATAGCTAAATTTATTTGCCAAAAACAGCATGAGAAAAAGTTTCTCACCTGTTGCTTCTTTCTTTTGTAATTACTAGTTTATTTTAGCTATATAAATTATTTTTTTTTCTGCTCCAATATCATCTACAGGAATAGTTATATATATTCTTAATGGGAGGAAATAACTTGTTATATTAATAATAATTTTTGTTTTTATTTCAAGATTGGAATAATTGTAACTAAGAGTAAAAGAGCTGAAAAATTGACTGAACTTTCAGGTATGCATAAAATTACCTTTACATGACTCAAGGACTTTGCTTTATTTACCCAACCTCGTAGCCCTGTTTATATGGCTGCTTAATAAGTAACGTGAAGGGTGGTTCCTCTGTCTTCTCTAGGTGAAACAATTTAATAACATCTCCCCCACCATTATATTCTTAGGATACAAGGTTAACTATTCTAAATTGAGTTCTGCGTAGTGGTAAATAATACTACATTGAATATAAATGTTTTTATTTAAAATCTATATGTGCTTATCCTGAAATTTTTTTTCTTTCCTTTTTTTTTTTTTTTTTTTGGAGATGGGAGTCTTGCTCTGTCGCCAGGCTAGAGTGCAGTGGCACAATTTCGGATCACTGCAAAGTCCGCCTCACGGGTTCAAGCGATTCCCTGCCTCAGCCTCCTGAGTAGCTGGAACTACAGATGCCCGCCACCACGCCCTGCTAATTTTTTGTATTTTAGTAGATACGGGGTTTCACCATGTTGGCCAGTATGGTCTCAATCTCTTGACCTTGTGATCAGCCCGCCTCAGCCTCTCAAAGTGCTGGGATTACAGGCTTGAGCCACCGCATCCGGCCTTATCCTGAAAATATTAAAATACAGTTATTGTAATCATTTATAAAATCCAGTTAATCTTAAAATTAAATTCTTATAAAGTTAAGCATCTAATTTAAAAGGGAAAAAGTATAAAAATTAAACTGTAGCTATTGCTAATGAATCAATTTTTCTGCTTCCATGACATACCTAACTGAATTTTAGTTTCAAAACGTAGTAATGGCATTTTTTATTTGCTTTGGTATATATGCTGTTACAAATTTGCATCACTGATTCTATTTTATTTTCTGTGAAATACACTCTCCCTTAAATCTGGTTTTCAACCTTTTATCCTTGCCGGCACACATAAGGGAAATGACATACTTTCTTCATTAGTAGTTTTTCATTAAATGCAGTGAGGAGTGAAATGTACATTGGCCTGGAGTGATTCAAGAAACTCAGTTGTGAGTAACCAAAAGAATGTCACACTAGCTTAAGTGCAGAAGGAAAATTTTGGGCTATGTTCAAAGGTGGGCCAATTCCATATATAGTTGCTGCATATGTTGGGGTCCTGGCTTTGTCTGGCTTCATTCTCTGATAGATTTTCTGGAAGTTGAAAAGATGTCTCTTAATTGTCCCAGTTCTACATTGTACCCGTAGCCTATAGCTTCAGCACACGTCTAGGGAGAACTCTGATTGGCCTGAGTTACGATCTGCCCATCCATGAACAAAGTGGCCAGGAAATGAAGTATTTTGTTTGTACGCTTCGATTGCCTGCTGATGCCCAGAGCAGGATAGAAGTAGGGTCAGCACCACATGAACTAAGCAGGATTATTATATAGTGGAAGAAGGATGGTTCCTCCAAGGTAGGAATATAAGGTCAATATTTTCCTCTCACTTTACCCACCCCGAGTTACCAGCAGTTTTCTATTGCTTCTTTTTTTTTTTTTTTGAGAAGGAGTCTCTCACTCTGTCGCCCAGGCGGTGCTGTCTTGGCTCACTGCAACCTCCGCCTCCCGGGTTCAAGAGATTCTCCTGCCTCCCCCTCCCGAGTAGCTGGGATTACAGGTGTGCGCTGCCACACCTGGCTAATTTTATTTTTAGTAGAGACAGGATTTCACCATGCTGGCCAGGCTGATCTCGAACTCCTGACCTCAGGTGATCTACCCACCTCAGCCTCCCAAAGTGTTGGGATTACAGGCATCAGCCACCATGCCCGGCCCCAGCAGTTTTCTATGGATGTTAGTGAAGTCATGTATAAAGATGAAAAATATTCTGGAGATTCTGACAGGCCTCTTGAAGCCACCATTTTTTCCCTCCAATCAGACCACTGCTGTAAACCACACTGACACTATTGTAGTATGCTTTTTTCCTATACCCATAACACAGTGGGAGATTAAAAATAATTTTGTAGGGTAGGAAGAGAAGTGGATAGAGAGCCAGGAGATCTAGGTTTGGGTGCTGCTGGTCCTGCAGTTAAGCAGGCATATGTCTTTGGGCAAGTCATTTCACTTGTTTTAGATTAATTTTCTCACTTATGAAGTGAGGGATTTGGACTGCTTAGCGAGGTACTTTTCATCTCTAAAATTTATGAATCTAAAATACTTGCAGTAAATATTAAATATTACAAATGGTTAATATTTTAAAACTTACTCAGATGAGTAAAAACTCAAGGGAGCTCCAAGTTGATGAATAGACAAAGAAGACATGATTCACACAGAAAAAACCCAGAAATTAAATCAGGGAAACTAGTAATCCAAAAACACTCTACCCAATTACATAACATTTTATTTTTTAATATATTTTAAATGAGCAAAATTAAGTTTCCAAAGCAATATGTTGCTTGTGGAACCACAGAGAAACTGTTATTTATAGTGCTGATAGTCTTACAAATTAGTTCAATATTTTTTAGAAAAGCATAAAAATTGTTCCTGAAATTATATTTAGGGAATGTTATGGAAGGAGAATGATCACTCTACAAAGATACTCTTTGTAACATTATGTATAATAGTGACAGATTAAAAATTAAATGTTTAATAGTATGCTTTGATGGATTATATTTTATGACAAAATCAATTTAATGATACTTAGGTTATTGATTGATACGAAGACAGTGCTGAAATGGAAAATGTTTACGGAATACTATATTTCATTGAAACTCAGATTCCATCAATTACAAGATACTTTTATAAGCCATTAAGAAGGAAAAGTCCTAGTAGTTAAACTTTGACACAGTATCAAATGATATATGAGTTGGCTATACTAGCTTCTTGGTAATTTGACATGTACAGACATCTCAAATTTGGGGGCCAGGTGTGGTGACTTACACCTGTACTCCCAGCACTTTGAGAGGCTGAGGCGGGAGGATTGCTTGAATCCAGGAGTTCAGGACTAGCCTGGACAACATGGTGAAACCCTGTCTCTACCAAAAATATACAAAAAAATTTAGCCAAGTGTGGTGCTGGGCACTTGTAGTCCCAGCTACTTGGGAGGTTGAGGTGGGAGGATGGTTTGAGCCTGGGAGGTGGAAGTTGCATTGAGCCAAAATTGCCCCATTGCACTCCAGCCTGGCAACAGATATATATATAATCTAAATATAAATAATATAAAAAAATATTATATTAAAAAGAAAAAAAAGGATTTGGCAGCTTCTCCCCCCTTCATTTGAATTGCTTAGCATAAGATAGACAATCTTTTCAGATGCTATTTGGTAAGATAACACAGCTTCGTCTGTTTGTGGGAATATTCGTTTCTTAGGTCTTGTAAAGTTCTTGATTTCTTCCCTCAAGAAAAATACGGAATTGCATGCATTCTTCCATCAATATTTGATTCATTATAATAAATTTATGCCTCACTGCTGTGTTCCACACCTTTCTACATAAAAATATAGCCTTTTGTATTAACAACATTTCTAAAAACATTTTATTGTTTGTTTTTTGAGATGGAGTTTCGCTGTTGTTGCCCAGGCTGGAGTGCGGTGGTGCAATCTCAGCTCACTGCAACCTCCACCTTCTGGGTTTAAGTGATTCTTGTGCCTCAGCCTCCCTAGTGGCTGGGATTACAGGTGTATGCCACCATACCCAGCTAATTTTTGCATTTTTACTACAGATGGGATTTACACCATGTTGACCAGGTGTGTCTTAAACTCCTGACCTCAGGTTATCTGCCTGCCGTGGTCTCCCAGAGTGCTGGGATTACAGGCGTGAGCCACCGCGCCTGGCCTTAAAAACATTTTAAATGGCAGTTAAACTCACCATGAAGAGGACAATGTACATAATGCAATTGAAGCAACAACATATGAAGACCTATTTGTAGGTTCACATATGAACAGGCAAAGACTATGTTACAAGTGCTGCTGGCTACCAGTGATTATTAAACACATGCTGATTTCAGAGATGTTAAATGTGAAAATGTATTGGTCTTAAAAATGATGAAATATGGAAATATTAAGAGTAAAAAAATGCACTCTAGGTTAGCATTATTTTAAAATATGTATGCTAGTCTATAAGGAGATTATTTGTATTCTGTTTTTCAGTATGAAGTGAGAGTGTTTACAAAATATTGCAGATAAAATTCCAACAGAAATATACATTGAAAGGATTCTGTTCTTTAACATCATAGATATGTAAATTTTGAGAGAAACATAAACTTTTTTAATATATAGGATTTTATTTAAAGATCTTATTTCTATTTTAGGAAACCCAAGAAAACATATAACGTCTTTGAAGAAAGCTGTGGATATGACCTGCCATGGAGAGCCATCTCTTTATAATTCCCTAAGCATGGCTATGCAGACTCTAAAGTTAGTATTATACATTATGTATAATTGAATTAGAAGTTTTTTAAATGAGTTAAGTTGAAGTGATGTGTTAATATGGGGCCCATAAACCCAGCTATAACAAAATTGTTAAGTACGAGAATTATGTAGTGTTATTTATGATGTTTAGTGTGGTGTTGGTTAGTAATTTTTATTTTACATTTTAGTAAGATATTGTTAAAGGTTTTATAAAAATATAATTTAAAACTGTCGGCAGTATCAATAGTACAAAAATAGGTTGATGAAAAAATATTTTATTAAAATGAGATTTAATATAGTATAATAATTGTAAGTTGGTTGTACCTTTATTAACATTTATTAATTTATTTTGAAAGTAATGGCCAAAACCACAATTCCTTTTGCACCAATGTCATATATCTGTAAATTAATAGATATGGCAAGTTCAGCTATATGGAATAGAGCTAAGACCCCAAAGGAAATACTTGGTATAGTTAAAGCTTATATATATATATAAGCTTTATATACATATTATATATATAATTTATTATACATATATATATAAAGCTTATATATATGTTAAACTTACATATATAAGTTAAAGCTTATATGTCTATTATACACACACACACACACACACACACACACACACACACACACACACACATATATATTTTTTCGAGACAGAGTCTTGCTCTGTCACCCAGGCTGGCATGCAGTGGCGTGATCTCAGCTCACTACAACCTCCACCTCTGGGTTCAAGTGATTCTTGTGCCTCAGCCTCCCTAGTGCTGGGATTACAGGTGTGTGCCACCATGCCCAGCCAATTTTTGTATTTTTAGTACAGATGGGGTTTCATCATGTTAGCCAGGCTGGTCTTGAACTCCTGGCCTCAAGCGATCCGCCCACCTCAGCCTCCCTAAAGCTTATATATTTTATCTCTGGATAGTCTGCCCTGGCTCAGACTTATACCTTTATATAATAGATATTTTTCTAGTTTTGAAGTGGATGAGAAGGAGGCAACACATGTAATAGAGGTAAGTACAGTAGTAGGGTCTACCAGTGAGAGCTGAGACGATAACAATGAAAATATAAGCAGGAAAGCTATAACTAATTGATAAAATTGCTGCAGAAAGCATAAAAACGTCTATTTAGTGTAGGTGAAAACTGGTCACCACAACTTAAAACTCTACAAGCTATCATTTTAATTAAATGGTATGCAATATTAATGTTCATGATTATTATGACTCTGAATTACTGTGAGGTTAAATTATAGTAATCCCCCCTTATCTGCAGTTTCACTTTCCAGTTTTAGTTACTCTTGGTCTGAAAATATTAAATTGAAAACTTCAGTAATAAATAATTCATAAGATTTAAGTTGTGTGCCATTCTGGGTAGCGTGATGAGATCCTACACCTTCCCTCTCTGTCCTGCCCAGGACGTGAATCATCCCTTGGTCCTGTAGATCCTCACAGTATATGCTGCCCACCCATGTAATGGCCTAAGTCATCAGATTAACTGTTGTTATTGACTGTCAAAACTATTGCAGTGTTTGTGTTATTTTACTTAATAATGACCTCAAAGTGCAGGAGTAGTGATGCCGGCACGTTGTTATAAATGTTCCATTATTAGTTATTGTTGTTAATCTCTTATTGTGCCTAATTTATACATTATTGATCATAGGTGTGTATGTAAGGCACACCTCATTTTGTTGCACTTTTATTGCACTTTTCAGATAACTTTTTTTTTTACAAACTGACAGTTTATGGCAACTCTGTTGAGCAAGTCTGTTGGTGCCATTTTTTTTTTAACAGCATGTGCTCACTTCTTGCCTCTATATCACACTTTGGTAGTTCTTGCAATATTTCAAGCTTTGTAAATTATTGTTATATCTGTTATGGTGATCTGTGATCAGTGATCTTTGATGTTACTATTGTAATTATTTTAGGGCACCACAAACTGCGCCCATATAAGACAACAGACTTAATTGATAAGTGTTACGTGTGTTCTGACTGCTCCACCAACTGGCTGTTTTCCAGTCTCTCTCCCTCTGTTCGGCCCCCCCATCTCCTAAGACACAAAAATATTCAAGTTACACCAATAATAACCCTCCAGTGGCCTCTGAGTGTTCAAGAGTAAGGAGGAGTCGCATGTCTCACTTTAAATCAAAAGCTAGAAATGATTGAGCTTAGTGAGGAAGGCATGTCAAAATGCAAGACTGGCTGAAGGCTAGGTCTCTTGTGCTAAACACTTAGTCACATTGTGAATGCAAAGGTAAAGTTCTTGAAGGAAATTGAAAGTGCTGGGCTGTGCGTGGTGGCTCTTACCTGTAACTGCAACACTTTGGGAGGCTAAGATGGGAGGATCACCTGAGGCCATGAGTTTGAGACCAGTCCTGGTAACATAGCAAGACCTCCATCTCTACAAAAAAAAAAAAAAAAAAAAAAAATTAGCCAGGCACAGTGGCGAGCACCTGTATGTAGTCCCTAACTTCTCAGGAGGCTGAGGCAGGAGGATTGAGCCCAGTAGTTTGAGGCTGCAGTGAGCTACGATTGTGCTACTGTACTCCAGCTTGTATGATAGAGCAAGATCCTGTCTCAAAATAAGAAAAAAATAATGGAAATTCAAAGTGCTGCTTCAGTGGACACATGAATGATAAGAAAGTGAAACAGCTTTATTGCTGATACAGACAAAGTTTTAATGGTCTAGATAGAAGATTAAAGTAGCCACAACAGTCCATTAAGTCAAATCCTAATCCAAAGCAAGGCTCTAATTCTCTTCAATTCTATGAAGGCTGAGAGCAGTGAGGAAGCTGCAGAAGAAAAGTTTGAAGCTAACAGAGCTGAGCTCATGAGGTTAATGAAAGAAGCCATCTCCAAAACATAAAAGTGTAAGAGGGGCTGGGCGCGGTGGCTCACGCCTGTCATCCCAGCACTTTGGGAGGCCAAGGTGGGCAGATCATGAGGTCAGGAGTTCAAGACCAGTCTGGCCAACATAGTGAAACCCTGTCTCTACTAAAAATACAAAAAATTAGCCAGGTGTGGTGGTGTGCGCCTATAATCCCAGCTACTCGGGAGGCTGAGGCAGGAGAATCGCATGAACCCAGGAGGCAGAGGTTGCAGTGAGCCGAGATCGCGCCATTGCACTTTAGCCCAGACGACACTGTGAGACTCCGTCTCAAAATAAAAAAAAAAAAAGTGCAAGAGGAAGCAGCAAGTGCTGATGTAGAAGCTGCAGCAAGTTATCCAGAAGATCTAGCTAAAATAATTGATGAAGGTGACTACACTAAATATCAAATTTTCTTTTTCTTTTTTGTTTTTGAGAGAGGGTCTCGCTCTGTCACCCAGGTTAGAGTGCAGTGGTGCAATCATGGATCACTGCAGCCTCAAACTCCCAGGCTCAAGCTATTCTCCCAGCCCCACAAGTAGCAGGGACTACAGGCATGTGCCACCACACCCAGCTAATTTTTGTTGTTGTTGTTGTTGTAGAGGTAGGGTTTCGCCACATTGCCCAGCTGGTCTTGAACTCCTGGGCTCAAGCAGTCCTCCGCCTCTGCCTCCCAAAGTGCTGGGATTACAAGCATGAGCCACTGCACCTGGCCTCATATTTTCAATGTAAATGAAACAGCCTTCTGTTGGAAGGAGATGCCATCTAGGATTTTCATAGCTAGAAGAAGTGAATGCCTGGTTTCAGAGCTTCATGGGATAGGCTTCTTCTCTTGTTAGGGGCTAATACAGCTGGTGACTTGATGTTGGCACCAATGTTTGTTACCATTCTGAAAATCCTAGAGTCCTTAAGAATTATTCTAAATCTATTCAGTCTGTGCTCTGCAAATGGAATAACAAAGCCCAGATAACAGCACATCTGTTTACAGCATGGGCTTACTGAATATTTTAAGCCCATTGTTGAGATATATCTCAGAAAAAAGATTTATTTCAAAATATTATTGCTCATTGACAATGCACCCAGTCACCCAAGAGCTCTAATTGAGATGTACAAGAAGATTAATGTTATTTTCATATCTACTAACATAGCACTCATTCTGCAACCCTTGGATAAAGGAATACTTTGAACTTTCACGTCTTGATTATTTAAGAAATACATATCATAAGGCTGTGACTGCCATAGATGGATCTGAGCAAAGTACATTGAAAACCTTCTGGAAAGAATTCACCATTCTAAATGCCATTCATAGAAAGAGGTCAAAATATCTACACTGGCTGGGCATGGTGGCTCATGCCTGTAATCCCAGCACATTGGGAGGCCGAGGCGGATGGATCACTTGAGGTCAGGAGTTCAAGACTAGTCTGGCCAACATGGTGAAACCCGTCCTCACTAAAAATACAAAAATTATCTGGGCATGGTGGTGCATGCCTGTAATCCCAGCTACTGGGGAGGCTAAGGCAGGAGAATTGCTTGAACCCAGGAGGCAGAGGTTGCAGTGAGCCGAGATCGCACCACTGCACTCCAGCCTGGGTGTCAGAGCAAGAATCAGTCTCAAAACAAAAAAAGAATAGCCCATAAACTTAGTTGGTAAAGCATCAGTGGGGTTTCAAAGGAATGACTCCCATTTTGAAAGAGGTACTACTATGAATAAAATGCTACCAAACAGCATTTGCATTCCTTTCATGAAAGGAAGAGTTGACCCATGTAACAAACTACTTTGTCTTATTTTAAGAAATTGCCATAGCCACCTCACCCTTCAGAAAGCACCACTCTGATCAGTCAGCAGCCATCAATATCAAGGCAAGACTCTCCTTCAACAAAAAGATATTATTCACTGACAGTTCAGTCGATTTTTAGCAATAAAGTATTTTTCATAAAGGTGTGTACTTTTTTTTTTTAGATATAATGCTGTTGCACACTTACTAGACTACAGTATAGTGTAAACAGAACTTTTCTTTTTCTTTCTTTTTTTTTTTTTTGAGACGGAGTCTCGCTCTGTCGCCCAGGCTGGAGTGCAGTGGCGCAATCTTGGCTCACTGTAAGCTCCGCCTCCTGGGTTCACACCATTCTCCTGCCACCACGTCCGGCTCATTTTTTTGTATTTTTAGTAGAGACGGGGTTTCACCGTGTTAGCCAGGATGGTCTCGATCTCCTGACCTCGTGATGTGCCCGCTTCAGCCTCCCAAAGTGCTGGGAATACAGGCGTGAGTCACCATCCCTGGCCGTAAACAGAACTTTTATATACACTAGGAAACCTGAAAGTTCATGTGACTTGCTTTATTGCAAATATTTATTGTGATATTTGCTTTATTGCTGCGGTCTGGAATCCAACCCTGCAGTATCTCCAAGGTATGCCTGTATAGGGAAAAACATGGTATAATCAGCCCTCTGAATCCTGGGTTCTGCTTCTGTGAATTCGATCAACCACGCATCAAAAATTTTTGGAAAAAAATTGTACCTGTACTGAACAAATAGACATTTTTTCTTGCCATTATCCCCTAAATAATAGAGGATAACAATTACTTACATAGTATACATTGTATTAGGTATTATCAATAATCTAGAGATGACTTAAAATATATGGGAGGATGTACATAGGTTATATGCAAATACTACGCCCTTTTGTATCTGGGACTTGAACATCTGCAGATTTTGGTATCCATAGGAGGGCCTGAAATCAATCCCCCAAGGATACCGAAGAACGACTGTATATATAGGGTTCAGTACTATCCTTGATTTCAGGTATCCACTGGGGGTCTTGGAATGTATCCTCTGCAGATAAGAGGGGACTACTATAGTCTTTGAGAAAGAAGTGTGTGTTACTGTTTTGAAGCCACATCTCTGCACTTTAAAGCTGATCCATATGATATTGCCACATTTTAGTTTAAAGTTTATCCATATATTGTTGTATTTTTTATTGTATACTCTAGACTTTGTATGAAACAAACCTACTAGAATGTAAGCTTAATGATGTCGGGAACATTGTCAGTCTTGTTTATCACTCTACCCCCAGAACTTGAGAGTACTTGGTAAATATTAAATGAATCAATTAACAATTTTTTGAAGTGCATAGCTCATTTTAGAAAAATTTGCATTAAAGTGTTTAAAATATACTCACAACCTTTCTTTGCATTGTTGAAACAAATGAGATATTCTATAGTCTAAATGTGTAATCCTATGTTTACTGTTCTTTCTGGGTAAATTTTTTGGTAGTATAATTTGTTGTACCTAATTGGAGTGTATTTTATCTTTCTTTTAAGACACATGCCTGGACATACAAGTCGAGAAGTACTAATCATCTTTAGCAGCCTTACAACTTGCGATCCATCTAATATTTATGATCTAATCAAGGTAGACCAAAAAATCAAAACCAAAGTTATAACTGTAAAGAGAATTCTGTAGCAAATTGATTTATATATATATGTATTTTTGTATGTGTGATTCATCTTTGTGGTAGATGTATTGAATTTATTACTAGTTTTCAGAGCATTCTTTATTTTTCAAATACATTAAATCTTAAATGTTTTTCTTCTTTCCTAAAACTATCTATCTACTTGGATTTTATGAAGACCCTAAAGGCAGCTAAAATTAGAGTATCTGTTACTGGATTGTCTGCAGAAGTTCGCGTTTGCACTGTACTTGCTCGTGAAACTGGTGGTATATATATAATTTATTTAATATTTGCTTATAATTACTGTGTAGGAAATAATTTATTAATTAAATTAGGATGTTTTAATCTGTTCTGAGCTACTAAACTTAAAGTAGTCTAAAATATGGGCAGTCATCTTAAATATATCATTGATTCCATAAGAAATCATCTCCAAATGCAAAGAGTTTTCAGTACTTATGTCAGTATTTAGAGGAGGTATTATAACTCTTGGAAAGCTGGAAATTTTACTGTATGTAATTCTTTATAAAGATTTTATAACTTGTCTTTAATTAAATTGTAATTACAGGCCAGGCATGATAGCTCATGCCTGTAATCTCAACATTTTGGTAGGCCAAGGCAGGAGAATCACTTGAGGCCAGAAGTTTGAGATCAGTCTGGTTAACATAGTGAGACCTGTCTCTATTTATATGTTAAAATAATAATAGTAGTAATAATAATCAATTGTAATTATAGTTATTCCTAGAGAAGTTGATTTAGATATATTACTTAAATAAGGTTTTAAAAGTGATAATTTAGCTAAAATCATTATTTTAAAAATGTACATTTTCAGATGATACAACTTTTACAGAATTACGTAGAACGTACAGTTCGTTATGTCTATGAAGGTGTTTTTTTTTCCCTTTTCATCTTGTTAGGCACGTACCATGTTATTTTAGATGAAAGCCATTACAAAGAGTTGCTCACACATCATGTTAGTCCTCCTCCTGCTAGCTCAAGTTCTGAATGCTCACTTATTCGTATGGGTAAGTGTTTTTATGTTTTTAAAAAATACATATCTAGGCTCTCTATTTTCATTTGCACAAGTTATTTTAATATTTAAGAATTTTTAAAGAAAAAATATGCTTGTTGAAGCAATTTTGGAAAGTACAGAGAAGTGGAAAAAAAAAATTAAAACTACCAGTAGTCCTGTCACCCAGAAAATACTGTTGGCTTTCTTTATTTTTAAGGCTAGAAAGGTATAAACTGTGTTTATAGAAAAATACTTATATTAAGCCGGGCTCGGTGGCTCACGCCTGTAATCCCAGCACTTTGGGAGGCCGAGGTGGGCGGATCTTGAGGTCAGGAGATCGAGACCATCCTGGCTAACACGGTGAAACCCCATCTCTACTAAAAATACAAAAAATTAGCCAGGCGTGGTGGCGGGCGCCTGTAATCCCAGCTCCTCGGGAGGCTGAGGCAGGAGAATGGCATGAACCCGGGAGGCAGAGCTGGCAATGAGCCGAGATCACACCACTGCACTCTAGCCTGGGCGACAGAGCGAGACTCTGTCTCAAAAAAGAAAACAAAAGAAAAACACTTATATTAAAAATTTTTTAAAATAAGCTACAAAGGCCGGGCGTGGTGGCTCATGCCTGTAATCCTAGCATTTTGGGAGGCCGAGGCTAGCGGATCACCTGAGGTCAGGAGTTTGAGACCACCCTAGCCAACATGGCGAAACCCTGTCTCTACTAAAAATTACCAAAAAATGGCTGGGCATGGTGGCAGACATCTGTAATCCCAGCTACTCAGGAGGTTGAGACAGGAGAATTGCCTGAACTCAGGAAGCGGAGGTTGCCATGAGCTGAGATTGCGCCACTGCACTCCAGTCTGGGTGACAGAGCAAGACTCTGTCTCAAAAAAATAAAATAAAATAAAAATAAAATAAGCTACAAAATTCTCTGTACTGGATGATCAAAGCTGTGTAATGCAAACTGTGCAAAGACAAAGCTTGCAGGGAAGTACACCAAATTGCTCAAAGGAGGGGAAATTATTGGTTTTGGATCACTTTTTTTTTTCTTTTTTTTTTTGAGATGGAGTCTCATTCTATTTCCTAGGCTGGAAGTGCAGTGGTGCGATCTCAGCTCACACTGCAACCTCCGCTTCCCAGGTTCAAGCAATTCTCCTGCCTCAGCCTCCCGAGTAGCTGGGATTACAGGCGGGCACCACCATGCCCAGCTAATTTTTGTATTTTTAGTAGAGACGGGGTTTCACCATGTTGGCCAGGCTTGTCTTGAACTTCTGACCTCATGATCCGCCCGCCTCGGCCTCCCAGAGTGCTGGGATTACAGGCTTGAGCCACTGTGCCCGGCCTTGGATCACTTTTTTAAAATGTTATTTTCTTCTATTTTACAAAAATGTTAAATGTTACAATGAAAATTTATTACATTTATATTGAAAAAAGTATAACTTTTAATAGAAAAATAATCTCCTTATTTAATATGTATGTTTTTAAATGTTAATGAAATAAAATGCTTTTCTACTTTTGGCCTTTTATATTACCAGTCGACCTCTCTTTTCCACGGTCTTCTCATGTGTTTAATGATGTCAGTAACTATCAACCTTATTGTGTGTTTCAAGGATTGAGTTAATACAGATGATGCGTTTAGAATAATGCTTGATGTAAACATTCAATACATTTTAGATCTTATGTTTGGCTAATCTTTTTGATTTACTGATATATTTTCTTATTTCATTTTAAAGTTATTTAAATTTATAATTTATTTATTAGAGTCCTTTAGGAATGTTAACCCTTCTCAGTCACCCGATGCAAATATTTTTCTTGTTGGTTATTTGCCTTTACTTTTATTTATTTGTTTTGATATGTAGATACATTTACATTTTTTATGTAATATATCTTTTTAAAAATGGTTTCTGCTTTTCCTGAACATGTTTTCAGAATTTAAAATTGTATATGGAAAACAAATTACATGAAAGATTTGAGCATTTCAAAATTTTAAACATAAAAGCATAAACGTAGATAAAATGAAGGTGTACTATGATATCTTCAGTTTTATCAGAAATGATGTAAAAATTACAACCTCTTTAAAAAGTAGTGTTAATCATTAAGTTAGAAAATATATAGCTGGGCATGGTGGCAGATGCCTGTAATCCCAGCTACATGGGAAGGTGAGGTGGGAGAATCGCTTGAACCCAGGCAGTGGAGGATGCAGTGAGCCAAGATCATGCCACTGCACCCCAGCCTGGGTGACAGAACAAGACTCCATCTCAAGAAAAAAAAAAAAGAAAAATATATATATGAACTTCAGAATCTGAGGTCATATATAGACAGGTCTTTCCCCCGTTTCCTCTACTTTTTCTTGTAGCTTGGAATTAGTCAGTTTCATCATGCTATAATAAGCTTATCTGAAAGGCAGTAAAGTGATATTTTGTACAACTTCATTGGCTTTTTGAGAAGAACATTTTTAGGTTCTTAGTCCTAGAATTTTGCTGTTTGCTTGGAAAAAGAAAGTAATACATTTTCTTCTATGAAGGATTTCCTCAGCACACCATTGCTTCTTTATCTGACCAGGATGCAAAACCCTCTTTCAGCATGGCGTAAGTAAAGACCTTGAAAATATCAGTGATAATGTTTTTACATTTTTAATTCCTTCTTTTAAGTTATAAATTCAAAAGATAGGCAATGAAGACTATCTCTATATACTTGTATGGAGTGATCTTCAGGATAAATTACTAAGTAAAACAGTAGTTTGAGAGAATTTTGTAGTATGCTGCTAATCACCTAAGAAGAAAGTAGAGATGTAAGTGGATGTATATACTTGTTTATGTTAATAATAAAAACAATAGTATGGAAATAATAAAAACTTAAAAGGGGTGGAGGGGGAAATTTTTTTTTTTAATGTTTACCTCAGTGAGTGTGTAGGGAAAAGCAAAGGGTTAGACCCTAGACTTTTCTGAATGCATCACTTAATGATAGGGATACATTCCGAGAAATGCGTCATTAGGTGATACCATCATTGTGCAAACATCACAGAGTGCACTTACACAAACCTAGATAGTGTAGCCTACTAACATCGCAGTTATATAGTATAGCCTATTGCTCCTAGGCTGCACACCTGTACAGCATATTGTGTACTGAATAATGTAGGCAGTTGTAATGTAACACCTAGTGTTTGTTTAACTAAACACAGAAAAGGTACAACTAAAATGTATTATTTTATGGGACCACTGTCATATATGTGGTTCATCACTGACCAAAATGTTATATAGAATATTACTGTACCTTGTTTTAACTTCAGAGCTTTGTATTTTACATAATTATAAAACAAAATTAAATTTAAGAGAGTAATTCTTAAAAATCACAAACAAGATTTCTGCCTCCAGCCAAAAAGCTGTAACAGGGACTAGATTTACCCTCCTGTCAAAAAAAGCAGACAAAATATATAAAACAGTGGTTTTCAGACGTTGGACAGCAAGCCTTGCTGATAATGATCCCTGAAAGAAAGGAAACAAATGAGATGGGCCCTAAGAGCACTCCACCTTACTGCCTGGATGGAATTTCCAGGCTGCACACAGAGGCTGGAGATGTTGTTGAGTTGAAGAAACAAAGTTCATCTTTCAAGGAGGCTGAGATGGCGATAATTTTGCAGGTCAGAGTACTGGAGAGGAAAGATCTGCACAGAGAGAACTCTCTGGGGAGCTGCATAGACTTGCTCATGAGTCAGCAGCTGAGCGTTGATCAGCCCTTTTGTGTGAGGAGACTACTGGAAGTCAGGGAAAAAATCACTGGAAAGCAGCAGACAGAACAGTTTCCAGAGCTCACACAGAGAACATTCATGTTCTCACCAGTCTGTATGGAAATACCTCTTAACATGACAGGCATTGAATAGAGTCCACAGTAATGGGATCAAATTAATTCTATCACAAGAACTGGAACCAGAGGCAAAAAGAAAAGAAAAGAAAAGAAAAATCTAGACTAACAGCTGTTCTAGACCAGCCTACCAAAGTTTAAAAGCAAATTTTGAAGAGATTAAACTATTTCCAAGTTAATGAAGTATATTTCAGAACAAACCCTTAAATATTTGAGGGAATACAAAAAAAAAAAAAAAAGAAAAAATCCAGCCCCCAAAACAAAGCAAAATTCACAATGTCTGGCAAAGCAAAATTCATAGTCCCTGGCAGAAATTACCAGGGATGCAAAGGAAAATATGACCCATAAAATGGAGAAAAATCACAGAATGGAAACATACCCAGAAATAACCCAGTTGGTAGAATTAATAGACAAAGGGTTGGGTGCGGTAGCTCCTGCCTGTAATGCTAGCACTTTGGGAGGCTCAGGTGGGCAGATCACTTGAGCCCAGGAGTTCGAGATCAGCACAGCCAACATGGCGAAACCCATCTCTACTAAAAACACAAAAATTAGCCAGGCCTGGTGGCACACGCCTGTAATCCCAGCTACTTGGGAGGCTGAGGTACAAGAATGACTTGAACCCAGGAGGTAAAGGTTGCAGCGAGCTGAGATCGTGCCATTTCACTACAGCCTGGGTGACAGAGCGAGACTCTTATCAAAAAAGAAAAAAAAGAATTAGTAGACAAAGATGTTAGGACAACAATTATAAATGTACTCTGTATGTTCAGGATGTTAGAGAACATGAGAATGGTAAGAAGAGATATGGAAGGTATAAAAAAGACCCAAATCAAACTTCTAGTGATGAAGAATACAGTGTTTTAGATGAAAAATATATTGGCTGGGATTAACAGCAGATTAGACACTGCAGAAGAAAAAATTAGTGAATTCAAAGATAGTAATAGAGACTTTAAAAATGAAGAGAAGGGCTGGGTGTAGTGGCTCACATCTGTAATCCCAGCACTTTGGGAGGCCAAGGCAGGCAGATCACTTGAGACCAGGAGTTTGAGACCAGCCTGGCCAACATGATGAAACCCCATCTCTACTAAAAATACAAAAATTAGCTGGGTGTGGTAGCACGTGCCTGTAATCCCAGCTACTCAGGAAGCCAAGGCACGAGAATTGCTTGAACCTGGGAGGCGGAGATTGTAGTGAGTTGAGATTGTGCCACTGCACTCCAGCTTGGGCAACAGAGTGAGAAGCCGTCTCAAAAAAAAAAAAAAAAATGAAGAGGGGGAAAAAAATGAATGTAGCATAATTTAGTTATAAGACATACTCACAGATTTTAAAATAGACTTTTAGACCAGGCATGGTGGCTCACACCTATAATCCCAGCACTTTGGGAAGCTAAGGCAGGTGGATCACTTGAGGCTAGGAATTCAAGACCAGCAATATAGTGAGAGACCCCCATCTCTATATAAGTTATAAATTTTTTTTTAAATATAGACTTCTTTTGTTTTTTTTTTGAGATGGAGTTTCACTCTTGGCACCCGGGCTGGAGTGCAGTGGTGCAATCTCAGCTCACTGCAACCTCTGCCTCCTGGGTTCAAGCAATTCTACTTCAGCCTCCCAAGTAGCTGGGATTACAGGCGCCTGGCTAATTTTTGTATTTTTTAGTAGAGATGGGGCTTCACCGTGTTGGCCAGGCTGGTCTTGAACTCCTGACCTCAGGTGATCCACCCGCCTTGGCCTCCCAAAGTGCTGGGATTACAGGTGTGAGCCTCTGCGCCCGGCCAAAAATACAGACTTTTAAATAGATTTTTAAATAGTGTCAAGATTTTAAGGTCAAGATAGCATGCTTTCCCGCTCTAACTTTTCAGATCATTATATATTACCCTTTTTCCCCCTACAGGCATTTGGATGGCAATACTGAGCCAGGGCTTACATTAGGAGGCTATTTCTGCCCACAGTGTCGGGCAAAGTACTGTGAGCTACCTGTTGAATGTAAAATCTGTGGTAAGAAAACAACTATTCATTATTCAGTAAATCTTGAATGACTTCTTAATCTGTATTGCTGCTAAAATTAATGTAAATGTTAAGTTATTCCTATGTTTCTGGATTTAATCTGTGCAAAGAAAAATAGATTACTTTTTAAATTGAGTGCCCAGTACTCCACTTCCATGTATAAATGTAGCATTCTAGTTTCCTGATCCTCTTTCTGAAAAAAGTATATTCTTTAAAGGCAGTGCAGTAGATGTAGTAGACATTTTTCCATCTCTTACCTTTATAAAGTAAATATATATAAGAATGAAGAATTAAACTAATAGAATTGTCGAATTTTATTTCATTTATAATATAAGTAAGCAAATAGACCGAGACAGGTTGGTTACACACTTAGTGACAGAACTAAGACTCCATCCTACAATCTTCTGTTATAGCCACAGGTAAAATTAATAACTGCCATCCTAAAAGAAACTGAACATATTCTGCTGAAGTTACATCTTTTGGCTTTTCAGCCGTTGTCTTCATGAGGTTTGGACTACTCAACATGTCTCTCTGCTTAATGTGTTAGGTCTTACTTTGGTGTCTGCTCCCCACTTGGCACGGTCTTACCATCATTTGTTTCCTTTGGATGCTTTTCAAGAAATTCCCCTAGAAGAATATAATGGAGAAAGGTATTTCAGTTTGGACTAATTTATATCTGTTATAAGTGGTAAGCTAATGTTTGAATAGATTGTTACTACCTTAAAAAATAATCTGATTAACTTGGACAAGAGTACTTCTAATATGGAAGATGAGATAAAGAATGCCATAGTTATGATTGAAATGACTCGTTGCTAAATAGATCTGAATCTCCAGAAACCAAATAATTTCACTAAACCCACCTATGTATAAATAGGGGTGATGATTGTACTACTAAATCAGTTTTCCAGAAGGAAAAGAAAAAAAGCCCTGATTGGTAGTATTTGCTGATTTCCATGGTTTGAATACTCCCACCATGGCCAATTTTTAGCTACAATTAACAACCAGCTTTCTTGAATACATATTTAACAATATATCCTTTTGATCCAGTACAATCCAGTCCTAGCACACTACTGAAAATAAGAGGCTCATTCAGCACTTTGGGAGGCTGAGGTGGGAGGATCACTTGAGGCCAGGAGTTGAAGACTAGCTGGGGCAACATAGTGAGACACTGTCTCTTAAAAAAGAAAAAAAAAGCTGGACATGGTGGCTCATACCTGTAATCCCAGCACTTTTGGAGGCCAAGGCAGGCAGATCACCTGAGGTCAGGAGTTCAACACCAGCCTGAATGACATGGAGAAACCCCATCTCTACTAAAAATACAAAATTAGCCTAGTGTGGTGGTGCATACCTGTAATCCCAGCTACTCGGGAGGCTGAGGCAGGAGAATCGCTTGAACTCGAGAGGCAGAGGTTGCGGTGAGCCAAGATCGCACCACTGCACTCCAGCCTGGGTAACAAGAGCGAAACTTCGTCTCAAAAAAAAAAAATCTGGCATAACATAATTTATCTAAAATCTTTAAGTATTTTTACGAATGCTATTTGTGTGAAATACAACAAATAAAGTCTGAAATAGAGGTAGTCAATCCTTTATAGAATAGTTTTCAGAAAATAAAGATTTACTACTTTTAAGAACATCTAGGATCGGCTGGCACGGTGGCTCACGCCTGTAATCCCAGCACTTTGGGAGACCGAGGCAGGTGGGTCACCTGAGGTCAGCAGTTCGAGACCAGCCTGGTCAACATGGTGAAACACCATCTCTACTAACAATATAAAAATTAGCCGGGTGTGGTGGGAGGTGCCTGTAATCCCCAGCTACTCAGGAGGCTGAGGCAGGAGAATCCCTTGAACCTGGGAGGTGGAGGTTGCAGTGAGCCAAGATCACACCATTGCACTCCAGCTGGGCGACAAGAGCGAAACTCCATCAAAAAAAAAAAGAACATCCAGGATTTAGGAGTCACATTAAACACTTACTGGCTAGCCGAAAACAATTATGTATCCATCTTGCTTTTCACACTTAAATCATTTAGAAGTCATTCAGTATCACCATATCTAGATCAATGTTGTTTTTGAAATTGTTGCATATTTCAGGTATAATTATGGTTTATATAATCAATTGCTTCCTGTTGGATATTTAAGATTTTTTTTTTTTGCTATTAACAAATAATGCTTATATCTATATTTTTGAACATTTGTACAAGTATAAATGCATGGTAAATTCCTAGAGGTAAAATTACTGAGTCAAGAGTTTTACATGTTTTGTGAATTTTGATAGATATTGTAAAGTTGTTCTTCAAAGAACTTTCATTTATTGTTTTCGCACATTTAGCCAACATTAGGTATTATGAAACTTTTTTATATTGGCCAAAACTCACAGGCAAAAGAAAAAGAAAAAAGTCTCATTGTTTTAGCTTGGTATTTATTTGCTTATGGTTGAGGTTAAATATAGTAAAAATGAAAAACCCAGTACTATAGAAGATAGAGTTGAAGAAATATTCCAGAAAGTACAATAAAAGGAGTAAAATAAAGAGGTTCAAATAGGAGAGTAAAGATAAGAATACTGGTGGAATTATCCAGAAGGTCCAATGAGAATGATACGAGAAAAAAAGAAAAAAAGTAGGATAGAAAATCATCAAAGACATAGTTCAAAGAAATTTTATATTGAAGGACAGAACTTTCTAGATTGAAAGGGCCTGTTGGCTGGGAAGGGTGGCTCATAGCTCTAATCCTTGCACTTTGGGAGGCTGAGACTGGGGGATCACTTGAGGCCAGGAGTTCCAGGCCAGCCTGGGTCACACAGCAAGACCTCATCTCTGCAACGAAGATAAAAGAAAGGGACTGCCAAGTGCCTAACGTATTGAAGGAAGGCAGACCCCATAATTGTGAAATTTCAGAATACACAATAAACCATTAACCCTAAACATTTCCAGAGAGGAAAAACTAGGTCACACACAAAGGATCTGGAATTAAAATTGTTTGGCTTCTCATTAGCAACACCGGATGCAGAGAGGGAGCAGTCACCTTCAAAGTTTGTGGTGAAAATTGTTACCAACTTAGATACCCAGCCAAACTGTCAGTTAAGTGTAGGTAGAATAAAGACATTTTCAGACTTGTAAGGTCTCAAAAAGAGATTTTTCTGGGGAAGGTCTGGAAGAGGTAGGTGATTCAAAGGAACTGAGAAGGAGAATGACATGGGATCTAGTAATATGTATCTAATTCAAAACAGGCTGAAGAACGGCCTAGGATGATGGTAAGGAGAAATTCCAGAATGATACCTGTGTGTCACATATGGGGAACCGTCCAGTTTGGAGACAGTCAGGATGCTCCAGGAGAGAGATCACCAAGGGGATGAAAACTGCAGAACTCCTGATGTATTTGAACATATCGAGAGGACAGTTAGACTATTCCGGAGAAGATTGGGCCTGAATTAGTGTCAATTATATAGGAAACTAACCTTGGGAATAGCAACACAGTATTTCCAGGAAAAAAAAAAATGTTTTAAATAGGGGAAAACTTATGGCTTAGCTGAGAATATTTTTATAGGCATAGTAAACTAAACATTGATTATTGTTCTATCCAAAAGGAAGACTTCACTATGTAGAAAGAATTGAGAATGACACTAGTTAAATATTTATGCATTACTGGGTTCAAGATGATTGAAAGATAATTAAATTCTCTTCTTTCATAGTTGGAGATTTATAGCCAATAACTGTGAAGAATCACAAAGTAGCACTTATTAGAATAAGTGACTATCAAACAAACGTTAGAAAGTGCTTCTGGCTGGGCATGGTGGCTCATGCCTGTAATCCTAACACTTTGGGAAGCCAAGATAGGAGGATTGCTTGAGCCCAGGCATTCGAGACCAGCCTGGGCAATATAGCGAGACCCTGCCTCAATAAAAAATTAGCCAGGCATGGAGATACATGCCTGTAGTCCCAGCTACTCAGGAGGCTGAGGCAGGAGGATCACTTGAGCCCAGGAGGTTGAGGCTGCAGTGAGCTGTGATAGCACCTCAGCACTCCAGCCTTTGAGACAAAGCAAGACCCTGACTCGAAAACAAAGAAAAATAAAGCATGCTCACAGTTAACCTTAATGAAAATAAAAACTAAATTTTGGGCTGTCAGATGACCTTGTATATACTGTGGAATTTTTTTTTAAATTATTGCTATTCTTTTTTTTTTTTTTTTTTTGTGAGTCAGAGTTTTGCTCCCGTTGCTCAGTGTGGAGTGCAATGACACCATCTCGGCTCACTGCAACCTCCGTGTCCTGGGTTCAAGCGATTCTCCTGCGTCAGCCTCCTGAGTAGCTGGGATTATAGGCGCCTGCCATCACGCCCAGCTAATTTTTGTATTTTTAGTAGAGACGGGGTTTCGCCATGTTGGCCAGGCTGGTCACGAACTCCTGACCTGAGGTGATCCACCTGCCTCGGCCTCCCAAAGTGCTGGGATTATAGGCGTGAGCCACTGTGCCTGGCCTATTGGTATTCTTAACTCTTTTTCCTGAAAGTCATGTGTAAAGACAAGTACATATTAATTAAAGGATTCTAGTTAGTGAGATTTTGTTGAACTATTTTAATGAGTAAATTCTAAGAAAAAACATTGTTAAACTTTTTTTTCAGATTTTGTTATGGATGTCAGGGGGAATTGAAAGACCAACATGTAAGTTCTTTGGCTTTCTAAATATTAAGTAATGTACAAGAAATATTGAAATCAATGGTACTATAAGTTTTCAACAGGTTGTTAAAGACCAGGCTCATATCAGTTTATTTCTTGTAAAGATAATGACAATAGGTGAAGGTAAAATAGGAACAAAATAGTTTAAATAGTAGTTTTGTTATTCTGCATTCTAATTTTTGCTATAAAGTATTTTGTAATTCATCTTTTTAAAACTTTTTATTAAAAATTTTTTAATTTTTTTCCTCTTTTTTTAAATTCTTTGATTGTTTTGTCTACTTTGGTACACCCTTGTAAAACATGTAATTTGTCTTTAGCTTTCAAGCTAAACTGCATTTAGTCTGAAAGTATTTAAAATATTTTCTTCATATTATACTTTAAGCTGTGTGATAACACATTGAAATTGTTTAAGGTGGCCACAGATAATAGGTGATTCTTCCATTATGCCAATGAGAAAATACTTTTTTAAATTTTGAAGAGGGCCAACTTTAATAAATAAATTTGTATAGATGTAAATAATATGGATCACTGTCTAGCTTTAATTTTTAATTTAGTTACATGTTCATATTTAAAACTATATATATTATATAAAATAATAATTAGAAGTATTGCTCTTCCACTGTCACAATTTATAAAGTAATTTTATTAAATTTTATATACCTCTTTGACATCAGTAGTTTACTCTTAACTGGAACCACTTTTTGAATCATTTGACAGTTTTTTGGTTTTATTTTCTGAGACAGACTCTTGCTCTGTCACCCAGGTTGTAGTGCAGTGATGCAATCTTGGCTCACTGCAACCTCTGCCTCCCAAGTTCAAGTGATTCTCATGCCTAGCCTCCCAAGCAGCTGGGATTATAGGCGTGCACCACCATGCCCAGCCAATTTTTGTATTTTTAGTAGAGACTGGGTTTCACCATGTTGACCAGCTGGTCTTGAACTCCTGGGCTCAAGCAATCCACCCGCCTTGGCCTCCCAAAGTGCTGGGATTACAGGCGTGAGTCACTACACCCGGCCTCATTTGAGTTTTTAAGAATAGGTCATTGTCTGTGTTGTTTGAAATTTATTTATTCATTCTTTCTTTTTTTTTTTATTCAAAGCCAAATACTTCTGAGATTTAGTGATTTTTGAATCTGTGTATGAAGCTGCCCTGGAAATTCTATCCCAAGGAGCAAGTACTCATATATGTAATGCTGAAAGAACAAATGTAGTTTTTTCCTTTCTGCTTGTCTTATCTGTGTCATTTGACATATTTTTTTAAAGGTTTACTTGAAAGGGAAATATGTTTGCAATTGTGAGGTCATTCCCTAAGAATAATTAAATCGATGTTAAATTTTTATGCTTCTCTTTTTAATTGAATCAATCAGGTGGTCTTGCTAAGCATTCAAAAGTAGCGCTGGTTTGAAGCTCATATGTCTTTCCTAAACCTTAGAATGAAATAATTGAGAGCGAACTGTAATAGAATAGACTTTAAAGACTCAAAAACAAAACCATTCCCTCATTTCTAAGGGATAGTTTTGGGGAAAAAATTAATTGCCTTAGATTTGAGAATATAGAGTACATTGGAAGTAATAAAGTAGGTAGTGGGAAAAAATTGGTAGAGATATAAAAGAGCAAAGCACACCTTGAATGTCATCTAGCTGTGCTGTAATTAACTTTTGGAAACTAGTTTATCACTTTTCTTCTTTTCACTACAGGTTTATGTTTGTGCTGTGTGCCAAAATGTTTTCTGTGTGGACTGTGATGTTTTTGTTCATGATTCTCTACACTGTTGCCCTGGCTGTATTCATAAGATTCCAGCTCCTTCAGGTGTTTGATTCCAGCATGTAGTATACATTGTATGTGTTAAAAAGAAATTTGCAACTGTGAATAAAAGGACTTCTTTAGAAGAAGCTTCATTTAAAACATGAAAGGATAATCTGACTTAAGAAACTTTTTGCTAAGAAAAGGTAATATTTTATTAAATTTTAAATTTGTGTTGTCACAGAAATACCTGAAATTCAGTAGTACTTCATTCAATTAATTTTGTTTTCTATTATTTTGAGTTATACTGTTTTCAAAGTCATTATGCAGTATGTATAAACTTATAAGAATTAAATTGATGTGATAATTTTATGTTTTTATAATTAAATATAGAATCTTTATGATTTATGTTAATTCATTAATTTAGTGTAAGAAGAAAGTTAAGTCTGAATGTAAATTCAGTGTAAGATGAAAATTTATCAATACTTATGAAATTAGGCTGGGCGCTGTGGCTCACACCTGTAATCCCAACACTTTGGGAGGCTGAGGTGGGCAGATCACTTGAGGTCAGGAGTTCGAGACCAGCCTGGCCAACATGGTGAAACCCCGTCACTACTAAAAATACAAAAAATAATTAGCCGGGCATGGTGGTTCACGCCTGGAGTCCCAGCTACTTGGGAGGCTGAGGCAGGAGAATCGCTTGAACCCAGGAGGCGGAGGTTGCAGGGAGCCGAGATTGTGCCACTGCACTCCACCCTAGAGTGAGACTCCCTCTCAAAAAAAAAAAAAGTTATGAAATTAATACATATGAAATGATGTACTGCTACATCCACCAGAGAGGTCTTTTTAGGTTTAACCAAACATCTGGAATATGTTTATCAAGTTAGTACATCTGAAATTATTTGTGGCTATGACCAACAGAAGTCACTTTACATTAAACATTCAAACTCACAAGACTGCCATGGCCATACTTGGTACCCGCTTACTCAGAAGGATATTAAACAGAAACAACAGCCTGCCAGCACAGCATCAAGCAGTCCTCATTAGCAGTGGAAGTCCTTGTAGCAGTCCACTAGTACAATTTGGGTGCAAGGAGATAAGATCCTCCACAGGCATCAAGGAACCAATATCTCTTAACAATTCCATAAACACAGCTTCCAGGTATCCACAAGGGATGTGTCAATTTCAAGAGTCACTACACTCAGGAAAGCCTAAAGCTTGAAGACTCCATTTATTTATAGTGCATCCCAATCCAGATACGTAACAATTAACGAGTTATTTTTACTATAAGCAAAGTTGCCTAAAATCATAGTTGATACTAACCATGGTTAACAGAGCTCTAAAGTTTGACAGAAAGTGAGATTCAAATCCTTTCACTCTCATATGCTAAACCTTTTGCCTTACTCTGGGTCATCAGAGAAATTTAGGTGAGAATGTATGATGAAGTCTGTGTTTTAGATTCAATGCAGATATATCATTGTGGGCAGAACTCTTTCTGGTTATATCCAGTTAAGAGTAAATCAGGCTTTCAGCCGGGCGCGGTGGCTCACGCCTGTAATCCTAGCACTTTGGGAGGCCGAGGCGGGCAGATCACGAGGTCAGGAGATCGAGACCATCCTGGCTAACACGGTGAAACCCCGTCTCTACTAAACATACAAAAAATTAGCTGGGCCTGGTGGCGGGCGCCTGTAGTCCCAGCTATTCGGAAGGCTGGGGCAGGAGAATGGTGTGAACCCAGGAGGCGGAGCTTGCAGTGAACCGAGATCGCTCCACTGCACTCCAGCCTGGGCGACAGAGCTAGACTCTGTCTCAAGAAAAAAAAAAAAAAAAAAGAGTAAATCAGGCTTTCATAGCAAAGGTATGTCTATTTTATGTATATAAACTTCAGGTACTCTAACTTGAGTTTCACTATGAAATTTGTGATTTTTTTTTTTTTTTTTTGAGATGGAGTCTTGCTCCATCGCCCAGGCTGGAGTGCAGTGGCCTGCTGTTGGCTCACTGCAACCTCCGCCTCCCAGGCTCAAGCCATTCTCCTGTCTCAGCCTCCTGAGTAGCTGGGACTACAGGCGCCTGCCACCACGCCTGGCTAATTTTTGCATTTTTGGTAGAGACGGGGTTTCACCTTGTTGATCAGGCTGATCTCCAACTCCTGACCTCAGGTCATCCACCCACCTCCGCCACCGTGCCCGGCCGAAATTTGTGATTTTATAACTAAGAATTTTTAGTTAAGAACATTATCAGTAAAGACAACGTAATCCCACCCTGGAGAGTTTATTGGGAGCCCAGGAATATTCATTTTTAATACACACACACACACACACACACACACACACTGATCAGAGTAACGGGAGTTTCTCTCAGGAGTCATACTCCATGAGCCTGGACCCAGTGGTTCTTTATGTGGAAACAAATTTCACCTATAGGTAACCTGGTAACTGCTATTTTCTTCTGTGTGCTCTGTCAACAAAGGTATCAGTGGCTTGCAGGAGATGCCTTTAATACTCAGAGCATTCTATCTCCCCCTATCTGGTTTAGAAGGAAGGCCTTCATTAGTTACCTTTTGAGAAGTTACTAGAACTCTCTATTAGAGACTTACCCTCCTGACCTGATAAAAAGGGATACCCATGTCTCTATTAACAGCTTTATCTCTTTCTACAGTTTTGGGTATTTGATAAGGTTAAGGCAAAATTTTAGTTATGCTTAAGGAGGAGTTCTTTTTTCACAATTACAGAGAAAATTTTGGTTTGTTGAAGATTGCAGAAACAGCAATGGTAATGTAAGACAGTTTTGGCCTTTAATTTTTTTCTTGAAACTCTACAGTATACTACAATAGTGAAGGAAACTATTATCATGAGAGATCCTTCTGAATAGGATGTCTTTCTGAGTTCCACTATTCAGTTACAAAACTCCTTAATGCTTAAAATTCATTATGAAAATTAGATTTATTTTAAATACTTTCAAGTGTATACATTTTTATTTCATAATTTTTATTGTCTTTTAACTAAAGCATTTAGTTCATTTATATTTACTGTGTACCTTTTATATTTAATAAATATATTTACTTATTAAAAGATTACCACTGATATATTTTATTTATTATAAATATTATATTTATAAATATATTATTTATATTTATATTTATATATTTATATATATTTATATATAATATATATTTTAATATATTATATATTAAAATATATAAATATATCTAATAAATATAAATATTTATTAAAAGATTACCACTGATATATTTGGGTTTAAGTCTATTATCTTTGTGTTATTGGTTCCAACAATTCCATCTTTCGTTTTTTTAAATTTTTTTAACTACATATTTGATACGATCTTTTCCTTCTTGCCTTCTTTTTGATTACTTACTTTCTACCATTCTATGTTTTTCGTCACTAGTTTGAAAATTGTATACTTTGTTTTTATTCTTTCAGTGGTTACCCTAGAAATTACAACAAACAAAAATTGCAACAACAATAAATTACAACAAGAAGAATTTTTTTTTTTTTTTTTGAGACAGAGTCTCGCTCTGTCGCCCAGGCTGGAGTGCAGTGGCGCGATCTCAGCTCACTGCAAGCTCCACCTCCCGGGTTCATGCCATTCTCCTGCCTCAGCCTCCCGAGTAGCTGGGACTGCAGGTGCCTGCCACCACGCCTGGCTAATTTTTTGTATTTTTACTGGAGACGGGGTTTCACTGTGTTAGCCAGGATGGTCTCGATCTCCTGACCTCATGATCCATCTGCCTTGGCCTCCCAAAGTGCTGGGATTACAGGCGTGAGCCACCACGCCTGGTCAACAACAAGAATTTCTTAACTTAGGTCCCCTAGGAAGTAGAACCTGAGGCAAAGATGAAAGTATTGTTACTTTATTAGGGAGGGACAGATCTAGGGGGGTGAGAGTGTGGAAGAAAAGGGAAAGCAAAGCAAGGAAAAACGTGATGCATTGTGTTACTGCAGTGACCAGGCTTCATGACAAGCTGTGACGAGATACAGGAGCCTTCCAGCAAGTGTGTTCACTTAGAGTGTGGGGCTTCTCCAGAAGGTTTATAAGGAGAAACTGCCCCTCTGAGCAGTCCATTGAAGGGAGGAAGGAGAAGTAACTTAGTTTCCTAAGTTCTTCCATTTCCCGTTGATCCTAGTTTGCCCACAGGGCTGTGTCATCTCGTCCTTTGGTAACTGCTCAGGAAGCCAGATCTCGTGCTCAGTGGTGTGGCATTGCATCTACTTCTAGAAGGATTTCTCAATACTTTATAACTTCCTCATGTTTCTGGTCATGTTTGTGTTCAGCTATATCTCTAGAACGGTTGGCCAATTCATAGCATGAAATGATTTCATGAGTGGTGACAAAGAAAGGGTGCAATCAGCCCTTGGGGAGTGGGTTAGTGGAATCCCAGTCCTGAGGCCATTAGTGGGTGGCAGAGTTTAGGAGAAAAGGTAAGAAGTTTCAGTCCTTGGGCCCTGTAGTAAGGAGAAAAAGGGTACAGGAGGTTGTCACACTTCTGAGAAGTAGTCTTAGAGTGCCCTAGTGCCTGCTTTGGATCCAGTTCTGTAAGGGCAGAGGATTCATTATTTCCAGGTAATTTAAGTATGTTCTGGGGAGAAGTGTTACAAGATGGACTGGGGACTCGGCTGGGATCCTGATGGGATCTAAATTATTGATTTCACCTGACTGAATTGCTATTTGCGTCACACCTCAGGACCCTGGAAACAATACACAATTTGCCCATTCATTAATTTATTAATTCACTCAACAAACTTGTACATCTGCCATAAGTCTGACACCATCCTAGTTATCAGGGATGTAGATAGTCAAAAGAAGATGTAAACCTAACCTCATGCATCTGTGAATCTCCCCATCTAAAAAGACACAGCCTTGTAAAGAAGCTTGTGTGAAAGTGCTAACGACAGACATGCCAAGTGTTAAGGGGATGCAGGAGAGGCGTGGTAAAATGGGTTGGGAGGCAGCTCAGATGTCTAAAGGGGTCAGGCAGACAATGCAGATAAGTGAAAGAGGGCCAGTTGATGCAGAGTGGGGACATCTGGAAAGCACCCGCCCCATCTAAAGGAGGCAGCCTCTGAGAGTCTGGGGATCAGGGATAGAAGGGAGATGTACTTTTCACTGTACATCCTTTTGTATTTTTTAAATTTTGTTACTTAATTCAAAAAAATGTAAAAATAAAGTGAGGTAACCATTATTTGGCCCCAGCCTATTTTTTTCTTCTGGGAATGATACTTAAAGAGAAACTAAATCTGGATTTTTTTTTTTTTTTTTTTTTTTTTTTTTTTTTTTGAGACAAAGCCTTGCTCTGTTCCCCAGGCTGGAGTGCATTGGTGCAATCATGGCTCACTGCAGTCTCGACCTTCCAGACTCAAGTGATGGTCCCACTTCAGACTCCCTAGTAGCTGGGACCACAGGTGTGTGCCATTGTGCCTGGCTAATTTTTAAAAAGTTTTTTTTTGTAGAGACAGTGTCTTCCTATGTTGCCTAGGCTGGTCTTGAACTCCTGAGCTTAAGTAATCTGCACACCTCAGTCTTCCAAAGTATTGGAATCACAAGCGTGAGCCACCATGCCCAGCCGTAAAAACTGGATTTTTAAAGTGAATTCTCCCAAGTTTGAGATGTTAGCCTCTAATTTAGAAAAACACAGAGGCTAAATAAAACTTATCTTCAGTCCACCAGTTGACAAACTTTGGCCTGGCCTGTCTCTTTTCTATCGTTTATCATCAGGGCAGATAATCTTTTAAGTTTCAGGTGTTACACTTTCCTGGGATATACTCCTCCTAGGGGGTAATTTATTTACTTTTTGTTTTTGTTTTTGTGACAGAGTCTTGCTCTGTCAACCAGGCTAGAGTGCAGTGGCATGATCTTGGATCACTGCAACATCTGCCTCCCGGGTTCAAGTGATTCTCCTGCCTCAGCCTCCCGAGTAGCTGGGACTACAGTCATGTGCCACCATGCCTGGCTGATTTTTGTATTTTTAGTAGTGACGTGGTTTCACACCATGTTGACCAGGCTGGTCTCGGAACTCCTGACCTCAAGTGATCCACCCACCTTGGCCTTCCAAAGTGCTGGGATTACAGGTGTGAGCCACCGTGGCCAGCCTTAGGGGATAATTTAGGTTTTTTGTGTTTCTGTTTTAAATTTAAATTTTTATTTTTTTGAGGCAGTATCACTCTGTCTCTCAGGCTGGAGTGCAATGGCACAATCAACTCACTGCAGCCTTGAATTCCTGGGCACAAGTGATCCTCCCAATTCAGCTTCTCAAGTAGCTAGGACTACAGGTGTGCACCACCATGCCTGGCTGAATTTTTTTTTTAAGAGATGGACTCTTGCTGTGCTGTCCAGGCTCGTGTCAACTCCTGGCCTCAAATGATCCTCTCTCCTAGGCCTTCCAAAGTGCTGGGATTACAGACGTTAGCCACTGTACCCAGCCTAGTTCAAGTTTTAAGCATTAAGAATTGACTCTTTGGAGGAATAGGGATCTTTTAAGGATCTCTACAGTCAGTGACTCTAAATGTAGTGTTTGGACCAGTAAGTAGCATTAGCATCACCCAAGAAGTCATTAGAAATGCAAATTCTTGGCCAGGCGCGGTGCCTCATGCCTGTAATCCCAGCACTTTGGGAGGCTGAGGTGGGTAGATCACGAGGTCACGAGTTCGAGACCAGCTTGACCAACATGGTGAAACCCTGTCTCTACTAAAAATACAAAAATTAGCCGGCCGTGGTGAAGGGCATCTGTAATCCCAGCTACTCAGGAGGATGAGGCAGGAGAATCACTTGAATCCAGGAGGCGGAGGTTGCTGTGAGCCAAGATCGCACCACTGCACTGCAGCCTGGGCAACAGAATGAGACTCCATCTCAAAAAAAAAAAAAAAAGCAAATTCTTGAGCCCCATCACAGGCCTGTTGAATCAGAAACTCTGAGGATGGGTCTAGCAGTCCGCTTTAACAAATCCTCCAGGTGGTTACCATAAATGTTGAAGTGTGAGAGCTACTGCCTGTAATCCCATTTAGAGAGGTACATAGGTAACTTAAAAACAGGTCCTGATAAAAGAATTCTACTAAACTTAAAAAACAAATTCAGGTAACTTTATAAACAAACAAATCTCGGCCGGGCGCGGTGGCTCACGCCTGTAATCCCAGCACTTTGGGAGGCCGAGGCGGGCGGATCACGAGGTCAGGAGATCGAGACCATCCTGGCTAACACGGTGAAACCCCGTCTCTACTAAAAATACAAAAAATTAGCCGGGCGTGGTGGCGGGCGCCTGTAGTCCCAGCTACTCGGGAGGCTGAGGCAGGAGAATGGCGTGAACCCGGGAGGCAGAAATTTCAGTGAGCCGAGATCGCGCCACTGCACTCCAGCCTGGGTGACAGAGCAAGACTCCGTCTGAAAACAAACAAACAAAAAAAACAAATCTCAAACATGGAATTATTTTTTCACTTCTCTCTTTTGTTTTGTTTTTTTTTTTTTTTGAGACAGAGTCTCGCTCTGTCACCCAGGCTGGAGTGCAGTGGCGCGATCTCGGCTCACACTGCAATTTCTGCCTCCCGGGTTCACACCATTCTCCTGCCTCAGCCTCCCAAGTAGCTGGGACTACAGGTGCCCGCCACCACGCCCGGCTAATTGTTTTTTTGTATTTTTAGTAGAGACGGGGTTTCACCGTGTTAGCCAGGATGGTCTCGATCTCCTGACCTCGTGATCCGCCCGCCTCGGCCTCCCAAAGTGCTGGGATTACAGGCGTGAGCCACTGCGCCCGACCTTTTTCACTTCTCTTAATGCTCTGTAAACATTAATGTATTTATATATGTACTTAGAATTTTAAAAAATCAATTTTATTGAGTTATAATTAACATACAGTAAAAATGCTCCCATCTTGAGTAATTCCATGCCTTTTGACAAGTGTTCTGTACCCATGCCACGACCACCACAATCGAGAGAGAACATCTTCATCACTCCAGAAGGGCTCCTTTGCAGTGAGTACTCCCTAGGAGTTCCAGCGGCCGGTGACATTGATCTGTTTTCTGTCACTGTAGATGAGATTTGTCTGTTATATACAATTTTTAAAAATTAAATGATATGTATGGCTTCTTTTGCTTAGCATAATGTTTTTGAGCTTATTCATTTGTTGCATATATCAATACTTTGCTTCTTTTTACCACCTGTACTTCATTTATGGATACGTTGTTTATCCATGTGTTTATCCCCAATGGACATTGGGTTGTTTCTGATTTTTTGGTTATTATTATGAATAAAGTTGCTATGAACATTATTGTATAAATCTTTGTGTGTTCATGTGTTTTCATTTTTCTTGGGTAAATATGTAGGAATGGAATTGCTAGATTGTATGGCAAGAGTATACTTAGCTTTCCATGACACCAGTGAACTGTTTTTCCAAAGACATTGTATTAATACCATTTTACATTCCCACAACTAATGTATGAGCTTCCAGTTGCTCCATATCCTCAACTAACAGTTGATATTGTACAATACAAATGTTAACTTTTAGAATATCTTCACAACTTTAGAGTAGATAGTGATTTCTTAGGACACAAAAACTATCAATCATAACAAAAATTAAAATTGGACTTCATCAAAATTAAAAACTTCTTTTTGAAAGACACCATTAAGAAAATGAAAAGATGGTTAACAGACTGAGAGAATATATGTGCAATGTAAATATCTAACAAAGGACTAGTATGCAAAATATATAAAGAATCCTTATAATTTAGTAATAAAAAGGAAAACACGCACTTTTTAAATGGGTCAAGAATTTAATTACGGCCAGGTGCAGTGGCTCACACCTGTAATCTCAGCACTTTGGGAGGCCGAGGTGGGTGGATCACGAGGTCAGGGGTTCGAGACCAGCCTGGCTAACATGGTGAAACCCTGTCTCTACTAAAAATACAAAAATTAGCTGGGCGTGGTGGTGGGCGCCTGTAATCCCAGCTACTCGGGAGGCTGAGGCAGGGGAATCGCTTGAACCCAGGAGGCGGAGGTTGCAGTGAGCTGAGATTGTGCCACTGCACTCCAGCCTGGGCGACAGAGCGAGACTCTGTCTTTTAAAAAAAAAGAAAAAAATTTAATTACCTTACCAAAGAAGATACATGAATGACCAATAAGCCATTAAATTAAAACTTCAGTGAGTATACACATATGCCCTGAAGTAGCTAAACTTTAAAACACTGCCCTATGTGTGTGTACTTTTTAGCTAAAAAAGTGTTTGAAAACAGTATTATTTTGAAACTCAAAATTCCAAATCCTCTCTTCAAATTAGGTAGTAGTGTCACTGGAAGTAAAAGAGAAGTTACTTTAACTGCTAAAGAGTATCCACTAAGAATCTACAACAAACATCATGTTTAATGCTCAAACTTTAGAAGAATTTATACCAAAAGTCAAGAATAAGATAGGATATCTATCTTCATTATTAAGCAACATTATATTAGAGGACCTAATCAATGCAACAAGGCAATAAATAAAAGACAAAACTGTCATAATCAGATACTACAAACATCTAAGAAAATTCAGGGGGATTTACAGTCATATATTAAACAGTCCAGAAGGAGTCCTATACATCATCAATGAATATTGAGAATAAAAAATAGTTTTTAAAACCCCTCCAATTTATAAGGGCAACAAAATGTACAAGGTACTAAAATAAATGTAATGTGTATTTGGGTATAAATACAGCAACATAATGAAAAGGTTTATTGGGGAAAAAATTACAGGGAGAAGGGTCAACAACGTGAAGAGGTTCCCCTGCCATCTGGACTTCTGGAAAAAGACCTGCTGGTCTAGGCACAGCTGGATGCACCATGGAAAGTGGTTCCAATAAACACTGGCACTGTAACAATTGTGTATGTTGATACAAAAAGAGGGAGCCAATGAATACTTGGTCGATTATTTAACAATTGCTTCTCTGCTGAAGAAATGGCCTTGTTGGACTAGAGCTTAACTGTGGTTCACATACTAATGCTGCTATAACAGCTAGAAGCCTTACTAAGAAATTTGCTAAACCACCAAAAAGAGGAAATGAACCTTCTAGGACATCTGGATTGCCTTTTCTTAAAAATCTAGTCTTGGCTGGGTGCTGTGGTTCACGCCTGTAATCCCAGCATTTGGTGAGGCCGAAGTGGGCGGATCACGAGGTCAAGAGATCGAGACCATCCTGGTCAACATGGTGAAACCCTGTCTCTACTGAAAATACAAAAATTAGCTGGGCGAGGTGGCATGTGCCTGTAGTCCCAGCTGCTGGGGAGGCTGAGGAAGGAGAATCACTTGAACCCGGGAGGCGGGGTTTGCAGTGAGCTGAGATCACGCCATTGCACTCCAGCCTGGCAACAGAGCAAGACTCAGTCTAAAAAAAAAAAAAAAAAATCTAGTCTGTATGGCAGCACAACATCAGGTAAAAGTACAGACTAGCCAGATCACTGGTTAACCTTAACCCCTATGTGCTTGAGTTTCCTTATCTGTAATATGGAGATGATATAGCAATAGCTGATTTTGGACTGTTAAAGGAATTAAGTGGACACATGTAAAGTGCTTAGAATTGTGCCTGGCAAGTAGTAGGCTGCAATATTGTGATATAATAAATATATATATTTGATCTTCATCCAGTTCCTGGCACAGATCTCCAGAAACCCTTGTAATTTCCTGAGTGACAGGGGTGATAGAAACATCTTTTATTAGAATACTTGGTCTTGGTTCCTGACACAAGAGCTTCTAAGACCTTTGGAATCTCCAAGTGATAAGAGTGTATGACAGTGAGCTAACTGGTGGCTGGGATCCTTTAGACAACTTCAGGATGGGGGCTATCCCCTGAAAGACTAAGGCATGATTAGAGGTCTGGGATTTGCAGCCCCACGCCTCGACCTCCAGAGAGGGTAAAAGGGCTGGCGATTGATTAACCACCAATTGCCAGTGATTTAGCCAATCATGCCTAAGTGATGGCACCTCCATTAAAAAATAAACCACAGGTTTGGAGAGCTTTCGGTTTGGTTAACCCCAACCACATACCAAGAAGGCGATGCACCTCAAACTGCATGAAGACAAAAGGTCCTGTGCTCACCTGGGACCCTTCTGGACGTTGCCCTGTGTACCTCTTCGACTGCCTGTTCATCTGTATCCTTTATAATAAAGCAGTAAACATAAGTAAAGTTTCTGAGTTCTGTGAGCCATTATAAGAAACGATCGAACCTGGGATTTTCCTTTCGGAAGCCGCTCTCTCTCACAAGGGAGAGAGCTGTTCTCCTTTTTCTTTTGCGTGTTAAACCTCCGCTCCTAAACCCACTCTTCGTGTGTATCGTGTCCTTAACCTTGTTGGTGCGAGACGACGAACCCCGGGTATTGACCCCAGACAACAATGCCACTTCATATTGGGGACTTCGTCTGGGATTCCAAGGTGCATTCATTGCAAAGGTGAGTAAAGGGGCGGACCTCAACTCTGTCCTTTGATTTCGAGGCTCTTGGCCTCCATTTTAGAATCAAACCAAACCAAATACTGGGCCCCCTTCTGCTTCTGTGAATGAGAAAACTCTGCCTTCACCAATTAGCCATTTAAAAATTATGAGCGTGGCTGCCAGCCTTACAAGTTTTGGGGGACAGGCTTGCTGGGGAGAACATGGAGAACCCCCCAATACCCACGGGCTGCTGGGCATATTGGCCATGTTTGAACCAGTTTCCTTTCACGGAGGACCAAGCTGTCGTGTGGGGCTGGAAGAGGTCCTGGAGCAACTGAGGATTTCTGGCTGGGGCTACCTCCTGGTGCCATCCGAAGGCTTCTGGACTGACCCCAGCCTCCGACCACCCTAAGGGGTGTCGGCAACAGGACCTCCAACTTTCCTATCATAATTCCCTCATTTCCTATCCACGACCACCATGTCTCCTAACCTCTCTCTGTATGCAGTACTGAGGGAGTTTTACAGTTCAGGGAAGTAATCTTGTTAGGCAAGAACAAAGACTGCTGTAGTAACCAGGGATATAGCACGGGGGCATGCTGTTGTGATTTTCTAGGAACAGAGGGTCTCCTCTCCCACCACAGTGAGCGTCACTCTCTGCCCTTGTTCTGGAAAGCACATGGCATGTCAAGGTCACTCTGCCCTTTGTCACAGTAAGATTAGGGTGGGGCGCCCAACCTTCCCCGCGTGCTATGTAAACGTCACACCTGTTCAAACCAACCTGTGGGCTCTGCGCAAATCAGACGCCGCCTCCTCAGGCCTACCTATAAAATCTGGTGCAGTCCACCGCAGGCCGGATTTTCCTTTCGGAAGCCCCTCACAAGGGAGAGATCTGTTCTCGTTTTTCTTTCTTTTGCCTATTAAACCTCTGCTCCTAAACTCCCCCAACCCCCAAGAAAGAAATTATCGAACCTGAGGGGGTTGCAGATACCCATGATTTGTAGTGAACTCAGACAGAAGTGTGGGTACCCTGAGGTCCTAATAGTTGTGGCTGGCATCTGAAGTAGGGGGCAGTCTTGGGGGCTGAGCCCCTAACCCGTGGGGTCTGCACTAACTCTGGTTAATTAGCATCAGAATTGAGTAAAATTGTAAGACACTCAGCTGCTGTCTGTGGAGAATTGGAGAATTGGTTGGTGGAAAACCCATATATTTGATGTCAGAAATGTGAGTAGAGAAATGGTTTTTCCTTGATAGGCTCTATGTAAATTTTAGTTCATGTTTTTGGTAATAAATACACAATATTACTGATTCTTAAAAGTATAAACCCAGGAAAATTAAGAAAACAAGAATGTCAAGTCCAACAGAGTTTAAAGGTAAAAAAAAATAAAATAGAACAGAAATGGGACCAGTAGCACATAGAATATTTTAACACATTCTTGGAAAGAAGAAACTATATGGACTAGTAGTCAGGAAGGAAGCAGCTCAAGGAAACCGCTTCCTGAATATGGAGTCTCCTATGAGAGACTATCTGCCCTGTGGAGAAGCTTGGAGTAACTGCGGACACAGGATGCCAGATAGGAAGGAGGGCTGGAGTGACATGAAGGGCTGAAAATTGAGGGACTAATTGGAAGCCCGTGCACGGGACAGTCAGCTCTCTCTACCCCATGATCAGAATATTTGACACACAAGTGTTTACCCTGGGGCAAAAAATTACAGGAGTCTTCCCTGCTCCCCCCAAAATTGAACACATTGCTTTCTCTTAGCTGACCTAGAGAACCAGTGTGGGCACTGGCACCCCAAAACTAAGAATCCTTTTAAGAAATGGTGATTTTATGTCCAAGGAACGTTCCAAGTAAGTTTTCGGCTGCTAGCTTTGTCTTTACAAGTAACGGGCCAGGCCCAGTGGCTCATGACTGTAATCCCAGCATTTTGGGGGACTGAGGTGGGCAAATGGCTTGAGGTCAAGAGTTCAAGACCAGCTTGGGCAACATGGCGAAACCCTGTCTCTACTAGAAATACAAAAATTAGCCAGGTGTGGTGGTGCATGCCTGTAGTCCCAGCTATTGTGGGGCTGAGATGAGAGGATCACTTGAGCCTGGGAGGTAGAGGCTGCAGTGAACCGAGATTGTGCCACTGCACTCCAGTCTGGGTGACAAAGTGAGACCCCATCTCCAAAAACAAAACAAAACAAAAAAAACCCCAAGTAACTTGAAATCATTTTCTGAAATCTTTCTCTGACATTCTGACATTAGGGTAATTCTTGTTCTCCATAGAGGGAAAGGCTCAGGTTCAAGTCCCACTCCTGTGGCTCCTGATTTTTTAATGATTAGTTTGACCAATGTGTTTTTAAATGACTTAATTTTTAAACATGAGTTGAAAACCCAGGATCACTACACATTTGAGGAAAGTTGATAATATGAAAAGTAAACACCAAGGTAAGTGGTAAAAACCTTTGAGGAAACATAATTCAGGAAACAGGAACTTAAACATTAGTATCGTACAGCAGATTCAGGAAGATGGCACTGGTTAAAAAAATTGACACTATGAAAATAAGGCACAGAGAAAAGAAAGAGCTGTGGGAAATTATAATTGCTGAAATTTTAAACTAGATTGGAGAACCGGAATATAAAGGAGAGGACAGCTGGGTGCGGTGGCTCACACCTGTCATCCCAGCATTTTGGGAGGCTGAGGCCGGCAGATCACTTGAGCCCGGGAGTTTGAGACCAGCCTGGGCAACAAGGTGAGACCCCCATCTCTACACAAAATAAAATATAAAATCAGCTGTGCATGGTAGCACACGTCTGTAGTCCCAAAACTTGGGAGGCTAGGTGGGAGGATCACTTGAGTCCAGGAGGTGGTGGCTGCAGTGAGCTGTGATTGTGCCATTGCACTCCAGCCTGGATGACAGAGCGAGACCCTTAGAAAGTAGGAAAAGAATATATGAAAAAAAAATAAGTGATCAATTAATTACTCACCTGAATAGTGGGAATACCAAAAGAGTAAAAAGAGAGTAACAGACAGTAGGAAGTTATCAAATAAATAATAGAAGGTAATTTCCCAGGCTTGATGGGAGACCCAAGAGCTCAGATTGAAAATGCCCATTGAATACCCAGCCCAATGAATGTAGAGAGGTCTACACTTAGGAGAAAAGATCCTAAAAGCTACCAGAAAGATAGAAACTGTTACTATAACAGAAATAAGACACTAGCACCTTAACTATTAACCAATCTTAACAAACTAGAATAAAGGCCGGATGTGGTGGTTCATGCCTATAATCCTAGCACTTTGGGAGGTCGAGATGGGAGGATCGCTTCAGCCTGGAAGCTTGAGGCTGCAGTGAGCTAGGATCGTGCCACTGTACTCCAGCCTGGGCGACAGAGTGAGACACTGTCTCAAAAACAACAGAAACAAAAAAACTAGAATAAAATACTTCTGGTGTGAGACTCTGTAGGTTTCATTACTCCTTTTGGGTCCTGATTAAATCCTGTTGACTCAAGACCTTAGAGCATTTACTGGTAAAGTCTCTGACTGCGCGATTTTTTTTTTGCATTTTAGTTCCTTAAATATTTTCTCACTGCTTCCTACTAAAGGACGGACAGAGCATTTGTTCTTCAGCCACATACTTTCCTTCCACTGGCCAGCATTCTCCTCTATTAGACTAGAACTGTGGATAAACCTCAGGTAAGTAAATTACTATCCCTGGCAAAGGTGCTTTTCTTCCACACCTAAACCTATGGTCCCTTCTTTGTCTTGCTATTGTTTCTCTCTTTGGAGGCAGGATGGTATGGAGGAAAGAGGACAGACACTGGAGTCACACAGACTTGGGTTTAAATCCTAGCTCCATGGCACAGTTGCCTCAATGGCACTCTTAGCACTGTAGTCAAAGAATATTAGACCTGGAAAGGGCCTTGGAAATTACTTCTCCTCCCCCAGAAACAGCCTCTAGACTGGCATGATTGACCACCAAACTTCGTTGTGTCAGACAGGATCAATGTCTGCTGGTCTGCTGCAACTCTGTACTCATTTATCTCTGGGGAGGCCTGAAGCCTTGGTGCTGTTCCTTGGCCAAACCTAAATGAAATGTACTAGCCAGTGATTAATAGAGTCCTGTGCTGGGGTGGGAGACAGACCAGGGAGCAGCCTGTTTCTTGCTTCTTTCTTTCTTTTTGGAGATGAAATCTCATTGGCTTTGAACTTCTGGGCTCAAGTGATCCTCCCACTTCAGCCTCCCAAGTAGCTGGGATTACAGGTGCATGTCACTGCCCCAGCTTGACTATACCAGCTTGTTTCTGGTTTTGAGCCCTGGTATGCAAGCTAGTGTTGGCTACCTGATCAGAGGAGTATAAAAGAGCCTCAGATGAGGTTACAGTTCTCTTGAGACCAAGGTGTCTTGCATGTATCATCTAGCTGGTTCATTGCTTAAAGATGAAGCACATCTTCCACATCCTCTGTGGCTGCAAAAGGACCCTAGGAACTGGGTGTGGTGTTTCACTTGCCTTTTGGTTTGTTGGGTTTTTTTTTTTTTTGTATCTATCCTTTACCTTTATTAAAGCCTTATGTGAGGATACTATGCGGAGTCTTCTAAGTCTTTTCAATGATCCAAACCTGTGTAATTGATGAAGAGGGTACTGTGAATAGGATCATTACTTTTTTTTTGTTTTTGAGACAGGGTCTCTCTCAGTCTGTCACCCAAGTTGAGTGCAGTATCTTGATCACAGCTCACTATAGCCTCAACCTCCTGGGCTCAAGAGATCCTCCCACCTCAGCCTCCCGAGTAGCTGGGTCTATAGGCGCACACCATCACGGCTGCCTAACTTTTAAAAAAATTATTTTGTAGAGCTGGAGTCTTACCATGTTGCCCAGGCTGGTCTCGAACTCCTGGGCTCAAGTGATTTGCCTGCCTTGGCCTCCCAAAGTGGTGGGATTACAGGTGTGAGCAACTGCGCCTGGCCCCAGGTTTTTTTTTTTTCTTTTTTTTTTTCGAGACAGGGTCTCACACTGTTGCCCAGGCTGTAGTGCAGTGGCACTGAAGCCTGAAACCTCTGCCTCCTGGGTTCAAACAGTTCTTGTGCCTCAGCCACCCGAGTAGCTGGGATTACAGGCATGCACCACCACGCCCGGCTAATTTGTTTGTATTTTTAGTAGAGATGGGGTTTCGCCATGTTGGCCAGGCTGGTCTTGAACTCCTGAACTCAAGTGATCCGCCCGTCCCAGCCTCCCGAAGTTCTGGGATTACAGGTGTGAGCCACTGCGCCTGGCCCCCCAGTTTTTTACTTTATAATTTAAATGATAGCTAAGGCTTTGTTTGGGAGAAAGATGAAAAGTGGGGAAAGATTTAGAGCCACTGGTGCCAGGCTAGTTGCTGGGGAATCCCTGTTTGAATTTGCTGAAGTGCTACAACTCTCAATGGGAAGAAAGGGATGACAATGGAACTTGAAGGTGGTTGATGCAGAGCAAGAGGAAATCGCTAAATAGATTTAAAAAGAAATCCAGACACAGAGGAAGTCAGCCAAGAATACAGTTCCCTGGCTGGTTAGGCTGCTTTGGCAAAAATGAAAGTAACTAAAAAAGAGCCTGTGTTGCCAAGTCCACCAATTTCCTTCTGTAAAGGGAAGGAACATGATGCCAAAGAGGAGTTGGGCAGATATTTCTTCTGATGGGAATGTGACCCTCATCGGGTAGATAATCACCAACGAAACTACAGTGGGAGGGCATCAAGAGACAACTGAAACAGGGAACTACACAAGAGTGAAGTTGCCTGTGGACTGACAGAGCTTCCTGCAGAACCACTGCTGGGTTGGATATACATGAATGACAAAGGAGCTCTTTTCCTTGTATTAGGTACTGTCAAATGTACCTTCAAATGAAAGGGTGTGTTTGGTCTTAATTAGCTGAATTCGTTGAAGATCTTCAATTAGCTGCAGCTTTTGCCGGAATGTGGTTAGCTGGGCAAATTCCAAATCGGTTGAGCTGCACAAAGGTGGCAGTACATAAAACATATCTTGTAAAGGGGAACTGCCCAATTCCACCCATAATTGTTAGAAGAAATACTCCCTAGAGGTTACTGAAATGTTGAGAATGCAAACAAACACATTTGGACTGGTTCTGTGATGAAACTAAGGTATCCCTTAATTTTATGTCTTTGACTTAAGTGATGATTGTTGCTGTGATAAGAGGGCCTCTACCTTCGTAGACTTTTTGTATGACCCTACTACTGGGGGAGCAGGATGAAGTGAAAGCCTGTTGAAGACTTACTAGTTCCTTTGCTCCAAATTGTGCTGAATGATGAACAGATTAATATCATTCAAAAGAAAGGAGGCCGGGTGTCCTGGCTTACACCTGTAATCCCAGCACTTTGAGAGGCTGAGGCAAGAGGATTGCTTAAGCCCAGGAATCTGAGGCTACAGTGAGCTAGAATCATGCCACTGCACTTGTACTACAGCCTTGGCAACAGAGTGAGCCCTTGTCTCCTATTAAAAAAAAAAAAAAAAAAAGGAAAGGGCTGGGCATGGTGGCTCACACCTGTAATCCTAGCACATTGGGAGGCCGAGGCGGGTGGATCACCTGAGGTCAGGAGTTCGAGACCAGCCTGGCCAACATGGTGAAACCCTGTCTCTACTAAAAATAAAAAAATTAGCCGGGCATGGTGGCACATGCCTGTAATCCCAGCTACTCAGGAGGCTAAGCCAGGAGAATTGCTTGAACCTGGGAAGCAGAGGTTGCGGTGAGTCAAAATTGTGCCACTGCACTCCAGCCTGGGTGAACAGAGCAAGACTCCATCTCACTTTGTTGCCCAGACTGGTTTCAAATTCCTGGGCTCAAGCAATCCTCCCACCTTAGCCTCCCAAAGTGCTGGGATTACAGGTGTGAGCCACTGTGCCCAGTCAAGATTCTAATGTATCCTAGTCTTGATGAATTAAACAAATAAACCTTTAGGATGATGCAAAAGCAGAATCTACAGTCACTTTAAAGCAGTGTGATGTAAAGAAAAGGGTGGCAGAGTCTCTTGGTGCTATGGGACCCAAGGACATTTACATTGGTGTGGATAAAATGCCCGGAGTGGTGAAAAACTTTATTGTCATTGTTGGACCATGGTGCATAATGTATTGTTATACCTGCTAATAAAAAATTAAACAGCAATTAACTTAGTTTAGTATGACAATACAACTGTAAGTTTAAGAGTGAAAAATGGGCCAGGTGTGGTGGCTCAGGCCTGTAATCCCAGCACTTTAGGAGGCTGAGGTGGGAGGATCACTTGAGCCCAGGGGTTTGAGACCAACTTGGCAACATAGTGAGACCCCCCCCACCAACACCCCCAACACGCTTGTCTCTATAAAAAATGGTGGTGTGCTCCTGTAGTACGAGCTGCTTGGGAAGCTGAGGTGGGAGGATCGCTTCAGCCCTTGAGGTTGAGGCTGCAATGGATGGTGATCAAGCCACTGCACTCCAGCCTAGGTGACAGAGCAAGACCCTGTCTCAAGAAAAAAAAAAAGTGAAAAATGTCCATATAAAAACTTGCACACTAATGTGCACAGCGGTATTATTTATAATAGCCAAAAAGCGTAAACAATCCACACATCCATCAACTGGGTTGAGGAATAAAATATGGTATATGTGATAATAAAGTGTGGTATATCCACATAATGAAATATTATTTGACAATGAAAAGGAATATGAAGTACTAAAACAATACAACATGGATGAATTTCGCTTCCTTTTTTTGTTGTTCTTTTTATTTTATTTTTTAAGCACCTCTACCAACATGAACATTTTGCAAAGTGAAAGCAACCAGACACAAAGGACCACGTACTGTATGATTCAATTTATATGAAATGTCCCCAGTAGGCAAATCTATAGAGACAGAAAGTAACATAGTAGTTGCCTAGGGCTAGGAGGGTAATGGGGGACATGGAAAGCAACTGCTAATGGGCACAGCGTTTCTTTCTGGGGGGATGAAAATGTTCTAAAATTGATTGTGGTGGTGGTTGTGCATGTTTATGAATATGCTGATATTTATTGAACTGTACATTTTATTTACTTTTTTTAGAGACAGAGCCTCACTCTGTTGTCCAGGCTGGAGTACAGTACTGCAATCATAGCTCCCCGCAGCTTCATATTCCTGGGCTCAAGAGATCCTTCCACCTCAGCCTCCCACGTAGTTAGGACTACAGGCACATGCCACCATGCCCTGCTAAGTTTTCGTTTTCTTTAAAAAAAAGTTTTTTAGAGACAGGGTCTAGCTATGTTGCCCAGGCTGATCTCAACTCCTGGTCTCAAGCAATCCTCCCGCCTTGGCCTCAAGAGCATTGGGGTTATAGGTATGAGTCACCGCACCCTCAGTTGTTCATTTTAAATGGGTGAATTTTATGATGTGTGAATTATATTTCTTTCTCTTTTTTTGAGATGGAGTTTCACTCTTGTCGCCTAGGCTGGAGTGCAGTGGTGCGATCTCGGCTCACTGCAACCTCTGCCTCGTGGGTTCAAGCAATTCTCCTGCCTCAGCCTCCCGAGTAGCTGAGATTATAGGCATGCGCCACCATGCCCAGCTATTTTTTTTGTATTATTAGTAGAGATGGGGTTTCACCATGTTGGCAAGGCTAGTCTTGAACTCCTGGCCTCAGCCCCCCAAAGTGCTGGGATTATAGGTGTAAGCCACCACAGCCAGCCCCAACTAGCTGGGACTACAAGCACGTGCCACCACACCTGACTAATTTTTTTTTTTTTTTTTTTTTGTATTTTTAGTAGAGATGGGGTTTTGCCATGTTGGCCAGGCTGGTCTCAAACTCCTGACCTCAGGTGATCCACCCACCTCGGCCTCCTAAAGTGCTGAGATTACAGGCATGAGCCACTGCTCCCGATGGATTATATTTCAATATAATTCAATTATGCAATATAATTGCATAATTGTTATCATCTCTCCCTGATATATTATCGGAATGGATGTGACATCTGAATGGGGATGCTGTTGAGGAAAGAGATTTCATGAAATGTACAGTGAGTGGCATAATTGTGGCTCACTGTAACCTTGAATTCTTGGGCTCAAGTGATCCTTCTGCCTCTGCTCCCCGAGTAGCTGGGACTACAGGCATGTGCCACCACATCTGGCTAATTTTTGTAATTTTAGTAGAGATGCGGTTTCATCATGTTGCCCAGGCTGGTCTGAAATTCCTGGCCTCAAGTGATCCACCTTGGATTCCCAAAGTGCTAGGATTACAAGCATGAGCCACCTGTGCCTGACCAAGATTTGTTGTTTTCTTTCTTTTTTTTTTTTTTTTTTTTTGAGAGTGAGTTTTGCTCTGTTGCCCAGACTGGAGCCCAGACTGGAGTTTAGTGGTGCAATCTCAGCTCACTGCAACCTCCACCTCTCAGACTCAAGCAATCCTCCCACCTCAGCGTCCTGAGTAGCTGGGACCACAGGTGCCTACCACCATGCCCAGCTAATTTTCATATCTTTTATAGCGACAAGGTTTCACTTTGTTGCCCAGGCTGGTCTGGAACTCCTGGTTCTACAAACTCCTGGACTCAAGTGATCCTCCCACCTCAGCCTCCCAAAGTGCTGGGATTACAGGCATGAGCCACTGTGCTCAGCCCCTTAAGATTTTTAATTCGTAGATTTCCTCTTTATCCATCTCTTTTTTCTTGTCACTTATTTGTTAAAGAAGCCATGTAATCTGTCCTGTAAAATTCCCTCTACTCTAGATTTGGCAGAATGTGTTCCTCTGGCATAGTCTAACATGTTCCTCTACCTTCTGCATTTCCAGGAACCTGACACTTGGATCTAGCAGTTTGGTCAGGCTCAGATTCTATTTTCTTTCTTTCTTTTTTTTTTTGTGACAGTCTCACTCTGTTGCCCAGGCTTGAGTGCAGTGGTGCAATCTTGGCTCACTGCAACCTCTGCCTCCTGGGTTCAAGCGATTCTCCTGCCTCACCCCACCCAGGTCTGGGATTATAGGTGCGCACTGCCACACCTGACTAGTTTTTGTATTTTTAGTAGAGACGGGGTTTCTCCATATTTGCGAGGCTGGTCTCGAACTCCTGACTTCAGGCAGTCCACCTGCCTCGGCCTCCCAAAGTGCTGGGATTATAGGCATGAGCCACCGTGCCCAGCCTCAGATTCTATTTTCTTTAACAAATATTTGTCACACACCTACTACATGCAAAGTTGTTGGTTGGATACTAAATTAACTACAAAACTGGACACAGTTATTTACATTTATAAGTCATCTTGCACATGGACAGCCATGCCCACAAAAGTGAATGGAGGCCCGGCATGGTGGCTCATGCCTGTAATCCCAGCACTTTGGGAGGCTAAGGTAGGCGGATCATTTGATGTCAGTAGTTCAAGACCAGCCTGGCTAACATGGTAAAACCCTGTCTCTATTAAAAATACAAAAATTGGCCAGGCGTGGTGGCAGGCGCCTGTAATCCCAGCTACTTGGGAGGCTGAGGCAGGAGAATTGCTTGAGCCCGGGAGGCAGAGGTTGCAGTGAGCTGAGATCGCACCACTGCACTCCAGCCTGGTCAACACAGCGAGACTCCATCTCAAAAAAAAAAAAAAAAAAAGGCTGGGCACAGTGGCTCACACCTGTGATCCCAGCACTTTGGGAGGCCAAGGCGGGCAAATCACTTGAGGCCAGGAGTTCATTCAAGTGATGAACTCTCCTCTCCCCTCTTCCCTCTCTCCTCTCTCCTCTCCTATCTCCCCTCTTCCCTGGCCAACATGGTGAAACCCCATCTCTACTAAAAATACAAAAATGAGCCGAGCGTGGTGGTGCGTGCCTATGGTTCCAGCTACTCGGGAGGCTGAGGCAAGAAATTGCTTGAACCTGGGAGGCGGAGGTTGCAGTGAGCCAAGATCACTCCACTGCACAGCAGCCTGGGCAACAGAGTGAGACTCCATCTCAAAAGAAAAAAAAAGTGAATGGATATCTTTGGTATGTTTTGATACGTTGTGTGGGAAAGCAATATGCACAATAAGTGCAGTGTGAGACTTTGAAAATGTTTAAAACCACTCAAACTATATATGGAGTTGCTTGAAAATATATAGAAAACCTTATGAAAATATGTAAACCAAACTGTAGATACTTCTGGATCTGGATTTGTCAGGGGGTGAAGTAGTGATGGATTTTCACATTTATTTTGTTCATTGCTGTCTTGTTTAAATTTTTGGAAACAAGTATATATTACTTTCATAGTTGAAAAGAAAGTGAGGAGATTAGGAGGGAGGAAGTAAACAAGGGAGGAGAGGAGAAAGGCAGGAAGAGGAGAGAGAGAAAGTTAGACAAGTAGATGAGATGGTTATAGGGACGAATGAAGCTAGAATTGAGAAATCATTTGACAGTCACTCTGGCTCCCTGACGAATCAAAACAGCCACCCAGGCAGTCCTTGTCCATGCTGACAGTGCACCATATATGCATATGTAACAGGGAACAGCAGCCCCGGCTGGAGCACAAGCCGCTGCTCGTGGGCACCTGTCTCAGCTCTAGCCTCAGCTCAGGCTTCACTTAGCCTCAGGGTCACTGTGTTTAGTGTCGCTGGGTTATACACTGGACAAGTACCAGTGGCACCACTCACACATGATCACATTATCATGTGACTAGCACCTACTAGAGCCGCACATCCTGTCTGCAGGGGCCTTCATATGCCTTCTCTAACATAGTCAGAGGGTAAGGTAATAAGCACAGGGAGGGGAGACAGCAGTCCAGCAACCACTCCTAGAGAGGAAGGAGTTCAGGCCAGCAAACAAGGGCAGGGGGTAGTGCAGAGGCTTAGGAGATAGAGCCAGGCTTGAATCTGCTGCTACCTGACTACCAGACCCTAGGCAGGTGACTGACCTTGTCTGAATCTCATATGTAAAATGCAGTGTCAACAACAACAAAAAAATTAGAGACAGATATCCCCAAATATGTCAAATTTATTCAGGAATAAGAAAAGAGGGTTATGATTTGGAATGCACTACTGTAAACCACAGGCACGTGCAGTGAGGGAAGAGTAAAGGGAATTTTTCTTGGCAAAAGGGAGAAGTTCACATAAGCTGCTTAGAAACAGAGTTCATAGCTGGGCATGGTAGCTCATACGTGTAATCACAGCTATGTGGGAGGCTGAGGCGGGAGGGTCTTTGGAGGCCAGGAGTTTGAGACCAGCCTGGGCAATGTGATGAGGCTCCAGTTTCTTTAGAGAGAGAGGAGAGAGGGGAGAGGGGAGAGGAGAGAGAAGACAGGGGACGGGGGAGAGGGGAGAGGAGAGAGGGCAGAAGAGAATTCCTTGGTTCTGAAGGCTCAAAGCCAGAGTTCTTGTGTGTTCATTGGTGGAGATGCTGTTCCTGGGCAGGTGTTCTTTTGACAGCATCTCATCTCATGTTATCTTATCTGAATTGCTGCAGTCCAAAAGAATGTGCAGTGATAAACCTTGCCATAGAAATATGTGCGTACATGCAAGCAATGCAAAGCAGGAGATGCGTGACAGGCGTGAAGGGATTTCTTATGGGATTCTTAGAAAGTCTTTGGAACCGTTCCTGTCTTGGACATGAAAGCCTGAACCCCACTCCTTCGTGCCTTCCCAGCCCTATTTTGTGTGGGTCTGATAAAAGTGATTTCATCTTGGTATCTGCGACTTCCACAGCAGATAATAATGTACAGCTTGTCTGGTGGTTGTAAGGATGAGAAACAAAGTATATGGATCAAATGCTTTGTAAAAATTACCATGTATAATGTGAGGATGACAGATGACCAACTGTTTTGCCTTTCATTTGTTTGTCGTCATAAGCACATGGTCAGTCAATAAAATCTAAGAGCTGGAATTAGAGCAAGAATCCCCAAGTTTCTTGTTGGGTTACTCTGTCTTTAGCTTTCTGGACTTCAATTTGTTGCTTCTTTTTATCAACTGTCAACAAAATGAGTATACCCTTACACTTTTTAAAATGTGGCACTCCATAAATGTAAGATGATTTTATGGTAACTTTTTAAGGTACTGAGTTCCTCCTCAATCCATATAAATCATGAGGACAGGGAACCACCCCGTGCATTGTGTGCCATGTAGGTTATGTGCAGACTTACGGCAATCCTTGGAAACATTTATACACCTGAAAACTGGGGACCCTGGCTGCCTATCACATAGAATCATGGCCCTGGGGAAATATGCAGATCATCTGATGGCATCCATGTTCTCCTGTGATTATAAGAGAACATGGCAAGGTTGGTCACATCCCCACTGGTGGAAGAGCGGGTACTAATGCTCCAGCCTTTGGGTTCCCAGCCCATTCTTTGCTACAGCACCATAGAAAGAAAACTTAAATTTGAATTGGAGGGATTTTTATTTTTATTTTTATTTTTTTTGAGACAGAGTCTCTCTCTGTTGCCCAGGCTGGAGTGTAGTGGTACAATCATGACTCACTGCAAACTCTGCTTCCCAGGTTCAAGTGATCCTCCCGCCTCAGCCTCCCAAGCAGCTGGGATTACAGGCACCCGCCACCATGCCTGGCTAATTTTTGTATTTTCAGTAGAGATGGGGTTTCACCATGTTGACCAGGCTGGTCTCAAACTCCAGGCCTCAAGTGATCCACCCGCCTCAGCCTCCAAAAGTGCTGGGATTACAGGCATGATCCCCCATGCCCAGCTGAATTGGAGGAAATTTTAAAAGTTAATTTTAAAACTGCTTCTCTTTTATGGGAAAGGAATATGTTTTTAAATGGTATTCAGTGTGCTCTTTTTTAAAAAAATCAAAAATTATCCATTAACATCCGTTACTTTTTTTGTTTTTGGTTTTTTTTGAGATTGAGTCTTGCTCTGTTGCCCAGGCTAGAGTGCAGTGGCATGATTTCAGCTCACTGCAACCTCCACCTCCCAGGTTCAAGCGATTCTCCTGCCTCAGCCTCCCAAGTAGCTGGGATTACAGGCGCCCGCCACCACACCCAGCTAATTTTTGTACTTTTAGTAGAGACAGGGTTTCACCATCTTGGCCAGGCTGGTCTCGAACTCCTGACCTCGTGATCCACCTGTCTCGGCCTCCCAAAGTGCTGGGATTCCAGGCGTGAGCCATCACGCCTGGCCTAATAGCCATTACTTTTTAATGCATGGTAATTTTTTGTTCAGTAGATAAATATATTGTTATCTTAAAAAGATTTTTTGTATTTACTTTTGAGACTGGGTCTCAGTCTGTTGCCCAGGCTGGAGTGTAGCAGCCTGATCATGGCTCAGTGCAGCCTCTACCTCCCCGGGCTCAGGTGATCCTCCCCCTTCAGCCTCCTGAGTAGCTGGGACTACAGAGGTGTGGCACCATGCCCGGCTAATTTTTGTATTTTTTGTGGAGATGGGGTTTTGCCATGTTGCCCAGGCTAGTCTTGAACTCCTGGATGTGAGCCACTGCGTCTGGCCTATTATTTTAAATATAGTTCTCTTTACTGCCAGTAGCTTTCATATAACCCTAGCGACTAGATTTAGTCACCACTGCTTAATTCCAAAAAACAAAAGCTCCATCCTATATTTACTGTAAATCAGTCTCTTTGATTGTATTGCATGTTTTATTTCAAGAAAAAAGTTAACCTGAAGATTTAATTTTAAATAACTACACATGTTGTCACTAATAGAAATAACAAATAATTATATGAGAATAATGGTAATTCTCCTAAGTTTTGTGGTAAATTTTTTGGCAATTTTATTGAAGTATAATAAAATTCAACAATTCAATACGTCTTTATAAATGTTCATTGTGATATAGGACAGCTCTATCACAGTACTGGGGTAAATTTTAATTATATTTATTAATTACAGATGTGAATTTCTTCGGAGTAAGAAATCCTCAGAGGAAATTACCCAGTATATTCAAAGCTACAAGGGATTTGTTGACATAACGGTAATGTATAACAGCAATTTTTTTCTCAAGTTTTTGGATTACCTGTAAGTGTCTGACTCAGAAGGGCATAGGCATTCTTTTTATGTCATGGGTTTGATTTCTTTCTTCCTTTCTCCTTTCATTCCCCTGGCTCCCATCTTCAAAGTGAAAAATATCACATTCACTTGCTGACCTAGAGCCTTTTTCTTTTTCCAGGGCTGGCTTCTGACGGGCTCTGCTTGCCTTCCTGATAGTCTTCCCCTTTATGAATGAAGCCACTTGCCCCAGCTTCCCTCTGCTGCCCCTATCTGCAGGCTTGCTAAGATCTCCTGACCTAGGCGCTGTCACCCACAGTGGGCTGCAGAGCTGGCTCTTCCTAGCTGGCTAACTATCCTGAATCAGTAAAAATTTCCTAGTGGAGAGTGATGGGAAATCGAATCCAAACTGGCTTAAACAAAAATGAGAATTTATTGATTAACATGACTCAGGAGACCAGAACTCTATAGAGAACATGGCCTGACAGTGGGGGAAGAGAGGTGTTTCCTCAAAAAGAAACTGGGTGCAGCTTTCCCAGAAGAATCAGTTGCTCAATATATAATACCCTGATGAATTTAGTTACCATTCTATGTCTCTTACTTCCTCATTCGTCAAAGTACATCTGTGATATTTAAATGCAGGTCTGTTTTCAAGGTCAGTTTCCGGAAACAGTGACCCTGAGAAGGCTTCCTCCTGAGTATGCATAAACATTCACAGCTTGCATGCGTGTGTGTGTGTGTGTGTGTGTGTGTGTGTGTGTGTGTGTATGTTTGCTTGCACTGCATAAAAACAATTGCAACATCAACAGAAATAAAAATTAAAGGAATAATTCTCCTCCGACTCTGCCGTTCCATCCAGTGAAACTCTTCATTCTGGGGTAAAGTTCCTTCAGTTCTTGTTCATAGATAGGTATATACTTCATAAGTCAAACAATCAGGCTGGGCGCAGTAGCTCATGCCTGTAATCCCAGCCCTTTGGGAGGCCGAGCTGGGCAGATCACTTGAGATCAGGTGTTCGAGACCAGCCTCAAGACCTCCAACATGGGCCGGGTGCAGTGGCTCACGTCTGTAATCCCAGCACTTTGGGAGGCCGAGACGGACGGATGATGAGGTCAGGAGATAGAGACCATCCTGGCTAACATGGTGAAACCCCATCTCTACTAAAAATACAAAAAAAAAAAAAATTAGCCCGGCATGGTGGCAGGCGCCTGTGGTCCCAGCTACTCGGGAGGCTGAGGCAGGAGAATGGCGTGAACCTGGGAGGCAGAGCTTGTAGTGAGCCAAGGTCGTGCCACTGTGCTCCAGCCTGGACGACAGAGCGAGACTCTGTCTCAAAAAAAAAAAAAAAAAAAAAAAAAAAGACCTCCAACATCGTGTCTGTCTCTACTAAAAATACAAAAAAAAAAAAAATTAGCCGGGTGTGGTGGCACATGCCTGTACTACTCGGGAGGCTGAGGCAGGAGAATCACTTGAACCCAGGAGGCGGAGGTTGCAGTGAGACGAGAACCTGCCACTGCACTTCAGCCTGGGCAACAGAGTGAGACTCTGCCTCAAAAAAAAAAAAAAAAAAAAAGTCAGATAATCAACAACTTGAATTTTAATTTCCCTCAGGGAGAACATTTTGTGAATTCCTGGGTCCAGAGAGAATTACCTATGGCATCAGGTAAAAACTCAAACATTTTCCAAAGGCTTTGCTTGTTTATTTCTTCTTTTGATTTTTTGTCCCTATCTCTTTTTGTCGTCCCCCCCGCCCCGCCCCGTTTATTTTGAAGCAAACTCTAGACATCATTCCATCTGTAACTGTGAAGGGACAACTTGAACGCTGATACTTGCAATATCAAAGCCTACTGGTCTCTTTAATTTGTGCAGCAGCAATAAAGATATAGAAAAAAAAAAGACTAAAGCCTGCTGGTCTCACCTTGTGCTTTTTATTCAAGCTTATTGCAATGACAGCATCTTTGCTTACGAAGAACTACGGCTGGACTCTTTTAAGGACTGGCCCCGGGAATCAGCTGTGGGAGTTGCAGCACTGGCCAAAGCAGGTCTTTTCTACACAGGTGAGTCAGTAGGTTGTGCCCACTTGCTTGCTTGACCTTTAATTCCCACATAGACTTTATGCTCCTGGGCTTACGTTTAGCTACACTCAGCAATGTCCACTAGCTTCAGCGTTTCTTTTTCTTTTCTTTTTTTTTCCCCCTTGGAGACAGAGTTGCCCAGGCTGGAATGCAGATCTTGGCTCACTGCAACCTCCACCTCCCGGGTTCAAGAGATTCTCCTTCCTCAGCCTCTGGAGTAGCTGGAACCACAGGCGCCTGCCACCACGCCCAGCTACTTTTTTGTATTTTTAGTAGAGACAGGGTTTCACCATGCTAGTCAGAATGCTCTTGATCTCCTGATCTCGTGATCTGCCCGCCTTGGCCTCCCAAATGCTGGGATTACAGGTGTGAGCCATCGCGCCAGGCCTCTCTTCAGCATTTCTTATAGATTCGTTTTCTTTTCTTTCTATTTTTTTTGAGACATGGTCATCCAGGCTGGAGGGCAGTGGCGAGATCATGGCTCACTGCAGCCTCAACCTCCTGGGCTCAAGTAATCCTCCTGCCTTGGCCTCCCAAAATGCTGGGATTACAGGTGTGAGCCACTGCACCTGGCATACATCTCTTTTCTTTCCTGCATCATAAATCCTCTCCCAGTTTTCTATTCCTCCCTTAGGTGGTAAACCTTCAAATTTGAAACCTTAAGGTCTGGACTAACAATGAATACAAGTATTCTATTTGTGATAATTATCATGTCTTTTCTTTCTACACATTACTCTCCTCACCTCTTGTCCCCTGACAAAGTGCTCCTAGAAACTGTCACAGGACACTTCTGCTTATATTTCTTTAATCAGAACTTAGTTGGATGGGCCGGGCATGGTGGCTCACGCCTGTAATCCCAGCACTTTGGGAGGCCGAGGTGGGTGGATCACCTGAGGTCAGGAGTTTGAGACCAGCCTGGCCAATATGGTGAAACTCTGTCTCTACTAAAAATACAAAGAATTAGCCAGGCATGGTGGCGGGTGCCTGTAATCCCAGCTACTTGGGAGGCTGAGGCAGGAGAATCGCTTGAACCTGGGACGTGGAGGTTGCGGGGAGTCAAGATCATGCTATTGCACTCCAGCCTGGGCAACAAGAGTGAAACTCTGTCTCAAAAATAATAATAATAATAATAATAATAATAATAATTATTATTATTATTATTATTAGTCAGATGACCATACCTAGCTGTAAGAGGAGCTGGGAAACCTAATCTTTTTCCTGGGTGACAATGTGCCCAGCTAAATATTGGGATTTCTATTAGTATGGAAGGATTTGAGATAATAGGAACATGGATAGCAATCTTTGCCACATTCTGCCTGCAGGAGAAAATCAGGAAATTAATTTTCATGATTCCTAAACACGTAGAGCCTTCCACCAGATTGTGGCATTTTCTCTTTAGCTGCTGGTCATTAGGAAGCACCTCTGCAATCTATAAATGATGGGCTGGTTCCTGTCAGCTAAATCTCTGCCTGAAATACAAGATGATCAGGGAAAGGTTCCTAGGTACCTTGCTGGTCTTGCTCAAACCGAACACATGCATAAGTTACAGTGGAGGTTAATGCAGATCTTTAACTGAGAGATCAAGTAGTTGTCACAAATACCATAGAGCAACACAGAGAAGCAGAATATAGTTGTCACTCTACCTAACAGACATGTGCCATTGGAAAAAAAAAATCTGACTGCCTCACAATCTTAAGCCTTTGGAAAGAGTGTTTGCCATTTCTCCCTACTCTACTGTGTCTTCCTCTTGTCAGCCTTCCGCAAGACCCCTCTGACCAGTGTGCTCCCCCTCTTCCTTTCCAATCCTCCACCACTCCACACAAATCCTAATCATCTCTGACTGTTTTCAGATCTTGCAAGCTCTAGGATCTCATATTTCTGGGAGGCTTTCCTCTGCCCCAGCTTTCCCAGAGTGGAAGGAAGATGAGAAATGCTCTGTTTCTAGTTTGATCCTTTTGCAGAGCTAAATACCAATTTCTTTCCAAAGAAATATAATTTCACAAAGAGACTTAATCCTATTTCTGGTGTAATAAACATGGCAATAATGTGGTAAGAGGCAATTAATTCTTCATGCATTCACTTACATAAGGGCTGCTAGATTTGCTGGTATTTTTTTTTCCGTGAGCTCTAAATATATTCTTTCTGATTCATTCATTAAACGAATACTAATTGAGTGCCACATGAGTGTCAAGCACTTTTCTAGGTTCATGTCATTCATTAGTGAGCAAAAACCTCTACCCTCATAGAGCTTATTTTTATTTTTATTTTTTGAGACAGAGTTTCACTCTTGTTGCCCAGGCTGGAGTGCAATGGCGTTATCTTGGTTCACTGCAACCTCCGTCTCCTGGGTTCAAGCGATTCTTGTGCCTCAGCCTCCTGAGTAGCTGGCATTACAGGCATGTGCCACCATGCCCAGCTAATTTTTGTATTTTTAGTAGAGACAGGGTTTCACCGTGTTGGCCAGGCTGGTCTCAGACTCCTGACCTCAGGAGATCCGCTGGCCTTGGCCTCCCAAAGTGCTGGGATTACAGGCATGAGCCACTGCGCCCAGCCCCCTCATGGAGCTTCAATTCCAGATTCTGGTTGCCAATCTGTTTGTTGATCAAAGGAGAATGGGGCAGAGGGATGGTGTGCATCAAAGTGCATGGTGTGTAGGAGCATTCAATGACTACTTGCCAGTTACCCCATTGGTGGACAGAGTCTTATATAGAAAATTGCCTCACTGGTAACCAACTTCTGACTGTCACAAAACCCAACTGGAGACTGAATAGGCTTTCACTATTACAGGTCTGGTGGTTATTATCTGCATGTTAATGGACAGATGCCCATGCCAGTGGCACTGATCAAGTTTCCTTACTTTTAGGTATAAAGGACATCGTCCAGTGCTTTTCCTGTGGAGGGTGTTTAGAGAAATGGCAGGAAGGTGATGACCCATTAGACGATCACACCAGATGTTTTCCCAAGTGAGTGGAATGAATGTTAACCATCTGCAACTTTGGATGCACTTCAACAGTTTTTTTCTTTTTCCTCATTTCCTGCCTTATTTTATCTTTAGATTGAGTCTTTATCCACTCCTCGGATTCAGGCTATGAAGGATGAGTCTTCATGTCTTTCATCCCTTTGCTCCATGACCCCCTTCCTGTACTAGCCTTCCCCTCTTTATAGTTATGGCATAGTTTTGGCTAGATTCATATATTCACATTACATGTTTACATTATCATGACTATACAAATGCTATGTGGAGCTGAAGCTTGTGGTAAATTTTTATTTATTTTTCCCTTCCTGTATATCCTTTTATTTTTTTAGGAAGTAATAACTGTCCTGTTGGTATGTTAGCTTATTTTTTTTTCCTGAGGTAAAATTCAGGTAGTAACCATTTTATTTATTTATTTATTATTTTTTGTGACAGGTTCTCTCTCTTGCCCAGGTTGGAGTGCAGTGGTGCAATCATGGCTCACTGCAGCCTTGACCTCTCTGGCTCAAGCAATCTTCCTCGCTCAGCCTCCCAAGTAGCTGGGACTACAGGCACATGTCTTCACACCCAGCTAATTTTTTTTTTTTTTTTTTTAAGAGACAGGGTCTCTCTATGTTGCCCAGGCTGCTCTCAGACTTCTAGGCTCAAGCAGTCTTCCCATCCTGGCTTCCCAAAGTGCTGGGATTATAGGCGTGAGCCACCATGCACAGCAATTAAACCATTTTAGAGTACACAATTCTGTGGCATTTATTATAGTACATTCACAATGTTGTGCAACCACCCCCTCTATCTAGTTCCAAAACACTTTCATCGCCCCCAAAGAAAACTCTGTATCCATCAAGCAGGCCCCCCTCCTCTCTCCACCCCACTCCATGCCCAGCCCCTGGGATACACCAACCTAATTGGTGTCTATGGATTTATTTGTTCTGACTATTTCCTCTAAATGGAAGCATACCGTTTGACCTTTTGCATTTGGATTCTTTCACTTGGCATATTGTTTTGAAGTTTATCCATGTTGTAGCTTGCATAAGTACTTCCTTCCTTTTGAGACCAAGTAATATTCCATATGGATACACTGCATTTTATTTATCCATTCATCTATTTGTAGATATTTGGGTTGTTTCTACCTTTTGGCTACCATGAGTAATACCGATAGGAACATTTGGGTACAGGTATCTGATGGAGCATGTAACTGTATTCAAGTCTCTGGGGCATATACCTAACAACGATATTGCTAGCTGTATAGTAATTCTATGTTTTTACTTTTTTTTTTTTTTTCTCACACAGAGTCTCACTCTGTCGCTCAGGCTGGAGTGCAGCGGTGCGATCTCAGCTCACTGCAACCTCCGCCTCCCAGGTTCAAGCAATTTTCCTGCCTCAGTCTCCTGAGTAGCTGGGATTACAGGTGTCTGCCACCATGCCCGGCTAATTTTTTGTATTTTTAGGGTTTCACCATGTTGGCTAGGCTGGTCTCAAACTCCTGACCTCAAGTGATCCACCTGGCTTGGCCTCCCAAAGTGCTGGAATTACAAGCGTGAGCCACAGCGCCTGGCCTGTTTTAACTTTTTGAGGAAATGCTAAACTGTTTTTTCCACAGTGCTTGCACCATTTTAAATTCCCACCAACAACAATGTTGTGCAACCACCCCCTCTATCTAGTTCCAAAACACTTTCATCGCCCCCAAAGAAAACTCTGTATCCACTAAGCAGGCCCTCCTTCTCTCTCCACCCCACTCCATGCCCAGCCCCTGGGATACACCAACCTAATTGGTGTCTATGGATTTATTTGTTCTGACTATTTCCTCTAAATGGAAGCATACAGTTTGACCAACAATGTATGAGGTTTCCCATTTCTCATCAACACTTTTCTATTTTTAAAAAAATTATAGCCATCTGCTTAATTTTTTTTTTTTTTTTTTTTTTTTTTTTTTTGAGATGGAGTCTCACTTTGTCGCCCAGGCTGGAGTGCAATGGCGTGATCTCACTCACTGCAACCTCCGCCTCCTGGGTTCATGCCATTCTCCTGCCTCAGCCTCCCGAGTAGCTGGGACTACAGGCACCTGCCATCACGCCCGGCTAATTTATTTTTTATTTATTTTTTTAGTAGAGACGGGGTTTCACCGTGTTAGCCAGGATGGTCTCCATCTCCTGACCTTGTGATCCACCCGCCTCAGCCTCCCAAAGTGCTCTGATTACAGGCGTGAGCCACCGCGCCCGGCCAGCCATCTGCTTAATTTTTATGTACATTGCTTATTTTTGTTTCTTGAGATAAAATTCATGTATTAATAATTTTATTTATTTAAATGAAATAAATGAAGACGAACACCAGCTCATCTTCAACTTATCCCAAATGTTTAAATCTCCTCTTAAGTCATTCAGACCTACCAGATATCTCATCATTTTCATTTCTTGAAAGAGTCATCATTTTTTTTTTCTTTTTCTTTTTTTTTTGAGACGGAGTCTGGCTCTGTCACCCAGGCTGGAGTGCAGTGGCATGATCTCGGCTCACTGCAGACTCTGCCTCCCAGGTTCAAGCAATTCTTCCTGCCTCAGCATCCCAAGTAGCTGGGACTACAGGCATGCACCACTATGCCTGGCTAATTTTTGTATTTTTAATAGAGATGGAGTTTTGCCACGTTGGCCAGGCTAGTTTCAAACTCCTGACCTCAAGTGATCCGCCTGCCTCAGCCTCCCAAAGTGCTGGTATTACAGGCGTGAGCCACTGCGGCTGGTCCATTTTCATCTTGAAATGAGTTTCCCTGGAAGTCTTCTGGCCTGCTGGATTATGAACAACTTGTCCTATAATCATCCTGGGATCCAGGGATCTTTCTTCACAGGCATCCTGGAGATTATCTCCTCTGTTGTATCTCCTGGATCTAATGTCATCCTCTTCTTGGTTCACTCGCTCATTTTGTTGGAACACTTCATCGGAGTTCCCTGGGAAAGACTGCATAAGAAATACACACTTTTAGTTGCATATAATGCATATACAGACATATAGATCTATCTAGATATATGTTTTTCCTGTATTCTCACACTTATTTGATAGTTTAGCTAGGTGTAGAATTATAGGTTGGAAGTCATTTTAATTCTAAATTGTAGAGGCACTGCTACATTTCTACTGGTTCCTAATGTGCTGTCGAGAAGTTCCATGCCTTTCTGCTTGTCAATCCTTTTACTGCAAACAAAATTTTTTTTTTTCCTGTGCTGGAAGCTTTCAGAAAAATATCTGTTCTAAAATTTTATGAAGAAATATTTCTTTTCTATGAATCTTTAAACTTAATTTTTTTTTACCCATCAAACTCTTTAGAAATGTTTAATTGCAAGAAGAAATTTGTGTTTTCACTATGTAATTAGTAAGAGTTTTTTTTTTAGAAATGAATATGAACACATACAGATTTTAAAATGAATGCTTCCTGCTCATTTGTATAGTGGTAAAAACAAAAATAAAACAAAATGAATACTTCTATCTAATTTTATTGCCTTGAAGGTATTTTGATAGCAGTAGTTACCTCATTTTTCTTTCTTATTTGGGCTTAGTGTATAATAAATTATTGAGAACAATGGGGACATTCTACTTAATTCTTGGAAGGATAAGCTAGGATGCAGTCTAGTCTTATTTAGAACTTACTCTGGAATCGATCAACTCCCTTTTATACTATTATTATTATTAGTTTTAGTGTTTTGTTGTTGTTGTTTTTGAGATGGAGTCTCACTCTGTCACCCAGGCTGGAGTGCAGTGGCGTGATCTCGGCTCACTGCAACCTCCGCCTCCCGGGTTCAAGCGATTCTCCTGCCTCAGCCTCCCAAGTAGCTGGGATTACAGGTACCTCCCCACCATGCCTGGCTAATTTTTTGTACTTTTAGTAGAGACGGGGTTTCACCATGTTGGCCAGGCTGGTCTTGAACTCCTGACCTCAAGTGATCCTCCTGCCTCAGCCTCCCAAAGTGCTGGGATTACAGGTGTGAGCCGCCACACCTGGCCTTTAGTGTTTTTTTGTTAAGAGACTGGGTCTCGGCTCTGTCACCCAGGCTGGAGCAAGTGCAGTGGTACAATCCTAGCTGACTGTAGCCTCAAATTCCTGGGCTCAAGTGATCCTCCCACCTCAGCCTCCCAAGTAGCTAGGACTACAAGCATGTGTCACCATGCCCGACTAATTTTTTAAAGTTTTTTTTTGTAGAGATGGGGTCTTGCTTTGTTGCCCAGGCTGGTCTCAAACTCCTGGCTCCAAATGATCCTTCTGCTTCAGCCTCCCAAAGTACTTGGATTACAGGCATGAGCCACTGCTCCCAGCCAACTCCTTTTTGGATTTTTACTCTTCCTTTGCCTCTTAAAAAAACTGCAAACCAGTATGTCTCCAAATGATTACCTAAAATTTTTATGTATGCTTTAAAGAATGAATAAAAAGCAACCTATGAACCTCCTAGTAAAGTCAAGAAATTGGACATTATCAATGCCTTAAAAGACCCCTGCGGCCGGGTGCAGTGACTCACGCCTGTAATCTCAGCACTTTGGGAGGCCGATGTGGGCAGATTGTCTGAGCTCAAGAGTTCGAGACCAGCCTGGGCAACATGGTGAAACCCCATCTCTGTTAAAAAACAGAAAAATTTAACCGGGCCTGGTGACACACGCCTGTAGTCCCAGCTATTAGGGAGGCTGAGGCAGGAGAATGGCTTGAACCTGGGAGGCGGAAGTTGCAGTGAGCCAAGATGGCGCCATTGCACTCCTGGGCGACAGAGCGTGACTCTGTCTCAAAAAAAAAAAAATCAAAAAACAAAAAACAACTCTGCATGCCAACCACCCCCTAATTCTGATTATATCCCTGTCCCTCCAATCCAGAGGTAAATGTGATGCTCAGTTTGGGTTAATTATTCCCCTGCTTCTCTTTGTGGTTTTACCAACTACATATACATCCTTAAACATATTTAGCTTTGTCTATTCTTGAAGTTCAAATAAGAAGCATACTGCATGATTCTTCTTGTAATTGGCTGGTTTTACTCCACGATGTTTTTGAGATTCATCCATATTTATATGTACTACACAGTTGTAGTTCACTTGTTTTCATTGGTAAATAGTGTATTATTTTATGAATATATAATAACTTATTTTACTGTTGATTAACCTCGTGGGTCGTTTTCAGAGTGTTGCAAATTCAAATAATGCCCTATGAACATTCTTGTACATATTTTCCAGTGCTCATGTGTGTTTCTCTAGGATACATAACAAAGTAAAGAATTGCAGAGTCATAGAACTTTGCGGGTGTTCAACTCCACTAGATAATGCAAAGCTTTTTCCCAAGTGGTTGCACTGATTTACATTCCCATTGGCCTAGATGCGTTTCTATTGATTTGCTTCCTCACTAACTTGGTATTGCCCAAATTTTAATTTTTGTCAGTGTAATTACTAATAATGTTAAGCTTATTTTCTTCTTCTTTTTTTCTTTCTTTTTTTTTTTTTGAGACGGGAGTTTCACTCTTGTTGCCCAGGCTGGAGTGCAATGGCACGATCTCGGCTCACCACAACCTCCGCCTCCCAGGTTCAAGTGATTCTCCTGCCTCAGCCTCCCGAGTAGCTGGGATTACAGGCATGTGCCACCACGCCCAGCTAATTTTGTATTTTTAGTAGAGATGGGGTTTCTCCATGTTGGTCAGGCTGGTCTCGGACTCCCAACCTCAGGTGATCCACCCACCTCAGCCTCCCAAAGTGCTGGGATTACAGGTGTGAGCCACCGCGCCTGGCAGTTGAGCTTATTTTCATATTTTCCTGCAGAATAGTCTTGTTCTTTCTCTTCAAGAGTGTGTCTTAGCTATTTTTTTGCCCTTTGGTCTTTCATATTCCAGAGAATATATTAAATATCCCAAGCAGGCATGGTGGTTCACACCTATAATCCCAGCACTTTGGGAGGCTGAGGTGGGAGGAGTGCACAAGGCGAGGAGTTTGAGACTAGCCTTTGCAACATAGCTAGACTCCATTTCTACAAAAAATTTTTAAAACAAACAGGGTGTGGTAGCATGCATCTGTAGTCCCAGCTACCTGGGAGGCAGAGGCAGGAGAATCGCTTGAGCTCAGGAGTATAGGTTGCAATGAGCTATGATTGTGCCACTGTACTGTGGCCTGGGTGACAGAGTAAAACTTTGTCTCTAAAAAACAGAAATATCCCTCTTTATCCTTGATAGTATTTTTTAGGCCTTTATTAGTTTTTTCATGTTACATCTTTTAGATTATTTTCTTTTTAATCTATCTGTGACTATATTTAAAGTCAATTCTTGTTTTTTCCTTTTCCTTTTTGTGGGTAACGGGGTCTCACTATGTTGCCCAGGCAGATCTCAAACTCCTGGGCTCAAGCTGTCCTCCCACCTCTGCCACCCTAAGTGTTGAGATTACAGGCATGAGCCACTGCACCCAGCCTTAAAGTGAATTGTTATAGGCAACAACACAGTGGGGTCTTTTATTTTATTTTTTATTTGTTTATGAGACAGACTCGCTCTGTTGCCTACGCTGGAGTGCAGTGGTGCAGTCTTGACTCACTGCAGCCTGGACTTCCCAGGCTCAAGCAATCCTCCCACCTCAGACTCCTGAGTAGCTGGGACTACAGGCACATGCCACCATGCCAGGCTAATTTTTTTTTTCTGGGCCTAGAGATCTGTGGAACTTTGAACTTGAGAGAGATGATTTAAGGTATCTGACAGAAGAAATTTCTAAGCAGCAAAGCATTCGAGAAGAAGCAGAGCATAAAATTTCAGAAAATTTGTAGCCTGATGATGCAACAGAAAAGAAAAATCTATTTTCTCAGGAGACTGGGTTGTAGAAATTTGCATAAGTAATGAGGAGCCAAATGTTAATCACCAAGACAATGGGGCAAATGTCTCCAGGGCATGTTAGAGACCCTCACAGCAGACCCTCCCATCGCAGGCCAGGAGGCTTAGAAGGAAAAATGGTTTTGTGGGTCCAGAACCCCCTGCTGTGTGCAGCCTAGGAACTTGGGGCCCTGCATCCCAGCTGCTCCTGCCATAGGTAAAAGGGGCCAAGGTACACCTCAGGCCATGGCTTCAGAGGGTGCAAGTTCCAAGCCTTTCAGGTTCTAGGTGGTGTTAAGCCTGCAGATGCACCGAAGTCAAGAATTAACGTTCATGAACCTCCGCCTACATTTCAGAAGATGTATGAAAATGCCTGGAAATCCAGGCAAAAGTTTGCTGTGGGGGGGAGGGGAGGGGGGGGCCCTCATGGATAACCTCTGCTAGGGCAGTGTCAAAGGGAAATATGGGGTTGGAGCTCCCACACAGAGTCCCCACTGGGGTACTGCCAAGCAGAGCTGTGAGAAAAGGGCCACCATCCTCCAGACCCCAGAATGGTAGATCCACTGACAGCTTGCACTGTGTGCCTGGAAAAGCTGCAGACACTCAATGCAGCCAGAAGGGGGGCTGTACCCTGCAAAGCCACAGGGGCGGGGCTGCCCAAGACCCTGGGAACCCACTTCTTGCATCACCTAGATGTGACACATGGAGTCAAAGGAGGTCATTTTGGAGCTTTAAGATTTGCCTGCTGGGTTTTGGACTTGCATGGGGCCTGTAGCTCTTTCGCTTTGGCCAATTTCTCCCATTTGAAACGAGTGTATTTACCCAATGCCTGTATCCCTGTGTATCTAGAAAATAACTAACTTGCTTTTGATTTTACAGGCTCATAGGTGGAAGGGACTTGCCTTGTCTCAGATGAGACTTTGGACTATGGAATTTTGAGTTAATGCTGAAATAAGAGTTTGGGGGACTTAGGGGAAGGCATGATTGCTTTTGAAATATGAGGACATGAGATTTGGGAGGGGCCGGGGAAGAATTATATGGTTTGGCTCTGTCCGCACCCAAATCTCATCTTGAATTGTAACAATTCCCATGTGTCAAGGGTGGGGCCAGGTGGAGATAACTGAATCATGGAGGCAGTTTCCCCCATGCTGTTCTCATGGTAGTGAATAAGTCTCATGAGGTCTGATGGTTTTATAAATGGATGTTCCCCTGCACATGCTCTCTCCTGCCCACCATGTCTGACTAAATTTTGTATTTTTACTAGAGACGGGCTTTCACTATGTTGGCCAGGCTGGCCTCCAACTCCTGATCTCGTGATCCGTCCACCCCGACCTCCCAAAGTGCTAGGATCATAGGCATAAGCCACCACACCCGGCCTCTTTTTTTTCTTTTTCTTTTTTTTATCTGGAGACTGAGTTTTGCACTCGTTGCCCAGGCTGGAGTGCAATGGTGCGATCTCAGCTCACTGCAGTCTCCACCTCAGCAGGAGAGCAGGAATCTTCAGTGATCCACGGGCAAATATGCAGCCATTGTGGGCACCTGTTCCTCCCGCGACCTTTGTGCCCACGTCTCTCCCTCCAGTACCTACTGCACGACCCCCCACGTCCGCCTCCTGCCATTGCCAGCAGGTGCCTTGCGCGGGTACCTGGCTGTGCTTATTCATCCATTATGGTCGCTCTGTCACTGGTGCCATTATGTGCTCACATGCCCACTCCCTCAGGTTTAGAAGTCGCGTTGCCCGGCAACAGAACAATCTGCTGGCTTAGCCTTTGGCCAAGTTGGCAGCTGGACGAGGACGCTCAGAGCCCAGCTCTTGAGAGTTCAAGTATCCGACAGTTCCCCACTGCTCCCAGGAGCGGTTACCCGGGCACTCTGTGCCCCTCATTCCTGTTTGGGCCAAGGCCGAGGACCTGCGAGTAGGGCTCAGTTGCCTGGAGCCCCTTCAGCCCATCCCCCAGTTCACTTTGCTTGTGGGATCTCCCCGTTGCTCCTGCCCCTGGACTGAGTGGCAGGCCATCCTACAAACACCCGGACACTCGACATCACTGGTGTCAAGACAACTCTAAGAAGGTTTTCCGTGATCCTGCAAGACCTGTGTTCCATCCTGGTGATTCCGTCTTCAATTTCACTGCACAGGTACCACAGTAAGCCAGTGCTGTGTGCTCCGAGTTCCAGGGCATCCCCCAGCCCAGCCACTACACTGAGCACAAGGACTCTGTGGGGCCCAGGAGCAGGTAGTCACCCCTTTGGGGTCCACAACACCCGGCTGTCCCCAGACTTGTGTCCAGGGAAGATAGTGTTGAGGGCCCTCAAGGAGAGCGGGGCAGGGATGCCTGAGCAGGACAAGGACCCCAGAGTCCAAGAAAATCCTGATGATCAGAGAACGGTCCCCGAGGTCACCGGGGATGCACGGTCTGCATTTTGGCCCCTGCGGGACAATGGAGGCCCCTCTCCCTTTGTGCCCAGGCCCGGGCCTCTGCAGACAGACCTCCACGCCCAGAGCTCAGAAATCAGATATAACCACACATCCCAGACATCCTGGACGAGCTCGAGCACCAAACGAAATGCCATCTCCAGCTCCTACAGCTCCACGGGAGGCTTGCCGGGGCTAAAGCAGAGGAGGGGGCCAGCCTCATCCCGCTGCCAGCTGACCCTCAGTTACTCAAAGACAGTGAGTGAGGACAGGCCTCAGGCTGTCTCTTCGGGTCACACACGGTGTGAAAAGGGGGCAGATACAGCACCAGGGCAGACAATCGCCCCAACGGGTGGCTCCCCCACATCCCAGGACTCTAGGCCCCGTAGACGCAAGATTCCCCTGCTGCCACGCAGGCGAGGGGAGCCTTTGATGCTGCCACATCGCTTAGAGCTGGGGTACCGGGTCACGGCTGAAGACCTGCACCTGGAAAAAGAGAAGGCATTCCAGCGCATCAACAGTGCACTGCACGTTGAGGACAAGGCCATCTCGGACTGCAGACCCTCACGGCCTTCCCACACTTTGTCCTCACTTGCAACAGGGGCTTCGGGTGGGCCTCCCGTTTCTAAAGCACCCACTATGGATGCACAGCAGGACAGACCCAAGTCCCAAGACTGCCTGGGCCTAGTGGCCCCCCTAGCATCTGCAGCAGAGGTCCCCGCTACAGCTCCCGTGTCTGGGAAAAAGCACAGACCACCAGGACCCCTGTTCTCCAACTCAGATCCCCTTCCGGCCAACTCTTCCCACTCCCGGGACTCAGCCCAGGTCACCTCGATGATTCCTGTCCCCTTGACAGCTGCAAGCAGGGATGCCGGCATGAGAAGAACAAGGTCGGCTCCTGCAGCTGCCGCAGCAGCCCCTCCCCCCTCCACATTGAACCCCACGTCGGGGTCACTACTCAATGCAGTGGATGGAGGCCCCTCACATTTCTTGGCCTCAGCCACAGCTGCAGCACGTGTCCAGAGGTCAGAAGTGAGATATAACCAGAGATCCCAGACCTCCCGGACCAGATCGTGCCTCAAACGAAATGCCAGCTCCAGCTCCCACAGCTCTACGGAAGGCCTCCCGCAACTAAAGCGGAGGAGGGGGCCAGCCTCATCCCACTGCCAGCTGGCCCACAGTTCCTCAAACACAGTGAGTGAGGATGGACCTCAGGCTGTCTCTTCGGGTCACCGCTGTGAAAACAAGGCAGGTACAGCACCAGGGCAGACACTTGCCCCCAGGGGTGGCTCCCCCAGATCCCAGGCCTCTAGGCCCCACATCAACACTGCACTGCACGTTGAGGACAAGGCCATCTCGGACTGCAGACCCTCACGACCTTCCCACACTTTGTCCTCATTTGCAACAGGGGCTTCGGGTGGGCCTCCCGTTTCTAAAGCACCCACTATGGACGCACAGCAGGACAGACCCAAGTCCCAAGACTGCCTGGGCCTAGTGGCCCCCCTAGCATCTGCTGCAGAGGTCCCCTCTACAGCTCCCGTGTCTGGGAAGAAGCACAGACCACCAGGACCCCTGTTCTCCTCCTCAGATCCCCTTCCTGCCACCTCTTCCCACTCCCGGGACTCAGCCCAGGTCACCTCGCTGATTCCTGCCACCTTCACAGCTGCAAGCAGGGATGCCGGCATGAGAAGAACAAGGTCGGCTCCTGCAGCTGCCGCAGCAGCCCCTCCCCCCTCCACATTGAACCCCACGTCGGGGTCACTACTCAATGCAGTGGATGGAGGCCCCTCACATTTCTTGGCCTCAGCCACAGCTGCAGCACGTGCCCAGAGGTCAGAAGTGAGATATAACCAGAGATCCCAGACCTCCCGGACCAGATCCTGCCTCAAACGAAATGCCAGCTCCAGCTCCAGCTCCAGCTCCCACAGCTCTACGGAAGGCCTCCAGGAACTAAAGCGGAGGAGGGGGCCAGCCTCATCCCACTGCCAGCTGGCCCACAGTTCCCCAAACACAGTGAGTGAGGACGGACCTCAGGCTGTCTCTTCGGGTCACCGCTGTGAAAACAAGGCAGGTACAGCACCAGGGCAGACACTCGCCCCCAGGGGTGGCTCCCCCAGATCCCAGGCCTCTAGGCCCCGCATCAACACTGCACTGCACGTTGAGGACAAGGCCATCTCGGACTGCAGACCCTCACGGCCTTCCCACACTTTGTCCTCACTTGCAACAGGGGCTTCGGGTGGGCCTCCCGTTTCTAAAGCACCCACTATGGATGCACAGCAGCACAGACCCAAGTCCCAAGACTGCCTGGGCCTACTGGCCCCCCTAGCATCTGCTGCAGAGGTCCCCTCTACAGCTCCCGTGTCTGGGAAGAAGCACAGACCACCAGGACCCCTGTTCTCCTCCTCAGATCCCCTTCCTGCCACCTCTTACCACTCACGGGACTCAGCCCAGGTCACCTCGCTGATTCCCGCGCCCTTCACAGCTGCAAGCAGCGATGCCGGCATGAGAAGAACAAGGCCTGGCACCTCGGCTCCTGCAGCTGCAGCAGCAGCCCCTCCCCCCTCCACATTGAACCCCACGTCGGGGTCACTACTCAATGCAGTGGATGGAAGCCCCTCACATTTCTTGGCCTCAGCCACAGCTGCAGCACGTGTCCAGAGGTCAGAAGTGAGATATAACCAGAGATCCCAGACCTCCCGGACCAGATCCTGCCTCCAAGGAAATGCCAGCTCCAGCTCCCACAGCTCTACGGAAGGCCTCCCGCAACTAAAGCGGAGGAGGGGGCCAGCCTCATCCCACTGCCAGCTGGCCCACAGTTCCTCAAACACAGTGAGTGAGGACGGACCTCAGGCTGTCTCTTCGGGTCACACCCGCTGTGAGAAGAAGGCAGGTACAGCACCAGGGCAGACACTTGCCCCCAGGGGTGGCTCCCCCAGATCCCAGGCCTCTAGGCCCCGCATCAACACTGCACTGCACGTTGAGGACAAGGCCATCTCGGACTGCAGACCCTCACGGCCTTCCCACACTTTGTCCTCACTTGCAACAGGGGCTTCGGGTGGGCCTCCCGTTTCTAAAGCACCCACTATGGATGCACAGCAGGACAGACCCAAGTCCCAAGACTGCCTGGGCCTACTGGCCCCCCTAGCATCTGCTGCAGAGGTCTCCTCTACAGCTCCCATGTCTGGGAAGAAGCACAGACCACCAGGACCCCTGTTCTCCTCCTCAGATCCCCTTCCTGCCACCTCTTCCCACTCCGGGGACTCAGCCCAGGACACCTCGCTGATTCCTGCCCCCTTCACACCTGCAAGCAGGGATGCCGGCATCAGAAGAATGTTTCGTGTTCGAAATTGTTTGAGGGGTTTGGGTTTATTTTTGTTGGTTTTTTCTTTTTTTTTTTTGCTTACGTGGGCATCCTTCAGCTTTTAATAATCTGAAAAATTCTATTTACCCATTGTCAATGTGTATAAATTAATCTCAGTCAATTTTATACAATAAAAGGTGAACTTTTATCCATCAAACAATAATTTAACAAAAAATGTACCGGAAGAAGAATGTTCATTACAAATATAGGAAACATAAATATTACCAAATATTGGCAAGCACTAAAATGTTCAGAAATATAAGTCTATTACAGTTATAGCTCTCTCAAGCAAAAAAACAGCAGAGAAAAACTTAGTTTTCCTGAGGGGCTATTTATTTACTTAGGGATTTGTTAAAAGGTCAAATGGGGTCACACAGAATACTAAGAAGAGCTGTTCACCCAGGCCTCACTAAGAACTCTTCTTCATGCAGTAGCTATATAGTAATATGACAACTGCTCCTACGACCCAAAGAGGAACTACAGCAACTACTCTTTAGCATCTGTTGCTCCCAACTCTGCTTTGCAATTATATGACTCAAGCATTCTGGCTCCGTTAACTATTACTGCTGTTACTCCCAAGTAAATTCCCTCTAAAAAATAAAAATTTTTAAAGCTGTAATTTAAGCTCTCTGCTGCCTCATGACTTCAATTCCATCAGAGTTACGCATTGTTTCCTCTGTACATCTTTGCTCTGCTTCCATTGCTAATTCCCTAGTAAAGTGTTGTATATTCAAAGTTCCAAAGAAACAGAATATCCAAGACATCACCAATCATCCAAAACACAGTGTAGGAGGCCACAGTTAAGAGAAGCAACACCATTAGCTCTTTTTATAGGCTCGAGAACAACAGGATGCTTTGGTCCTGTATCAGCAGGATGCTTTTTGGGTAGATCCTACTGCCACCCTACTATCGGGTAGATCCTACTGTCACCCTAGCTATGGGCACATGTCAGAGTCCCATGTAATAAAGGAGACAAAAGGAAACCACCACGAGTATAAACTAAGAAAAGTACTCCAAGGTTTCTAAGAATGGAGCTGTATAACTCACTTTGCCCCGTTTGTTACTTCTCCACGGTACTTACCACCACCTATTACATATATTTTGTTTATAGTCAGTCTTCCCCCATTAGAATGAAAGTTCCGTGAGGATAGGACTATACAGTCAGCCCTCAGTATCCATGGGGGACTGGTTTCAGGATCTCCTGAGGGTAACAAAGGATACTCAAGTCCCTGATATAAAATGACATAGTATTTGCACATCACCTTTGCACATCCTCCCATATACTTCATATCAACTCTAGATCACTCATAATATCCGATGTAAATGTCATGCAAATAGTTATTGTACTATATTGTGTAAGGAATAAGGACAAGAAAAAAGTCTGTACATGTTCAGTACAGACGCAATTTTTTTTTCCAATATTTCCAATCCTTGGTTGCCTTAACGGATGTAGAACCCAGGAATAAGTTCTGGTGTCCTATTGCATAGTAGGATGAGTATAGTTAACAATAACATATTATATATTTGAAAATAGCCAGAAGAGTAGATTTTGAATTTTCTCCCTACAGAAAAATCATTATGCAAATTACCCTGATTTGATCATTACACATTGAGTACATGTATTAAAACATCACATTCTACCCCATATATATGTACAGTTATTATGTGTCCATAAAAATTTAATGTCAATGTGTGAAATAAAATGAAAAAATAAAAATTTTTAAAGCTGTAATTATCTCCATCTGGTAGGAATATATACAATCTGAAATAAAAAATATATTTGTAATTGTTAGGACAAAATAGATTATACATTAAGTCTGCAAATTATAAATTATAAAATTCTCACAGAACCTGAAAAATTATTGATACTGTTAAATATTTAAAAAGCTGTCCTTGGAGAGAAAGAAACCTATCAGATTTACATCAACAAGTGTAATATGTCAGCCTATTACCATCTGCTACAGACTGCATGTTTGTGTTCCCTCAAAATTCATATGATAGGCCCGGCGCGGTGGCTCATGCCTGTAATCCCAGCACTTTGGGAGGCCGAGGCGGGTGGATCATGAGGTCAGGAGATCGAGATCATCCTGGCTAACATGGTAAAACCCCGTCTCTACTGAAAATACAAAAAATTAGCCGGGCGCAGTGGCGGGCGCCTTAGTCCCAGCTACTGAGGAGGCTGACGCAGGAGAATGGCGTGAACCCAGGAGGCGGAGCTTGTAGAGAGCCGAGATTGTGCCACTGCACTCCAGCCTGGGTGACAGACAGAGCGAGACTCTGTCTCAAAAAAAAAAAAAAAAAAAAAAAAAATTCATATGATAAAGCCCTAACCCCCAAGGTGAGGATACTGGGAGGCGTGGCCTTTAGGAGAGAATTAGGTTTAGATGAGGTCATGAGAATAGAGCCCCTATGGTGGCATTACTTCCTTTATAAGAAGAGACACTAGAGCTGCTTTTCTCCCTACCATGTGAGGATACCGAGAGAAGATGGCCATTTCCAATCTAGGAAGCAGGCCCTCTTTAAGAAACATAATTTGCCAACACTTTGATCTTGCACTTCCAGTCTGCAGAACTGTGAGAAATATCTGTTTTTTTTTGTTTGTTTGTTTTTGTTTTTTTTGAGACAGAGTCTCATTCTGTCATCCAGGCTGGAGTACAGTGGTGCGATCATGGCTCACTGCAACCTCCGCCTCCCAGGTTCAAGCAATTCTCCCACCTCAGCCTCCCAAGTAGCTCAGACTACAGGCGTGCACCACCACGCCCAGCTAATTTTCGTAGAGACAAGGTTTTGCCATGCTGCCCAGGCTAGTCTCAAACTCCTGAGCTCAAGTTATCCACCTGCCTCGGCCTCCCAAAGTGTTAGGAATACAGGCATAAGCCACCACGCCTGGTCAAAATATCTACTGTTTAAGCTACCTAATTTATGGTATTCTGTTTTAGCAGCTGAAGCAGACTAAGATACCATCCTATAAGCTACAGACCAGCACTATCCAATAGAACTTTATATGACGAGCAAATGTTTTATATCTGTGCTATCCCTTATGTTAGCCACTAGCCACATGTATCCATCAAGTATTTGAAATATGGCTAGTGCAACTAAAGAACTTAATTTTTAATTTTCTTTTTTTTTTTGAGATGGAGTCTCGCTCTGTCCCCCAGGCTGGAGTGCAGTGGCGCCATCTCGGCTCACTGCAAACTCTGCCTCCCAGGTTCACGCCATTCTCCTGCCTCAGCCTCCTGAGTAGCTGGGACTGCAGGCGCCCGCCACCACGCCCGGCTAATTTTTTGTATTTTTAATAGAGATGGGGGTTCACCGTCTTAGTAAGGATGGTCTCGATCTCCTGACCTAATGATCTGCCCGCCTCGGCCTCCCAAAGTGCTGGGATTACCGGCGTGACCCACCATGCCCGGCCAATTTTTATTTTATCTTATTTAAATAACCACATGTGGCTAGTGGCTAATGTATTGAACACTACAGCTGTAGACAATATGAAATAAATATAAAGCAGTCTCAACTTTGGAAAAACAGAAGACTCTTACTGCCTCATAATATAGATGAAAAATGAAATACTAAGATAAGTAAAATGTTCTTTAAAGAACAAAAACAAAAGAAAACCTAATGAAAGCTATAAAAGTCCATTGGATAATAATGCTACCAGTACTAAGGAAGTACAGCCCCTAAGAGTGACTTGCAGTCACAAATATAAAAATGACTATTCAACTGAACTCCTAAGGTGAAAATTTCTTATTCACCATGCTCCAAAATGGTCTGTAATATTCTTCAGAGATGGCATGGTGGGGGAGGCAAGTGGCATCTCTGCCCAGAGAGAATACACAAGCAGAAAGTTCAACACCGCTTACCTGGTGAAACCCTACAAGCGTTTCCACTCCATACGCGCTCTGAATAATGGGATTGTGATGTCTTACACCAATTCTCAAACTGGGCGGCCAGCTGCAGCCGAATCAACTCCAGGTGCCCGTAGTTGCGATACCAAGAGTAGTAGCTGTTCACACGGATCACATCCACATACAGAGCCTAGGACCAGAGCAGCAGAGCCCGTTCAGCAACCACAAGACCGCATGACTCAGTACTCACATGCTGTGGGGGCTCCTCTGACAGAGAAGGTAAGAAGGGGATGTAATCCCAGCACTCTGGGAGGCTGAGGCAGGAGGGTGGCTTGTGGCCAGGAGTTCGAGACCAGCCTGGGCAACACAGCAAGACCCCAGCTCTACAAAAAATAGTATCAAGAAAATCAGCACGGCACAGTGGCTCATGCCTGTAATCCCAGCACATTGGGAGGCCAAGGTGGGAGGATCACTTGAGCCCAGGAGTTTGAGACCAGCCTGGGCAACGTCGTAGGACTCCATTTCTACAAAACAAAACAAAAAGCCTACAACGGGAAGAGCTGCCTCTCGGGGCTGAGAACATCCAACTGCACCAATTTAGATCCTGAAATTACCCTGCCCCACAAGCAACAAACATGGTCACAAAGTGGCCCAAAGGAGGCAGGCCTGTGATTGCACACTGACGCTCACGACGTGTGCAGCTGGGAAGGGCTGTGAGAGGCAGAGCAGCTGCCAACACGCAGTCCTCAGCCAAAACCCAGGGCCCCCGCCACTGGAACTGACTCCTCTCCAGGCAGCACTCCCAGCACTGGGCATCCCCTCACCTTGCCCTGGAGAAGCCCTCCCACCCAAGGGGCCAATGCAGTCATTCTCGCAGATAATCTTTTTCCGCTTTGTTTGGAAGACAGAGTCTCGCTCTGTTGCCCAGGCTAGAATGGAGTGGCACAATAATGCAAGCTCTGCCTCCCACGATCAAGCGCAGGCGTGGTGGCATGTGCCTGTTATCCCAGCTACTTGGGAGGCTGAGGCAGGAGAATTGCTTGAACCTGGGAGGCGGAGGTTGCACTGAGCTGAGACTGTGCCACTGCACTCCAGCCTGGGCAACAGAGCAAGACTCTATCTTAAAAAAATAATAAAAAATAAAAAAGAATGCTAGTATCAGCCAGGCACGGTGGCTCATGCCTGTAATCCCAGCACTTTAGGAGGCTAAGGCAGGAGGATCACTTGAGCTCAAGAGTTTGAGACTGGCCTGGGCAACATAGTGAGATCCCATCTCTACAAAAACATTTAAAATTAGCCGGGCACAGTGGTGTACCCCCGGAGTCCCAGCTACTTGGAAGGCTGAGGCAAGAGGGTTGCTTAGGCCCAGGAATTCAAGGCTGCAGTGAGCTGTGATCACACCACTGCACTCCAGCCAGAGCAACAGAGTAAGACCTTGCCTTCACACACACACACAAAAAAACAAAAAACTCAGGTTCCAACCCTGGAGTTACTAAATCAGGATCTCAGAACGCAGAGATCTGGCATTTCAATAAAACTTCCCCTGGAGATTCTGATCAGCCAGGTTTGGGCCAGATGAACTCTAAGCTCACTTAAACCTTTGACATTTTATGAGTCTATTAAATCGAGTACAAAAAATGCTGAGTCCAAACCGGGCAAACAAATCCCATCTCCCTATGCCCAGCCTCCTTGGATTCAGAAAGCCACACTGCCTGGAGAGTAAGCAGAGAGAGAATTGTCATTAACCCAAAGACCATCTTTGAAAACAGACTGGCCGCGGCTGAGTGCGGTGGCACACGCCTGTAACCCCAGCCCTTTGGAAGGCCGAGGCAGGAGGATCACTTGAGCCCAGGAGTTCGAGACCAGCCTGGGCAACATGGCAAGACCCTGTCTCTATCTTTCTAAGTAAAACAAAATAAAAAGCTCAGACTGGCAGCACATGGTTCTTTCCAGCTGTTCCCATGAGCAGGCTTCAGGACAAGCCCAGGCAAAGGCAGGGAGAAATGGGGTGGGGACCCCCAGGCTCACCGCCTTGTCTGCTGCGTAGGTGGAGTTGGTCCCAAAGGTCACAGGCTGGGAGGGGTCCAAGGCTTTGGTGTGAGCAATCACCATCCTGTCCACAAAAGAGAGAAGACACAGGTTCCGTCAGTCCGGGAAAGGCTCAGACAACCTCCCATCCTCTCTGTCCCATCTTCCCCTGCCAGAACACAACTGGGGGCCAGGCACGATGGCTCACGCCTGTAATCCCAGCACTTCAGGAGGCTGAGGCAGGCAGATCACTGAGGTCAGGGGTTCAAGAACAGCCTGGCCAACATGGCAAAACCCCATTTCTACTAAATATACAAAAATTAGCCAGGCTTAGTGGCACGCATCTGTAACTCCAGCTACTCGGGAGGCTGAGGCACAAGAATTGCTTGAACCCGGGAGGTGGAGGTTGCAGTGAGCCGAAATCACGCTACTGCACTCCAGCCTGGGCCACAGAGCAAGACCCTGCCCCAAAACAAACAAACAAACAAACAAACAAACAAACAAAAAAAAAGAAAGAAAGAAAAGAAAAAAAAAAAAAAAAAACAAAGCACAGAGCCGCTGCTTTCTTCCCTAACTTGAGATGTATTTTACATAAGGGCACGTTCCTCTAGTCCTAGACCGAGCTCTCTAACAACACTCTTTCTCCCCCACCCCTGAATCCAACTCCCCCAGAGGCGTAGCCACCCTGCCGGGTACACAGAGCTGAGGTCACTGGACTGAACACTGCCAGAAATGAGGTTCACTTCCTGAAATAGCTCTTGAACACAGGAGTGAATGGGCTGTGGATTCAGGTGGAATATTTATTAATGCATCAAGCAAACAGGTAGTGCGAGGTGGGAGGGAGGCATGAGGCTGGGTGCTAGGTGCTCAGTAATGACTCAAATCTAAGTCCACAGGTCCTGGGCAGTGGGAGTGGAGATGCATGCACAGAAAAACGGTGCAAGTGCCAGGCGAGGTGGCTCAAGCCTAGAACCCCAGCACTTTGGGAGGCTTACTTGAGACCAGGCGCTTGAGACCAGCCTGGACAACATAGCAAGACCTTGTTTCTACAACAAATTTAAAAATTAGGGCCGGGCATGGTGGCTCAAGCCTGTGAGCACTTTGGGAGGCCAAGGCAGGTGGATCACGAGCTCAAGAGTTCGAGACCAGCCTGGCCAACATGGTGAAACCCCATCTCAACAAAAAATAAAGAAGAAAACTAGCTGGGCATGGTGGCGTGAGCCTGTAATCCCAGCTACTCGGGAGGGTGAGGCAGGAGAACTGTTTGTACCCAGGAGGTAGAGGATGCAGTGAGCCAAGATCGCAACACTGCTCTCCAGCCTGGGAGACAGAGCAAGACTCTGACTCGTGGGGAAAAAAAAATATTAAAATTTAGCCTGGCAAGGCAGCGCACGTCTGTGGTCTCAGCTATTTGGGAGGCTGAGTGGGGAGGATCGCTTAAGCCCAGGAGGTCGAGATGGCAACGAGCTATGATTGCACCACTGCACTCCAGCCTGGGCAACAGAGTGAGACCCTGACTCTGAAAAACAAACAATGAAAGAAATGTTGCGAATGGAAATGACAAGTGGTGGCAGGAATTGGGCACTCTATGAGACAACAGACACATCCCCGATTGGAGAGTCAGGGACAGGCTCTTAGAAGAAATGGCCTTTATGCTGAGTCAAGTTAACCAGGAGGGATGAAGGGAAGAGGCTCCCAACAGAGGGACCAGTCCGTGCTCAGAGCTCCCAGCATCTGCCCAAGGCCTCCACAGAACAGACTGTTGTGTTTTTGTTTTGTTTTGTTTTGTTGAGATACAGAGTCTCATTCTGTAGCCCAGGCTGGAATGCAGTGGCATTATCTCAGCTCATTGCAATCTCTGCCTCCTGGTTCACCTGAGGCGATTCTCCTGCCTCAGCCTACCTGGTAGCTGGGATTACAGACGTCCACCACCATGCCCAGCTAATTTTTGTATTTTTAGTAGAGACAGGATTCACTACCTGTTGACCAGGCTGGTCTCGAACTCCTGACCTCGGGTGATCCACCCACCTCAGCCTCCCAAACTGCTGGGATTACAGGCGTGACCCACCGCATCCGGCCTAGACCGTTGTTGAAGCTGGTTTTCTTCTTCTTTCCTCAGTTCTTTTCTTTTACATCTTCCCCCCATCATTGCTCTGCCCATCCGAAGGCTGTGGCTGGCACAGGACAGAATAGAACCTCCTAGCCTCAAGTTCCAAACCCACACTCTCCAATAGCCAGGCTCTCAGATGGGAAGCTTCAAAGCCTTGTGACAGCCTGGCTGAACCTCTCCAGCCTGGGCCCTCCCTCCATTTCCTGCCCCGGAAACAGGCATCTCCTCTGGCCACCTCCCAAAGCCTGTCTGGAAGCCTCAGGCACCCGCTCCTGGAAGCCTGTACGATTCACAACAAACGGCCTGTCCACCCAGTCGTGCTGAGCACACCCCTATTCCCCCGAGCTCTGAATTGTCCTTTGCCCAGGCTAGGACAACATCTCAGAGCCTTCTGCCTGCTGCAGACTCGGCTCAGCCCAAATCACTCCATGAAATTGGGGTGTGGCATCTGCCTCAAGGAGCATTTCTACAACCTCTGCTGCCTCTACCGCAAATGAAACTGGCTCTCACCCACTGGCTCTCGGTGACGGGCACAGTGCGGAGCCCCACAGGGAGTGTGTAGAAGTCAAAGGCCCCAGTGACTTCTGTGCAGTCAACCGCACCTACGACAGCCAAAGCGCCAGGTGTGAGCGCCCCGACAGCCTGAGCCCCATCTGGCCTGCCCTACAGCAGGAAGACCCCTCGTGCATGCACCCCAGAAGTCGCCACTGGGCCTGCAGAGAAGCAGCAACCAGAGGCTCTGCCCTTCACTGGCTGACCCTGGGACCTGCCCTTCAAAATCAGGCCTTCTCCTTGACCAGACGAGGTGGCTCATGCCTGGAATCCCTACACTTTGGGAGGCTAAGGCAGGAGGATCACCTGAGTCCAGGAGTTCAAGACCAGCCTGGGCAACCTAGTAAGACCCCAACTCTATAAAAAGGAGTTTTTTTTTTTTGAGACAGTCTCACTCTGTCACCCAGGATAGAGTGCTGCGGCATGATCTCAATTCACCGCAGCCCCTGCCTCCTGGGTTCAAGCAATTCCCCTGCCTCAGCCTCCCGAGTAGCTGGGATTACAGACGTGCACCATCATGCCCTGCAAATTTTCATATTTTAGTAGAGACGGGGTTTCACCATGTTGGCCAGGCTGGTCTCCAACTCCTGGCCTAAAGTGATCCGCCCGCGTCAGCCTCCCGAAGTGCTGGGATTACAGGTGTGAGCCACCATGCCCGGCCTACAAAAAAAATTTTTTTAATTAGCCAGGCATGGTGGCATGTGCCTGTAGTCCCAGCTACTCAGGAGGCCAAGGTAGGAGGATTGCAGCTCAAAGCTGCAGTGAGCTGTGATCAGGCCATTGCATTCCAGCCTGGGTGACAGAGTGAGACCATCACAAAAACAAACAAACAAATAAATAAATAAATAAATAAATAAATAAATAAATAAAAAATCTGGGCCTCCCACCAAGGGTGGGAAACATCAGAAAGCTCAGAGGACCACACCTGCCCGTTCACCTGTCCTGGGCTCCTGCTGAAGCCAGGGCTACCAGATGGGGGCAAAAGACCTCCCTTACGCAAGTCCCAAACCACCATTACCTCCCACGAGTACAGGTAGGCGGGGTGTTCGTGCATCAGGTACGGCCACCAGAGGTTGGCACCAGCACCTTCAGCTGGCCCTGGGTCCCAGCCTGGTTGTCCACGACTTTGTTTTCTGCATTCAAAAGACACACTTCCAACTTGAACTGGTTACTGCACTTGACGGAGATCTGGTAATTCACCAGCCCTGCAGGAGGCAAGAGAGACCAGGGCTTAGGGAGGGACATGACCTGGGTCACACAAACGGGAAGGCCCCACAATGACCACTCCCAGGCACTCTCATTTGCTTCTGTTGCTTTTTTTTTTTTTTTTTTTTTGAGATAGAATCTCGCTCTGTCACCCAGGCTGGAGTGCAGTGGCATGATCTGGACTCACTGAAACCTCTGCCTCCCAGGTTCAAGTGATTCTCCTGCCTCAGCCTCTGGAATAGCTGGGATTACAGGCACCTGCCACCACATCCAGCTAATTTTTGTATTGTTAGTAGAGACGGGGTTTCACCACATTAGCCAGGATGGTCTTGATCTCCTGACCTCGTGATCCGCCTGCCTCGGCCTCCCAAAGTGCTGGGATTACAGGCTTGAGCCACCGTGCCCGGCCCTGAACCAATGCACCCAGCCCGCTTTTAATTTAATTTTTTAATTTTTTTTTTTTTTTTTTTTTTTTTTTTTTGAGATGGAGTCTCACTGTCACCCAGGCTGGAGTGTAGTGCTGCGATCCTGACTCGCTGCAACCTCCACCTCTGGAGTTCAGGTGATTCTCCTGCCTCAGCCTTCCGAGTACCTGGGAATACAGGAATGCACCACCATGCCCGGCGAATTTTTCTATTTTCAGTAGAGACGGAGTTTTGCCATGTTGGCCAGGCTGGTCTCGAACTCCTGAACTCAGGTGATCCACCCGCCTCAGTCTCCCAATAGATTACATATATTATTAATGAATTGCTTCCTTTAACACCCTATTCATTGAATTTTCCAGTAAACCACAATTACTAATTACTCCTGAAATCAGAAAAGAGGTTAAAAAGATTTTATAACAGTATCCTATGAAATCTACTACTTTCAAGTAATAGTAGTTGAATTACCAAAACCCGTCACTCAAGCCAATGACTACAATTAAGATATGAGTAACATTTCCTAGATAAATAAAGTCAATTAATTATATTTGCATCTGGGAAATAGAGAAAGTACATATAAGCCATGATTTTGAAGTCAAAAGAGAGAGAATATTTGCCAAGGAGGGGTGAGTTATAGTATGTAATTATAACATACAGAAGTTTTTTGTATGCTGGTAACTAATTTTAATTTCCTACATTTTTATGTAGATTTCTGCTATTCTTGTCCTATTTTCCTAATCATCTTTCTATATGAATGACTACATAATTCTGAGAATACCAAAAGAGACAGACACAGAACCAATCGGATTCCTTTCTTCTTGAAGCTTCTGCACAGCAAAAGAAACTATCAACAGAGTGAACAGACAACCTACAGAATGGGAGAAAATTTTTGCAACAATGCATGTGACAAAGATCTAATGTCCAACACTGATAAGGAACTTAAACAAATTTACAAGAAAAAAAAAAATCTCATTAGAAAGTGGGCACAGGACATAAACAGACACTTCAAAAGAAGACACACATGCGGCCAACAAGCATATGAGAAAAAGCTCAATATCACTGATCATTAGAGAAATGCAAATCAAAACCACAATGGCATACCATCTCACACCAGTCAGTATGGTTATTATTAAGAAGTCAACGCCGGGCATGGTGGCTCACGCCTATAATCCCAGCACTTCAGGAGGCCAAGGCAGGCAGATCGCATGAGGTCAGGAGTTCCAGACCAGCCTGGACAACCTGGCGAAACCCCGTCTCTACTAAAAATACAAAAATTAGCCCAGCGTGGTGGCGGGTGCCTGTAATCCCAGCTACTCAGGATGCTGAGGCAGGAGAATCGCCTGAACCCGGGAGGCAGAGGTTGTAGTGAGCCGAGATCATACCACTGCACTCTCCAGCTTAGGTGACAGAGCGAGACTCTGTCTCAAAAAAAAAAAAAAAAAAATATTTGAATTTTGTTTAAATCGCTAACACATACTGGGCATTTAATAACAAAAAAAAAGGACATGAGATTGTGATCCTTATGAAGGTTTGAGAGGCATTTCACTAGGGTTCAACATACAGCAGTCTGAAACATACTGTAATAATTTAATCCAATGGCTCATCTACAGCACCTAAAAAGATTACAGCAGATTCTCATTATTCAGTGTAGTTACGGTCTAGAAAGTTCCATGAACAAATAAAAAGTTAGGTTTCAGCAAGCTACTGGTCACACTTTTGTAAGCTTACCAACACCTACTTTTGTTGTATGTGTGCTTATTTAATATATATTGTTGGCCAGGCACAGTGGCTAACGCCTGTAATCCCAGCACTTTGGGAAGCCAAGGCGGGCAGATCATTTGAGGTCTGGAGTTCGAGACCAGCCTGGCCAACGTGGTGAAACCCCGTCTCTACTAAAACTACAAAAAAAAAAAAAAAAAATTAGCCAGGCATGGTGGCGCATGCCTGTAGTCTTAGCTACTTGGGAGGCGAAGGCAGGGGAATCGCTTGAACCCAGGAGGCAGAGGTTGCAGTGAGCCAAGACTGCACCACTGCACTCCAGCCTGAGCAACAGAGTGAGACTCTATCTCAAAAAAAATAATAATAATAATTAATTAAATGAAGAATAAATAAATAATATACATTGTTCATTCATTAACATTGAACTCACAGCCAACGGCACTACAGCACTCACGCCTGAATGGAGTTTATTTAATGCATGTATTTTCTCTGTAAGACACATCACAGACTTCTTGGACTTGTGAATGCTAAGCAGCACTTCAGCACTATGCTTGGGGGTTAATTTAAATGGCAAAACAACCAACAAACAGTACAAAAACAGGAAAAGCATGGCATTAAATAGACCACAAAAAGGATACCTGACTATTGTATGAGAGCTGAAAAAGAAGGCAGAATATCATCCTGTTCAAACTCAAATTCTTTGACACTCTGCGCAAACACATGACTATGAAAGTGCTGTGAGTACTGATTTGGGGGTTACAAAAAATAGTAGGTGAGTTCACAAATACAAAAGCTGAAAACAAGGAGGATCGACTGTATTTTCGTAGACAATCTAATCTCAGAAGATTTCAGTTCAGACAAAAATCATAATTACTGTATTACAAAAGGGCACTAGATAGGGGGGAAAGAGTAAAAATCACAATTAAAACAAAGGTTCAAAATTCTGCAGCAACCATATCCAGTTACACTTTAATATGTTTGCGGCAGACTACATTATTGTTCCCAACTCATCACCCCTCCCTATATCTAAAACCTTTCCCCAAGACAATGCAGTTCCTCCTGCTAGAGATCAGGTATATTTATCTATACTATCAATGTTAGCCATGGACAAGGTATGTGCTTTGGCTGACTGAATGTTAGTGGACATGAGAGAAGCAATGGCTTAAAATGTACTTCCAGAACTGGAGTTTCCTTGTGATTCTATCACTGTGACAAAAACACATTCTCAGGTAGTCCACTGATCCAAGGGGGAACAAACACACAGAAAACATACCTAGACTCTATCTGCAGCTTGCAGCCTCACCAAGCCAACAACAGTCAACTCACAGATATGTTAGCAAAAATAAATGTTTTTCGTACCTTAAGTTTTATATAATTATTGACCTGCAGTTAACTGATATACAATATACATTAATCTTAAAATATCAGTATCCCATTAAAAATATTTACATTAAAAACTGAGACCACTTTCTTTCCTCCTTTTTTTTTTTTTTTTTTTAAATTAAGAGACAGGGTGTCTCAATGTTGCCCAAGCTGGAGTTCGGTGGCTAGTGGCTATTCACAAGAACGATCATCGCACACTACCTCAAACTCCTGGGATCAAGCAATCCTCCTGCCTCAGCTTTCCAAGTCGCTGGGACTATAAGTGTGTACCACAGCATGTCAGCTCTCTCTCTCCTTCTTGACCTAAAGCCTAGCATAAAATTAGCTAAGTAGAATGTTTCCAAAGATGCCTGCATCAGTATCTCCCATCCCACATAATTTCTGTTTGATTTTGCCATTCACCCATAAAATGGTGGGATCTACCTCCCCTCCTTGCAAATTTGAGCTGGCCCTCTGATCCTGTCTAAGATCTGAAGCCAGATATTAAGGTACTTCATTAATTTCCATGTTTGTCCTCTATGCAACCTAGCAATCAAGCAAGAAGTCAAAACATACTGACATAGTTTGGATGGGTCCCCACCCAAATCTCACCTTGCATTGTAATAATTCCCACGTGTCAAGGGTGGGGCCGGGTGCAGATAACTGAATCATGGGGATGGTTCCCCCCATACTGTTCTCGCGGTAGTGACTAAGTCTCATGAGATCTGATGGTTTTATAAATGGGAGCTCCCCTGCACATGCTCTCTCCTGCCTGCCACTATGTGAGACATGCTTTTGCACCTCCTTGCCTTCCACCATGATTGTGAGGCCTCCCCAGCCATGCAGAACTGTGAGTCAATTCAACCTCTTTCCTTTATAAATTACCCAGTCTCAGGTATGTCTTTATTTGCAGTGTGAGAACAGACTAATACAATAAGTTGATACCAGTAGAGTGGGGTGCTGCTGTAAAGATACCCGAAAATGTGGAAGCAACTTTGGAAATGGGTAACAGGGAGAGGCTGGAACAGTTTGGAAGGCTCAGAAGAGGATAGGAAAATGTGGGAAAGTTTGGAACTTCCTAGAGACTTGTTGAATGGCTTTGACCAAAATGTTAATAGTGATATGGACAACAAGGTCCAGGCGGAGGTGGTCTCAGAGGCAGATGAGGAATTTGTTGGGAAATGGAGTAAAGTCACTCTTACTATGCAAAGACACTGCAGGCATTGTGCACCTGTATTAGAAACGGGCATAAGATAGGCGGGAAAGAGGGAAAATAAGAATTTTTTTCTAGAGTTCCCTACAGATCTGTGGAACTTTGAACTTGAGAGAGATGATTTAAGGTATCTGACAGAAGAAATTTCTAAGCAGCAAAGCATTCGAGAAGAAGCAGAGCATAAAAGTTCAGAAAATTTGTAGCCTGATGATGCAACAGAAAAGAAAAATCTATTTTCTCAGGAGACTGGGTTGTAGAAATTTGCATAAGTAATGAGGAGCCAAATGTTAATCACCAAGACAATGGGGCAAATGTCTCCAGGGCATGTTAGAGACCCTCACAGCAGACCCTCCCATCGCAGGCCAGGAGGCTTAGAAGGAAAAATGGTTTTGTGGGTCCAGAACCCCCTGCTGTGTGCAGCCTAGGAACTTGGGGCCCTGCATCCCAGCTGCTCCTGCCATAGGTAAAAGGGGCCAAGGTACACCTCAGGCCATGGCTTCAGAGGGTGCAAGTTCCAAGCCTTTCAGGTTCTAGGTGGTGTTAAGCCTGCAGATGCACCGAAGTCAAGAATTAACGGTCATGAACCTCCGCCTTCATTTCAGAAGATGTATGAAAATGCCTGGAAATCCAGGCAAAAGTTTGCTGTGGGGGGGAGGGGAGGGGGGGGCCCTCATGGATAACCTCTGCTAGGGCAGTGTCAAAGGGAAATATGGGGTTGGAGCTCCCACACAGAGTCCCCACTGGGGTACTGCCAAGCAGAGCTGTGAGAAAAGGGCCACCATCCTCCAGACCCCAGAATGGTAGATCCACTGACAGCTTGCACTGTGTGCCTGGAAAAGCTGCAGACACTCAATGCAGCCAGAAGGGGGGCTGTACCCTGCAAAGCCACAGGGGCGGGGCTGCCCAAGACCCTGGGAACCCACTTCTTGCATCACCTAGATGTGACACATGGAGTCAAAGGAGGTCATTTTGGAGCTTTAAGATTTGCCTGCTGGGTTTTGGACTTGCATGGGGCCTGTAGCTCTTTCGCTTTGGCCAATTTCTCCCATTTGAAACGAGTGTATTTACCCAATGCCTGTATCCCTGTGTATCTAGAAAATAACTAACTTGCTTTTGATTTTACAGGCTCATAGGTGGAAGGGACTTGCCTTGTCTCAGATGAGACTTTGGACTATGGAATTTTGAGTTAATGCTGAAATAAGAGTTTGGGGGACTTAGGGGAAGGCATGATTGCTTTTGAAATATGAGGACATGAGATTTGGGAGGGGCCGGGGAAGAATTATATGGTTTGGCTCTGTCCGCACCCAAATCTCATCTTGAATTGTAACAATTCCCATGTGTCAAGGGTGGGGCCAGGTGGAGATAACTGAATCATGGAGGCAGTTTCCCCCATGCTGTTCTCATGGTAGTGAATAAGTCTCATGAGGTCTGATGGTTTTATAAATGGATGTTCCCCTGCACATGCTCTCTCCTGCCCACCATGTCTGACTAAATTTTGTATTTTTACTAGAGACGGGCTTTCACTATGTTGGCCAGGCTGGCCTCCAACTCCTGATCTCGTGATCCGTCCACCCCGACCTCCCAAAGTGCTAGGATCATAGGCATAAGCCACCACACCCGGCCTCTTTTTTTTCTTTTTCTTTTTTTTATCTGGAGACTGAGTTTTGCACTCGTTGCCCAGGCTGGAGTGCAATGGTGCGATCTCAGCTCACTGCAGTCTCCACCTCAGCAGGAGAGCAGGAATCTTCAGTGATCCACGGGCAAATATGCAGCCATTGTGGGCACCTGTTCCTCCCGCGACCTTTGTGCCCACGTCTCTCCCTCCAGTACCTACTGCACGGCCCCCCACGTCCGCCTCCTGCCATTGCCAGCAGGTGCCTTGCGCGGGTACCTGGCTGCGCTTATTCATCCATTATGGTCGCTCTGTCACTGGTGCCATTATGTGCTCACATGCCCACTCCCTCAGGTTTAGAAGTCGCGTTGCCCGGCAACAGAACAATCTGCTGGCTTAGCCTTTGGCCAAGTTGGCAGCTGGACGAGGACGCTCAGAGCCCAGCTCTTGAGAGTTCAAGTATCCGACAGTTCCCCACTGCTCCCAGGAGCGGTTACCCGGGCACTCTGTGCCCCTCATTCCTGTTTGGGCCAAGGCCGAGGACCTGCGAGTAGGGCTCAGTTGCCTGGAGCCCCTTCAGCCCATCCCCCAGTTCACTTTGCTTGTGGGATCTCCCCGTTGCTCCTGCCCCTGGACTGAGTGGCAGGCCATCCTACAAACACCCGCACACTCGACATCAGTGGTGTCAAGACAACTCTAAGAAGGTTTTCCGTGATCCTGCAAGACCTGTGTTCCATCCTGGTGATTCTGTCTTCAATTTCACTGCACAGGTACCACAGTAAGCCAGTGCTGTGTGCTCCGAGTTCCAGGGCATCCCCCAGCCCAGCCACTACACTGAGCACAAGGACTCTGTGGGGCCCAGGAGCAGGTAGTCACCCCTTTGGGGTCCACAACACCCGGCTGTCCCCAGACTTGTGTCCAGGGAAGATAGTGTTGAGGGCCCTCAAGGAGAGCAGGGCAGGGATGCCTGAGCAGGACAAGGACCCCAGAGTCCAAGAAAATCCTGATGATCAGAGAACGGTCCCCGAGGTCACCGGGGATGCACGGTCTGCATTTTGGCCCCTGCGGGACAATGGAGGCCCCTCTCCCTTTGTGCCCAGGCCCGGGCCTCTGCAGACAGACCTCCACGCCCAGAGCTCAGAAATCAGATATAACCACACATCCCAGACATCCTGGACGAGCTCGAGCACCAAACGAAATGCCATCTCCAGCTCCTACAGCTCCACGGGAGGCTTGCCGGGGCTAAAGCAGAGGAGGGGGCCAGCCTCATCCCGCTGCCAGCTGACCCTCAGTTACTCAAAGACAGTGAGTGAGGACAGGCCTCAGGCTGTCTCTTCGGGTCACACACGGTGTGAAAAGGGGGCAGATACATCACCAGGGCAGACAATCGCCCCAACGGGTGGCTCCCCCAGATCCCAGGATTCTAGGCCCCGTAGACGCAAGATTCCCCTGCTGCCACGCAGGCGAGGGGAGCCTTTGATGCTGCCACCTCCCTTAGAGCTGGGGTACCGGGTCACGGCTGAAGACCTGCACCTGGAAAAAGAGACGGCATTCCAGCGCATCAACAGTGCACTGCACGTTGAGGACAAGGCCATCCCGGACTGCAGACCCTCACAGCCTTCCCACACTTTGTCCTCACTTGCAACAGGGGCTTCGGGTGGGCCTCCCGTTTCTAAAGCACACACTATGGATGCACAGCAGGACAGACCCAAGTCCCAAGACTGCCTGGACCTAGTGGCCCCCCTAGCATCTGCTGCAGAGGTCCCCGCTACAGCTCCCGTGTCTGGGAAGAAGCACAGACCACCAGGACCCCTGTTCTCCTCCTCAGATCCCCTTCCGGCCAACTCTTCCCACTCCCGGGACTCAGCCCAGGTCACCTCGATGATTCCTGCCCCCTTGACAGCTGCAAGCAGGGATGCCGGCATGAGAAGAACAAGTTCGGCTCCTGCACCTGCCGCAGCAGCCCCTCCCCCCTCCACATTGAACCCCACGTCGGGGTCACTACTCAATGCAGTGGATGGAGGCCCCTCACATTTCTTGTCCTCAGCCACAGCTGCAGCACGTGTCCAGAGGTCAGAAGTGAGATATAACCAGAGATCCCAGACCTCCCGGACCAGATCGTGCCTCAAACGAAATGCCAGCTCCAGCTCCCACAGCTCTACGGAAGGCCTCCAAGAAGTAAAGCGGAGGAGGGGGCCAGCCTCATCCCACTGCCAGCTGGCCCACAGTTCCTCAAACACAGTGAGTGAGGATGGACCTCAGGCTGTCTCTTCGGGTCACCGCTGTGAAAACAAGGCAGGTACAGCACCAGGGCAGACACTCGCCCCCAGGGGTGGCTCCCCCAGATCCCAGGCCTCTAGGCCCCACATCAACAGTGCACTGCACGTTGAGGACAAGGCCATCTCGGACTGCAGACCCTCACGGCCTTCCCACACTTTGTCCTCACTTGCAACAGGGGCTTCGGGTGGGCCTCCCGTTTCTAAAGCACCCACTATGGATGCACAGCAGGACAGACCCAAGTCCCAAGACTGCCTGGGCCTAGTGGCCCCCCTAGCATCTGCTGCAGAGGTCCCTGCTACAGCTCCCGTGTCTGGGAAGAAGCACAGACCACCAGGACCCCTGTTCTCCTCCTCAGATCCCCTTCCTGCCACCTCTTCCCACTCCCGGGACTCAGCCCAGGTCACCTCGCTGATTCCTGCCACCTTCACAGCTGCAAGCAGGGATGCCGGCATGAGAAGAACAAGGTCGGCTCCTGCAGCTACCGCAGCAGCCCCTCCCCCATCCACATTGAACAACACGTCGGGGTCACTACTCAATGCAGTGGATGGAGGCCCCTCACATTTCTTGGCCTCAGCCACAGCTGCAGCACGTGCCCAGAGGTCAGAAGTGAGATATAACCAGAGATCCCAGACCTCCCGGACCAGATCCTGCCTCAAACGAAATGCCAGCTCCAGCTCCAGCTCCCACAGCTCTACGGAAGGCCTCCAGGAACTAAAGCGGAGGAGGGGGCCAGCCTCATCCTACTGCCAGCTGGCCCACAGTTCCCCAAACACAGTGAGTGAGGACGGACCTCAGGCTGTCTCTTCGGGTCACCGCTGTGAAAACAAGGCAGGTACAGCACCAGGGCACACACTCGCCCCCAGGGGAGGCTCCCCCAGATCCCAGGCCTCTAGGCCCCACATCAACAGTGCACTGCACGTTGAGGACAAGGCCATCTCGGACTGCAGACCCTCACGGCCTTCCCACACTTTGTCCTCACTTGCAACAGGGGCTTCCGGTGGGCCTCCCGTTTCTAAAGCACCCACTATGGACGCACAGCAGGACAGACCCAAGTCCCAAGACTGCCTGGGCCTAGTGGCCCCCCTAGCATCTGCTGCAGAGGTCCCCTCTACAGCTCCCGTGTCTGGGAAGAAGCACAGACCACCAGGACCCCTGTTCTCCTCCTCAGATCCCCTTCCTGCCACCTCTTCCCACTCCCGGGACTCAGCCCAGGTCACCTCGCTGATTCCTGCCACCTTCACAGCTGCAAGCAGGGATGCCGGCATGAGAAGAACAAGGCCTGGCACCTCGGCTCCTGCAGCTGCCGCAGCAGCCCCTCCCCCCTCCACATTGAACCCCACGTCGGGGTCGCTACTCAATGCAGTGGATGGAGGCCCCGCACATTTCTTGGGCTCAGCCACAGCTGCAGCACGTGCCCAGAGGTCAGAAGTGAGATATAACCAGAGATCCCAGACCTCCCGGACCAGATCGTGCCTCAAACGAAATGCCAGCTCCAGCTCCCACAGCTCTACGGAAGGCCTCCACGAAGTAAAGCGGAGGAGGGGGCCAGCCTCATCCCACTGCCAGCTGGCCCACAGTTCCTCAGTGAGTGAGGACGGACCTCAGGCTGTCTCTTCGGGTCACCGCTGTGAAAACAAGGCAGGTACAGCACCAGGGCAGACACTCGCCCCCAGGGGTGGCTCCCCCAGATCCCAGGCCTCTAGGCCCCGCATCAACACTGCACTGCACGTTGAGGACAAGGCCATCTCGGACTGCAGACCCTCACGGCCTTCCCACACTTTGTCCTCACTTGCAACAGGGGCTTCCGGTGGGCCTCCCGTTTCTAAAGCACCCACTATGGATGCACAGCAGGACAGACCCAAGTCCCAAGACTGCCTGGTCCTACTGGCCCCCCTAGCATCTGCTGCAGAGGTCCCCTCTACAGCTCCCGTGTCTGGGAAGAAGCACAGACCACCAGGACCCCTGTTCTCCTCCTCAGATCCCCTTCCTGCCACCTCTTCCCACTCCCGGGACTCAGCCCAGGTCACCTCGCTGATTCCCGCGCCCTTCACAGCTGCAAGCAGCGATGCCGGCATGAGAAGAACAAGGCCTGGCACCTCGGCTCCTGCAGCTGCAGCAGCAGCCCCTCCCCCCTCCACATTGCACCCCACGTCGGGGTCACTACTCAATGCAGTGGATGGAGGCCCCTCACATTTCTTGGCCTCAGCCACAGCTGCAGCACGTGTCCAGAGGTCAGAAGTGAGATATAACCAGAGATCCCAGACCTCCCGGACCAGATCCTGCCTCCAAGGAAATGCCAGCTCCAGCTCCCACAGCTCTACGGAAGGCCTCCCGCAACTAAAGCGGAGGAGGGGGCCAGCCTCATCCCACTGCCAGCTGGCCCACAGTTCCTCAAACACAGTGAGTGAGGACGGACCTCAGGCTGTCTCTTCGGGTCACACCCGCTGTGAGAAGAAGGCAGGTACAGCACCAGGGCAGACACTTGCCCCCAGGGGTGGCTCCCCCAGATCCCAGGCCTCTAGGCCCCGCATCAACACTGCACTGCACGTTGAGGACAAGGCCATCTCGGACTGCAGACCCTCACGGCCTTCCCACACTTTGTCCTCACTTGCAACAGGGGCTTCGGGTGGGCCTCCCGTTTCTAAAGCACCCACTATGGATGCACAGCAGGACAGACCCAAGTCCCAAGACTGCCTGGGCCTACTGGCCCCCCTAGCATCTGCTGCAGAGGTCTCCTCTACAGCTCCCGTGTCTGGGAAGAAGCACAGACCACCAGGACCCCTGTTCTCCTCCTCAGATCCCCTTCCTGCCACCTCTTCCCACTCCGGGGACTCAGCCCAGGACACCTCGCTGATTCCTGCCCCCTTCACACCTGCAAGCAGGGATGCCGGCATCAGAAGAATGTTTCGTGTTCGAAATTGTTTGAGGGGTTTGGGTTTATTTTTGTTGGTTTTTTCTTTTTTTTTTTTGCTTACGTGGGCATCCTTCAGCTTTTAATAATCTGAAAAATTCTATTTACCCATTGTCAATGTGTATAAATTAATCTCAGTCAATTTTATACAATAAAAGGTGAACTTTTATCCATCAAACAATAATTTAACAAAAAATGTACCGGAAGAAGAATGTTCATTACAAATATAGGAAACATAAATATTACCAAATATTGGCAAGCACTAAAATGTTCAGAAATATAAGTCTATTACAGTTATAGCTCTCTCAAGCAAAAAAACAGCAGAGAAAAACTTAGTTTACCTGAGGGGCTATTTATTTACTTAGGGATTTGTTAAAAGGTCAAATGGGGTCACACAGAATACTAAGAAGAGCTGTTCATCCAGGCCTCACTAAGAACTCTTCTTCATGCAGTAGCTATATGGTAATATGACAACTGCTCCTACGACCCAAAGAGGAACTACAGCAACTACTCTTTAGCATCTGTTGCTCCCAACTCTGCTTTGCAATTATATGACTCAAGCATTCTGGCTCCGTTAACTATTACTGCTGTTACTCCCAAGTAAATTCCCTCTAAAAAATAAAAATTTTTAAAGCTGTAATTTAAGCTCTCTGCTGCCTCATGACTTCAATTCCATCAGAGTTACGCATTGTTTCCTCTGTACATCTTTGCTCTGCTTCCATTGCTAATTCCCTAGAAAAGTGTTGTATATTCAAAGTTCCAAAGAAACAGAATATCCAAGACATCACCAATCATCCAAAACATAGTGTAGGAGGCCACAGTTAAGAGAAGCAAGACCATTAGCTCTTTTTATAGGCTCGAGAACAACAGGATGCTTTGGTCCTGTATCAGCAGGACGCTTTTTGGGTAGATCCTACTGCCACCCTACTATCGGGTAGATCCTACTGTCACCCTAGCTATGGGCACATGTCAGAGTCCCATGTAATAAAGGAGACAAAAGGAAACCACCACGAGTATAAACTAAGAAAAGTACTCCAAGGTTTCTAAGAATGGAGCTGTATAACTCACTTTGCCCCGTTTGTTACTTCTCCACGGTACTTACCACCACCTATTACATACATTTTGTTTATAGTCAGTCTTCCCCCATTAGAATGAAAGTTCCGTGAGGATAGGACTATACAGTCAGCCCTCAGTATCCATGGGGGACTGGTTTCAGGATCTCCTGAGGGTAACAAAGGATACTCAAGTCCCTGATATAAAATGACATAGTATTTGCACATCACCTTTGCACATCCTCCCATATACTTCATATCAACTCTAGATCACTCATAATATCCGATGTAAATGTCATGCAAATAGTTATTGTACTATATTGTGTAAGGAATAAGGACAAGAAAAAAGTCTGTACATGTTCAGTACAGACGCAATTTTTTTTTCCAATATTTCCAATCCTTGGTTGCCTTAACGGATGTAGAACCCAGGAATAAGTTCTGGTGTCCTATTGCATAGTAGGATGAGTATAGTTAACAATAACATATTATATATTTGAAAATAGCCAGAAGAGTAGATTTTGAATTTTCTCCCTACAGAAAAATCATTATGCAAATTACCCTGATTTGATCATTACACATTGAGTACATGTATTAAAACATCACATTCTACCCCATATATATGTACAGTTATTATGTGTCCATAAAAATTTAATGTCAATGTGTGAAATAAAATGAAAAAATAAAAATTTTTAAAGCTGTAATTATCTCCATCTGGTAGGAATATATACAATCTGAAATAAAAAATATATTTGTAATTGTTAGGACAAAATAGATTATACATTAAGTCTGCAAATTATAAATTATAAAATTCTCACAGAACCTGAAAAATTATTGATACTGTTAAATATTTAAAAAGCTGTCCTTGGAGAGAAAGAAACCTATCAGATTTACATCAACAAGTGTAATATGTCAGCCTATTACCATCTGCTACAGACTGCATGTTTGTGTTCCCTCAAAATTCATATGATAGGCCCGGCGCGGTGGCTCATGCCTGTAATCCCAGCACTTTGGGAGGCCGAGGCGGGTGGATCATGAGGTCAGGAGATCGAGATCATCCTGGCTAACATGGTAAAACCCCGTCTCTACTAAAACTACAAAAAATTAGCCGGGCGCAGTGGCGGGCGCCTTAGTCCCAGCTACTGAGGAGGCTGACGCAGGAGAATGGCGTGAACCCAGGAGGCGGAGCTTGTAGAGAGCCGAGATTGTGCCACTGCACTCCAGCCTGGGTGACAGACAGAGCGAGACTCTGTCTCAAAAAAAAAAAAAAAAAAAAAAAAAAAATTCATATGATAAAGCCCTAACCCCCAAGGTGAGGATACTGGGAGGCGTGGCCTTTAGGAGAGAATTAGGTTTAGATGAGGTCATGAGAATAGAGCCCCTATGGTGGCATTACTTCCTTTATAAGAAGAGACACTAGAGCTGCTTTTCTCCCTACCATGTGAGGATACCGAGAGAAGATGGCCATTTCCAATCTAGGAAGCAGGCCCTCTTTAAGAAACATAATTTGCCAACACTTTGATCTTGCACTTCCAGTCTGCAGAACTGTGAGAAATATCTGTTTTTTTTTGTTTGTTTGTTTTTGTTTTTTTTGAGACAGAGTCTCATTCTGTCATCCAGGCTGGAGTACAGTGGTGCGATCATGGCTCACTGCAACCTCCGCCTCCCAGGTTCAAGCAATTCTCCCACCTCAGCCTCCCAAGTAGCTCAGACTACAGGCGTGCACGACCACGCCCTGCTAATTTTCGCAGAGACAAGGTTGTGCCATGCTGCCCAGGCTAGTCTCAAACTCCTGAGCTCAAGTTATCCACCTGCCTCGGCCTCCCAAAGTGTTAGGAATACAGGCATAAGCCACCACGCCTGGTCAAAATATCTACTGTTTAAGCTACCTAATTTATGGTATTCTGTTTTAGCAGCTGAAGCAGACTAAGATACTATCCTATAAGCTACAGACCAGCACTATCCAATAGAACTTTATATGACGAGGAAATGTTTTATATCTGTGCTATCCCTTATGTTAGCCACTAGCCACATGTATCCATCAAGTATTTGAAATATGGCTAGTGCAACTAAAGAACTTAATTTTTAATTTTCTTTTTTTTCTTGAGATGGAGTCTCGCTCTGTCCCCCAGGCTGGAGTGCAGTGGCGCCATCTCGGCTCACTGCAAACTCTGCCTCCCAGGTTCACGCCATTCTCCTGCCTCAGCCTCCTGAGTAGCTGGGACTGCAGGCGCCCGCCACCACGCCCGGCTAATTTTTTTGTATTTTTAATAGAGATGGGGGTTCACCGTCTTAGTAAGGATGGTCTCGATCTCCTGACCTAATGATCTGCCCGCCTCGGCCTCCCAAAGTGCTGGGATTACCGGCGTGAGCCACCACGCCCGGCCAATTTTTATTTTATCTTATTTAAATAACCACATGTGGCTAGTGGCTAATGTATTGAACACTACAGCTGTAGACAATACGAAATAAATATAAAGCAGTCTCAACTTTGGAAAAACAGAAGACTCTTACTGCCTCATAATATAGATGAAAAATGAAATACTAAGATAAGTAAAACGTTCTTTAAAGAACAAAAACAAAAGAAAACCTAATGAAAGCTATAAAAGTCCATTGGATAATAATGCTACCAGTACTAAGGAAGTACAGCCCCTAAGAGTGACTTGCAGTCACAAATATAAAAATGACTATTCAACTGAACTCCTAAGGTGAAAATTTCTTATTCACCATGCTCCAAAATGGTCTGTAATATTCTTCAGAGATGGCATGGTGGGGGAGGCAAGTGGCATCTCTGCCCAGAGAGAATACACAAGCAGAAAGTTCAACACCGCTTACCTGGTGAAACCCTACAAGCGTTTCCACTCCATACGCGCTCTGAATAATGGGATTGTGATGTCTTACACCAATTCTCAAACTGGGCGGCCAGCTGCAGCCGAATCAACTCCAGGTGCCCGTAGTTGCGATACCAAGAGTAGTAGCTGTTCACACGGATCACATCCACATACAGAGCCTAGGACCAGAGCAGCAGAGCCCGTTCAGCAACCACAAGACCGCATGACTCAGTACTCACATGCTGTGGGGGCTCCTCTGACAGAGAAGGTAAGAAGGGGATGTAATCCCAGCACTCTGGGAGGCTGAGGCAGGAGGGTGGCTTGTGGCCAGGAGTTCGAGACCAGCCTGGGCAACACAGCAAGACCCCAGCTCTACAAAAAATAGTATCAAGAAAATCAGCACGGCACAGTGGCTCATGCCTGTAATCCCAGCACATTGGGAGGCCAAGGTGGGAGGATCACTTGAGCCCAGGAGTTTGAGACCAGCCTGGGCAACGTCGTAGGACTCCATTTCTACAAAACAAAACAAAAAGCCTACAACGGGAAGAGCTGCCTCTCGGGGCTGAGAACATCCAACTGCACCAATTTAGATCCTGAAATTACCCTGCCCCACAAGCAAAAAACATGGTCACAAAGTGGCCCAAAGGAGGCAGGCCTGTGATTGCACACTGACGCTCACGACGTGTGCAGCTGGGAAGGGCTGTGAGAGGCAGAGCAGCTGCCAACACGCAGTCCTCAGCCAAAACCCAGGGCCCCCGCCACTGGAACTGACTCCTCTCCAGGCAGCACTCCCAGCACTGGGCATCCCCTCACCTTGCCCTGGAGAAGCCCTCCCACCCAAGGGGCCAATGCAGTCATTCTCGCAGATAATCTTTTTCCGCTTTGTTTGGAAGACAGAGTCTCGCTCTGTTGCCCAGGCTAGAATGGAGTGGCACAATAATGCAACCTCTGCCTCCCACGATCAAGCGCAGGCGTGGTGGCATGTGCCTGTTATCCCAGCTACTTGGGAGGCTGAGGCAGGAGAATTGCTTGAACCTGGGAGGCGGAGGTTGCACTGAGCTGAGACTGTGCCACTGCACTCCAGCCTGGGCAACAGAGCAAGACTCTATCTTAAAAAAATAATAAAAAATAAAAAAGAATGCTAGTATCAGCCAGGCACGGTGGCTCATGCCTGTAATCCCAGCACTTTAGGAGGCTAAGGCAGGAGGATCACTTGAGCTCAAGAGTTTGAGACTGGCCTGGGCAACATAGTGAGATCCCATCTCTACAAAAACATTTAAAATTAGCCGGGCACAGTGGTGTACCCCCGGAGTCCCAGCTACTTGGAAGGCTGAGGCAAGAGGGTTGCTTAGGCCCAGGAATTCAAGGCTGCAGTGAGCTGTGATCACACCACTGCACTCCAGCCAGAGCAACAGAGTAAGACCTTGCCTTCACACACACACACAAAAAAACAAAAAACTCAGGTTCCAACCCTGGAGTTACTAAATCAGGATCTCAGAACGCAGAGATCTGGCATTTCAATAAAACTTCCCCTGGAGATTCTGATCAGCCAGGTTTGGGCCAGATGAACTCTAAGCTCACTTAAACCTTTGACATTTTATGAGTCTATTAAATCGAGTACAAAAAATGCTGAGTCCAAACCGGGCAAACAAATCCCATCTCCCTATGCCCAGCCTCCTTGGATTCAGAAAGCCACACTGCCTGGAGAGTAAGCAGAGAGAGAATTGTCATTAACCCAAAGACCATCTTTGAAAACAGACTGGCCGCGGCTGAGTGCGGTGGCACACGCCTGTAACCCCAGCCCTTTGGAAGGCCGAGGCAGGAGGATCACTTGAGCCCAGGAGTTCGAGACCAGCCTGGGCAACATGGCAAGACCCTGTCTCTATCTTTCTAAGTAAAACAAAATAAAAAGCTCAGACTGGCAGCACATGGTTCTTTCCAGCTGTTCCCATGAGCAGGCTTCAGGACAAGCCCAGGCAAAGGCAGGGAGAAATGGGGTGGGGACCCCCAGGCTCACCCCCTTGTCTGCTGCGTAGGTGGAGTTGGTCCCAAAGGTCACAGGCTGGGAGGGGTCCAAGGCTTTGGTGTGAGCAATCACCATCCTGTCCACAAAAGAGAGAAGACACAGGTTCCGTCAGTCCGGGAAAGGCTCAGACAACCTCCCATCCTCTCTGTCCCATCTTCCCCTGCCAGAACACAACTGGGGGCCAGGCACGATGGCTCACGCCTGTAATCCCAGCACTTCAGGAGGCTGAGGCAGGCAGATCACTGAGGTCAGGGGTTCAAGAACAGCCTGGCCAACATGGCAAAACCCCATTTCTACTAAATATACAAAAATTAGCCAGGCTTAGTGGCACGCATCTGTAACTCCAGCTACTCGGGAGGCTGAGGCACAAGAATTGCTTGAACCCGGGAGGTGGAGGTTGCAGTGAGCCGAAATCACGCTACTGCACTCCAGCCTGGGCCACAGAGCAAGACCCTGCCCCAAAACAAACAAACAAACAAACAAACAAACAAACAAACAAACAAAAAAAAAGAAAGAAAGAAAAGAAAAAAAAAAAAAAACAACAAAGCACAGAGCCGCTGCTTTCTTCCCTAACTTGAGATGTATTTTACATAAGGGCACGTTCCTCTAGTCCTAGACCGAGCTCTCTAACAACACTCTTTCTCCCCCACCCCTGAATCCAACTCCCCCAGAGGCGTAGCCACCCTGCCGGGTACACAGAGCTGAGGTCACTGGACTGAACACTGCCAGAAATGAGGTTCACTTCCTGAAATAGCTCTTGAACACAGGAGTGAATGGGCTGTGGATTCAGGTGGAATATTTATTAATGCATCAAGCAAACAGGTAGTGCGAGGTGGGAGGGAGGCATGAGGCTGGGTGCTAGGTGCTCAGTAATGACTCAAATCTAAGTCCACAGGTCCTGGGCAGTGGGAGTGGAGATGCATGCACAGAAAAACGGTGCAAGTGCCAGGCGAGGTGGCTCAAGCCTAGAACCCCAGCACTTTGGGAGGCTTACTTGAGACCAGGCGCTTGAGACCAGCCTGGACAACATAGCAAGACCTTGTTTCTACAACAAATTTAAAAATTAGGGCCGGGCATGGTGGCTCAAGCCTGTGAGCACTTTGGGAGGCCAAGGCAGGTGGATCACGAGCTCAAGAGTTCGAGACCAGCCTGGCCAACATGGTGAAACCCCATCTCAACAAAAAATAAAGAAGAAAACTAGCTGGGCATGGTGGCGTGAGCCTGTAATCCCAGCTACTCGGGAGGGTGAGGCAGGAGAACTGTTTGTACCCAGGAGGTAGAGGATGCAGTGAGCCAAGATCGCAACACTGCTCTCCAGCCTGGGAGACAGAGCAAGACTCTGACTCGTGGGGAAAAAAAAATATTAAAATTTAGCCTGGCAAGGCAGCGCACGTCTGTGGTCCCAGCTATTTGGGAGGCTGAGTGGGGAGGATCGCTTAAGCCCAGGAGGTCGAGATGGCAACGAGCTATGATTGCACCACTGCACTCCAGCCTGGGCAACAGAGTGAGACCCTGACTCTGAAAAACAAACAATGAAAGAAATGTTGCGAATGGAAATGACAAGTGGTGGCAGGAATTGGGCACTCTATGAGACAACAGACACATCCCCGATTGGAGAGTCAGGGACAGGCTCTTAGAAGAAATGGCCTTTATGCTGAGTCAAGTTAACCAGGAGGGATGAAGGGAAGAGGCTCCCAACAGAGGGACCAGTCCGTGCTCAGAGCTCCCAGCATCTGCCCAAGGCCTCCACAGAACAGACTGTTGTGTTTTTGTTTTGTTTTGTTTTGTTGAGATACAGAGTCTCATTCTGTAGCCCAGGCTGGAATGCAGTGGCATTATCTCAGCTCATTGCAATCTCTGCCTCCTGGTTCACCTGAGGCGATTCTCCTGCCTCAGCCTACCTGGTAGCTGGGATTACAGACGTCCACCACCATGCCCAGCTAATTTTTGTATTTTTAGTAGAGACAGGATTCACTACCTGTTGACCAGGCTGGTCTCGAACTCCTGACCTCGGGTGATCCACCCACCTCAGCCTCCCAAACTGCTGGGATTACAGGCGTGACCCACCGCATCCGGCCTAGACCGTTGTTGAAGCTGGTTTTCTTCTTCTTTCCTCAGTTCTTTTCTTTTACATCTTCCCCCCATCATTGCTCTGCCCATCCGAAGGCTGTGGCTGGCACAGGACAGAATAGAACCTCCTAGCCTCAAGTTCCAAACCCACACTCTCCAATAGCCAGGCTCTCAGATGGGAAGCTTCAAAGCCTTGTGACAGCCTGGCTGAACCTCTCCAGCCTGGGCCCTCCCTCCATTTCCTGCCCCGGAAACAGGCATCTCCTCTGGCCACCTCCCAAAGCCTGTCTGGAAGCCTCAGGCACCCGCTCCTGGAAGCCTGTACGATTCACAACAAACGGCCTGTCCACCCAGTCGTGCTGAGCACACCCCTATTCCCCCGAGCTCTGAATTGTCCTTTGCCCAGGCTAGGACAACATCTCAGAGCCTTCTGCCTGCTGCAGACTCGGCTCAGCCCAAATCACTCCATGAAATTGGGGTGTGGCATCTGCCTCAAGGAGCATTTCTACAACCTCTGCTGCCTCTACCGCAAATGAAACTGGCTCTCACCCACTGGCTCTCGGTGACGGGCACAGTGCGGAGCCCCACAGGGAGTGTGTAGAAGTCAAAGGCCCCAGTGACTTCTGTGCAGTCAGCCGCACCTACGACAGCCAAAGCGCCAGGTGTGAGCGCCCCGACAGCCTGAGCCCCATCTGGCCTGCCCTACAGCAGGAAGACCCCTCGTGCATGCACCCCAGAAGTCGCCACTGGGCCTGCAGAGAAGCAGCAACCAGAGGCTCTGCCCTTCACTGGCTGACCCTGGGACCTGCCCTTCAAAATCAGGCCTTCTCCTTGACCAGACGAGGTGGCTCATGCCTGGAATCCCTACACTTTGGGAGGCTAAGGCAGGAGGATCACCTGAGTCCAGGAGTTCAAGACCAGCCTGGGCAACCTAGTAAGACCCCAACTCTATAAAAAGGAGTTTTTTTTTTTTGAGACAGTCTCACTCTGTCACCCAGGATAGAGTGCTGCGGCATGATCTCAATTCACCGCAGCCCCTGCCTCCTGGGTTCAAGCAATTCCCCTGCCTCAGCCTCCCGAGTAGCTGGGATTACAGACGTGCACCATCATGCCCTGCAAATTTTCATATTTTAGTAGAGACGGGGTTTCACCATGTTGGCCAGGCTGGTCTCCAACTCCTGGCCTAAAGTGATCCGCCCGCGTCAGCCTCCCGAAGTGCTGGGATTACAGGTGTGAGCCACCATGCCCGGCCTACAAAAAAAATTTTTTTAATTAGCCAGGCATGGTGGCATGTGCCTGTAGTCCCAGCTACTCAGGAGGCCAAGGTAGGAGGATTGCAGCTCAAAGCTGCAGTGAGCTGTGATCAGGCCATTGCATTCCAGCCTGGGTGACAGAGTGAGACCATCACAAAAACAAACAAACAAATAAATAAATAAATAAATAAATAAATAAAAAATCTGGGCCTCCCACCAAGGGTGGGAAACATCAGAAAGCTCAGAGGACCACACCTGCCCGTTCACCTGTCCTGGGCTCCTGCTGAAGCCAGGGCTACCAGATGGGGGCAAAAGACCTCCCTTACGCAAGTCCCAAACCACCATTACCTCCCACGAGTACAGGTAGGCGGGGTGTTCGTGCATCAGGTACGGCCACCAGAGGTTGGCACCCAGCACCTTCAGCTGGCCCTGGGTCCCAGCCTGGTTGTCCACGACTTTGTTTTCTGCATTCAAAAGACACACTTCCAACTTGAACTGGTTACTGCACTTGACGGAGATCTGGTAATTCACCAGCCCTGCAGGAGGCAAGAGAGACCAGGGCTTAGGGAGGGACATGACCTGGGTCACACAAACGGGAAGGCCCCACAATGACCACTCCCAGGCACTCTCATTTGCTTCTGTTGCTTTTTTTTTTTTTTTTTTTGAGATAGAATCTCGCTCTGTCACCCAGGCTGGAGTGCAGTGGCATGATCTGGACTCACTGAAACCTCTGCCTCCCAGGTTCAAGTGATTCTCCTGCCTCAGCCTCTGGAATAGCTGGGATTACAGGCACCTGCCACCACATCCAGCTAATTTTTGTATTGTTAGTAGAGACGGGGTTTCACCACATTAGCCAGGATGGTCTTGATCTCCTGACCTCGTGATCCGCCTGCCTCGGCCTCCCAAAGTGCTGGGATTACAGGCTTGAGCCACCGTGCCCGGCCCTGAACCAATGCGCCCAGCCCGCTTTTAATTTAATTTTTTAATTTTTTTTTTTTTTTTTTTTTTTTTTTTGAGATGGAGTCTCACTGTCACCCAGGCTGGAGTGTAGTGCTGCGATCCTGACTCGCTGCAACCTCCACCTCTGGAGTTCAGGTGATTCTCCTGCCTCAGCCTTCCGAGTACCTGGGAATACAGGAATGCACCACCATGCCCGGCGAATTTTTCTATTTTCAGTAGAGACGGAGTTTTGCCATGTTGGCCAGGCTGGTCTCGAACTCCTGAACTCAGGTGATCCACCCGCCTCAGTCTCCCAATAGATTACATATATTATTAATGAATTGCTTCCTTTAACACCCTATTCATTGAATTTTCCAGTAAACCACAATTACTAATTACTCCTGAAATCAGAAAAGAGGTTAAAAAGATTTTATAACAGTATCCTATGAAATCTACTACTTTCAAGTAATAGTAGTTGAATTACCAAAACCCGTCACTCAAGCCAATGACTACAATTAAGATATGAGTAACATTTCCTAGATAAATAAAGTCAATTAATTATATTTGCATCTGGGAAATAGAGAAAGTACATATAAGCCATGATTTTGAAGTCAAAAGAGAGAGAATATTTGCCAAGGAGGGGTGAGTTATAGTATGTAATTATAACATACAGAAGTTTTTTGTATGCTGGTAACTAATTTTAATTTCCTACATTTTTATGTAGATTTCTGCTATTCTTGTCCTATTTTCCTAATCATCTTTCTATATGAATGACTACATAATTCTGAGAATACCAAAAGAGACAGACACAGAACCAATCGGATTCCTTTCTTCTTGAAGCTTCTGCACAGCAAAAGAAACTATCAACAGAGTGAACAGACAACCTACAGAATGGGAGAAAATTTTTGCAACAATGCATGTGACAAAGATCTAATGTCCAACACTGATAAGGAACTTAAACAAATTTACAAGAAAAAAAAAAATCTCATTAGAAAGTGGGCACAGGACATAAACAGACACTTCAAAAGAAGACACACATGCGGCCAACAAGCATATGAGAAAAAGCTCAATATCACTGATCATTAGAGAAATGCAAATCAAAACCACAATGGCATACCATCTCACACCAGTCAGTATGGTTATTATTAAGAAGTCAACGCCGGGCATGGTGGCTCACGCCTATAATCCCAGCACTTCAGGAGGCCAAGGCAGGCAGATCGCATGAGGTCAGGAGTTCCAGACCAGCCTGGACAACCTGGCGAAACCCCGTCTCTACTAAAAATACAAAAATTAGCCCAGCGTGGTGGCGGGTGCCTGTAATCCCAGCTACTCAGGATGCTGAGGCAGGAGAATCGCCTGAACCCGGGAGGCAGAGGTTGTAGTGAGCCGAGATCATACCACTGCACTCTCCAGCTTAGGTGACAGAGCGAGACTCTGTCTCAAAAAAAAAAAAAAAAATATTTGAATTTTGTTTAAATCGCTAACACATACTGGGCATTTAATAACAAAAAAAAAGGACATGAGATTGTGATCCTTATGAAGGTTTGAGAGGCATTTCACTAGGGTTCAACATACAGCAGTCTGAAACATACTGTAATAATTTAATCCAATGGCTCATCTACAGCACCTAAAAAGATTACAGCAGATTCTCATTATTCAGTGTAGTTACGGTCTAGAAAGTTCCATGAACAAATAAAAAGTTAGGTTTCAGCAAGCTACTGGTCACACTTTTGTAAGCTTACCAACACCTACTTTTGTTGTATGTGTGCTTATTTAATATATATTGTTGGCCAGGCACAGTGGCTAACGCCTGTAATCCCAGCACTTTGGGAAGCCAAGGCGGGCAGATCATTTGAGGTCTGGAGTTCGAGACCAGCCTGGCCAACGTGGTGAAACCCCGTCTCTACTAAAACTACAAAAAAAAAAAAAAAAAATTAGCCAGGCATGGTGGCGCATGCCTGTAGTCTTAGCTACTTGGGAGGCGAAGGCAGGGGAATCGCTTGAACCCAGGAGGCAGAGGTTGCAGTGAGCCAAGACTGCACCACTGCACTCCAGCCTGAGCAACAGAGTGAGACTCTATCTCAAAAAAAAAATAATAATAATTAATTAAATGAAGAATAAATAAATAATATACATTGTTCATTCATTAACATTGAACTCACAGCCAACGGCACTACAGCACTCACGCCTGAATGGAGTTTATTTAATGCATGTATTTTCTCTGTAAGACACATCACAGACTTCTTGGACTTGTGAATGCTAAGCAGCACTTCAGCACTATGCTTGGGGGTTAATTTAAATGGCAAAACAACCAACAAACAGTACAAAAACAGGAAAAGCATGGCATTAAATAGACCACAAAAAGGATACCTGACTATTGTATGAGAGCTGAAAAAGAAGGCAGAATATCATCCTGTTCAAACTCAAATTCTTTGACACTCTGCGCAAACACATGACTATGAAAGTGCTGTGAGTACTGATTTGGGGGTTACAAAAAATAGTAGGTGAGTTCACAAATACAAAAGCTGAAAACAAGGAGGATCGACTGTATTTTCGTAGACAATCTAATCTCAGAAGATTTCAGTTCAGACAAAAATCATGATAATTACTGTATTACAAAAGGGCACTAGATAGGGGGGAAAGAGTAAAAATCACAATTAAAACAAAGGTTCAAAATTCTGCAGCAACCATATCCAGTTACACTTTAATATGTTTGCGGCAGACTACATTATTGTTCCCAACTCATCACCCCTCCCTATATCTAAAACCTTTCCCCAAGACAATGCAGTTCCTCCTGCTAGAGATCAGGTATATTTATCTATACTATCAATGTTAGCCATGGACAAGGTATGTGCTTTGGCTGACTGAATGTTAGTGGACATGAGAGAAGCAATGGCTTAAAATGTACTTCCAGAACTGGAGTTTCCTTGTGATTCTATCACTGTGACAGAAACACATTCTCAGGTAGTCCACTGATCCAAGGGGGAACAAACACACAGAAAACATACCTAGACTCTATCTGCAGCTTGCAGCCTCACCAAGCCAACAACAGTCAACTCACAGATATGTTAGCAAAAATAAATGTTTTTCGTACCTTAAGTTTTATATAATTATTGACCTGCAGTTAACTGATATACAATATACATTAATCTTAAAATATCAGTATCCCATTAAAAATATTTACATTAAAAACTGAGACCACTTTCTTTCCTCCTTTTTTTTTTTTTTTTTTTTTTTAAATTAAGAGACAGGGTGTCTCAATGTTGCCCAAGCTGGAGTTCAGTGGCTAGTGGCTATTCACAAGAACGATCATCGCACACTACCTCAAACTCCTGGGATCAAGCAATCCTCCTGCCTCAGCTTTCCAAGTCGCTGGGACTATAAGTGTGTACCACAGCATGTCAGCTCTCTCTCTCCTTCTTGACCTAAAGCCTAGCATAAAATTAGCTAAGTAGAATGTTTCCAATGATGGCTGCATCAGTATCTCCCATCCCACATAATTTCTGTTTGATTTTGCCATTCACCCATAAAATGGTGGGATCTACCTCCCCTCCTTGCAAATTTGAGCTGGCCCTCTGATCCTGTCTAAGATCTGAAGCCAGATATTAAGGTACTTCATTAATTTCCATGTTTGTCCTCTATGCAACCTAGCAATCAAGCAAGAAGTCAAAACATACTGACATAGTTTGGATGGGTCCCCACCCAAATCTCACCTTGCATTGTAATAATTCCCACGTGTCAAGGGTGGGGCCGGGTGCAGATAACTGAATCATGGGGATGGTTCCCCCCATACTGTTCTCGCGGTAGTGACTAAGTCTCATGAGATCTGATGGTTTTATAAATGGGAGCTCCCCTGCACATGCTCTCTCCTGCCTGCCACTATGTGAGACATGCTTTTGCACCTCCTTGCCTTCCACCATGATTGTGAGGCCTCCCCAGCCATGCAGAACTGTGAGTCAATTCAACCTCTTTCCTTTATAAATTACCCAGTCTCAGGTATGTCTTTATTTGCAGTGTGAGAACAGACTAATACAATAAGTTGATACCAGTAGAGTGGGGTGCTGCTGTAAAGATACCCGAAAATGTGGAAGCAACTTTGGAAATGGGTAACAGGGAGAGGCTGGAACAGTTTGGAAGGCTCAGAAGAGGATAGGAAAATGTGGGAAAGTTTGGAACTTCCTAGAGACTTGTTGAATGGCTTTGACCAAAATGTTAATAGTGATATGGACAACAAGGTCCAGGCGGAGGTGGTCTCAGAGGCAGATGAGGAATTTGTTGGGAAATGGAGTAAAGTCACTCTTACTATGCAAAGACACTGCAGGCATTGTGCACCTGTATTAGAAACGGGCATAAGATAGGCGGGAAAGAGGGAAAATAAGAATTTTTTTCTAGAGTTCCCTACAGATCTGTGGAACTTTGAACTTGAGAGAGATGATTTAAGGTATCTGACACAAGAAATTTCTAAGCAGCAAAGCATTCGAGAAGAAGCAGAGCATAAAAGTTCAGAAAATTTGTACCCTGATGATGCAACAGAAAAGAAAAATCTATTTTCTCAGGAGACTGGGTTGTAGAAATTTGCATAAGTAATGAGGAGCCAAATGTTAATCACCAAGACAATGGGGCAAATGTCTCCAGGGCATGTTAGAGACCCTCACAGCAGACCCTCCCATCACAGGCCAGGAGGCTTAGAAGGAAAAATGGTTTTGTGGGTCCAGAACCCCCTGCTGTGTGCAGCCTAGGAACTTGGGGCCCTGCATCCCAGCTGCTCCTGCCATAGGTAAAAGGGGCCAAGGTACACCTCAGGCCATGGCTTCAGAGGGTGCAAGTTCCAAGCCTTTCAGGTTCTAGGTGGTGTTAAGCCTGCAGATGCACCGAAGTCAAGAATTAACGTTCATGAACCTCCGCCTACATTTCAGAAGATGTATGAAAATGCCTGGAAATCCAGGCAAAAGTTTGCTGTGGGGGGGAGGGGAGGGGAGGGGGGGCCCTCATGGATAACCTCTGCTAGGGCAGTGTCAAAGGGAAATATGGGGTTGGAGCTTCCACACAGAGTCCCCACTGGGGTACTGCCAAGCAGAGCTGTGAGAAAAGGGCCACCATCCTCCAGACCCCAGAATGGTAGATCCACTGACAGCTTGCACTGTGTGCCTGGAAAAGCTGCAGACACTCAATGCAGCCAGAAGGGGGGCTGTACCCTGCAAAGCCACAGGGGCGGGGCTGCCCAAGACCCTGGGAACCCACTTCTTGCATCACCTAGATGTGACACATGGAGTCAAAGGAGGTCATTTTGGAGCTTTAAGATTTGCCTGCTGGGTTTTGGACTTGCATGGGGCCTGTAGCTCTTTCGCTTTGGCCAATTTCTCCCATTTGAAACGAGTGTATTTACCCAATGCCTGTATCCCTGTGTATCTAGAAAATAACTAACTTGCTTTTGATTTTACAGGCTCATAGGTGGAAGGGACTTGCCTTGTCTCAGATGAGACTTTGGACTATGGAATTTTGAGTTAATGCTGAAATAAGAGTTTGGGGGACTTAGGGGAAGGCATGATTGCTTTTGAAATATGAGGACATGAGATTTGGGAGGGGCCGGGGAAGAATTATATGGTTTGGCTCTGTCCGCACCCAAATCTCATCTTGAATTGTAACAATTCCCATGTGTCAAGGGTGGGGCCAGGTGGAGATAACTGAATCATGGAGGCAGTTTCCCCCATGCTGTTCTCATGGTAGTGAATAAGTCTCATGAGGTCTGATGGTTTTATAAATGGATGTTCCCCTGCACATGCTCTCTCCTGCCCACCATGTCTGACTAAATTTTGTATTTTTACTAGAGACGGGCTTTCACTATGTTGGCCAGGCTGGCCTCCAACTCCTGATCTCGTGATCCGTCCACCCCGACCTCCCAAAGTGCTAGGATCATAGGCATAAGCCACCACACCCGGCCTCTTTTTTTTCTTTTTCTTTTTTTTATCTGGAGACTGAGTTTTGCACTCGTTGCCCAGGCTGGAGTGCAATGGTGCGATCTCAGCTCACTGCAGTCTCCACCTCAGCAGGAGAGCAGGAATCTTCAGTGATCCACGGGCAAATATGCAGCCATTGTGGGCACCTGTTCCTCCCGCGACCTTTGTGCCCACGTCTCTCCCTCCAGTACCTACTGCACGACCCCCCACGTCCGCCTCCTGCCATTGCCAGCAGGTGCCTTGCGCGGGTACCTGGCTGCGCTTATTCATCCATTATGGTCGCTCTGTCACTGGTGCCATTATGTGCTCACATGCCCACTCCCTCAGGTTTAGAAGTCGCGTTGCCCGGCAACAGAACAATCTGCTGGCTTAGCCTTTGGCCAAGTTGGCAGCTGGACGAGGACGCTCAGAGCCCAGCTCTTGAGAGTTCAAGTATCCGACAGTTCCCCACTGCTCCCAGGAGCGGTTACCCGGGCACTCTGTGCCCCTCATTCCTGTTTGGGCCAAGGCCGAGGACCTGCGAGTAGGGCTCAGTTGCCTGGAGCCCCTTCAGCCCATCCCCCAGTTCACTTTGCTTGTGGGATCTCCCCGTTGCTCCTGCCCCTGGACTGAGTGGCAGGCCATCCTACAAACACCCGGACACTCGACATCACTGGTGTCAAGACAACTCTAAGAAGGTTTCAAGTGATCCTGCAAGACCTGTGTTCCATCCTGGTGATTCTGTCTTCAATTTCACTGCACAGGTACCACAGTAAGCCAGTGCTGTGTGCTCCGAGTTCCAGGGCATCCCCCAGCTCAGCCACTACACTGAGCACAAGGACTCTGTGGGGCCCAGGAGCAGGTAGTCACCCCTTTGGGGTCCACAACACCCGGCTGTCCCCAGACTTGTGTCCAGGGAAGATAGTGTTGAGGGCCCTCAAGGAGAGCGGGGCAGGGATGCCTGAGCAGGACAAGGACCCCAGAGTCCAAGAAAATCCTGATGATCAGAGAACGGTCCCCGAGGTCACCGGGGATGCACGGTCTGCATTTTGGCCCCTGCGGGACAATGGAGGCCCCTCTCCCTTTGTGCCCAGGCCCGGGCCTCTGCAGACAGACCTCCACGCCCAGAGCTCAGAAATCAGATATAACCACACATCCCAGACATCCTGGACGAGCTCGAACACCAAACGAAATGCCATCTCCAGCTCCTACAGCTCCACGGGAGGCTTGCCGGGGCTAAAGCAGAGGAGGGGGCCAGCCTCATCCCGCTGCCAGCTGACCCTCAGTTACTCAAAGACAGTGAGTGAGGACAGGCCTCAGGCTGTCTCTTCGGGTCACACACGGTGTGAAAAGGGGGCAGATACAGCACCAGGGCAGACAATCGCCCCAACGGGTGGCTCCCCCAGATCCCAGGACTCTAGGCCCCGTAGACGCAAGATTCCCCTGCTGCCACGCAGGCGAGGGGAGCCTTTGATGCTGCCACCTCCCTTAGAGCTGGGGTACCGGGTCACGGCTGAAGACCTGCACCTGGAAAAAGAGACGGCATTCCAGCGCATCAACAGTGCACTGCACGTTGAGGACAAGGCCATCCCGGACTGCAGACCCTCACGGCCTTCCCACACTTTGTCCTCACTTGCAACAGGGGCTTCGGGTGGGCCTCCCGTTTCTAAAGCACCCACTATGGATGCACAGCAGGACAGACCCAAGTCCCAAGACTGCCTGGGCCTACTGGCCCCCCTAGCATCTGCTGCAGAGGTCTCCTCTACAGCTCCCGTGTCTGGGAAGAAGCACAGACCACCAGGACCCCTGTTCTCCTCCTCAGATCCCCTTCCTGCCACCTCTTCCCACTCCGGGGACTCAGCCCAGGACACCTCGCTGATTCCTGCCCCCTTCACACCTGCAAGCAGGGATGCCGGCATCAGAAGAATGTTTCGTGTTCGAAATTGTTTGAGGGGTTTGGGTTTATTTTTGTTGGTTTTTTCTTTTTTTTTTTTTGCTTACGTGGGCATCCTTCAGCTTTTAATAATCTGAAAAATTCTATTTACCCATTGTCAATGTGTATAAATTAATCTCAGTCAATTTTATACAATAAAAGGTGAACTTTTATCCATCAAACAATAATTTAACAAAAAATGTACCGGAAGAAGAATGTTCATTACAAATATAGGAAACATAAATATTACCAAATATTGGCAAGCACTAAAATGTTCAGAAATATAAGTCTATTACAGTTATAGCTCTCTCAAGCAAAAAAACAGCAGAGAAAAACTTAGTTTTCCTGAGGGGCTATTTATTTACTTAGGGATTTGTTAAAAGGTCAAATGGGGTCACACAGAATACTAAGAAGAGCTGTTCACCCAGGCCTCACTAAGAACTCTTCTTCATGCAGTAGCTATATAGTAATATGACAACTGCTCCTACGACCCACAGAGGAACTACAGCAACTACTCTTTAGCATCTGTTGCTCCCAACTCTGCTTTGCAATTATATGACTCAAGCATTCTGGCTCCGTTAACTATTACTGCTGTTACTCCCAAGTAAATTCCCTCTAAAAAATAAAAATTTTTAAAGCTGTAATTTAAGCTCTCTGCTGCCTCATGACTTCAATTCCATCAGAGTTACGCATTGTTTCCTCTGTACATCTTTGCTCTGCTTCCATTGCTAATTCCCTAGTAAAGTGTTGTATATTCAAAGTTCCAAAGAAACAGAATATCCAAGACATCACCAATCATCCAAAACACAGTGTAGGAGGCCACAGTTAAGAGAAGCAAGACCATTAGCTCTTTTTATAGGCTCGAGAACAACAGGATGCTTTGGTCCTGTATCAGCAGGATGCTTTTTGGGTAGATCCTACTGCCACCCTACTATCGGGTAGATCCTACTGTCACCCTAGCTATGGGCACATGTCAGAGTCCCATGTAATAAAGGAGACAAAAGGAAACCACCACGAGTATAAACTAAGAAAAGTACTCCAAGGTTTCTAAGAATGGAGCTGTATAACTCACTTTGCCCCGTTTGTTACTTCTCCACGGTACTTACCACCACCTATTACATACATTTTGTTTATAGTCAGTCTTCCCCCATTAGAATGAAAGTTCCGTGAGGATAGGACTATACAGTCAGCCCTCAGTATCCATGGGGGACTGGTTTCAGGATCTCCTGAGGGTAACAAAGGATACTCAAGTCCCTGATATAAAATGACATAGTATTTGCACATCACCTTTGCACATCCTCCCATATACTTCATATCAACTCTAGATCACTCATAATATCCGATGTAAATGTCATGCAAATAGTTATTGTACTATATTGTGTAAGGAATAAGGACAAGAAAAAAGTCTGTACATGTTCAGTACAGACGCAATTTTTTTTTCCAATATTTCCAATCCTTGGTTGCCTTAACGGATGTAGAACCCAGGAATAAGTTCTGGTGTCCTATTGCATAGTAGGATGAGTATAGTTAACAATAACATATTATATATTTGAAAATAGCCAGAAGAGTAGATTTTGAATTTTCTCCCTACAGAAAAATCATTATGCAAATTACCCTGATTTGATCATTACACATTGAGTACATGTATTAAAACATCACATTCTACCCCATATATATGTACAGTTATTATGTGTCCATAAAAATTTAATGTCAATGTGTGAAATAAAATGAAAAAATAAAAATTTTTAAAGCTGTAATTATCTCCATCTGGTAGGAATATATACAATCTGAAATAAAAAATATATTTGTAATTGTTAGGACAAAATAGATTATACATTAAGTCTGCAAATTATAAATTATAAAATTCTCACAGAACCTGAAAAATTATTGATACTGTTAAATATTTAAAAAGCTGTCCTTGGAGAGAAAGAAACCTATCAGATTTACATCAACAAGTGTAATATGTCAGCCTATTACCATCTGCTACAGACTGCATGTTTGTGTTCCCTCAAAATTCATATGATAGGCCCGGCGCGGTGGCTCATGCCTGTAATCCCAGCACTTTGGGAGGCCGAGGCGGGTGGATCATGAGGTCAGGAGATCGAGATCATCCTGGCTAACATGGTAAAACCCCGTCTCTACTGAAAATACAAAAAATTAGCCGGGCGCAGTGGCGGGCGCCTTAGTCCCAGCTACTGAGGAGGCTGACGCAGGAGAATGGCGTGAACCCAGGAGGCGGAGCTTGTAGAGAGCCGAGATTGTGCCACTGCACTCCAGCCTGGGTGACAGACAGAGCGAGACTCTGTCTCAAAAAAAAAAAAAAAAAAAAAAAAAAAATTCATATGATAAAGCCCTAACCCCCAAGGTGAGGATACTGGGAGGCGTGGCCTTTAGGAGAGAATTAGGTTTAGATGAGGTCATGAGAATAGAGCCCCTATGGTGGCATTACTTCCTTTATAAGAAGAGACACTAGAGCTGCTTTTCTCCCTACCATGTGAGGATACCGAGAGAAGATGGCCATTTCCAATCTAGGAAGCAGGCCCTCTTTAAGAAACGTAATTTGCCAACACTTTGATCTTGCACTTCCAGTCTGCAGAACTGTGAGAAATATCTGTTTTTTTTTTTTTGTTTGTTTTTGTTTTTTTTGAGACAGAGTCTCATTCTGTCATCCAGGCTGGAGTACAGTGGTGCGATCATGGCTCACTGCAACCTCCGCCTCCCAGGTTCAAGCAATTCTCCCACCTCAGCCTCCCAAGTAGCTCAGACTACAGGCGTGCACCACCACGCCCAGCTAATTTTCGTAGAGACAAGGTTTTGCCATGCTGCCCAGGCTAGTCTCAAACTCCTGAGCTCAAGTTATCCACCTGCCTCGGCCTCCCAAAGTGTTAGGAATACAGGCATAAGCCACCACGCCTGGTCAAAATATCTACTGTTTAAGCTACCTAATTTATGGTATTCTGTTTTAGCAGCTGAAGCAGACTAAGATACCATCCTTATAAGCTACAGACCAGCACTATCCAATAGAACTTTATATGACGAGGAAATGTTTTATATCTGTGCTATCCCTTATGTTAGCCACTAGCCACATGTATCCATCAAGTATTTGAAATATGGCTAGTGCAACTAAAGAACTTAATTTTTAATTTTCTTTTTTTTTTTGAGATGGAGTCTCGCTCTGTCCCCCAGGCTGGAGTGCAGTGGCGCCATCTCGGCTCACTGCAAACTCTGCCTCCCAGGTTCACGCCATTCTCCTGCCTCAGCCTCCTGAGTAGCTGGGACTGCAGGCGCCCGCCACCACGCCCGGCTAATTTTTTGTATTTTTAATAGAGATGGGGGTTCACCGTCTTAGTAAGGATGGTCTCGATCTCCTGACCTAATGATCTGCCCGCCTCGGCCTCCCAAAGTGCTGGGATTACCGGCGTGACCCACCACGCCCGGCCAATTTTTATTTTATCTTATTTAAATAACCACATGTGGCTAGTGGCTAATGTATTGAACACTACAGCTGTAGACAATACGAAATAAATATAAAGCAGTCTCCACTTTGGAAAAACAGAAGACTCTTACTGCCTCATAATATAGATGAAAAATGAAATACTAAGATAAGTAAAACGTTCTTTAAAGAACAAAAACAAAAGAAAACCTAATGAAAGCTATAAAAGTCCATTGGATAATAATGCTACCAGTACTAAGGAAGTACAGCCCCTAAGAGTGATTTGCAGTCACAAATATAAAAATGACTATTCAAGTGAACTCCTAAGGTGAAAATTTCTTATTCACCATGCTCCAAAATGGTCTGTAATATTCTTCAGAGATGGCATGGTAAAGTACGATAAAAGGGTAATATTAACAGTATGCTGTCACAGGTGCCATTCTCTTAAAAAAGAAATCCAAAAATAAATATAAATGGAAAGCAAATAATTAATGGAGTTTTGACGGTCAATCAATGGTAAATATTATTGGCATTAGATTTTTCTATTAATTATAGTTTACCTATGATCATGTATTTTTCCATTTAAAAATTACCCTAAAACTTAATGGCTTAAAATAACAAATATGTATGACACAATTCATAGAAGTCAGGGAAATGATGGATTTGGGTAGGTGGTTCTGACTCAAAGTCTCTCATGAGTAAAGGTTGCTGTCATGTTGTTGACCCAGGCAGCATCCCCTGAAGCCTTTAACTTGTGTTGGAAGGTCCGTGTCTTAGTTTGTTTGCACTGTCGCTACAGAATACCATAGACAGGGTAGCTTATAAACAACAGAAACGTTTCTAATGGTACCGGAGGCTGGATGGTGCAAAATCAAGGTGCTTGCAGATTTGGTGTCTGGTCAGAGCCCATTTTTTAGTTCATAGATTACTGTCCTCTAGCTCACATGGCAGAAGGGGCAAGGACGCTTTTTGGGGTCTCTTTTATAAGGGCACTAATCCCCGGCTGGGCAAGGTGGCTCACATCTGTAATCCCAGTACTTTGGGAGGCTGAGGCAGGCAGATCACGAGGTCAGGAGTTCCAGACCAGCCTGGCCAGTATGGTGAAACCCCGTCTCTACTAAAAATACAAAAATTAGCCAGGTGTGGTGGTGCGTACCTGTAGTCTCAGCTACTCAGCTACTCAGGAGGCTGAGGCAGAAGAAACACTTGAACCCAGGAGGCAGACGTTGCAGTGAGCTGACATGGCACCACTGCACTCCAGCCTGGGTAACAGAGCAAAACTCTGTCTCAAAAATAAATAAATAAATAAATAAAAATAAAAATAAAAACAAAAAATAATAATCAAGGCACTAATCCCCAACATGAAGACAGACTATCATCTACCAAAAGCTCCACCTCCTACTATCATTACACTGGGGGTTAGGATTTCACAAATTCAGTGCATCATAGTCTGCTTCTAGAATGTTTAATCATTTGGCTGGATATCAGATAGGATGCCTCGGTTCTTCATGTGAGCTTTCTAGAAAAGATAGTTTGGAATTATTTGCATGGTGGCTGGGCTCGTAAAGAGTTGAAGGAGAGAAAGAGAGAGAAACACCAGTAAGGAGCAAATTAGTTCACTCAAAATTAAAACCCTAGCCTTTGTGACCTTGTCTCACAAGGTAACATTCCAATCCTGCGGTGTTTTATTTCTTAGATGGGAGTCACTCAGCTTAGCCTGCCTTCAAGGGGAGGAGTATGAAGCTCCACTTCTTAAACTGAGAAGAATCAACAAATATGTAGATATATATATTTTTAATAGTATTACAGCTCATGAACCCATTTAAACCCATTTTAGAACTTTAAAGAAATATTTTAAAACGGAATTTTCAATTAAGCAGAAGAAATTGCCAGCTGTGGAACAGTGAACTTTATCGCTGAAATCACACACATATATACACACACACAGTGCAAACTCATACATGATCAAATCTATAATCTTATTACACAAAGTTTTGTGAGAGGAAAAATGCTTGACTTTTCAAAAGGGCTCATTTATTAAAAATAAAATGACCATTGTGTTCATTTTAGCTGCAACCTTTAAGCAATCAATGACTATATACTTGCTGTAATCATCCTTTAAAATTAGAATTATTGAAAAGCTTTATCACTGATGAATGAAAGAAAGTAATATTGATTTGTGGCCAAGAGAGATAATCTCAGGCAATAAACAGGTGCAGTCTTTGAAGGAATCATTTTATTTTATTACTTTCTGACATTATTGAAGCCAATTTTAAATAAATTCATCATGTTTTTAAATTTAATCACGTATTATTTTATCATACATTAGGTAAAGTTTCAATCTAAGTAACTCCTGGATAAAAAATGAAGTATATCAATTTACAATTACAAATACCCAAATTGTACAGGCATGCATTTTTCAATGACATTTATAAACTGTGTTTTGTTGTTTGTGCCTTGTGTTTGTTTTATTAATCAAATTAATTTATACAGATATATGTATGGAAATGAGACAGATATAACCAGTTCTCTATAAGTAAGCATTATTTAATGGAGTCTTTCCTTTCACTAATGATCATCAGGACAGCTAGGGAAGTGAGTTGAAATTTTCAGGCCATTAGGTTAATAGTTCTAGTAATTCTAGTAATGTTTCGACAGTCATAATATAAATGATACTATGTGGCTTGAATTAATGCATTTTCTTATGTAACAAATAATAAGACAATTTTTAAAAGTGGTAATTACTATTTTTAAATATGACAATTAAAAATAATGAAAGAAAAGAGGTTGTACATTGAGTAGCCATAACATTATCTTTAAACATATTTATTCTTCATTTCCTAACTTTTCCCACCTTTTGGCTAAATCGTATGTTCTTTCTCTAACCTCACTTCTGTTTTATTACTCTCTGGGAAAGATTTTTATATAAAACGTCTAAGCAATCAAACCTAACACAGGATGAATTTCTACACATTACTATACCCTCTGGTCACTATTTTTTTCTTCTCTTTATTGCCCATTTCCCTGTTCTTGAAACATTCCAATTATTTGCCTTCCATGACATTCTACTCTTACTTTTACTTTTCTGTCTCTGATTACTCATTTCCAGTTCCTTTTGTCATCTCCTTGTCTTCCTACACCTGCCAATTAAATTTGAATTTCCTCTGCATTTCATCTTATGTCTCCTTTTCTTCTGCCAAATTCTCTCCTTAGACAAATACAGTCATTCCCATGGTTTTATATCCCACTTATATTCAGGGGCTCTAGAATGTATAGCGCCAGGCCAAATCTATCTTAAGAACTTACTTTACTTAACCAATTACATCTGCATCTGCTCAGGATCATGTAACCCACATCAGCATTTGGCTCTTTTGTAGACCCATTTTTTCTTTTCCTGGAAGTCTATTTTGACACCTACTTTCTGTCACTACCCACGTTTTAGCATTTAGCCTTGTCAATTTACTCTCATCCATATGTAACTCTATCCATTTTCTTCTATTATGAACAGCAGTTTGAGCCATCATGACCAATTTTGCAGTATCCCTTCTTAAATCAGCCTCCTGTTTCGCATTGGACATTTTCACCCCCCAGCAATTCCACCGATTTCATTCTCGGAAAAATATAAATGAAGAGTTACATTTTTCAATAGCCATAATCATTAAATTTCCATGTGTAAGAAAATGTTCAGAACAGTATCAGTGCATTTATAATAAAATTTAAAAACTTGACCCACAAATCTCTACTTGTCCTTCTAGTTTTATTTCATTTGTCTCTCGTCAATCTCTACATTCTGATCACCACAATCTTTTAATTCATCTGAAAGCTAAGCTCTCTCTTAATTTACATTCTCTATACTTGCAATTTTGTCTACCTAGAAGTGTCTTCTTCCATCTTTGGATTGTTATTGCAAATCCATTGAATAGTTCTCATCTGAATTGTTTCTTCCTTGGGATGACTTATAAACACTTCATCCTACAGCCAAATCAGAAGACCAATATCAAAATCTTTCATCACATCCTAAATTTGCTTATATGTAATTATATGGCAAGAATCTCTTTGTCTTTATAATCATTATTCACTTATCTATGTTTTTTAAAAACTCTTCTAGGTGGTGATGCTAAGCTCCGTAATGTTGGGCTTGTTACCTGTCTCAACTATCTTCCACACCTACCACAGTACCTGCTACATAGATGTATTCAATATATATTTTTAGAATTAGTAAATGATGAGCAAGCGTGTACTTTTGTTCTCTTTCATTACAGTGTTAGAAATGCTATTACAGCATTAGAAAAGATAATCAGAAAGAAAATTTAATAGATCATCAGAAAAAATCCCAAGACTTTTAGGCAAATGAGCCTACAAACACAGGTGGAATGGACTTGCAATTTACCAAGAAATAGGTTTGTCATACTTAGAAACCAACTGCATAAACATGTTTTTATCTATTAATAACTTCATTTTCCAAAACGCTCTACTTTATATGAGACGATTCTTGATGGAAATACCATTTGCTTCTAGGCTCGTTGCTTAAACATAAAGTTAAAAATCTTTGTATGACACATAAAATTGTGGTGACTGCTTAACTTTGCAACTATAGTGCTCCTGAAATGCTCATTTAACCAGTCTGTGTTCCAGACCTACAGAACTTAGATGGTGCTAACATTGCGCAAAAATTGTGTATTTCTTCTACAACTAACTTCTGATAAAAAGGGGGCAGAGAAGGTTAACTCTCTCCCCCTTTAGCTTTATTTGCTTAGTGAATTTCTACAAAACATAATTTAAGTGCTATATTTTTCCAAGGTTTTAATAAGGAAATAAAAACCGCAATAGGTATCTTAAGCAGAAAGTGCATTTCATACATATACAATAGGAAGGGCTAAAATAACTAAAGTAGCTGTGGCATGGAGGAAGGTTTTGAGTTCTTGAATTCAAAGGCACGCAATCATTTCTGCAATCCTGGGTCAAAAAGATGCTCCTGCTATTAAAACTTTAAGCCTCTTATGCCCATGAAACTGGGGATTAGGCACAAGGATATTGAATCCTACCACTTCCACTACTTCTGAACTATTGTCCCCATGATTTCACTTGCCAGAATCAACAATAGCAAGACAGGCTTTGATCTCTTCCATTTTTCTAAGTCTGATTCATATGCAAACAATCGGTAAGTGGTCTAAGCTGCATTCATAAAGCTAGCTCAAGGGAAGCTGCATTGCTTGTTTTGTTTTGTTTTAGTTTTCTAACCTCTTCAAAGAGTGGAACGAAAGTTGAGGAAACCTGTCCAACAGTCTACCACACACCTTCCATGAAAGGTTCCCCAACACCTCCAACAAAATAATGTAAACACATGCTGGAACCTGTATTACTCTCGCACCATAACACTTCCCACACTTCCCACGATACTTTTTCTCTTCATGGGAATATCCTTCCAAAACATGCTGATATCTCCTAAGCATTATTCATCTGTCGAATTTTCCCACCTATTGTAAGGTCTTCCAATTGTTAGGTTCTTAATAAATATATTTTAAATTATTAAAATTCTGAACTAATGGGTAATCAACTGTACGACCCGAATTGCTCATTTGCATACAGCTGAAGTCCCTCCTCAAAACTTCTGTAATACATGAAACTTAGGCAAATGGTTGGGTCATTACCATATATTACTTTATATTTTTATTTATCAGTATATGTGATTACAGTTATGCTTATGTTAATTGATATGTATATGTACATTGTATTATTCTGTTACATAGCACAGCATTTTGTACTCAAAAAGTGACCAATAATAATAAGCTACATACTTTGGGAAGCATTGCAGGCTAGTCGTACAGTTTTGTTTTGTTTTTTTCCCTGCAGCCTGACAACCTTTTTAGTCATTCACTAAACCTCTCTCAGCTTCAGTTTCTTCATCTGCAACATATAGCAAATAATAAAACTTAACTCAGATGGTTCTAGTGTGAAATAATACAGAGTAAATGTGCCACCAAATACAAACCAATGGCTTGATTGACATAACTCACTGCTAATTTTCTTGAAATGATTCAAAGTATTTTCCAGACAAGCACACACTGAGGGAATTCGTCACCACCAAACGAGTCCTATGAGAAATACTCAAAGGTGTCCCAAACACAAAAATGAAAGGTCAACATTCATCATCATCATCAAAACACATGAAAGTAGCAAACTCATAGGTCTTGTAAAACAGTCACACAAAGTAGGACGAGCAATCAAATAGCAACACAACAGATTTCCACCAAACCACAAAGACAAAGAGACACACAGAAAGAAAAACAAAAAACAACAACAAAATAACCCCAAAGAACTTATAAAACAAGTAGAAAACAAACAGCAATATGGCAGAAAGAAAACCTCATGTATTAACATTAACCTTGAATGTAAATGAATTAAACGTTCCACTTAAAATATATAGATTGATAGATATTGGGCCAGGTGCAGTTGCTCACACCTGTAATCCCAGCACTTTGGGAGGCCGAGGTGGGTGGATCACGAGGTCAGGAGTTCGAGGCCAGGCTGGCCAACATAGTGAAACCCTATCTCCATTAAAAATACAAAAATTAGCCAGGCGTGGTGGCCGGCACCTGTAATCCCATCTACTTGGGAGGCTGAAGCAGGAGAATCGCTTGAACCTGCAAGACGGAGTTTGCAGTGAGCCAAGATTGCGCCACTGCACTCCACTCTGGATGACAGAGTGAAACTCCATCTAAAAGTAAAAAAAAAAAAAAGAAAGGTAGATTGATGGAACGAACTAAAAAATGATCCAAAAATATTATGCTTACAAGAAACATATAGACACATACAGACTGAAAAGTAAAGACACATACAGATTTAAAGTAAATGGGTGAAAAAAGATACTCCATGTAACGGAGACTAAAAGCAAGCAGGAATAGCTATACTTATATCAAGTAAAACAGAACTTAAATCTAAAACAGTATAACAATGACAAAGGAAGTCATTACATAATGATAAAGGGATCAATTCAGCAAGAGGATATAACAATTCTAAACACATATGCATCCAACACTAGACCACCAAGATTCATCAAATAAATATTACTAGACATAAAAAAGGAATAGACAGCAATACGATAATACTGGGGGACTTTACCATCTCACTCACAGCATTAAATGTTATCATCAAGACAGAAAACAAATAAACCTAAGACTTAAATTCAACCTTAGATGAAATAGACCTAACTGACATTTACAGAAAATACTACCCAGCAACTACAGAATATACATTCTTAATAAAACCGCAATTTCACCCAACAATCCCACTACTGGAGATCTACCCAAAGGAGAACAGATAATTGTATGAAAAAGGTATCTGCACCCATATGTTTATCACAGCACTATTCACAATAGCAATGTGTCCCTCAGTGGATGATTACATTAATAAATCTGGCACATATGCGCTATAGAATACTATTCAGCTATACAAAAGAATAAAATCATGTCTTTTGTAACAACATGGATGTAACTGGTCATTATTTTAAGTGAAACAAATCAGACACAGAAAGACAAATACTGCATGTTCTCACTTATAACTGGAAGCTAAATAATGTATACACATGGACATAGAATGTGGAATGATAGACAACAGAGACTTGGAAATTTCAGGAGGGTGGGAGGAGGGGATGATGAGAAATTATGTAATGAGTACAATGTACATTTTTCAGGTGATGTATATTCTAAAACCCTTACTTCAACACTATGTACTTTATGGAGGTAATAAGATTATATTTGTATCCCATAAATTTACATAAATAAAAAATTGCCTTCTGTACTTACTTTAGCCCAGTTATTGTTAGGTTCAACATTCAGCACTTTACTCAAATTTTCTATAGCTTTCTGGACCTTTTTTTGATATTTATATATAGTAGTGTGGCACAGAAGTGCTAATATTTACCAAAATAAAAGTTATATTTTTAATTAAAAATTAATTAAAAGGTTGTAGAATCTCAGGATGGAATGCAGACTGTTACAAATTTATCTAGCTCTATTATGAACCATACAAAATAACTTCAGTGAGGGACTTAAGGGAAAGGGTGCTAGTCAAAGTGATATTGAAAATGAGTGCAGTCTCTTAAGATGAAAGGCAAAAGAAACTTGTACGAAGGCATTTAATTTAGTTGATAAAGATGTTCTTCTACTAAGGGCAGGTTATCAATTCTGGTACAGCTATATACATATACTGGAAGTGAACAATTAACTAAATAGATGTCACAAAATAAGAGTCAGGATTTTTATTGTTGGAGTGGGGGTTTAGAGATACAGGAAGGCATTGATGCTTGCGGGACTAGGTTAGAGGTAGTGACATCAGTAAGAACCCATGTTTAGCTTAATACAGACATAGATGGTGATATGGTTTACATTTTGTCCCCTCTCAAACCTCTCGTCCAATTGTAATCGCCAGTGTTGAAGGAGGGGTCTAGTGGGAGGGGATTGGATTATGGGGGCAGATTTCCTCCTTGCTGTTCTTGTGATAATGACTTAGTTCTCACACAATCTGGTTGTTTAAAAGTGTGTAGCATCTCCCCCTTAGTTCTCTTCCTCCTTCTCCAGCCATGTAAGATGTGCCTGCTTCCTCTTTGCCTTCTGCTATGACTGTACGTTTTCTGAGGCTTCCCCATCCTTGCTTCCTGTACAGCCTGTGCAACTGTGAGGCAATTAAAGCTCTTTTCTTTATAAATTACCTAGGATCAGGTAGTTCTTTATAACAATGGGATAATGGACTAATATAGATGTTTACATATAGAAATATTTAAAGATATGTGTAAGAATATACACATTGTTTCTTTGCTCTCTCATCTTAGAGAGCTATGAAAAAATTGATACTCCCTTAGCTACAGGCACAGCTAGCACTTAAATATTGATTTCATATATAGAAAGCAGGGCGTCTTTGAAAGTGGCTGATTCTAAGAATGGGGAAGAAAATACACAAGATGAGCCTGGGACATCCTCTAGTGCCAGAAATTATGAAAATACTAACAAAAATCTATTCGTGAGATATGTCAAACAAGCACAGGGGCCAAGTGAAAGGTCTTTCAATTTCTAGAATAATTTTAGCAACACAATACATTAATTGGTAGTATATTTGGATTATACCCAAAAATGTAATTTTCCTTAGTCCATATTGATATCAATAAATGACTGAATAAACAAATGAATGAGATAAAAGAGGTAAATCTCCTCTGCAAATAATTTACATATGTATTCCAACTAAAGGAAGTCAGCTCTTAAAGACATCTTAAGCAATACTGCAACTGAATTAGCTTTCCAAAGATACTGTCACAATTCATCTATTCCAAGACCTATACATTTCATATTTTAATATCTCCTGAAAATATAATGCATTTTACAATTCAGTGGTATGTCTTAGTTTAATTAGCCACAATGCGAATTACTTGCTTAACGGGACATAAAATAGTGCATTATACAATCTATGGGCTCTTGGACTCAAGAAAATACGATAGAAAGGAGTTTATGTTAGAGTCTGCACACTGACTAAAGATCAGAGCAGAAAGCAGATTCTAGGAACAGTCACATTTGTGGCAGTCACTGGTCTCGGCATGCAACAAAATTCAAAGTAAATAGTGGTAAGGTGGGAAATGGACAAAGCTATGTAGCTAGAATCAGAAGTCTTTGAAATCAAAACATCAAGATTCAAACTATTTAGGGGCAGTGGGGCTGACGTGGTGACCGTGGGCCTGATCAGATAAAACCTTTACAAAGAAACAGTAGCTCTCAGACTCACCTCCTGAGACAGAGTTGTTCTGAGGGGAAAATGGGTAAGTTTCTACAGTAACATACAGTACTTAAACATACAGTAAGATACAGTACTTAAAGCCCTGACCTGTCCAGTTCCCAACACATCTTTCTTGATGGGCACCTAAATGTCACCTTTTGGTTTTATTTTTGTGTTTTTCTCATCTAAGCTCGGAGAGCAAAGCCTGACAGGGTGAGCCCCCAAAGTGTGTTCATGTCTTAAGAGTGTCCAGAAGCCACCTAGGGAGTGTGCAAGTTTTTCATTTTCATGCCAGGGACAATGTCTCTCTTTATTGAGCTAATGGCAAGGTATGGGCCTCAGAATATGTACAGTTTGAACATATTTGCATCTTCCCTTTAATTAACTGTGAAATCTGTGAGGCTAATGAGAAGAAAATTGATGGGTAGTCGGTGGAAGAATTTTTTTTTCATTGTCATATCTTCAACTTTCCTGGGGTATAATAAGAGATGCACAGTCAATTCAGTATACTTGAAATGTGTGATGTGGTCAAATTTGAGATAGATATATATATATATGTATATACTTTTGGAAATATCACTACATTCACAACCATCATTATGAAAAGTTTTCTTGTGCACCTCAGTAATCAGTCTCTCCCTCCATGCTGTCTCCAGGCAGCCATTTGATTTTCCATCAGGTAACATGAGTGAGAAGAAAATGTTTGTTGCAAGCTATTGAAATTTTGTGGTTGTTCACTTTTTAGAAACTCTTTGGAATTTTCTTTCTCATATCTTTATTAACATATAAAGTGTCTGTTTGGCATACTTTCAGATAATGTAAATAATATACTCAGCAATTGTTTTGTGCTGGGCTTCCATTTAATCTTTCAAGATCATATGGATTTTTATAGCTTTATATGTTGTGTTTGGCATCTTAAGCTCACTATCTACCTACTGACTCTTAAATCCCAAACTCTAAAGAGGTTCTGAAGATTCCAAACAATGGCTTGATAGCTTAAAGTAAAAAAAGCTCAGGATAACTCAAATTTTGTGACTTAGCATGCTTGAGAAAGTTTTTTTTTTTTTTGAGACAGAGTCTCACTCAGTCACCCTGGCTGGAGTGCAGTGGCGGGATCTCGGCTTACTGCAAACTCCGCCTCCCGGGTTCACGCCATTCTCCTGCCTCAGCCTCCCGAGTAGATGGGACTAAGGCGCCCGCCACCGTGCCCGGCTAATTTTTTTTTGTATTTTTTAGTAGAGACGGGGTTTCACCGTGTTACCCACGATGGTCTCGATCACCTGACCTCGTGATCTGCCCACCTTGGCCTCCCAAAGTGCTGGGATTACAGGCGTGAGCCACCTCGCCCGGCCTTGAGAAAGTGCATTTAAGCTCCTTCCTAAATGAATGATTATTTAGTCTTGCAGTGTCCATAATTTCTTTAGGTCACTTACGGAAGTCTCAAACTTGTCTGTAACACCTGATAATAACTTCCAGTACTATTCTAAAATGTAGATTTACTTTATCACATTTTCTTCTAACTTCTACTTGCCCCTGTTGTAACAATCTTCATTCTTCTTTTGTACTTATATTTTCTCCTTTTAAAACTCAATATCTAGGTCCTCTCTTATAATTGTGCTTAAAATTCATCCTGCAGTAGTGTCAGAGCAGGGTTTCTCAAAGTCATTGTGGGGAACTATCGTGTACATTGTAAGATGATTAGCAACATCCCTAGCCTCGACCACCAGATGCCAGTAGCACACCCTCTCTTTCACAGTTTTTTTTTTTTTTTTAATCAGAAATATCTGCGCACATTGACAAATGTCCACCGGATGGGAAGAAGAATGTGGGGTGTAAAATTCCCATTTTTGAGACCCACTTGCTTAGAATGTATTAAAGACCTATAATTGAAAATACCTTGGCAAAATCTCCCAAAATTGTCTCTCAAAATAACAGTATATACAGTGTAACATACACAACATCCTGTTATACTAATGAAAAAATCTAAGAAAAACTCTATAGGATGATATTTAGATATTACAGTCACTATATTAACTATTAGGATAATGTGCCACTAATTCCCAATCGTCACTGCTTTCATGTAGTGCTTGCTCCATATTGTCTTAATGTTAATCCTTAACATACACAGCCTAACATATTTATTGATGTGAAAGTTTTTGTTTTATTTTCAACAACACGGTCTCAACCAGGGGTGATTTTCACTACCAGGGACAATTTGTCAATGTTTAGAGACAATTTTAGTTTTTACTGCTGTAGGTAGTGGAGTGTGCTATTCACATCCGGTAAGTTTAGGGCAGGAAAACTGGTAAACCTCCTATAACATGAGGCTAGAGCCCACAACAAAATTATCAGGTCCAAAAATGTCAATAGTATTGAAGGTGAGACAATTTCTAGGGAGATATTACACCTTGATATTCTCATTTAATATGCTGGTAATGTAATCCAGCATTTTTCCAAAAATGAGAATAGCCTGGTGGCCTTAAATGTCATTGTTTTACTCTTACTTACATTGGACTAAAGAATGAGATCAAATGCAGCTGAATAATTTGGATATTTAAAGCAATAACATTTTTCACTAACGCGCATAGGCTTAATGCCTGGGTGACAAAATAATCTGTATACCTATTTACCTATAGGTTTACCTATATAACAAACCTGCACATATACCCCTGAACTGAAAATAAAAGTTAATAAATAAAGTAATTACATTTGTTTAGAAATAAAATAAATTTAGAAATGGAAAATATTGTTGAAAATATTCTAAGAATTTTAAATTTATACATCAAAATAAAAATAATCTGAATATTATTACTAACAGAAAATCTTTGTCTTGATCTCAAATTCCAAGTAGAATACCTTTAGACTATCTCTAGCAATAGCTAACAGAATAAGATTTACAAATCTTGATAGATCATTTTTCATGCCTGTGTCATTTTAAAATGAATTGATGGCTGTTAAAACTTAATTTAGTTTGAGTCTCTTCCGGATCATATACATAGTTTTACAGACAGCCATGTTCAATGAAATTATAATATGTAACACAAGAAATATGCCAGATGTAAAGTAAGAATCTCTTTTAAACGCTCTGATATTCAAAACTCTTTATCAGATTTCCTAAACTAACGATTTTAAACAAAACCTTTTAGTTAAGAAAGCATTGGTCTCAATAGTAAATCTGCCAATATGAATTGCTGCATTTTATTTTTGAACTTTCTAAAGGCCATCTGCCAGAGTAATTAGATATAAAATCCTGCATGCAATCTAATATTAGATGAAAAGTTTAAACTACCAATGATACAATATTGATGCACAGAGGAATGAATTGATTTTTTATGTTATTCTCAAATTGAAAGTCAATCTTTTTATAAAATAAATTTATAAATAAATCCAAATATGATATTTTAGCTCACTTTTGACAGTAGGTTTTCAGTTTCTGATGTTAACAATGGCATAATTATGATTTGCTGAATGACTTTAAAGTGATCGGATAAGGAAACAATTAGGGTTTGCAGTAGCTGGAGAAAGAAAAAAAAGAAATATTTAGATATTGCATACTCAATATGGCACATACTACGTCATAGGCTTTAATATCAGTTGACTACTCTCTTTAGAAGGAGTACGGTTTGACCTAGACCAGTTTATTTATTCATTTTTGTAATAATTTTTCCTCATTCTCTTTGACACATTGGTTAACCTAAAATCACTGTGTTGCTTAGGACATTGACTAAAAATCGTAGTCTTTCAGTTTGTGGCTGCTCACAGGATTTTTTTTTTTTTTTTTTGCTTTGGCTTACTAAATAATCTTTTATTGGAGTTAAAACAACAAAGCTAGTAAAGATATATAAATCAATGCCAAAAAAAAGGAGACAGGCCTACTTATATGCCATTATCTTCTGTTATTGCCGTTGGATAGAAGACAGACATTATCATTTTTAATCAATTGTATACTTCATAAATATGATACAACAGATATTTTTACTTCCAAGATTATACATAGAGTTTTTATGATTCCTTTGTGAGTGTGAACTATATAGCTGTCCCTAAAACATAATTGAGAACAGAAAGGTTTTATTTTTAATTATATAATTTTCTTGCCCAAGTTATATGGATTCATAGGTTACAGAATGTATAACAATATACATTTTTTGCATTTTTAAATTTACTGTATAATTTATTTCTAAAACCAAATTTGATATACAACTATGTAAACCATTAAATATGATTTGGATTAAAATAATCTTAACAGACAAATCCAAAAACACTGCATTTTATTATTTCTATTTCTAATGTTACCTCCAGGTTTAAACTCCCCTAAGTAATTGACTCTACCTATTATGTTTGTGTTTTGAAACATCACTCTATATTGTAACAAAAAGAAAAATGACACAATTAGTTTCATATATGTACACAAAAATTTTCAGTTTTAAATAAGGAAATATAGTTTTGAAATTTAAAAAAGTAAATGTTATAATATTTTCTCAAATAATTTACTACTCATATTCCCATTGCTTAGTTTCATTAATTTTTACACTCACATTTTACATATCCAAGATATATTTCCAGCTTTATTTTCAGAATGAACTGCTAGGATCTTAGATGAGTTTATTATTTTGCACGAGGTGCCACTGCTTGACACCTGATTGTGTGTATACCCCCCTTTTTTTTTATATATACTTTTAAGTTTTAGGGTACATGTGCACAATGTGCAGGTTAGTTACATATGTATACATGTGCCATGCTGGTGTGCAGCACCAATTAACTCCTCATTTAGCATTAGGTATATCTCCTAATGCTATCCCTCCCCCCTCCCCCCACCCCATAACAGTCCCCAGAGTGTGATGTTCCCCTTCCTGTGTCCATGTGTTCTCATTGTTCAATTCCCACCTATGAGTGAGAACATCCGGTGTTTGGTTTTTTGTCCTTGCGATAGTTTACTGAGAATGATGATTTCCAATTTCATCCATGTCCCTACAAAGGACATGAACTCATCATTTTTTATGGCTGCATAGTATTGCATGGTGTATATGTGCCACATTTTCTTAATCCAGTCTATCACTGTTGGACATTTGGATTGGTTCCAAGTCTTTGCTGCCCAAGGTAATTTATAGATCCAATGCCATCCCCATCAAGCTACCAATGACTTTCTTCACAGAATTGGAAATAACTACTTTAAAGTTCGTATGGAACCAAAAAAGAGCCCGCGTTGCCAAGTCAATCCTAAGCCAAAAGAACAAAGCTGGAGGCATCACGCTACCTGACTTCAAACTATACTACAAGGCTACAGTAACCAAAACAGCACGGTACTGGTACCAAAACAGAGATATAGATCAATGGGACAGAACAGAGCCCTCAGAAATAACGCCGCATATCTACAACTATCTCATCTTTGACAAACCTGAGAAAAATAAGCAATGGGGAAAGGATTCCCTATTTAATAAATGGTGCTGGGAAAACTGGCTAGCCATATGGAGAAAGCTGAAACTGGATCCCTTCCTTACACCTTATACAAAAATTAATTCAAGATGGATTAAAGACTTAAACGTTAGACCTAAAACCATAAAAACCCTAGAAGAAAACCTACGCATTACCATTCAGGACACAGGCGTGGGCAAGGACTTCATGTCTAAAACACCAAAAGCAATGGCAACAAAAGCCAAAATTGACAAATGGGATCTAATTAAACTAAAGAGCTTCTGCACAGCAAAAGAAACTACCATCACAGTGAACAGGCAACCTACAGAATGGGAGAAAATTTTCGCAACCTACTCATCTGACAAAGGGTTAATATCCAGAATCTACAATGAACTCAAACAAATTTACAAGAAAAAAACAAACAACCCCATCAAAAAGTGGGCGAAGGACATGAACAGACACTTCGCAAAAGAAGACATTTATGCAGCCAAAAAACACATGAAAAAATGCTCACCATCACTGGCCATCAGAGAAATGCAAATCAAAACCACGATGAGATACCATCTCACACCAGTTAGAATGGCAATCATTAAAAAGCCAGGAAACAACAGGTGCTGGAGAGGATGTGGAGAAATAGGAACACTTTTATACTGTTGGTGGGACGGTAAACTAGTTCAACCATTGTCGAAGTCAGTGTGGCGATTCCTCAGGGATCTAGAACTAGAAATACCATTTGACCCAGCCATCCCATTACTGGGTATATACCCAAAGGATTATAAATCATGCTGCTATAAAGACACATGCACACGTATGTTTATTGCGGCACTATTCACAATACCCCATTCTTTAGACTTTTAAAATCAATACCCACTCTTCCCCACGAACAAGAGAAAGTAAAAACAACTAACAGTGGATTTCTGTATCACGATGACTCATTTTCAATAGAACACTACCATAGGTCAAATGGATGAATGCATAAATAATGAATGGATTAATATCTTTTATATAATCATGTGCCACATAACAACGTTTACATCAATAAGAGACAGCATGTAAAACAATGGCTCATTAAGATTATAATAGGGTTGAAAAATTGCTATCACCATTATAGATTGATCACTCTATGAAGTTTGCACAGTAAGATAATCACCTAGCCACACACTTCTCAGAACATATCCTCATTGCTAAGTGACACAAGGCTATATTTCATTTAATGATTGCGTAAATAGTTGTTGAGAAAAATCTGCACTCTAAGTACCAGGATAAAAGAGATTAATAATAAATTAATGATTAAATGCACCATGATCAATCTTATCATTGAGGTCTATATGCTACATTTGGATTACATCGTAAAGGCAGAGGTTAATCATCGCAACTTACACAACAGGATACAGAGTGGATCAGCAGATAATTACATAATAGAATACAGTTTGAAACCTGCAAGATGCATTAGAATTAATTAGAATCAAACCATATGTGTGACTTTGGTTTAAATGTGCAAAACCTATTAATATAGATATAGCCAGGACATTTCTATTGTGTGTGTGTATATATATATATATATATAGTGTGTATATATATATATATATACACACACATATACATTTATATATACATACATACATATATATAATATATAATATATATATATATATATATATATATATTTTTTTTTTTTTTTTGTGATGGAGTTTCGCTCTTGCTGCCCAGGCTGGAGTGCAATGGCATGGTTTCAGCTCACTGCAACCTCCGCTTCCAAGGTTCAAGCAATTCTCCTGCCTCAGCCTCCCAAGTGGCTGGAATTACAGGGGCCAACCACCACACCAGGCATATCTTTGTATTTTTAGTAGAAACTGCTTTCACCATGTTGGCCAGGCTGGTCTCGAACTCCTGACCTCAAGTGATCTACCCCCTCGGCCTCCCAAAGTGCTGGGATTACAGGTGTGAGTCACTGTACCCAGTTTGTCTTTATAAATCTTATAGAAATATTTAACTTTTAAAATCAACCACACACAATTAAGACTTTGATAAAAGTAATTAAGAAGTAAAGCAATGGAAAAAGCAATTTTTAAAAACATATATGAATGATTGAAAGCCAGGAGTAAAATTAAGAATTGTATTAAAATATCACTATTAAAATTAGCTACATAAATATTTAATTAATGCAGCTAAATTGTTAACAAAATTTACAGAAGAAAAGTATGTTAACATTACTGAATCATCTTAAAATCTTATTAAAATTTAAAGTTCTTCTCAACTGAAATTATATCACAGAAAAAAATAATGTCACCTTAAAAAGTTTAGGATTAGAAATACATAATTATTTTTAAATATAGTCTTTATATATTAATTATATTTCATTAATGTCTTATTTCTTGAATAAACTTTTTTCATGATACTATTTAAGTGCCACATTCTACAATAATATGGAAAACAATTCTACAAAATGTGGCATACAGTAATTGATAGGTAGTATAGCACACCTTTTATCTCTTTATAGCAAAAACATAATGTGTAAATTAATATAACACTAAGTCCCATATTGTCATTTTTTGTCAAAGAGCTATCTCCTTGAAAACCATCATCCTCAGATGCATCTCTAACTTCAAAAAGACCTTAGAAACTGTAACAATTGTAAATGCGTTATAACTTAAAGAGATATTATCTTCACATTAGAGGCTAACAGGCTTATACCTACTGATAGCTGACAAGTATTATAGGAATCCTGGCAGGCAAATTGTTGCATAAAAATTATGTAATTTACTAACTGTAAAATAACCTTTAGAGTTTAGAATCAGTCAGATAAGTAGAACAGACAATTGTTATCAAAGCCATATAAATGGCTATTAAAATTATTTTTTGCTACCCTCATTTTATCTCTGAAGAGACATCTTGTTAAAAAATGAATAACAGACACATATAAATACCTAATTACAAGCAGAGTTAAGATTAAAATTCAGCCTCATTAGGGGTGGGATAGAAATCAGTACACTAAAGAATATTTTGGTGCAGGTAGTTTGTTTCAAATGATTCAACCTTCAACATTACTTCACTTAAATTTTAGCAAACTTTCTGCTATAATTTAAGCATACAGACCTATGACACTAGACATATGTCCTGTGTAAGCCTGGGCTAGGGGAGCTCTATTTAATACTTACATAAACCCCAAAGATGTCCTAAGAAATAAAATTTGGAAAAACTTTGATGTGCTACAGCACGGATTTTCTCCTACAGCAACAGAGCAGACACTTGAATGTAGTTATACTCCTGCTTTCCACCTCCCTGTCAAAACAATAAAAAAGGCCACAGGCCTGTGGTTCTGGCCTCCAGGGAACTGGTGGCTTCTTTAACCCACACTGCTGCTGCTGAATCCCATTTAGGTTTAGGGTTTATTTTGTATATGCCTTTGTACAGGCTAAATGCTGGTCTAGTTGAAAATCAACCTAAAACAACCTTAATAGCATCTCATTTTATTGTGACTTTACTTTTTGTGTTGTTTGGTGTTTTACTTTTGGAGACAGAGTCTTAATCTGTCACCAAGGCTGGAGTGCAGTGGCATGATTATGGCTCAACCTCCAGGCTCAAGTGACCCTCCCACTTCAGCCACCTGAGTAGCTGATACCACAGGAACATGCCACCACATAAGGCTAACTTAAAGAACATTTTTTTAGATGGGATCTCACTATGTTGCCCAGGCTGATCTTGAGCTCTTTGCCCCAAGCAATCCTCCCACCTTGGCCTCCCAAAGTGCAGGGATTATAGGTGTGAGCCACTATGCCAGGCCTCTCTCATGACTTTAAACTTGAACATGCTTTTGTGCTGTGGCCGAGTTTAGGATCCCAACCAGCCTGTGATTACTGTGGTCACCACACAGATTCCCTCTTGTTCCATCTTTTATATTCCATCTTCTCACTCTCATAACTGTGTGGATAGGAAAACAATTATCCATACAGGTATGATATTGGCAGAGAAAATCACAAAATGTTTTAATGAGCAAACACTTTGGGGATGGTAATAATCTTTCTACCACCTTCATTGTCTTGTTTAAGTATCTCTACATTCTTCTTTAAAAATTAGGAATATATCTTTCTTGCTCTTTCGTTGTTGTTGAACACCAGAAGGGGATATTCCTTAATTCTCTCTCCATAGCTAAGGACAGTACAGCACAATATTCCATTCAGCAGGTGAAGTCAGTATGAATGAATGCATTTCAATCAGCAAATTGCTGGTTGTGTTGCAACTCCTAGTTATGATGTTTTGTGTACTTTGAAGGGCTCCCATTAATTAAGGTATTTCTTATAAGCATTCAGAAAGTTTCTTTTCTTGGCATGCGACTTGAAAATTTGTCCTGATATTTTCCCTGTGACAATGTTTTGTGAATTGTAACTCAGCCACTTAAGTGGCTCCTCATAATAAAGCCACATGGTATCCATGTACACATATTTAACAAATCAAAGAAGTGGTTCTCAACCTAATCTCTAGAGGAGGTCCTTCTTGTTCACTTTCAATAACTATGTTGAAGAATAGATTCTAAAAAGCTATCACCAAATTTTCGAATATGTTTTGAAATTTGTGTCCACAAAATCTATAAATCAATAAATGTATAGAATAGAGCATAATAATCCAATTAACAAATTTAAGATGTCATCTAAGCAGGAATGAATGCAATAAATAGGCCTTCTTACTTCAAAATCAACTGCAGAGGTAATGCATTGCCACTAGACTTGTGTGCTGTGTTGGTAATAAATTAACAAAAACTTTGGGGATAAGAAAAATCTGCAAATAAAATGGTGTGTCATTTGTGAAATATAATCACAAAAATGTTCAGATTGTTATAATTAACAGAAAAACTATTGTTTTTATTATATCCAGTGTTTAACAGACACTATTCATGTATACATACAACATTCTTATAATAACTCTTGTGTCCATGTAAATAGCAGTCTTGCCAAAAAGAATTGATTATCATGTAGTAGTTTGTAAGTATTTTCATGCATAGGCTGCAACCCTTTAGAGTGCTATTCTAATAAATTATTAATATTAACTTGATGAACACAATTCTAAGACATTTCATTTGAGGATATGTTTATTAACTATTAGGTTGGTACAAAAGGCATTGCGTTTTTTGCCATTACTTTCAATAAAAAATAGAACCAGCATTTAGAAATCTACTTTCAGAAACTTAATAAAATGAGAATTTGTCCTCTTTTACATATAGGAAGCCTGCATAATAAGCATTCTGTTGCTAGTACATAAGCTTCCCATTTTCATCAGGAAACTATACACTTACATTTCACTTTTACTAACTTCAATGCATGACTTCTACCTTCAAGGTGATTTCATGCTTCTAGCCACCATGTCTGTACTCCAGGACAGCAGCACAAAGTGTAGAAAAATAAAAAAGACATACCTCCCTAATGAGTCAACTGCACTTAAGGAGCCATCCCAGAAGTTTCACACGGCTTATTTGAATACAGCTATATCCAGATGCAAGGAATGCTGGGAAATGTGGTATTGTGCGCAGCTAAAGTTGGGATTATGTTAGTGAAAATGAGACCACGAACATTGGAAGGTTAAAAGCAATCTCTCATGACATATACAATTACAGAAATTAAATTAAATCTTTAAGCAATGTGATAAACCTATGGAATGTTAACAGGCAAAAATAGCAACATTAAAAATTACAGTGAGGGAATAAGGTATGATTCGTTTGTAGATGGTTTGTGTGTCATTAATCTAGGCAAAAAGTCATAAACTCCTCTAACAGTGACCACATGTATAAAAGAAATAATAATACACACTATGGCTAACAACATTCCATTTTGGCCTATTTACTGTTGTTAAGTCTCTATGGTTAGCATCAGAAATGTACAGTTTTGATAGCCTATGACCTCAACATGTTCAGTTTGATAGTAGAAAGGACAACATAAAGACAAACCAATCAACAAATAAGAATAAAAACTGTTAAAAAAAGGACAATATTATCATAAGAACATAAGGATGTGATAATGTATTTGACATATCGTTTATTTATTGTTTTATAGTTGGATAATACATATAAATTTACTGCTCCTTCAATGTTAGAATCAATAGAATCATAGCAGAAGTAATTAAGCAGATAAAGATCAAAACGTCACCTTTATTACTTACTGTTTGAAAAATAGTCTAAGGCTGGTTTTACAGGGTTGCTCCTATCCATCACCTGATGTGAAGTTTCTTAGGAAGCTTCAGGACTACACCAAAGAAGCAGAACCTGCTCTTTCACTCTGTTGCATTGTGTGGAGTGCAGGCCATCATGACTGCTCTCTACAAGAAAAAGAAAGGAAATAATTAAGAAACGCACAAAAGTTTGTGAATTGAGAATCCCAAAATAGGTATGAAATTGGTTAGCTTTCTAAATTCACCAATCTCATAACTAACACCTGTCCCCATGCAGTGAATGAGTAAAGGATGGACAGACTCCATAATGATTATTCTAGGGAAAGCCTTCTGAGTAGAAAGAGGAGAGTTTTGCAAACAGTTTTGTAGAGTTTACTCTTGTTTATGCACTGATAATAAATAAGAGTTCCTAAAATTCTCTCTAGAACTCTAGGTAAATGAGATATTTCACTGCTCATGCTGTGTGACCTTCATGTCCCATCTGCCTAGACTGTAAATATGCTTTCTGAAGTTTAAAAGAATTAGTATACTATGCTTACATTAAGCAAAAAAGTACCCTTATTATGCAGGATCAAGTAACACTCTAAAGATTCATGTTTATGAAAAAACACTGATGATTCTATTTTATTATGTGTCTTCTAAAGAGAAAAATACTTGTGCTCTGCAGCATAATTTTACAATGTGCTATTCTAAATACTTTCATTTAAACAAGACCATTATGAAAATGTTTTGCACACAGAAATATATTTTGAATACTTTTTTAAAAAGATCACAAAGTATATGGTCTCTGTACGTGTTCAATTATTTTAATGCTTTCACTATAACAGGAATTCTTAAAGAGGATATGTACTTGCATAATGCTGATAATTCTTTCTCATTTCTGTTTGTGCTTTGGCTGTTGTTACAACCACTGAAAGTAGTAATTACATGAGTGTATTATCCATGATTATCTTTAGATATATGTGCATTTTCTTTAATTAAACTATAAACTCTAAATGAAAAATAAAAAAGAAGTCACCTCTTGTCTCTTTGTACAATATTAAAATTTTTTTCTTGTATCCAGAGTTTCCCAAATGCCTGTTGCAAAATTTTACTTAGGGAGTAGAAAGTGGAGAATCAATATGGTAAAAAAAAACTGTGTTACAGGGAAGGAGACACAGGGTAAGCATTTTCCTTATCTTCTCTCCTGTATCTACGTGCTGCACAAGCATAAATGATAGCAGTCACATGAACGAGTACTTTTCAAGAACGTAGAATATGGTGATGGAAAAAAAAAACCGCTTTGAAACATCGAATAATATAAAAGCCAGAACTACTACAACTATTTTTTACATCCATAGAAGGTAAACTATTTTTAGATATAAAATTCCTTCTGACGGTAGTCCTGATCATTTAACCAATATTTTGATAAATCAAAGAAGGGAAAAATGGACATTCAGTCCAAAGATGGGCATGTATTCCCATGCCCAGTCAGGCAAAATTGTGGATGTTCTTTAAAATAACAATTCATTCAACAAATAATTTTTAAATGGCTACTGAATACCTGGAAAGGTTCTAGACACAGGGGCTATAGTAAGAAACAAGAAGGAACTAATTGACAAGAATGTGCTCACCGACAATGAAACATCTCCTCATGGAGCTTGAGTTCTGTTTGAAAAGACAGAGAACAAAAAAATATTATTGCACAGAGTGTTAGTTATGTGTGAATTAAAAGACTGGTCAGTACTTGAAGGAGAAGGAGTGACAACAAATCTCACTTCCAGTTCTATTTACCTGAACAGATTAATTCTATTTTGTTTCAATGCAACAGTAGTCCTACGGTTAACAAGATGCACTACACAAAGCAAACAACTTATAAAACGCATTTTTTCCTTATATTGCAAATCAATTTTAAGTGGATCTACAAATATACAATAAATAATATAAATTACGGATCGTTTGTTTCTAAGGTAATAAGTACATTTGTTAATTTCACATAAATAATTTCAGAAGGAGAGCAAATGTAAAAATGTGTTTTAGACAGTGGAGATGCCATTTTATTGTAAGACTATTTATACTCAAAGGACAAAGTAATCAGCTTTCTATGTCAATGATCGTCCTTCTCTATTTCACCCAGTTCCAGACAAACCCAAGTCTTCCAAGTCTCTTCATATATCTGATCCAATAAAATCTATAATGAGTTCAGTTAGCATACACACACACACACACACACACACCACACACACACAAGCACACAAACACACACACGACTGCATTGAAATACTTGCTCTAGGGAAGGAACATAGTGTATATGCAACTTGTGTACTTTCTAAGTATGGGAAGACTAATCCTTTAACAACTGCATTTACTTTCTTTCACTTCTATCGTTGCTATCTACTCCTCAGAAATCTACTTAAACAACCAATAAATATATATGATGTTGTTATGAGAGTTTTGGAAATAATTCCTAAAAATTTGCATGGTTGCCTCTTTATATTTGGCAGCTTCTATCACCCATGGGAACAACCCCTACAGAATGATCAGAATATAAAGCATGTGAGCCCTGGGTTTCTCAGGCACTGGAAGGACCTGTCAGAATCCTCTCAGGTGGGTCAAAATGGCCAGGCTTTATAACCTCATCTCCATTCGTGTTTGCATGTCCAGTGCTCCAGGATGCCCTAACATTGAGCCAGACAATGGTTACAGCTGAGGCAAACTTTGAAGGAGCTGAGAGCTGAAGGCTGCTTTGTAATATTGCTCCTAGCAGCCAAGGGGGAAAGAAATCTTTTCTTGAAGAGCGATCTGTGTCCATAGCAAAATGTTTTTTTCTTAGCTCTTGTAAAATCGAAATTGTTTGCTTTTGAATTTTTTTAAATGATTCCTTTAAGATTCTTAATACCAAGATATCACAAGGTCAAGGAATTTTATAAAGAAGTATTTCTATTTATGTAATTTCCTAAATTTATCTATACACAAATCAGCACTAAAACATGCCTTTGATACTAACAACTTGATCGGTTTGTGAACCAAATCTGTCATGCAAATACATACGGCTGTTTTTAGATAAATTCTAAAGGTATTACCAAATCATTTAATTTTATTGTGTATCTCAATATTCTGGTTGATGTATAAGTTTAAATAGAACAAACTATTTGACATTGAAATGTTCTTTATCAAAGGAGAAGGAATACAATTTTAAAGCCACAACGAGTGACACATAGTTCTGAATGATTTATTGGCTGTCTGCCATTCTGAAATGGCTGCCAGTCAATGTTACATGTGACATCTTTCAGATAGTGTGAACTCTTTTATGCAAGCACCTTTCACTATAAAATTACAGCTGGAGATCATGAAGAGAAAAGTGTGGTGTTTATCTTAATGGGCTGAAAGACCTATTTCAACAGTTACAGTAATTCAGAAAAATAGTCTGAAGTCTAGTATTTCAATAATGTTATTTTCATAGATTTTAATCTCTAAAGACAATGCTTCACTTTTGTAGAAAATGACTTTTCTAATCATCCTGGATTTCAAAATTCTTTCCATTACTTAATATTTAAATCACTGGCAGAACTTGGCATGAGGACTAGAGAGCTGTCACCAAGCAGCCAGTCATTTTTCTTGGCTTCCCATATGCCATGCCCAGCAATAGAGCATTTCTTAGTAGCTGAGGAATAGCAGCAGTGCTAAACACAGAGATGACATTAACAGGAATGAGAGGGTCCAAGCTGTTTTCCTAGACTAATTCTCATTCAGCCTGAATTCAAAGCATTTTCCTATCATTATCATAGATATTTCGCTTGTGGTATTATCTATCTTTTGGCAATGTTGATTTTTTTCTGATTATCCAAATAAGTAATGTTAATGGAAAAAATCAGATATTAGGGGAAAAAAAACTCTAGAAATAAATGTTAACCCAAGACAATAACAATTCAATTAATTTATATGATACCTTAGGGATTGTGTCAATTATTTTTTAAATGAAATTCAAAAAATTCAACACCTGTGTTTTCTCCTACGATTACAAATTCAACTAGGGCACAATTGTAAATGGTTGTATTTGGTTGAATTTTTAGATTGTTTATAAGTTTTACTCTTGCAGACAATAATAATGGAGTTTCTTTGAAAATAAATTTAGTTGTTCTATAACCAAGGCATAAATATTCAATTCAATAAAATTAGCAAAAATATTAAATGAAAAGTATATTATATATAAAATGCATAAATAAAATATCCTGCACTGATCATTTTATGTCTATGGTTACCCTACTGATTCTGTGCACATTTGCATATGGGTATATATGCAATTTTATACAATGAAGTATTAATAGTGTACATAAATTTAGTAATTATTTTACCCCTTAAAAGTATATGCAATGAGTGTCACTTATATATAAATTCTGTTAACGTGGAAGAAGAATGTTAGTCAAAAAAACTACGAATTTAACAATTTTCTGGTTAATTCAAAGGGCTTTCCAAAAATGTCTTTTAAAATTCAATTTCATTTATTTTCTCATAGCAGAATATGAGAATGAATCTTTTTTGCTGCAAATTGGCTAGCAATAAATTTTTATTTTTATTATTTTAATTCTGTGAATTTCGGGAATGGAGTCTCATTCAGTATAAATATTATAATACTAATGAGATTGACTCCCTCCTTCTTATTAACAGTGTGCATTTTTACCCTCCGTGATTCAGTGCATGGTGTAGTGCTATAATTAAAAATGAACATTTTTTTTTAAATTTTATTATTATTATATTTCAAGTTTTAGGGTACATGTGCACAATGTGCAGGTTAGTTACATATGTATACATGTGCCATGCTGGTGTGCTGCACCCATTAACTCGTCATTTAGCATTAGATATATCTCCTAATGCTTTCCCTCCCCCCTTCCCCCACCCCACAACAGTCCCCAGCGTGTGGTGTTCCCCTTCCTGTGTCCATGTGTTCTCATTGTTCAATTCCCACCTATGAGTGAGAACATCCGGTGTTTGGTTTTTTGTCCTTGCGATAGTTTACTGAGAATGATGATTTCCAATTTCATCCATGTCCCTACAAAGGACATGAACTCATCATTTTTTATGGCTGCATAGTATTGCATGGTGTATATGTGCCACATTTTCTTAATCCAGTCTATCACTGTTGGACATTTGGATTGGTTCCAAGTCTTTGCTGCCCAAGGTAATTTATAGATCCAATGCCATCCCCATCAAGCTACCAATGACTTTCTTCACAGAATTGGAAATAACTACTTTAAAGTTCGTATGGAACCAAAAAAGAGCCCGCGTTGCCAAGTCAATCCTAAGCCAAAAGAACAAAGCTGGAGGCATCACGCTACCTGACTTCAAACTATACTACAAGGCTACAGTAACCAAAACAGCACGGTACTGGTACCAAAACAGAGATATAGATCAATGGAACAGAACAGAGCCCTCAGAAATAACGCCGCATATCTACAACTATCTCATCTTTGACAAACCTGAGAAAAATAAGCAATGGGGAAAGGATTCCCTATTTAATAAATGGTGCTGGGAAAACTGGCTAGCCATATGGAGAAAGCTGAAACTGGATCCCTTCCTTACACCTTATACAAAAATTAATTCAAGATGGATTAAAGACTTAAACGTTAGACCTAAAACCATAAAAACCCTAGAAGAAAACCTACGCATTACCATTCAGGACACAGGCGTGGGCAAGGACTTCATGTCTAAAACACCAAAAGCAATGGCAACAAAAGCCAAAATTGACAAATGGGATCTAATTAAACTAAAGAGCTTCTGCACAGCAAAAGAAACTACCATCACAGTGAACAGGCAGCCTACAGAATGGGAGAAAATTTTCACAATCTACTCATCTGACAAAGGGCTAATATCCAGAATCTACAATGAACTCAAACAAATTTACAAGAAAAAAACAAACAACCCCATCAAAAAGTGGGCGAAGGACATGAACAGACACTTCTCAAAAGAAGATATTTATGCAGCCAAAAAACACATGAAGAAATGCTCACCATCACTGGCCATCAGAGAAAAACGAACATTTCAAAGATGTGCTTCCAAATGCCAAATCATCACTAAAAAGCTCTGTGGCATAGAGGAAATTTCACAACCTTTTAGTGCCTCAATTTTGTGGAAGAATGGTTAGGAGGCTATTGCAATAACAAAAGAAAATTTGAATAGCTGTATCCAACATGAAAAGATTGCTAGTAGAATTAAATGAGTTACTATAGGTAAAACAATCAGGGAAGTAATTAAAGAGAATCTGCACTAACATTGTTTTATTAATTTAAAATATCTGTACACAATCCTTTGACTCATTTGGAATTAGTTTTAGTGTATTTTAGAAAATAAGGTTTATTTTTTATTTTCTCCCAAAACAATTCTTCAAGACAACTTTTCGAACAGTAAATTCCTTCTTTGTTTATAATATGTATTTTAATAAAGTCACTTATCTTCATGATTTCTAGGACATCGGTTCTATCTAATCTACTGTTCAGCATTCGTCTGAGTATTTTCTGAGCAGCAATTAACCCCTCTGTACCTCTGAGTGCCCACATTTCCTTGATCCATTTCACCTTGCTGATCAATCCTTCTTTACTCATAGTCTAAATTTTTTTTTTAGAACTTCTGAGAGTGCCCCAAACCTTGGTCTTGGGTCTTCCTTCAATCTTATTTGTCTTTCCACCTGATCTTAATTATTTACATCACATTATACCCTATCTTTATGGTGACAAATCTCAAAATTATCTCTCTGACCTAAACTTATCATTAAAGATTTGGTTGCAACTTATTAAGAAGTCAGGTTCAATGTAATACATGCATTGTTGATTTAATAAGCTCATCAAAATACTTAAAATTTTATTTGAATGCAAAAAAATAAAGCTTTTAATTTTATCTCCTATTTAATAATTTTGACAAAAACATTATACCAATCATTACTAATTATTGCTGGCTTTTAAAATATTATCTGATTAAATATTTTTGACTTGGAAAAATGGTAACAAATGCTTCTCTCTTTCTTGTCCCCTTGAACCATACTTGATATTGCTTTTTCCAAATCCGGGCCACAAGTTCAGAATATAACCTGTTAAAATATCTTCTGTGTATAAACTATCTTTAAATTTTCTTGAGAGAATACTGAGTAACCAAAAGCATTGCTCCTTCACCCTACAAAAGAGAGAAAAATTAAAAAATCACATTAATTTGTAATTTTAAATGGTAATTAAAGCTATTGTGAGGGCTCTTTTATCGGCCAAACTTGTGAACAAAAAACAGCTCAAATTTATGTGTAAATAAAATATATTGAGATGAAGCCTTTCATTCAATGTGTGATTTTCAGTTCAAAAAAACACACTGATGTTCAAGAACAAAGACTGGTACAATAACTATCTACAAAATGCTTTTGTTACTAGATTTTAATTCCTTCATCAAACAGACACAGTCAAAGTTGATAGTGTCACTAGATCTAGAGGTCTATCAATATCCTTCCCACCATTTAATATGTTCTTAATCTCAGGGAAATTCTAAATCATATTCTTCTAAACTGTACAGTTGACTCCTGAAAAACACAAGGTTTAGGGCCATCAAACCTCCCTAACCCCTCCCCACCACCCCAGCACAGTCAAAAATTCACATATAACTTTGGACTCCCCAAAACTAAACTAACAGCCTACTGTTGACTGGACAATCCTTAACACATATTTCATACGCTGTATGTATTTTACACCGTAGTTTTACAATGAAGCTAGTTACAGAAAAGAAAGTGTTATTAAGAAAATTATAGGGAAGAAAAAATACGTTTACAGTACTACAGTATATTTATTTCTCTCATAAGTTTACAATCCTGTGTTTACAAGATGGATCCTTCTTCTGAAATGGCAGCACACACAGCTGCAGACCTCAATCTAGGGTACCTATCAAGCAATTCATTGTTTTCCTGTAATGTCAGGACCCTTCTCTGTTTCCTGGAAGAACTTTCAGCATCACTAGCAGCACTTTTTATAGGTCTGAAGGTGTTATTCAAGGTTTATGGTATTGCACTAGACATCATGAATAATACAGGAGAAACATGAGAGAACACTTTTTACTGTGTTAATTTACTGGAGAGACAAGCTACTCACAAGAAGATGATTAGCATTATGTGGCATTTTAAGTGAATACTCACAACACTTGAGTTCACTGCAAGAACAACAGGTGGAGGCTAGGAAATTATCCCAGTAGTACAGTATGTACTACAGTTAATTTTGTGCAGTTATGATTTACTTTTGTATATTTTTGTTTTACTTTTCTCTAAACTTCAATTGGCTGCATGTATGCTCTGTGTTTGCCTACGTCTTGATAAATTTTAACTTTTTATAATAGACGCATATATATTTCATTGTATTAAATGATCACTAGTATCTACATATGATTTATGCATTCATGACATCGTTTTCTTAGTTTTTTAATATTTCTTGTGTAGATGGGTCACCTGTTATCTTTTTCAATTTTTCATAAATCTCCAAAAATTTTCTAATATATTTATAGGAAAAAATCTACATATGAGCAGACCTGCACAGTTCAAACCTGTGTTGTTGAGGAGTCAACTATATATTATAATTTAAGAGAGGATTCAACTCTTTCATTCTACTGGCAATGGGTTAACATAAACTTTAGTCAGAACTGCTGAGCTTTTCTGGCACAATGAGGACAAATTGACCAATGTATTTAACCAATAGCTGGGGGAAAATTTTGCTAAAATTGGTAAGTATATCTTTATATAACTATATCCTTACAACTTGTCTCAACCTTCGTCAGATTAATCCTAACAAAACTGTAAAATGTCTCAGTAAAAATCTAAATGAATTTTTCATAACAAGTGCTGGCAATAGATTTTAAATATGTTCTGATCATTATTTGTCTCTTGTTGGCATGGAGAAAATCCTTTTTTTTTTTTTCAGCCTGGGGAATCCCAAACTATATCTCTAGTAACAAGGAAACCATTTTACCGGAATTTTTATTAACATGGAAAAGTTCTGTCAATTAATCAGACTTCACTGTCCATATCACTTTCAACCTTTTGGGAAGGTAGAAAGATGGAATTCTGAAACTAAAGTTGGTAAAGTTCACAGAGATCGTCAAACTTGCATGGTCTAAGGTATTTCTTCTTTCTGTGGTTCATGAGTTAGTAACAGCTAAACCAAGTGTCTAGGAATATTAGCTCTGATTCTAGAAATCTACACTTATTTAACTAAATGCTGTAAGGACTCAGGAAATCCATTCTTTCAACAAAAGTTACTGAAGACTTTCCCCATTAGTATCCTAAACAATGTCTGCAAAATTGGTTTTCATACCTGGATACCTTGTCTTCTAAGAGACACGGCAGGGAAAGATCATAGGAAAAAAGTCACTATCAGGCACAGCTAACAACTAGCAAACCCATAGTCTTTAAAAGACTGATCCTTTGATTCCTATCTCTCAAGTAAAGAGGTTTAGGTCATCTTCATATTACAGGAAAGTATCCCTACCAAAAACTTCTAACTAATGACTCTTAGGATTCTTCCAAAAGCAAATAGTCTTTGGGAGAAGACAGCTTCCATCAAATGCCTTTGGATCAAGTGAATCACTATATGAGATATCGGTATCTGCAAACCAAGATCCACAAAAAAAGATCCATTGTTTGTCATATTTAATCTGTATATCTTGAGTTTTCATTTTCCTAGTTAACTTTATCTTTTTATGCTTAAGGTTACATTTAATTATTTTACCTATAAAGCTACTATTCCTAATTCCTCTATGCCGTCCTTAGTCACTCTCTAGAAGAGTCCGGAAGCTGGCCGTAATTTGTTCACAATTTGGCTAAACATGCAGTTGAATCAGTGCTAAGCTGCACACATTTTCCTTAGGATGCCAATTAGAGTTTTTTTTTTTTTAACATCGATTCCTAAATATGAAACATCTGGGTTTATCAATAATTGGACTCACTATTTATTGTTATTTTATCTGACAAACAGCAGAGTATTAGATAAATAGAAATCTTAAATCCTAACATGCTGCACCCAGGAAAGAAAGCTTATGCCTACAGCAGAACAGCCCTTAGGGATCTTTAATAGAATGCAACTTCTGTCACTAAACCTTTAGAAAGAAACGTCTTAAAAAGAAGAGAACAAATGGCACATACTTAATTCATTTCTCACATTTACATATCATAAAAAATTCTTATTACATATTCAAGCTCCTATCACATCTACCTCTTCCTCTATGTGATAAGGTCTTCATTTTATATCCCCAAAAGTGATTAATAGCAGAATGGAGCTGAAAGCAATCAATAAACTCAATCAACCTTAATGACTGCTACTGGATTTGTGGTACCAGAACCTATTGATTATTACAGCAATCTTGACATAAACTAACATACTGATGTGGTAGTCAGAATAATGGCTCTTCAGAGATGATGGGGTCCTAATCCAGATAATTTATAAATTTGTTAGCTTACCTGGCAGGACAGACTTTGCAAATGCAATTAGAGTTAAGGATTTTGAAATGGAGAGACTATCATAGATTTTTAGATGGCCAAATGCAATCATAAGATTCTTTACACGTAGAAGAGGGAGATATAAAAGGAGAATGTGAAGACTTGCTCCTTCATTTGTAGCTTTGAAGGTCAAGGAAAGGAACTGTTATGAACTGAATATTTGTGTCTCCCTAAAATTAATCTATTGAAGATGATTGGCATTGTTCAAATATTAATAGATTATTTTCAATGATCTATTAATTGGCAGTGTGATAGTATCTGGAGATGGAGCTTTTGGGAGGAACCTAGGTTGAGATAATGTCCTAAGTGTGGTGTTCTCATGATAATGTTAGTGTTCTTATAAGAAAAGGTGGAGATACTAGACCACCTCCCACCCAACCACCCTTCTCTTTCTCTCTCCGTAAACATGTATCCAGGAAAGGCCATGTGAACACAGAGAGAAGGAGGCCATCTACTAACCAGAGAGGGAGTGGGCCCTCACCACGAACCAAATATACCAGCACCTTAATCTTGGACTTCCCAACTTTCAGAACTCTGAGAAATAAATGTCAGTTGTTTAAGTCACCCGGTCTATGGTATTTTCTTACAGTATTCCAAGCTGCCCAAGACAGGGAACATGCATCAAAGAATGCAGCTGGATTCTAAAGCCTGGGAAAGGCCAGGTCATGGATTATTCCACAGAGCCTATAGAAGGAATGCAGTCTTCCAATGCTTTGATTTTAAATCAGTAAGACCTGTGTTGAACTTCTAACCTGGAATACTGCTAGACCATAAATTTATGTTGTTTTAAACTACTAAGTGTATTGTGATTTTTATAACAGCCACAGGAAAATAATACATTTGGCAAATCAGTGCATGTTTCATGATGGTCAATGATATGCCCCAGGGTCCATCTTAGCCATGATTTCTATCCCTTCAAAAACCAAAACAAAATAAAAAAGTAAAACAAAAAGACCAATTTTACTATACTACTTGATTTTTAACAATATTTTATATGTATTTAATCCAGTATATCCAAAATATTGTCATCTCAGCATAAAACAATATTAAAATTATTCAGTTTTACATTTTTTAAACTAAATCTAGTTTGTATTTTACATATAGCATAAATCAATTCAAATCCACCATATTTCAAGTGTTCAATATCTACATGTCACTAGTAATGACTATAGTGGACAGAATTGATCCAGATTTCCAGGTGTATTGCTATAAAACTAACCATATTTTTATCTTATTAAAACAAAACAAAACTCCTCCATAACTATGTCTATGTTCCTTTTGCTTTTATTAACATTGAACATATTCTTGTTTTTAATCTAATTTTGTCTGTATTTAGGTCTATTTTTTGGTGGTGTTATTTCTTGTATGCTTGGCATCAACTTTTTTTTCAATTTCTTAGACTATCTAAACTATTATGCTCTGAGTTTAGCTCAATTTCAATCAGCTACTCACTTTGAAAGACTCATTTAACTCTCTTAAGCCATTCTCCACAAACATGAAAAATCTTCCTCTCACTCTTCCCTGCTGAAACACTGCAAAAGTATGTCAAAATGGTGTACTTTCTTGGCACAGGGTTTCAATAAACTTAGTTTTGCTTTAATAACAAATTATCTGAATATATTTCAGGGAGTTCCACTGGTAAAAGCATAAAATCATGTTAGTTCAGGTCATCTTTTGTAAAGTTATGACAGTGCCATAGTATCAATTCTTGTCAAAATTTATGACTTCAAAATCAACTTAATATGCATCAACATAGATATTTTTTAGTTAATTCTAGACTCCAGGTGCTCATTTAAATAATATGGGTACATAAGACTGAACAAAACCAGTTGCTATTGAATGTACATTTTAGAGAAATACTTCATACACAGCTGTGTTTTGTTAAATAAGGAACTTGATGACATAATCAATATCACGGCAGCATACAACTGTTTGGTTAGTATGTCTCTTTAAACAAGCACATATGCTCATTCATGGAGTGTGTATTTGTATCTGTGTATGGTCTGTGTGGTGAAGCAGCAAGCAACAGTTGGATGTCTTAATTATCTAACAGGAAAAAACACCTAAATAATCAGAAGAAATTTTGATTTATTTATTAGTTCGACTGAGCTTTTCTCTTGAATGTAACACAGATGGTCCCAGATTTACAATGGTACAACTTTACAGCTTCATCATGGTACAAAAGTGATAAACATTCAGTAGAAACAATGCTTTTATTACCCATATACCCATTCCGTTTTTCACATTCAGTATTTAATAATTTACATGTGATATTCAACACTTTATTTAAAAATAGGCTTTAGGTTAGATTTTTTTTTTGGACTGGCTAATGTAAGTGTTCTGAGCACATTTCTTAAGTGTATTTTTTTTTAATACTTTAAGTTCTAGGGCACATGTGCACAACTTGCAGGTTTGTTACATATGTATACATGTGCCATGTTGGTTTGCTGCACCCATTAACTCATTATCTACATTAGGTATTTCTCCTAATGCTATCCCTACCCATCCCCCCACCCCACAATAGGCCCCAGCATGTGATGTTACCCACTCTGTGTCCAAGTGTTCTCGTTGTTCAATTCCCACCTATGAGTGAGAACACACGGTGTTTGGTTCTCCGTCCTTGCGAAGGTTTGCTCAGAATGATGGTTTCCAGCTTCATCCACGTCACTACAAAGGACATGAACTCATCATTTTTTATGCCAGCATAGTATTCCATGGTGTATGTATGCCACATTTTCTTAATCCAGTCTATCATTGATGGACATTTCGGTTGGTTCCAAGTCTTTGCTATTGTGAAGAGTGCAGCAATAAACATACATGTGCATGTGTCTTTATAGCAGCATGATTTATAATGCTTTGGGTATATACCCAGTAATGGGATCACTGGGTCACATGGTATTTCTAGTTCTAGATACTTGAGGAATTGCCACACTGACTTCCACAATGGTTGAACTAGTTTACACTCCCACAAACAGTGTAAAAGCATTCCTATTTCTCCACATCCTCTCCAGCACCTGTTGTTTCCCGACTTTTTAATGATCGCCATTCTAACTGGTGTGAGATGCTATCTCATTGTGGTTTTGATTTGCATTTCTCTGATGACCAGTAATGATGAGCATTTTTTCATGTGTCTGTTGGCTGCATAAATGTCTTCTTTTGAAAAGTGTCTGTTCATATCCTTTGTCCACTTTTTGATGGCTTTGTTTTTTTCTTGTAAATTGGTTTAAGTTCTTTGTAGATTCTGGATATTAGCTATTTGTCAAATGGGTAGATTGGAAAAATTTTCTCCCATTCTGTAGGTTGCCTGTTCGCTCTGATGGTAGTTTCTTTTGCTGCGCAGAAGCTCTTTAGTTTAATTAGACCCCATTTGTCTATTTTGGCTTTTGTTGCCATTGCTTTTGGTGTTTTACACATGAAGTCCTTGCCCATGCCTATGTCCTGAATGGTATTGCCTAGGTTTTCTTCTAGGGTTTTTATGGTTTTAGGTCTAACATTTAAGTCTTTAATCCATCTTGAATTAATTTTTCTATAAGGTGAAGGAAGGGATCCAGTTTCAGCTTTCTACATATGGCTAGCCAGTACCATTTATTAAATAGGGAATCCTTTTCCCATTTCTTGTTTTTGTCAGGTTTGTCAAACATCAGATGGTTGTAAATGTTTAGCGTTATTTCTGAGGCCTCTGTTCCATTCCATTGGTCTATATCTCTGTTTTGGTACCAGTAAAATGCTGTTTTTGTTACTGTAGCCTTGTAGTATAGTTTGAAGTCAGGTAGCGTGATGCCTCCAGCTTTGTTCTTTTTGCTTAGGATTGTCTTGGCAATATGGGCTTTTTTTTGATTCCATATGAACTTTAGTTTTTTCCAATTCTGTGAAGAAAGTCATTGGTAGCTTGATGGGGATGGCATTGAATCTATAAATTACCTTGGGCAGTATGGCCATTTTCACGATATTGATTCTTCCTACCCATGAGCATGGAATGTTCTTCCATTTGTTTGTGTCCTCTTGTATTTCGTTGAGCAGTGGTTTGTAGTTTTCCTTAAAGAGGTCCTTCACATCCCTTGTAAGTTGGATTCCTAGGTATTTTATTCTCTTTGTAGCAACTGTGAATGGGAGTTCACTCATGATTTGGCTCTCTGATTGTCTGTTATTGGTGTATACAAATGCATGTGATTTTTGCACACTGATTTTGTAACCTGAGACTTTGCTGAAGTTGCTCATCAGCTTAAGGAGATTTTGGGCTGAGATGATGGGGTTTTCTAAATATACAATCATATCACCTGCAAACAGGGACAATTTGACTTCCTCTTTTCCTAATAGAATGCCCTTTATTTCTTTCTCTTGCCTGACTGCCCTGGCCAGAACTTCCAACACTATGTTGAATAGGAGTGGTGAGAGAGGGCATCACTGTCTTCTGCTAGTTTTCAAAGGGAAAGCTTCCAGTTTTTGCCCATTCAGTATGATACTGGCTGCGGGTTTGTCATATATAGCTCTTATTATTTTGAGATATGTTCCATCAATACCTAGTTCATTGAGAGTTTTCAGCATGAAGGGCTATTGAATTTTGTCAAAGACCTTTTCCGCATCTATTGAGATAATCTTGTGGTTTTTGTCTTTGGTTCTCTTTATGTGATGGATTACATCTATTGACTTGCGTATGTTGAACCAGTCTTGCATCCCATGGATGAAGCCAACTTGATCTTGGTGGATAAGCTTTTTGATGTGCTGCTGGACTCGGTTTGCCAGTATTTTTGTTAAATGTACTAAATGCATTTTTTACCTAAAATATTTTCAACTTATGAGTATATCCAGATCCATCATAACACATCTTGGCCTGTGGTTATCAGGATATAACTCATTATAAGTCGAGGTAGATTTGTATTATATCCCATGTACACACACACACACACACACACACACACACACACACACACACACACACACACAGACTTAATCTGTTTACAGAAATAAAAGGAATAAAATACCGTTTCTATTATACACCAAAACTAGCCATCTTGACAGATACTTCACTCTGAAAAATAACGTTTTATAGCTACTTTACAGATTAGTATAATAATTTGGTGTTTCTGTTTCAGAGATTCGATTTCACATTTCAATAAGTAGGCCGCTCCCTCTGCTAAGCCTGGGAATGTAATTCTTTTGAAAAACTATCTGTGCTGTAAAATTACATGTCATATTGGGAAAAGGACAATCGCAAACAGTAGTCACACATAAAATCAAGCAACACAGACATCCTTTTCACATACAGTGAAGACCCTTGTCAATTTTGAGATTACACAGGAAAACAGAATGGGGGACAAGTGTCTCTGACACATAGAAAATCCCGTGAAGAAGAACTCAGCTGACACAATCAAAACATACACAAAACTGAAAGAAACAAGGTGAGTGCTTTTTATATTAGTTCAGCTGTCAAGAAAGTGTAAAATAAACCTAACATTTTTTTACTAAGTGAGGATTTTCTTTTTTGAAACATCATCATTTATATTTATCCAGTTTGCAACTTCATCAGCTGAATCTCAGGATGTGTTCCATGACACTGAAGGACAATTAAATCATATCCATGACAATATATGAGAAGCTGACAGGAGAACATGGTGGCATTTGAATTAATGTCTATCATTAGATAGAATTTCTGATCACATAATTTAAGTTGTAGTTTTCCATACAATTTAATCAAGATAAGCACTTATTAGGTGAGTGATATACTTTGGCTCTGTGTCCCCACACAAATCTCATGTTGAATCGTAATCCCCACGTGTCAGGGGAGGGGTCTGGTAGGAGGTGATTTGATCATGGGGGTGGATTTCCCATACTGTTCTCGTGACAGTCAGTGAGTTCTCACAAGATCTGATGGTTTAAAAGTGTGTGGAACTTCCCCCCGGCTCTTCTCTCTACTGACACCATGTGAAGAAGGCACCTGCTCCCCCTTTACCTTCTGCCATGATTGTTAGTTTCCTGAGGCCTCCCAGTCGTGCTTCCTGTTAAGCTTGCAGAACTGTGAGTCAATTAAACCTCTTTTCCTCATAAATTACCCAGTAGTTCTTTATAGCAGTTTGAGAAGAGATAGATACAGAAAATTGGTACCAGAGAAGTGGGGCATTGCTATAAAAATACCTGAAAATATGGAAGTAACTTTGGAACTGGGTAACAGGCAGAGGTAGGAAACAGTTTGGAGGACTCAGAAGAAGACAGGGAGATATGGGAAAGTTTAAATCTTCCTAGAGACCTGTTGAATGGTTGTGAACAAAATGCTGATAATGATTTGGATAATGAAGTCCAGGCTGAGGGGGTCTCAGATGGAGATGAGGAACTCATTGAGAACTGAAGAAAAAGTTACTCTTGCTATGCTTTAGCAAAGAGACTGACAGCCTTTTGACCCGGCCCTAGAGATCTGTGTAATGTTGAACTTCAGAGAGATGATTTAGGGTATCTGGTGAAACAAATTTCTAAGCAACAGACCTTCCAACATGTGGCCTGGCTGCTTCTAAAAGTTTATGCTCATGTCCATGAAGAAAGAGATGGCTTGAAACTGAAACGTATATTTAAAAGGAAAGCAGACCATAAAAGTTTGGAAAATTTGCAGCCTAACCATATAGTAAAAAAGAAAAACCCACGCTCTTGGGAGAAATTCAAGCAAAAATTTGCATAAGTAAAGAGGAGCCAAATGTTAATGGCAAAGACAATGTGGAATACGTCTCCAGTACATTTCAGAGACCTTTGAGGCAGCCCCTCCCATTATAAGCCTGGAGGCCTAGGAGGGAGAAATTGTTTAGTGGGATGGGCCCAGGGCCCTGCTGCTCTGGGCAGCCTCGGGACATGGTGCCCAGTGTTCCAGCTGCTCAGCTCCAACTGTGGCTAAAAGGGTCCAAGGCACTACTCAGGCCATTGCTTCAGAGAATACAAGCCTCAAGCTTTGGTGGCTTCCACATGAGGCTGGGCCTGTGGTTGTGCAGAAGGGAAGAGGTGAGGTTTGGGAACCTCCATCTAGATTTCAGAGGATGTATGGAAATGCCTGGATGTCTAGGCAAAAGTCTGCTGCAGAAGTGGAGCCCTTATGGAGAACCTCTACTAGGGCAGTGCAGAGGGAAAATGTGGGGTTGGAGCCCCCACACAGATTCCCCACTGGGGCACTCCCTACTGGAGCTTTGAGAAGAGGGTCATAGTGCTTCAGACCCCAGAATGGTAGATCCACTGACAGCTTGCACAGTGTGCCTGGAAAAGTCACAGGCACTCAATCCTAGCCTGTGAAAGCAGCTGTGGGGGCTGTGCCTTGCAGAGCCACAGAGGCAGAGCTGTCAAAGCTCATGGGAGCCCAGATATTGCATCAGTATGCTCTGGACGTGAGAGATGAGGTCAAAGAAGATTGTTTCAGAGCCTTAAGATTTAATGACTGCCTTGTCGGGTTTTGGACTTGCATGGGGCCTGCAGACCCTTTGTTTTGGCTAATTTCTCCCTTATGGAATTGGAGTGTTTATCTGATCCCTGTACCCCCACTGTTGTCTTGAAATTAACTAACTTGTTTTTGATTTTACAGGCTTATAGGCAGAAGCGATTTGCCTTGTCTCAGATGAAACTTTGGACATGGACTTTTGAGTTAATGCTGGAATAAGTTAAGACTTCCAGTCTGTTGGGAAGGCATGATTGGTTTTGAAATGTGAGAAGGACATGATACTTGGGAGGGGCCAGAGGAGAAATAATATGGCTTGGCCCTCTGTCCCCACCCAAATCTCATCTCAAATTGTAATCCTCTCATGTCAAGAGAGGGGCCTGGGTGGAGGTGACTGGATCATGGGAGCAGATTTCCACATGCTATTCTCATGATAGTGAGTGAGTTCCAAGAGATCTGATGGTTTAAAAGTGTGTGGCACTTCCCTCCTTGTGCTCTCTCTCTCCTGGTGCCATGTCAAGAAGAACCTTGTTTCCCCTTTGCCTTCCACCATGATTTTCTGAGTTTCCTGAGTCCTCCCATTCATGCTTCCTGTAAAGCCTGAAGAACTATGAATCAATTAAATCTCTTTTCTTCATAAATTACTCAGTCTCAAGTCATTCTTTATATCATTGTGAAAACTGACTACTACGGTTAGCAATCTTAAAGAATACTTGTGATTTTGAGAATCAGGCACATATTTTTTTAATAATCGGACTGCTTACAATTGTTTAACTCCTTGCAACTTATAGTTAGTGCCTAAAACTTTGATGACTTTCATTACATTTCAATGGCTCTGTTCCCTTATAGCAAACTACCTTTTTTACTGTACTTACTGTAACTACAGTGCATTTATTTTCAGCCCAAATAGTATTCAGTAATAAGCATTTCTTCCCACATAAGAATAAGTTATATTCCTATTCACTATATTCTAGAATTTCTATTTTCCTTCCACAGTGCCAGCTAAAATTAAAGTGGAATAATCTATTGGGGCCCTGTGTATTTAATGTTTGTTTTCTTAGTATATTATAAACACTGTGAAGGAAGGAAATCCTTGCCTCTTGTTTATACTTTTATCTCCATTATAGAAACACTCTGCATTATTTTCTTACTGCTGCTGTAGCCAATTACTACAAAGTTAGTGGTTTAAAATAGCACAAATATAGTGTCAAACAATTGTGTTTCTCAGATGTCTGCAATGCATCTTATGAGGCTAAAATCAAAGAGTGAGAACTGTTGTGTTCCTTTCTGAAGGTTTTAGGGGAAAATCAGTTTCCTTGACTTTTCCAGCCTCCAGAGGCTGTCCTGATTTGTTAGCTTATGGTCTTTCATTTGTTCAAACCAGAAATGCTGTGTCTCTCTGACCATTCTTTTGAAATCATACCACCTTATGTTTCTAGCCAAGAATGTTTCCCTAGTTTAAACCCATTTGATTACACTGAACTCAAAAGGACACTTTTTCATCTTACCATCCTTAACATTATAATACTTGCAAAGCCCCTTTTACCAGATAGTTAACATATTCACAGCTTCCAGAAATCAGGACATGCGTTTTTTTTTTGTTGGTTTGTTTGTTTTGTAAACCATTATTTTGCTTACTATACTGTCTTAATTGGAGGAAGCAACTTCTTCGAATAGGTGAATTAATTTCAAATTGATAATGTGATTCTGAATGAACATTAAAGAAATCAACTATTACACCGAACATTACTTTATTGAGCTAAACAAATATTAACTGACTATATAAAATTCATTACACATTTGGAGATAGAATTTTGTACTCTTTAATAAGACTTTTTACATTTTTTGCAATCCTTTTTCTTATTTAAAAAATCAGTACTGTATTAGTACCCACAATATAAGTTTGTTCTAAGAATCAAATGAGATAAACATTTCAGACACCTATCATAGTATCAAGTTCATATCGTAAGCCTAAAATACCAGATGACTTTTATTATTTTCAGAATGTAGTCAAAATCAACATAAAGTTACATTAACACTTGGTTTACTGTATCATAATGCTAGCTTTGTGTCATATCTATCTAGAGAGTACACTGAATAGCTTAAACCAAGTAGAAGGTGATTTCTTGCTTACATAACAGTTTACCATAAGTAATTTTGGCTAAAGACGCATCTTTCCTGCAAAAAATAATTCAAGTTAACGAAGGATCTACTATTACCAAATTGTATCTTCCCAGATTACTTTGTATATATCACCATTCCAGAAGACAAAAGACTACTCATGAAATACAATTTGCACACTTCTTTATATATGAAAAATTCACTTCTCTTCCCTCTGTAAACAACTTAAAGTTTTGCCCAGTTACTGCCTACAACTTAGAGTTCAGGATGTTTCATGACGTGCAGTTCTCTCCCTCAGGCCACTATATGACTTAACGAGGACTAGTGTCCTATAAAGTCAAAAGACAAATTATCTGTAAAATCTAAGTTACCATGGTGAAGCTCCTATCAGAAGACAAAGAAGTCTGCAGAGCACTGACAAAAATATTTCTGAGCAGTACAAATATTTATTTGATGAAACCATAAACATGTCCTGTGGAAATAACTTTAAGGTCCATTGTCCCTGTGGCTCATAGATTTACTTTCTGAGGTAATTTACATTTTCTCTTATTCTCCATGCCTCCATCTTAAATTAGAACAATGAGTGTTTTCTCAGCATGACTAATCAATTGCACTGATTAGTGCAATTTGGGATGCTTGAGGATATTTTAAGCCTTAATTTTTTTTTCTCACAATAGGCTTATTGTACCTTTGCCAAGTAGTTACGTGGAAACCATTTATTTATTTATTGGATCTAGTTTATAACCAAACATACAGTTCTTTCCTAGGTATAATTCTAAAGTCTGCCTCATTTCCTTCTTTTTTCTCCTCCCCAACACACATATGCTTCTCTGACTGTAAAGATGACCACTTTAAGGTCATTTGAAATCATAGACTTGAAAGAGAAAACAACTTCCCTGATGAGTTCTTTGCTTCAGGGCTGGGTTCCTTGTTTTTTATGAACACAGTAGGATTTAATTTCTGAGCAGCTTTTTCAACCTAATCAGAAAAACCTGAGCTTTTCTGTCACTGTATAATTCCACCATTACTAGACTTTTTGTTTACAAGTGGTTTCCAACAAGGAATGACTTTGTTTCCATAGAACACTTGTCAGTGTCTGGAGACATTTTGAATTATAATGATTAGGTGGTGATGCTACTGGTATGTGGTGGTATAGCCTAAAGATACTATTAATATCCTACAATGCAAAGAATAACCTCCCACAGAATGCAGGAATATCAGGCATAAAATGTCAATAATGCTAAGGTTTAGCAACTCAACTCTATCCACTTTCTTTCCACTCTAAAGACAGGATATTTCTTTTTTCTTTTTTTTTTTTTTTTTTTTTTGCCTGTGTTTATCTATTTCTTGGATTATGGAACAGAACAAACATGAACACATTACCTTTTGCCTTTCCTCATTTCCCACACTCTTTCCTAGAGGTAATATTAAGCTTCCAATTAATTTTAGATGGTAGTTTCAATAATTTTTTTTCACTGGGTATTACAAGTCTTCATTTCAACCCTCTGAGTTTGGTTTACTTGTCCATTTAATACTAATTTAGTGGATACGTTTTAGGTGCTGTTATGGCAGACCCAACTCAAGCTGGTGATTTCTATATTACTTGGAATCGTGCTAGTTGCTTTGACAACTACACTCAACAACATATAATATCTTAAACAGAACAGAAGTTTCATTCATATAAACTGTTTTTTTAAGATAGGAAAAGCATTGCTCCTTTATGTCCGCATTCAAGAACATAGGCTACTAAGGTATTTAATCTGCAGTATGTTGCTTCCAAGACTACTGTAGAATTGGCCGTTCCAGTCAAGCATACTGAAAAACGTATACAGAAGAGTGCATGTTGGGATTTTGGAGACTAAATTGGATATAAAATATGTTATTTCTACTAATTTTCCACTATTTTGACTTTAATCCCATGCCCTAATATAAAGTATATAAGAATGAGAAACATAGTTTATGTATCTATCAAAATAGAACATAAATGTTTGTGAACATTTGAATCTGTCAGCTTCTCTTGCTCACGTGCCTGTAGTGCCTGTACTCAGGATGCTGAGGCAGGAGAATCGCTTGAACCCAGGAGGTGGAGGTTGCAGTGAGCTGAGGTCACACCACTGCACTCCAGCCTGGGCAACAGAGCGAGACTCCATCTCAAAAAAAAAAAGAAGTGACTCAACTGATTGATGTGTAAAACCTCATTGTAAAATAATGTTCTATAAATGAGACATTAATACAGTTAAATTTTTGGATTAAAAAAGTCTGCCACTTTGTGAATATGTTTTATTTAGGCTTGATTTAGTTAATTTTCTTTTTTCTTTTTCTTTTTCTTTTTTTTTTTTTTTTTTTCTGAGGAGTTTCACTGTTGCTGCCCAGGCTGCAGCGCAGTGCTGGGATCTCGGTTCACTGCATCCTCCACCCCGCCAGTTCAAGTGATTCTCCTGCCTTAGCCTCCTGAGTAGCTGGGATTACAGGCACCCACCCACCACCATACCCGGCCAATTTTTTGTGTTCTTAGTACACATGGGGTTTCACCATGTTGGCCAGGATGGTCTCGAACTTCAGACCTCAGGTGATCCACCCACCTTGGCCTCCCAAAGTGCTGGGATTACAGGCATGAGCCACCGCACCCAGCCAGTTAATTTTTCTATTAACTAAGACCTAATTAAGATTGAGGCAGAAGAAATGGGTCCTTGGGATTTGAAAATTACTATTCAATTTGGAAGTTTAATTTGCAACATAGATTGTCTGTTATTAAATTACTAGATATAATATCACAAAGGTGGAAAGAAAGGTTGCTTAGTTAAAGATCTAAGTTACTAGTCATGGTGTCAGATATAGAGAATGATTGAAGGTTATCAGAGTCACACACCAGATGAGTAAATTGTTGTTTTCAAGGAAGAGGTTACATAAAGGTAAGCGGAGTAATATTTCAGCATTTTTGTTAATTAAAAATTTGTAAAGTTATTTCCATTTCAAGGAAATTACTCTCAGTAATTTTACGGGTAAAATGACAAATTCCAAGTTTAATTTTCACATGTAACACCCTCCTTGAGCACTTATTTTTATAAAGCTATTAATCTATTTTGGTCTCAATTTACCTTTCTTTAAAGAGATTTTAAAATTTTCTGAAAGAAGTTGACATCTGGAAGTGTAGCTGTTATATTTTTCAATTTTTAATTACATATTTAATTATCCTTTAATTACTTAAGGTTATTCTCAAAAGTGAAGAGATAGCTGGGATCACACTGCGTAAGATTTTACTCCTGAATGTAATATTCAAAAATGTTACAAAGTCTATCAAAGAGGTTTTCATTCTGTGACAATACATGGTCAATTTGACATGGTCAGGAAGCACCACCCCCACTGAGAGATACCAAATTATGGAGTAAACCACCGTAATTTAGGCAGATCTTGAGAGAGAAAATGCTGAGTGGATGCAGAGGCAGCAATGAAGCTGAGCTGAAGAGGGAGGAAGCCTGTGCAGGGAACCCAAACACTACAGCTAGTTCCCCAGAATGGCTCCTAGGAAAGGGCCTCTGCCTGAGAGAGACCTGTGGCCTAGAACACCTAACACAAGAAACACAGTGATTGCAGGAGACTCCCCCAGGGCCCAGGAGCACATCTGGTGATGGAGGCATCTCTCCCACCCCCACTATAGAGCACACCTGCAAACAAAAGGAAGTATAAAACAGCCATGCCACTGGGTATTAGGCTAGCCACTGGCCATCACTCTTAAGCACTATGCATTGGATCACATCCCAAACTACAACATCAAAATTTATCCTGCTACATATACACCTGTGAAACCAAACACCAGAATTACTCATACATAAAAATCCTGGACAGAGAAAGCCCTGACCCTTTGAAAGCATCCAGAAACAAAACCAATTGCCTATACTCAACATACACTACAGTTAAAGGAACACTAACCCTACCAGAAGAGAAAAAATCAGTGCAAGAACTCTGGCAATTCAAAAAGCTAGAGTGTCCTCTTACCTCAAAATTAGCCCACTAGCTACCAAGCAATGGTTCTTAATCAGTCTAAAATAATTGCAACAGACATAGAATACAGAACCTCGATGGCAGGGAAGCTCATGAACATTAAGGAGAAAGTTGAAACCCTAGCCAAGTAATCCAGTAAAGCAATCTAAGTAAGTGCTGAAAGATGAAATTGCCATTTTAAAGAACAGCCACACTGAATTTCTAGAGCAGAAAAAATTCAGTATAAGAATTTTATAATACAATAAGAAATATTAACAGAAGGTAGGCCAAGCTAAGGAAAGAATCTCAGAGCTCAAAGACTGGTTCGTTGAATCAACTGAGTCAAAAGAAAATTTTAAAAAAGAATTAAAAAAAGAAAATGAACCAAAGCTTTAAGAAATATGGAATTATATAAAGAGACCAAATCTACGACTCATTGTCATTCCTAGAAGAGAAACAAAGAGAAAAGGCAACTTGGAAAATAGATTTGAGAATAGAGTCTATGAAAATCTTCCTAACCTCGCTAGAGAGAGTGACATGTAAATCCAAAAAATACAGCAAACCCAGCTAGGCACTACAAAAGGTGACTATCCCTAAGGCACACAGTCATCATATTCACCAAAGTAAATACAAAAGAAAAAAAAAATCTTAAAGGCAGCTAGAGAGAAAGGTCATGTTTTCATAAAGCAAGAACTCCACTAGGCTAGTAGTAAATATCTCAGCAAAAACCTTACAAGCCAGAAGAGATTAAGGGCCTATGTCCAACATCATTAATGAAAATAAATTCCAGGCAATAATTTTATATTTCACTAAACTAAACTTCCTAAGTGAAGAAGAAACAAATTTCTCCTCAGATAAGCAAATACTGAGGGAATCAATTTCAACTTGACCAGCCTTATGAAAGGTCCTTAAGGGAGTGCTATACATTGAGTAAAAAGAATGACACCTGCTACCACAAAAACCCACTGAAGTACATAGCTCACAGGCACTATAAAGTATCTACACAATCAAGTCTACCTAAAAACCAGCTACAAACGTGATGATAGGATCAAAATCTCATGTATCAACATTAACCATAAATGTAAATAGGCTAAACACCCCCACTTAAATGACATACAATGGCAAACTGGATAAAAATGCAAGGCTCACCATCTGTAGTCTTCAAGAGACTCATCTCATATGTAATGACAGCCACTGGCCCAAAATAAGGGGATGGAGAAAATCTGCCATGCAAATGATAACAAAAAAGCAGGAGTAACTATTCTTATATCAGATAAAACAGACTTTAATCAAAATTAAAAAGAACAATTGAAGAATGAAGAGCATTACGTCATGAGAAAGTATATGATCAAACAAGAATACTTAAGTACCCTAAATATAAATGCACCCAACATGGAGCACCCAGATTCATAAAACAAGTTCTTTTTGGACTACAAAAAGACAGACGACCACCCAATAACTGTAGGAGACTTCAACACCCCCGCTGGCAGCACTGGATCATCAAAGCAGATAACCAAGAAAGAAACTGTGTACTTAAACTTCACACTTGACCATTTGGACCTAATAAGACATCTACAGAACACTCCACTCAATAACCACAGAATATACATTCTTCTCATCTGCACAGGGAACATATTCTAACATTGACCACATGCTTGGTCATAAAGCAAGTCTGGATAAATTTTAAAAAATGAAATCATATCAAGCACACTCTTAGATCTCAATGTAATCAAAATATAAATAAATATCAACATCTCTCAACACTACACAAATAGATGAAAATTAAACAACTTTCTCCTGAATAACTTCTGTGTGAAAATCAAAATTAAGGGAGAAATTTTAAGAAAGTGAAATTAATGAAAATGGGAACACAAATTACCAAAATCTCTGGGATGCAGCTAAATCAGTGTTAAGAGGAACGTTTAAATGCCTTTATCATAAAGTTAGAAATACTTCAAATTAACAATCTAACACTACACCTAAAGGAACTAGGGAAGAAAAAAAAAAGAACAACCCTACATCAACGCTAGGAATGAAAAGAAACAACTAAAATAGAGAAGATCTGAATGAAATTGAGATGCAAAAATCCATACAAAAGATTAATGAAACCAAGAGTTGATTTAAAAAAAGAGATTGATAGACCTTTAGCTAGATAAACAAAGAAAAAAAAGAGAAGATCTAAATATATAAATCAGAATGACAAAAACGACATTAAAAATGGTCCCACAGACATACAAAATAATCCTCAGAGAATACTAGGAATAACTCTAGACACAAAAATTAGAAAATCTAGAGGAAATGGATAAATTTCTGAAAACAGGCAATCTTCCAAGATTGAATCAGGAAGATACTGAAATACTGAAGAGACCAATATGAAGCTCTGAAATTGAATAAGTAATAAAAAATCTACCAAGCCAAAAAGCCCTGGACTATATGGATTCACAGCAAAATTCTACCGGAAGTATAACGAAGAACTAGTACAATTCTACTGAAACTATTCCAGAAAAGTTGAAGAGAACGTACTCCTTCCTAACTCACGCTGTGAAGCCAGAAGCAGCTTAATACCAAAACCTGGCAGAGACGCAAAAAAAAAGAACATTCAGGTGACCACTGTTGACGAACATAGACTCAAAAATTCTCAACAAAGTACTAGCAAACTGAATCCATCAGCAGCATATCAAAAAATTAATCTACTATGACAATACAGGCTTTATTCCTGGGATGCATGGCTGGTTCAACATATGCAAATCAATAAATGTGATTCACCAGATAAACAGAATTAAATCAAAAACCATATGATCATCTCAATGGATGCCGGAAAAGCTTTCAATTAAATCCAGTGTCCCTTCATGAAAAAACAAAACAAAAAAAAACCCTCAACAGTTGAGGCTTCAAATAAGCATACTTCAAAATAAAAAAGAGCTATCTACAACAAACCCACAGCCAATATAATACTCAATGGGCAAAAGCTGAAAGCATTCTCCTTTAGAAATGAAACAAGCCAAGGACATCCACTCTTACCACTCCTATTCAACATAGTACCAGAAATCCTAGTCAGAGCAATCTTGCAACAGAAAAAGAGAAAAGCACCCAAATAGGAAGTGAAGATTAAGGCAAACTATCTGTCTTCACCCAACAATATCATTCTATACCTAAAAAACCTTAAAGACTTCAACAGAAGTCTACTAGAAATGATAAAGGATTTTAGCAAGGTTTCAGGATACAAAATCAATGTACAACAATTAGTAGCATTTCTATACAACAACAACATCCAGGTTGAGAGTTAAATTAAGAACACAATCATATTTACAACACCTAGGATGAAAATAAAATCCCTGCAAATACAACTAACCTAAGATGTGAACGATCTCCACAAGGAGAATTACAAAACACAGCTGAAATCTGAAGCTGGATGCAGTGGTTCATGCCTTTGGGAGGCCGAGGCAGGTATATCGCTTGGACCCAGGAGTTTGAGACCAACCTAGGCAACATAGTGGAACCTCATCTATACAAATTTTTTTTTTTTTTTTAAATAGCGAGGCATGGTGGCACATGCCTGTAGTCCTAACTACCCTGACGGCTTGAGGCCAGGAGTTCAAGCCTGCAGTGAGCTATAATGACTCCACTGCATTCCAGCCTGGGTGAAAGGGTGAGACTCTGTCTCAAAAAAGGAAGGAAATAAGAAAAGGAAGGAAGGATGGAAGGGAGGGAGGAAGGGAGGGAGGGAGGGAGGGAGGGAGGGAAGGAAGGAAGGAAGGAAGGAAGGAAGGAAGGAAGGAAGGAAGGAAGGAGATTTTGATAACACAAATAAATGGAATAACATTCCATGTTTACAGATTAAAAGAATCAATATTGTTAAAATGGCCACACTGCCCAAAGCAACTTGTAGATTCAAGGCTATCTCCATGAAACTACCAACATCATTCTTCACAGAATTAGAAAAAACTATTCTAAATTTATATGGAACACCCCCAAAAGCCAGAATGGCCAAAGCAATTCTGAGCAAAAATAATAAAGCCAGAGAGGCGTCATACTACCCAATTTCCAGCTATACTATAAGTGTACACTAACCATGATACTGTTACAAAAGCAGACACTTAAGCCAATGGAACAGAATAGAACACTCAAAAATAAAGCTGCACACTTACCACCATCTGGATCGTGGACAAGGCCAACAAAAACAAACAATGGGGAAAAGGCACCCTATTCAATAAATGGTGCTGGGATAATTCGCTAGCCATAAGCAGAAGAGTGAAACTGGATGCTTACCTTCCACCATACACACAAATTAATTCAAGATGGATTAAAGGTTAAAATGTAAGACTTCAGATTATGAAAACTCTAAAACAAAACCTAGGAAATATTTTTCTCGACATTGGCCTTGGCAAATAATTTTTGGCTAAGTTTCTAAAAACAATTGCAACAAAAACGAAATTGACAAGTGAAAGTCAATCAAACTAAAAAGCTTCTGCACAGCAATAGAAACTATCCACAGAGTAAACAGACAACTTACAGAATGGGAGAAAATATTTGCAAACTATGCATCTGATAAAGATCTAATATAACAAATCCATAAGGAAGAAAAAATGACAAGCATAAAACAACCCCAGTTAAAAAGGGCAAAGCTAATACAGGAGCAGAAAATCAAACTCCGCATCTTCTCACTTATAAGTGGGAGCTGAACAATGGGAACACATGGACACAGGGAGGGGAACAACACACAATGGGGAACAACACACAACACACACTATAATTTTCTGTAGGGGGTTGAGGAGAGGGAGAGCATCAGGAAAAATAGCTAATGCATGCTGGGCTTAATACCTAGGTGATGGGTTGATAGGTGCAGCAAACCACCACCACACACGTTTATCTATGTAACAAAACTGCGCTTCCTGCACATGTACCCCAGAACTTAAAATTTAAATCAAGAAAAGGCAAAGGACATGAACAGATATTTTCTCAAAAGAAGACACTCAAGTATATGAAAAAACACTCATCCTTACTAATCATCAAATAAATAAATGCAAGCAAAAACCACAGTAAGATGCCATCTCACATCAGTCACAACAGCTATAATTAAAAAGTAAAAAAATTAGATGTTGGCCAGGCTGCAGAGTAAAGGGAATGCTTATACACTACTGTTGATGGAAATGTAAACTGGTTCAGGTACTGTGGAAAGTATTTTGGAGATTTCTCTAAGAACTTAAAACAGAGATACCCTTCGACCCAGCATTCCCATTACTGGGTATATATTCAAAGGAAAATAAATTATTCTACCAGAAAAATATATATGCACTCGTACGTTCATCAGCATGTTATTCACAATAGCACAGACATGGAATGAACCTAGGTGCCCATCAAAGGTGGATTGGATAAAGAAAATGTGGTACATATACACTATGGAATACTATGCCTCCATAAAAAAGAATGAAATTATGTCCTTTGCAGCAACATGGATGGAGCTAAGGACATAATCCTAAGCAAATTAGTGCTGGAAAAGAAAACCAGATACCACACATTCTCACTTATAAGTGGAACCTAAACACTGAGCACACAGGAACATTAACATGGGAACAAGACATGCTGCAGGCTATGGGGGTGGGGGAGAGAGGGGAGCATGGGCTGAATAACTACCTACTGGGTACTATGCTCACTACCAGGGTGCACTGTACAAAAGTAACAAATCTGCATATGCACTGTGTCTGGAAAAAACTGAAATTATAAAAACCAAGAGAATATGTTTCTAATGAATGTAGACTTTATTTGATGGACTGGACTAGAATATAATATTTTTTTAAGGGGAAAGGCATTGGGGGATGCACAATGTCTACAGGTTTCTAAACCTCTCTGGTTTCTCACCTAATTCATAGTCTCTTATGTCATTTTCATAGTTTTCATATTCTGCCTTTCCACCTCTTCTTTTTAACAAGTAAAATTCCTCATAGCATACAAAAAAACAATTTTATAAAAAACCCATATTATAGATCAGGGACCTGTGGATTATATGCTATTAGAACTATACAAAATGTCTCTATATAGTTTTCTGTATCTTTGGAATATCTTTGGGTGAAGCTGCAGACCTTCTTGGTGAGTGTTACAGCTCTGCGCAGAGCCAAACAGTGAGCAGCAGCAAGACTGCAAAGAGCAAAAGAACAAAGCCTCCACACTGTGGAAAGGGACCCTAGCACGTTGCTGTTGCTGGCTCTGGCAGCTGCTTTTATTCCCTTATCTCACCCCACCCACATCCTGATGATCGGTCCATTTCATAGAGAGCTGATGGGTTCATTTTACAGAGAGCTGCTTGGTCTGTTTACAATCCTTTAGCTAGACACAAAAGTTCTCCAAGTCCCCACCAGATTAGCTAGACACAGAGCACTGATTAGTGCGTTCACATACCTTGAGCTAGACACAGCATGCTGATTGGTGCATTTACAATCCTCCAGCTAGACGTAGTAAGTTCTCCAAGTACCCACCGGACTCAGGAGCCCAGCTGGCTTTGCCTAGTGCATCCCGGCCGCGGGCGGAGCTGCCCGCCAGTCTCTGGCGCGCTGCCGCACTCCTCAGCCGTTGGGCGGTTGACGGGACCGGGTGCCGCGTAGCAGGAGGTGGCGCCCGTCCCCTCGGGGTGGCGCGCGGGAGCCTGCGGTTGGGGGGCGGGGGGCGGGGGGCAGGGGACGGGGGCGGGGAGGAGGGTGAGGGCTCCAGCATGGCAGGCTGCAGGTCCCGAGCCCTGCCCCCTTGCCCCGCGGGGAGGTGGCTGAGGCCCAGCGAAAATTCGAGCGCGGCGCCGGCGGGCCATCACTGTTGGAGGACCCAGTGCACCCTCCGCAGCTGCTGGCCCGGGTGCTAAGCCTCTCACTGCCCAGGGCCGGCGGCGCCAGCCGACCGCTCAAGAGTGCGGGGCGCGCCGAGCCCGCGCCCACCCGGAAGTCGCGCCGAGCCCGCGCCCACCCGGAAGTCGCGCTGGACCTGCGAGCCCCGCAGGCAGCCCAGGTTCCGGCCCGCGCCTCTCCCTCCACACCTCCCCGCCAGCAGAGGGAGCCCGCTCAGGCCTCAGCCAGCACAGAGAGGGGCTCCCACGGTGCAGCTGCGGGCTGAAGGGCTCCTCAAGCGCGGCCAGAGTGGGCTGAGGCCGAGGAGGTGCCGAGAGCCAGCGAGGGATGCCAGCAAGCTGTCACCTCTCAGAAATACAGGAAGAACATCAATAATGTTCGAAGTTATAAAGTAGTAGGTTTCTATCAAGAGTAAAACATAAACGAAGTTATAAAGTAGTAGGTTTCTATCAAGAATAAAACATAAACGATCAAAGAATTCCTTATAAAAACATTTTTTATTTCTAGGAATCAAAACATAAATATAAAATTTGAGAGTCCACCAAAAAAAATTAGATGCCAGATTTCACTATAATTATCAGGGAAGCGCCCAAATGGGTTGTTTACGGCGCCTCGGGGAAACTTTCTGTTTCGTGTTAAGGGTCTTGAACCATGATGTTTAGAAAACCATGGGCTGATGCTTTCAGAACCTCTGTGATTTTTGCCTCCGACACTGCATCCAATAGACTAGCATGTTGATTAGGGAAAGCTAAATTCAATAAAAGACGACTGTAGGTGGGGTCACCACCTTGAGGGGTCATGTTAGAAAAGTAGATGATAAGGTGGTATTGATAGAGTATTGAAGTCTGGGCTCAAATGGTTGCCCGGGGCCTTTCAAGACCAATGACTGATAAGAATAGGTAATGTTCAGGACATAGAGTTTAGGATTGGGGGACACTGTGAGTTAAGGGCCATGACAGAAGTCTTCATAAGTAAACTGTTAATTGACACAAGCTGCTACCTGCCCAGGTGAGCAATCTGTTGGCCCAGAGGAGAGTTGCTTACTGACATAAATTGATTTGCAGAAATTTCCTGAAGCAAACAATAAGTTATTTATTGGTTTGCAGCCTTACTTTCCTGAAAAATAATTTTCTGGAATGAATTGTGAAATCATGTTGACACAGATGGCCTCAGGTTTCAGTTCGGATAATTAAGCTGTGTAAATATAGAAAGTCGAAGGTTTCTGGGTGCTGTTGATTCACAGTATGCAACAATGATCATATTACTTTTATTTACTATGAGCTTCAGCTGAAAATCCAAAAGAAACTTTAATTTCAGATATTTAATGAAATCATTATAGCTGTGGTAATTTCCTTTAGCTGGGTGTGAGTGTGTGATGTGAGCGTGTGATTGTGTGTGTGTGTGTGTGTGTGTGTGTGTGTACTCTGGCAGCATATTCCAAATAATTTCTGTAAAATTTCAGTTTGAAATTAATAGAAGACATATTAAATTGTTTAAACTCTTTGTTATTTAAATTCTATATTACTTTAGTCGATTACTCTGTATTATTACGGCAAAGCTTTGATATGTTGCCCTGAATTTAAAGAAAAGGCTGTTCGGCCTAAAAACAGGAATATTTTATTACCAAAAAGAATTAACTACCATATGTCATTTACAGAAAAGAGTAAATTCTTCAGGGCATAGAAAATACACATTTCCTTCTGTTTGTGTGGAAATAAGCAAAATACCTGTTATAATAGATTCCTCACAGAATTTTGTGAAGCTTCAGGTAAACTTGAAAGAGAAAAATTAAAATGCTAGAGTTTCATAATTACAAATTGGGATATAAAAATAGAATAATTATTTGAATTTTGTATTTCTCTCCAGGGGATCAAAAGTAATATATAAACTTTTAATAAATATTGATATAGCTTCACGTTGACTCCATATGTGAGCAATTTGCTTTCTGTTAAATTCACAATTGCATAATTTTTTTCAGGCTGGAATGCACTTGGATGCCAGAGATTTTGATTTCTTCATGTGAAATAAGGTGATAATACATTCCAAAGTATATATTTTTTCAACTTTGAATATATCTGGTGTATTTGGAGTAATATCTGAGTAAATACACTTATATGTAAGAGAATCAAAGGAACAAGATATTATTTTATATCCAAGGAAATTAACACTTAGAACATAAATACGTATTGCATTACTTCATATTAAAGAAATGTTTTACAAAAGAAAATAAAGGAGCTTATTTTATAGCCCCATTTCCACAAATAATAGCAAAGGTACATACACATATCTAATGTTTTACACACTCATTATTGTTTCTCTTAAAATTTGTTGCTTATACTATTTTAAAAGGCAAGCCTATAGATTGTTGTGTGTATATACATATACACACAACATACATATATGTGTGTGTGTGTGTGTGTGTGTGTATATATATATATATATATATATATATATATCAGCAAGCAAGAGAATGGGCCTCTTCCTGCTGAGGTTTAACATTTGCATGTATATGTATATTTTGATTCACATAGACTTATTGTTCTTTAATTACATGAACAGTGATTCCTGGTTACATTATTGGAAAATGGAAGCAATGCTCAAAGAGCATCACCTAAATTTCCATCATATTTTGCTCTCAATATATTTTGTACATCCAAATATATTGTGATTAATCTGCATACATTTTTGCTGTTCTAGGTGACGCTGGTATGAGGCTAGGTAATACACGACCTTAGTCTGCATGTTGTACTTGTGTAACACACATAATTTTACAGTGCTAACAGGTGCTATAATAACTAACTATAGTTAATGATGAATGAAAGAAGGAAGATGTTAAGATGTTAGGGAAGGACTCAAAAGATGCAGTGCTTGAGTTAGAATTTTAAGGGAGATTATGCAAAAGCAGTCACTTAAGGTGGGTCGGGATGATCTAGAATGTGGGAATGATGTATGCAAAGTCACACAGGAGAGATACAGCATGCATGTTTAGAAAATTGTTGATTACATATGGAAAGTTTGCAGGACTTGCATCCTAGAATGTCAGGATTTTAAGCTAAGTAGGGTTCAAATTAAATTTTTCACATACTTCGCTGCATTATAATAACTAGTTTATGTTTAACTCATCCACTAAACTAAGTTATTTGAAAAGAGATGCCAGTGTTCACTCAATCTAGTTGTCTGTCATTAATAATTTAAAAATAATTGAGATTTTAATTTTGGTCTGCTAAGCCTGTTTAATTAAAATTTGACGTTAAATAAGATTTTACAGGCCTCATTTTTTTTTCAGTCATCACAGTTTGAATATTAAACATTACTACTTTTATCTCCCTCAGTCAGCATAAAACATACTACTTATGGTTTTAATAACCAAATTCAATGAGCACCAACAAAATTTGATGTAACTATTAACTTTGAAATTTTGTTGAAATAGAACTATGCCTTGGGTATCATTCAAAGCATTTAATTGTTGCAATAAAAAACTTTGAGATAAATTGAAATGATGGACAATATGGGTCGAAAGCAACACTGGCTTGAGGGAATAGGCTAATGTTTGAGAACAGAATTGTTAAGGACAAGATTGGATGTTTATATTATTTTAGGAAAGATACACTCTAATGGAGTTTAATTCTAAAATGTTTAATATTATGAAAATATTATATGTTATATGATCATTATAGAAAATTAAAAATATAAGAACATCAGAAGCAAAATAGTCAAAGTCTACCTAAACCCAATTAGAAGTGAATACTATTAATCTTGATTTGCATGTTTCTAATCTTATTATTATCAAATTAATAAACAGCTTTCAGATATTCTGCTTCTCCCTGTTACTAGATCAGGATAATGTCATTTATGTACAGGCATCTCCTGCTTACTCAGTTCAGCATTGATCAATAAATATTTTAGACTTCCATTCAAAACACTTCCATTTTTCTTTTGCCCATATTCTTTTTATTCAGTGCTGCCTGTTTTCAAATACATAACACTTTGTCAAACAAATTCCAACATTAGATTGGATATAGTTGGTATCAAAGTAGTAATACACATTGCCATTCCTAATCCTCAGTGCATTGATCCTGAAAATTATTTGTAAGAATAGAAAAATACTGGATATTTCAAATTAAGTCTCATTTTGTTGCTTACCCATGAAAGACTGGAATTAACCAACATAACCATTACAAGGTGATTGAGCAAATGAATAGATGGAAAATATTATAGAAACTTTACTGCAGTTCATCAACCATTGTGGTCATTAGGCCGTAGGAAAATACAGTGTGACAGTACCCCTGTCTTCTTTTCCATTTGTTAAGTCTCATATCCAAGTAACAGTGGGTAGACCTTATGAGAACCCAAAGTGAGATAAAAATAATTTTTGGCTTTTCAATGTATCTTATTTGATCTAAGAGGTATTTCCCCGACTTTGATGCAATAATTCTTGTCACAAAATTTGACTTTACTGAAGACCGTTTTAAGGATCTTTGCAGCTGACAGCAGTGACTTTTTTACCTCCTACAAAGTTTCAACTGACAGTCTTATTGTCTCTGACTTTCCCAAATTAATGACATAATTAGTCACCAGGGCTTTGGCTGCTCAATAGGGATTTAGTAAGCAATGAGTCATATGTTGGGGAACACTTCAACAAACAAAATGTTGGCAGAGAAAGATGTATGAATCAGCTAGGAAGAAACACTATTCTATCACTGAGGATCTTTCTAATATTAGATATCACAGAAAAATTTTCATATAGATTACCATACGAGTGAGCCAAAACCTCTAGGAACAAAAAAGCTTAGTATAATTATAACTCCTTGCCATGATTTAACTTAAAATTTCTTTACTTATTTAGCAATTCTATAAACAAGAATCATTTCTGTTAAGGATACTAAGGAGAGTGTTCCTATTGAATCAGAACATTTAAAACAAATAATTGAGGGAACTCACACATGTAAAACGTCATTAACCAAACTAAAATAAAATGTGAGGGCATAAACTTAACCAGAAATGTTTAAAACCTATATATAAAAAAAACTAGAAAACACTTCTGAATGGCACAAATTTGGACTTGAGCACGGGGAAAGAAATTCCATGCTCTTGAAAAAGCCTTAAAATCATAAATGTGCCAGTTCTTTAAATAAACTTATATCTTCTGTGTCATAACAAAACGACATTTTCTAGAATTTCTTTTTCCAGATTTAGAAAAATAGACAAATTTACTTGGAGGAATAAAGAAGCAAGAATAGCTAGAAATATCCTATAAAATCAATGGAATTTGGAGTCAATACAAAATATTAAGCAATTCTTAAAGCTTCTATGATTAAAATGAGTTATAACTACAGATAGATGAAGATCATATAGAAAATCAAGACATTGACAGATATGGAAAGGTGGTATATAATGAAAACATTTCAGATCAATGAGGGGGAAATGTTAACCGGAAAAGAATATTAAAAAGGCAATGAACTCAATAAGACAACAAGAAGCAAACCACAGAAAAATAACTGGACTGGATTAGAAAGAAAATATCTTAGACACTTCAAAAATAAAATATTCAAATAACCAATGAACTTATTAAAAGGTTTTTATTTATATTGGTTACCTGAAAAAATAATTCAAACCACAATGAGATGTAAGTACTTGTCATTCAGAATCCTGAATTTGAAAGGAATATTTTAGAATTCTAAGTTGAAGAGAAAGTGCAAAGTATTGATGAGAATGTTGACTAATTAGAACACTCAAATTGATGTTATTGGCATAACTTAGTTCAAATAATTTGGATAAAGATATGTATTAGGCCCCAAAATTCTACTTGTAAAGATGGTTTCTCCAGAAATGCATGCATATATATAGCTAAAAAAAAATGTGTACTCATGAAAACACTTTTCAGAATAACACCAAAATAACCCCAAACTGTGGCCCAAAAGTGGACTAAAATACTTATAAAGAGTACAGTAAACAAATAAGTTGTAATATGATCACCTAATAAAATATTAGAGAAATAAATATAAATAGTTTCATTTGCAGGTCATATAGTCAATTCGTCTCACAAATATAATATTAAGCAAAAAAATGTGGTTCAAAACACTACACACACTATTTGATTCCTTACTGGTAAAAGTTAGAATAGTGTTATGTTAGGAGGGATGGGTGGAAATCAGGTGTGTGACTATTACATTTTCTTATTCTGGATGATCATAGTATTTTAAAACTCACTAAGCTTTAAACTTATGTGCATTTACCCATGTGTATACAATACTTTAATAGAAGCTTCAAATCAATGAGAAAACATGAAACTGTCTGATGGAAAAATAGCTTGAGGAAATGAACAGGTATGGCAGAAAAGAAGGGCTGCATATAGTTTAAAAACTTGAAGAGATGTTTAATCTCTTTGCAAATAGAAAAACATACGCATTTAAATTGAAATACCATTTTCATGTTCCAAAATTAAAATTATTAGAAATATGATGGTAAACAGTGATGGTAATATGGGAGAAAGGAAACATCCTAGGCAATTTGGCTAAGCTTTTCTGAGAAAGATTTAGGCAATATGCCATTAAAAGATTTAATGTGAACAAATGGGAAATTTGCCCACATAAATAAATGGAAAGATACTCTATTTTTCCTAATTTAATCTGAAAATACCTAAGCCCCTGATATTTTTCTAAAAACTGGAATGTCCCTGTGGTCATTGGGTTTTAGAGACATAATTTTCACTGCGATGGTCATAATTTTAAAAGGTTGCATCATCCATTTTTAGTTAACATATATTGTACTAACATCACATATCTATGTAACAGAAAAATAGAGTCAACTCATGTAGGGACAGACATGAAAATGACAAATACATATAGAGATAGAAAGGTATCTTGTGCATTATACTGAGAAAGACAATAGAAATAAACAATTTACATGGGTTGATTTATTTTGATTAAGATATATAAGTGGTTAGATAAATGTTAAATAGGTCAGTATGTAATTACAGAAAATGACAAATTGTTATGTATGGTACATTTGTAGGCATAACACAGACATTACATTTTGGAAAATTGTGTTCTATGCAACAGTGCCAAGTCTAATGAAAGTAAGAGGAAGAGGAATTCAGCCAAAGTACCAACCCCTGTTATCCATTCCTTAAGAAAGGAACTTCTTTATACACTCAAAAGAGGGGATTCTTTTTAAATTTGTTTCCAGAGGGGCATCTGCATACACATACACATACACATACACACACACACACACACACACACACACATTTACATTATATTTAAATGTGTGTGCATGATATATATATATACATGTATTTATTTATTTAATATATATGTGTTATCTGGGTCCTATATAGGAACACACACACACACACACACACATTTTGAATCAAACACTCTTTCGTATAATTTTGGTGACAAACGTATGCAATAAATGAGAATACTTTAACTTTCCAAAAAGCTATTCAAAAGTATAATTTTCAAATAAAATATATGTTTGTATGACAACAAATGATTTTTTACAAATAATATATTCTGCATTATCAATCTGCCACTGGTTTTTATTAAATAAAAAAACCTGTAAGTTTGTATGCTCTTAAAATACATATAACATTTGTAAGAATAGTTTTTGTGTAAAAATAATTATAGTTCACTATAACTATGTTAAAAATAGACATAGCCAGGCAAGTCGCTCATGCCTGTAACCCAGCACTTTGGTAGGCTGAGGCGGGCAGATCACTTGAGGCCAGGAGTTCAAGACCAGTCTGGCCAACATAGCGAAACCCCATCTCTAATAAAAATACAAAAATTAGCCGGGCATGGTGGCCCATACCTTGTAATGCCAGCTACTCAGGAAGCTGTGGCAGGAAGATTGCTGGAACCCGAGAGGCGGAGTCTGCAGTGAGACAAGATCATGCCACTGCACTCCAACCTGGGTAACAGAGTGAGACTCTGTCTCAAAAAAAAAAAAAAAGAAAAGAAAAGAAAAGAAAAGAGAAAAATAGACACAGATGAAGGGTGTCTTTGATTATGCAAATAGATTACCCATCTTGTACTCACTGTGTTTATTTCAATAAATGATCCACAGAATATGCTACTTTTGATTTATAGTTTTCTTCTCCTTCACCGCTGTGGACTGGGAAAATATTTCTTATTATTTCTGCTGCAGAGTAGCAAAAAATTATGAGCCAGAAGGAAGACCACTACAACAAGCAAAATCTCTGAGTAATCATAAAATGAAGAACTATTTCCTGTTGGGATTCACTGTGACGAATTTGATTTTAAATTCTTGATGTTGGCATTTTATTTTTAAAACTTAGCTTTCTTGCCTATTCTGAAATTGTCAAAAATTCAGAAAAACAATCATGATCATTTGCTTGCTGACCAGTGGAGACCTACTGATTTTTAGGCTGTGAGACTACAGTAATAAATAAATAAAAAAGTTCATACTTCCTTCTATCGAGGGAAATTGAGCATTTTTCTCATAGTCCTAAATCACCAGATCAAGGGATATATGTAATACTTGAGTGTTGACATTTTATTAATTTTTATATTTAACTAGAGCTGTAAAGTTGAAACAAATGGGTCAATGCAGTAGCCCATAAAATATTTTAAAAACACATAAAAGAAATATCACTAAAATTTAAACATAAAAAAAATACAAAAAAACCCTGAGCTATAGGAAGGGAAGTATCCTCTAAATGCCCAAGTTGAAGGTAGTCCTCTTAGAAAGGCACAGTAAGAAGCAGTGTTTGATGGGAACGTGATTTTTCAAGTATTTGAATTTTCAAACTCACCACATTAACTGAGTAAAATGAAAAAAATATATAAACTTCCTCTGAGGCAGAAAAAACATTTGGCATTTTCAAGATAGAATTATAATAAAAATATCTCGCCCCAATAGAATACAAAGAAGCATCCTTAAGCAAATAGAAGGCATCTACGGAAATATCACACTGAAGTGTGAACTAATAAATTATTCATTTAAGATCCAGAAGAAGACAAAGTGTCCTCTTTCACTATTGTTCTCTCTACTGTATGGGAGGAATTAACCAGTGAGACAAATCAAATAAATAAGTAAAACATACACAGTTAAGAAATGAAAAATACACTTCTAAATTTTTAAACAACTCCATTACCTACACATAAACTTCTAGTGACTGTAAAAATCAGCTGCTGGAATAAACTAGTAATTTTAGCCACATCATAGAAAAAATAAGTCAACCCATTAACTTATTTCTATATATTTCCAATGAGCAATTAATGATAAAAATCAAATCCATGTAAAATACTAATAAAAATAAAATATGTATATATGATTTTAACAAATTACATGCAAGATCTCTCTAAATAGGAAACTAGCAAAAGTGTTGGGAGATGTAGGAAAGTTCTAAATAAATGGAGTCACATACAATAATTGATGGTTTTGATGTGTGTCCCTGCCCAAATCTGGTATGATGTAATCTCCAATGTTAGAGGTGAGGCCTGATGGGAAGTGATTGGATCATGGGGTGGATTTCTCATGAGTGGTTCAGCATCATCCCTCTTGATACTGTTCTCATAATAGTGAGTGAGTGAGTTCTCATGAGATCTGGTCATTTAAAAGTGTGTAGCAGCTTCCCCTTTCACTCTCTTGCTGTTCTGGCCATGTGACGTGCCTGTCCCCCTTTGCTTTCTGCCATGATTGTGCGTTTCCTGAGTCTTCCCAGAAGCTAAGTAGATGCCAGCATCATCCTTCCTGTATAGCCTGCAGAACAGTGGGGCAATTAAACCTCTTTTCTTCATAAATTGTCGAATCTTCTGTATTTCTCTATAGCAATGCCGGAACAAACTAATACAATAATCATGGCTTGAAAGTTCAGTGAATTTTAGTGTGTAAAAGGTTTTGGTTTTTCCAAATTAATCATTCTAGAAATCCTCACCATAATCACAAAAGATATTTTTATATAAATTGACACACTGATTTAAAAATGTACATCAAGAGAGCAAAAACAAATGATAGAAAGCTGAAAAAAAAGTTGGAATACTCACACTTCCTAACACCATGCAATAACTTAAAGCTATAGTCATCGAGAGAATGTGTTATTAGTAGATGGATAAACAATTAGAGTAATGGAATGGAATAGAGTTCACAAATAGATCCATGCTTATATGAATAATATAATATCAAAGATACTGCAGTTATTCAAAGGGGAAAGATAATTTTATTTAACAAAGTGTGCAGAACTACGAGATAAATGTGAAGAAAACAAACCTCAAGTCCTTCCTCACAACAAAAGCGTGAATGAGTTCAAAATTAAAGGAGTCCAAAATATATTATGGAACAATGTGTAAAAGTGAAAGCATAGGCTTCAAATATAAAGCACAGAAAATGTCTTAGTAAACTACATGAAAGCACTTCTTTTTATCCAAACTGTGGATACATTTCTTTTTATTCAGAAAGCAATAATTATATAATGATAAACTACAGAAATGTGTAAATATATTTATACTTTAATGTTTATTTTTAATTACACAATTATATATACTATTTATTATGAATAAGAGCAAGAATATATAAATATAATGTACAACATAGAAACAAGAGAGCTATAAAAACTAACAGATGCTACACAAAAATGATATAATAGCAAATAAGCAAAGGAAAAATTTCTTAATATCGTTAGTAATAAAAAATAAAATGAGATAATTATACACATCTACTAGAAAAGCTACTATTTTAAAAATTGTGTTACCAATATTTGGCATAGATGTCAAGAAACCAGACTCTAGAGTTTGCATACATCGACGGTGGGAGTGTAACACAGTACAGCTACTTTGGATAACTAAATCTACCTTACATGTACCAATTCTACCCCTAGGCATTTATCCTAGGGGGGAGAAAAGCATAAGTCTGTAAAAAGGCTTGCACAAGTACCTTTATTCATTATTGTCAAAAACAGACACCATGCAACTGTCCACCAAGAGCGGCGTTCTCAAGTTCAGCACTATTAGCTGTTGAAGTGGCTTAATTCTTTGTTGTGGGGAGCTATCCTTTGTGGAACCCTGGCCTGTGGACACTCTATCCCCTCCTCCACAAACCTCTGATAACCAAAAGTGTCCCCAAACATTGGAAATGTCCCCGGCAGGTAAAATGTCCCTCATTTGAGAACCTCTGGTCAAGAGTTTAGTAAATAAATTATAGTGGTATGTCTATGAAATGAAATAATACGTAACAATAAAAAAAGGTGCTACTTCAACATGCAAGAAATTGTTGAATCTCAAAAATATTATGCTTAAGGAAAAAAGACAAAAAGAATTCATACTCTATAATTCTACTGATATATAATTGTAGAAAATAAAAGCTAATATATGGTAATAAAACCAGATTAGTACTGGATTGACAATGTGTTGAAAGTCAAAAGAAGAGGCTTGAGATCTCTTTCTAGTGTGATGGTTTTACAAGTATATACGTATGTTAATGTTTAAAAATTTCACACCTCAAAAATGTGCAGTATACCAGATGTTAATTATATCTCATAAAGCTATTAAAATTTTATCTCAAAATTATAGCTTTATTGCATTTAGGGCATTATCCAATTTTGAATCTAGTCCAGTTATCATAGCTTAATGCAGTATTATGAAAATAATGCCTATAAAGGTCCAGTTCCTCAAACACCCTTGGAACCAATTTTGTCATCTATATTAGTTACCTTGGGCTGCTATAATGAAGTACCACAAGCTGTGTGTCTTTAAGCAACAGAAATTTCTTCCCTCACAGTTGCGGAGGTCAGAGGTCAGAAAACAAGGTGTCTGCAGGACCAACCTCTCCTCTGGATGCTCTAGGTGAGAATCTTTTCCATGCCTTTCTCTTAGCTTCTGATGTTGCCATCAGAACTTCAGATGGTGTTCCTTGGCTTCTGTCAATATTAATACATAAATCCTTTTCAGTCTCAGCTTCTCTCTTCACATGGTCCTCTCCACATCCTATCTGTTTCTGTTCCCTCTTCTTATAAAGACAACCCATGTTATTTTAAGTCCCACCTACAGACATAATTTTAGCTTGATTACATCTGCAAAAACTTTGTGTCCAAATGAGGTTTCATTTACCTTATGTGTATAACTAGGGGTTAGGGCTTGAACATACGGGTTTGGGGAGGGGAACACAGTTCAGACCATGACACTCATTGTTTCACTCATTAATGAGTTAAGGGTGCTTTGATATTATTACATTTGAATGAGAGTGGTCTTTAAAATTACATTTTGTCGTGTAGTTTGTTCCACCCTGATGCTTAAAGGGAGTCACCTGCCTCAGCCAATTAAACTGTGTTGTCTCTGCAGTGCGTTTTATCACAAGAACATGACCTTCAAGCACAAGAACACCTTGTACTCCACCACTAAAAACAGAAATGACATCTACCTTCACTGCTTCCCTATTTCTCTCCATCTTTACTGACTTGGTATTTTGTTGTTGCTGTCATTTCTGGTTGTTGGTCAATTTTCATTTCTGTTCTTATTTTGCTGATAATTCTTATAAATCAGTGCTGAATTTTGTCAAATTATTTTTCTGCATCTCTACAGATGATCATTTTATGTTTTCGTCCCTGTGATAATTTAGTGAATGTCATTGATCAATTTTTAAATAATGAATATCTTTGCATTTAAGATAATATTTTTCACTATTAATGTTATCTCTGAAATGAAAGCTAAACCTAGTCAATAGATATTAGAGGTGCATGATTTTTAAAATTGTATAAAATTAGATAAAAAATACAAAGAAATATATATAATTTTAAAACTATGTAAAAATGTAAATGCCAAATGATAGAGCACTAAATGAAGCTTGTAATATTAAATACAATCTTTAGAAACTCTTTTGCAGTGCAGGAAAAAAATAGAACTGAAAACAAAGCAGAAGAAATCACAGATATAAAATTAAAGAGGATAGAATTAAGCACCTGAGTTCCCACATCTAAAGTGAAAATCTAAGAATTTAAATATCATTCAAATACAGACTAAAATACAATATAAAATAAAATTTCCTGAGCTAATTTTTAAAATACTGCTTAATTTGTAGGTAAAAATGCAGACTAATTTTCTGACTATATTACTATAAAAACCTTCTACAAATATTTTTTAACTAAAATTATAAGAAAAACATCCGCCATAAACACGTAAGATTAGTATTTTCGTTTCTGAAGTATAAAATGTCTGGATAGACTTGAGCTTGTTGCTTTAGTTTTATATGTGAAGACTGGAAAAATTCTGTTTTGTTTTGAAAAATATTTTGAGCTAAAAATGTTGTATTCCACATTTGTTAGGAATGGAAGTCTTTAAAATATGAAATATTTCCAATTGAAGAAAAATAGTGAAAATGAACTTTATCTGAATAAGATTAATGAAAATTACATGTTGAAAAAGTAAAATAGTTATGTGTACTAACAGTGACTACTAACCCAACAATATAAAATTAAGTAAAAATGTTATTACCATGTTAAATACAAATTAAAATTAATTATAAAAAAGTTAAGATCTATGATTAAAGTATTAAAATAAAATGAGACTGTATTCACAAATCTAAAAGCAAATTGGTGAATGACATATTTTTTGAAATAATAAATTCTTTGGCATATTTTATATTTTTTATTATAAATGAAAATTATTTATTTGAAATATTTAAAGGAACAAAATATTTGCAGCTCTATTTTATTGAGAAAGTAATTACAAAACAAAAACAAGGAGCTTTTGTAATTACAAAAGAATATATTAATAATATTATTTAGAAGCACAAAACCAGAAAAGCTTTATATTATTTCTAACAATAAATGTAAACCATCTAATTTTCTGAAAAGGGGTGGAAATAAATATTTAACAAAGAAGATATTATTCTTAAATTGTAATATGTACATTGCCTAAAAATAAAAAGGTAGTTGAAGATATATTGTGAACAACAAAAAATGAAGAGCTGATAATATTAATGTGCGAAGGAAACTCATAACATATTGTACTAATTATAAATCAGTGTATTGACAAAACCTGAGTCCTCAATTATTATTGACTGTCATTGACATGTTAATGATAGAATATTAAATATAGAATATAATAAAGCAATTTAGAATAAAAAAGAGAAAGCGATAGACATGAATAGAAACAAAATGCAACTGTTCAATATTAAAAGCCTTTCTAAATTGCTTGTGTTTTTCTAGTGACCTGTTTCGCTATGCAGTGTAGGCTCAGGTGTCTAGATTTTAGTTGCAGATAAACACAGGTAGTGTTTTCCAGATCTCAGAATGACCAGTTACATAAAAATAGGCCATAAACCATATATTTCATTCTTACGGTTGACAAACCTCTAATTCACCTGAAAATATTAAAAAGAAAGAAGACAGACGTGACAGTGGTTGGAAGTTGAGGATAAGAAGAAGTTGGCAGAAATAAGCTTTCTTCTTTTGGACAGCAATGCATGATAAAAAAAATTAAACTAAATTCAGTTCATTTCCACTAACTGGGACTTATTTAGAAACTTTAAGAAAGTCTGAAGAATTTCAATTGAGGAGTAAATAAGGGCCAATTTATTTCATAGTGTGGACTCTCAAGACAATATACAACAGTGCTTCTCAAGGTTAAACAGTGTATGAGTGACCTGGAAATGAAGATGCAGATTTAATAGGGCTGGAGAGAAGTCTGAGATTCTCAATTTCTAATGAATTAAATTACAAAGAGGAGAAAATAAGGTTATTGCTTACTTTATATACATTCACAAACACAGGCTAATCAAATAATTGTTTAAAGTATTGCTCTGATAAGAATTAAATTACATAGTTCATAGGAAACATTTTCTTTACATTCGGATTTTATCTATTATTAGAATAATAATAGAATCTTGACTTTATGTAACTCTATGTTCCAAACAACTAGAAACTTTTCGATAGCAATTGTTCACCATTTAATAACATTTTTCCAAGATACCTAATGCACTCAAGGACAAAATAGCTGCCTTCCAGTGATTTCCAATTTATTCAATTTTCAGGCCATCTGTCTGCCCACACAATGACAGATTATAGTTACATTCTTGCCATGCTCTGAACAGCTAAGCCAATTGTTTTCAATCTTTTTTCTTCAGCAACTCCATCTCTTAAAGTACTTCAGAGTAGTTCCTGAAAGGATTCCTCTTTAGTTAAATGGCTATACAGCTCTCCCATCATCCAAAATAATCAGTGGAGAGATAGCAATATTTTTCATTACATTAGGCCAAGTTCCATTGCTTCCTTCATCTTGTAATCTGATCAGAAACACCACTATAGATTCAATAATTGAGTTTAGAGTTTCAGAGAATTTGGGGTCACAGAACATCTATGTCTATTTTGTAAAGATTATTGCATATTACTGAAATAGCTTGTCAAACACTGCAGTCTGCTTAAAGTATCAAAATAGAAATGTTGAATGCTGTGTCTGCACAGAGTTCATTTAAGCAAAGAATCTACTAGGCTCTTAAGTCTGTTAATGCAAATTCCTGAATACAGCTGACCCTCCATACCCCCATTGTGGGTGGATTTAACTAACCATGAATCAAACATATTTGTTAAAAGAAATACCAAGAATAATTTTTAAAAAGAAATACAACAATAAAACAATGCAAATAAAAAACAATCCTTATAACAATTATGTGCATAGCATTTATATTGTATTCAGTATTATTAATGTAAGTAATAATCTGGAAATGATAGAAAGTATACAAGAGGGTTGTGTAAGTTATATGCAAATACTAGGCCATTTTATATAAGAAACTTGAGCATCTCTGGCTTTTGCTATGAAGGGATGATGGTGGTAGGATTGGTGGTGGTCCTGGAACAAATCCCCAGCAGGTACCAAGGGGGACTGTAGACCCCAAAGCTGTTTAGGAATGGGTCACAGCAGCAGGACTGAGGCAGGAATGCTCCCCACAGAAAACATCAACCACCTGTTGATTTTTGAATCTGCTCCTCTCAGGCATGCCTTCAAATGCTATAACCTGGAGAGTCAACTCATTTTCATGCTGCTAAGTAGGAATAGGTGATTCAATTCCCCAAGAAAGTGACAGAGGTCCCTGAAATATAGATTTAAAGTTACATAGTGTCAAATGCTAGTCATTTTCTTTTTGCTCGATGGTATCCTCTCAGAAAAACCTTTTATAATATTTCTAATTCATTTACCAGATTTATAGAATCATCAAATTGTCTATCCATGTGTTTTTCAAATATTTTGTGAAGTGTCTAGGGTAACAACCTAGTGTTCGAACGTATTTTGTGAAGTGGCTAGGGTAACAACGTAATGTTCGAACTTATGTTCGTATTTAAATACAAATGTATTTTGGTTGAGTGATTACTCAAGGTCACTGAGGAATCCACAAGGTTAACCTCCTGACTCTAGAACCATTGTTATATAGAGATATATAAATAGCTGATTTAATATTATAGGCTTAGCAAAATATTTAATAAATAAGGTCTTAGTAAAACAACACACATGTATTTATCCACTTATTTAATTTTGTTTTTCCATTTCTTCTGAACATAAGTTCCTGAGGACACGGGCCTTTTTTCACAGTTCATTTTTGGATTCCAACATCTAGCCAGTACTCTGCAAAGAGCACTGAATTTGAAAGAAATTTCTCAGTTAATGATTTGAATCATATAAAATATTTAGTAAATTTGAAAACTAGTAACCGTGTAAAGCGATTAAAACAAACATACTAGAGGGTAATAATCCCCCGCCCCTTGCCTTCTTCCTTTACATCCACTTCATTCTTATTCTTGTCTACTTCCCCTGCCCCACCCAGGGAACGTGGTTAGCCCATCAGCTGCAAAGATTGTTCTCATATAATATTGTTCTGATGGATAATGAGACTCTGAAAGTGGAACATAAACAGATAAAACAAAAACAAACAGAAAAGAACCCAAAAACCTAAACTCAACTTCAGTTAAAGCAGAAAATATCTGTCCAGCCTAAACCAGGCATACTCCACAGACTTCTGTTAGACGCCTGATCCTACTTCAGTCTGGAACCACCTAGTCTTCAGGTTTGCCTGGTGCTCACCAGCTGAAGAAATCCTTTAACGACCTTTATTCAGTCAAGTAAATCGTTTTCTTTTGGCAACTTGCATGTTATTTTTTAGGTTTTCATTTATTTATTTTTTTATATTTAAAGTCATATTTTCTTCCTTTTATTCACTTTGCTGGTCTTTCTCACTTTGATTTTTTTTTTTTTGCCTTGTTTTGCATTTGTTTACTTTAACATTTTTTGTAACTTATCTCTTTTATTTTGGAAATTATTCACATTATCAGTTTTCTTTTGCTAGGCAATTTTGATATTCTAATAAACATTATTAACATAAAATATAAAGTTTACTAACACCAAGCCCAAACAATACAAAGTCTTAGGGCTCTTTAATTGCAATTATTTAAAAATATTTGCTACAAATTGTTCATTATTTTATATTCATGTTGTTTTTCTTATTCCCACAAATCACATATTGTTGGTGTGTTTGTTAAATAAAATTGTGACTGCTTATATATGTTTTTTCACATCCTTTCTTCTTCTAATATTTTGGAATTTACATCCAGTTAATTATCCTTTATTCTATGGTACATACTGTAAAAGTTACTATTCTTGGTAGTAAACTCTCAGTTTTTGGATTGTCTGAAGATGTCTCTATTTTGATCTGCTCTTGAATTCTAAATCTAATTGACATAAAATTCTAGATTTGCCGTTATCATTTATTAGCACTTCAAAGATATTCCACAATTTTCTGACTTTCAATATTTTTGTTGGTAAAAATGGTGATTGTTAATTGGCTTGCATATTCTGTTTTGGATATTCCACTGTTTCCTTATAATTTGTTTATTTATAAGGAAACTTATAAACAAATTATAAGGAAACAATAGAATATCCAAAATAAAGAGAATAGTTATGGGTTCGTATAGATAATTCTTCAGAATCTACTAATTTGTGTCTTTCTTCTTTACTTCTGTAAACTTTTCAGCTACTATATATTAGAATATTTCTTAACTTTTTTATATTCATTCTGAAATTTCTTGCTGAAATTTGTTCAGAAGGTGAGTTAACGGAGCTATACATCTTTAGTGTCATGTGCTCTAAATTGCAAAATACATGTATTTTTATTTCAGACAACTTGAGTAACATTTGTGCAAATGTTTTATATACACGGACTTAATTTGGTAAATTTAGGCATGTGGTAGACAAATTTAAAAATGTATAAAAATCATGGGCAAGCATATGAACATTCTATTTTTGCTACTATAAAAAAATAGCAGACTATCCAACTATTTTATGATACTCAACGATACATCTTACTAAATGGTCACGACTCTTGCCTCTCAGGGTCAGAGTTTGCAATAGTGAAAGCAAGAGAAAGCCACGGAAAAAAAAACAGGGAGAGGGAAAATATTAAGCTCTAGAATATGTACATTGTTTTGCTTGTATAAATTTGGAACATTCAACACATGTTTACAATGAATACATATAAAATACCAATGACATGAGGAGAATTAGAATAGAAATAAATACAAGGATTCTTTCATGATAACTAAAAATATCAGTGAAGGTTTGTACATAAAATTTAGGGATTTTATATTATTACCTAATACAATTCTGGCTATAACATCACTAAAGGATTGTAAACGTCTGCTGGGAAACCTATGGGAAAAAAATGCAAGTGGAACTGGTGTCATACAAACACATTTTCTAATGGGAAGCTTAACTGGTGAAATGTAAGTTGGAAACGTTACTCAATTTAGGTCTATGAAAATGTTTTCCCAAATACAATCTTTTCTTGTTTGATAGGAGGTTTTACTGTGATGTATTATTTCTGACAGCCTCTTTTTTTTTTTTAAAAGCAAACGAGTAGAATTAAGTGAATTAATTATCATATCTAACCTGTAAGTACAAATTACTTTCCCTTGGAATTACATAATTGATAATTGTACATCCTCAGATGTGTTTGAATCTGAGATTTACTCTAAACTCAGAGGAAAAAAAGTGAAATTTTGTTTCCATTGTGACACCTTTGTTTCCTTTTTAAGTTTTCAAAATTTCTTAAAAATTATTTTTCCCTTTCATAATTTATTCAACAAGTATCTATTGTTAGGTGTTGGGAACACAAGACCTAAAACTCCTGACAAATATATTCTATTTCTGAGGTCAATTTGTACATTAATAAATGCATATATAATACCAGACAAGATTGTAATGCTAACCAGTTTGACTTTGAGGCACGGTATTCAGAATGTAAATGCCCCTGGAAAAAACATTGAATATAAATGCCCCTGGAGAAAGAATGTAGTTGGAAAAAACATTCTGAGGTAAAATTATGCAATATTGGTATGACTAATTAGAGTGACCAGAGGTTCACACATTTTTGTGACATGCCATTGGTAGAAAAAGAGCCATAGCTGAAAAAATATGGCAGTCATAAGATGTCAGTGGAAATGAAGACAAGGATACCTTTTGGTCAATTTTCTTGAAAATATTGGCTTTTTCAACAGTGTAGTTTATTTAAAATTTAGTCCCAGTTCTTAGCAATTATTTATATACTGATGGACTTATATCCAGGGTCTTCTTGAATTAAAAAAAGTCAAAAAATAATTTTATAAATTTAAAATATTATAAAATTATGATATATACAATTCTTGCTCTCTCTGTCATATTTTTCCAATTTTTTGTCTGTCTTGTTTTTTCTTGCCTTTTCTTCCCTGTCCTTTCCCTTTCGTTTCTTTTCTTTTTGTTTCCTTTGTCTGGCCTTGCTTTGAGTTTCTTTTCCAAACGAATTCACTGGAGGTGGTATTTTTATGCATAATATACACAGCAAATGTCTAGGGCCTCTCATTTTTTACAAATCTTTGTAAGAAAAGGCTATCTATTAACCCAATGACATTGTCATAACCTTTTCTAAATTTCAATGATATTCAGTTTCTCGCAGCTATTACATTACAAAGTATACCTCAGTAAAAATCTAGTAAGTCATAGGGCTGATGTTGCTGATTGCTCACTTGCTCAAGCCAGAAGCTTAGAATACATGCTTGATTCTTCACTTTCCTGTGGGTTTATGCCAAATCAATTTCAAATCTATAGATCTTATCCTCTAAATAACATACAGCATGCCTACTTTTTTCTCTCTCTCGACTACTGTCACATTAATTCAAAAGAAAAAGACTGATGATTCCTAACTTCCTGGCTTCAGTAATTGGCAACGATGACATCACTACTAAGGCTTCACTTCTCACCTCTGCTTCCATATGAGTGTAATGTTATTTTCTCCTATGACAGATAAGTTTATTTTTCACCATTAAAAGGTAAGAAACTCACTCATAACCAAAGTTGGAGGAGACAGTTATTTTTTTTCCCCAGCTTGCCTGTTAAAACCATAAGGAATGATTAATCTGCCATGGTGCTTGATGTGGCCCAGGGATGTGCTCAGACTCAGTCATGTAGGGGCAGGTGGTATTAACATTAGTTCAAACATGGAACCATGGCATGTGTTAGAAATAATGGCTTATATTAGAAACTGGACATAAAATTGTCGTGAGCAAGAAAGTTACCTCAATTTGAGTCTACTAGAAGTTTCAGAGTGCCATTTCACATGGCCACAAAGTTCAAAAGTTCCAAAAGAAGCAAAAGTTTGACCAAGAAATCAGTGATTTTTTAAAAAAGAGAAATTGAGCTCAATCATGTTTTTTATATCTTCTACTGTACTAAAAGTTTTTTTCTCAATAATTGACTAAAAGTTCATTAACTACTGCACAGACTTCAATATTTAGAAATGTAATACGGGCTTGCTAACTAAAAGTGAAGTTATTTTATTGTCGGAACTAGCTATTGTTAGAAAGACTCATTTGCTTTTTATAATACAATTTTACATATGATTTATAGATTGACAGATTATAACAATTTATAGATTATTACCTCATTAATTTATTGAATAACCTGACTAAATTACTTAGTCACTGAATTAAATACAACCCAGCCTTAATACTTTGGGTCAAGGAACATTGACCAAATATGTATTTATGCCACAGATTCCTTGAAATTTCTTACCAAAGTAAATTGTTTCATGAAAAATACAGAAATAAATTGGTAACTAAATAAAACATGTTCTATATTTCAACTTGAAAAATTAAAGAAATTAATAATTCTTAAAATCAAAGCAATGATCATTTGTTTCCTAATTATTATTATTGTGAATGTACTTAAAATTTTTGCTATGCTTTTAAGAAAGATGTACTTCTATTAAAAATTATTAAAATAAACAGCAGAGAGACTGACTTTTCAAAATAGTTTATCTGGGAAGAGCAATGAACTGCAATTTGGGATATGTGTACCGTACTGAACCATAGGCACATTTGAAAAAGCTGGGGGAGCCGAAGCTTTTTTAAGGGTAAAAGGTGAAGTTCCCCATCAAACTACCGTTGGCATTCTTCACAGAATTAGAAAAACCTATTTGAAATTTCATATGGAATCAAAGAAGACCCCATATAGCCAAGACAATCCTAAGCATAAAGAACAAAACTGGAGGCATCACACTACCTGACTTCATTACTGCAGGGCCTCAGTAACCAAAACAGCATGGAACTGGTACCAAAACACACATATAGACCAATGAAGGTGAACATAGACCTCAGAAATACACCACACGTCTACAACCACCTGATCTTCAACAAACCTGACAAAAACAAGCAATGGGAAAGGATCTCATATTCAGTAATAATGTGGGAAATCTGGCTAGCCATATGCAGGAAACTGAAACTGGACCCCTTCCTTACACCTTATACAAAAATTAACTCAAGATGGATTAAAGACTTAAATGTAAAACCCCAAACCATAAAAACCCTAGAAGAAAACCTAGGCAACAACATTCAGGACATAGGCATGGTGGGCAAAGAGTTCATGACAAAAATGCCAAAAGCAATTGCAACAAAAGCCAAAATTGACAATGGGATCTAATTAAACTAAAGAGCTTCTGCACAGCAAAAAAAAAAAAAAAAAAAAAAAAAAAACTATCATCAAAGTGAACAAGCAACCTACAGACTGGGAAAAAATTTTTGCAATCTACCCATCTGACAATGATCGAATATCCAGAATTTACAAGGGACTTAAACATGCTTACAAGAAAAAGACAAACAACGCTATCAAAAAGTGGGCAAAGGATATGAACAGACACGTCTCAAAAAAAGACATTTACGTGGCCAAAAAACATACAAAAGAAGCTCAACATCACTGATCACCAGAGAAATGCAAATCAAAACCACAATGAGATGCCATTTCACGCCAATTAGAATGGAGATTATTAAAAAGTCAGGAAACAATAAATACTGGAGAGGATGTGGAGAAATGGGAATGCTCTTACACTGTTGGTGGGAAAGTGAATTAATTCAACCATTGTGGAAGACAGTATGGGCATTCCTCAAGGATCTAGAACTAGAAATACCTTTTGACCCAGCAATCCCATTACTAGGTATATACCCAAAGGAATATAAATCATTCTACTGTAAGGGAACATACGTATATATATTTATTGCAGCACTATTTACAATAGCAAAGACATGGACCCAACCCAAATGCCCATCACTGATAGACTGGATAAAGAAAATGTGGTACACATACACCATGGAATACTACGCAGCTATAAAAAAGGAATGAGAGCATGTCCTTTGCAGAAACATGGATGAAACTGGAAGCCGTCATCCTCAGCAAACTAACACAGGAACAGAAAACCAAATACCGCATGTTCTTATTCGTAAGTGGGATTCGAACATTGAGAACAAATGGACACAGAGAAGGAAACAACACACGCTGGGGCCTGTTGGAGGTTGGGGGGTGAGGGGAGGGAACTTAGACGATAGGTTGAAAAGTGTAGCAAACCACCATGGCATACGTATACCTATGTAACAAACCTGCACGTTCTGCACATATATCACTTTTGTTTGTTTTTTGAAGAAGAAGAAGAAATAAAGAAAAAAAAAGGTGAAGTTCATGTAAATTATTTTAAAATAAACCTCTTTGGCCCCAGAAGCTTATTGCTTGGTATGGACAAATACTCATCGGTGATACTGGCTATTGCTGGGAAGATGTCTTCATAGAAGCGTCGTATCTAAAATTTTTGTAGTTTTCAGGGAGTCCTTGCAATAATTCTTTTAGAGACATCCATGCATGAAGGGCCTTCTTTTATACTCTCCCAGCTCCATTTTGTTGTGGTTTGACTTCAGTGAGTCAACTTCTTTGCTTGTAACTTTAACATTTCCCCCCTTTGACCAAGAATTTTTTCTGAAAGCATTGCTGATTAATCAGCCTATAGTTAGGTTTTGATTGTTTCTTGGTGCTGGAGTGGACCTTTCCTAGTCAGTCTGATCCTGCATCAGAGGTGAATGGCCAGCAACTAAGAGCAGATGTCAAAACCCTATTAGTCACATTTAAGAAACAAAGAGGTTCAGAAGGAGTGGCTCTCAGGATAAATCTGCCTGGAGTTCATTGCTAAGTTCAATTTTGTCAGTTCCATAGGCATTGACTACCATTTGGAAGTTCTGGACCAGTGTTACTCTGTTAGATGCATCATTTCTGCAGAGGTTGGACAGGAAACAGATAAAAAGTTTAAAAAGAATGATGCGGTACAAAATTAATAGTAACATGAAATATTGTCTATGAACATGGACCCAAAGGCAGCCAACTAATGAATCAAAAGTCTATGTGAGACTGAGTGAGATCTGTTGTAGCCATAAAGCCTGTCTTGCTATTTTATGCAATTAGGTCTTGACTTCCCCAGAGAAATATATTCAGGTACAGCATGTAGTTATTAGCAATGGCACAGACATTCTTGTTCAACCAGTAGATAATTGAGAGTTATCTCATCCTGTCCTGTTGTGTTATCTACGGCTACTCAGCAAGATACTTTAATGAGCACTGCTGGGCGGCAATAGCCTTTGCGGTGAAGCCTGCAACGAAACCCAAGGTGGCAAATAAATTAGGGATGTTGCCATAGTTACCCACTGGGTGGACTAAAGGATCCCTTAGGTCATGTAAAGATGTGGGTTTGACACGACAGATCCAAAACTTCATTCAGTTACGGAGGCTACTGAATGTGAAATTCTAACCACAGCGTTATTCTGCCAAGTGAAAAATGTAGGCATAAGCAAGAAAAAAAAAAAATAAGAAGGATAAGAGTCCAGTTTTGTTACAATGTCTTGGGAAAAGCTTTCCACACTGTGATGTCATCAACTTCTTACTCTGGTTTGTAGTTTGAATGTTCCTGGGTATAGCATGGGGCATTTTAGTCAATTCTCTTTGTAGCCCACACAATAGCCATGAGATTTCTCTCTTGAAATTTACATGGAGTTTTCTGGCTCCAACTTGTAGGACTTTAGGAACAAGGCAGTTTATGTTCTTAGTTGGAGAATCATAGCCAGACGTTGGAGGAAATTAGAATAATTAAGTGCCCTGTCTAATTTAGAGATAGATGACAAAAACTTGAAAACAACAAAGAAAACTACAATCTACTAACAGGTGTACTGCAGTTTTTCTTCAGAAACATAATTTTTCTCTGTACAATCATCCCTATTTCTACTAAAGATAATCAGAGTAAGACTAATTTGTCTGCTGAATAAGTTTAGTCTCATTAAACTTGGCATGATTATTGACAACAGTATAGCAAGAAAAGGGATGAAACATGGGCTGTTTTTAAGTTTATTTTGATGGAACTTTTGATAAGAAATCTCAGATTAGACTTTTAAAAGCCTTTCAAGGGTCAGAAGTCAAAGGAGGGCGAACATCAGACTTTGGCTGCAGTATCTAAAAATCTGCATGAATTTCTCTCTTCTTGAGGTCTCCAATATATCTGGAGGTTCCTGGCCTGTCAAGAGGTAAAAATGTTTATTCACTCACTGTGAGCTTGGGAATCCTTGAAGCTAGGCATCCTGTGCATAGTCTCAAATATCACATTCAAGTCAAACCATTTATAATATAACCAATGTTTGTAATTCTATCCTGTTACAAAGAGAATAGATTTTTATTGAATTAATGCAAATAACTATGTTGCCATAAAATAAAAATATCAATAAGAGCTCTCTGAAGACTGCAGCCGCAGGTAGGAAGAAAAAATAAATATTTCCATTTTTATTTATAAAAGTATACTTTACCAAATTGCTGTATGCTATAGATAGCTTTTTAAAAGTTTTCTCAAATCTGGAAAACAAAAAATTTAAAAAAAACAGCAAAATGTTAAACAAAAAGTCACTCGAAAATATTGCCATCAGTTTGTTTAGTCCCATTCATTAAACTTATTCTACTTGATCTGGGTTAGATGTTTTAAGAAGCCATCGTTTCTTCATTAGAGTCCTGGAAATTCTTTCCCAGTCCAGTGGTATAATCTTAAACTCATAAGAAATCTAAATTCCAGCATACTTGTTAGAGTCCTTTTCATGAACCTCCTTGAAGAGGAAGTATTTTTCTTTATTCATTTTAATTTATTCTCTACAATACTTCATTAGGGAGTTCAATGATTTGCACTCAGAAGTTAAATAGCCAAGAGGCAAGCAAGTATAATAAACTTCAGAATTGGACTGAGGTTGTTGCACTGAAGGCCATGTAGTCTTTTGCTTCAGGGAAATAACAACAAAAATAACCAAAATGAACACATAGCTCCCTAGGCTTCTGAATCTCAGTAGAGAATAACATCAACATTTAATGAAATTGTAGATATTAACACATCATGGGAAAAAAGATACTGTGCAAAATATTATAATTAACACTTGGCACTTCTTATGTCTAGATTTTTATTATAAACAATAAAATATATGTAATATCTTAACTACAGACCTTTCATGTTGAAAGGGCATCTAACATAACTTGTTTTAACATTATGAAGGGAAAAAGTTTAGAAATTTCAAAGTGGAAACAATCCAACACTAACAAACTATAGTGATCAAAAGTATTAACTTTTAAAGAAAAACAAGGACAATTCATAAAAGTAGAACTACCATTTGATCCAGCAATCTTACTGGTTATCTACCCAGAGGAAAAGAAGTCATTACACAAAAAAGATACTTGCACATGCACGTTTATAACAGCACAATTAGCAATTGCAAAAATGTGGAACCAGCCTAAATGCCCGTGAATCAATGAGTGAATAAACTGTGGTATATATTTATGTGTGTGTGTGTGTGTGTGTGTGTGTGTGTGTGTGTATATGTATATATATATGCATATGTATATATATATATATGCATAAATACATATATGTAATGGAATACTATTCAGCCATAAAAAGGAATGAATTAATGGCATTCATAATAACCTGGATGGGATTGGAGACTATTATTCTAAGTGAAGTATCTCAGGAATGGAAAACCAAACATTGCATGTTCTCACTCTTAAGTGGGAGCTAAGCTATGCAGATGCAAAGGCATAAGAATGATACAGTGGACTTTGGGGACTCAAGGGAAAGAGTGGGAAAGGCATGAGGGGTAAAAGACTACAAATTGAGTTCAGTGTATACTGCTCGGGTGATGTGTGCACCAAAATCTCACAAATCACCACTAAAGAACTTACTCATGTAACCAAATACCTCATGTTCTCCAAAAACCTATGGAAATAAAAAATTTAAAAAATTACAGAAAGGGAATGTATTATGAGACAAGCCACGTTTATAGACCAAAGCATGCTCATAGCTAGGGATGAAACAAACCACAAACCAAGCCAGCAAAGTTGGGTTGATTCCTTGAAAAGAATGGTTACCTATTGTCCAGATTGAGTAGCCCAAAGACAGAGGAAACACTGAGCGTAAAACATTCCCTTTTTTTTAAACCTACCACTCACACCACATGCACTGATCACTCTCATCACTGCTTTGGTAAAGCATGTAGGATGCAGTTCAGTTTCAATTTGGAGCTGTTACCTCCCCAGGCAAAGCTGCCACACAGATGATCCAGGCTTGGTGTTTTTCCTGAGAGCCACCTGCCACACATTTTCATAAGGTGACCATGACTATGCACATCCAGGCTACTTCCTGACTAGGCCCTGTTCAGGAAGCATCCTGAGGTGTCCATTCCTCGTGGAGCCAAATAGTTCCCTTGGTTGACTCCTGAGTCCCCTTGGCAAGCCAAGCAGAATTCAAGCATTTCTACTGCTAGCCTTGTGTGGGAGCATGAGCGAATGTAAAGGGAGCAAGGCTCTTCAGTCCATAAACCACAGCCTACTTCGGGGTGGTGCTGGACCAGCCCTATTCTTGGGTACTGAATTTCTTTTTCTCATTTGTTGGGATTTTAAATTTTCTATTTATTTTCTTAAATGGCAGGTATCCTACTGCATCTTCAATAAAATAAAATATATACATATATATGTTGTACACTGGAGAAAACAAATAGGGGAACAGTTTGATAGTTTAGCCCCATTTTTTGCTTTTATTTAACCTTTAGAAGTAAAACACAATTATTAAAACAGAATGCTTGAGCAGTAATAAGCGTAGCCCTATGTATCAATATTATTGTACAAATTGGATGTGGGTGCTTAACCCAGAGCTGACCACCCTGATAATAATCCAGAAAAAAACCATTGTTACATCTGTTTGTAACAAGACATTTATTATTCTCAGCACCAGGACATCATAAAATGACTCCTTGATCTTCATTTACTTCACCAAGGGAAACGTGGCAGGCTACAGAAACTCAGCACAGCAGTTAGTGGGGCTGTGCCCTGGGTGCCCTGATGTCACCCACATTTCCCTTGCATGTCTCAGGTCCTAATAAGCAGTGCAGGACAATGTTGAGCCAACCTACTCACCCGTGCCCATTCCTTCCCAGAAACTTAAAGGTGATCCCTATAATAGCACATATGTCCTTTCCCAAATTGTGTCTTTGCTCCCCTAACCCCATTCTTGGCAGAAGAAAAAACAAAACATCTCTTGACTTGAATATTTGCTTATTTTAGAAACCGACACAATCACCATAAACTTAAAAAAAAAATAAATCAAAATGTTGTTTTCACTGGGTTGACACCTATCTGCTTCAAGAATTCTCTAAGCATGTTGTTGAAAACCAGTGTAACATCTTTAGGATCTTTCTCCCAACTGACCAGTCTTCCTGTGAATCATTTCAGCAGTTCCTTTGTGGCAATGTTTACAAAGCATCTTCTAAGTCCTCTAATTCTATGAGCTTTGCTATCAAAATAGTGAAGAATAGGAAAGGGGGAGGAAAAAACTAGCTGACAGCTATTTGGAAATCAGCAACAATGTGAAAGAGAAATGTATCTCATGAAAGTTTGAAAGACATGGAATAAATGAGCTCCTTGGAAATTTGCCCTGGCGGAGTGAAGATTCCCACTTTATCTTCTTAGGCAAGATAAAGATCCACCTTATGTAATTACACAGCTTTGTTTAAGCATCCTGTAAAAGACTGAAAAATCAACTGTCTTCCTAACTCTACAGGCAAACTAGAAAAAGGATCTCCCTGCTTACTGGTCCCTCAGGATGTTTTCCTGAAAAGAAAACCAGCTTAGAGATACTGGATTTTCTTCTATGACAAAGTGTCCTCTTAAAGTCCAACCGAAACTTGTTTGCACACTTACACTTCTGAAAGCCTAGGTCCGACTATAGGGCTGATACCGGGAGAGAAGTGAAGTAGCTGGGTGGTGAGGAAGTGGTCTCTCCTTTCACATCTCTGTGCAGTCATGATATCAAGACCCCTTGTGGACATCTCTATTCCATTCCTCAGTCAGTGACACCACAGAGCTCTGTTTGATACCGGGAGACTTAATGCAGTAAAAGTGACAGAAAGTGCAACTGATAGTAGGATGAAAATTATAATCTTCAAGGATTATTGAGCCATGAGATCTGCAATGCTATCGTAGGGTTTCTGATCCTGATGTGGGTCTCTGTCCGGGATCCTTGAAGAAATTATGGCACCCACATCCAACCCTAACATAGCTTCCACTTATGAAACAAGGAGGTTGTAATCAACTCTTGGTATGTAATAAACTGGAAGTTCAAAAATGTAATTTAAAACAATCTAAAAGAATGTAGTGTTGGTCTCCATTGCACAGACTGCTAGGGGAATATATCAACTTGATTTGGGGAGGCTGTAGAGGTATATAGAGGAGTATATGGGTTAAACCTTAATGGATCATCAGTTTCAGAGAAGAAGCAATTTTTTATTGTAGCTGATGGCAAATGCTTTTACAAAAGAATGAAAGCAGTCGGTCCCTGTGGATGACAGACTTAGAGTGGCCATGGTTAAAAATCTCATGGAGTTTATTATACTAATAATGTAATTGACAAAGAAATTTGTTTATTTCTGTGGCATACAAAACTTGAAGATAATAACCAAGATTATGACCGATAACATGTCAGATTTTGAAGAATTCAATATAATTTTGTAACACATATCAATAACATTCTGAAATACAACTTAAAGAAGGTTTAGCACCACTTAGTATTTGACAATACTCCCTATATAATTTAATATATCAAGTAAGTCTCATTAGTTTAATATATCTCTTTACAATGTGAGATACACATTCTTTGATCTTTCCAGGGGTCCAAATGAGAAATATCAAAATTAACTTGAGGGCAAAAAGAGTTAATTTAAAATATTATTTTGGGAAGTTTGTCAAAAACATCAAACAGTTTAAAACACTTTATCAGAGTACGATAACAGGTAACCAAAATGAAAATTAAAAGATTTCAAAAAATAAATGTAGAAATTTACATAATTGTCAACAAAAACATAGCTTTTTAATACTGAGAACATTTACTTTTCTCTTTTTTTAACTTTTATTTTAGGTTCAGGGGTACACATGTGGGTTACTTACGCATTTATATAGGTAAATTGTGTGTCACGGGGTTTGGTGTATAGATTATTTCATAACCCAGATAATAAGCATAGTACCCAGTAGGTAATTTTTAAATTTTCATCCTCCTTCCTCCCTCCACTCTAAAGTAGGCCCAGTGTCTGTTGTTCCATTTGTGTCCATATGTACTCAATGTTTAGCTCCCCTTATAAGTGAGAACATATGGTATTGGGTTTTCTAGGATAATGGCCTCCAGCTCCACTCATGTTGCTGGAAAAGAGATGATCTCATTCTTTTTATGGCTGCATAGTATTCCATGTTGTATATCTACCACATTTCTTCATCCAGTCTACCACTGATGGGCATTTAGGTTGATTCCATGTCTTTGCTATTGTGAAAAGTGCTGCAATGAACATACACGTGCATGTGTCTTTATGGTAGAATGATTTGTATTTCTTTTGGTATATACTCAACAGTAGGATTGATGAGTTGAATGGCACTTCTGCTTTGAGTTCTTTGAGAAATGGCCACACTGCTTTCCACAATGGCTGAACTACCTTACATTCCCACCATCACTGTATAATCATTCCCTTTTCTCCACAACCTCACTAGCATCTCTTATTTTTTGAGTTTTTAATAATAGCCATTCTCATTGGTGTGAGATGGTATCTCATTGTGGTTTTGATTTGCATTTCTCTAATGATTAGTGATGTTGAGCATTTTGTCATATGCTTTCTGGCCACATGTATGCCCTCCTTTGAAAGTGTCCGTTCATGTACTTTGTGTACGTTTAAATGGGATTGTTTGTTTTTCACTTGTTGATTTTTTTAAGTTCACCAGATGCACTGTGCTGGGGTTCTGTGATAGTCCCTAATTGCTGTGCACCCTCCCAAGCCTGAGAGCAGCAGGAGGGAGGGTTGCGAGACAGCAAAAAGGTGGACTGCCTCTCTCTTTGGAAGCTGCATGCCGGAGAAGTGTAGAGCTGCTCCCAGCTGGAGAACTCAGGAGGACTAGGGTGGCCTCACTAGCATCCCAGGCTAGTGGGCCTTATCCTACAAGGTTCAGTGGTGGTGAGGTCTGCAGTCTATCACTGCTCAGCCCCATGGACTTGGCCCCTTTTCTGGGGAGCGTGCAAGAAAACTTGGCCTTCCCAATTGCTGGAGCTGCAGCCCCTGGTTTTGGGGTACCCAGGGAACAAATGCTACTGGGACTCCACACCTACCTAAGAAGCAGCTCTACCCAGACTCCACATGGCTCTCTGTTTTGGTCTGGAGACCCCAGCTGGGGTATCTCCTGAGCCCAGGGATTCAAAGGTTCGTGGCAGAAATATGCATCCCACGGGACTCTCACTCACTCACCATTTTCTTGTAGGGGGATTCCCCTGGGTCTGTGCCACTCCTGGGTGAATGGTTGATCTGTCTCACTCTTCTCCGTGATCCGAAGGTCACACTATGTCACTGATGAATCCTTATGTGTCCACCTGGATGTTCCGGTTGAAGAGCTAGTGTCTCACCACTCTTTCTGCTATTTGTGAGAGTGGCACACACTAGCTGCTTCTAGTCAACCATCTTGGCCCCACCTCACTCACTTTTCTCAAGTAATCAAAGACCTAGTAAAAGAGAGCATAAAGCATAAGAAATTACCTTGATAAACAAAAAATCTTGGTTTATTAGGCCAGTTATCTAAAAGGTAGAGAAAACATTTCACTATTTTCTATTAAGAGCAGGTCAATACTCAAAGAAAAGCTTGTTGTTTCAGCACAGGGGACAAATTTCAAGTTTTCCATTCCTGTACTTTTGATAATAATGCTCAAGTTTTCAGAATATTTATAAATAATTTCCTTTTAACTTTAGCCAACTTGGTCACACATAAAATTCTTTTCACAAGATTAATCTTCCACAAACTTTCTATAAATTTGTCATCCAGTTATCTTATTCAGTTTTTGTCTATATTTTTTCTCTTTTTCTTTTTGGAACAGTAAGACATTCTACTTTTAGACAAAAAATACTCTCTTTTTCCCTTAACAAAAACACAACCTCTTACTTATAACTTTCTTTATGTGTTTTCCTTCCCTCGCGTACAGATTTGTTTCCCTTCATTATTTCTAGTTTAAATTACTCTAATATTAATTTTAATTAACTCTTAGTAACCTTAATTTCTAGTGAAAATTAGTAAGCATTTTGAAGTGCATCATGTTAGTATTTTGCAGATGAACACCATCTCATAAAATAATTTTTATGCCTTTAATTAACAGGCCCAAATATGTTTAGCTTTTCCATAACATGTGAAACCAAGATGCCAAATTATGTATATTTTAAACTTCTGTTAAGCAATTGATATTTCAGTATTTTCCTTAGAAATGACTCAAATATTAAATCAGTAAAGTGTTACTTAATTTAATATAACATGATTTTAAGATTTCAAGTCACACTAAATTATTTTTGAAATTCTGACAACTTTATTATCAACCTTTTGTCAATGTATATTCACCTAATTCACTTGTTCTTAACAATTGTGCTTCAGTTCCTCCTTAAACACAACGATGAGTGGATTTATAGCTTTAAGACATTCATTATACATCTCAGTAATAGCAAGCTTGTTTCACCAGTAACTTTAGGTTTAAAAACTGTATCTGTACATTGTAATTAATGCTGACAATTCTGAAAATATTTGTTTTTATTTTGCCAACAAATTTTAAAACTAGCTTTGTCTGCCAAAGATTATTTCATCACATAAGCCAAAAGGCAATTGAGTTTCTGTTTTTCTGAGAGAATTCTTAGTTTAAACACTTATGTTTTCTCTGTAAGCCAATTAAGTAGAGCCGTTTATGAATTTTGGTAGAAAAAATTGTACATACGCACACACACACACACACACGTAGAAAAATACAGACAGAGGAAGAACTTACAACTTGCATTAAGAATTGTTATTTGCCTGGCTTGCAAGTAGTTTTACTCCCTCTTTCAGACTATCTGTCTTTTAATGATCTGTTCAATTGGCCCATAAACAAGTGTTAGTTAGGCCACCCAAAATTTGTACTTCCAAAGAGATGATTTTTAGGTGAAGGAATGTAGAAAATTTAAATCTCAAAGGTACAGAACTTAAACACCACTATTTGTTGAGATGAAAAAAAGCATATATAGGAAGCCTTCAGAATGAAATGGTCAAGGGTGAGTTTACACAGATAGATAGATTTAGGTCTCTTCCTTTTGCTTTGTGAAAGCATCTAGTGTTTTAGGTGTCAGAGAGGGAGATATCCTTACAAAGCAGAGATTATCATTACAGGTTTACATTTCTTACAAAGAGTTTCAAAATAAACAGGTAAATGCCAAAAACATATATTTTGGAGACGGATTAATTCACTAGTTGGTCTATTCAACTTAACTTGTTTCCTAATGAGATTAAATTCATGCACAAATAACCAAACCAAAAATTAAACCAAAAGAATACTCACCAGAAAGGATGTCCTTTACAAGAGCAGATCCCCCAAAATGTAAGAGTTCACTGAAAAGGTGGGAGCTCAAACCAAGAGAGGACTTATCTCGCAGCATAAAGACAACTTGTACAAGTGAAGATCACAATAGGCTCAGGTGAGTATCATACACAATTTCAAGTATCGCCAGATACTTGAAAGCCTTCCAAAGGCTTTCTTTGTTACTGTTTGGATAACAGTGCTGTAACTGTAAGTAACAAAGAAGGCTTGGAGCCTTTGCATCTTGCTTCTGACATTAGATTATGTCAACTTAAACAACAGAGATACTGACTCTCTAAAATAAAGAGTGGAGTGTATTCAGGAAATAGCAGTAAATTGCAATTTGAAATACACATGCTATGGTGGACCTTAGGCACCAAAGAAGCTGAGGGACTGTATTAGTTTGTTCTAGCACAAAGAACTACCTGAGACTTGGTAATTTATAAAGAAAAGAGGTTTAATTGACTCATGATTTCATAGGCTGTACAGGAAACATGATTGGAGGAGGCCTCAGGAAACTTACAATGATGGCAGAAGGCAAAAAGGAAGGAGGCACGTCTTACATGGCCGAAGCAGGGGGAAGAGGGCAAAGGGGAAATACCACACACTTTTCAACAAGCAGGTCTCATGAGAACTCACTATCACAAGAACAGCAAGGAGGAAATCCACCCCCATGATCCAATCGCCTCTCACCAAGCCCCTCCTCCAACATTGGGGATTACAATTCGACATGAGATTTGGGTGGGGACACAAATCTAAACCATATCAGGAAGGCAAAAATCTTAAAAGAGAAATTTTATGTAAGTTTTGTAATAAACCTCATGGGCCAGAGAAGCTTGTTACAAGAGTTGGCAAATACTCATTGATAATATTGGCTGTTGCTGGAGAGATGTCTTCATAGAATTATCATATCTAACATTTTCGTGGTTTTTGAGAGAACCATTGCAGCAGTTCTTATTATAGACATATGTACATGAAGGCCCCTCTTTCATGGCCTCCCAGCTTCATTTTTTTATGGTTTGATGTAAGTGACTCCATTTTGGTGCTCACAACTTCCACATTTCTCCCTTTTGGTTGAAATATTTTTCTGAAAGCATTTCACACTTAAAAGATATAGATTGGCCGGGCATGCTGGTTCATACCCGTAATCCCAGCACGTTAGGAGGCGGAGGTGGGTGGATCACCTGAGGTTGGGAGTTCGAGACCAGCCTGACAAACATGGAGAAACCCCATTTCTACCAAAAATACAAAATTAGCTGGGCGTGGTGGCACGTGCCTGTAATCCCAGCTACTCAGGAGGCTGAGGCAGGAGAATCACTGGAATCCAAGAGGCAGAGGTTGCAGTGAGCTGAGATCACGCCATTGCACTCCAGCTTGGGCAACAAGAACGAAACTCCATCTCAAAAAACAAAAACAAAAACAAACCAACAAAAAATGAAATAATTGTAAAAACCAACCATAGTTCTCAGTAATGATAGTTTCATTTCCGTCAGCTATTAGTAGAGTTAATTAACTCCTATCAACCTCACATTTTCCATTTAAAAAATACAGGAGAAAAAGTTTGATGTGGGTTTAATGAGAAAACTTATATAAAATAGATCTAACTACTATATTTATCACAAAACAGATGCACAAACTATGTTTTTTTCCTCTCACTTGTTCTTATTTTATATATCATTTTAATTGAGGAAATCATTGAGCATAATGTAACAAATATTTTCATAAGTTATTATAAAGAGGGTTTGAAGGACTTGTTAGAAAGTGTCTGGCAGTGGAAAAAACATCTGAATAGAAAAAGAAAATAGCATGTGAATGCTGAAATAGCGTATTAAATAGCTGCAACTCTAATATAATTTACATTTGGATTTTAGTATAGACAGAATACTTAAATTTATTTCTGCAGTCTTTTCAGTTGTTAAACATTTTATTGAACTCTTCATGTGCCTTTCAGATGTATTGTGCTTCAAGTGTGCTTGTACCAGCTTTTTCTGTTTAGAAATGCTTGAGTGTCTCCATTGTCAAAACGATCAGAAGGCAGTAATTGTATTTCCAATGTGAGGACAAACAATACTAGATATCCTGCGATCCTACATTGTAAAAAATATTCCCATCAAATGCCCCAATGGATAGCCACGTAAGTGATCATCTGTAATTATTTAGTCAAGAAATGAATATTTTACATGTAAATACTTTGAATGGCTTAATACAAACTAAATTTTTCAGAATGCAACCACTACGGAAATTGAAGAGAAAAAGTCTTTTTATTGTAGAAACTTCCCAGAGTCTTTCAATATTTACAAAAATTATGTTGCCAATGGCAATACCTTAGTTATTTGAATCACCAGTAGAACACACTATAAAAACATGCATTGTCACATCTGTACCCTGTCACATCCAGGATAACGATAATATTGAGATATATAACTATTTAGCCCTTATTTTAAAACATCAGGTAACAAGCATCAATCAATTTCTATCAAATGTTTCAACTTGGGTATTACAGCATAAGCAGAAATATACTGTTACCAATATCCCAGCCAATTTCTTTTCCTAATGAAACAATAAAACTGAGAATATAGAGACCATTTAGTAAAGCTGATATATATATATGTTTGCATATGTGTGTGTGTGTGTGTGTGTGTGTATATACATATAAATGTAATTAATACAGTAGATGAGGTCAAAGAAGCAAGTGATACACAACTTTTAATTTGGATGGGATGTCCTTGAAGATTCCTGTATTAGTCCTTTCTCACATTCCTATATGAAAATACCTGAGACTGAGTAATTTATAAAAGAAAGAGGTTTAATTGACTCACAGTTCCCTATGACTGGGGAGGCCTCAGGAAACTTACAATCGTAGTGGAAGGTGAAAGGGAGGCAGGCACTTTCTTCACAAAATGGCAGGAAAAAGAAGGATGGGAGGAGGAACTTGCCGAACAGTTGTAAAACCATTAGATCTCGAGAGAACTCACTCACTGTCATGAGAACAGCTTGGGAGAAACCACCTCCATGATTCAATTACCTCCACCTGGTCTCTCCCTTGACATGTGGGGATTATGGGGTTTACAATTCACCATGAGATTTTGAGTGGGGACACAGCCAAACCATATCAACTCCTAAATCTTAATACACTTTATTACTAGCTGATATGATTTGGATCTGTGTCCCTTACCAAATCTCATGCCGAATTGTAATCCCCAGTGTTGGAGGTGGGGTCTTGTGGGAGGTGACTGGATCATGGGGGCAGATTTCCCCCTTTGATGCTGTATCATGATAGCATCCTCATGAGATATGGTTGGTGAAAGTGTGTGGCACCTTTTCTCTTCCTCTCAGTCCTGCTTCTGCCTCGCAAGATTCGTGCTTCCACTTTGCCTTCTGCCATGAGTAAAATCTCCCTTTAGCCTCCCCAGAAGCAGATGCTGCTATGCTTCCTGTTCAGCCTGCAGAACTGCGAGCCAATTAAACTTCTTTGCTTTATAAATTACCCCATCTCAAGTGTTTCTTTATAGCAGCAGTGTGAGAACAAGCTAATACACTAGCCTTCTTGAATACATCTTAGCAAGCTCTCGAGCAGCGTAACCACATAGATTAGAGAAGGCCAAAACTGACAGATTCCCATCTTGACCAAAGTTTAATCATTCTTCTCCAGTCCCTCTTCTCAGGCCCAGTTTAACAAAGACGCCTGCTAAGCCAGTTCACTGAGAATCACTTCGCCCTGGATATCTTATCACTTTGGCATGCCTTTAGCAATAATGCAGTTTAGCAAGAACCCCGCTCCCCGCCACCCCACCCCCCGCCACCCTTAATATCTAATTAGTTTCTATCCACTGACTCACTCCCTCAGCTCTTTGCTTATAAATTTCCAGCTCCATGCTGGGAGAAATTTTAGTTCAATCTCTCTCTACTATAGCTATATTATTCCCCCATTGCTATAGTCCTGAATAGTCTTCCTTGCTATTTTTAACAAGCAACCAGTGTACACGTTTCCTTTTGACAAAACATAGTGTCCATATGTAGAGGGAAGAGGAAAGCTAACAAAATATAAAGTCATCCAAACCACACACACCTTGGACAAGCTTATCATGTGTGGGAATAAAATGCTGGAGGTGGGTTTGGCTTCCCAAAAAAAAAAAGTGTGTAGTTTGAAATTTCATATCAAGAACAGTTAAATTCCCAGATTCTTTATCATTACTGAATACCTTAGTAATTATTCTTCATTTAACACAACAGGAAATAGGAGATTTATTTTCTGGAGAGACTTGTCCAATTAAAGTGGGGATATGGTTGCTCCGTTGAGCAGAAATTTGGCTTATATAGACCCAAAGCTCAGAAAAAGAGTTATAGATCTAAAATGACAATCATTGAGACAATAAAGTCCATGGAAACCACGATGGGAAGCATCTACGTGGAAATAAAAAGTTGGATTTTCAGTAGAGAAATTGGTAACAATGTAAATTTCCTCTTAATGTCAGGTGAGAACTAATTCTGAAGTCAGAGGAGGAAAGTAGCCTACAACAAAGAGTAAGATCATCTTGACAGGATCAGGGAGAAAGATAATAGTTGCAAATGGAGACAGGTATATTGATTTAGTGCCAGGTAGTTGAAAGACTATGAGTATAAAGACTTATATTTTCTCTGTGTTGCAGTAGCAAAGTCATCTGCAGAGAGAGAGAAGTGAGAAGGGAGAAGAGAGTGTCAGAAATTAGAGGATTGTAGAGATTGAAAAAGTTATGTCAGGCACAATTGAAAACCCGGTTTCCAATGGTGATCATTGTCTTAAAATATTATCAGTTTGTTTTCTTGCATGGCATTCTTCAGCAGCAGTCATGGACTGAGAAATATGCAGAAATCAGATAGTTGAGTTCATCTAGAGAAGAGGTTGCAATGTGCTTCTAAAAAGGACAAAACCAAAAGCAACCGAGGGAGAGAGAGAGAGAGGGAGAAAGAGAGAGAGAAAAATGAAGATGTGAAAGGGGATAGGTCAAAACTCATTAATTTTTTTTAAGCAAAGGGCCAGATAGTAAATATTTTTATTTTGTGAGCCATATTGTCTCTGTAGGAAGTACTCAGTTCTCCCATGTTCTGCAAAAGCAACCATGGACAATAAGAAAATGTGGCTGCGTTCCAATAAGAATTTATTTAAAAAATAGGTGATGGATTGTATTTAGCCCAAGGGAAGCAGTATGTCAATTCTGGTTTTATGTTACTGGCAATTACATTTTAAAATATTCAGTAATTGAATCTACAATATCGATTCCCAACTATTGCTGCATATTAGTATCATAATAGAATGCCAGGTCCCAGAGACACTGGGTCAGCCAATCTCAATTGGGGCCAAGGCACTCATATGTATCTTTGGAACCTCCTCAGGCAATTCTAACATAAAGCCAGTGTTGAGAAGAGCCATTGTTAGTTTGCTTGTGGGAGTAACTGACCGCAGGAGGATCATAATGCTATAGGCAAAGGCTGAGGCACCAGTGGATTGAAAGTCCTAGTGAGGCAGGAGAACAGCTGCAGTGGGAATTGTTGCCACACTGAACAGACAGGAGATTGATCAAAGAGTGGTGTGCTTATTTAGTCATTTAAGAGGAATATCATGTTTTGTCATTATACATTTCATGGGTTTGGTAAGCAGCCTCTAAAATTGCTCCATGTCACTTGTACCCCTGGTAGAGGTAACTCCTTGAGGAATCTTCTACTCTGTTGTCCTAGTTGAATTTATCTCACTTCACTATCAAATAGACTGTGGCAGAAGTGATGGATATCACTTCCAACATTAGATTGCACAAAGACTGTGGCTTCTGTCTTGGGAATCCTCTCTCTCTCTTTCATTGTAAGGGAAGCTGACTTCTATGTTGGGCGCTGCCTATTAAGAAGTCCACATAGCACGGAGCCAGTGTCACCAGTCACAGCCAGCAAGGAAGGACCTGGGGACTGCCCCCAGCCACATGATTAATCTTAGAAGTGAATCTTCCCTAAGTAAGGCTTTTAAATGATGGCAGCCTTATGAGAGTCCTTGAGCTAGAGGGCCTTACTAATTCTGATATAGTTCCTGACCCAGAGAAGTTGGCATAATGAATGTTTGTTGTTTTAATCCACTAAGTTTTGGAGGTAATATGTTAAGCATCAACAGATAACTAATAAAAGGAGTGATTCTGAGCAAGAAAGGCTTAAGTGGAGGGAAGCTAAGGTCGAATAGTTTATGAATATCATCCTGTAAGAATACAGGGCTTGGAGCTTTGAAGGTGGGAGCAGAAAAAAATTTATGTAAGCTTGTCATTAACAATATGACTAAAAAAGTTCATTATACTGAAGGATAAATGCTTACATGTGCCTCAGAGAATAGATGTTTTTATTCCCGGGAAGAAAGATAAACTTTTTCAAAAAACATAAAGATTAAGTAGGATGCAGTTTCCAGCTTTGGATTCTGACATTCAGGACATGGGGAGGGTGATGAGCTTCTCCTGGAGGACTGAATTTAGGACACAATCAAGTTCATGATGGAAGCCCTTATGAGGTAGAGAGGGAGTGCATCTCAGCTCTTTCGATTAATTAAATGATTGTTTGAATTGGAGAAGGTGTGGGTATTTTGTGTTGTTTGGGTGAGTACATTGGAATGGTTTTCTAGCATTCCTTTGAGATTTTCCACAGTATAAGTTAAGGTAAAAGAACATTTTTACTTGTTTCAGAAAGCATACTGAGGAAGCTTTAATGTTACTATTAAGTAGGTAGGGAAATGACCAATATTATAAACGCAGATTTCCAGCCTCTCCTTTTAATGCTTTCAGAATGATTCCACAAGAACCTTGAAAATGTTGAGTATTTATATTTATTTTATGCCCTTTTATTGTGATTTTTTTAATAAATAACATTTTTTTGGTAAATACTGGAAGTTAATATTCTATAGTTCAGAAAAGCAATTTTGAACACTCAACTAGTGAGCCCATATAAAACTACATAACAGCACAGAATATAGTAAAATAATAATATAATGAACTGGGAGACAAACTAGGCACTGTGTGCCAAGTTTTTCAAGGAAGATACAATTTCAATACCAATGAAATAAACTCCCACAAATTGATTTTTCTTTGTGTGCACTCATCAGTGTAAATACAATTAAGTAATAAAGCCTGTACTTGTTCAGGAAAGATGTTTTCTATTCATAGTCTGATATCTGGGTGCTTTGGTTTCTGATAATTTGTTATGTAAAAACCCTGCAAATTAAAAAAAAAAAAAATCAGCAGCTCCAAGTTCATGGGCCCTTATCACAGAGGATTTAAAACCTGTGCATTTTCTTTAAACTGAGAATATTATTACATTTTTTAATCCAGTGATGAGACCATAATAGTTTTCTGAAATAATTCAGAATAATTATATACCTAAAAGTTAATTTGCATGTGCTGTAATTTAAATAAAAGGACAGTTAATTTTTGCATTACAAAACATGAAAAATAAAATCAAACGTTGCATCTTTACTTTTATTACATAAATTCCTTTACATTGTAGTGCCCCCTAGCACCACGCAAGTTTATAAACTGCTTTCAATATTAATTATGTTATTATAATAATAACTAATTTAAGAATGTATTATTAAAGTCAGTAATTTAATAATAATAATTTCAACAATATATGTGTCACAAAAATACCTGAAATTACAATTAGTATGTCCGGTTTACTGATGGGAATACTGTGGCTCAAAAACATCATCTCAGGCAGGGTGTGGTGGCTAACTCATGTAATCCCAGCACTTTGGGGGTCCAAAGCAGGTGGATCGCCTGAGATCAGGAGTTTGAGACCAGCCTGGCCAACATGGTGAAACCTCATCTCTACTAAAGTACAAAACCGGTCCGGCATGGTGGTGCACACCTGTAATCCCAGCTACTCGGGGGGCTGAGGCAGGAGAATCACTTGAACCCATGAGGAGGAGGTTGCAGTGAGCCAAGATCACACCACTGCCCTCTAGTCTGGGTGACAGAGCGAGAGTCCTTCTCAAAAAAAAAAAAAAAAAATCATCTCACCCAAATCATGTAGCTACAAAGTTATGGTTTAGAATAATTCAACTATTTTACTGAAATCAAAACTTTTACTATTAACCAATCAGTTACACTCAGCTTTGTGTAACTGAATACCAAATAACATCATGTTCCAGTAATTTTCATTTGAGTGAGAAGGGAGCACACTGGTACCCTGGACACACCCAGATACACTAAATCAGAATCTCTAAAACTTGGTGACTGTAAAAATAATTTTATTCTGAGTCTGAAACATATGCTCCGTGTTTCTTAGCAAGTTTCTGCAGCACAGGAGTCAGGTGAGGGAAGGTAGCGCCCCACTCCTGGTTATGGAAGGCAGAGGGTGAGTTCTGCTGCACATATGAAGCTATGGAGAGAGCAAGACTGCATAGGAGCAGGGTACAGTCTCTGGATATAGAAGACAGATAAACCTGGGTTATAGTTGACCCAGTGGAAAATTATAGGCCAAGAATAAGTTTCCAGATACCTTAATAGGACTGGGCATTTGATAAATTTTGAAAGTTCTCTGATAACTCGTATGTGCAGTGTAGGCTAAGAACTCACGGAAACAATATAGACATTTTTTGCCTCTCAGGGATATGCAGACACCCCAGTTCAGATATGATGTCTTCATGATCATCAGAAATCCAGATGGCTATTATCTTGTTGCTTTGCACCTCCAAGTACTGCTGCTTCTCATGTTGCCCCATGGCTGCCCCAGATCTAGCCATCAGAGCTGCCTTTCCAAGAAGGAAGAAAGCACAGAGATAGGACATGCCCCCTGCATGTAAGTCAGCTTCTCAGAAGTTACACGCGTTACTTCCCCTTACACAACATAGGTCAGAAATTGGTCACATGTGTCATGCCCTATGTTAAGAAAAGATTGGGAATATAGCATTTATTCCTGGTGATCATGTGTCCGGCTAAGCATTAGAGGACATTTTTACTGATGGCGAAAGGGTCAATGGAGATTGCAGTGAACCAGCCATCTCTGTCCAATAGGCACTTTATTTGGTGACAATAATTATAGGAAAGGTAGCACTAGACAGTTTTAATTCATTGAAGTTATTTTGGGTTTTTCTTGTTACTTTGTTTGTTTGCTTATTTGTTTTATCCTTCAGAGAAATGCTAGAAATTTAGTAATTAAATTAAATATTTCATTGAACACAAAAGCATAACATTATGGAAAAGAGTAACTGTTGTTTAGTTTTATTTATATATGTTAGTGTTTATACTGACTAATCTCACCAATGGAGACAGACAATTTCTAAGATTTATTATAGGCATTGTGTTTGGATCTTTCTTTCAGAAAAGTAAAAATCAGCTTAACCCAAAAATTATTTTAATAATAATTGGCATATCCAGCTTCATCCATGTCCCTACAGCGGACATGAACTCATACATTTTTATGTCTGCATAGTATTCCCATGGTGTATATGTGCCACATTTTCTTAATCCAGTCTATCATGGATGGACATTTGGGTTGGTTCCAAGTCTTTGCTATTGTGAATAGTGCCGCAATAAACATATGTGTGCATGTGTCTTTATAGCAGCATGATTTATAATCCTTTGGGTATATATCCAGTAATGGGATGGCTGGGTCAAATGGTTTTTCCAGTTCTAGAAGCTGGAAACCATCATTCTGAGCAAACTATCGCAAGGACAGAAAACCAAACACCGCATATCCTCACTCATAGGTGCAAATTGAACAATGAGAACACCTGGACACAGGGTGGGGAACACGACACACCAGAGCCTGTCGTGGGGTGGGAGGAGGGGGCAGGGATAGCATTAGGAGATGTGCCTAATGTAAATGACGAGTTAATGGCTGCAGCACACCAACATGGCACATGTATACATATGTAACAAACCTGCACATTGTGCACATGTACCCTAGAACTTAAAGTATAATAAAAATAAATAAATAATAATTGGCATATCCAGAACCCTTTGCTGTCTTCTGCTACATTTGCACAAATTCACAGCTATTTGAATACCAGTCATTGTCAATCCTGGTCAGCTTTGAAAATACTGTTCCTTAGTTTTGCTCTCTGCCTAATTTACTTGGATTGAGGGGAAACCCAGGAATCAGTTGATTTGAGTACGTAGCCAATGTTGTAAAGAACTAATTGCTTTAACTTCTAATAGAAAAATATCACTATTTTTTTTTAAAAAGTTACATAATTCATGTGTAGGAACATAATCCTTTTAGCCTAGAAGTAAAAAATGATATAGTCTTGCCCTATAGCACTGATCATGGCCATATATAATTTACAATAACCAAAATAATGACAATATTTTGGTACAGCATGCTCTATTAATTTGAATGCTCACCAGTTAACACATAATTTAATGTGATATGTATTAGGTTATAGAAAACCATGAGGTAAAAATCATAGGCTGCATTGAACTTTCTACTTCCCCAACTTTGCCTCATTATAGGGAGGGATGCAGCCCTAGAGTTCAAGAATTCCATAAAGACCAACCTGAAATTCTGGTGCCTGGCATCTTGTCACACCTTCTTCCAATACACAAACATCAAGGAGTGTAGAAGTTGAACATGGTCTGTTGTCACTGCCTCAAAGAATCCACTTCTAGCTTGTTCACACTAGGGTGTGAACATTTAAAGAGGGTAGGGAAGAACCACCTGGGTGGATTTTCACTGGGGATCTTATAATAAACTCTCAAAATCCCAGATTGAGACAAGGGAAGGGATGCTCAGTCGTATGTAATTAGGAAAAAGAGAGGGATTTTGAACCCACCCCTACATCATCTAAGTCAAATAGAGCCAGTGTAACTGTTGGGACCGTTGCAGGTAGGGTGTGCTAGGTACCAAGCCGCAGTTAGGTAACCAATGACTTTTACAAGCTTATTTTCATCTCAGTACACCACATGCTTCATGTGCCACGTGCATGTATGTAAGTTACACATCTAAGATTATATTATTGGGTTACACTACCATGAATTATCTAAGGAAAACAGAATGATCATCATTGTGTGTGCAAAGACGACTTCTGAAATTAATACCAACAAGAGATTTCTTCTTTGCATATTTTCAAGCAGAAAGTGGACTAAATTATATCATTGGAGCATGACGTCTCAAAAAATATTTATTGCCAAATAATTCTTTACTGCTAAAAATTATTTATTGCATGAAATAGAAAAGATCTGAGACTGAAACTTCCATTTAAAAACATGATTTAAAAAAATAGAGTAATTACATAACAATTATGAAACTCAGATGCCAGAGTCAGAAATCAAGAAATTAACTATGTCAAGCAATTACAATATGATTACAAAGGCCCTTATATATTCATACAAGCTTTTTGCATTTTTTGAGCTAATTTTATGAAAAACATCAAAAGCCAGAAAACTAATGCTTAATGTATATTTTAAGGCCAAGAACAATATAGAAAAATTAATTTTCTCCTTAAAGTTTTTTAAGATATTTAAAGTAAACATTTTAAAAATTATTTAATCTGTGACCCAATTTGAATCACTTTGCTCTTCAGATTCCGATGTCTCCACAAAAATTCCGATGTCTCCTTGAAATTAGCTGATACATTATAAGAAATGAATGACTGTCCTGTCCTATTTGGGATACACATAAAAGTTACCCCAAAGGTTTAATTAGATAGTGAAGTACAAAAATACAGATTTGTAAAATATTACATATATAAACAATATAAATCTCTATTTTGACAAGTGACTTGATAAACTAGGTTAAATAATTGTTAATAGAGTTGGGTAAAGGCAGTGATGTTGGTAAACTAGTGATCCAAATGAAAAGAAAGTCGGCTGGGCACGGTGGCTCACGCCTGTAATCCCAGCACTTTGGGAGGCCAAGGCGGGTGGATCACAAGGTCAGGAGTTCGAGACCAGCCCGGCCAATATTGTGAAACCCCGTCTCTAATAAAAAATACACAAATTAGCCCAGCGTGGTGGCATGGTGCCTGTAGTCACAGCTACTCAGGAGGCTGAGGCAGGAGAATCGCTTGAACCAGGGAGGTGGAGGTTGCAGCGAGCTGAGACCACACCACTGCACTCCAGACTGGGCAACAGAGTGAGACGCCATCTCAAAAAAAAAAAAAAAAAAAAAAACCAGAAAAAAAGAAAGTCTTGATACATGGTGTATGCTGCATGTATGTAAGTTACACTTCAAAGAGTAAGTCCTCCCACCATAGCTGTTTTCAAGTTATTACCATTTCAAGATACTAACTCCTGTGAATAGGAGGGTGAAGTCTTTAAATTACAGGAAATTGCAATAAAAGCCTGAGGCAAAGATATTTCAAGGGTTTTGGTTAAACAAAAGACACATTGGCTGGCATGAACAAGAGGAATGCACTATCGAAACCATCTTAGTCAATGGCAGGAAGACAGTGTTATGAGTCTACTGGTTACAGAAAATCTTTGTTTTAAAAACTCAGGTTTATCGAATTAAAATTTATATATGCCAAAAGTCATCTTTTTAAGTATGCAGTGTGTTGAAAACATAGATGGTTATATAACAAATACCATCCTCAAGATATAGAACAGTACCATCACCTAGAAAAATTCCCTTTTGTGCCTTTTGAATCAGTATTTCTGCTGCCCTCAGTCTTTGGAAATCGCTGTTCTTTGTCCCTATGGTTTTATATTTTCTAGAATGTCATACACAAGGGAGCAAACAGCATCCTGAATAGGCCTTTAAATCTGGCTTTTTAAATAGCATAATAAATCTGAGACACATTCATGTTGTTATGTTATCAGATTTGTTTCTTTTTCTTCCTAACGTGATATTAAATAGATACAGTATATAACTTTTTGACTATTCACCAGTTTTTGAAATTATGAATCATATGGTTAAAGTCACCAACAGATATACATATGTATATTACATATATGTATATAGTATACATATAAATCAGTGGATTCTTCAATTTTTTTATTGTCAAAATGATTTTTCCATTATAATTCCTTTGCTTCTCTGTTGAAAGTTTTAGAATGAGCTTGTTTGTTAGTTGCAAATATCCTGTTAGGAATTTTAACTGGATTGAATTTTTGTATTGAATTTTTTGATTGGTTTGAACAGACTTAATTTATTGTCAATATTGGCTACCAAGCTCTTTACTTAATTACTTCTTCTTTGATTTCTTTTACCAGTGTTTTTTTTAGTTTTTGTTACCCTTTCTCCATGTTTTTTTAGATTAAGAATTTAATGTTTCTTGTGCTACTTTAAATGTAACTTTAAAAAATTCTAATTTCCAATTGTTCATTAATAGTGTTGTAAAGTAGCGGGTCCCCCAACAGGGAATTTAAGGGCATATGTTGACTGCTTGAGTCCTGAAGGCTAGATGGTGAGCAAAGTTCATGGTGCTCAGCCGAGGAGCAGATGTCGCTGAAAACCAAAACATCCGGGAGCATATCTAGGTACATACCAAGAAGAACAGTTTCATCACATGTAGTAAGCAAAGAGCCAGAAAAGTAGCTTTGGCCGGGCGCGGTGGCTCATGCCTGTAATCCCAGCACTTTGAGAGGCCAAGGCGGGCGGATCACGAGGTCAGGAAATCAAGACCATCCTGGCTAACGTGGTGAAACCCCGTCTCTACTAAAAATACAAAAGATTAGCCGGGCGTGGTGGAAGGCGCCTATAGTCCCAGCTACTCGGGAGGCTGAGGCAGGAGAATGGCGTGAACCTGGGAGGCGGAGCTTGCAGTGAGCCGAGATCCCGCCACTGCACTGCAGCCTGGGCGACAGAGCGAGACTCCGTCAAGAAAAGAAAAGAAAAGAAAAGAAAAGAAAAGAAAAGAAAAGAAAAGAAAAGAAAAGAAAAAAAGAGAAGAGAAGAGAAGAGAAGAGAAGAGAAGAGAAGAGAAGAGAAGAGAAAAGAAGCTTAAAAGCAGCTTAGAGGAAGATGGTGGGCAGCAGGCGGATCTCTGGAGTTATCCCGCTGCCCTTTACGTAAGTCCTAATAAACTCATCTTCTCGTGAAGCTGGACTTGTCTGAGTCCTTCTTTGTTATTTCAGCACTATCTCTTTGGCAGAAGGATGTTCTTCTACACAGGTCTGGGTTTTTCCTGCAACAATTATATATAAAAAATAATTCTGTATATTAACATTATAGTGTTATAGTGCATAGTGTGAAATTACAAAACTCACAATTTATTTCTAGTAGCTTCACTTTTAATAATTTTAATTATTTTGTACTCACAATTTATTTCTAGCAGCTTCACTGCTAATAATTTTAATTATTTTGTACATAATGGAATACTGTGCATAGACCATCCACGAATCAAATAGAGTTTTATTTCTTCGTATCCAATTTGTATGCCTTTTGTTTATTTTTCTTACTTTAGTACACTGGTTAAAATTTCCAGTATACAGTTAAATAGTTCTTGAGGACAGGTTTCCTGTACTTCTTTTCTTCGTGCCTGTGTATAACGTATATTTAACTATATAATACATACAACACAACTATGTTTGTCTTCATATAATTTTTTACCTTTTTTTTAGTTTGTTTACGTAGCCCCTATATCTCTAGAAATGTTTCTTGGATTTACGATTTGATTGCCTTCACTTCTTTTGGAAAATTCTCATTCATTTTGTTTTTAAGTATTTATCATCCTTGTTCTCTTTCATGAATCCGTTCAAGTTAGGCATCCAGAGCTGTCCTTCAGCTCTTGGATGCCATGTTCTGCTATTTATCACTCTTCTTGTTTCTTACTTGTATTTGTTATTCAATTTCTATGTTTTTTATCTTCAACTTTACTGTTCCATTCTTTATTCATATCAAGTCTTCTGATGAATTACTTCATTGGTGTTTGCATTTTGAGGTAGATACAACAGTATATCTATTGAGACATTAATTAGTGCAATTAAACCGAAGTTTAACACATTTTAAGTAAAAATTTATCCCACTATCGCATAAAACTTGTGAAAGTTAAAGTCATCAGCACTTAATATTGTCTGTCATGCGAGGCAATCGGCACTCAAGTGGCAAATGCACTCATTTAACTCTAAATTGGTACTTTAGTTAATCTCTCATATTGATTTTTTTAACCCTTAAACACTGGCAAAGAGAAGCATACACCTAAAGAGAGATTTTTTACATTATTGTTTATTTAGTTAGTTTTTAGAAACAAGGTCTCCTCTCTCTCCCAGGCTGGAGGGCTGTGGTGCAATCACAGCTCACTGCAGCCTCAAAATCCTGGGCCCAAGCATACCTCCCACCTCAGCCTCCCAAGTAGCTGGGATTACAAGTGCCTGCCTCAGTACCCGGCTACTTTTAAAACATTTTTTGATACACATAGAGTCTCAGTTTGCTGCTCAGGCTGGTCTCAAACTATTGGTCTCAAGCAATCCTCTTGCCTCAAGCTTCTAAAGTGCTGGGATTACAGGTTAACCAGGACACCTGGCCTAGAGGTTATTTTTTGTTGTTTTAATTTCTTTATTTAATAGTCTGTGTATTTAAATTTTGTTGACAATAATCTTAACAGCAACAATAGTATCTACTTGAAAGGTATGCATTCTATATATAATTCCTTAGATATAAATTTAAGTATAAATATTTGAAAACTCTTTAATTTTTTAATATTGTGTCCCATTTCTTAAAAAGGAGAGAAGCTATATTAACTTTTGAATTCAGTACACAGTTAACAGTTCTTTCATTTAATATGTGATAATATAAATTTAACAGTGAAACTTTCAAATACTCATATTAACTTACCCTGATAGATTTTATAGCTTTAATATAAAACTTCTCATAAATGTAAAATTTGACAAAGCACAATATTCTCCAGGAAGTTAGAAAAGTAATATAATTTTCTGTCTCTCAGAATGTGTTTTCTAACCTCTAAATATAAATTGATGGACTAATCTTTTAAAATTCAGAATCAAATATAATTGCTTTGGTTTGATCATTGAGAATTCTTTTTCCATTCCATCATTTTATAGTTTTTGCCTAAATAAAATACTTAAGGAAGTTATTGTTATGTTGTATTTGAAAGATGCCTGATGGAGAAACATTCATAGTTCTTTTCTATCCTTATGAAAGGTTATATGAAAACATATATATATGTGTATATATAAACATGTGGATAAAGTACAGAAAATCCTATCATTGCCTCTGACTCAAATGGTAATCTTTAATATAAAGATTTGAAACTTTCATGGAACAGTATATCAGAACTTTATTTCCAATTTGTTTATGTATACTTAACGTATATCCTAAGTATCAAGAAATCACATTCAATTAACATATACATTATAAAACAATTCCTATATGATAATTCTAATAAGTAAACATGATTTTAGTGGTAGTAATTATTCAATCAAATATTCATATTTTAAAGATTAAATCTTCATATTTTAAAGCACATTACATCAGTTTACAATTCGATATTGACTACTGGATAGAATTTATCAATGAAATTTTGAATATGGCATGGTTAATGCAGATCATGTGAATTAAATTGCAAGGCAGAGAGCTTTTAAATTAAAAAAATAAGCTGGTTTATAAATCCAGTGCTAGATAGTTAATAAAAGCAATACATATAAATCTCCCAGACACCTCCCAATCTTGCTATTTTGAAATATTTTCCTCTTTTTAATATTATTTAAATAAAAAAATTATCTGCCTTTAAGCAACAAAACATGAACTCTTGGTAGAAAATTCACTAATTGACATAGGTATCTAGACTTATAAACCTGTAAAAAATGTGAAATAGAAGGCATAAAGTATTTGAGTCAATACATTACTAACTAAATCTTTTGATTAAATCAGCTTATAAAAAAAGTAAACGTAAACACATAAGTCTTTGTATAAGCACCCCTACATTTTTAAAAGTATATTTGCCTTTTCATAAACTCAGTTGAGTAGTGGTAACATTCATCATCACAACTTTTTAGAGGCAATGAAATTGATGTCATTTGAGGTCTTCATCTCATATTTATCTTTTATTTTCTTATTTTGTCATGTTTAGCAAAGGATAGTAAAAGTAGAGGATCATTCAACCCAGAAATACAGGGAAACTGATCCTTGTAAATAGCACCCTTTATAGACTAATGGATATTTTAAGAGCAAGATGTGCTAGAAAGGAAAATAAGGCAATCTCTTAATGCTGTGCCTTTTCTTCCATTACATTTTTAGATTATATATTATCCCTTGTTTATTTCTGTAGCTGGGGAAAATATTTTTATTGAAATAGATTGTTTTTTGAAGTTTGCTATATTAGGTAAAAATAAATACCAAACTTCTCTGTCTTCAGTTTAATAGAAAAAAAAAATCCCTTGTTACTCTGTTTCTGCCTTACTGTTAGTAGAAAGATTTATGATTAAGTAATTTTAGTAGGACATTAAGAACAAAAACATGAACCAAAATACTTTTTAAAATAAATATACACATTTTTACTATATATAGACACATATATAAAAGTATATATACATATATGTATATATGTGACTTCAATAACAGGAAAATAGATTTTCCAGATTAACAATCTAAACATCTCATCCATAACAAAAGGTTAGGCTCTATACCAATGCTTGAATGAAAACTGTAATATCATCCATTTAAAAAAATGCCAACACATGCATAATTTTAGGCTGTAAAAATGAAAATATTTCAGAATTGATTAACAAATGGTGGAAGTTAAAGTTGTCTCTTCCCGACCTGCACTTTGTTTTCTGTCTCTTGCCTTTTCTCACATTTTATTTTTCCTTCCTATCTCAACAATATACCCCACCTGCAGTGTGCCCAATGTGGACACATACCTGCTTTTTTCAGGCACTGTTTTGGACAACATTTCCCTACTGAGCATTAAATCACTTTTTCTTAAATACGTACTAAAGATTTCCATGGCTGAAAAGCTAGTTCCACATACATTAATAATCCTTGAAGAATTAAATCAGATACAACCTCTACATCAGCACAATATTTCAAGGTGGTAAGGGAGTGCTACTGCTGGGTTCGTCTTCACTTAATAACTTTATTAATGATGTGGATGAGTGAACAAATATGAAAAGAAAATTTATAGGTATTACATACGTAGATTCTGCAGAAACAAATAGGCTGGAAGGTAATGACTGTAGAATGACCTAGAGAGGTTAAAAAAAGAAAATAGTAGTCCAATATTATTCCACTTTTAAGTAAATGAGACCATTAAGCTCTTTAAAATAACCAGTAAATAAAAACTCAAAGCAATGATAGCTACATCAAAAAGTGAGGGAAGAGGGGAAATTATATGTTGCAATGTTACAGAGTACATTAAAGCATTCAGTATATTTCCTGAAAATTTCATAAGCACAGTTCTTAATGTTTATTCATAAATAAACAAAACCAAACCAAAAGCCATAGTTCATTTGTTTCTAACTAAGAGTACAAATTATTTATGCGGAAAAGTACATATAAGCTCACATAAATAACACGAATAATGTTTTCATTGTGAAGATATTCATAACGTTCAAATGACAAGGTCTTAGGAACTCTGCACCTTCATTAATTTTAATCAATATTTAACAATCAAGATTGTTTTCAATAAATCATGATCTAATAATGAAAGGGGGAAACTATTTGTTTTAACTTTCATTTCAGTTTTACCCTTTACTCACAAGTTGAAATTCATTCTCACTCTTTGCAAACTATTTTGAAACACTTCCAGGTAAAATTCATATAAATATTTTATTTTTCCTAATTTTTGGAAAAATTTTAGACTATTACAATCTGAGTTAATAGCCTAGTTCCTTTGTTGATCCAGTGTAAATAAATATTTCTCTTTTCTTGCTGTATTAAAAAACCCACAGTCTCTATAGCCAAGTCTATATCTATATCGATATCTATCTGTATCTGTATCTATCTATGTGTATCTCTATCGATGTATGCATACACAAATAATATCTGTGGAAGAATTTTTTTTCATGTAGTGTAATATCCACAGCTCTTCTACTTTAACCATAACTCAAGTTAATAACATTTTATTGTCTTTTGTTAGTTTTACCTGGAAAAGAAAGCACATCATATACAATATTATAAAATAGAAATAAAACTAAATATAGTGTTTTAGAAGGTAACAAAGTTTTATGTTTAAGGATATTAAATAAAATCTATTTCTTCCAGTATATTTTTTCACAATCTGTCTTAAATGGAATCTTCAGATATCTTAACAAGTTGACTACTAGATTTTGTAGTGTATTCCAATCAGATATCTATCTGAGGCCACTCTTTTTTTTAATAATCTAGGCTTCTGTAGACAATGTGGAAACATTTTTAAAATGATGACGCCCTCCTTTTCCTTCGTAGCTAAATTAGTACACAAAATTCTAAATATTTCCTTAGTTTTAATAATAATAAAGCAATATAAGATTCACCCTCTGTATTCAATTCTTTGTTACCAATTCTGCTATAATTAGAATTTTTGAAATTCTTAGTTATAACCTTTATTTTTGATAATTGCATTTAAAATGCAATGATAAAGCAAATAATTAAAATGCTAGGAATAAAATTGTCCTTTATTAGTTTATCATAAAGTTCCATAAATTTCAGCTCTCCTTGATTTCTCACTATTCTAGTTCATCAATTTTGTAATTAATCATTAAACATTATTCTTTCTCTATATTAAAAATATTAGCAATTAACAAATCCCTATTTAATATTATATTCATTGTTTTAGTTTGATGCTTTTTTTTTTTAGTGATATGTACAGAAGACAAAAAAATGATGTGCAGCCTTTGTGTTCCATTTATTGTTGCGTAAAATAAAATTTCATCAATCTTGGATAAAAATTCTTAGGCCTATGATTATATTTGAAGGAAACACTAACTTCTGACATGATTATTTAGAACACACATTTTCTTAACTTGTCTTCCATTTTAATGGAGCTATAAATAGCTTTGGCAAATTTTTCTGCTTTGCTGTTAATTTAACTCAGTAGATTTATTGAAATTTTAAGACACCACGTTACGCAAGATTTAGGGTATGTGACTACTCTTTCCTCCTGTGTGGAGGTCGACATTGCCACAGTCTAATATCATAGTTCCCCTAAGTGGTCCCCTCCCAGAAGTGAGTTGCAAGTTCCTGCTGACTTTCAGAATTATTTCTCCATGTTTATGTCATTTTGATGCAAGAGAGGTCAATACACAGGTATGTCATCAAAATAATATTTAGACTATGTCATTCCCACAAAAAACAACTTATATGCCATGTTTTACTCACTACCAAAGTCTTGTTGAATACTACTTGTTTCATTCCTCTAGCCAGGAGACAACCTGGCAGGTATACTGCCTGAGCACCAAGAAGTTATCATATAATTTGCGTTTCACTGACCTCTCTTACCTTGTCAAATTACCCACAATAATTTTGGTAAAGTTGCATCTAACTTGGTATGGACTAAAAATACTTGCGTCGCCCCCAAAATTTGTATGTTAAAACCCTAATTCCACTGAGATGATATTTGGAAACAGGGCCTTTGGGAAATAATTAGGTCATGAGTCTCTCTCTCTCTTTCTCTCTCTCTCTCTCTCTCTGTCTGGTCTCTCTCTCTGTCTCTTTATGAGGACATGACAAGGAATGGAGGTTTTACCTGTAACCATTGACTGGCACCTTTATCTTGGACTCTCAGCCTCCAGAACTCCGAGAAGTAAATTTCTATTGTTTAAACCAGTCAGTGTATGTTGTTTTTGTTGTTGTTATAGCAGCTTGAATTAAGACACAATTTTCCTAAAACTTAAAAATGTCAGATTGGTGGATAAAATTGTATTTCATTGTGCTTTTTTCTTCAAGCCTTATACCTCTGACTCCAAACTCATAGTAACCAGTGTAAGACATGGTAGAATCTTTCCACTAGTGCTTGGGACACTATTTATAGTATCTACCCAATCTAATTTTAATGAAAAAGTTGAAGGTTGGTATAAAAAAATGTTTATCATCTAGGAGTTCCAGGCTCAATTCAACATACTTGTGATGGTCTCATGTAGTAGCAGTGACAGTCAACTACAAATGGTGCCTGAACAGGGACATTTCAGAGACTATCAGGGACATACAGAGACCTGAAAGGACCTGGAGGGACCTGAAGAGGCCTGCAGGGATAAACAGAGATAAGTGGAGGTAAGTACAGAAAAGTAAGTAGAGATAAGTAAGTAGAGAAAAGTAGAGATAGGTAGGGAAAGACGGGGACTTGCAGGAACTAACAGGTACCATAGGGACAGACAGAGACAGATAGGAATAGATAAAGACTAGCAATATAAGGTCAGTGCCCTGAAGAGGTACTGGTCTGTGTCCTAAAGAGGTACAAAAGTAGAGACTAGCAAAGACTAGGAGAGATTTGGAGGAACAGACAGGGACAGATAGGGACAGATAGGGTCCTATAGGACTAGAGCGAGGAAGGTCTGCTGGAACAGAAAAAAACTAAAACCAACTAGATGAACGAGAAAGCCCATTACAACTCTGTTGGCAGCGACATAAGGTTAGTGCTCTAAAAATGATGGATGAATTTTCAGAATTTATCTAATTTTCTCCTCCATCAAAGTTAAAAATTAGCTGTTTGATTTACTATACTCAGCTAAAATTCTCTGGCATTTTATCTTGATATTACTGACATCCTGGAAGGAGTATCTTGTTTGTTTGGCAAGTGGATTTTTTTAAAAAAATAAATTATTGCTTCATAATTTTTATTGTTTATATTTCAAGGTTATGAAAAATGCCCTTAAAAGATAAATGGTATATATATATATATATATATATATATATATATATATAAAATATATATATTTTAATCTGCATGTAGTATACCTGTTGTGACAAAAATAAACGAAAGCTTAATTTCTTGCCAAGTTGTAGACTATTACAGTATATTATTTTAAGCATTATGCTATACATACTTCTTTTGAAAATTTATGGAGTACATGAGATGTTTTGATACATGCATAATAATCACATCAGGGTAAATTGAATATGCATCACTTCACACAGTTATCCTTTGTGTTACAAACAATCTGATTATACTCTTCTAGTTATTTTTAAATGTACGATTAAATTATTTTTGACTATAGTCACCCTGTTGTGCTAGCAAATGCTAGGTCTTATTCATTCTTTCTAACTATGTTTTTGTACCTATTAGTGTGCCCCGCTTTCCTCCCAAACCCTCACTACCCTTCTCAGCCTGTTAACCTTTATACTGTTTATCTCCATGAGTTCAATTGTTTTAAGCCTTAGCTCCCACAAATAAGTGAGAGCATCCGAAGTTTGTCTTTCTGCGCCTGGCTTGTTTCACTTAACATAATGACCTCCAGTTCTATCCACATTGTAGCAGATGACAGGAACTCATTGTTTTTTATGGCTGAATGGTATTCCATTTTGTATATGTACTATATTTTCTTCATTCATTCATCTCTTGATGGATACTTAGGTTGATTCCAAATTTTGGCTATTGTGAGTAGTGCTGAAATAAACATGGAGTGCAGATATCTCTCTGATATACTATGTCCTTTCTTTTGGTTATACACCCAGGAGTGGGATTGCTGGATCATATGATAGCTCAATTTTTGCTTTTTGAGAAACCTCCAGACTGTTCTCCTTAAGGGTCATACTAATGTACATTCCCACTGACAGTGTGCAAGGGTTCCTTTTTCTGTATATCCTCGCCAACTTTTGTTATTGCCTGAATTTGGGATAAAAGCCATTTTAACTGGGGCCTCTTAACTTTTTCCCCACACATTTCTTAATTCCTTGATGAAAAATGCTAAAAGATAAGACACTTTCATACTTCCTAGATACAGTTATTCATTCACTCTTTTATTTTTTTAAGTTTCTTATTTAATAGATATGTATTAAATATTTACCTTGTCTCAGCCAATGTAATGTGTGACAGGCATACAAAGATGAATATAGCAGAAAGTTTATGCCTCTTAAGAAGCATAATGAAGTCATTTAAACAAATAATAGCTACAAATTTTGATGAGCACTGTCATAGAGGTAAGAATATTATGGTGGGGTGGGATGGAAGAAATTAAAATATGTCAATCTACTTTGCGTTGTAAGGAAAATCTTGGCAAAGAAGATACATGTTATGATTTGGCTCTGTGTCCCCACCCAAATCTCAACTCGAATTGTAATCCCCATGTGTCATGGGGAGGGACCTGGTGGGAGGTGATTAGCTCAAAAGGGTGGTTTTCTATGCTGTTCTTGTGATAGTGAGGGGGTTCTCAGGAGATCTGATGGTTTTATAAGTGGCAGTTTCCCCTGCATGCTCTCTCTCTTACCTGCCACAGTGTAAGACTTGCCTTGCTTTCCCTTCACCTTCCACCATGATTATAAGTTTAATTATAAGTTCACTTATAAGTTCAGCCATGTGGAATTGTGAGTCAAGTAAGCCTCTTTTGTTTATAAATTATCCATTCTCAGGTAGTATCTTTATAGCAGTGTGAAATGGACTAATAAGATAAACTTCAATAGAATACTTAAGAAGTTGTGGTAATCAACTAGTTTATGAATGGAAAGAATCATTTTATCAAAGGAAATTAAGAGCATAACAATGTGGCATTAAAACAGATTAGGGAGTTCTGAGGGTTGTAAGGATGATGGAACAGGTACATAATAGGACAATATGGGAGAATAATTAAAGAAGTCCTGAGGGTAGGTCACTGAGGCCTTATATGTTATAAAAGGGGGATTTTACTCTAGGAATTGGGAAAGTGTTTGAAGAAAGAGAATAGTGTGATTATATTTGCTTTTTAGTTTGAAAAGAAGTAGCCTGGAAATGAATGAGATTACAGCCAGAGAAGAGAAAGAATATATTTTGATGAAAGAATATATTTGGGTACTGATAGAATAGTCCGGGTTAAAGATGATTTGGACCCTGGCACATGGAGGATGCTGTGGGGTCATAAAGGAAGAAATGGTAATAAAAATAACTAAAGTTTTATTGGATGAAGTTTTCAAGCCAACAAAGCATAAAACACAGACACAAAAACGACGTCTGAAATGATTTCTTAGTTTCTTAGTCATGTATTAGGTGTCAACCAAGACAGGGAATACAGACAGAGCAGTAAAGAGTTCAGCCCCAGACTCAATCCTATATGTGATTTTTGGGCCCATCCATAAACAATGACAAAGACTTGACCAAGTGGGTCCCACAGGGAGAGCTGCCCTCCCCACACTAGTGCATAGTCCTCTAATGGCAGTTTCAGTAAGGGCTGCAGGGCCATGCTCACACACAGATCAGCATCACTTGACTGGTGCCTCCCCTGGAGGCCTCTCCACTGTGGGACCTTGGCAGACCTTCCCCAGGCATGTTTGCCCAAGACCTCCTTTTCATGGGGAGAGGAGGAGGAGTCTTGAAGACAATTGTCTTCCTTCTGATTCAATACTCAGTGCTTTTCCGCTCCCAGCCTTTTCCTGACCTTCCATAAAACTGCAGGCAGGAGCCTGTTGTTCAGGGTTCCTTTGATAGTGAGACAACTCCACATCTGTGCTGACCCATGTGATCCTTGATAGAGCTGTTTCATGAAGGAAAAAAAGGATGGGGACTGGACCGTCAGGGCTTTTTCCAGTTTAACCTCAAAGGTTTGTTAATGTCCTTTTGTCTTGATGTCTTAATTGCCTACTCCAACACCTGGCTCTCTCTCCAGAGTAGTTAAGCTCCTGATGGCTGGGGATAAATTTAATGACTACTGTTTTGTATAAGTTGAGGTTAATCTAATTAATTTACCTAGAGGGAAAATTCTGACCTCTATCTCTGAGACCTCATCTAAAACACAGAGGTCATGAAGATAAATCTGGCTTCTGCCTTCAAGGAGCTTACAGTCTGGTGAAGATGATAGCTGGATAGCTAGACATAACAATAAAACCACAGCTGTTCCCTTGTGATAATTTCTGTTATGAGTTATGTACATTGGAATATGAAAAATATATAAATGGTACATAACCAATTCTAGGAGGTCAGGGCAAGCTTCCTGGGAGAAATGCTGTCTATAGGTAGACACAGAGAGACAAGAATCAAAGCCTCTTCTGAAGAAGGGTTAAATAAATCTCAGGCAGATAGGCTATGCATGACCTGCTTCTTTTATCTGTCATTTTTGTTGTTCAGTTACTTGCTAAATTTTAAGAATTTTATATATATATATTATATTTATAATATATTATATATATAATATACATGTATATATATATATATCTTCTACATATCAGTGCTCTGTCAATTCAGCCTAATTCTGGCAAAAGCATTAAGGACTTCAATATTTACCAGGTTTGAAAGGGGAGCAGTCCTTTGAATTAGAATTATTTGAAAAATGTAGGGCTATTTTGAAACAACTACCCAATTGAAAATGCATGGACACTATAACTATTATACTTGCAGATGCATACAAAAATACTTTTATTGTCACATGGGCACAAAGATGTATATTGAAAGCTGTTCACTGAAACAGTATTTATAATAATGAAACCTGGAAGCAACATATCTCTTAATGGGGATATAGACAAGTAAAGTACAACATATACATGTTATAGAAAAAAATGCAGCCTTCTCAAAAATGGGTAAGCTGTATAGATATAGAAAAGAAAAAAGCATTGTATAAATAATATGTACACTTTAATAAAAGTTGTACTAAATTTTAAATGTAATATAAATATCATACCTTCTATATATATAAAATTATCAAAAAGACTGAATTATAATACATGAAGAGTAGGAAAAAATAGTTGCACTGAGTTTTATATTTTCTGAATGTTTAAATCTTTCCACACAATATGTAATAATTATACTTTTAAAATGAAATACACTAAGCAATAATAAGGAGCTGACCACTGATGTACTCAATAAGAACAAATTTCAAAAAACAAGATGCTGAGATAAAGAAGACAGAAACAAAATAATGCACATGTATGATGTCACTTATACAAAATTTAGAAAAGATATATCCTGTACATAATGACAGAACCTCCATCAGTGGTTGCCTGTGATCAGGGATTGAGATGGTGAGGGCATGTGAGAAGTTTTCATATATGATGGAAATGTGCAGGGGATATACAATTGTCAATATGCATCAAACTGTCTAATTTAATATATGTTTTATTGTATATGATAAATTGATTTTCTAAAAATCATATACACTAACTCAAACTTCTTATAGCTGAACACATTTTATATTAGGTGTTTATCTTATATTTACAGATGATGTCTAGTAAGCCTCAGAGATGTCCAGTGGGATCTGGGATTTGAACCCATGTCTATTTCAATTTGTCCTCTCATTCCCTTTTTACACTCAGCTTTTCTTTTAACATGCCCACATTTTCCCTACGACTACAAAATGAAAATAAACAGAACCTTTATTTTTAAGCTCTTATCCTACTTTGCTTTCTGTGCAAATGTTTTAAAATAATAGTTGACATTTATTCCTTCTACTTCCATACCTCATCCATCTCTTGCATTCTAATGTCCATCGCCCGCTTACTGAAATAGAGAAAAAAGTCACGATCATCCAGCACTGCCAGTGATTCTCAACTTTTTAAGTAATTGACTTTGTGTGTTTCTTCAGAACACTTTCTCCTCTTAAGATTTCTGGTTCCCTTTTATGTCTCCCACTGCCTTTCCATCATCTTTTTGTTTGACTCTTTAAACTCCTCCCTTTTTCCTTTTTTTCCCATGGTCTCTTCAAATATATCTAAACTAATGCGTTCTGCATACTTATTTTGAGTCTTTTTGTGAGGTCTAGTCCAACTGGCAAAATATGGTATCTCAATTTCCTACCATAAACTCATCATATCTCAAATTTAAATTTCTCATCTTTCTTCATGCAAAACACCTTGAACCTCAATTTAAACTTCATCATATTCTTCAATTTCTTCTCCCTTTGTTTTATTACACAGCTTATTTTGGCAAAATCCTAGGGTATTTTAATGTGTTTTTCATGTGCATCACCTCTCCATATATTTACAATTGTTCTGGCAAAAGTTTATATTGATAATTAGTCTTAGTGATTATAATTATGCCCTACTTTTGCTTTCTGTAATTCATCCTACACACTGTTGCTAAGTAATAATACCACTAAATCACAGCTCAGAATATATATTTTATTGCCTGCTGGTTTTCTATATCTATGAGAACATTTATTTCGAATGAAACAAAAACGATTAAACACGTAAAGCTGGAGCACTGAAAAGCACCAGGCATGCTAAGGGCCAGGGATAGACAGATGAAAGAGCATGCCCGCTATCTTTCTCTTAACATTCAAAGACCCGTTAATTTCCATTTCAACATGCACTTTTTGTCAATTTTGTTTTCCACAGATCACTTTCAAGCATCCTTTGAAATAAACCCACTAAGATCATTTTTCCCAGAGCTTGCCCGTTTTGTACCTCTGCTGAGATTTTTCTCATTTCCTGGAATTATGACAATATTAAGCATAACTGTAAAAATTCTAAGTATCATTTGTATAGCGTAATAGTAGATCCAGTCCAACACTGCCTAGAAACTTGCACACACCATTGCATTTCACCCTCGCAACAATTCCATGTGGTTGGTTCAGCTATGTCTACTTCACAGATGAAGATATGGAAACTCAGAGGTGTTACATAACTTGCTACCATCACACAAGTCACAAAATCAAGCCAGTCTGTCACCTAAGAAACCCTAACCCTTCTCACTTTAATACACTACCTTTATTATCCTACATTTAATTTATTTTTTATACAACTTTGCTCATGACAATCTTTGTTCCTTTAGTTGGAAGTTTTTATTCCTCAATTTCCCAAGGGGAAGATTTTACAGGTTAAACATTTTTGTCACTTGTCACTTAGCAACTTAACATTCTAGTCATTTATGCACAAGTTACTATCTCTACAAAACGTGAACAATTTGAAGATGAAAAATTATGTATTATATATCTTAAATCCATCCCACTGTAGTTCTTTACAGAGAGACAGTACTCAGTAAATATTTATAAGAATCATGACATGCAAATGTGCATATTCTCTCTTATTAGAATATAATTTAGAAAATGTACTTGACAAATGAAAAGTAGCATCAGATTATTCTTGTTCAAAATATTCCTCCTTGGTAAACACTAATACCTGGACTAATTTTTGAAGACTGTACTTCTCAGTGGGGGAGAAGAATTGGGAAAAATTCTTTAGTGTGAGAATATCTTAGGGGAAAAGCTATAGTTTTAAAAAATACTGCTTTGTTTTATTCCAGTTATTTCTCTTTTATCAAAATTTTAAATTTGTATTTATAGTTGATATAAAACGATATGTATCTTGAGAGATCGTGTGTCAAAATAATTGAAGGACATTTTTTGTCATTTGTGTGAAATAGAAGAAGTGTTTTAAGTGTAGAAAATGATACCTGTGTGTGATAGAAATAAGTTTATATCCTATGAGCAGGTAACAAAAAAGAAAAAAAAAACTAGCTGGACTTTTTCTCTTAGGATTATATTTTCTTTGGATGACAATGATAAAAGTTCTCTTTACTATGTAAATTTGCCAGTCTAAGAATAGAGTGTATTATCTTACTGAGTTTCATCTTGCACCCTCAGCATCTATTATTCCTATTAACTCCAAGTTCAACCTCCACCTTGCCCTTTTCTTCTTCTAATTGGCAATGGGCAAATCATTTCTGGTCAAGATCAGGAGCTCATCTGTCGCTCTAACCTTGAACATCAATCCAACTCAAGAGCGAATCCCATTAACATCAGACTAATAAATGCAAAGATCCAGTGAAGAACAATAATGAACTTTGGCTCACACATCAGTCTTTGGCACCTCAGAAACTAAGTGTAATGAACAGTAGGTCACAACCTATAGCTTTCATAAAATGTCCCAGTTGAGATAGCATATTACACATTTAAAACAGTAATGGTGCCAGGTCATTCTGTCAGACATTTGTCAAGTAAGGATGTGCTCCTACACATCTAGCTCTTCTAGTAAACCAATATTCAGACACATAATGGCTGCTTGTATCTTCAATTATCTCCATCCTATCACATTCAGAGCTGCTTCCAGAGAGTCCAATACTACAGCCTTAGGCTATGGGATGATGATAGCATACCCTACAAACACATGAGAGCAACCTCAAACCTTCTAAATTGTGCCAGTTCTGGGCTTCTTTTGCATAATCATTTATCTGAAAGGACAAGAAATAATTTGCAATTTCAGAGTGTGATGCAAAAGACACAGATATTGCTCAACTTCAAACTACTGAGGGGAAGAAAAATAAGATTTTGGTTAATGTTCTATGGTTCAAATATAGTAAAGTCATCCTGGATTCCTGTCCTGACCTATTCTTTCCTTACCATTTAATTACTTCTTTTCACCTACTTTTCTCTTTTTTTTTTTTTTTCGAGACGGAGTTCCACTCTTGTTGTCCAGGCTGGAGTGCAACGATGCGGTCTTGGCACACTGCAACCTCCGCCTCCCAGGTTCAAGGGATTCTCCTGCCTCAGCCTCCCGAGTAGCTGGGATTACAGGCATGAGCCAACATGCCCAGCTAATTTTTGTATTTTTGTAGAGACCAGGTTTCACCATGTTGGCCAGGCTGGTCTTGAACTCCTGACCTCTCGGCCCCCAAAAGTGCTGGGATTACAGGCTTGAGCCACCGTGCCCAGCCATTTTTCTCTTTCACTTATTTATTTTAGCATCCTTCTCTCTTCTTATAGCTCATCTTTTATATGTGCTTATTTGAAAATGCACAATATAGTTGTTTTTGATAGACTTAAAATGATTTCTGCGGCATGCTATGAATATGTAATACCCCCGCAATCCACCCCACACATATTTTGAGAATTTTTATCCTTCTTTGTAAAATTAGCCAGAAGTCCCTCTGTTAACACATGTTCGCTTCCTCATTCTTTGGTGAATTTTGTTTTTCCCATAAGACGTATTTTAACACGGGAATGAATAAATGTATAGGGAACATGAGACAACCTGTTTAACATCCTTTTTATACGCCATTGGGGATGATAAAGAGCAATGGTCATTTACTTAACATCTTGGTAATTAGCCGCTTGGAGGTTGCAAGGCCTGTAACCAGTCTTTTTGATGCATCCGCCATTTCTGCAAGTGGCTGGAGTGGAGGTACAAATGAAGCTGAATAGAGGAGAGACTCTGCAACTGTATACACTGATAGAGTAATTGCCTGCTTTGTGAATAGGATGCATTCTGGAAGTATATCAAATATATAGAGCAAATACTCAAATAGAATAGAACAAGAAATGGTTACAGTAAAACAAACTTTTCGTGATATTTACCACTTTTTATATTTTACTCAAAGTGTATATACGTTTTTTTTATATGCAAGATAAACTGATAATTTCAACACAATCTGCACTACTTTGAAAAATGTACACCAGGGCCTTTCATGACTTGTATACAGTTCTGGCCATTCTCTTTATCTCAAACCGAAGAAAGATATGATGCAGGCAGTAGTTTTTTCTTAGTGCCTCATAGTATCTAATAGCAGAAAGTGAGCCGCATAGCGGAGCACATTAGTTTTTATGTATCTACAGGACAGAAGGGCCACTTAGCTGATGGCTCCAGGTTTCCTTTGATATAATCTAATGTTCCTATGACCTCAAAGACTGAACACATTTCCCTAAGTGCTTCACTTAGCACCCAGGAGCAACTTGGAGTCTTCGCAGAATAAAATCCATTATTTTAATGTAGATTAATACATGTGTACTTATATCTATGCAGGTCTATAATAGTTTATTCCTATGTAAGCTTTATTAAAAGCATTGGTATGTTTTACATAAAAAGTTAATGTGAATATTAGAAAAAAAGGACAATATTAAAGCAGTTTGTAGAATTTGTTCCCCCCCCAAAATGAATGAAATACACAATAGATTTTAAAAAAAGAAACAATGAAAGTGAAATGAGGAAAAGGTCTAATTTTCCCCTTAAATTTCACAATGTGTCAGCCAGACAGAGCATAATTTTGGAATAAACAAAAAGCCAGGGAGTCAATACAGGGTTTCTCCTTCTATCAGATATCTTGCTTTGGCAGAGAGTAAGAAGAACATCTCAAAAACCTCATTGGTGTTCTTAAACTGAGGGTGGAGACAGGGCGTGCAGGCTACTTGAGGAAAGACTGGGATGTGTACATGGAACTCACTTGCTCAATATGAATCCATGGCAACCTCAGGTCTAGGCCAGAAGTCCTGTGGAGTATTTCCTTGCAGAGGTTGGTGGTAGAAATGCAGTCTAAGATGAGCCATTGACTCAGCTGGAACTAACTAAAACCAGCAGAGATGGCTAAGCCACTAAAGAAACAAAACTCAACAAAAAATATGGTTGTCCAAATGCCCATCAATTGATAGACTGGATAAAGAAAATGTGACACATATATACCATGGAATACTATGCAGCCATAAAAAAGAAAGAATTCATGTCTTTTGCAGGGACATGAATGAAGCTGGAAACCATCATTCTCAACAAACTAACACAGGAACAGAAAACCAAACAGCACATGTTCTCACTCATAAGTGGGAGCTGAACAATGAGAACAAATGGACACAGGGAGGGGAACATCACACACCAAGGCCTGTCGGGGGCTGGGGGGCAAGGGGAGGGAGAGCATTAGGACAAATACCTAATGCATGTGGGGCTTAAAACCTAGATGACAGGTTGATAGGTACAGCAAACCACCATGGTACATGTATACCTATGTGACACAATTGCACGTTTAGCACATGTATCCCAGAATTTAAAGTTAAAAAAAAAATGGTTGTATCAAACCCCAAATCTTGAAAATATAAAAACTTAAAAAAAAGTAACCCACTCCCCTTGAAGCAAGGACAGGCGCACCTTACACGGGAACAGACATCCTCTGAAATGCAATTATTTTGCCTTTTGTTTGTTTGTTTGCTTTGTTTTTTCTACTATTTCTTTTTAATTGAAAGAGTAATAATGCAGTAATAGAATTATAACTGGTGGCATCACAGGGCTGCATATTAGTAACCTTAGCTGAAGAGCTGTATAAATATCTCATGCACATGTTCTGAAAGAAGTGGAGCTTTATGGCCCAGAGTGATAAGGAGGAAAAAATAAAAAATGCCTCCATACATTCAAATTTTATTAAAAGTTGAATTAAAACATAAACATGTGACAGATTTTAAAATTTAATTATTTGCAAAAGCGTTTTTTGAAATTTACCTCCTAATGTTTTGCCTATAAATTCATGTTTTTATAAATGAACCTTTTTTATTGCTAGAAGGTGGCAGGTTCCACATCATTCTTATTCCTATATCATTATTTTTATAAGATCTAAGAACTGAGAAATCTTGTTCTCAGAAATAAGTGGATAGGATTGGAAGGGCTTTGTTATAACAATGACATTTGATTCTTTGAACTCCTTTGAAGAATGACAACAAAAATTGCAGGTGTCCATTGACAATTCAACTAGGTATTTCTTCAAATTTTTAAAAGTAATTAAAAATCTAAAACAAAACAAAACAAAACAAAAAACACAAATGATTAGCAAGATTTTGTTACCCAGTCATCAAGGTGACTTACTTTTGAGAAGTGGAGATGAATGTTTTGAATTGCCCCTTCGTTTTGCATCCTGGAAATTTCAACACCTGGGGACAAAGCACCAAGGTAAAGTTAAAAAAAGTGGAGATATATTTTTCTCTTTTAAAAAAAGAAACATTGTGGGAGAAGAATTCTTTTGAAAAAGAAGAAATGAAAGAGGGACAGCAAGAATGATGAAAGAAGTATTCGAATGTGACACCTGGAAACCTGTTCTTTAAAAGTCTTTGCCTGGCCGCAGTACGCCTCACAAAGTCTTTGTGTAATCTCCAGGGTTAGCAGGCCTCAGATCAAAATTAGAAGCCTAAATGGCAAACTAACCAAATTGGTTTTTTTTTTATAAAGTAAAATCTCTCAATTCACTTTTAAAATAAACTTAATCTGGTTTGAAGTGTCCCTATGACAACCATCTCAATACTGAATTTTAATTATATGATAGGTATGTAGCTAATTACATCAAATAATAGTTAACAGTTAAATCGATCTCTGGCTGTATTTTTATTTTTATTTTTTTGAGAGCTTCTCTCTCTGTCATCCAGGCTGGAGTGCAGTGACATGATCTCGGCTCACTGCAACCTCTGACTTCTGGGTTCAGGCAATTCTCATGCCCCAGCCACCCAAGTAGCTGGGACTACAGGCAGGCACTACCATGCCTGGCTAATTTTTTGTAATTTTTTTGTATTTTTAGTAGAGACAGGATTTTACCATGTTGTCTAGGTTGGTCTTGAACTCCTGGCCTCAAGTGATCCATCTGCCTCAGCCTCCCAAAATGCTGTGATTATAGGCGTGAGCCACTGCGCCTGGCCTCTGGCTGGTATTTTATAAACTTAATAATGAAGAACTGATTCTCTACCGAAAAAAAAATGTATATATACAAAAAAAGAAAATGGTGAGGTATGGTGGTGCATGCCTGTAGTTCCAGCTACTCAGAAGGCTGAGGTTGGAGGATTGCTTGAGCCCAGGAGTTCAAGGCTGCAATGAGCCGTGATCATGCCACTGTACATCAGCCTGGGCAACAGAGCAGGACCCTGTCTCATAAAGAAAAATAACAACAACTACCACAAAATGAAGAATTGGCGAATGTAGTAACTAGATCCAAGTTCATGGTTCTTACAGTTACCACTTCACAAGAAAAAGCCTGTAAGATTTAAAGCTGAGGATCACATGGCTAGTAACACTGAAAGAAGCACTATAGAACAAGGGAGACGAAGTCATTCTGAACATTCAGATTACTTATTTTTAACAAACAACTTAATATCTCTATCTTTTATATACTTTTCAGATTATAAGTGTAATTATGCTTTAGAGATAAAGACAACCATGCAAAATCGTCAAAAACACTTCCTTGTAAAATGAGCCCTTCCTTCAGCTGACAGGGTTGACAGGAGATCCCAGGTGGGGAAAACACACCAAAAAGATTCTTATACTTAGGCTTTGCTCCACTAGGGACATTCACAAACAATCTCCAGGACATATTGGTTTCCTTGGGACTAAGGTATTTGTACAATGTCCATTTATAGGGGGTTAAAGTGCCTGTGATAGTGGTTGAAAGTTTTGACCCACTTTTACAGATTAATCAGCATTGTGGTGGTTACAGAATTTCCAGATAAGGCATGCTTGCTCTTCTCTAGACAAACTCATCCACGATATCTTAGTAACACTGATTCTGAGATACCTTTAGTATTTTAGGTAGATCCACACAGTGTGATTGCTAATGTTATTTGTACGGATTTAGGAGCCACCGAGTGGCTATCATTGAACTGTCAAATAAATCTCAATACCTAGTTAAAATTCTTTTACAAGTAACTTTTCATAAAGAGGAATAAATGTTTACAGTAAGGGAGTATTTTGTTTACTTGGGCAGCTTTCTATGAAGAGGAGCATTTCTTGCAAAGCAATATGCCTGAGAATTAACTTTAGATTTCATTTCTATTTCACTGGAGTAGATATGTTTAAATTAACTTATAATTTCTTAAGGAGTCAGATAAAACATTAATTTTCTTTTTAATTTCTATACTTGCAGCTAAGAGTCGAAAATGAACCTAAGAGCCCTTCATTCCAAAATCATGCACAATTTCTAGTGCTTGTCTACTATCTACATAAATGTTCTCTCTCTCATATACTCTTCACTTTTTGCCTCAGGCTGGATTGTGAGTTCCAGTTACAAAAATTGATTCAGCAACCCAGGCAGATGGAGTCTTCAGAGATAAGAGAATATCCAAAACAAGGTTAATTTTCTCTATTCTAGGTGAAAACTGTCAACAGATAATGTAAGATCAGAGTTAATTAAAGTTATGCCATTTAAGTCAGTTTTGGACAAGATGAGAGTTTGAATCACTGTCAGCTAAATATGTGGTTGTCCTTCATCCTGGAGGGGAAAAAGAAGGCAGTTTAAGATTTGTGCATTTTTGCTAATGTTATGAGATGTGAATAGCAAAGTAATCTCATCAATAGTAATAGTGTGGGTTGAAATATACTGTGTTACCTTATAGAAATGTTTTCTATCATACACGGGACCAGTTGGATACTGTAAAACTGACAGGGAAAAGAAAGTAAGAGGATTCTACTAATTAAACAGTATCTACAAGATTTCACAACAAAGGGGACACTGTTTGGTAACATTGTCTGGAAGAGTATTTGTTTAAGTAGTAAGTAAAGGTTTGGCATAATTAAGTTCATTTAGTGTAAGGGTTGCTACAACGTTTCCTCAATAGTTATAAAAATAAGCTAAGACTGCTCAAATGAAAAGAAATACAGGTTATTCAGTCAGAGCTTGCTGTAGCCAGGGAGTTGGCCACCATCACTTGCAATATGGCAACGAATCAAAGGCAGGCAGGCAGTGAGAAAGCTTTATCATGGGAAAACCAGAAGGCTGCAGGAATGCCCTGGTTGGAAATTATTGTCATGGGGAATCTAAAGGTTGGATAACTAGAAGCAAAACATCCTATTTGATGGGTGAAGCTGCATAATTAGCATTCTCTGGTTGGTTCTAAATTGGAAGCTGGAGGGAAACACTTAGGGAAGCTGGAAGTTACCCACCAATTCCTAAGCATTTGGACCAATCGCTGCAGACTGGTTGCTGCAGAGGTCAGAGTTGATTTTCTGTGTGTGGAACCACCATTGTCTGTTAGTGTATTCAGTCTCTCATAGTATAAAGGCCGAAACTGCTTCAGGATCCAGATAAGAAGCTCTAGAAATTAAAATTTATTAGGGTCATGTAGTCCTTAGTCTGCCTCATGGACATAGTGATTGGTCTAAAGAAGCATTCTTCATTTCTGCTGCCCTAATCATATTATTCCAGCTTCCACAGACTGATTCAATAGGTCCCGAAGCTAAATTAAGAACCAGTACATTTGAACTGGAAACAAAGAAAGAGTAAGACTCCACTGGAAAATGGGAGACTGTGAAACTAGGAATTGACAGTGACTATCTCTACAGCTGTGACAGACGTCAACCTGAGAGATAAAGCTGAGACCCAGAAGGCAAAGAATGTTACATACACAGAAAGAACATGTAAAATTGGAGCATCTATGTTTCTGCAACACATGAAGTATAACAATACCCCACCTTTCTTGAGATATTGCCTATGAGCCAGTTAATTACCCTCGTTTGTGAAACTGTTTGTCTCCTGCAGCCATTGAATCCTGATTAATACTCATTAAATCTCTATGATGTCATAGTATATATCAGGCACTATGGCTCATATTATTGTTTTCCCCTGATATTTGGTTATTTTCTTTTCAAGGCGCATGGAGACAGACCTCTACCTGCAATGCCCCCCTTGCACTTGGACAGAACCATGTAACTATTTATAAGCTATGACACATGAGCAGACATGACATGACGGGATTGATGGAGCAATGACCTCATCTTTTCTCCTGCCAAATATTATGAAAGAGGACTCAAGTCACTCACCTAAGGGACACTGGCTGAAAGTCAGTAATGAAGCTGAAAGGTCGCTAAATGCTGGCAAGTGAGATGGATTATAGTGTCTAGACTTTTTCCTGAGGTCATTCTATATCCAGCAGATATCTTTCAGTATATAGTCTATTCAAAACAATGTGCTAGTGACTATTGAGTGTGGTTACATTTTTTTTTTTTTTTTTTTTGAGATGGAGTCTCACTCTGTCCCCTAGGCTGGAGTGCAGTGGCACAATCTTGGCTCACTGCAACCTCTGCCTCCTGGGTTCAAGCAATTCTCCTGAGTCAGCCTCCTGAGTAGCTGAGACTACAGGCACCCACCATCACGGCCGACTAATTTTTGTATTTTTAGTAGAGATGGGGTTTCACCATATTGGCCAGGCTGGTCTTAAACTCCTGACCTTGTAATCTGCCCACCTTGGCTTCCCAAAGTGCTGGGATTACAGGAGTGAGCCACCAAGCCCAGCCAGTTACATTCTTTAAACAAGGAGTGGACATACCCTGAAACAAGAGATTAGTCAAAGAGATTTTGCTATTCATGGGACCTAAAAGGTGGCTGTACTTCCCTTTACTGCTTTTCCATACACAGCAATGCACGCTGTATGGGTTCTTATAGGTCAGAGCGTGAAAGAGAACCAGGACCTATAAAAGAATACAAGTCTCTAAAATCAGAAAGTTTATTATTTAAAAAAATAGTTATGTGCCAGTCTGCTTATAATTTTATTTTTATGACTGAGAGTGCCTTTCATAAGCACATTCTGGCAAACTATAAAACAAATAAATTGAAATTGAATAAAACCTTTAGACATTAGAAGTGTAGCACCAGATTTAGTACATAACTGCAAAACTTAAACATGCAATTTTACATCTGCAAGCACATTAAATTGAAAGAAACTTTAACTTAATTTAGATACATTAATTGATACAAACTTTTCTGGTATATAGCACTTCTTGGCGCATTGAGTATTCTTAATCTTTAAGGCACATGAATATAATACCTTAGGAAAGATCTGTTCTCCACACATTTCCTCTATAAAGTGCCAAAAAAAAATAACGAAGAGCCAGTTTGTCTTCCGCATCAGTGTGATTTAGCATACATAAATAAGTATCTTTTCACACAAAATAAAAGGTTCAGAACCCAAAGTGTCTGATTTTTATAGTGCTTTTTCTTTCCTTTTAAAAAGATAGCAAGATGAGGGTAAGAGGTAATTTAAGAGAAGTAATCATCTTCTAACAGCCAGCTTGCAGAAACTAAAACAAATATCAATGATGTAAAAATGTTGTTTTGACACTTTGGTAAATGAAAGTGTGAGATGAGTAAGAATATATTATAGGTGCTTGTATATCAAAGGCCTGTGAAAATGGCTGATTATAAAGGAGAAAGTTAATGATCTCTAATTGTGTTGTAATGTAAATGCAGTATCACCGTAATGAAGAGAACAGATTTGCATGTTAACAAAAGAAATATTAGAGGAGTGAGTGTAGGATGTTTGGGATAATTAATTCCATCCTCCACTCCTACATACATATGCATATACAAACTCAATTCAATTTTAAAGAGAACCCGAAGAACCAAAAATAGACTGAACACACTTGATGTTGTATGGGAGCTTAAATTACTATTTTTGTTGTTCTCTGTGACTATCTCATTTAGTTTCTATTGTGTTTGCAATTTCTTCCAAGGTGATTTTTAATGGATTGAGTAATGCATAAAAATTTGCAGAAGTATGCAGAAAGTTTGTATGCAGGGCCATGTAGAGCTTTTATCCTACAGTAAATCCTAGTAGTTTGCTGGTGCTGTGTGATTTTTTTTGTTTGTTTAGGGTTTGTGTGTGTGTGTGTGTGTGTGTGTGTGTGTGTGTGTGTGTGTGTGTGAAGCTTATTTATTCCATTTCAAGAAAAAGAAAAATAGACAAATTAGAATACCAAAAATAATTTGCAGCCAGTATCAACCAATTTATATTCAAGCTGAAAAATTAAAATAGCTTTCAGAGAATGGTAGAAGCATATTATTTAAAAAACAAACTATGAAGAAATGGACAGAAGCATGTAGACATAGATAACAGAAATTTAAAGTAAAAAGTAGAAAATGAAATTATTCCCTTTTATACCTGAAAGCAAATGATTTCCATGATTCTAAGCCTCTGTAAAAAGCAGCAACAATTTCATCATTTTCCTATTCACTCTTCATATTATCTAAATCAGGATTCTGCAAAATTATTTTCCTTGAATTACTTTTAAAACATACCAGAAATGAATTCACTACTCTAATTATCACAGCAATTCAGGGAATTATTAAAAATCAAATCAAATCAAATGAAACTTCGTAAGTTGTTTACAAAAAAACTTCAGGTTCATTTGCTTTTAATGCAAGACATGGCAATGTATCTCGGCCTGTGGATGTCCTCTCCATGTTAATAGTAAGTGCAAGTTTATGAAAAGACTAGACACCGACACCACCTGGGGAAATCAAAGCTTACTTACCTAAAATGCACAGGAGCCAAGAAGCATGTTTAAGTTCATGGGAGGGTAATGAATGCTGTTCTCTAGAACATGTTTCAAGGAGCTGGACACGTTTCCTTACCAGGGGAGACTCACACTGCAGATCATAATTTCTGAGCAAGTGAGAAGTGAGAGTTCCATTGCACCTGTGGGAAGCTCTATCCTCCAAAGTGTAGCTTTACACACCCAGCTTGAGTCATTCTTCTTTCAGGTGTATCTGGACATACTCCAGGGACTAGCTTATCTGTGCCTGGTGCACTTCATTTATCACGATTAAACAATATACAATTTGACTGAAGGGCACAGTATAGGTCAGTGCATTTATGCATAACAGCAGGACTTATTAATCATCCTCAGCTCCTGCAGGCTAAGAAATCCTGCTTAAAATTTATTTGCATGCTTAGAACTAGAACAGAGCTTCGAAACTAGAATAAGGGTCACTTACTCTGATGTCTCTGGAAGCTCATGAGGTCAGCCCTGAACGCTAAGTTGCACTTCTTGAAACAGTTTTAATGCCCACGGCTATCTCCCAATTCATTCTGAGTTTGAGAAGGGAAAAAAATGAAATGATATTTAGTAGACTCCTATAACAGTTTGGGTAACACCAGCTGTTTTAACAAACAATCCTCAAAGTTAAAGTGGCTGAAAGTTTAAAATGTGTTTCTCATTAATAACATTCAAATAAAGGCATTTCTTGTCTGGGTGGCTTTTACCAGGGAGTAATTCAGGAAACTGGCCTCCAGTATTGTAGCTCCAACTTCCTAGAGGGCTTCAGAGTTCTCCTTTTTCAAATGACACATGTTGAAAGAACTGGAAGAAACATTTATATGTACCACCCTCTAAAAGTGGTACACATTAACCGGGACACAGTTGCATGGAAATATAGCCAAGCTATGTATCCAGAAAGAAGAAAAAACAAGTGTGGTAAAGAGCTATCAGTCTATGCCTCAGCTTTTCAAAATCCAGTCTTACGGCGCACAGATCTAGAGAGAATATGTAGACCTTATATTATGTAAAGGCATTCACAGAACTATTTTTGTTGTTGTTAACATACTTGAGCTTCCCTACGGCAATGTTCTTGTAGGTTTCCCAGACTAATAGCCTTCAAAATGGAGGTGAATATATACATATAAGAAAAAAATAAGTAACTTAAGTCTTCTAATAAGATATGTTTTATAAAAATATGAAGAAGATATAGTAACAGCTCCTTATAGCAGTGTAAGACCTTTCTTTCATCCATCTCCTCACCTATGGTTACTATCCTCACAATCCCATTTCCCTCTATGTACATTTTACTTTATAACATATGTTCTCATACACAAAAAATACAATAAAAAATTTTCCATTATCCAACAGAATTTATAAAGCCTACAAAATTTCTAAATATATCATTTTATATGTAATGAATATGCTTGTTATTTCCCATTAAAAAAAAATGCAGCGGCCGGGTGTGGTGGCTTATGCCTGTAATCTCAACACTTTGGGAGGCCGAAGTGGGTGGATTGCTTGAGCTCAGGAGTTTGGGACCCACCTGGCCAATGTGGCAAAAATCTGTCTCTACTAAAAACCCAAAAATTAGCCAGGAGTGGTGGTGGGCACCTGTAGTCCCAGCTACTCATGAGGCTGAGGTGGGAGGATTGCTTGAGCTCAGAAAGCGGAGTTTGCAGTGAGCCATGGTTTTATCACTGCAGTCCAGCTTGGCGACCACTTGTTCTTTTTTGCTTGTTTCTTTGTCTTTTGCTTTACTTTGCATCATAGAGATACGGGTGAAAATTTCTTTAACCCTTTAAGTGTTTCTACTTTGTCTCATATGCTATACCTCATTTGTTACTTGGAGTATACTCTTGGCCATGCTATTAGAAATGGATGATGTAAAAATGGCGCCCCCTGAAGTCAAGCAATGTGAAACATTTGTAAATTTCTACAACAAATGCCCTAAATTGTAGTCGCTTAATTAAAATAATTATTTTCTATTTACTGTAATAGTCAACAGGTAAGAAATGCAGTCTTGCATGGATGTCCCACTAAAAAATATATGCCATCTTTTAGTCCGTTGATACTTAGCATATTGCCCTCATCTTCATGGACAAAAATTGGCAATTTTTCTGTAAAATCTCTCTTTCATATTACTGATGACAAAATTCTGCACTTTATCTGAGGAAGAAAATGACAAGACTGACATGTGGGACTCACTTCTCACTGTATAATACCATCCTTGGCTCCTGCCCCAGGATAATTTTGATATTTTTAATTATCAAACCAAAACCAATAAGTTATATAAAATATAGGCAAAGTTACATTCACTGGGAGAATTTTAGCACTCTCAAAGTAACATATCAGTTCCTATTATCCAGTAAATTCCTACCACGTCCCATGCTCCCGGAAGTGTGTCCGGATTCATGTTTTTCTGATAGGTGAATGCAAAGTCACTAGCCATTGCCATTTGCCAGGGATTCAGAGAGACAGAAGTGTGGAAATTAACATTTAGATGTATGAGAAATATATGCAAGAAACTGAGACTGAGCAGGCAATTTGTAGATTGTATACAGTGTAGCCTAAACATGTTTGCTTCAGTGAATTTGTCATTTCTTGCATGGGGTAAGTCTAAAATTATTTATTGTTTAATTTTTTTCATTAGAAATAAACCCTCTTGGAAGTAATTAAAATGCATATTTCACAAAAAATTAGTGCGATGATGATGACAATCATGTAACTTGCAAAACTTGAGTGTTGTTTTATCACAAACCTTATGAAAACAGATGCATCCTTGCCTTAAAAAGGAGAAGGAAAAAGGAAATGCTCTGGGCACAGCATGAAGCCCAGAAAAAGAATATTTCCAACAGCCCCATGGACATATGGAGAGGATAGAACTTAACAGTGCTCATCATCTCTGGTCATCAGAGAAATGCAAATCAAAACTACAATGAGATAGCATCTCACACCAGTTAGAATGGCGATCATTAAAAAGTCAGGAAACAACAGGTGCTGGAGAGGATGTGGAGAAAGAGGAACACTTTTACACTGTTGGTGGGAGTGTAAACTAGTTCAACCATTGTGGAAGACAGTGTGACGATTCCTCAAGGATCTAGAACTAGAAATACCATTTGACCCAGCCATCCCATTACTGGGTATATACCCAAAGGATTATAAATCATGCTACTATAAAGACACATGCACATATATGTTTATTGAGGCACTATTCACAATAGCAAAGACTTGGAACCAACCCAAATGTCCATCAACGATAGCCTGGATTAAGAAAATCTGGCACATATATACCACGGAATACTATGCAGCCATAAAAAAGGATGAGCTCATGTCCTTTGTAGTGACTTGGATGAAGCTGGAAACCAGCATTCTCAGCAAAATATCACAAGGACAGAAAACCAAACACCGCATGTTCTCACTCACAGGTGGGAATTGAACAATGAGAACACTTGGACACAGGGCGGGGAACATCACACACAGGGGCCTGTCGTAGGGTGGAGGGATGGGGGAGGGATAGCATTAGAGGAAATACCTAATGTAAATGATGAGTTAATGGGTGCAGCAAACCAACACGGCACATATATACATATGTAACAAACCTGCACGTTATGCACATGTACTCTAGAACTTGAAGTGTAAAAACAATAATAATAAAAAACTTCCAGCCCAAACAAAAATAGTATTAGCTACATTCAGAAGACCCCACAGAAAGGGTATAGTTTCCCACAGACACCCTACTAGAAAGCAGCTTCGTGGACAACATTCACCTCACCGTTTCCCAAAGATCATCATCATCACATCCTCTGCCTTAGAACCTATAACAGCGTCATTCATGGGGATGCCTCTCGCCCCTTAAAAAGTACTGAGAAAATTATGAGACAGAGAAGAAAGGGGGAGGGGATACAATTAAACTTTGTTTACAGAAGCCTGGGCTCCTGACTTTGATTTTGCTACTAAAGTAGCCGTGGGGAAATATTTCTTGAAACAATAAAAATGATTGACTTAGGTTTCAAAGTTTTTAACTCACAATAAAGAATTTTTTCTCCTTTCTCTTGCACTGTTTTTCATAATGATGGTATAAAACATATTAAGGTGTTATCACAAACAATTACTTCATGAGATTATATTTGAGTTTGGGGATTTCAAAGTCATTTTATTAAAATTAGCTGTATTGTTACACATTTTGTCTGGAAAGTCTAAGTAATGTCATTAAAAGCCCAGTTTAATTGCTTTGAAAAAGCTTATGCTTGACATGATATTCAGTCTCTTAGATTTCACAATTCATTCTCCATGTATTACTACTATGACTGACTTGTTTGTCTCTTTTTGAGTTCCTTCTAGAATTCAAAAGCATTAAGATTTAAGTGTGGCTGACTGCCACGGTTACTACTTGAGACCGTCATTACTAGACTGAATGAAGAGACGAACATAGAAATGGTAACAAAAAACAAAAGAAACTGTTTTAAGGAAAGGCTAGCATGGGGAAGAAGAGAGCTCCCTGCTTCTAGTGGTCCTCATTCCATCTTTGCATTCAGATTCAACTGGTTCATGGTTCATACCGGGGGAACAAGGTCCATGGTTGGGATCCATGGGTCCCTCCAGTCTCCTGTTCAACGGTCGTACACACCTTGGGAGCACCCACTCGGTTTGTTCATCTTCTGCAAAGACGTAAGTATACCCTCGTCCCCACGTTAGTAAATCTACCAAACAGAATCAAAAGTGTTTTCTTTTTTATTTATTTTTTATTTTTTTTGCTGTAGCCGGGAGGCACGCCATTGCTGAAACATTTGTAACTCAGCTTCTGCCTCTTTGGTTAATTGCCGTGGGGTAAAACTTTCCACTGAGAACAAGAAGCAGGCTCTTTCTGATTAACACACGGCACAGAGAAAGCAAATCGAGGCTTATCCTTCTCGTAAAACAGTATAGCAAAAAGCAGTCCTTAAACCTTCAATTTGCACTGTACAGGTGGGTCCACTAGATGCTATGGGTGGTGATAGATAAATCTCTCTCCTAGTTGCACTTCCAAATCCCTGACCACCTCGCTTCTTCTTATGTGGAGAAGGGTACAATTTACAGGGAAGAAGCGAAAATTGAGCAACATATTCTCCCAGTTCAAAAACCCAAAGATCTTGTGACATTACCACTACCTGAATTTCTCCTTCACAATCAAAATCAACAACTCCTGGGCCTGTAAGTTAAGACAGCTTTTACCAAAATCAATCCCATGTATCTTGTTGGCAAAGATCCCCAAATACCAATGTGAATCTTAGTGAGTTTGTTTCTTTCATTTAATGTAATTGGTTCTCTGGGAGATCTAATCCTGCGTTTCCAGGTGTTCCTGGGGAGAGGGAATCCATGTGCCTCTGGAAACCCACCCCTGAAACGGAGTTGTGGCCTGGACAGGGAACGCCCTCATAGTTTGAGGTGCCCGGGTCCAGGCCCCCTTCTTGCTTCCCAACAGGGGGGTGCCGTTTTGATGAAATTTTGAGTGGTGTTGATTAGCCCAATGATTTCCTTTATTGCATCGAGGGCAAAGTCCGGCATTTTTTTTCTGTTAAGAGGGGGACTATGTTACAAGATCTCTTGTTCACAGAGGTCTGACGGCATTCTCTTTTGAAACGTCCAAGTTTTCTACACTTATGACACTTTCCCACTTTAGGGCTTGACCCTTGGCTTCTTTTAGATCTGTCAGCCACCAAATTTGCTATTGCCTGAGTCAATACTGCAGAGCAATGAAGCTCAGTTCCCACATCTTGACAAGCTCTGAGAAAGCCTCCCAAGTCCTCTGCACATCTCACAGGTGCCAGTGCACGTTTACAATCCATGAAAGCCAAAGCTAAAGTTAGCCTTTCTGTAGCCACCAAAGAAGACGATACAAGGCAATTTTCATTCTCCCTCTTCTGTTCACCATTTTCGATAGGCACTGTAGGTGGGGCAAAAAATTCTAAATAACAAAAAGATGGTACATACCAAAACTCCAAACAAACAAAAAAGAGAAAAGAAATAGCCAAATTCTTCCTCGTTTCCCTGTTTTAAAAACTTCCCATTCTTTGTACCTCTAGGGCACTGACCAGTACCTTTTTAGAGAACTAACCTTATGTCGCTGCCAACAGAGTTGTAATGGGCTTTCTCGTTCATCTAGTTGGTTTTAGTTTTTTTCTGTTCCAGCAGACCTTCCTCGCTCTAGTCCTATAGGACCCTATCTGTCCCTATCTGTCCCTGTCTGTTCCTCCAAATCTCTCCTAGTCTTTGCTAGTCTCTACTTTTGTACCTCTTTAGGACACAGACCAGTACCTCTTCAGGGCACTGACCTTATATTGCTAGTCTTTATCTATTCCTATCTGTCTCTGTCTGTCCCTATGGTACCTGTTAGTTCCTGCAAGTCCCCGTCTTTCCCTACCTATCTCTACTTTTCTCTACTTACTTATCTCTACTTACTTTTCTGTACTTACCTCCACTTATCTCTGTTTATCCCTGCAGGCCTCTTCAGGTCCCTCCAGGTCCTTTCAGGTCTCTGTATGTCCCTGATAGTCTCTGAAATGTCCCTGTTCAGGCACCATTTGTAGTTGACTGTCACTGCTACTACATGAGACCATCACAAGTATGTTGAATTGAGCCTGGAACTCCTAGATGATAAACATTTTTTTATACCAACCTTCAACTTTTTCATTAAAATTAGATTGGGTAGATACTATAAATAGTGTCCCAAGCACTAGTGGAAAGATTCTACCATGTCTTACACTGGTTACTATGAGTTTGGAGTCAGAGGTATAAGGCTTGAAGAAAAAAGCACAATGAAATACAATTTTATCCACCAATCTGACATTTTTAAGTTTTAGGAAAATTGTGTCTTAATTCAAGCTGCTATAACAACAACAAAAACAACATACACTGACTGGTTTAAACAATAGAAATTTACTTCTCGGAGTTCTGGAGGCTGAGAGTCCAAGATAAAGGTGCCAGTCAATGGTTACAGGTAAAACCTCCATTCCTTGTCATGTCCTCATAAAGAGACAGAGAGAGAGACCAGACAGAGAGAGAGAGAGAGAGAGAGAGAGAGAGAAAGAGAGAGAGAGACTCATGACCTAATTATTTCCCAAAGGCCCTGTTTCCAAATATCATCTCAGTGGAATTAGGGTTTTAACATACAAATTTTGGGGGCGACGCAAGTATTTTTAGTCCATACCAAGTTAGATGCAACTTTACCAAAATTATTGTGGGTAATTTGACAAGGTAAGAGAGGTCAGTGAAACGCAAATTATATGATAACTTCTTGGTGCTCAGGCAGTATACCTGCCAGGTTGTCTCCTGGCTAGAGGAATGAAACAAGTAGTATTCAACAAGACTTTGGTAGTGAGTAAAACATGGCATATAAGTTGTTTTTTGTGGGAATGACATAGTCTAAATATTATTTTGATGACATACCTGTGTATTGACCTCTCTTGCATCAAAATGACATAAACATGGAGAAATAATTCTGAAAGTCAGCAGGAACTTGCAACTCACTTCTGGGAGGGGACCACTTAGGGGAACTATGATATTAGACTGTGGCAATGTCGACCTCCACACAGGAGGAAAGAGTAGTCACATACCCTAAATCTTGCGTAACGTGGTGTCTTAAAATTTCAATAAATCTACTGAGTTAAATTAACAGCAAAGCAGAAAAATTTGCCAAAGCTATTTATAGCTCCATTAAAATGGAAGACAAGTTAAGAAAATGTGTGTTCTAAATAATCATGTCAGAAGTTAGTGTTTCCTTCAAATATAATCATAGGCCTAAGAATTTTTATCCAAGATTGATGAAATTTTATTTTACGCAACAATAAATGGAACACAAAGGCTGCACATCATTTTTTTGTCTTCTGTACATATCACTAAAAAAAAAAAGCATCAAACTAAAACAATGAATATAATATTAAATAGGGATTTGTTAATTGCTAATATTTTTAATATAGAGAAAGAATAATGTTTAATGATTAATTACAAAATTGATGAACTAGAATAGTGAGAAATCAAGGAGAGCTGAAATTTATGGAACTTTATGATAAACTAATAAAGGACAATTTTATTCCTAGCATTTTAATTATTTGCTTTATTATTGCATTTTAAATGCAATTATCAAAAATAAAGGTTATAACTAAGAATTTCAAAAATTCTAATTATAGCAGAATTGGTAACAAAGAATTGAATACAGAGGGTGAATCTTATATTGCTTTATTATTATTAAAACTAAGGAAATATTTAGAATTTTGTGTACTAATTTAGCTACGAAGGAAAAGGAGGGCGTCATCATTTTAAAAATGTTTCCACATTGTCTACAGAAGCCTAGATTATTAAAAAAAAGAGTGGCCTCAGATAGATATCTGATTGGAATACACTACAAAATCTAGTAGTCAACTTGTTAAGATATCTGAAGATTCCATTTAAGACAGATTGTGAAAAAATATACTGGAAGAAATAGATTTTATTTAATATCCTTAAACATAAAACTTTGTTACCTTCTAAAACACTATATTTAGTTTTATTTCTATTTTATAATATTGTATATGATGTGCTTTCTTTTCCAGGTAAAACTAACAAAAGACAATAAAATGTTATTAACTTGAGTTATGGTTAAAGTAGAAGAGCTGTGGATATTACACTACATGAAAAAAAATTCTTCCACAGATATTATTTGTGTATGCATACATCGATAGAGATACACATAGATAGATACAGATACAGATAGATATCGATATAGATATAGACTTGGCTATAGAGACTGTGGGTTTTTTAATACAGCAAGAAAAGAGAAATATTTATTTACACTGGATCAACAAAGGAACTAGGCTATTAACTCAGATTGTAATAGTCTAAAATTTTTCCAAAAATTAGGAAAAATAAAATATTTATATGAATTTTACCTGGAAGTGTTTCAAAATAGTTTGCAAAGAGTGAGAATGAATTTCAACTTGTGAGTAAAGGGTAAAACTGAAATGAAAGTTAAAACAAATAGTTTCCCCCTTTCATTATTAGATCATGATTTATTGAAAACAATCTTGATTGTTAAATATTGATTAAAATTAATGAAGGTGCAGAGTTCCTAAGACCTTGTCATTTGAACGTTATGAATATCTTCACAATGAAAACATTATTCGTGTTATTTATGTGAGCTTATATGTACTTTTCCGCATAAATAATTTGTACTCTTAGTTAGAAACAAATGAACTATGGCTTTTGGTTTGGTTTTGTTTATTTATGAATAAACATTAAGAACTGTGCTTATGAAATTTTCAGGAAATATACTGAATGCTTTAATGTACTCTGTAACATTGCAACATATAATTTCCCCTCTTCCCTCACTTTTTGATGTAGCTATCATTGCTTTGAGTTTTTATTTACTGGTTATTTTAAAGAGCTTAATGGTCTCATTTACTTAAAAGTGGAATAATATTGGACTACTATTTTCTTTTTTTAACCTCTCTAGGTCATTCTACAGTCATTACCTTCCAGCCTATTTGTTTCTGCAGAATCTACGTATGTAATACCTATAAATTTTCTTTTCATATTTGTTCACTCATCCACATCATTAATAAAGTTATTAAGTGAAGACGAACCCAGCAGTAGCACTCCCTTACCACCTTGAAATATTGTGCTGATGTAGAGGTTGTATCTGATTTAATTCTTCAAGGATTATTAATGTATGTGGAACTAGCTTTTCAGCCATGGAAATCTTTAGTACGTATTTAAGAAAAAGTGATTTAATGCTCAGTAGGGAAATGTTGTCCAAAACAGTGCCTGAAAAAAGCAGGTATGTGTCCACATTGGGCACACTGCAGGTGGGGTATATTGTTGAGATAGGAAGGAAAAATAAAATGTGAGAAAAGGCAAGAGACAGAAAACAAAGTGCAGGTCGGGAAGAGACAACTTTAACTTCCACCATTTGTTAATCAATTCTGAAATATTTTCATTTTTACAGCCTAAAATTATGCATGTGTTGGCATTTTTTTAAATGGATGATATTACAGTTTTCATTCAAGCATTGGTATAGAGCCTAACCTTTTGTTATGGATGAGATGTTTAGATTGTTAATCTGGAAAATCTATTTTCCTGTTATTGAAGTCACATATATACATATATGTATATATACTTTTATATATGTGTCTATATATAGTAAAAATGTGTATATTTATTTTAAAAAGTATTTTGGTTCATGTTTTTGTTCTTAATGTTGTCCTACTAAAATTACTTAATCATAAATCTTTCTACTAACAGTAAGGCAGAAACAGAGTAACAAGGGATTTTTTTTTTCTATTAAACTGAAGACAGAGAAGTTTGGTATTTATTTTTACCTAATATAGCAAACTTCAAAAAACAATCTATTTCAATAAAAATATTTTCCCCAGCTACAGAAATAAACAAGGGATAATATATAATCTAAAAATGTAATGGAAGAAAAGGCACAGCATTAAGAGATTGCCTTATTTTCCTTTCTAGCACATCTTGCTCTTAAAATATCCATGAGTCTATAAAGGGTGCTATTTACAAGGATCAGTTTCCCTGTATTTCTGGGTTGAATGATCCTCTACTTTTACTATCCTTTGCTAAACATGACAAAATAAGAAAATAAAAGATAAATATGAGATGAAGACCTCAAATGACATCAATTTCATTGCCTCTAAAAAGTTGTGATGATGAATGTTACCACTACTCAACTGAGTTTATGAAAAGGCAAATATACTTTTAAAAATGTAGGGGTGCTTATACAAAGACTTATGTGTTTACGTTTACTTTTTTTATAAAGCTGATTTAATCAAAAGATTTAGTTAAGGCCGGGCGCGGTGGCTCACGCCTGTAATCCCAGCACTTTGGGAGGCCGAGGCGGGCGGATCACGAGGTCAGGAGATCGAGACCATCCCGGCTAAAACAGTGAAACCCCGTCTCTACTAAAAATACAAAAAATTAGCCGGGCGTAGTGGCGGGCGCCTGTAGTCCCAGCTACTTGGGAGGCTGAGGCAGGAGAATGGCGTGAACCCGGGAGGCGGAGCTTGCAGTGAGCCGAGATCCCGCCACTGCAGTCCAGCCTGGGCGACAGAGCGAGACTCCGTCTCAAAAAAAAAAAAAAAAAAAAAGATTTAGTTAGTAATTTATTGACTCAAATACTTTATGCCTTCTATTTCACATTTTTTACAGGTTTATAAGTCTAGATACCTATGTCAATTAGTGAATTTTCTACCAAGAGTTCATGTTTTGTTGCTTAAAGGCAGATAATTTTTTTATTTAAATAATATTAAAAAGAGGAAAATATTTCAAAATACCAAGATTGGGAGGTGTCTGGGAGATTTATATGTATTGCTTTTATTAACTGTCTAGCACTGGATTTATAAACCAGCTTATTTTTTTAATTTAAAAGCTCTCTGCCTTGCAATTTAATTCACATGATCTGCATTAACCATGCCATATTCAAAATTTCATTGATAAATTCTATCCAGTAGTCAATATCGAATTGTAAACTGATGTAATGTGCTTTAAAATATGAAGATTTAATCTTTAAAATATGAATATTTGATTGAATAATTACTACCACTAAAATCATGTTTACTTATTAGAATTATCATATAGGAATTGTTTTATAATGTATATGTTAATTGAATGTGATTTCTTGATACTTAGGATATACGTTAAGTATACATAAACAAATTGGAAATAAAGTTCTGATATACTGTTCCATGAAAGTTTCAAATCTTTATATTAAAGATTACCATTTGAGTCAGAGGCAATGATAGGATTTTCTGTACTTTATCCACATGTTTATATATATACATATATATATGTTTTCATATAACCTTTCATAAGGATAGAAAAGAACTATGAATGTTTCTCCATCAGGCATCTTTCAAATACAACATAACAATAACTTCCTTAAGTATTTTATTTAGGCAAAAACTATAAAATGATGGAATGGAAAAAGAATTCTCAATGATCAAACCAAAGCAATTATATTTGATTCTGAATTTTAAAAGATTAGTCCATCAATTTATATTTAGAGGTTAGAAAACACATTCTGAGAGACAGAAAATTATATTACTTTTCTAACTTCCTGGAGAATATTGTGCTTTGTCAAATTTTACATTTATGAGAAGTTTTATATTAAAGCTATAAAATCTATCAGGGTAAGTTAATATGAGTATTTGAAAGTTTCACTGTTAAATTTATATTATCACATATTAAATGAAAGAACTGTTAACTGTGTACTGAATTCAAAAGTTAATATAGCTTCTCTCTTTTTTAAGAAATGGGACACAATATTAAAAAATTAAAGAGTTTTCAAATATTTATACTTAAATTTATATCTAAGGAATTATATATAGAATGCATACCTTTCAAGTAGATACTATTGTTGCTGTTAAGATTATTGTCAACAAAATTTAAATACACAGACTATTAAATAAAGAAATTAAAACAACAAAAAATAACCTCTCGGCCAGGTGTCCTGGTTAACCTGTAATCCCAGCACTTTAGAAGCTTGAGGCAAGAGGATTGCTTGAGACCAATAGTTTGAGACCAGCCTGAGCAGCAAACTGAGACTCTATGTGTATCAAAAAATGTTTTAAAAGTAGCCGGGTACTGAGGCAGGCACTTGTAATCCAAGCTACTTGGGAGGCTGAGGTGGGAGGTATGCTTGGGCCCAGGATTTTGAGGCTGCAGTGAGCTGTGATTGCACCACAGCCCTCCAGCCTGGGAGAGAGAGGAGACCTTGTTTCTAAAAACTAACTAAATAAACAATAATGTAAAAAATCTCTCTTTAGGTGTATGCTTCTCTTTGCCAGTGTTTAAGGGTTAAAAAATCAATATGAGAGATTAACTAAAGTACCAATTTAGAGTTAAATGAGTGCATTTGCCACTTGAGTGCCGATTGCCTCGCATGACAGACAATATTAAGTGCTGATGACTTTAACTTTCACAAGTTTTATGCGATAGTGGGATAAATTTTTACTTAAAATGTGTTAAACTTCGGTTTAATTGCACTAATTAATGTCTCAATAGATATACTGTTGTATCTACCTCAAAATGCAAACACCAATGAAGTAATTCATCAGAAGACTTGATATGAATAAAGAATGGAACAGTAAAGTTGAAGATAAAAAACATAGAAATTGAATAACAAATACAAGTAAGAAACAAGAAGAGTGATAAATAGCAGAACATGGCATCCAAGAGCTGAAGGACAGCTCTGGATGCCTAACTTGAACGGATTCATGAAAGAGAACAAGGATGATAAATACTTAAAAACAAAATGAATGAGAATTTTCCAAAAGAAGTGAAGGCAATCAAATCGTAAATCCAAGAAACATTTCTAGAGATATAGGGGCTACGTAAACAAACTAAAAAAAAGGTAAAAAATTATATGAAGACAAACATAGTTGTGTTGTATGTATTATATAGTTAAATATACGTTATACACAGGCACGAAGAAAAGAAGTACAGGAAACCTGTCCTCAAGAACTATTTAACTGTATACTGCAAATTTTAACCAGTGTACTAAAGTAAGAAAAATAAACAAAAGGCATACAAATTGGATACGAAGAAATAAAACTCTATTTGATTCGTGGATGGTCTATGCACAGTATTCCATTATGTACAAAATAATTAAAATTATTAGCAGTGAAGCTGCTAGAAATAAATTGTGAGTACAAAATAATTAAAATTATTAAAAGTGAAGCTACTAGAAATAAATTGTGAGTTTTGTAATTTCACACTATGCACTATAACACTATAATGTTAATATACAGAATTATTTTTTATATATAATTGTTGCAGGAAAAACCCAGACCTGTGTAGAAGAACATCCCTCTGCCAAAGAGATAGTGCTGAAATAACAAAGAAGGACTCAGACAAGTCCAGCTTCATGAGAAGACGAGTTTATTAGGACTTACGTAAAGGGCAGCGGGATAACTCCAGAGATCCGCCTGCTGCCCACCATCTTCCTCTAAGCTGCTTTTAAGCTACTTTTCTTTTCTTTTCTTTTCTTTTCTTTTCTTTTCTTTTCTTTTCTTTTCTTTTCTTTTCTTTTCTTTTCTTTTCTTTTCTTTTCTTTTCTTTTTTTTCTTTTCTTCTTTTCTTTTCTTTTCTTTGACGGAGTCTCGCTCTGTCGCCCAGGCTGCAGTGCAGTGGCGGGATCTCGGCTCACTGCAAGCTCCGCCTCCCAGGTTCACGCCATTCTCCTGCCTCAGCCTCCCGAGTAGCTGGGACTATAGGCGCCTTCCACCACGCCCGGCTAATCTTTTGTATTTTTAGTAGAGACGGGGTTTCACCACGTTAGCCAGGATGGTCTTGATTTCCTGACCTCGTGATCCGCCCGCCTTGGCCTCTCAAAGTGCTGGGATTACAGGCATGAGCCACCGCGCCCGGCCAAAGCTACTTTTCTGGCTCTTTGCTTACTACATGTGATGAAACTGTTCTTCTTGGTATGTACCTAGATATGCTCCCGGATGTTTTGGTTTTCAGGGACATCTGCTCCTCGGCTGAGCACCATGAACTTTGCTCACCATCTAGCCTTCAGGACTCAAGCAGTCAACATATGCCCTTAAATTCCCTGGTGGGGGACCCGCTACTTTACAACACTATTAATGAACAATTGGAAATTAGAATTTTTTAAAGTTACATTTAAAGTAGCACAAGAAACATTAAATTCTTAATCTAAAAAAACATGGAGAAAGGGTAACAAAAACTAAAAAAACACTGGTAAAAGAAATCAAAGAAGAAGTAAATAAGTAAAGAGCTTGGTAGCCAATATTGACAATAAATTAATTCTGTTCAAACCAAACAAAAAATTCAATACAAAAATTCAATCCAGTTAAAATTCCTAACAGGATATTTGCAACTAACAAACAAGCTCATTCTAAAACTTTCAACAGAGAAGCAAAGGAATTATAATGGAAAAATCATTTTGACAATAAAAAAATTGAAGAATCCACTGATTTATATGTATACTATATACATATATGTATATATACATATATATATATACATATATTATATATACATACATTATTATACATATATGTAATATACATATGTATATCTGTTGGTGACTTTAACCATATGATTCATAATTTCAAAAACTGGTGAATAGTCAAAAAGTTATATACTGTATCTATTTAATATCACATTAGGAAGAAAAAGAAACAAATCTGATAACATAACAACATGAATGTGTCTCAGATTTATTATGCTATTTTAAAAGCCAGATTTAAAGGCCTATTCAGGATGCTGTTTGCTCCCTTGTGTATGACATTCTAGAAAATATAAAACCATAGGGACAAAGAACAGCGATTTCCAAAGACTGAGGGCAGCAGAAATACTGATTCAAAAGGCACAAAAGGGAATTTTTCTAGGTGATGTTACTGTTCTATATCTTGAGGATGGTATTTGTTATATAACCATCTATGTTTTCAACACACTGCATACTTAAAAAGATGACTTTTGGCATATATAAATTTTAATTCGATAAACCTGAGTTTTTAAAACAAAGATTTTCTGTAACCAGTAGACTCATAACACTGTCTTCCTGCCATTGACTAAGATGGTTTCAATAGTGGATTCCTCTTGTTCATGCCAGCCAATGTGTCTTTTGTTTAACCAAAACCCTTGAAATATCTTTGCCTCAGGCTTTTATTGCAATTTCCTGTAATTTAAAGACTTCACCCTCCTATTCACAGGAGTTAGTATCTTGAAATGGTAATAACTTGAAAACAGCTATGGTGGGAGGACTTACTCTTTGAGTGTAACTTACATACATGCAGCATACACCATGTATCAAAACTTTCTTTTTTTCTGGTTTTTTTTTTTTTTTTTTTGAGATGGCGTCTCACTCTGTTGCCCAGTCTGGAGTGCAGTGGTGTGGTCTCAGCTCGCTGCAACCTCCACCTCCCTGGTTCAAGCGATTCTCCTGCCTCAGCCTCCTGAGTAGCTGTGACTACAGGCACCATGCCACCACGCTGGGCTAATTTGTGTATTTTTTATTAGAGACGGGGTTTCACAATATTGGCCGGGCTGGTCTCGAACTCCTGACCTTGTGATCCACCCGCCTTGGCCTCCCAAAGTGCTGGGATTACAGGCGTGAGCCACCGTGCCCAGCCGACTTTCTTTTCATTTGGATCACTAGTTTACCAACATCACTGCCTTTACTCAACTCTATTAACAATTATTTAACCTAGTTTATCAAGTCACTTGTCAAAATAGAGATTTATATTGTTTATATATGTAATATTTTACAAATCTGTATTTTTGTACTTCACTATCTAATTAAACCTTTGGGGTAACTTTTATGTGTATCCCAAATAGGACAGGACAGTCATTCATTTCTTATAATGTATCAGCTAATTTCAAGGAGACATCGGAATTTTTGTGGAGACATCGGAATCTGAAGAGCAAAGTGATTCAAATTGGGTCACAGATTAAATAATTTTTAAAATGTTTACTTTAAATATCTTAAAAAACTTTAAGGAGAAAATTAATTTTTCTATATTGTTCTTGGCCTTAAAATATACATTAAGCATTAGTTTTCTGGCTTTTGATGTTTTTCATAAAATTAGCTCAAAAAATGCAAAAAGCTTGTATGAATATATAAGGGCCTTTGTAATCATATTGTAATTGCTTGACATAGTTAATTTCTTGATTTCTGACTCTGGCATCTGAGTTTCATAATTGTTATGTAATTACTCTATTTTTTTAAATCATGTTTTTAAATGGAAGTTTCAGTCTCAGATCTTTTCTATTTCATGCAATAAATAATTTTTAGCAGTAAAGAATTATTTGGCAATAAATATTTTTTGAGACGTCATGCTCCAATGATATAATTTAGTCCACTTTCTGCTTGAAAATATGCAAAGAAGAAATCTCTTGTTGGTATTAATTTCAGAAGTCGTCTTTGCACACACAATGATGATCATTCTGTTTTCCTTAGATAATTCATGGTAGTGTAACCCAATAATATAATCTTAGATGTGTAACTTACATACATGCACGTGGCACATGAAGCATGTGGTGTACTGAGATGAAAATAAGCTTGTAAAAGTCATTGGTTACCTAACTGCGGCTTGGTACCTAGCACACCCTACCTGCAACGGTCCCAACAGTTACACTGGCTCTATTTGACTTAGATGATGCAGGGGTGGGTTCAAAATCCCTCTCTTTTTCCTAATTACATACGACTGAGCATCCCTTCCCTTGTCTCAATCTGGGATTTTGAGAGTTTATTATAAGATCCCCAGTGAAAATCCACCCAGGTGGTTCTTCCCTACCCTCTTTAAATGTTCACACCCTAGTGTGAACAAGCTAGAAGTGGATTCTTTGAGGCAGTGACAACAGACCATGTTCAACTTCTACACTCCTTGATGTTTGTGTATTGGAAGAAGGTGTGACAAGATGCCAGGCACCAGAATTTCAGGTTGGTCTTTATGGAATTCTTGAACTCTAGGGCTGCATCCCTCCCTATAATGAGGCAAAGTTGGGGAAGTAGAAAGTTCAATGCAGCCTATGATTTTTACCTCATGGTTTTCTATAACCTAATACATATCACATTGAATTATGTGTTAACTCGTGAGCATTCAAATTAATAGAGCATGCTGTACCAAAATATTGTCATTATTTTGGTTATTATAAATTATATATGGCCATGATCAGTGCTATAGGGCAAGACTATATCATTTTTTACTTCTAGGCTAAAAGGATTATGTTCCTACACATGAATTATGTAACTTTTTAAAAAAAATAGTGATATTTTTCTATTAGAAGTTAAAGCAATTAGTTCTTTACAACATTGGCTACGTACTCAAATCAACTGATTCCTGGGTTTCCCCTCAATCCAAGTAAATTAGGCAGAGAGCAAAACTAAGGAACAGTATTTTCAAAGAGGACCAGGATTGACAATGACTGGTATTCAAATAGCTGTGAATTTGTGCAAATGTAGCAGAAGACAGCAAAGGGTTCTGGATATGCCAATTATTATTTATTTTTATTATACTTTAAGTTCTAGGGTACATGTGCACAATGTGCAGGTTTGTTACATATGTATACATGTGCCATGTTGGTGTGCTGCAGCCATTAACTCGTCATTTACATTAGGCACATCTCCTAATGCTATCCCTGCCCCCTCCTCCCACCCCACGACAGGCTCTGGTGTGTCGTGTTCCCCACCCTGTGTCCAGGTGTTCTCATTGTTCAATTTGCACCTATGAGTGAGGATATGCGGTGTTTGGTTTTCTGTCCTTGCGATAGTTTGCTCAGAATGATGGTTTCCAGCTTCTAGAACTGGAAAAACCATTTGACCCAGCCATCCCATTACTGGATATATACCCAAAGGATTATAAATCATGCTGCTATAAAGACACATGCACACATATGTTTATTGCGGCACTATTCACAATAGCAAAGACTTGGAACCAACCCAAATGTCCATCCATGATAGACTGGATTAAGAAAATGTGGCACATATACACCATGGGAATACTATGCAGACATAAAAATGTATGAGTTCATGTCCGCTGTAGGGACATGGATGAAGCTGGATATGCCAATTATTATTAAAATAATTTTTGGGTTAAGCTGATTTTTACTTTTCTGAAAGAAAGATCCAAACACAATGCCTATAATAAATCTTAGAAATTGTCTGTCTCCATTGGTGAGATTAGTCAGTATAAACACTAACATATATAAATAAAACCAAACAACAGTTACTCTTTTCCATAATGTTATGCTTTTGTGTTCAATGAAATATTTAATTTAATTACTAAATTTCTAGCATTTCTCTGAAGGATAAAACAAATAAGCAAACAAACAAATTAACAAGAAAAACCCAAAATAACTTCAATGAATTAAAACTGTCTGGTGCTACCTTTCCTATAATTATCGTCACCAAATAAAGTGCCTATTGGACAGAGATGGCTGGTTCACTGCAATCTCCATTGACCCTTTCGCCATCAGTAAAAATGTCCTCTAATGCTTAGCCGGACACATGATCACCAGGAATAAATGCTATATTCCCAATCTTTTCTTAACATAGGGCATGACACATGTGACCAATTTCTGACCTATGTTGTGTAAGGGGAAGTAACGCGTGTAACTTCTGAGAAGCTGACTTACATGCAGGGGGCATGTCCTATCTCTGTGCTTTCTTCCTTCTTGGAAAGGCAGCTCTGATGGCTAGATCTGGGGCAGCCATGGGGCAACATGAGAAGCAGCAGTACTTGGAGGTGCAAAGCAACAAGATAATAGCCATCTGGATTTCTGATGATCATGAAGACATCATATCTGAACTGGGGTGTCTGCATATCCCTGAGAGGCAAAAAATGTCTATATTGTTTCCGTGAGTTCTTAGCCTACACTGCACATACGAGTTATCAGAGAACTTTCAAAATTTATCAAATGCCCAGTTCTATTAAGGTATCTGGAAACTTATTCTTGGCCTATAATTTTCCACTGGGTCAACTATAACCCAGGTTTATCTGTCTTCTATATCCAGAGACTGTACCCTGCTCCTATGCAGTCTTGCTCTCTCCATAGCTTCATATGTGCAGCAGAACTCACCCTCTGCCTTCCATAACCAGGAGTGGGGCGCTACCTTCCCTCACCTGACTCCTGTGCTGCAGAAACTTGCTAAGAAACACGGAGCATATGTTTCAGACTCAGAATAAAATTATTTTTACAGTCACCAAGTTTTAGAGGTTCTGATTTAGTGTATCTGGGTGTGTCCAGGGTACCAGTGTGCTCCCTTCTCACTCAAATGAAAATTACTGGAACATGATGTTATTTGGTATTCAGTTACACAAAGCTGAGTGTAACTGATTGGTTAATAGTAAAAGTTTTGATTTCAGTAAAATAGTTGAATTATTCTAAACCATAACTTTGTAGCTACATGATTTGGGTGAGATGATTTTTTTTTTTTTTTTTGAGAAGGACTCTCGCTCTGTCACCCAGACTAGAGGGCAGTGGTGTGATCTTGGCTCACTGCAACCTCCTCCTCATGGGTTCAAGTGATTCTCCTGCCTCAGCCCCCCGAGTAGCTGGGATTACAGGTGTGCACCACCATGCCGGACCGGTTTTGTACTTTAGTAGAGATGAGGTTTCACCATGTTGGCCAGGCTGGTCTCAAACTCCTGATCTCAGGCGATCCACCTGCTTTGGACCCCCAAAGTGCTGGGATTACATGAGTTAGCCACCACACCCTGCCTGAGATGATGTTTTTGAGCCACAGTATTCCCATCAGTAAACCGGACATACTAATTGTAATTTCAGGTATTTTTGTGACACATATATTATTGAAATTATTATTATTAAATTACTGACTTTAATAATACATTCTTAAATTAGTTATTATTATAATAACATAATTAATATTGAAAGCAGTTTATAAACTTGCGTGGTGCTAGGGGGCACTACAATGTAAAGGAATTTATGTAATAAAAGTAAAGATGCAACGTTTGATTTTATTTTTCATGTTTTGTAATGCAAAAATTAACTGTCCTTTTATTTAAATTACAGCACATGCAAATTAACTTTTAGGTATATAATTATTCTGAATTATTTCAGAAAACTATTATGGTCTCATCACTGGATTAAAAAATGTAATAATATTCTCAGTTTAAAGAAAATGCACAGGTTTTAAATCCTCTGTGATAAGGGCCCATGAACTTGGAGCTGCTGATTTTTTTTTTTTTAATTTGCAGGGTTTTTACATAACAAATTATCAGAAACCAAAGCACCCAGATATCAGACTATGAATAGAAAACATCTTTCCTGAACAAGTACAGGCTTTATTACTTAATTGTATTTACACTGATGAGTGCACACAAAGAAAAATCAATTTGTGGGAGTTTATTTCATTGGTATTGAAATTGTATCTTCCTTGAAAAACTTGGCACACAGTGCCTAGTTTGTCTCCCAGTTCATTATATTATTATTTTACTATATTCTGTGCTGTTATGTAGTTTTATATGGGCTCACTAGTTGAGTGTTCAAAATTGCTTTTCTGAACTATAGAATATTAACTTCCAGTATTTACCAAAAAAATGTTATTTATTAAAAAAATCACAATAAAAGGGCATAAAATAAATATAAATACTCAACATTTTCAAGGTTCTTGTGGAATCATTCTGAAAGCATTAAAAGGAGAGGCTGGAAATCTGCGTTTATAATATTGGTCATTTCCCTACCTACTTAATAGTAACATTAAAGCTTCCTCAGTATGCTTTCTGAAACAAGTAAAAATGTTCTTTTACCTTAACTTATACTGTGGAAAATCTCAAAGGAATGCTAGAAAACCATTCCAATGTACTCACCCAAACAACACAAAATACCCACACCTTCTCCAATTCAAGCAATCATTTAATTAATCGAAAGAGCTGAGATGCACTCCCTCTCTACCTCATAAGGGCTTCCATCATGAACTTGATTGTGTCCTAAATTCAGTCCTCCAGGAGAAGCTCATCACCCTCCCCATGTCCTGAATGTCAGAATCCAAAGCTGGAAACTGCATCCTACTTAATCTTTATGTTTTTTGAAAAAGTTTATCTTTCTTCCCGGGAATAAAAACATCTATTCTCTGAGGCACATGTAAGCATTTATCCTTCAGTATAATGAACTTTTTTAGTCATATTGTTAATGACAAGCTTACATAAATTTTTTTCTGCTCCCACCTTCAAAGCTCCAAGCCCTGTATTCTTACAGGATGATATTCATAAACTATTCGACCTTAGCTTCCCTCCACTTAAGCCTTTCTTGCTCAGAATCACTCCTTTTATTAGTTATCTGTTGATGCTTAACATATTACCTCCAAAACTTAGTGGATTAAAACAACAAACATTCATTATGCCAACTTCTCTGGGTCAAGAACTATATCAGAATTAGTAAGGCCCTCTAGCTCAAGGACTCTCATAAGGCTGCCATCATTTAAAAGCCTTACTTAGGGAAGATTCACTTCTAAGATTAATCATGTGGCTGGGGGCAGTCCCCAGGTCCTTCCTTGCTGGCTGTGACTGGTGACACTGGCTCCGTGCTATGTGGACTTCTTAATAGGCAGCGCCCAACATAGAAGTCAGCTTCCCTTACAATGAAAGAGAGAGAGAGGATTCCCAAGACAGAAGCCACAGTCTTTGTGCAATCTAATGTTGGAAGTGATATCCATCACTTCTGCCACAGTCTATTTGATAGTGAAGTGAGATAAATTCAACTAGGACAACAGAGTAGAAGATTCCTCAAGGAGTTACCTCTACCAGGGGTACAAGTGACATGGAGCAATTTTAGAGGCTGCTTACCAAACCCATGAAATGTATAATGACAAAACATGATATTCCTCTTAAATGACTAAATAAGCACACCACTCTTTGATCAATCTCCTGTCTGTTCAGTGTGGCAACAATTCCCACTGCAGCTGTTCTCCTGCCTCACTAGGACTTTCAATCCACTGGTGCCTCAGCCTTTGCCTATAGCATTATGATCCTCCTGCGGTCAGTTACTCCCACAAGCAAACTAACAATGGCTCTTCTCAACACTGGCTTTATGTTAGAATTGCCTGAGGAGGTTCCAAAGATACATATGAGTGCCTTGGCCCCAATTGAGATTGGCTGACCCAGTGTCTCTGGGACCTGGCATTCTATTATGATACTAATATGCAGCAATAGTTGGGAATCGATATTGTAGATTCAATTACTGAATATTTTAAAATGTAATTGCCAGTAACATAAAACCAGAATTGACATACTGCTTCCCTTGGGCTAAATACAATCCATCACCTATTTTTTAAATAAATTCTTATTGGAACGCAGCCACATTTTCTTATTGTCCATGGTTGCTTTTGCAGAACATGGGAGAACTGAGTACTTCCTACAGAGACAATATGGCTCACAAAATAAAAATATTTACTATCTGGCCCTTTGCTTAAAAAAAATTAATGAGTTTTGACCTATCCCCTTTCACATCTTCATTTTTCTCTCTCTCTTTCTCCCTCTCTCTCTCTCCCCCTCGGTTGCTTTTGGTTTTGTCCTTTTTAGAAGCACATTGCAACCTCTTCTCTAGATGAACTCAACTATCTGATTTCTGCATATTTCTCAGTCCATGACTGCTGCTGAAGAATGCCATGCAAGAAAACAAACTGATAATATTTTAAGACAATGATCACCATTGGAAACCGGGTTTTCAATTGTGCCTGACATAACTTTTTCAATCTCTACAATCCTCTAATTTCTGACACTCTCTTCTCCCTTCTCACTTCTCTCTCTCTGCAGATGACTTTGCTACTGCAACACAGAGAAAATATAAGTCTTTATACTCGTAGTCTTTCAACTACCTGGCACTAAATCAATATACCTGTCTCCATTTGCAACTATTATCTTTCTCCCTGATCCTGTCAAGATGATCTTACTCTTTGTTGTAGGCTACTTTCCTCCTCTGACTTCAGAATTAGTTCTCACCTGACATTAAGAGGAAATTTACATTGTTACCAATTTCTCTACTGAAAATCCAACTTTTTATTTCCACGTAGATGCTTCCCATCGTGGTTTCCATGGACTTTATTGTCTCAATGATTGTCATTTTAGATCTATAACTCTTTTTCTGAGCTTTGGGTCTATATAAGCCAAATTTCTGCTCAACGGAGCAACCATATCCCCACTTTAATTGGACAAGTCTCTCCAGAAAATAAATCTCCTATTTCCTGTTGTGTTAAATGAAGAATAATTACTAAGGTATTCAGTAATGATAAAGAATCTGGGAATTTAACTGTTCTTGATATGAAATTTCAAACTACACACTTTTTTTTTTTGGGAAGCCAAACCCACCTCCAGCATTTTATTCCCACACATGATAAGCTTGTCCAAGGTGTGTGTGGTTTGGATGACTTTATATTTTGTTAGCTTTCCTCTTCCCTCTACATATGGACACTATGTTTTGTCAAAAGGAAACGTGTACACTGGTTGCTTGTTAAAAATAGCAAGGAAGACTATTCAGGACTATAGCAATGGGGGAATAATATAGCTATAGTAGAGAGAGATTGAACTAAAATTTCTCCCAGCATGGAGCTGGAAATTTATAAGCAAAGAGCTGAGGGAGTGAGTCAGTGGATAGAAACTAATTAGATATTAAGGGTGGCGGGGGGTGGGGTGGCGGGGAGCGGGGTTCTTGCTAAACTGCATTATTGCTAAAGGCATGCCAAAGTGATAAGATATCCAGGGCGAAGTGATTCTCAGTGAACTGGCTTAGCAGGCGTCTTTGTTAAACTGGGCCTGAGAAGAGGGACTGGAGAAGAATGATTAAACTTTGGTCAAGATGGGAATCTGTCAGTTTTGGCCTTCTCTAATCTATGTCGTTACGCTGCTCGAGAGCTTGCTAAGATGTATTCAAGAAGGCTAGTGTATTAGCTTGTTCTCACACTGCTGCTATAAAGAAACACTTGAGATGGGGTAATTTATAAAGCAAAGAAGTTTAATTGGCTCGCAGTTCTGCAGGCTGAACAGGAAGCATAGCAGCATCTGCTTCTGGGGAGGCTAAAGGGAGATTTTACTCATGGCAGAAGGCAAAGTGGAAGCACGAATCTTGCGAGGCAGAAGCAGGACTGAGAGGAAGAGAAAAGGTGCCACACACTTTCACCAACCATATCTCATGAGGACGCTATCATGATACAGCATCAAAGGGGGAAATCTGCCCCCATGATCCAGTCACCTCCCACAAGACCCCACCTCCAACACTGGGGATTACAATTCGGCATGAGATTTGGTAAGGGACACAGATCCAAATCATATCAGCTAGTAATAAAGTGTATTAAGATTTAGGAGTTGATATGGTTTGGCTGTGTCCCCACTCAAAATCTCATGGTGAATTGTAAACCCCATAATCCCCACATGTCAAGGGAGAGACCAGGTGGAGGTAATTGAATCATGGAGGTGGTTTCTCCCAAGCTGTTCTCATGACAGTGAGTGAGTTCTCTCGAGATCTAATGGTTTTACAACTGTTCGGCAAGTTCCTCCTCCCATCCTTCTTTTTCCTGCCATTTTGTGAAGAAAGTGCCTGCCTCCCTTTCACCTTCCACTACGATTGTAAGTTTCCTGAGGCCTCCCCAGTCATAGGGAACTGTGAGTCAATTAAACCTCTTTCTTTTATAAATTACTCAGTCTCAGGTATTTTCATATAGGAATGTGAGAAAGGACTAATACAGGAATCTTCAAGGACATCCCATCCAAATTAAAAGTTGTGTATCACTTGCTTCTTTGACCTCATCTACTGTATTAATTACATTTATATGTATATACACACACACACACACACACACACATATGCAAACATATATATATATCAGCTTTACTAAATGGTCTCTATATTCTCAGTTTTATTGTTTCATTAGGAAAAGAAATTGGCTGGGATATTGGTAACAGTATATTTCTGCTTATGCTGTAATACCCAAGTTGAAACATTTGATAGAAATTGATTGATGCTTGTTACCTGATGTTTTAAAATAAGGGCTAAATAGTTATATATCTCAATATTATCGTTATCCTGGATGTGACAGGGTACAGATGTGACAATGCATGTTTTTATAGTGTGTTCTACTGGTGATTCAAATAACTAAGGTATTGCCATTGGCAACATAATTTTTGTAAATATTGAAAGACTCTGGGAAGTTTCTACAATAAAAAGACTTTTTCTCTTCAATTTCCGTAGTGGTTGCATTCTGAAAAATTTAGTTTGTATTAAGCCATTCAAAGTATTTACATGTAAAATATTCATTTCTTGACTAAATAATTACAGATGATCACTTACGTGGCTATCCATTGGGGCATTTGATGGGAATATTTTTTACAATGTAGGATCGCAGGATATCTAGTATTGTTTGTCCTCACATTGGAAATACAATTACTGCCTTCTGATCGTTTTGACAATGGAGACACTCAAGCATTTCTAAACAGAAAAAGCTGGTACAAGCACACTTGAAGCACAATACATCTGAAAGGCACATGAAGAGTTCAATAAAATGTTTAACAACTGAAAAGACTGCAGAAATAAATTTAAGTATTCTGTCTATACTAAAATCCAAATGTAAATTATATTAGAGTTGCAGCTATTTAATACGCTATTTCAGCATTCACATGCTATTTTCTTTTTCTATTCAGATGTTTTTTCCACTGCCAGACACTTTCTAACAAGTCCTTCAAACCCTCTTTATAATAACTTATGAAAATATTTGTTACATTATGCTCAATGATTTCCTCAATTAAAATGATATATAAAATAAGAACAAGTGAGAGGAAAAAAACATAGTTTGTGCATCTGTTTTGTGATAAATATAGTAGTTAGATCTATTTTATATAAGTTTTCTCATTAAACCCACATCAAACTTTTTCTCCTGTATTTTTTAAATGGAAAATGTGAGGTTGATAGGAGTTAATTAACTCTACTAATAGCTGACGGAAATGAAACTATCATTACTGAGAACTATGGTTGGTTTTTACAATTATTTCATTTTTTGTTGGTTTGTTTTTGTTTTTGTTTTTTGAGATGGAGTTTCGTTCTTGTTGCCCAAGCTGGAGTGCAATGGCGTGATCTCAGCTCACTGCAACCTCTGCCTCTTGGATTCAAGTGATTCTCCTGCCTCAGCCTCCTGAGTAGCTGGGATTACAGGCACGTGCCACCACGCCCAGCTAATTTTGTATTTTTGGTAGAAATGGGGTTTCTCCATGTTTGTCAGGCTGGTCTCGAACTCCCAACCTCAGGTGATCCACCCACCTCCGCCTCCTAACGTGCTGGGATTATGGGTATGAACCAGCATGCCCGGCCAATCTATATCTTTTAAGTGTGAAATGCTTTCAGAAAAATATTTCAACCAAAAGGGAGAAATGTGGAAGTTGTGAGCACCAAAATGGAGTCACTTACATCAAACCATAAAAAAATGAAGCTGGGAGGCCATGAAAGAGGGGCCTTCATGTACATATGTCTATAATAAGAACTGCTGCAATGGTTCTCTCAAAAACCACGAAAATGTTAGATATGATAATTCTATGAAGACATCTCTCCAGCAACAGCCAATATTATCAATGAGTATTTGCCAGCTCTTGTAACAAGCTTCTCTGGCCCATGAGGTTTATTACAAAACTTACATAAAATTTCTCTTTTAAGATTTTTGCCTTCCTGATATGGTTTAGATTTGTGTCCCCACCCAAATCTCATGTCGAATTGTAATCCCCAATGTTGGAGGAGGGGCTTGGTGAGAGGCGATTGGATCATGGGGGTGGATTTCCTCCTTGCTGTTCTTGTGATAGTGAGTTCTCATGAGACCTGCTTGTTGAAAAGTGTGTGGTATTTCCCCTTTGCCCTCTTCCCCCTGCTTCGGCCATGTAAGACGTGCCTCCTTCCTTTTTGCCTTCTGCCATCATTGTAAGTTTCCTGAGGCCTCCTCCAATCATGTTTCCTGTACAGCCTATGAAATCATGAGTCAATTAAACCTCTTTTCTTTATAAATTACCAAGTCTCAGGTAGTTCTTTGTGCTAGAACAAACTAATACAGTCCCTCAGCTTCTTTGGTGCCTAAGGTCCACCATAGCATGTGTATTTCAAATTGCAATTTACTGCTATTTCCTGAATACACTCCACTCTTTATTTTAGAGAGTCAGTATCTCTGTTGTTTAAGTTGACATAATCTAATGTCAGAAGCAAGATGCAAAGGCTCCAAGCCTTCTTTGTTACTTACAGTTACAGCACTGTTATCCAAACAGTAACAAAGAAAGCCTTTGGAAGGCTTTCAAGTATCTGGCGATACTTGAAATTGTGTATGATACTCACCTGAGCCTATTGTGATCTTCACTTGTACAAGTTGTCTTTATGCTGCGAGATAAGTCCTCTCTTGGTTTGAGCTCCCACCTTTTCAGTGAACTCTTACATTTTGGGGGATCTGCTCTTGTAAAGGACATCCTTTCTGGTGAGTATTCTTTTGGTTTAATTTTTGGTTTGGTTATTTGTGCATGAATTTAATCTCATTAGGAAACAAGTTAAGTTGAATAGACCAACTAGTGAATTAATCCGTCTCCAAAATATATGTTTTTGGCATTTACCTGTTTATTTTGAAACTCTTTGTAAGAAATGTAAACCTGTAATGATAATCTCTGCTTTGTAAGGATATCTCCCTCTCTGACACCTAAACACTAGATGCTTTCACAAAGCAAAAGGAAGAGACCTAAATCTATCTATCTGTGTAAACTCACCCTTGACCATTTCATTTTGAAGGCTTCCTATATATGCTTTTTTTCATCTCAACAAATAGTGGTGTTTAAGTTCTGTACCTTTGAGATTTAAATTTTCTACATTCCTTCACCTAAAAATCATCTCTTTGGAAGTACAAATTTTGGGTGGCCTAACTAACACTTGTTTATGGGCCAATTGAACAGATCATTAAAAGACAGATAGTCTGAAAGAGGGAGTAAAACTACTTGCAAGCCAGGCAAATAACAATTCTTAATGCAAGTTGTAAGTTCTTCCTCTGTCTGTATTTTTCTACGTGTGTGTGTGTGTGTGTGCGTATGTACAATTTTTTCTACCAAAATTCATAAACGGCTCTACTTAATTGGCTTACAGAGAAAACATAAGTGTTTAAACTAAGAATTCTCTCAGAAAAACAGAAACTCAATTGCCTTTTGGCTTATGTGATGAAATAATCTTTGGCAGACAAAGCTAGTTTTAAAATTTGTTGGCAAAATAAAAACAAATATTTTCAGAATTGTCAGCATTAATTACAATGTACAGATACAGTTTTTAAACCTAAAGTTACTGGTGAAACAAGCTTGCTATTACTGAGATGTATAATGAATGTCTTAAAGCTATAAATCCACTCATCGTTGTGTTTAAGGAGGAACTGAAGCACAATTGTTAAGAACAAGTGAATTAGGTGAATATACATTGACAAAAGGTTGATAATAAAGTTGTCAGAATTTCAAAAATAATTTAGTGTGACTTGAAATCTTAAAATCATGTTATATTAAATTAAGTAACACTTTACTGATTTAATATTTGAGTCATTTCTAAGGAAAATACTGAAATATCAATTGCTTAACAGAAGTTTAAAATATACGTAATTTGGCATCTTGGTTTCACATGTTATGGAAAAGCTAAACATATTTGGGCCTGTTAATTAAAGGCATAAAAATTATTTTATGAGATGGTGTTCATCTGCAAAATACTAACATGATGCACTTCAAAATGCTTACTAATTTTCACTAGAAATTAAGGTTACTAAGAGTTAATTAAAATTAATATTAGAGTAATTTAAACTAGAAATAATGAAGGGAAACAAATCTGTACGCGAGGGAAGGAAAACACATACAGAAAGTTATAAGTAAGAGGTTGTGTTTTTGTTAAGGGAAAAAGAGAGTATTTTTTGTCTAAAAGTAGAATGTCTTACTGTTCCAAAAAGAAAAAGAGAAAAAATATAGACAAAAACTGAATAAGATAACTGGATGACAAATTTATAGAAAGTTTGTGGAAGATTAATCTTGTGAAAAGAATTTTATGTGTGACCAAGTTGGCTAAAGTTAAAAGGAAATTATTTATAAATATTCTGAAAACTTGAGCATTATTATCAAAAGTACAGGAATGGAAAACTTGAAATTTGTCCCCTGTGCTGAAACAACAAGCTTTTCTTTGAGTATTGACCTGCTCTTAATAGAAAATAGTGAAATGTTTTCTCTACCTTTTAGATAACTGGCCTAATAAACCAAGATTTTTTGTTTATCAAGGTAATTTCTTATGCTTTATGCTCTCTTTTACTAGGTCTTTGATTACTTGAGAAAAGTGAGTGAGGTGGGGCCAAGATGGTTGACTAGAAGCAGCTAGTGTGTGCCACTCTCACAAATAGCAGAAAGAGTGGTGAGACACTAGCTCTTCAACCGGAACATCCAGGTGGACACATAAGGATTCATCAGTGACATAGTGTGACCTTCGGATCACGGAGAAGAGTGAGACAGATCAGCCATTCACCCAGGAGTGGCACAGACCCAGGGGAATCCCCCTACAAGAAAATGGTGAGTGAGTGAGAGTCCCGTGGGATGCATATTTCTGCCACGAACCTTTGAATCCCTGGGCTCAGGAGATACCCCAGCTGGGGTCTCCAGACCAAAACAGAGAGCCATGTGGAGTCTGGGTAGAGCTGCTTCTTAGGTAGGTGTGGAGTCCCAGTAGCATTTGTTCCCTGGGTACCCCAAAACCAGGGGCTGCAGCTCCAGCAATTGGGAAGGCCAAGTTTTCTTGCACGCTCCCCAGAAAAGGGGCCAAGTCCATGGGGCTGAGCAGTGATAGACTGCAGACCTCACCACCACTGAACCTTGTAGGATAAGGCCCACTAGCCTGGGATGCTAGTGAGGCCACCCTAGTCCTCCTGAGTTCTCCAGCTGGGAGCAGCTCTACACTTCTCCGGCATGCAGCTCCCAAAGAGAGAGGCAGTCCACCTTTTTGCTGTCTCGCAACCCTCCCTCCTGCTGCTCTCAGGCTTGGGAGGGTGCACAGCAATTAGGGACTATCACAGAACCCCAGCACAGTGCATCTGGTGAACTTAAAAAAATCAACAAGTGAAAAACAAACAATCCCATTTAAACGTACACAAAGTACATGAACGGACACTTTCAAAGGAGGGCATACATGTGGCCAGAAAGCATATGACAAAATGCTCAACATCACTAATCATTAGAGAAATGCAAATCAAAACCACAATGAGATACCATCTCACACCAATGAGAATGGCTATTATTAAAAACTCAAAAAATAAGAGATGCTAGTGAGGTTGTGGAGAAAAGGGAATGATTATACAGTGATGGTGGGAATGTAAGGTAGTTCAGCCATTGTGGAAAGCAGTGTGGCCATTTCTCAAAGAACTCAAAGCAGAAGTGCCATTCAACTCATCAATCCTACTATTGAGTATATACCAAAAGAAATACAAATCATTCTACCATAAAGACACATGCACGTGTATGTTCATTGCAGCACTTTTCACAATAGCAAAGACATGGAATCAACCTAAATGCCCATCAGTGGTAGACTGGATGAAGAAATGTGGTAGATATACAACATGGAATACTATGCAGCCATAAAAAGAATGAGATCATCTCTTTTCCAGCAACATGAGTGGAGCTGGAGGCCATTATCCTAGAAAACCCAATACCATATGTTCTCACTTATAAGGGGAGCTAAACATTGAGTACATATGGACACAAATGGAACAACAGACACTGGGCCTACTTTAGAGTGGAGGGAGGAAGGAGGATGAAAATTTAAAAATTACCTACTGGGTACTATGCTTATTATCTGGGTTATGAAATAATCTATACACCAAACCCCGTGACACACAATTTACCCATATAAATGCGTAAGTAACCCACATGTGTACCCCTGAACCTAAAATAAAAGTTAAAAAAAGAGAAAAGTAAATGTTCTCAGTATTAAAAAGCTATGTTTTTGTTGACAATTATGTAAATTTCTACATTTATTTTTTGAAATCTTTTAATTTTCATTTTGGTTACCTGTTATCGTACTCTGATAAAGTGTTTTAAACTGTTTGATGTTTTTGACAAACTTCCCAAAATAATATTTTAAATTAACTCTTTTTGCCCTCAAGTTAATTTTGATATTTCTCATTTGGACCCCTGGAAAGATCAAAGAATGTGTATCTCACATTGTAAAGAGATATATTAAACTAATGAGACTTACTTGATATATTAAATTATATAGGGAGTATTGTCAAATACTAAGTGGTGCTAAACCTTCTTTAAGTTGTATTTCAGAATGTTATTGATATGTGTTACAAAATTATATTGAATTCTTCAAAATCTGATATGTTATCGGTCATAATCTTGGTTATTATCTTCAAGTTTTGTATGCCACAGAAATAAACAAATTTCTTTGTCAATTACATTATTATTATAATAAACTCCATGAGATTTTTAACCATGGCCACTCTAAGTCTGTCATCCACAGGGACCGACTGCTTTCATTCTTTTCCAAAAGCATTTGCCATCAGCTACAATAAAAAATTGCTTCTTCTCTGAAACTGATGACCCATTAAGGTTTAACCCATATACTCCTCTATATACCTCTACAGCCTCCCCAAATCAAGTTGATATATTCCCCTAGCAGTCTGTGCAATGGAGACCAACACTACATTCTTTTAGATTGTTTTAAATTACATTTTTGAACTTCCAGTTTATTACATACCAAGAGTTGATTACAACCTCCTTGTTTCATAAGTGGAAGCTATGTTAGGGTTGGATGTGGGTGCCATAATTTCTTCAAGGATCCTGGACAGAGACCCACATCAGGATCAGAAACTCTACGATAGCATTGCAGATCTCATGGCTCAATAATCCTTGAAGATTATAATTTTCATCCTACTATCAGTTGCACTTTCTGTCACTTTTACTGCATTAAGTCTCCCGGTATCAAACAGAGCTCTGTGGTGTCACTGACTGAGGAATGGAATAGAGATGTCCACAAGGGGTCTTGATATCATGACTGCACAGAGATGTGAAAGGAGAGACCACTTCCTCACCACCCAGCTACTTCACTTCTCTCCCGGTATCAGCCCTATAGTCGGACCTAGGCTTTCAGAAGTGTAAGTGTGCAAACAAGTTTCGGTTGGACTTTAAGAGGACACTTTGTCATAGAAGAAAATCCAGTATCTCTAAGCTGGTTTTCTTTTCAGGAAAACATCCTGAGGGACCAGTAAGCAGGGAGATCCTTTTTCTAGTTTGCCTGTAGAGTTAGGAAGACAGTTGATTTTTCAGTCTTTTACAGGATGCTTAAACAAAGCTGTGTAATTACATAAGGTGGATCTTTATCTTGCCTAAGAAGATAAAGTGGGAATCTTCACTCCGCCAGGGCAAATTTCCAAGGAGCTCATTTATTCCATGTCTTTCAAACTTTCATGAGATACATTTCTCTTTCACATTGTTGCTGATTTCCAAACAGCTGTCAGCTAGTTTTTTCCTCCCCCTTTCCTATTCTTCACTATTTTGATAGCAAAGCTCATAGAATTAGAGGACTTAGAAGATGCTTTGTAAACATTGCCACAAAGGAACTGCTGAAATGATTCACAGGAAGACTGGTCAGTTGGGAGAAAGATCCTAAAGATGTTACACTGGTTTTCAACAACATGCTTAGAGAATTCTTGAAGCAGATAGGTGTCAACCCAGTGAAAACAACATTTTGATTTATTTTTTTTTTTAAGTTTATGGTGATTGTGTCGGTTTCTAAAATAAGCAAATATTCAAGTCAAGAGATGTTTTGTTTTTTCTTCTGCCAAGAATGGGGTTAGGGGAGCAAAGACACAATTTGGGAAAGGACATATGTGCTATTATAGGGATCACCTTTAAGTTTCTGGGAAGGAATGGGCACGGGTGAGTAGGTTGGCTCAACATTGTCCTGCACTGCTTATTAGGACCTGAGACGTGCAAGGGAAATGTGGGTGACATCAGGGCACCCAGGGCACAGCCCCACTAACTGCTGTGCTGAGTTTCTGTAGCCTGCCACGTTTCCCTTGGTGAAGTAAATGAAGATCAAGGAGTCATTTTATGATGTCCTGGTGCTGAGAATAATAAATGTCTTGTTACAAACAGATGTAACAATGGTTTTTTTCTGGATTATTATCAGGGTGGTCAGCTCTGGGTTAAGCACCCACATCCAATTTGTACAATAATATTGATACATAGGGCTACGCTTATTACTGCTCAAGCATTCTGTTTTAATAATTGTGTTTTACTTCTAAAGGTTAAATAAAAGCAAAAAATGGGGCTAAACTATCAAACTGTTCCCCTATTTGTTTTCTCCAGTGTACAACATATATATGTATATATTTTATTTTATTGAAGATGCAGTAGGATACCTGCCATTTAAGAAAATAAATAGAAAATTTAAAATCCCAACAAATGAGAAAAAGAAATTCAGTACCCAAGAATAGGGCTGGTCCAGCACCACCCCGAAGTAGGCTGTGGTTTATGGAGTGAAGAGCCTTGCTCCCTTTACATTCGCTCATGCTCCCACACAAGGCTAGCAGTAGAAATGCTTGAATTCTGCTTGGCTTGCCAAGGGGACTCAGGAGTCAACCAAGGGAACTATTTGGCTCCACGAGGAATGGACACCTCAGGATGCTTCCTGAACAGGGCCTAGTCAGGAAGTAGCCTGGATGTGCATAGTCATGGTCACCTTATGAAAATGTGTGGCAGGTGGCTCTCGGGAAAAACACCAAGCCTGGATCATCTGTGTGGCAGCTTTGCCTGGGGAGGTAACAGCTCCAAATTGAAACTGAACTGCATCCTACATGCTTTACCAAAGCAGTGATGAGAGTGATCAGTGCATGTGGTGTGAGTGGTAGGTTTAAAAAAAAGGGAATGTTTTTTGTTTTTTTTTTTTTTTTTTTTTTTTTTTTTTGAGACGGAGTCTCGCTCTGTCGCCCAGGCTGGAGTGCAGTGGCGGGATCTCGGCTCACTGCAAGCTCCGCCTCCCGGGTTCACGCCATTCTCCTGCCTCAGCCTCCCAAGTAGCTGGGACTACAGGCGCCCGCCACTACGCCCGGCTAATTAAAAAAAAGGGAATGTTTTACGCTCAGTGTTTCCTCTGTCTTTGGGCTACTCAATCTGGACAATAGGTAACCATTCTTTTCAAGGAATCAACCCAACTTTGCTGGCTTGGTTTGTGGTTTGTTTCATCCCTAGCTATGAGCATGCTTTGGTCTATAAACGTGGCTTGTCTCATAATACATTCCCTTTCTGTAATTTTTTAAATTTTTTATTTCCATAGGTTTTTGGAGAACATGAGGTATTTGGTTACATGAGTAAGTTCTTTAGTGGTGATTTGTGAGATTTTGGTGCACACATCACCCGAGCAGTATACACTGAACTCAATTTGTAGTCTTTTACCCCTCATGCCTTTCCCACTCTTTCCCTTGAGTCCCCAAAGTCCACTGTATCATTCTTATGCCTTTGCATCTTCATAGCTTAGCTCCCACTTAAGAGTGAGAACATGCAATGTTTGGTTTTCCATTCCTGAGATACTTCACTTAGAATAATAGTCTCCAATCCCATCCAGGTTATTATGAATGCCATTAATTCATTCCTTTTTATGGCTGAGTAGTATTCCATCACATATATGTATTTATGCATATATATATATATATATACATATGCATATATATATACATATACATACACACACACACACACACACACACACACACACACACACACATAAATATATACCACAGTTTATTCACTCATTGATTCACGGGCATTTAGGCTGGTTCCACATTTTTGCAATTGCTAATTGTGCTGTTATAAACGTGCATGTGCAAGTATCTTTTTTGTGTAATGACTTCTTTTCCTCTGGGTAGATAACCAGTAAGATTGCTGGATCAAATGGTAGTTCTACTTTTATGAATTGTCCTTGTTTTTCTTTAAAAGTTAATACTTTTGATCACTATAGTTTGTTAGTGTTGGATTGTTTCCACTTTGAAATTTCTAAACTTTTTCCCTTCATAATGTTAAAACAAGTTATGTTAGATGCCCTTTCAACATGAAAGGTCTGTAGTTAAGATATTACATATATTTTATTGTTTATAATAAAAATCTAGACATAAGAAGTGCCAAGTGTTAATTATAATATTTTGCACAGTATCTTTTTTCCCATGATGTGTTAATATCTACAATTTCATTAAATGTTGATGTTATTCTCTATTGAGATTCAGAAGCCTAGGGAGCTATGTGTTCATTTTGGTTATTTTTGTTGTTATTTCCCTGAAGCAAAAGACTACATGGCCTTCAGTGCAACAACCTCAGTCCAATTCTGAAGTTTATTATACTTGCTTGCCTCTTGGCTATTTAACTTCTGAGTGCAAATCATTGAACTCCCTAATGAAGTATTGTAGAGAATAAATTAAAATGAATAAAGAAAAATACTTCCTCTTCAAGGAGGTTCATGAAAAGGACTCTAACAAGTATGCTGGAATTTAGATTTCTTATGAGTTTAAGATTATACCACTGGACTGGGAAAGAATTTCCAGGACTCTAATGAAGAAACGATGGCTTCTTAAAACATCTAACCCAGATCAAGTAGAATAAGTTTAATGAATGGGACTAAACAAACTGATGGCAATATTTTCGAGTGACTTTTTGTTTAACATTTTGCTGTTTTTTTTAAATTTTTTGTTTTCCAGATTTGAGAAAACTTTTAAAAAGCTATCTATAGCATACAGCAATTTGGTAAAGTATACTTTTATAAATAAAAATGGAAATATTTATTTTTTCTTCCTACCTGCGGCTGCAGTCTTCAGAGAGCTCTTATTGATATTTTTATTTTATGGCAACATAGTTATTTGCATTAATTCAATAAAAATCTATTCTCTTTGTAACAGGATAGAATTACAAACATTGGTTATATTATAAATGGTTTGACTTGAATGTGATATTTGAGACTATGCACAGGATGCCTAGCTTCAAGGATTCCCAAGCTCACAGTGAGTGAATAAACATTTTTACCTCTTGACAGGCCAGGAACCTCCAGATATATTGGAGACCTCAAGAAGAGAGAAATTCATGCAGATTTTTAGATACTGCAGCCAAAGTCTGATGTTCGCCCTCCTTTGACTTCTGACCCTTGAAAGGCTTTTAAAAGTCTAATCTGAGATTTCTTATCAAAAGTTCCGTCAAAATAAACTTAAAAACAGCCCATGTTTCATCCCTTTTCTTGCTATACTGTTGTCAATAATCATGCCAAGTTTAATGAGACTAAACTTATTCAGCAGACAAATTAGTCTTACTCTGATTATCTTTAGTAGAAATAGGGATGATTGTACAGAGAAAAATTATGTTTCTGAAGAAAAACTGCAGTACACCTGTTAGTAGATTGTAGTTTTCTTTGTTGTTTTCAAGTTTTTGTCATCTATCTCTAAATTAGACAGGGCACTTAATTATTCTAATTTCCTCCAACGTCTGGCTACGATTCTCCAACTAAGAACATAAACTGCCTTGTTCCTAAAGTCCTATAAGTTGGAGCCAGAAAACTCCATGTAAATTTCAAGAGAGAAATCTCATGGCTATTGTGTGGGCTACAAAGAGAATTGACTAAAATGCCCCATGCTATACCCAGGAACATTCAAACTACAAACCAGAGTAAGAAGTTGATGACATCACAGTGTGGAAAGCTTTTCCCAAGACATTGTAACAAAACTGGACTCTTATCCTTCTTATTTTTTTTTTTTCTTGCTTATGCCTACATTTTTCACTTGGCAGAATAACGCTGTGGTTAGAATTTCACATTCAGTAGCTTCCGTAACTGAATGAAGTTTTGGATCTGTCGTGTCAAACCCACATCTTTACATGACCTAAGGGATCCTTTAGTCCACCCAGTGGGTAACTATGGCAACATCCCTAATTTATTTGCCACCTTGGGTTTCGTTGCAGGCTTCACTGCAAAGGCTATTGCCGCCCAGCAGTGCTCATTAAAGTATCTTGCTGAGTAGCCGTAGATAACACAACAGGACAGGATGAGATAACTCTCAATTATCTACTGGTTGAACAAGAATGTCTGTGCCATTGCTAATAACTACATGCTGTACCTGAATATATTTCTCTGGGGAAGTCAAGACCTAATTGCATAAAATAGCAAGACAGGCTTTATGGCTACAACAGATCTCACTCAGTCTCACATAGACTTTTGATTCATTAGTTGGCTGCCTTTGGGTCCATGTTCATAGACAATATTTCATGTTACTATTAATTTTGTACCGCATCATTCTTTTTAAACTTTTTATCTGTTTCCTGTCCAACCTCTGCAGAAATGATGCATCTAACAGAATAACACTGGTCCAGAACTTCCAAATGGTAGTCAATGCCTATGGAACTGACAAAATTGAACTTAGCAATGAACTCCAGGCAGATTTATCCTGAGAGCCACTCCTTCTGAACCTCTTTGTTTCTTAAATGTGACTAAAAGGGTTTTGACATCTGCTCTTAGTTGCTGGCCATTCACCTCTGATGCAGGATCAGACTAACTAGGAAAGGTCCACTCCAGCACCAAGAAACAATCAAAACCTAACTATAGGCTGATTAATCAGCAATGCTTTCAGAAAAAATTCTTGGTCAAAGGGGGGAAATGTTAAAGTTACAAGCAAAGAAGTTGACTCACTGAAGTCAAACCACAACAAAATGGAGCTGGGAGAGTATAAAAGAAGGCCCTTCATGCATGGATGTCTCTAAAAGAACTATTGCAAGGACTCCCTGAAAACTACAAAAATTTTAGATACGACGCTTCTATGAAGACATCTTCCCAGCAATAGCCAGTATCACCGATGAGTATTTGTCCATACCAAGCAATAAGCTTCTGGGGCCAAAGAGGTTTATTTTAAAATAATTTACATGAACTTCACCTTTTTTTTTCTTTATTTCTTCTTCTTCTTCAAAAAACAAACAAAAGTGATATATGTGCAGAACGTGCAGGTTTGTTACATAGGTATACGTATGCCATGGTGGTTTGCTACACTTTTCAACCTATCGTCTAAGTTCCCTCCCCTCACCCCCCAACCTCCAACAGGCCCCAGCGTGTGTTGTTTCCTTCTCTGTGTCCATTTGTTCTCAATGTTCGAATCCCACTTACGAATAAGAACATGCGGTATTTGGTTTTCTGTTCCTGTGTTAGTTTGCTGAGGATGATGGCTTCCAGTTTCATCCATGTTTCTGCAAAGGACATGCTCTCATTCCTTTTTTATAGCTGCATAGTATTCCATGGTGTATGTGTACCACATTTTCTTTATCCAGTCTAACAGTGATGGGCATTTGGGTTGGGTCCATGTCTTTGCTATTGTAAATAGTGCTGCAATAAATATATACACGTATGTTCCCTTACAGTAGAATGATTTATATTCCTTTGGGTATATACCTAGTAATGGGATTGCTGGGTCAAAAGGTATTTCTAGTTCTAGATCCTTGAGGAATGCCCATACTGTCTTCCACAATGGTTGAATTAATTCACTTTCCCACCAACAGTGTAAGAGCATTCCCATTTCTCCACATCCTCTCCAGTATTTATTGTTTCCTGACTTTTTAATAATCTCCATTCTAATTGGCGTGAAATGGCATCTCATTGTGGTTTTGATTTGCATTTCTCTGGTGATCAGTGATGTTGAGCTTCTTTTGTATGTTTTTTGGCCACGTAAATGTCTTTTTTTGAGACGTGTCTGTTCATATCCTTTGCCCACTTTTTGATAGCGTTGTTTGTCTTTTTCTTGTAAGCATGTTTAAGTCCCTTGTAAATTCTGGATATTCGATCATTGTCAGATGGGTAGATTGCAAAAATTTTTTCCCAGTCTGTAGGTTGCTTGTTCACTTTGATGATAGTTTTTTTTTTTTTTTTTTTTTTTTTTTTTGCTGTGCAGAAGCTCTTTAGTTTAATTAGATCCCATTGTCAATTTTGGCTTTTGTTGCAATTGCTTTTGGCATTTTTGTCATGAAGTCTTTGCCCACCCTGCCTATGTCCTGAATGTTGTTGCCTAGGTTTTCTTCTAGGGTTTTTACGGTTTGGGGTTTTACATTTAAGTCTTTAATCCATCTTGAGTTAATTTTTGTATAAGGTGTAAGGAAGGGGTCCAGTTTCAGTTTCCTGCATATGGCTAGCCAGATTTCCCACATTATTACTGAATATGAGATCCTTTCCCATTGCTTGTTTTTGTCAGGTTTGTTGAAGATCAGGTGGTTGTAGACGTGTGGTGTATTTCTGAGGTCTATGTTCACCTTCATTGGTCTATATGTCTGTTTTGGTACCAGTTCCATGCTGTTTTGGTTACTGAGGCCCTGCAGTAATGAAGTCAGGTAGTGTGATGCCTCCAGTTTTGTTCTTTATGCTTAGGATTGTCTTGGCTATATGGGGTCTTCTTTGATTCCATATGAAATTTCAAATAGGTTTTTCTAATTCTGTGAAGAATGCCAACGGTAGTTTGATGGGGAACTTCACCTTTTACCCTTAAAAAAGCTTCGGCTCCCCCAGCTTTTTCAAATGTGCCTATGGTTCAGTACGGTACACATATCCCAAATTGCAGTTCATTGCTCTTCCCAGATAAACTATTTTGAAAAGTCAGTCTCTCTGCTGTTTATTTTAATAATTTTTAATAGAAGTACATCTTTCTTAAAAGCATAGCAAAAATTTTAAGTACATTCACAATAATAATAATTAGGAAACAAATGATCATTGCTTTGATTTTAAGAATTATTAATTTCTTTAATTTTTCAAGTTGAAATATAGAACATGTTTTATTTAGTTACCAATTTATTTCTGTATTTTTCATGAAACAATTTACTTTGGTAAGAAATTTCAAGGAATCTGTGGCATAAATACATATTTGGTCAATGTTCCTTGACCCAAAGTATTAAGGCTGGGTTGTATTTAATTCAGTGACTAAGTAATTTAGTCAGGTTATTCAATAAATTAATGAGGTAATAATCTATAAATTGTTATAATCTGTCAATCTATAAATCATATGTAAAATTGTATTATAAAAAGCAAATGAGTCTTTCTAACAATAGCTAGTTCCGACAATAAAATAACTTCACTTTTAGTTAGCAAGCCCGTATTACATTTCTAAATATTGAAGTCTGTGCAGTAGTTAATGAACTTTTAGTCAATTATTGAGAAAAAAACTTTTAGTACAGTAGAAGATATAAAAAACATGATTGAGCTCAATTTCTCTTTTTTAAAAAATCACTGATTTCTTGGTCAAACTTTTGCTTCTTTTGGAACTTTTGAACTTTGTGGCCATGTGAAATGGCACTCTGAAACTTCTAGTAGACTCAAATTGAGGTAACTTTCTTGCTCACGACAATTTTATGTCCAGTTTCTAATATAAGCCATTATTTCTAACACATGCCATGGTTCCATGTTTGAACTAATGTTAATACCACCTGCCCCTACATGACTGAGTCTGAGCACATCCCTGGGCCACATCAAGCACCATGGCAGATTAATCATTCCTTATGGTTTTAACAGGCAAGCTGGGGAAAAAAAATAACTGTCTCCTCCAACTTTGGTTATGAGTGAGTTTCTTACCTTTTAATGGTGAAAAATAAACTTATCTGTCATAGGAGAAAATAACATTACACTCATATGGAAGCAGAGGTGAGAAGTGAAGCCTTAGTAGTGATGTCATCGTTGCCAATTACTGAAGCCAGGAAGTTAGGAATCATCAGTCTTTTTCTTTTGAATTAATGTGACAGTAGTCGAGAGAGAGAAAAAAGTAGGCATGCTGTATGTTATTTAGAGGATAAGATCTATAGATTTGAAATTGATTTGGCATAAACCCACAGGAAAGTGAAGAATCAAGCATGTATTCTAAGCTTCTGGCTTGAGCAAGTGAGCAATCAGCAACATCAGCCCTATGACTTACTAGATTTTTACTGAGGTATACTTTGTAATGTAATAGCTGCGAGAAACTGAATATCATTGAAATTTAGAAAAGGTTATGACAATGTCATTGGGTTAATAGATAGCCTTTTCTTACAAAGATTTGTAAAAAATGAGAGGCCCTAGACATTTGCTGTGTATATTATGCATAAAAATACCACCTCCAGTGAATTCGTTTGGAAAAGAAACTCAAAGCAAGGCCAGACAAAGGAAACAAAAAGAAAAGAAACGAAAGGGAAAGGACAGGGAAGAAAAGGCAAGAAAAAACAAGACAGACAAAAAATTGGAAAAATATGACAGAGAGAGCAAGAATTGTATATATCATAATTTTATAATATTTTAAATTTATAAAATTATTTTTTGACTTTTTTTAATTCAAGAAGACCCTGGATATAAGTCCATCAGTATATAAATAATTGCTAAGAACTGGGACTAAATTTTAAATAAACTACACTGTTGAAAAAGCCAATATTTTCAAGAAAATTGACCAAAAGGTATCCTTGTCTTCATTTCCACTGACATCTTATGACTGCCATATTTTTTCAGCTATGGCTCTTTTTCTACCAATGGCATGTCACAAAAATGTGTGAACCTCTGGTCACTCTAATTAGTCATACCAATATTGCATAATTTTACCTCAGAATGTTTTTTCCAACTACATTCTTTCTCCAGGGGCATTTATATTCAATGTTTTTTCCAGGGGCATTTACATTCTGAATACCGTGCCTCAAAGTCAAACTGGTTAGCATTACAATCTTGTCTGGTATTATATATGCATTTATTAATGTACAAATTGACCTCAGAAATAGAATATATTTGTCAGGAGTTTTAGGTCTTGTGTTCCCAACACCTAACAATAGATACTTGTTGAATAAATTATGAAAGGGAAAAATAATTTTTAAGAAATTTTGAAAACTTAAAAAGGAAACAAAGGTGTCACAATGGAAACAAAATTTCACTTTTTTTCCTCTGAGTTTAGAGTAAATCTCAGATTCAAACACATCTGAGGATGTACAATTATCAATTATGTAATTCCAAGGGAAAGTAATTTGTACTTACAGGTTAGATATGATAATCAATTCACTTAATTCTACTCGTTTCCTTTAAAAAAAAAAAAAAAAGAGGCTGTCAGAAATAATACATCACAGTAAAACCTCCTATCAAACAAGAAAAGATTGTATTTGGGAAAACATTTTCATAGACCTAAATTGAGTAATGTTTCCAACTTACATTTCACCAGTTAAGCTTCCCATTAGAAAATGTGTTTGTATGACACCAGTTCCACTTGCATTTTTTTCCCATAGGTTTCCCAGCAGACGTTTACAATCCTTTAGTGATGTTATAGCCAGAATTGTATTAGGTAATAATATAAAATCCCTAAATTTTATGTACAAACCTTCACTGATATTTTTAGTTATCATGAAAGAATCCTTGTATTTATTTCTATTCTAATTCTCCTCATGTCATTGGTATTTTATATGTATTCATTGTAAACATGTGTTGAATGTTCTAAATTTATACAAGCAAAACAATGTACATATTCTAGAGCTTAATATTTTCCCTCTCCCTGTTTTTTTTTCCGTGGCTTTCTCTTGCTTTCACTATTGCAAACTCTGACCCTGAGAGGCAAGAGTCGTGACCATTTAGTAAGATGTATCGTTGAGTATCATAAAATAGTTGGATAGTCTGCTATTTTTTTATAGTAGCAAAAATAGAATGTTCATATGCTTGCCCATGATTTTTATACATTTTTAAATTTGTCTACCACATGCCTAAATTTACCAAATTAAGTCCGTGTATATAAAACATTTGCACAAATGTTACTCAAGTTGTCTGAAATAAAAATACATGTATTTTGCAATTTAGAGCACATGACACTAAAGATGTATAGCTCCGTTAACTCACCTTCTGAACAAATTTCAGCAAGAAATTTCAGAATGAATATAAAAAAGTTAAGAAATATTCTAATATATAGTAGCTGAAAAGTTTACAGAAGTAAAGAAGAAAGACACAAATTAGTAGATTCTGAAGAATTATCTAAACGAACCCATAACTATTCTCTTTATTTTGGATATTCTATTGTTTCCTTATAATTTGTTTATAAGTTTCCTTATAAATAAACAAATTATAAGGAAACAGTGGAATATCCAAAACAGAATATGCAAGCCAATTAACAATCACCATTTTTACCAACAAAAATATTGAAAGTCAGAAAATTGTGGAATATCTTTGAAGTGCTAATAAATGATAACGGCAAATCTAGAATTTTATGTCAATTAGATTTAGAATTCAAGAGCAGATCAAAATAGAGACATCTTCAGACAATCCAAAAACTGAGAGTTTACTACCAAGAATAGTAACTTTTACAGTATGTACCATAGAATAAAGGATAATTAACTGGATGTAAATTCCAAAATATTAGAAGAAGAAAGGATGTGAAAAAACATATATAAGCAGTCACAATTTTATTTAACAAACACACCAACAATATGTGATTTGTGGGAATAAGAAAAACAACATGAATATAAAATAATGAACAATTTGTAGCAAATATTTTTAAATAATTGCAATTAAAGAGCCCTAAGACTTTGTATTGTTTGGGCTTGGTGTTAGTAAACTTTATATTTTATGTTAATAATGTTTATTAGAATATCAAAATTGCCTAGCAAAAGAAAACTGATAATGTGAATAATTTCCAAAATAAAAGAGATAAGTTACAAAAAATGTTAAAGTAAACAAATGCAAAACAAGGCAAAAAAAAAAAAATCAAAGTGAGAAAGACCAGCAAAGTGAATAAAAGGAAGAAAATATGACTTTAAATATAAAAAAATAAATAAATGAAAACCTAAAAAATAACATGCAAGTTGCCAAAAGAAAACGATTTACTTGACTGAATAAAGGTCGTTAAAGGATTTCTTCAGCTGGTGAGCACCAGGCAAACCTGAAGACTAGGTGGTTCCAGACTGAAGTAGGATCAGGCGTCTAACAGAAGTCTGTGGAGTATGCCTGGTTTAGGCTGGACAGATATTTTCTGCTTTAACTGAAGTTGAGTTTAGGTTTTTGGGTTCTTTTCTGTTTGTTTTTGTTTTATCTGTTTATGTTCCACTTTCAGAGTCTCATTATCCATCGGAACAATATTATATGAGAACAATCTTTGCAGCTGATGGGCTAACCACGTTCCCTGGGTGGGGCAGGGGAAGTAGACAAGAATAAGAATGAAGTGGATGTAAAGGAAGAAGGCAAGGGGCGGGGGATTATTACCCTCTAGTATGTTTGTTTTAATCGCTTTACACGGTTACTAGTTTTCAAATTTACTAAATATTTTATATGATTCAAATCATTAACTGAGAAATTTCTTTCAAATTCAGTGCTCTTTGCAGAGTACTGGCTAGATGTTGGAATCCAAAAATGAACTGTGAAAAAAGGCCCGTGTCCTCAGGAACTTATGTTCAGAAGAAATGGAAAAACAAAATTAAATAAGTGGATAAATACATGTGTGTTGTTTTACTAAGACCTTATTTATTAAATATTTTGCTAAGCCTATAATATTAAATCAGCTATTTATATATCTCTATATAACAATGGTTCTAGAGTCAGGAGGTTAACCTTGTGGATTCCTCAGTGACCTTGAGTAATCACTCAACCAAAATACATTTGTATTTAAATACGAACATAAGTTCGAACATTACGTTGTTACCCTAGCCACTTCACAAAATACGTTCGAACACTAGGTTGTTACCCTAGACACTTCACAAAATATTTGAAAAACACATGGATAGACAATTTGATGATTCTATAAATCTGGTAAATGAATTAGAAATATTATAAAAGGTTTTTCTGAGAGGATACCATCGAGCAAAAAGAAAATGACTAGCATTTGACACTATGTAACTTTAAATCTATATTTCAGGGACCTCTGTCACTTTCTTGGGGAATTGAATCACCTATTCCTACTTAGCAGCATGAAAATGAGTTGAATCTCCAGGTTATAGCATTTGAAGGCATGCCTGAGAGGAGCAGATTCAAAAATCAACAGGTGGTTGATGTTTTCTGTGGGGAGCATTCCTGCCTCAGTCCTGCTGCTGTGACCCATTCCTAAACAGCTTTGGGGTCTACAGTCCCCCTTGGTACCTGCTGGGGATTTGTTCCAGGACCACCACCAATCCTACCACCATCATCCCTTCATAGCAAAAGCCAGAGATGCTCAAGTTTCTTATATAAAATGGCCTAGTATTTGCATATAACTTACACACACCCTCTTGTATACTTTCTATCATTTCCAGATTACTTACATTAATAATACTGAATACAATATAAATGCTATGCACATAATTGTTATAAGGATTGTTTTTTATTTGCATTGTTTTATTGTTGTATTTCTTTTTAAAAATTATTTTTGGTATTTCTTTTAACAAATATGTTTGATTCATGGTTAGTTAAATCCACCCACAATGGGGGTATGGAGGGTCAGCTGTATTCAGGAATTTGCATTAACAGACTTAAGAGCCTAGTAGATTCTTTGCTTAAATGAACTCTGTGCAGACACAGCATTCAACATTTCTATTTTGATACTTTAAGCAGACTGCAGTGTTTGACAAGCTATTTCAGTAATATGCAATAATCTTTACAAAATAGACATAGATGTTCTGTGACCCCAAATTCTCTGAAACTCTAAACTCAATTATTGAATCTATAGTGGTGTTTCTGATCAGATTACAAGATGAAGGAAGCAATGGAACTTGGCCTAATGTAATGAAAAATATTGCTATCTCTCCACTGATTATTTTGGATGATGGGAGAGCTGTATAGCCATTTAACTAAAGAGGAATCCTTTCAGGAACTACTCTGAAGTACTTTAAGAGATGGAGTTGCTGAAGAAAAAAGATTGAAAACAATTGGCTTAGCTGTTCAGAGCATGGCAAGAATGTAACTATAATCTGTCATTGTGTGGGCAGACAGATGGCCTGAAAATTGAATAAATTGGAAATCACTGGAAGGCAGCTATTTTGTCCTTGAGTGCATTAGGTATCTTGGAAAAATGTTATTAAATGGTGAACAATTGCTATCGAAAAGTTTCTAGTTGTTTGGAACATAGAGTTACATAAAGTCAAGATTCTATTATTATTCTAATAATAGATAAAATCCGAATGTAAAGAAAATGTTTCCTATGAACTATGTAATTTAATTCTTATCAGAGCAATACTTTAAACAATTATTTGATTAGCCTGTGTTTGTGAATGTATATAAAGTAAGCAATAACCTTATTTTCTCCTCTTTGTAATTTAATTCATTAGAAATTGAGAATCTCAGACTTCTCTCCAGCCCTATTAAATCTGCATCTTCATTTCCAGGTCACTCATACACTGTTTAACTTTGAGAAGCACTGTTGTATATTGTCTTGAGAGTCCACACTATGAAATAAATTGGCCCTTATTTACTCCTCAATTGAAATTCTTCAGACTTTCTTAAAGTTTCTAAATAAGTCCCAGTTAGTGGAAATGAACTGAATTTAGTTTAATTTTTTTTATCATGCATTGCTGTCCAAAAGAAGAAAGCTTATTTCTGCCAACTTCTTCTTATCCTCAACTTCCAACCACTGTCACGTCTGTCTTCTTTCTTTTTAATATTTTCAGGTGAATTAGAGGTTTGTCAACCGTAAGAATGAAATATATGGTTTATGGCCTATTTTTATGTAACTGGTCATTCTGAGATCTGGAAAACACTACCTGTGTTTATCTGCAACTAAAATCTAGACACCTGAGCCTACACTGCATAGCGAAACAGGTCACTAGAAAAACACAAGCAATTTAGAAAGGCTTTTAATATTGAACAGTTGCATTTTGTTTCTATTCATGTCTATCGCTTTCTCTTTTTTATTCTAAATTGCTTTATTATATTCTATATTTAATATTCTATCATTAACATGTCAATGACAGTCAATAATAATTGAGGACTCAGGTTTTGTCAATACACTGATTTATAATTAGTACAATATGTTATGAGTTTCCTTCGCACATTAATATTATCAGCTCTTCATTTTTTGTTGTTCACAATATATCTTCAACTACCTTTTTATTTTTAGGCAATGTACATATTACAATTTAAGAATAACATCTTCTTTGTTAAATATTTATTTCCACCCCTTTTCAGAAAATTAGATGGTTTACATTTATTGTTAGAAATAATATAAAGCTTTTCTGGTTTTGTGCTTCTAAATAATATTATTAATATATTCTTTTGTAATTACAAAAGCTCCTTGTTTTTGTTTTGTAATTCCTTTCTCAATAAAATAGAGCTGCAAATATTTTGTTCCTTTAAATATTTCAAATAAATAATTTTCATTTATAATAAAAAATATAAAATATGCCAAAGAATTTATTATTTCAAAAAATATGTCATTCACCAATTTGCTTTTAGATTTGTGAATACAGTCTCATTTTATTTTAATACTTTAATCATAGATCTTAACTTTTTTATAATTAATTTTAATTTGTATTTAACATGGTAATAATATTTTTACTTAATTTTATATTGTTGGGTTAGTAGTCACTGTTAGTACACATAACTATTTTACTTTTTCAACATGTAATTTTCATTAATCTTATTCAGATAAAGTTCATTTTCACTATTTTTCTTCAATTGGAAATATTTCATATTTTAAAGACTTCCATTCCTAACAAATGTGGAATACAACATTTTTAGCTCAAAATATTTTTCAAAACAAAACAGAATTTTTCCAGTCTTCACATATAAAACTAAAGCAACAAGCTCAAGTCTATCCAGACATTTTATACTTCAGAAACGAAAATACTAATCTTACGTGTTTATGGCGGATGTTTTTCTTATAATTTTAGTTAAAAAATATTTGTAGAAGGTTTTTATAGTAATATAGTCAGAAAATTAGTCTGCATTTTTACCTACAAATTAAGCAGTATTTTAAAAATTAGCTCAGGAAATTTTATTTTATATTGTATTTTAGTCTGCATTTGAATGATATTTAAATTCTTAGATTTTCACTTTAGATGTGGGAACTCCGGTGCTTAATTCTATCCTCTTTAATTTTATATCTGTGATTTCTTCTGCTTTGTTTTCAGTTCTATTTTTTTCCTGCACTGCAAAAGAGTTTCTAAAGATTGTATTTAATATTACAAGCTTCATTTAGTGCTCTATCATTTGGCATTTACATTTTTACATAGTTTTAAAATTATATATATTTCTTTGTATTTTTTATCTAATTTTATACAATTTTAAAAATCATGCACCTCTAATATCTATTGACTAGGTTTAGCTTTCATTTCAGAGATAACATTAATAGTGAAAAATATTATCTTAAATGCAAAGATATTCATTATTTAAAAATTGATCAATGACATTCACTAAATTATCACAGGGACGAAAACATAAAATGATCATCTGTAGAGATGCAGAAAAATAATTTGACAAAATTCAGCACTGATTTATAAGAATTATCAGCAAAATAAGAACAGAAATGAAAATTGACCAACAACCAGAAATGACAGCAACAACAAAATACCAAGTCAGTAAAGATGGAGAGAAATAGGGAAGCAGTGAAGGTAGATGTCATTTCTGTTTTTAGTGGTGGAGTACAAGGTGTTCTTGTGCTTAAAGGTCATGTTCTTGTGATAAAACGCACTGCAGAGACAACACAGTTTAATTGGCTGAGGCAGGTGACTCCCTTTAAGCATCAGGGTGGAACAAACTACACGACAAAATGTAATTTTAAAGACCACTCTCATTCAAATGTAATAATATCAAAGCACCCTTAACTCATTAATGAGTGAAACAATGAGTGTCATGGTCTGAACTGTGTTCCCCTCCCCAAACCCGTATGTTCAAGCCCTAACCCCTAGTTATACACATAAGGTAAATGAAACCTCATTTGGACACAAAGTTTTTGCAGATGTAATCAAGCTAAAATTATGTCTGTAGGTGGGACTTAAAATAACATGGGTTGTCTTTATAAGAAGAGGGAACAGAAACAGATAGGATGTGGAGAGGACCATGTGAAGAGAGAAGCTGAGACTGAAAAGGATTTATGTATTAATATTGACAGAAGCCAAGGAACACCATCTGAAGTTCTGATGGCAACATCAGAAGCTAAGAGAAAGGCATGGAAAAGATTCTCACCTAGAGCATCCAGAGGAGAGGTTGGTCCTGCAGACACCTTGTTTTCTGACCTCTGACCTCCGCAACTGTGAGGGAAGAAATTTCTGTTGCTTAAAGACACACAGCTTGTGGTACTTCATTATAGCAGCCCAAGGTAACTAATATAGATGACAAAATTGGTTCCAAGGGTGTTTGAGGAACTGGACCTTTATAGGCATTATTTTCATAATACTGCATTAAGCTATGATAACTGGACTAGATTCAAAATTGGATAATGCCCTAAATGCAATAAAGCTATAATTTTGAGATAAAATTTTAATAGCTTTATGAGATATAATTAACATCTGGTATACTGCACATTTTTGAGGTGTGAAATTTTTAAACATTAACATACGTATATACTTGTAAAACCATCACACTAGAAAGAGATCTCAAGCCTCTTCTTTTGACTTTCAACACATTGTCAATCCAGTACTAATCTGGTTTTATTACCATATATTAGCTTTTATTTTCTACAATTATATATCAGTAGAATTATAGAGTATGAATTCTTTTTGTCTTTTTTCCTTAAGCATAATATTTTTGAGATTCAACAATTTCTTGCATGTTGAAGTAGCACCTTTTTTTATTGTTACGTATTATTTCATTTCATAGACATACCACTATAATTTATTTACTAAACTCTTGACCAGAGGTTCTCAAATGAGGGACATTTTACCTGCCGGGGACATTTCCAATGTTTGGGGACACTTTTGGTTATCAGAGGTTTGTGGAGGAGGGGATAGAGTGTCCACAGGCCAGGGTTCCACAAAGGATAGCTCCCCACAACAAAGAATTAAGCCACTTCAACAGCTAATAGTGCTGAACTTGAGAACGCCGCTCTTGGTGGACAGTTGCATGGTGTCTGTTTTTGACAATAATGAATAAAGGTACTTGTGCAAGCCTTTTTACAGACTTATGCTTTTCTCCCCCCTAGGATAAATGCCTAGGGGTAGAATTGGTACATGTAAGGTAGATTTAGTTATCCAAAGTAGCTGTACTGTGTTACACTCCCACCGTCGATGTATGCAAACTCTAGAGTCTGGTTTCTTGACATCTATGCCAAATATTGGTAACACAATTTTTAAAATAGTAGCTTTTCTAGTAGATGTGTATAATTATCTCATTTTATTTTTTATTACTAACGATATTAAGAAATTTTTCCTTTGCTTATTTGCTATTATATCATTTTTGTGTAGCATCTGTTAGTTTTTATAGCTCTCTTGTTTCTATGTTGTACATTATATTTATATATTCTTGCTCTTATTCATAATAAATAGTATATATAATTGTGTAATTAAAAATAAACATTAAAGTATAAATATATTTACACATTTCTGTAGTTTATCATTATATAATTATTGCTTTCTGAATAAAAAGAAATGTATCCACAGTTTGGATAAAAAGAAGTGCTTTCATGTAGTTTACTAAGACATTTTCTGTGCTTTATATTTGAAGCCTATGCTTTCACTTTTACACATTGTTCCATAATATATTTTGGACTCCTTTAATTTTGAACTCATTCACGCTTTTGTTGTGAGGAAGGACTTGAGGTTTGTTTTCTTCACATTTATCTCGTAGTTCTGCACACTTTGTTAAATAAAATTATCTTTCCCCTTTGAATAACTGCAGTATCTTTGATATTATATTATTCATATAAGCATGGATCTATTTGTGAACTCTATTCCATTCCATTACTCTAATTGTTTATCCATCTACTAATAACACATTCTCTCGATGACTATAGCTTTAAGTTATTGCATGGTGTTAGGAAGTGTGAGTATTCCAACTTTTTTTTCAGCTTTCTATCATTTGTTTTTGCTCTCTTGATGTACATTTTTAAATCAGTGTGTCAATTTATATAAAAATATCTTTTGTGATTATGGTGAGGATTTCTAGAATGATTAATTTGGAAAAACCAAAACCTTTTACACACTAAAATTCACTGAACTTTCAAGCCATGATTATTGTATTAGTTTGTTCCGGCATTGCTATAGAGAAATACAGAAGATTCGACAATTTATGAAGAAAAGAGGTTTAATTGCCCCACTGTTCTGCAGGCTATACAGGAAGGATGATGCTGGCATCTACTTAGCTTCTGGGAAGACTCAGGAAACGCACAATCATGGCAGAAAGCAAAGGGGGACAGGCACGTCACATGGCCAGAACAGCAAGAGAGTGAAAGGGGAAGCTGCTACACACTTTTAAATGACCAGATCTCATGAGAACTCACTCACTCACTATTATGAGAACAGTATCAAGAGGGATGATGCTGAACCACTCATGAGAAATCCACCCCATGATCCAATCACCTCCCATCAGGCCTCACCTCTAACATTGGAGATTACATCATACCAGATTTGGGCAGGGACACACATCAAAACCATCAATTATTGTATGCGACTCCATTTATTTAGAACTTTCCTACATCTCCCAACACTTTTGCTAGTTTCCTATTTAGAGAGATCTTGCATGTAATTTGTTAAAATCATATATACATATTTTATTTTTATTAGTATTTTACATGGATTTGATTTTTATCATTAATTGCTCATTGGAAATATATAGAAATAAGTTAATGGGTTGACTTATTTTTTCTATGATGTGGCTAAAATTACTAGTTTATTCCAGCAGCTGATTTTTACAGTCACTAGAAGTTTATGTGTAGGTAATGGAGTTGTTTAAAAATTTAGAAGTGTATTTTTCATTTCTTAACTGTGTATGTTTTACTTATTTATTTGATTTGTCTCACTGGTTAATTCCTCCCATACAGTAGAGAGAACAATAGTGAAAGAGGACACTTTGTCTTCTTCTGGATCTTAAATGAATAATTTATTAGTTCAAACTTCAGTGTGATATTTCCGTAGATGCCTTCTATTTGCTTAAGGATGCTTCTTTGTATTCTATTGGGGCGAGATATTTTTATTATAATTCTATCTTGAAAATGCCAAATGTTTTTTCTGCCTCAGAGGAAGTTTATATATTTTTTTCATTTTACTCAGTTAATGTGGTGAGTTTGAAAATTCAAATACTTGAAAAATCACGTTCCCATCAAACACTGCTTCTTACTGTGCCTTTCTAAGAGGACTACCTTCAACTTGGGCATTTAGAGGATACTTCCCTTCCTATAGCTCAGGGTTTTTTTGTATTTTTTTTATGTTTAAATTTTAGTGATATTTCTTTTATGTGTTTTTAAAATATTTTATGGGCTACTGCATTGACCCATTTGTTTCAACTTTACAGCTCTAGTTAAATATAAAAATTAATAAAATGTCAACACTCAAGTATTACATATATCCCTTGATCTGGTGATTTAGGACTATGAGAAAAATGCTCAATTTCCCTCGATAGAAGGAAGTATGAACTTTTTTATTTATTTATTACTGTAGTCTCACAGCCTAAAAATCAGTAGGTCTCCACTGGTCAGCAAGCAAATGATCATGATTATTTTTCTGAATTTTTGACAATTTCAGAATAGGCAAGAAAGCTAAGTTTTAAAAATAAAATGCCAACATCAAGAATTTAAAATCAAATTCGTCACAGTGAATCCCAACAGGAAATAGTTCTTCATTTTATGATTACTCAGAGATTTTGCTTGTTGTAGTGGTCTTCCTTCTGGCTCATAATTTTTTGCTACTCTGCAGCAGAAATAATAAGAAATATTTTCCCAGTCCACAGCGGTGAAGGAGAAGAAAACTATAAATCAAAAGTAGCATATTCTGTGGATCATTTATTGAAATAAACACAGTGAGTACAAGATGGGTAATCTATTTGCATAATCAAAGACACCCTTCATCTGTGTCTATTTTTCTCTTTTCTTTTCTTTTCTTTTCTTTTTTTTTTTTTTTGAGACAGAGTCTCACTCTGTTACCCAGGTTGGAGTGCAGTGGCATGATCTTGTCTCACTGCAGACTCCGCCTCTCGGGTTCCAGCAATCTTCCTGCCACAGCTTCCTGAGTAGCTGGCATTACAAGGTATGGGCCACCATGCCCGGCTAATTTTTGTATTTTTATTAGAGATGGGGTTTCGCTATGTTGGCCAGACTGGTCTTGAACTCCTGGCCTCAAGTGATCTGCCCGCCTCAGCCTACCAAAGTGCTGGGTTACAGGCATGAGCGACTTGCCTGGCTATGTCTATTTTTAACATAGTTATAGTGAACTATAATTATTTTTACACAAAAACTATTCTTACAAATGTTATATGTATTTTAAGAGCATACAAACTTACAGGTTTTTTTATTTAATAAAAACCAGTGGCAGATTGATAATGCAGAATATATTATTTGTAAAAAATCATTTGTTGTCATACAAACATATATTTTATTTGAAAATTATACTTTTGAATAGCTTTTTGGAAAGTTAAAGTATTCTCATTTATTGCATACGTTTGTCACCAAAATTATACGAAAGAGTGTTTGATTCAAAATGTGTGTGTGTGTGTGTGTGTGTTCCTATATAGGACCCAGATAACACATATATATTAAATAAATAAATACATGTATATATATATATCATGCACACACATTTAAATATAATGTAAATGTGTGTGTGTGTGTGTGTGTGTGTGTGTATGTGTATGTGTATGTGTATGCAGATGCCCCTCTGGAAACAAATTTAAAAAGAATCCCCTCTTTTGAGTGTATAAAGAAGTTCCTTTCTTAAGGAATGGATAACAGGGGTTGGTACTTTGGCTGAATTCCTCTTCCTCTTACTTTCATTAGACTTGGCACTGTTGCATAGAACACAATTTTCCAAAATGTAATGTCTGTGTTATGCCTACAAATGTACCATACATAACAATTTGTCATTTTCTGTAATTACATACTGACCTATTTAACATTTATCTAACCACTTATATATCTTAATCAAAATAAATCAACCCATGTAAATTGTTTATTTCTATTGTCTTTCTCAGTATAATGCACAAGATACCTTTCTATCTCTATATGTATTTGTCATTTTCATGTCTGTCCCTACATGAGTTGACTCTATTTTTCTGTTACATAGATATGTGATGTTAGTACAATATATGTTAACTAAAAATGGATGATGCAACCTTTTAAAATTATGACCATCGCAGTGAAAATTATGTCTCTAAAATATCAGGGGCTTAGGTATTTTCAGATTAAATTAGGAAAAATAGAGTATCTTTCCATTTATTTATGTGGGCAAATTTCCCATTTGTTCACATTAAATCTTTTAATGGCATATTGCCTAAATCTTTCTCAGAAAAGCTTAGCCAAATTGCCTAGGATGTTTCCTTTCTCCCATATTACCATCACTGTATACCATCATATTTCTAATAATTTTAATTTTGGAACATGAAAATGGTATTTCAATTTAAATGCGTATGTTTTTCTATTTGCAAAGAGATTAAACATCTCTTCAAGTTTTTAAACTATATGCAGCCCTTCTTTTCTGCTATACCTGTTCATTTCCTCAAGCTATTTTTCCATCAGACAGTTTCATGTTTTCTCATTGATTTGAAGCTTCTATTAAAGTATTGTATACACATGGGTAAATGCACATAAGTTTAAAGCTTAGTGAGTTTTAAAATACTATGATCATCCAGAATAAGAAAATGTAATAGTCACACACCTGATTTCCACCCATCCCTCCTAACATAACACTATTCTAACTTTTACCAGTAAGGAATCAAATAGTGTGTGTAGTGTTTTGAACCACATTTTTTTGCTTAATATTATATTTGTGAGACGAATTGACTATATGACCTGCAAATGAAACTATTTATATTTATTTCTCTAATATTTTATTAGGTGATCATATTACAACTTATTTGTTTACTGTACTCTTTATAAGTATTTTAGTCCACTTTTGGGCCACAGTTTGGGGTTATTTTGGTGTTATTCTGAAAAGTGTTTTCATGAGTACACATTTTTTTTAGCTATATATATGCATGCATTTCTGGAGAAACCATCTTTACAAGTAGAATTTTGGGGCCTAATACATATCTTTATCCAAATTATTTGAACTAAGTTATGCCAATAACATCAATTTGAGTGTTCTAATTAGTCAACATTCTCATCAATACTTTGCACTTTCTCTTCAACTTAGAATTCTAAAATATTCCTTTCAAATTCAGGATTCTGAATGACAAGTACTTACATCTCATTGTGGTTTGAATTATTTTTTCAGGTAACCAATATAAATAAAAACCTTTTAATAAGTTCATTGGTTATTTGAATATTTTATTTTTGAAGTGTCTAAAATATTTTCTTTCTAATCCAGTCCAGTTATTTTTCTGTGGTTTGCTTCTTGTTGTCTTATTGAGTTCATTGCCTTTTTAATATTCTTTTCCGGTTAACATTTCCCCCTCATTGATCTGAAATGTTTTCATTATATACCACCTTTCCATATCTGTCAATGTCTTGATTTTCTATATGATCTTCATCTATCTGTAGTTATAACTCATTTTAATCATAGAAGCTTTAAGAATTGCTTAATATTTTGTATTGACTCCAAATTCCATTGATTTTATAGGATATTTCTAGCTATTCTTGCTTCTTTATTCCTCCAAGTAAATTTGTCTATTTTTCTAAATCTGGAAAAAGAAATTCTAGAAAATGTCGTTTTGTTATGACACAGAAGATATAAGTTTATTTAAAGAACTGGCACATTTATGATTTTAAGGCTTTTTCAAGAGCATGGAATTTCTTTCCCCGTGCTCAAGTCCAAATTTGTGCCATTCAGAAGTGTTTTCTAGTTTTTTTTATATATAGGTTTTAAACATTTCTGGTTAAGTTTATGCCCTCACATTTTATTTTAGTTTGGTTAATGACGTTTTACATGTGTGAGTTCCCTCAATTATTTCTTTTAAATGTTCTGATTCAATAGGAACACTCTCCTTAGTATCCTTAACAGAAATGATTCTTGTTTATAGAATTGCTAAATAAGTAAAGAAATTTTAAGTTAAATCATGGCAAGGAGTTATAATTATACTAAGCTTTTTTGTTCCTAGAGGTTTTGGCTCACTCATATGGTAATCTATATGAAAATTTTTCTGTGATATCTAATATTAGAAAGATCCTCAGTGATAGAATAGTGTTTCTTCCTAGCTGATTCATACATCTTTCTCTGCCAACATTTTGTTTGTTGAAGTGTTCCCCAACATATGACTCATTGCTTACTAAATCCCTATTGAGCAGCCAAAGCCCTGGTGACTAATTATGTCATTAATTTGGGAAAGTCAGAGACAATAAGACTGTCAGTTGAAACTTTGTAGGAGGTAAAAAAGTCACTGCTGTCAGCTGCAAAGATCCTTAAAACGGTCTTCAGTAAAGTCAAATTTTGTGACAAGAATTATTGCATCAAAGTCGGGGAAATACCTCTTAGATCAAATAAGATACATTGAAAAGCCAAAAATTATTTTTATCTCACTTTGGGTTCTCATAAGGTCTACCCACTGTTACTTGGATATGAGACTTAACAAATGGAAAAGAAGACAGGGGTACTGTCACACTGTATTTTCCTATGGCCTAATGACCACAATGGTTGATGAACTGCAGTAAAGTTTCTATAATATTTTCCATCTATTCATTTGCTCAATCACCTTGTAATGGTTATGTTGGTTAATTCCAGTCTTTCATGGGTAAGCAACAAAATGAGACTTAATTTGAAATATCCAGTATTTTTCTATTCTTACAAATAATTTTCAGGATCAATGCACTGAGGATTAGGAATGGCAATGTGTATTACTACTCTGATACCAACTATATCCAATCTAATGTTGGAATTTGTTTGACAAAGTGTTGTGTATTTGAAAACAGGCAGCACTGAATAAAAAGAATATGGGCAAAAGAAAAATGGAAGTGTTTTGAATAGAAGTCTAAAATATTTATTGATCAATGCTGAACTGAGTAAGCAGGAGATGCCTGTACATAAATGACATTATCCTGATCTAGTAACAGGGAGAAGCAGAATATCTGAAAGCTGTTTATTAATTTGATAATAATAAGATTAGAAACATGCAAATCAAGATTAATAGTATTCACTTCTAATTGGGTTTAGGTAGACTTTGACTATTTTGCTTCTGATGTTCTTATATTTTTAATTTTCTATAATGATCATATAACATATAATATTTTCATAATATTAAACATTTTAGAATTAAACTCCATTAGAGTGTGTCTTTCCTAAAGTAATATAAACATCCAATCTTGTCCTTAACAATTCTGTTCTCAAACATTAGCCTATTCCCTCAAGCCAGTGTTGCTTTCGACCCATATTGTCCATCATTTCAATTTATCTCAAAGTTTTTTATTGCAACAATTAAATGCTTTGAATGATACCCAAGGCATAGTTCTATTTCAACAAAATTTCAAAGTTAATAGTTACATCAAATTTTGTTGGTGCTCATTGAATTTGGTTATTAAAACCATAAGTAGTATGTTTTATGCTGACTGAGGGAGATAAAAGTAGTAATGTTTAATATTCAAACTGTGATGACTGAAAAAAAAAATGAGGCCTGTAAAATCTTATTTAATGTCAAATTTTAATTAAACAGGCTTAGCAGACCAAAATTAAAATCTCAATTATTTTTAAATTATTAATGACAGACAACTAGATTGAGTGAACACTGGCATCTCTTTTCAAATAACTTAGTTTAGTGGATGAGTTAAACATAAACTAGTTATTATAATGCAGCGAAGTATGTGAAAAATTTAATTTGAACCCTACTTAGCTTAAAATCCTGACATTCTAGGATGCAAGTCCTGCAAACTTTCCATATGTAATCAACAATTTTCTAAACATGCATGCTGTATCTCTCCTGTGTGACTTTGCATACATCATTCCCACATTCTAGATCATCCCGACCCACCTTAAGTGACTGCTTTTGCATAATCTCCCTTAAAATTCTAACTCAAGCACTGCATCTTTTGAGTCCTTCCCTAACATCTTAACATCTTCCTTCTTTCATTCATCATTAACTATAGTTAGTTATTATAGCACCTGTTAGCACTGTAAAATTATGTGTGTTACACAAGTACAACATGCAGACTAAGGTCGTGTATTACCTAGCCTCATACCAGCGTCACCTAGAACAGCAAAAATGTATGCAGATTAATCACAATATATTTGGATGTACAAAACATATTGAGAGCAAAATATGATGGAAATTTAGGTGATGCTCTTTGAGCATTGCTTCCATTTTCCAATAATGTAACCAGGAATCACTGTTCATGTAATTAAAGAACAATAAGTCTATGTGAATCAAAATATACATATACATGCAAATGTTAAACCTCAGTAGGAAGAGGCCCATTCTCTTGCTTGCTGATATATATATATATATATATACACACACACACACACACACACACACACACACACACATATGTATGTTGTGTGTATATGTATATACACACAACAATCTATAGGCTTGCCTTTTAAAATAGTATAAGCAACAAATTTTAAGAGAAACAATAATGAGTGTGTAAAACATTAGATATGTGTATGTACCTTTGCTATTATTTGTGGAAATGGGGCTATAAAATAAGCTCCTTTATTTTCTTTTGTAAAACATTTCTTTAATATGAAGTAATGCAATACGTATTTATGTTCTAAGTGTTAATTTCCTTGGATATAAAATAATATCTTGTTCCTTTGATTCTCTTACATATAAGTGTATTTACTCAGATATTACTCCAAATACACCAGATATATTCAAAGTTGAAAAAATATATACTTTGGAATGTATTATCATCTTATGTCACATGAAGAAATCAAAATCTCTGGCATCCAAGTGCATTCCAGCCTGAAAAAAATTATGCAATTGTGAATTTAACAGAAAGCAAATTGCTCACATATGGAGTCAACGTGAAGCTATATCAATATTTATTAAAAGTTTATATATTACTTTTGATCCCCTGGAGAGAAATACAAAATTCAAATAATTATTCTATTTTTATATCCCAATTTGTAATTATGAAACTCTAGCATTTTAATTTTTCTCTTTCAAGTTTACCTGAAGCTTCACAAAATTCTGTGAGGAATCTATTATAACAGGTATTTTGCTTATTTCCACACAAACAGAAGGAAATGTGTATTTTCTATGCCCTGAAGAATTTACTCTTTTCTGTAAATGACATATGGTAGTTAATTCTTTTTGGTAATAAAATATTCCTGTTTTTAGGCCGAACAGCCTTTTCATTTAAATTCAGGGCAACATATCAAAGCTTTGCCGTAATAATACAGAGTAATCGACTAAAGTAATATAGAATTTAAATAACAAAGAGTTTAAACAATTTAATATGTCTTCTATTAATTTCAAACTGAAATTTTACAGAAATTATTTGGAATATGCTGCCAGAGTACACACACACACACACACACACACATCACACGCTCACATCACACACTCACACCCAGCTAAAGGAAATTACCACAGCTATAATGATTTCATTAAATATCTGAAATTAAAGTTTCTTTTGGATTTTCAGCTGAAGCTCATAGTAAATAAAAGTAATATGATCATTGTTGCATACTGTGAATCAACAGCACCCAGAAACCTTCGACTTTCTATATTTACACAGCTTAATTATCCGAACTGAAACCTGAGGCCATCTGTGTCAACATGATTTCACAATTCATTCCAGAAAATTATTTTTCAGGAAAGTAAGGCTGCAAACCAATAAATAACTTATTGTTTGCTTCAGGAAATTTCTGCAAATCAATTTATGTCAGTAAGCAACTCTCCTCTGGGCCAACAGATTGCTCACCTGGGCAGGTAGCAGCTTGTGTCAATTAACAGTTTACTTATGAAGACTTCTGTCATGGCCCTTAACTCACAGTGTCCCCCAATCCTAAACTCTATGTCCTGAACATTACCTATTCTTATCAGTCATTGGTCTTGAAAGGCCCCGGGCAACCATTTGAGCCCAGACTTCAATACTCTATCAATACCACCTTATCATCTACTTTTCTAACATGACCCCTCAAGGTGGTGACCCCACTTACAGTCGTCTTTTATTGAATTTAGCTTTCCCTAATCAACATGCTAGTCTATTGGATGCAGTGTCAGAGGCAAAAATCACAGAGGTTCTGAAAGCATCAGCCCATGGTTTTCTAAACATCATGGTTCAAGACCCTTAACACGAAACAGAAAGTTTCCCCGAGGCGCCGTAAACAACCCATTTGGGCGCTTCCCTGATAATTATAGTGAAATCTGGCATCTAATTTTTTTTGGTGGACTCTCAAATTTTATATTTATGTTTTGATTCCTAGAAATAAAAAATGTTTTTATAAGGAATTCTTTGATCGTTTATGTTTTATTCTTGATAGAAACCTACTACTTTATAACTTCGTTTATGTTTTACTCTTGATAGAAACCTACTACTTTATAACTTCGAACATTATTGATGTTCTTCCTGTATTTCTGAGAGGTGACAGCTTGCTGGCATCCCTCGCTGGCTCTCGGCGCCTCCTCGGCCTCAGCCCACTCTGGCCGCGCTTGAGGAGCCCTTCAGCCCGCAGCTGCACCGTGGGAGCCCCTCTCTGTGCTGGCTGAGGCCTGAGCGGGCTCCCTCTGCTGGCGGGGAGGTGTGGAGGGAGAGGCGCGGGCCGGAACCTGGGCTGCCTGCGGTGCTCGCAGGTCCAGCGCGACTTCCGGGTGGGCGCGGGCTCAGCGCGACTTCCGGGTGGGCGCGGGCTCGGCGCGCCCCGCACTGTTGAGCGGTCGGCTGGCGCCGCCGGCCCTGGGCAGTGAGAGGCTTAGCACCCGGGCCAGCAGCTGCGGAGGGTGCACTGGGTCCTCCAACAGTGATGGCCCGCCGGCGCCGCGCTCGAATTTTCGCTGGGCCTCAGCCACCTCCCCGCGGGGCAAGGGGGCAGGGCTCGGGACCTGCAGCCTGCCATGCTGGAGCCCTCACCCTCCTCCCCGCCCCCGTCCCCTGCCCCCCGCCCCCCGCCCCCCGCCCCCCAACCGCAGGCTCCCGCGCGCCACCCCGAGGGGACGGGCGCCACCTCCTGCTACGCGGCACCCGGTCCCGTCAACCGCCCAACGGCTGAGGAGTGCGGCAGCGCGCCAGAGACTGGCGGGCAGCTCCGCCCGCGGCCGGGATGCACTAGGCAAAGCCAGCTGGGCTCCTGAGTCCGGTGGGTACTTGGAGAACTTACTACGTCTAGCTGGAGGATTGTAAATGCACCAATCAGCATGCTGTGTCTAGCTCAAGGTATGTGAACGCACTAATCAGTGCTCTGTGTCTAGCTAATCTGGTGGGGACTTGGAGAACTTTTGTGTCTAGCTAAAGGATTGTAAACAGACCAAGCAGCTCTCTGTAAAATGAACCCATCAGCTCTCTATGAAATGGACCGATCATCAGGATGTGGGTGGGGTGAGATAAGGGAATAAAAGCAGCTGCCAGAGCCAGCAACAGCAACGTGCTAGGGTCCCTTTCCACAGTGTGGAGGCTTTGTTCTTTTGCTCTTTGCAGTCTTGCTGCTGCTCACTGTTTGGCTCTGCGCAGAGCTGTAACACTCACCGAGAAGGTCTGCAGCTTCACCCAAAGATATTCCAAAGATACAGAAAACTATATAGAGACATTTTGTATAGTTCTAATAGCATATAATCCACAGGTCCCTGATCTATAATATGGGTTTTTTATAAAATTGTTTTTTTGTATGCTATGAGGAATTTTACTTGTTAAAAAGAAGAGGTGGAAAGGCAGAATATGAAAACTATGAAAATGACATAAGAGACTATGAATTAGGTGAGAAACCAGAGAGGTTTAGAAACCTGTAGACATTGTGCATCCCCCAATGCCTTTCCCCTTAAAAAAAATTATATTCTAATCCAGTCCATCAAATAAAGTCTACGTTCATTAGAAACATATTCTCTTGGTTTTTATAATTTCAGTTTTTTTCAGACACAGATAGTGCATATGCAGATTTGTTACTTTTGTACAGTGCACCCTGGTAGTGAGCATAGTACCCAGTAGGTAGTTATTCAGCCCATGCTCCCCTCTTTCCCCCACCCCCGTAGCCTGCAGCATGTCTTGTTCCCATGTTAATGTTCCTGTGTGCTCAGTGTTTAGGTTCCACTTATAAGTGAGAATGTGTGGTATCTGGTTTTCTTTTCCAGCACTAATTTGCTTAGGATTATGTCCTTAGCTCCATCCATGTTGCTGCAAAGGACATAATTTCATTCTTTTTTATGGAGGCATAGTATTCCATAGTGTATATGTACCACATTTTCTTTATCCAATCCACCTTTGATGGGCACCTAGGTTCATTCCATGTCTGTGCTATTGTGAATAACATGCTGATGAACGTACGAGTGCATGTATATTTTTCTGGTAGAATAATTTATTTTCCTTTGAATATATACCCAGTAATGGGAATGCTGGGTCGAAGGGTATCTCTGTTTTAAGTTCTTAGAGAAATCTCCAAAATACTTTCCACAGTACCTGAACCAGTTTACATTTCCATCAACAGTAGTGTATAAGCATTCCCTTTACTCTGCAGCCTGGCCAACATCTAATTTTTTTACTTTTTAATTATAGCTGTTGTGACTGATGTGAGATGGCATCTTACTGTGGTTTTTGCTTGCATTTATTTATTTGATGATTAGTAAGGATGAGTGTTTTTTCATATACTTGAGTGTCTTCTTTTGAGAAAATATCTGTTCATGTCCTTTGCCTTTTCTTGATTTAAATTTTAAGTTCTGGGGTACATGTGCAGGAAGCGCAGTTTTGTTACATAGATAAACGTGTGTGGTGGTGGTTTGCTGCACCTATCAACCCATCACCTAGGTATTAAGCCCAGCATGCATTAGCTATTTTTCCTGATGCTCTCCCTCTCCTCAACCCCCTACAGAAAATTATAGTGTGTGTTGTGTGTTGTTCCCCATTGTGTGTTGTTCCCCTCCCTGTGTCCATGTGTTCCCATTGTTCAGCTCCCACTTATAAGTGAGAAGATGCGGAGTTTGATTTTCTGCTCCTGTATTAGCTTTGCCCTTTTTAACTGGGGTTGTTTTATGCTTGTCATTTTTTCTTCCTTATGGATTTGTTATATTAGATCTTTATCAGATGCATAGTTTGCAAATATTTTCTCCCATTCTGTAAGTTGTCTGTTTACTCTGTGGATAGTTTCTATTGCTGTGCAGAAGCTTTTTAGTTTGATTGACTTTCACTTGTCAGTTTCGTTTTTGTTGCAATTGTTTTTAGAAACTTAGCCAAAAATTATTTGCCAAGGCCAATGTCGAGAAAAATATTTCCTAGGTTTTGTTTTAGAGTTTTCATAATCTGAAGTCTTACATTTTAACCTTTAATCCATCTTGAATTAATTTGTGTGTATGGTGGAAGGTAAGCATCCAGTTTCACTCTTCTGCTTATGGCTAGCGAATTATCCCAGCACCATTTATTGAATAGGGTGCCTTTTCCCCATTGTTTGTTTTTGTTGGCCTTGTCCACGATCCAGATGGTGGTAAGTGTGCAGCTTTATTTTTGAGTGTTCTATTCTGTTCCATTGGCTTAAGTGTCTGCTTTTGTAACAGTATCATGGTTAGTGTACACTTATAGTATAGCTGGAAATTGGGTAGTATGACGCCTCTCTGGCTTTATTATTTTTGCTCAGAATTGCTTTGGCCATTCTGGCTTTTGGGGGTGTTCCATATAAATTTAGAATAGTTTTTTCTAATTCTGTGAAGAATGATGTTGGTAGTTTCATGGAGATAGCCTTGAATCTACAAGTTGCTTTGGGCAGTGTGGCCATTTTAACATATTGATTCTTTTAATCTGTAAACATGGAATGTTATTCCATTTATTTGTGTTATCAAAATCTCCTTCCTTCCTTCCTTCCTTCCTTCCTTCCTTCCTTCCTTCCTTCCTTCCCTCCCTCCCTCCCTCCCTCCCTCCCTTCCTCCCTTCCTTCCCTCCCTCCCTCCCTTCCTCCCTTCCTTCCATCCTTCCTTCCTTTTCTTATTTCCTTCCTTTTTTGAGACAGAGTCTCACCCTTTCACCCAGGCTGGAATGCAGTGGAGTTATTATAGCTCACTGCAGGCTTGAACTCCTGGCCTCAAGCCGTCAGGGTAGTTAGGACTACAGGCATGTGCCACCATGCCTCGCTATTTAAAAAAAAAAAAAAAATTTGTATAGATGAGGTTCCACTATGTTGCCTAGGTTGGTCTCAAAACTCCTGGGTCCAAGCGATATACCTGCCTCGGCCTCCCAAAGGCATGAACCACTGCATCCAGCTTCAGATTTCAGCTGTGTTTTGTAATTCTCCTTGTGGAGATCGTTCACATCTTAGGTTAGTTGTATTTGCAGGGATTTTATTTTCATCCTAGGTGTTGTAAATATGATTGTGTTCTTAATTTAACTCTCAACCTGGATGTTGTTGTTGTATAGAAATGCTACTAATTGTTGTACATTGATTTTGTATCCTGAAACCTTGCTAAAATCCTTTATCATTTCTAGTAGACTTTTGTTGAAGTCTTTAAGGTTTTTTAGGTATAGAAGGATATTGTTGGGTGAAGACAGATAGTTTGCCTTAATCTTTACTTCCTATTTGGGTGCTTTTCTCTTTTTCTGTTGCAAGATTGCTCTGACTAGGATTTCTGGTACTATGTTGAATAGGAGTGGTAAGAGTGGATGTCCTTGGCTTGTTTCATTTCTAAAGGAGAATGCTTTCAGCTTTTGCCCATTGAGTATTATATTGGCTGTGGGTTTGTTGTAGATAGCTCTTTTTTATTTTGAAGTATGCTTATTTGAAGCCTCAACTGTTGAGGGTTTTTTTTTGTTTTGTTTTTTCATGAAGGGACACTGGATTTAATTGAAAGCTTTTCCGGCATCCGTTGAGATGATCATATGGTTTTTGATTTAATTCTGTTTATCTGGTGAATCACATTTATTGATTTGCATATGTTGAACCAGCCATGCATCCCAGGAATAAAGCCTGTATTGTCATAGTAGATTAATTTTTTGATATGCTGCTGATGGATTCAGTTTGCTAGTACTTTGTTGAGAATTTTTGAGTCTATGTTCGTCAACAGTGGTCACCTGAATGTTCTTTTTTTTTGCGTCTCTGCCAGGTTTTGGTATTAAGCTGCTTCTGGCTTCACAGCGTGAGTTAGGAAGGAGTACGTTCTCTTCAACTTTTCTGGAATAGTTTCAGTAGAATTGTACTAGTTCTTCGTTATACTTCCGGTAGAATTTTGCTGTGAATCCATATAGTCCAGGGCTTTTTGGCTTGGTAGATTTTTTATTACTTATTCAATTTCAGAGCTTCATATTGGTCTCTTCAGTATTTCAGTATCTTCCTGATTCAATCTTGGAAGATTGCCTGTTTTCAGAAATTTATCCATTTCCTCTAGATTTTCTAATTTTTGTGTCTAGAGTTATTCCTAGTATTCTCTGAGGATTATTTTGTATGTCTGTGGGACCATTTTTAATGTCGTTTTTGTCATTCTGATTTATATATTTAGATCTTCTCTTTTTTTTCTTTGTTTATCTAGCTAAAGGTCTATCAATCTCTTTTTTTAAATCAACTCTTGGTTTCATTAATCTTTTGTATGGATTTTTGCATCTCAATTTCATTCAGATCTTCTCTATTTTAGTTGTTTCTTTTCATTCCTAGCGTTGATGTAGGGTTGTTCTTTTTTTTTTCTTCCCTAGTTCCTTTAGGTGTAGTGTTAGATTGTTAATTTGAAGTATTTCTAACTTTATGATAAAGGCATTTAAACGTTCCTCTTAACACTGATTTAGCTGCATCCCAGAGATTTTGGTAATTTGTGTTCCCATTTTCATTAATTTCACTTTCTTAAAATTTCTCCCTTAATTTTGATTTTCACACAGAAGTTATTCAGGAGAAAGTTGTTTAATTTTCATCTATTTGTGTAGTGTTGAGAGATGTTGGTATTTATTTATATTTTGATTACATTGAGATCTAAGAGTGTGCTTGATATGATTTCATTTTTTAAAATTTATCCAGACTTGCTTTATGACCAAGCATGTGGTCAATGTTAGAATATGTTCCCTGTGCAGATGAGAAGAATGTATATTCTGTGGTTATTGAGTGGAGTGTTCTGTAGATGTCTTATTAGGTCCAGATGGTCAAGGGTGAAGTTTAAGTACACAGTTTCTTCCTTAGTTATCTGCTTTGATGATCCAGTGCTGCCAGCGGGGGTGTTGAAGTCTCCTACAGTTATTGGGTGGTCGTCTGTCTTTTTGTAGTCCAAAAAGAACTTGTTTTATGAATCTGGGTGCTCCATGTTGGGTGCATTTATATTTAGGGTACTTAAGTATTCTTGTTTGATCATATACTTTCTCATGACGTAATGCTCTTCATTCTTCAATTGTTCTTTTTAATTTTGATTAAAGTCTGTTTTATCTGATATAAGAATAGTTACTCCTGCTTTTTTGTTATCATTTGCATGGCAGATTTTCTCCATCCCCTTATTTTGGGCCAGTGGCTGTCATTACATATGAGGTGAGTCTCTTGAAGACTGCAGATGGTGAGCCTTGCATTTTTATCCAGTTTGCCATTGTATGTCATTTAAGTGGGGGTGTTTAGCCTATTTACATTTATGGTTAATGTTGATACATGAGATTTTGATCCTATCATCACGTTTGTAGCTGGTTTTTAGGTAGACTTGATTGTGTAGATACTTTATAGTGCCTGTGAGCTATGTACTTAAGTGGGTTTTTGTGGTAGCAGGTGTCATTCTTTTTACTCAATGTATAGCACTCCCTTAAGGACCTTTCATAAGGCTGGTCAAGTTGAAATTGATTCCCTCAGTATTTGCTTATCTGAGGAGAAATTTGTTTCTTCTTCACTTAGGAAGTTTAGTTTAGTGAAATATAAAATTATTGCCTGGAATTTATTTTCATTAATGATGTTGGACATAGGCCCTTAATCTCTTCTGGCTTGTAAGGTTTTTGCTGAGATATTTACTACTAGCCTAGTGGAGTTCTTGCTTTATGAAAACATGACCTTTCTCTCTAGCTGCCTTTAAGATTTTTTTTTTCTTTTGTATTTACTTTGGTGAATGTGATGACTGTGTGCCTTAGGGATAGTCACCTTTTATAGTGCCTAGCTGGGTTTGCTGTATTTTTTGGATTTACATGTCACTCTCTCTAGCGAGGTTAGGAAAATTTTCATAGACTCTATTCTCAAATCTATTTTCCAAGTTGCCTTTTCTCTTTGTTTCTCTTCTAGGAATGACAATGAGTCGTAGATTTGGTCTCTTTATATAATTCCATATTTCTTAAAGCTTTGGTTCATTTTCTTTTTTTAATTCTTTTTTAAAATTTTCTTTTGACTCAGTTGATTCAACGAACCAGTCTTTGAGCTCTGAGATTCTTTCCTTAGCTTGGCCTACCTTCTGTTAATATTTCTTACTGTATTATAAAATTCTTATACTGAATTTTTTCTGCTCTAGAAATTCAGTGTGGCTGTTGTTTAAAATGGCAATTTCATCTTTCAGCACTTACTTAGATTGCTTTACTGGATTACTTGGCTAGGGTTTCAACTTTCTCCTTAATGTTCATGAGCTTCCCTGCCATCGAGGTTCTGTATTCTATGTCTGTTGCAATTATTTTAGACTGATTAAGAACCATTGCTTGGTAGCTAGTGGGCTAATTTTGAGGTAAGAGGACACTCTAGCTTTTTGAATTGCCAGAGTTCTTGCACTGATTTTTTCTCTTCTGGTAGGGTTAGTGTTCCTTTAACTGTAGTGTATGTTGAGTATAGGCAATTGGTTTTGTTTCTGGATGCTTTCAAAGGGTCAGGGCTTTCTCTGTCCAGGATTTTTATGTATGAGTAATTCTTGTGTTTGGTTTCACAGGTGTATATGTAGCAGGATAAATTTTGATGTTGTAGTTTGGGATGTGATCCAATGCATAGTGCTTAAGAGTGATGGCCAGTGGCTAGCCTAATACCCAGTGGCATGGCTGTTTTATACTTCCTTTTGTTTGCAGGTGTGCTCTATAGTGGGGGTGGGAGAGATGCCTCCATCACCAGATGTGCTCCTGGGCCCTGGGGGAGTCTCCTGCAATCACTGTGTTTCTTGTGTTAGGTGTTCTAGGCCACAGGTCTCTCTCAGGCAGAGGCCCTTTCCTAGGAGCCATTCTGGGGAACTAGCTGTAGTGTTTGGGTTCCCTGCACAGGCTTCCTCCCTCTTCAGCTCAGCTTCATTGCTGCCTCTGCATCCACTCAGCATTTTCTCTCTCAAGATCTGCCTAAATTACGGTGGTTTACTCCATAATTTGGTATCTCTCAGTGGGGGTGGTGCTTCCTGACCATGTCAAATTGACCATGTATTGTCACAGAATGAAAACCTCTTTGATAGACTTTGTAACATTTTTGAATATTACATTCAGGAGTAAAATCTTACGCAGTGTGATCCCAGCTATCTCTTCACTTTTGAGAATAACCTTAAGTAATTAAAGGATAATTAAATATGTAATTAAAAATTGAAAAATATAACAGCTACACTTCCAGATGTCAACTTCTTTCAGAAAATTTTAAAATCTCTTTAAAGAAAGGTAAATTGAGACCAAAATAGATTAATAGCTTTATAAAAATAAGTGCTCAAGGAGGGTGTTACATGTGAAAATTAAACTTGGAATTTGTCATTTTACCCGTAAAATTACTGAGAGTAATTTCCTTGAAATGGAAATAACTTTACAAATTTTTAATTAACAAAAATGCTGAAATATTACTCCGCTTACCTTTATGTAACCTCTTCCTTGAAAACAACAATTTACTCATCTGGTGTGTGACTCTGATAACCTTCAATCATTCTCTATATCTGACACCATGACTAGTAACTTAGATCTTTAACTAAGCAACCTTTCTTTCCACCTTTGTGATATTATATCTAGTAATTTAATAACAGACAATCTATGTTGCAAATTAAACTTCCAAATTGAATAGTAATTTTCAAATCCCAAGGACCCATTTCTTCTGCCTCAATCTTAATTAGGTCTTAGTTAATAGAAAAATTAACTGGCTGGGTGCGGTGGCTCATGCCTGTAATCCCAGCACTTTGGGAGGCCAAGGTGGGCGGATCACCTGAGGTCTGAAGTTCGAGACCATCCTGGCCAACATGGTGAAACCCCATGTGTACTAAGAACACAAAAAATTGACCGGGTATGGTGGTGGGTGGGTGCCTGTAATCCCAGCTACTCAGGAGGCTAAGGCAGGAGAATCACTTGAACTGGCGGGGTGGAGGATGCAGTGAACCGAGATCCCAGCACTGCGCTGCAGCCTGGGCAGCAACAGTGAAACTCCTCAGAAAAAAAAAAAAAAAAAAAGAAAAAGAAAAAGAAAAAAGAAAATTAACTAAATCAAGCCTAAATAAAACATATTCACAAAGTGGCAGACTTTTTTAATCCAAAAATTTAACTGTATTAATGTCTCATTTATAGAACATTATTTTACAATGAGGTTTTACACATCAATCAGTTGAGTCACTTCTTTTTTTTTTTTGAGATGGAGTCTCGCTCTGTTGCCCAGGCTGGAGTGCAGTGGTGTGACCTCAGCTCACTGCAACCTCCACCTCCTGGGTTCAAGCGATTCTCCTGCCTCAGCATCCTGAGTACAGGCACTACAGGCACGTGAGCAAGAGAAGCTGACAGATTCAAATGTTCACAAACATTTATGTTCTATTTTGATAGATACATAAACTATGTTTCTCATTCTTATATACTTTATATTAGGGCATGGGATTAAAGTCAAAATAGTGGAAAATTAGTAGAAATAACATATTTTATATCCAATTTAGTCTCCAAAATCCCAACATGCACTCTTCTGTATACGTTTTTCAGTATGCTTGACTGGAACGGCCAATTCTACAGTAGTCTTGGAAGCAACATACTGCAGATTAAATACCTTAGTAGCCTATGTTCTTGAATGCGGACATAAAGGAGCAATGCTTTTCCTATCTTAAAAAAACAGTTTATATGAATGAAACTTCTGTTCTGTTTAAGATATTATATGTTGTTGAGTGTAGTTGTCAAAGCAACTAGCACGATTCCAAGTAATATAGAAATCACCAGCTTGAGTTGGGTCTGCCATAACAGCACCTAAAACGTATCCACTAAATTAGTATTAAATGGACAAGTAAACCAAACTCAGAGGGTTGAAATGAAGACTTGTAATACCCAGTGAAAAAAAATTATTGAAACTACCATCTAAAATTAATTGGAAGCTTAATATTACCTCTAGGAAAGAGTGTGGGAAATGAGGAAAGGCAAAAGGTAATGTGTTCATGTTTGTTCTGTTCCATAATCCAAGAAATAGATAAACACAGGCAAAAAAAAAAAAAAAAAAAAAAAGAAAAAAGAAATATCCTGTCTTTAGAGTGGAAAGAAAGTGGATAGAGTTGAGTTGCTAAACCTTAGCATTATTGACATTTTATGCCTGATATTCCTGCATTCTGTGGGAGGTTATTCTTTGCATTGTAGGATATTAATAGTATCTTTAGGCTATACCACCACATACCAGTAGCATCACCACCTAATCATTATAATTCAAAATGTCTCCAGACACTGACAAGTGTTCTATGGAAACAAAGTCATTCCTTGTTGGAAACCACTTGTAAACAAAAAGTCTAGTAATGGTGGAATTATACAGTGACAGAAAAGCTCAGGTTTTTCTGATTAGGTTGAAAAAGCTGCTCAGAAATTAAATCCTACTGTGTTCATAAAAAACAAGGAACCCAGCCCTGAAGCAAAGAACTCATCAGGGAAGTTGTTTTCTCTTTCAAGTCTATGATTTCAAATGACCTTAAAGTGGTCATCTTTACAGTCAGAGAAGCATATGTGTGTTGGGGAGGAGAAAAAAGAAGGAAATGAGGCAGACTTTAGAATTATACCTAGGAAAGAACTGTATGTTTGGTTATAAACTAGATCCAATAAATAAATAAATGGTTTCCACGTAACTACTTGGCAAAGGTACAATAAGCCTATTGTGAGAAAAAAAAATTAAGGCTTAAAATATCCTCAAGCATCCCAAATTGCACTAATCAGTGCAATTGATGAGTCATGCTGAGAAAACACTCATTGTTCTAATTTAAGATGGAGGCATGGAGAATAAGAGAAAATGTAAATTACCTCAGAAAGTAAATCTATGAGCCACAGGGACAATGGACCTTAAAGTTATTTCCACAGGACATGTTTATGGTTTCATCAAATAAATATTTGTACTGCTCAGAAATATTTTTGTCAGTGCTCTGCAGACTTCTTTGTCTTCTGATAGGAGCTTCACCATGGTAACTTAGATTTTACAGATAATTTGTCTTTTGACTTTATAGGACACTAGTCCTCGTTAAGTCATATAGTGGCCTGAGGGAGAGAACTGCACGTCATGAAACATCCTGAACTCTAAGTTGTAGGCAGTAACTGGGCAAAACTTTAAGTTGTTTACAGAGGGAAGAGAAGTGAATTTTTCATATATAAAGAAGTGTGCAAATTGTATTTCATGAGTAGTCTTTTGTCTTCTGGAATGGTGATATATACAAAGTAATCTGGGAAGATACAATTTGGTAATAGTAGATCCTTCGTTAACTTGAATTATTTTTTGCAGGAAAGATGCGTCTTTAGCCAAAATTACTTATGGTAAACTGTTATGTAAGCAAGAAATCACCTTCTACTTGGTTTAAGCTATTCAGTGTACTCTCTAGATAGATATGACACAAAGCTAGCATTATGATACAGTAAACCAAGTGTTAATGTAACTTTATGTTGATTTTGACTACATTCTGAAAATAATAAAAGTCATCTGGTATTTTAGGCTTACGATATGAACTTGATACTATGATAGGTGTCTGAAATGTTTATCTCATTTGATTCTTAGAACAAACTTATATTGTGGGTACTAATACAGTACTGATTTTTTAAATAAGAAAAAGGATTGCAAAAAATGTAAAAAGTCTTATTAAAGAGTACAAAATTCTATCTCCAAATGTGTAATGAATTTTATATAGTCAGTTAATATTTGTTTAGCTCAATAAAGTAATGTTCGGTGTAATAGTTGATTTCTTTAATGTTCATTCAGAATCACATTATCAATTTGAAATTAATTCACCTATTCGAAGAAGTTGCTTCCTCCAATTAAGACAGTATAGTAAGCAAAATAATGGTTTACAAAACAAACAAACCAACAAAAAAAAAACCGCATGTCCTGATTTCTGGAAGCTGTGAATATGTTAACTATCTGGTAAAAGGGGCTTTGCAAGTATTATAATGTTAAGGATGGTAAGATGAAAAAGTGTCCTTTTGAGTTCAGTGTAATCAAATGGGTTTAAACTAGGGAAACATTCTTGGCTAGAAACATAAGGTGGTATGATTTCAAAAGAATGGTCAGAGAGACACAGCATTTCTGGTTTGAACAAATGAAAGACCATAAGCTAACAAATCAGGACAGCCTCTGGAGGCTGGAAAAGTCAAGGAAACTGATTTTCCCCTAAAACCTTCAGAAAGGAACACAACAGTTCTCACTCTTTGATTTTAGCCTCATAAGATGCATTGCAGACATCTGACAAACACAATTGTTTGACACTATATTTGTGCTATTTTAAACCACTAACTTTGTAGTAATTGGCTACAGCAGCAGTAAGAAAATAATGCAGAGTGTTTCTATAATGGAGATAAAAGTATAAACAAGAGGCAAGGATTTCCTTCCTTCACAGTGTTTATAATATACTAAGAAAACAAACATTAAATACACAGGGCCCCAATAGATTATTCCACTTTAATTTTAGCTGGCACTGTGGAAGGAAAATAGAAATTCTAGAATATAGTGAATAGGAATATAACTTATTCTTATGTGGGAAGAAATGCTTATTACTGAATACTATTTGGGCTGAAAATAAATGCACTGTAGTTACAGTAAGTACAGTAAAAAAGGTAGTTTGCTATAAGGGAACAGAGCCATTGAAATGTAATGAAAGTCATCAAAGTTTTAGGCACTAACTATAAGTTGCAAGGAGTTAAACAATTGTAAGCAGTCCGATTATTAAAAAAATATGTGCCTGATTCTCAAAATCACAAGTATTCTTTAAGATTGCTAACCGTAGTAGTCAGTTTTCACAATGATATAAAGAATGACTTGAGACTGAGTAATTTATGAAGAAAAGAGATTTAATTGATTCATAGTTCTTCAGGCTTTACAGGAAGCATGAATGGGAGGACTCAGGAAACTCAGAAAATCATGGTGGAAGGCAAAGGGGAAACAAGGTTCTTCTTGACATGGCACCAGGAGAGAGAGAGCACAAGGAGGGAAGTGCCACACACTTTTAAACCATCAGATCTCTTGGAACTCACTCACTATCATGAGAATAGCATGTGGAAATCTGCTCCCATGATCCAGTCACCTCCACCCAGGCCCCTCTCTTGACATGAGAGGATTACAATTTGAGATGAGATTTGGGTGGGGACAGAGGGCCAAGCTATATTATTTCTCCTCTGGCCCCTCCCAAGTATCATGTCCTTCTCACATTTCAAAACCAATCATGCCTTCCCAACAGACTGGAAGTCTTAACTTATTCCAGCATTAACTCAAAAGTCCATGTCCAAAGTTTCATCTGAGACAAGGCAAATCGCTTCTGCCTATAAGCCTGTAAAATCAAAAACAAGTTAGTTAATTTCAAGACAACAGTGGGGGTACAGGGATCAGGTAAACACTCCAATTCCGTAAGGGAGAAATTAGCCAAAACAAAGGGTCTGCAGGCCCCATGCAAGTCCAAAACCCGACAAGGCAGTCATTAAATCTTAAGGCTCTGAAACAATCTTCTTTGACCTCATCTCTCACGTCCAGAGCATACTGATGCAATATCTGGGCTCCCATGAGCTTTGACAGCTCTGCCTCTGTGGCTCTGCAAGGCACAGCCCCCACAGCTGCTTTCACAGGCTAGGATTGAGTGCCTGTGACTTTTCCAGGCACACTGTGCAAGCTGTCAGTGGATCTACCATTCTGGGGTCTGAAGCACTATGACCCTCTTCTCAAAGCTCCAGTAGGGAGTGCCCCAGTGGGGAATCTGTGTGGGGGCTCCAACCCCACATTTTCCCTCTGCACTGCCCTAGTAGAGGTTCTCCATAAGGGCTCCACTTCTGCAGCAGACTTTTGCCTAGACATCCAGGCATTTCCATACATCCTCTGAAATCTAGATGGAGGTTCCCAAACCTCACCTCTTCCCTTCTGCACAACCACAGGCCCAGCCTCATGTGGAAGCCACCAAAGCTTGAGGCTTGTATTCTCTGAAGCAATGGCCTGAGTAGTGCCTTGGACCCTTTTAGCCACAGTTGGAGCTGAGCAGCTGGAACACTGGGCACCATGTCCCGAGGCTGCCCAGAGCAGCAGGGCCCTGGGCCCATCCCACTAAACAATTTCTCCCTCCTAGGCCTCCAGGCTTATAATGGGAGGGGCTGCCTCAAAGGTCTCTGAAATGTACTGGAGACGTATTCCACATTGTCTTTGCCATTAACATTTGGCTCCTCTTTACTTATGCAAATTTTTGCTTGAATTTCTCCCAAGAGCGTGGGTTTTTCTTTTTTACTATATGGTTAGGCTGCAAATTTTCCAAACTTTTATGGTCTGCTTTCCTTTTAAATATACGTTTCAGTTTCAAGCCATCTCTTTCTTCATGGACATGAGCATAAACTTTTAGAAGCAGCCAGGCCACATGTTGGAAGGTCTGTTGCTTAGAAATTTGTTTCACCAGATACCCTAAATCATCTCTTTGAAGTTCAACATTACACAGATCTCTAGGGCCGGGTCAAAAGGCTGTCAGTCTCTTTGCTAAAGCATAGCAAGAGTAACTTTTTCTTCAGTTCTCAATGAGTTCCTCATCTCCATCTGAGACCCCCTCAGCCTGGACTTCGTTATCCAAATCATTATCAGCATTTTGTTCACAACCATTCAACAGGTCTCTAGGAAGATTTAAACTTTCCCATATCTCCCTGTCTTCTTCTGAGTCCTCCAAACTGTTTCCTACCTCTGCCTGTTACCCAGTTCCAAAGTTACTTCCATATTTTCAGGTATTTTTATAGCAATGCCCCACTGCTCTGGTACCAATTTTCTGTATCTATCTCTTCTCAAACTGCTATAAAGAACTACTGGGTAATTTATGAGGAAAAGAGGTTTAATTGACTCACAGTTCTGCAAGCTTAACAGGAAGCACGACTGGGAGGCCTCAGGAAACTAACAATCATGGCAGAAGGTAAAGGGGGAGCAGGTGCCTTCTTCACATGGTGTCAGTAGAGAGAAGAGCCGGGGGGAAGTTCCACACACTTTTAAACCATCAGATCTTGTGAGAACTCACTGACTGTCACGAGAACAGTATGGGAAATCCACCCCCATGATCAAATCACCTCCTACCAGACCCCTCCCCTGACACGTGGGGATTACGATTCAACATGAGATTTGTGTGGGGACACAGAGCCAAAGTATATCACTCACCTAATAAGTGCTTATCTTGATTAAATTGTATGGAAAACTACAACTTAAATTATGTGATCAGAAATTCTATCTAATGATAGACATTAATTCAAATGCCACCATGTTCTCCTGTCAGCTTCTCATATATTGTCATGGATATGATTTAATTGTCCTTCAGTGTCATGGAACACATCCTGAGATTCAGCTGATGAAGTTGCAAACTGGATAAATATAAATGATGATGTTTCAAAAAAGAAAATCCTCACTTAGTAAAAAAATGTTAGGTTTATTTTACACTTTCTTGACAGCTGAACTAATATAAAAAGCACTCACCTTGTTTCTTTCAGTTTTGTGTATGTTTTGATTGTGTCAGCTGAGTTCTTCTTCACGGGATTTTCTATGTGTCAGAGACACTTGTCCCCCATTCTGTTTTCCTGTGTAATCTCAAAATTGACAAGGGTCTTCACTGTATGTGAAAAGGATGTCTGTGTTGCTTGATTTTATGTGTGACTACTGTTTGCGATTGTCCTTTTCCCAATATGACATGTAATTTTACAGCACAGATAGTTTTTCAAAAGAATTACATTCCCAGGCTTAGCAGAGGGAGCGGCCTACTTATTGAAATGTGAAATCGAATCTCTGAAACAGAAACACCAAATTATTACACTAATCTGTAAAGTAGCTATAAAACGTTATTTTTCAGAGTGAAGTATCTGTCAAGATGGCTAGTTTTGGTGTATAAAAGAAACGGTATTTTATTCCTTTTATTTCTGTAAACAGATTAAGTCTGTGTGTGTGTGTGTGTGTGTGCGCGCGCGCGTGTGTGTGTGTGTGTACATGGGATATAATACAAATCTACCTCGACTTATAATGAGTTACATCCTGATAACCACAGGCCAAGATGTGTTATGATGGATCTGGATATACTCATAAGTTGAAAATATTTTAGGTAAAAAATGCATTTAGTACATTTAACAAAAATACTGGCAAACCGAGTCCAGCAGCACATCAAAAAGCTTATCCACCAAGATCAAGTTGGCTTCATCCATGGGATGCAAGACTGGTTCAACATACGCAAGTCAATAGATGTAATCCATCACATAAAGAGAACCAAAGACAAAAACCACAAGATTATCTCAATAGATGCGGAAAAGGTCTTTGACAAAATTCAATAGCCCTTCATGCTGAAAACTCTCAATGAACTAGGTATTGATGGAACATATCTCAAAATAATAAGAGCTATATATGACAAACCCGCAGCCAGTATCATACTGAATGGGCAAAAACTGGAAGCTTTCCCTTTGAAAACTAGCAGAAGACAGTGATGCCCTCTCTCACCACTCCTATTCAACATAGTGTTGGAAGTTCTGGCCAGGGCAGTCAGGCAAGAGAAAGAAATAAAGGGCATTCTATTAGGAAAAGAGGAAGTCAAATTGTCCCTGTTTGCAGGTGATATGATTGTATATTTAGAAAACCCCATCATCTCAGCCCAAAATCTCCTTAAGCTGATGAGCAACTTCAGCAAAGTCTCAGGTTACAAAATCAGTGTGCAAAAATCACATGCATTTGTATACACCAATAACAGACAATCAGAGAGCCAAATCATGAGTGAACTCCCATTCACAGTTGCTACAAAGAGAATAAAATACCTAGGAATCCAACTTACAAGGGATGTGAAGGACCTCTTTAAGGAAAACTACAAACCACTGCTCAACGAAATACAAGAGGACACAAACAAATGGAAGAACATTCCATGCTCATGGGTAGGAAGAATCAATATCGTGAAAATGGCCATACTGCCCAAGGTAATTTATAGATTCAATGCCATCCCCATCAAGCTACCAATGACTTTCTTCACAGAATTGGAAAAAACTAAAGTTCATATGGAATCAAAAAAAGAGCCCATATTGCCAAGACAATCCTAAGCAAAAAGAACAAAGCTGGAGGCATCACGCTACCTGACTTCAAACTATACTACAAGGCTACAGTAACAAAAACAGCATTTTACTGGTACCAAAACAGAGATATAGACCAATGGAATGGAACAGAGGCCTCAGAAATAACGCTAAACATTTACAACCATCTGATGTTTGACAAACCTGACAAAAACAAGAAATGGGAAAAGGATTCCCTATTTAATAAATGGTACTGGCTAGCCATATGTAGAAAGCTGAAACTGGATCCCTTCCTTCACCTTATAGAAAAATTAATTCAAGATGGATTAAAGACTTAAATGTTAGACCTAAAACCATAAAAACCCTAGAAGAAAACCTAGGCAATACCATTCAGGACATAGGCATGGGCAAGGACTTCATGTGTAAAACACCAAAAGCAATGGCAACAAAAGCCAAAATAGACAAATGGGGTCTAATTAAACTAAAGAGCTTCTGCACAGCAAAAGAAACTACCATCAGAGCGAACAGGCAACCTACAGAATGGGAGAAAATTTTTCCAATCTACCCATTTGACAAATAGCTAATATCCAGAATCTACAAAGAACTTAAACCAATTTACAAGAAAAAAACAAAGCCATCAAAAAGTGGACAAAGGATATGAACAGACACTTTTCAAAAGAAGACATTTATGCAGCCAACAGACACATGAAAAAATGCTCATCATTACTGGTCATCAGAGAAATGCAAATCAAAACCACAATGAGATAGCATCTCACACCAGTTAGAATGGCGATCATTAAAAAGTCGGGAAACAACAGGTGCTGGAGAGGATGTGGAGAAATAGGAATGCTTTTACACTGTTTGTGGGAGTGTAAACTAGTTCAACCATTGTGGAAGTCAGTGTGGCAATTCCTCAAGTATCTAGAACTAGAAATACCATGTGACCCAGTGATCCCATTACTGGGTATATACCCAAAGCATTATAAATCATGCTGCTATAAAGACACATGCACATGTATGTTTATTGCTGCACTCTTCACAATAGCAAAGACTTGGAACCAACCGAAATGTCCATCAATGATAGACTGGATTAAGAAAATGTGGCATACATACACCATGGAATACTATGCTGGCATAAAAAATGATGAGTTCATGTCCTTTGTAGTGACGTGGATGAAGCTGGAAACCATCATTCTGAGCAAACCTTCGCAAGGACGGAGAACCAAACACCGTGTGTTCTCACTCATAGGTGGGAATTGAACAACGAGAACACTTGGACACAGAGTGGGTAACATCACATGCTGGGGCCTATTGTGGGGTGGGGGGATGGGTAGGGATAGCATTAGGAGAAATACCTAATGTAGATAATGAGTTAATGGGTGCAGCAAACCAACATGGCACATGTATACATATGTAACAAACCTGCAAGTTGTGCACATGTGCCCTAGAACTTAAAGTATTAAAAAAAAATACACTTAAGAAATGTGCTCAGAACACTTACATTAGCCAGTCCAAAAAAAAAATCTAACCTAAAGCCTATTTTTAAATAAAGTGTTGAATATCACATGTAAATTATTAAATACTGAATGTGAAAAACGGAATGGGTATATGGGTAATAAAAGCATTGTTTCTACTGAATGTTTATCACTTTTGTACCATGATGAAGCTGTAAAGTTGTACCATTGTAAATCTGGGACCATCTGTGTTACATTCAAGAGAAAAGCTCAGTCGAACTAATAAATAAATCAAAATTTCTTCTGATTATTTAGGTGTTTTTTCCTGTTAGATAATTAAGACATCCAACTGTTGCTTGCTGCTTCACCACACAGACCATACACAGATACAAATACACACTCCATGAATGAGCATATGTGCTTGTTTAAAGAGACATACTAACCAAACAGTTGTATGCTGCCGTGATATTGATTATGTCATCAAGTTCCTTATTTAACAAAACACAGCTGTGTATGAAGTATTTCTCTAAAATGTACATTCAATAGCAACTGGTTTTGTTCAGTCTTATGTACCCATATTATTTAAATGAGCACCTGGAGTCTAGAATTAACTAAAAAATATCTATGTTGATGCATATTAAGTTGATTTTGAAGTCATAAATTTTGACAAGAATTGATACTATGGCACTGTCATAACTTTACAAAAGATGACCTGAACTAACATGATTTTATGCTTTTACCAGTGGAACTCCCTGAAATATATTCAGATAATTTGTTATTAAAGCAAAACTAAGTTTATTGAAACCCTGTGCCAAGAAAGTACACCATTTTGACATACTTTTGCAGTGTTTCAGCAGGGAAGAGTGAGAGGAAGATTTTTCATGTTTGTGGAGAATGGCTTAAGAGAGTTAAATGAGTCTTTCAAAGTGAGTAGCTGATTGAAATTGAGCTAAACTCAGAGCATAATAGTTTAGATAGTCTAAGAAATTGAAAAAAAAGTTGATGCCAAGCATACAAGAAATAACACCACCAAAAAATAGACCTAAATACAGACAAAATTAGATTAAAAACAAGAATATGTTCAATGTTAATAAAAGCAAAAGGAACATAGACATAGTTATGGAGGAGTTTTGTTTTGTTTTAATAAGATAAAAATATGGTTAGTTTTATAGCAATACACCTGGAAATCTGGATCAATTCTGTCCACTATAGTCATTACTAGTGACATGTAGATATTGAACACTTGAAATATGGTGGATTTGAATTGATTTATGCTATATGTAAAATACAAACTAGATTTAGTTTAAAAAATGTAAAACTGAATAATTTTAATATTGTTTTATGCTGAGATGACAATATTTTGGATATACTGGATTAAATACATATAAAATATTGTTAAAAATCAAGTAGTATAGTAAAATTGGTCTTTTTGTTTTACTTTTTTATTTTGTTTTGGTTTTTGAAGGGATAGAAATCATGGCTAAGATGGACCCTGGGGCATATCATTGACCATCATGAAACATGCACTGATTTGCCAAATGTATTATTTTCCTGTGGCTGTTATAAAAATCACAATACACTTAGTAGTTTAAAACAACATAAATTTATTGTCTAGCAGTATTCCAGGTTAGAAGTTCAACACAGGTCTTACTGATTTAAAATCAAAGCATTGGAAGACTGCATTCCTTCTATAGGCTCTGTGGAATAATCCATGACCTGGCCTTTCCCAGGCTTTAGAATCCAGCTGCATTCTTTGATGCATGTTCCCTGTCTTGGGCAGCTTGGAATACTGTAAGAAAATACCATAGACCGGGTGACTTAAACAACTGACATTTATTTCTCAGAGTTCTGAAAGTTGGGAAGTCCAAGATTAAGGTGCTGGTATATTTGGTTCATGGTGAGGGCCCACTCCCTCTCTGGTTAGTAGATGGCCTCCTTCTCTCTGTGTTCACATGGCCTTTCCTGGATACATGTTTACGGAGAGAGAAAGAGAAGGGTGGTTGGGTGGGAGGTGGTCTAGTATCTCCACCTTTTCTTATAAGAACACTAACATTATCATGAGAACACCACACTTAGGACATTATCTCAACCTAGGTTCCTCCCAAAAGCTCCATCTCCAGATACTATCACACTGCCAATTAATAGATCATTGAAAATAATCTATTAATATTTGAACAATGCCAATCATCTTCAATAGATTAATTTTAGGGAGACACAAATATTCAGTTCATAACAGTTCCTTTCCTTGACCTTCAAAGCTACAAATGAAGGAGCAAGTCTTCACATTCTCCTTTTATATCTCCCTCTTCTACGTGTAAAGAATCTTATGACTGCATTTGGCCATCTAAAAATCTATGATAGTCTCTCCATTTCAAAATCCTTAACTCTAATTGCATTTGCAAAGTCTGTCCTGCCAGGTAAGCTAACAAATTTATAAATTATCTGGATTAGGACCGCATCATCTCTGAAGAGCCATTATTCTGACTACCACATCAGTATGTTAGTTTATGTCAAGATTGCTGTAATAATCAATAGGTTCTGGTACCACAAATCCAGTAGCAGTCATTAAGGTTGATTGAGTTTATTGATTGCTTTCAGCTCCATTCTGCTATTAATCACTTTTGGGGATATAAAATGAAGACCTTATCACATAGAGGAAGAGGTAGATGTGATAGGAGCTTGAATATGTAATAAGAATTTTTTATGATATGTAAATGTGAGAAATGAATTAAGTATGTGCCATTTGTTCTCTTCTTTTTAAGACATTTCTTTCTAAAGGTTTAGTGACAGAAGTTGCATTCTATTAAAGATCCCTAAGTGCTGTTCTGCTGTAGGCATAAGCTTTCTTTCCTGGGTGCAGCATGTTAGGATTTAAGATTTCTATTTATCTAATACTCTGCTGTTTGTCAGATAAAATAACAATAAATAGTGAGTCCAATTATTGATAAACCCAGATGTTTCATATTTAGGAATCGATGTTAAAAAAAAAAAACACTAATTGGCATCCTAAGGAAAATGTGTGCAGCTTAGCACTGATTCAACTGCATGTTTAGCCAAATTGTGAACAAATTACGGCCAGCTTCCGGACTCTTCTAGAGAGTGACTAAGGACGGCATAGAGGAATTAGGAATAGTAGCTTTATAGGTAAAGTAATTAAATGTAACCTTAAGCATAAAAAGATAAAGTTAACTAGGAAAATGAAAACTCAAGATATACAGATTAAATATGACAAACAATGGATCTTTTTTTGTGGATCTTGGTTTGCAGATACCGATATCTCATATAGTGATTCACTTGATCCAAAGGCATTTGATGGAAGCTGTCTTCTCCCAAAGACTATTTGCTTTTGGAAGAATCCTAAGAGTCATTAGTTAGAAGTTTTTGGTAGGGATACTTTCCTGTAATATGAAGATGACCTAAACCTCTTTACTTGAGAGATAGGAATCAAAGGATCAGTCTTTTAAAGACTATGGGTTTGCTAGTTGTTAGCTGTGCCTGATAGTGACTTTTTTCCTATGATCTTTCCCTGCCGTGTCTCTTAGAAGACAAGGTATCCAGGTATGAAAACCAATTTTGCAGACATTGTTTAGGATACTAATGGGGAAAGTCTTCAGTAACTTTTGTTGAAAGAATGGATTTCCTGAGTCCTTACAGCATTTAGTTAAATAAGTGTAGATTTCTAGAATCAGAGCTAATATTCCTAGACACTTGGTTTAGCTGTTACTAACTCATGAACCACAGAAAGAAGAAATGCCTTAGACCATGCAAGTTTGACGATGTCTGTGAACTTTACCAACTTTAGTTTCAGAATTCCATCTTTCTACCTTCCCAAAAGGTTGAAAGTGATATGGACAGTGAAGTCTGATTAATTGACAGAACTTTTCCATGTTAATAAAAATTCCGGTAAAATGGTTTCCTTGTTACTAGAGATATAGTTTGGGATTCCCCAGGCTGAAAAAAAAAAAAAGGATTTTCTCCATGCCAACAAGAGACAAATAATGATCAGAACATATTTAAAATCTATTGCCAGCACTTGTTATGAAAAATTCATTTAGATTTTTACTGAGACATTTTACAGTTTTGTTAGGATTAATCTGACGAAGGTTGAGACAAGTTGTAAGGATATAGTTATATAAAGATATACTTACCAATTTTAGCAAAATTTTCCTCCAGCTATTGGTTAAATACATTGGTCAATTTGTCCTCATTGTGCCAGAAAAGCTCAGCAGTTCTGACTAAAGTTTATGTTAACCCATTGCCAGTAGAATGAAAGAGTTGAATCCTCTCTTAAATTATAATATATAGTTGACTCCTCAACAACACAGGTTTGAACTGTGCAGGTCTGCTCATATGTAGATTTTTTCCTATAAATATATTAGAAAATTTTTGGAGATTTATGAAAAATTGAAAAAGATAACAGGTGACCCATCTACACAAGAAATATTAAAAAACTAAGAAAACGATGTCATGAATGCATAAATCATATGTAGATACTAGTGATCATTTAATACAATGAGATATATATGCGTCTATTATAAAAAGTTAAAATTTATCAAGACGTAGGCAAACACAGAGCATACATGCAGCCAATTGAAGTTTAGAGAAAAGTAAAACAAAAATATACAAAAGTAAATCATAACTGCACAAAATTAACTGTAGTACATACTGTACTACTGGGATAATTTCCTAGCCTCCACCTGTTGTTCTTGCAGTGAACTCAAGTGTTGTGAGTATTCACTTAAAATGCCACATAATGCTAATCATCTTCTTGTGAGTAGCTTGTCTCTCCAGTAAATTAACACAGTAAAAAGTGTTCTCTCATGTTTCTCCTGTATTATTCATGATGTCTAGTGCAATACCATAAACCTTGAATAACACCTTCAGACCTATAAAAAGTGCTGCTAGTGATGCTGAAAGTTCTTCCAGGAAACAGAGAAGGGTCCTGACATTACAGGAAAACAATGAATTGCTTGATAGGTACCCTAGATTGAGGCCTGCAGCTGTGTGTGCTGCCATTTCAGAAGAAGGATCCATCTTGTAAACACGGGATTGTAAACTTATGAGAGAAATAAATATACTGTAGTACTGTAAACGTATTTTTTCTTCCCTATAATTTTCTTAATAACACTTTCTTTTCTGTAACTAGCTTCATTGTAAAACTACGGTGTAAAATACATACAGCGTATGAAATATGTGTTAAGGATTGTCCAGTCAACAGTAGGCTGTTAGTTTAGTTTTGGGGAGTCCAAAGTTATATGTGAATTTTTGACTGTGCTGGGGTGGTGGGGAGGGGTTAGGGAGGTTTGATGGCCCTAAACCTTGTGTTTTTCAGGAGTCAACTGTACAATTTAGAAGAATATGATTTAGAATTTCCCTGAGATTAAGAACATATTAAATGGTGGGAAGGATATTGATAGACCTCTAGATCTAGTGACACTATCAACTTTGACTGTGTCTGTTTGATGAAGGAATTAAAATCTAGTAACAAAAGCATTTTGTAGATAGTTATTGTACCAGTCTTTGTTCTTGAACATCAGTGTGTTTTTTTGAACTGAAAATCACACATTGAATGAAAGGCTTCATCTCAATATATTTTATTTACACATAAATTTGAGCTGTTTTTTGTTCACAAGTTTGGCCGATAAAAGAGCCCTCACAATAGCTTTAATTACCATTTAAAATTACAAATTAATGTGATTTTTTAATTTTTCTCTCTTTTGTAGGGTGAAGGAGCAATGCTTTTGGTTACTCAGTATTCTCTCAAGAAAATTTAAAGATAGTTTATACATAGAAGATATTTTAACAGGCTATATTCTGAACTTGTGGCCCGGATTTGGAAAAAGCAATATATCAAGTATGGTTCAAGGGGACAAGAAAGAGAGAAGCATTTGTTACCATTTTTCCAAGTCAAAAATATTTAATCAGATAATATTTTAAAAGCCAGCAATAATTAGTAATGATTGGTATAATGTTTTTGTCAAAATTATTAAATAGGAGATAAAATTAAAAGCTTTATTTTTTTGCATTCAAATAAAATTTTAAGTATTTTGATGAGCATATTAAATCAACAATGCATGTATTACATTGAACCTGACTTCTTAATAAGTTGCAACCAAATCTTTAATGATAAGTTTAGGTCAGAGAGATAATTTTGAGATTTGTCACCATAAAGATAGGGTATAATGTGATGTAAATAATTAAGATCAGGTGGAAAGACAAATAAGATTGAAGGAAGACCCAAGACCAAGGTTTGAGGCACTCTCAGAAGTTCTAAAAAAAAAATTTAGACTATGAGTAAAGAAGGATTGATCAGCAAGGTGAAATGGATCAAGGAAATGTGGGCACTCAGAGGTACAGAGGGGTTAATTGCTGCTCAGAAAATACTCAGACGAATGCTGAACAATAGATTAGATAGAACCGATGTCCTAGAAATCATGAAGATAAGTGACTTTATTAAAATACATATTATAAACAAAGAAGGAATTTACTGTTCGAAAAGTTGTCTTGAAGAATTGTTTTGGGAGAAAATAAAAAATAAACCTTATTTTCTAAAATACACTAAAACTAATTCCAAATGAGTCAAAGGATTGTGTACAGATATTTTAAATTAATAAAACAATGTTAGTGCAGATTCTCTTTAATTACTTCCCTGATTGTTTTACCTATAGTAACTCATTTAATTCTACTAGCAATCTTTTCATGTTGGATACAGCTATTCAAATTTTCTTTTGTTATTGCAATAGCCTCCTAACCATTCTTCCACAAAATTGAGGCACTAAAAGGTTGTGAAATTTCCTCTATGCCACAGAGCTTTTTAGTGATGATTTGGCATTTGGAAGCACATCTTTGAAATGTTCGTTTTTCTCTGATGGCCAGTGATGGTGAGCATTTCTTCATGTGTTTTTTGGCTGCATAAATATCTTCTTTTGAGAAGTGTCTGTTCATGTCCTTCGCCCACTTTTTGATGGGGTTGTTTGTTTTTTTCTTGTAAATTTGTTTGAGTTCATTGTAGATTCTGGATATTAGCCCTTTGTCAGATGAGTAGATTGTGAAAATTTTCTCCCATTCTGTAGGCTGCCTGTTCACTGTGATGGTAGTTTCTTTTGCTGTGCAGAAGCTCTTTAGTTTAATTAGATCCCATTTGTCAATTTTGGCTTTTGTTGCCATTGCTTTTGGTGTTTTAGACATGAAGTCCTTGCCCACGCCTGTGTCCTGAATGGTAATGCGTAGGTTTTCTTCTAGGGTTTTTATGGTTTTAGGTCTAACGTTTAAGTCTTTAATCCATCTTGAATTAATTTTTGTATAAGGTGTAAGGAAGGGATCCAGTTTCAGCTTTCTCCATATGGCTAGCCAGTTTTCCCAGCACCATTTATTAAATAGGGAATCCTTTCCCCATTGCTTATTTTTCTCAGGTTTGTCAAAGATGAGATAGTTGTAGATATGCGGCGTTATTTCTGAGGGCTCTGTTCTGTTCCATTGATCTATATCTCTGTTTTGGTACCAGTACCGTGCTGTTTTGGTTACTGTAGCCTTGTAGTATAGTTTGAAGTCAGGTAGCGTGATGCCTCCAGCTTTGTTCGTTTGGCTTAGGATTGACTTGGCAACGCGGGCTCTTTTTTGGTTCCATACGAACTTTAAAGTAGTTATTTCCAATTCTGTAAAGAAAGTCATTGGTAGCTTGATGGGGATGGCATTGAATCTATAAATTACCTTGGGCAGTATGGCCATTTTCACGATATTGATTCTTCCTACCCATGAGCATGGAATGTTCTTCTATTTCTTTGTATCCTCTTTTATTTCATTGAGCAGTGGTTTGTAGTTCTTCTTGAAGAGGTCCTTCCCATCCCTTGTAAGTTGGATTCCTAGGTATTTTATTCTCTTTGAAGCAATTGTGAATGGGAGTTCACTCATGATTTGGCTCTCTGACTGTCTGTTATTGGTGTATACAAATGCGTGTGATTTTTGTACATTGATTTTGTAACCTGAGACTTTGCTGAAGTTGCTCATCAGCTTAAGGAGATTTTGGGCTGAGACAATGGGGTTTTCTAGATATACAATCGTGTCATCTGCAAACAGGGACAATTTGACTTCCTCTTTTCCTAATTGAATACCCTTTCTTTCCTTCTCCTGCCTAATTGCCCTGGCCAGAACTTCCAACACTATGTTGAATAGGAGTGGTGAGAGAGGACAAATCAAAACCACAGTGAGATACCATCTCACACCAGTTAGAATGGCAATCATTAAAACGTCAGGAAACAACAGGTGCTGCAGAAGATGTGGAGAAATAGGAACACTTTTCCACTGTTGGTGGGACTGTAAACTAGTTCAACCATTGTGGAAGTCAGTGTGGCGATTCCTCAGGGATCTAGAACTAGAAATACCATTTGACCCAGCCATCCCATTACTGGGTATATACCCAAAGGACTATAAATCATGCTGCTATAAAGACACATGCACACGTATGTTTATTGCGGCACTATTCACAATAGCAAAGACTTGGAACCGACCCAAATGTCCAACAATGATAGACTGGATTAAGAAAATGTGGCACATATGCACCATGGAATACTGTGCAGCCATAAAAAATGATGAGTTCATGTCCTTTGTAGGGACATGGATGAAATTGGAAATCATCATTCTCAGTAAACTATCGCAAGGACAAAAACCCTAAGACCGCATGTTCTCACTCATAGGTGGGAATTGAACAATGAGAACACATGGACACAGGAAGGGGAACACCACACGCTGGGGACTGTTGTGGGGTGGGGGAAGGGGGGAGGGAAAGCATTAGGAGATATATCTAATGCTAAATGACGAGTTAATGGGTGCAGCACACCAGCATGGCACATGTATACATATGTAACTAACCTGCACATTGTGCACATGTACCCTAAAACTTGAAATATAATAATAATAAAATTTAAAAAAAATGTTCATTTTTAATTATAGCACTACACCATGCACTGAATCACGGAGGGTAAAAATGCACACTGTTAATAAGAAGGAGGGAGTCAATCTCATTAGTATTATAATATTTATACTGAATGAGACTCCATTCCCGAAATTCACAGAATTAAAATAATAAAAATAAAAATTTATTGCTAGCCAATTTGCAGCAAAAAAGATTCATTCTCATATTCTGCTATGAGAAAATAAATGAAATTGAATTTTAAAAGACATTTTTGGAAAGCCCTTTGAATTAACCAGAAAATTGTTAAATTCGTAGTTTTTTTGACTAACATTCTTCTTCCACGTTAACAGAATTTATATATAAGTGACACTCATTGCATATACTTTTAAGGGGTAAAATAATTACTAAATTTATGTACACTATTAATACTTCATTGTATAAAATTGCATATATACCCATATGCAAATGTGCACAGAATCAATAGGGTAACCATAGACATAAAATGATCAGTGCAGGATATTTTATTTATGCATTTTATATATAATATACTTTTCATTTAATATTTTTGCTAATTTTATTGAATTGAATATTTATGCCTTGGTTATAGAACAACTAAATTTATTTTCAAAGAAACTCCATTATTATTGTCTGCAAGAGTAAAACTTATAAACAATCTAAAAATTCAACCAAATACAACCATTTACAATTGTGCCCTAGTTGAATTTGTAATCGTAGGAGAAAACACAGGTGTTGAATTTTTTGAATTTCATTTAAAAAATAATTGACACAATCCCTAAGGTATCATATAAATTAATTGAATTGTTATTGTCTTGGGTTAACATTTATTTCTAGAGTTTTTTTTCCCCTAATATCTGATTTTTTCCATTAACATTACTTATTTGGATAATCAGAAAAAAATCAACATTGCCAAAAGATAGATAATACCACAAGCGAAATATCTATGATAATGATAGGAAAATGCTTTGAATTCAGGCTGAATGAGAATTAGTCTAGGAAAACAGCTTGGACCCTCTCATTCCTGTTAATGTCATCTCTGTGTTTAGCACTGCTGCTATTCCTCAGCTACTAAGAAATGCTCTATTGCTGGGCATGGCATATGGGAAGCCAAGAAAAATGACTGGCTGCTTGGTGACAGCTCTCTAGTCCTCATGCCAAGTTCTGCCAGTGATTTAAATATTAAGTAATGGAAAGAATTTTGAAATCCAGGATGATTAGAAAAGTCATTTTCTACAAAAGTGAAGCATTGTCTTTAGAGATTAAAATCTATGAAAATAACATTATTGAAATACTAGACTTCAGACTATTTTTCTGAATTACTGTAACTGTTGAAATAGGTCTTTCAGCCCATTAAGATAAACACCACACTTTTCTCTTCATGATCTCCAGCTGTAATTTTATAGTGAAAGGTGCTTGCATAAAAGAGTTCACACTATCTGAAAGATGTCACATGTAACATTGACTGGCAGCCATTTCAGAATGGCAGACAGCCAATAAATCATTCAGAACTATGTGTCACTCGTTGTGGCTTTAAAATTGTATTCCTTCTCCTTTGATAAAGAACATTTCAATGTCAAATAGTTTGTTCTATTTAAACTTATACATCAACCAGAATATTGAGATACACAATAAAATTAAATGATTTGGTAATACCTTTAGAATTTATCTAAAAACAGCCGTATGTATTTGCATGACAGATTTGGTTCACAAACCGATCAAGTTGTTAGTATCAAAGGCATGTTTTAGTGCTGATTTGTGTATAGATAAATTTAGGAAATTACATAAATAGAAATACTTCTTTATAAAATTCCTTGACCTTGTGATATCTTGGTATTAAGAATCTTAAAGGAATCATTTAAAAAAATTCAAAAGCAAACAATTTCGATTTTACAAGAGCTAAGAAAAAAACATTTTGCTATGGACACAGATCGCTCTTCAAGAAAAGATTTCTTTCCCCCTTGGCTGCTAGGAGCAATATTACAAAGCAGCCTTCAGCTCTCAGCTCCTTCAAAGTTTGCCTCAGCTGTAACCATTGTCTGGCTCAATGTTAGGGCATCCTGGAGCACTGGACATGCAAACACGAATGGAGATGAGGTTATAAAGCCTGGCCATTTTGACCCACCTGAGAGGATTCTGACAGGTCCTTCCAGTGCCTGAGAAACCCAGGGCTCACATGCTTTATATTCTGATCATTCTGTAGGGGTTGTTCCCATGGGTGATAGAAGCTGCCAAATATAAAGAGGCAACCATGCAAATTTTTAGGAATTATTTCCAAAACTCTCATAACAACATCATATATATTTATTGGTTGTTTAAGTAGATTTCTGAGGAGTAGATAGCAACGATAGAAGTGAAAGAAAGTAAATGCAGTTGTTAAAGGATTAGTCTTCCCATACTTAGAAAGTACACAAGTTGCATATACACTATGTTCCTTCCCTAGAGCAAGTATTTCAATGCAGTCATGTGTGTGTGTTTGTGTGCTTGTGTGTGTGTGGTGTGTGTGTGTGTGTGTGTATGCTAACTGAACTCATTATAGATTTTATTGGATCAGATATATGAAGAGACTTGGAAGACTTGGGTTTGTCTGGAACTGGGTGAAATAGAGAAGGACGATCATTGACATAGAAAGCTGATTACTTTGTCCTTTGAGTATAAATAGTCTTACAATAAAATGGCATCTCCACTGTCTAAAACACATTTTTACATTTGCTCTCCTTCTGAAATTATTTATGTGAAATTAACAAATGTACTTATTACCTTAGAAACAAACGATCCGTAATTTATATTATTTATTGTATATTTGTAGATCCACTTAAAATTGATTTGCAATATAAGGAAAAAATGCGTTTTATAAGTTGTTTGCTTTGTGTAGTGCATCTTGTTAACCGTAGGACTACTGTTGCATTGAAACAAAATAGAATTAATCTGTTCAGGTAAATAGAACTGGAAGTGAGATTTGTTGTCACTCCTTCTCCTTCAAGTACTGACCAGTCTTTTAATTCACACATAACTAACACTCTGTGCAATAATATTTTTTTGTTCTCTGTCTTTTCAAACAGAACTCAAGCTCCATGAGGAGATGTTTCATTGTCGGTGAGCACATTCTTGTCAATTAGTTCCTTCTTGTTTCTTACTATAGCCCCTGTGTCTAGAACCTTTCCAGGTATTCAGTAGCCATTTAAAAATTATTTGTTGAATGAATTGTTATTTTAAAGAACATCCACAAGTTTTGCCTGACTGGGCATGGGAATACATGCCCATCTTTGGACTGAATGTCCATTTTTCCCTTCTTTGATTTATCAAAATATTGGTTAAATGATCAGGACTACCGTCAGAAGGAATTTTATATCTAAAAATAGTTTACCTTCTATGGATGTAAAAAATAGTTGTAGTAGTTCTGGCTTTTATATTATTCGATGTTTCAAAGCGGTTTTTTTTTTCCATCACCATATTCTACGTTCTTGAAAAGTACTCGTTCATGTGACTGCTATCATTTATGCTTGTGCATCACGTAGATACAGGAGAGAAGATAAGGAAAATGCTTACCCTGTGTCTCCTTCCCTGTAACACAGTTTTTTTTACCATATTGATTCTCCACTTTCTACTCCCTAAGTAAAATTTTGCAACAGGCATTTGGGAAACTCTGGATACAAGAAAAAAATTTTAATATTGTACAAAGAGACAAGAGGTGACTTCTTTTTTATTTTTCATTTAGAGTTTATAGTTTAATTAAAGAAAATGCACATATATCTAAAGATAATCATGGATAATACACTCATGTAATTACTACTTTCAGTGGTTGTAACAACAGCCAAAGCACAAACAGAAATGAGAAAGAATTATCAGCATTATGCAAGTACATATCCTCTTTAAGAATTCCTGTTATAGTGAAAGCATTAAAATAATTGAACACGTACAGAGACCATATACTTTGTGATCTTTTTAAAAAAGTATTCAAAATATATTTCTGTGTGCAAAACATTTTCATAATGGTCTTGTTTAAATGAAAGTATTTAGAATAGCACATTGTAAAATTATGCTGCAGAGCACAAGTATTTTTCTCTTTAGAAGACACATAATAAAATAGAATCATCAGTGTTTTTTCATAAACATGAATCTTTAGAGTGTTACTTGATCCTGCATAATAAGGGTACTTTTTTGCTTAATGTAAGCATAGTATACTAATTCTTTTAAACTTCAGAAAGCATATTTACAGTCTAGGCAGATGGGACATGAAGGTCACACAGCATGAGCAGTGAAATATCTCATTTACCTAGAGTTCTAGAGAGAATTTTAGGAACTCTTATTTATTATCAGTGCATAAACAAGAGTAAACTCTACAAAACTGTTTGCAAAACTCTCCTCTTTCTACTCAGAAGGCTTTCCCTAGAATAATCATTATGGAGTCTGTCCATCCTTTACTCATTCACTGCATGGGGACAGGTGTTAGTTATGAGATTGGTGAATTTAGAAAGCTAACCAATTTCATACCTATTTTGGGATTCTCAATTCACAAACTTTTGTGCGTTTCTTAATTATTTCCTTTCTTTTTCTTGTAGAGAGCAGTCATGATGGCCTGCACTCCACACAATGCAACAGAGTGAAAGAGCAGGTTCTGCTTCTTTGGTGTAGTCCTGAAGCTTCCTAAGAAACTTCACATCAGGTGATGGATAGGAGCAACCCTGTAAAACCAGCCTTAGACTATTTTTCAAACAGTAAGTAATAAAGGTGACGTTTTGATCTTTATCTGCTTAATTACTTCTGCTATGATTCTATTGATTCTAACATTGAAGGAGCAGTAAATTTATATGTATTATCCAACTATAAAACAATAAATAAACGATATGTCAAATACATTATCACATCCTTATGTTCTTATGATAATATTGTCCTTTTTTTAACAGTTTTTATTCTTATTTGTTGATTGGTTTGTCTTTATGTTGTCCTTTCTACTATCAAACTGAACATGTTGAGGTCATAGGCTATCAAAACTGTACATTTCTGATGCTAACCATAGAGACTTAACAACAGTAAATAGGCCAAAATGGAATGTTGTTAGCCATAGTGTGTATTATTATTTCTTTTATACATGTGGTCACTGTTAGAGGAGTTTATGACTTTTTGCCTAGATTAATGACACACAAACCATCTACAAACGAATCATACCTTATTCCCTCACTGTAATTTTTAATGTTGCTATTTTTGCCTGTTAACATTCCATAGGTTTATCACATTGCTTAAAGATTTAATTTAATTTCTGTAATTGTATATGTCATGAGAGATTGCTTTTAACCTTCCAATGTTCGTGGTCTCATTTTCACTAACATAATCCCAACTTTAGCTGCGCACAATACCACATTTCCCAGCATTCCTTGCATCTGGATATAGCTGTATTCAAATAAGCCGTGTGAAACTTCTGGGATGGCTCCTTAAGTGCAGTTGACTCATTAGGGAGGTATGTCTTTTTTATTTTTCTACACTTTGTGCTGCTGTCCTGGAGTACAGACATGGTGGCTAGAAGCATGAAATCACCTTGAAGGTAGAAGTCATGCATTGAAGTTAGTAAAAGTGAAATGTAAGTGTATAGTTTCCTGATGAAAATGGGAAGCTTATGTACTAGCAACAGAATGCTTATTATGCAGGCTTCCTATATGTAAAAGAGGACAAATTCTCATTTTATTAAGTTTCTGAAAGTAGATTTCTAAATGCTGGTTCTATTTTTTATTGAAAGTAATGGCAAAAAACGCAATGCCTTTTGTACCAACCTAATAGTTAATAAACATATCCTCAAATGAAATGTCTTAGAATTGTGTTCATCAAGTTAATATTAATAATTTATTAGAATAGCACTCTAAAGGGTTGCAGCCTATGCATGAAAATACTTACAAACTACTACATGATAATCAATTCTTTTTGGCAAGACTGCTATTTACATGGACACAAGAGTTATTATAAGAATGTTGTATGTATACATGAATAGTGTCTGTTAAACACTGGATATAATAAAAACAATAGTTTTTCTGTTAATTATAACAATCTGAACATTTTTGTGATTATATTTCACAAATGACACACCATTTTATTTGCAGATTTTTCTTATCCCCAAAGTTTTTGTTAATTTATTACCAACACAGCACACAAGTCTAGTGGCAATGCATTACCTCTGCAGTTGATTTTGAAGTAAGAAGGCCTATTTATTGCATTCATTCCTGCTTAGATGACATCTTAAATTTGTTAATTGGATTATTATGCTCTATTCTATACATTTATTGATTTATAGATTTTGTGGACACAAATTTCAAAACATATTCGAAAATTTGGTGATAGCTTTTTAGAATCTATTCTTCAACATAGTTATTGAAAGTGAACAAGAAGGACCTCCTCTAGAGATTAGGTTGAGAACCACTTCTTTGATTTGTTAAATATGTGTACATGGATACCATGTGGCTTTATTATGAGGAGCCACTTAAGTGGCTGAGTTACAATTCACAAAACATTGTCACAGGGAAAATATCAGGACAAATTTTCAAGTCGCATGCCAAGAAAAGAAACTTTCTGAATGCTTATAAGAAATACCTTAATTAATGGGAGCCCTTCAAAGTACACAAAACATCATAACTAGGAGTTGCAACACAACCAGCAATTTGCTGATTGAAATGCATTCATTCATACTGACTTCACCTGCTGAATGGAATATTGTGCTGTACTGTCCTTAGCTATGGAGAGAGAATTAAGGAATATCCCCTTCTGGTGTTCAACAACAACGAAAGAGCAAGAAAGATATATTCCTAATTTTTAAAGAAGAATGTAGAGATACTTAAACAAGACAATGAAGGTGGTAGAAAGATTATTACCATCCCCAAAGTGTTTGCTCATTAAAACATTTTGTGATTTTCTCTGCCAATATCATACCTGTATGGATAATTGTTTTCCTATCCACACAGTTATGAGAGTGAGAAGATGGAATATAAAAGATGGAACAAGAGGGAATCTGTGTGGTGACCACAGTAATCACAGGCTGGTTGGGATCCTAAACTCGGCCACAGCACAAAAGCATGTTCAAGTTTAAAGTCATGAGAGAGGCCTGGCATAGTGGCTCACACCTATAATCCCTGCACTTTGGGAGGCCAAGGTGGGAGGATTGCTTGGGGCAAAGAGCTCAAGATCAGCCTGGGCAACATAGTGAGATCCCATCTAAAAAAATGTTCTTTAAGTTAGCCTTATGTGGTGGCATGTTCCTGTGGTATCAGCTACTCAGGTGGCTGAAGTGGGAGGGTCACTTGAGCCTGGAGGTTGAGCCATAATCATGCCACTGCACTCCAGCCTTGGTGACAGATTAAGACTCTGTCTCCAAAAGTAAAACACCAAACAACACAAAAAGTAAAGTCACAATAAAATGAGATGCTATTAAGGTTGTTTTAGGTTGATTTTCAACTAGACCAGCATTTAGCCTGTACAAAGGCATATACAAAATAAACCCTAAACCTAAATGGGATTCAGCAGCAGCAGTGTGGGTTAAAGAAGCCACCAGTTCCCTGGAGGCCAGAACCACAGGCCTGTGGCCTTTTTTATTGTTTTGACAGGGAGGTGGAAAGCAGGAGTATAACTACATTCAAGTGTCTGCTCTGTTGCTGTAGGAGAAAATCCGTGCTGTAGCACATCAAAGTTTTTCCAAATTTTATTTCTTAGGACATCTTTGGGGTTTATGTAAGTATTAAATAGAGCTCCCCTAGCCCAGGCTTACACAGGACATATGTCTAGTGTCATAGGTCTGTATGCTTAAATTATAGCAGAAAGTTTGCTAAAATTTAAGTGAAGTAATGTTGAAGGTTGAATCATTTGAAACAAACTACCTGCACCAAAATATTCTTTAGTGTACTGATTTCTATCCCACCCCTAATGAGGCTGAATTTTAATCTTAACTCTGCTTGTAATTAGGTATTTATATGTGTCTGTTATTCATTTTTTAACAAGATGTCTCTTCAGAGATAAAATGAGGGTAGCAAAAAATAATTTTAATAGCCATTTATATGGCTTTGATAACAATTGTCTGTTCTACTTATCTGACTGATTCTAAACTCTAAAGGTTATTTTACAGTTAGTAAATTACATAATTTTTATGCAACAATTTGCCTGCCAGGATTCCTATAATACTTGTCAGCTATCAGTAGGTATAAGCCTGTTAGCCTCTAATGTGAAGATAATATCTCTTTAAGTTATAACGCATTTACAATTGTTACAGTTTCTAAGGTCTTTTTGAAGTTAGAGATGCATCTGAGGATGATGGTTTTCAAGGAGATAGCTCTTTGACAAAAAATGACAATATGGGACTTAGTGTTATATTAATTTACACATTATGTTTTTGCTATAAAGAGATAAAAGGTGTGCTATACTACCTATCAATTACTGTATGCCACATTTTGTAGAATTGTTTTCCATATTATTGTAGAATGTGGCACTTAAATAGTATCATGAAAAAAGTTTATTCAAGAAATAAGACATTAATGAAATATAATTAATATATAAAGACTATATTTAAAAATAATTATGTATTTCTAATCCTAAACTTTTTAAGGTGACATTATTTTTTTCTGTGATATAATTTCAGTTGAGAAGAACTTTAAATTTTAATAAGATTTTAAGATGATTCAGTAATGTTAACATACTTTTCTTCTGTAAATTTTGTTAACAATTTAGCTGCATTAATTAAATATTTATGTAGCTAATTTTAATAGTGATATTTTAATACAATTCTTAATTTTACTCCTGGCTTTCAATCATTCATATATGTTTTTAAAAATTGCTTTTTCCATTGCTTTACTTCTTAATTACTTTTATCAAAGTCTTAATTGTGTGTGGTTGATTTTAAAAGTTAAATATTTCTATAAGATTTATAAAGACAAACTGGGTACAGTGACTCACACCTGTAATCCCAGCACTTTGGGAGGCCGAGGGGGTAGATCACTTGAGGTCAGGAGTTCGAGACCAGCCTGGCCAACATGGTGAAAGCAGTTTCTACTAAAAATACAAAGATATGCCTGGTGTGGTGGTTGGCCCCTGTAATTCCAGCCACTTGGGAGGCTGAGGCAGGAGAATTGCTTGAACCTTGGAAGCGGAGGTTGCAGTGAGCTGAAACCATGCCATTGCACTCCAGCCTGGGCAGCAAGAGCGAAACTCCATCACACACACACACACACACACACAAAATATATATATATATATATATATATATATAAAATATATATATGTATGTATGTATATATACATGTATATGTGTGTGTGTATATATATATATACACACACTATATATATATATATATATATATATACACACACACAATAGAAATGTCCTGGCTATATCTATATTAATAGGTTTTGCACATTTAAACCAAAGTCACACATATGGTTTGATTCTAATTAATTCTAATGCATCTTGCAGGTTTCAAACTGTATTCTATTATGTAATTATCTGCTGATCCACTCTGTATCCTGTTGTGTAAGTTGCGATGATTAACCTCTGCCTTTACGATGTAATCCAAATGTAGCATATAGACCTCAATGATAAGATTGATCATGGTGCATTTAATCATTAATTTATTATTAATCTCTTTTATCCTGGTACTTAGAGTGCAGATTTTTCTCAACAACTATTTACGCAATCATTAAATGAAATACAGCCTTGTGTCACTTAGCAATGAGGATATGTTCTGAGAAGTGTGTGGCTAGGTGATTATCTTACTGTGCAAACTTCATAGAGTGATCAATCTATAATGGTGATAGCAATTTTTCAACCCTATTATAATCTTAATGAGCCATTGTTTTACATGCTGTCTCTTATTGATGTAAACGTTGTTATGTGGCACATGATTATATAAAAGATATTAATCCATTCATTATTTATGCATTCATCCATTTGACCTATGGTAGTGTTCTATTGAAAATGAGTCATCGTGATACAGAAATCCACTGTTAGTTGTTTTTACTTTCTCTTGTTCGTGGGGAAGAGTGGGTATTGATTTTAAAAGTCTAAAGAATGGGGTATTGTGAATAGTGCCGCAATAAACATACGTGTGCATGTGTCTTTATAGCAGCATGATTTATAATCCTTTGGGTATATACCCAGTAATGGGATGGCTGGGTCAAATGGTATTTCTAGTTCTAGATCCCTGAGGAATCGCCACACTGACTTCGACAATGGTTGAACTAGTTTACCGTCCCACCAACAGTATAAAAGTGTTCCTATTTCTCCACATCCTCTCCAGCACCTGTTGTTTCCTGGCTTTTTAATGATTGCCATTCTAACTGGTGTGAGATGGTATCTCATCGTGGTTTTGATTTGCATTTCTCTGATGGCCAGTGATGGTGAGCATTTTTTCATGTGTTTTTTGGCTGCATAAATGTCTTCTTTTGCGAAGTGTCTGTTCATGTCCTTCGCCCACTTTTTGATGGGGTTGTTTGTTTTTTTCTTGTAAATTTGTTTGAGTTCATTGTAGATTCTGGATATTAGCCCTTTGTCAGATGAGTAGGTTGCGAAAATTTTCTCCCATTCTGTAGGTTGCCTGTTCACTGTGATGGTAGTTTCTTTTGCTGTGCAGAAGCTCTTTAGTTTAATTAGATCCCATTTGTCAATTTTGGCTTTTGTTGCCATTGCTTTTGGTGTTTTAGACATGAAGTCCTTGCCCACGCCTGTGTCCTGAATGGTAATGCGTAGGTTTTCTTCTAGGGTTTTTATGGTTTTAGGTCTAACGTTTAAGTCTTTAATCCATCTTGAATTAATTTTTGTATAAGGTGTAAGGAAGGGATCCAGTTTCAGCTTTCTCCATATGGCTAGCCAGTTTTCCCAGCACCATTTATTAAATAGGGAATCCTTTCCCCATTGCTTATTTTTCTCAGGTTTGTCAAAGATGAGATAGTTGTAGATATGCGGCGTTATTTCTGAGGGCTCTGTTCTGTTCCATTGATCTATATCTCTGTTTTGGTACCAGTACCGTGCTGTTTTGGTTACTGTAGCCTTGTAGTATAGTTTGAAGTCAGGTAGCGTGATGCCTCCAGCTTTGTTCTTTTGGCTTAGGATTGACTTGGCAATGCGGGCTCTTTTTTGGTTCCATACGAACTTTAAAGTAGTTATTTCCAATTCTGTGAAGAAAGTCATTGGTAGCTTGATGGGGATGGCATTGGATCTATAAATTACCTTGGGCAGCAAAGACTTGGAACCAATCCAAATGTCCAACAGTGATAGACTGGATTAAGAAAATGTGGCACATATACACCATGCAATACTATGCAGCCATAAAAAATGATGAGTTCATGTCCTTTATAGGGACATGGATGAAATTGGAAATCATCATTCTCAGTAAACTATCGCAAGGACAAAAAACCAAACACCGGATGTTCTCACTCATAGGTGGGAATTGAACAATGAGAACACATGGACACAGGAAGGGGAACATCACACTCTGGGGACTGTTATGGGGTGGGGGGAGGGGGGAGGGATAGCACTCGGAGATATACCTAATGCTAGATGACGAGTTAGTGGGTGCAGCACACCAGCATGGCACATGTATACATATGTAACTAACCTGCACATTGTGCACATGTACCCTAAAACTTAAAAGTATATAAAAAAAAAAGGGGGGGGTATACACACAATCAGGTGTCAAGCAGTGGCACCTCGTGCAAAATAATAAACTCATCTAAGATCCTAGCAGTTCATTCTGAAAATAAAGCTGGAAATATATCTTGGATATGTAAAATGTGAGTGTAAAAATTAATGAAACTAAGCAATGGGAATATGAGTAGTAAATTATTTGAGAAAATATTATAACATTTACTTTTTTAAATTTCAAAACTATATTTCCTTATTTAAAACTGAAAATTTTTGTGTACATATAGGAAACTAATTGTGTCATTTTTCTTTTTGTTACAATATAGAGTGATGTTTCAAAACACAAACATAATAGGTAGAGTCAATTACTTAGGGGAGTCTAAACCTGGAGGTAACATTAGAAATAGAAATAATAAAATGCAGTGTTTTTGGATTTGTCTGTTAAGATTATTTTAATCCAGATCATATTTAATGGTTTACATAGTTGTATATCAAATTTGGTTTCAGAAATAAATTATACAGTAAATTTAAAAATGCAAAAAATGTATATTGTTATACATTCTGTAACCTATGAATCCATATAACTTGGGCAAGAAAATTATATAATTAAAAATAAAACCTTTCTGTTCTCAATTATGTTTTAGGGACAGCTATATAGTTCACACTCACAAAGGAATCATAAAAACTCTATGTATAATCTTGGAAGTAAAAATATCTGTTGTATCATATTTATGAAGTATACAATTGATTAAAAATGATAATGTCTGTCTTCTATCCAACGGCAATAACAGAAGATAATGGCATATAAGTAGGCCTGTCTCCTTTTTTTTGGCATTGATTTATATATCTTTACTAGCTTTGTTGTTTTAACTCCAATAAAAGATTATTTAGTAAGCCAAAGCAAAAAAAAAAAAAAAATCCTGTGAGCAGCCACAAACTGAAAGACTACGATTTTTAGTCAATGTCCTAAGCGACACAGTAATTTTAGGTTAACCAATGTGTCAAAGAGAATGAGGAAAAATTATTACAAAAATGAATAAATAAACTGGTCTAGGTCAAACCGTACTCCTTCTAAAGAGAGTAGTCAACTGATATTAAAGCCTGTGACGTAGTATGTGCCATATTGAGTATGCAATATCTAAATATTTCTTTTTTTTCTTTCTCCAGCTACTGCAAACCCTAATTGTTTCCTTATCCGATCACTTTAAAGTCATTCAGCAAATCATAATTATGCCATTGTTAACATCAGAAACTGAAAACCTACTGTCAAAAGTGAGCTAAAATATCATATTTGGATTTATTTATAAATTTATTTTATAAAAAGATTGACTTTCAATTTGAGAATAACATAAAAAATCAATTCATTCCTCTGTGCATCAATATTGTATCATTGGTAGTTTAAACTTTTCATCTAATATTAGATTGCATGCAGGATTTTATATCTAATTACTCTGGCAGATGGCCTTTAGAAAGTTCAAAAATAAAATGCAGCAATTCATATTGGCAGATTTACTATTGAGACCAATGCTTTCTTAACTAAAAGGTTTTGTTTAAAATCGTTAGTTTAGGAAATCTGATAAAGATTTTTGAATATCAGAGCGTTTAAAAGAGATTCTTACTTTACATCTGGCATATTTCTTGTGTTACATATTATAATTTCATTGAACATGGCTGTCTGTAAAACTATGTATATGATCCGGAAGAGACTCAAATTAAATTAAGTTTTAACAGCCATCAATTCATTTTAAAATGACACAGGCATGAAAAATGATCTATCAAGATTTGTAAATCTTATTCTGTTAGCTATTGCTAGAGATAGTCTAAAGGTATTCTACTTGGAATTTGAGATCAAGACAAAGATTTTCTGTTGGTAATAATATTCAGATTATTTTTATTTTAATGTATAAATTTAAAATTCTTAGAATATTTTCAACAATATTTTCCATTTCTAAATTTATTTTATTTCTAAACAAATGTAATTACTTTATTTATTAACTTTTATTTTCAGTTCAGGGGTATATGTGCAGGTTTGTTATATAGGTAAACCTATAGGTAAATAGGTATACAGATTATTTTGTCACCCAGGCATTAAGCCTATGCGCGTTAGTGAAAAATGTTATTGCTTTAAATATCCAAATTATTCAGCTGCATTTGAACTCATTCTTTAGTCCAATGTAAGTAAGAGTAAAACAATGACATTTAAGGCCACCAGGCTATTCTCATTTTTGGAAAAATGCTGGATTACATTACCAGCATATTAAATGAGAATATCAAGGTGTAATATCTCCCTAGAAATTGTCTCACCTTCAATACTATTGACATTTTTGGACCTGATAATTTTGTTGTGGGCTCTAGCCTCATGTTATAGGAGGTTTACCAGTTTTCCTGCCCTAAACTTACCGGATGTGAATAGCATCTTTGGAATCTTCAGAACCTCTTTAGAGTTTGGGATTTAAGAGTCAGTAGGTAGATAGTGAGCTTAAGATGCCAAACACAACATATAAAGCTATAAAAATCCATATGATCTTGAAAGATTAAATGGAAGCCCAGCACAAAACAATTGCTGAGTATATTATTTACATTATCTGAAAGTATGCCAGACAGACACTTTATATGTTAATAAAGATATGAGAAAGAAAATTCCAAAGAGTTTCTAAAAAGTGAACAACCACAAAATTTCAATAGCTTGCAACAGACATTTTCTTCTCACTCATGTTACCTGATGGAAAATCAAATGGCTGCCTGGAGACAGCATGGAGGGAGAGACTGATTACTGAGGTGCACAAGAAAACTTTTCATAATGATGGTTGTGAATGTAGTGATATTTCCAAAAGTATATACATATATATATATATCTATCTCAAATTTGACCACATCACACATTTCAAGTATACTGAATTGACTGTGCATCTCTTATTATACCCCAGGAAAGTTGAAGATATGACAATGAAAAAAAAATTCTTCCACCGACTACCCATCAATTTTCTTCTCATTAGCCTCACAGATTTCACAGTTAATTAAAGGGAAGATGCAAATATGTTCAAACTGTACATATTCTGAGGCCCATACCTTGCCATTAGCTCAATAAAGAGAGACATTGTCCCTGGCATGAAAATGAAAAACTTGCACACTCCCTAGGTGGCTTCTGGACACTCTTAAGACATGAACACACTTTGGGGGCTCACCCTGTCAGGCTTTGCTCTCTGAGCTTAGATGAGAAAAACACAAAAATAAAACCAAAAGGTGACATTTAGGTGCCCATCAAGAAAGATGTGTTGGGAACTGGACAGGTCAGGGCTTTAAGTACTGTATCTTACTGTATGTTTAAGTACTGTATGTTACTGTGGAAACTTACCCATTTTCCCCTCAGAACAACTCTGTCTCAGGAGGTGAGTCTGAGAGCTACTGTTTCTTTGTAAAGGTTTTATCTGATCAGGCCCACGGTCACCACGTCAGCCCCACTGCCCCTAAATAGTTTGAATCTTGATGTTTTGATTTCAAGGACTTCTGATTCTAGCTACATAGCTTTGTCCATTTCCCACCTTACCACTGTTTACTTTGAATTTTGTTGCATGCCGAGACCAGTGACTGCCACAAATGTGACTGTTCCTAGAATCTGCTTTCTGCTCTGATCTTTAGTCAGTGCGCAGACTCTAACATAAACTCCTTTCTATCGTATTTTCTTGAGTCCAAGAGCCCATAGATTGTATAATGCACTATTTTATGTCCCGTTAAGCAAGTAATTCGCATTGTGGCTAATTAAACTAAGACATACCACTGAATTGTAAAATGCATTATATTTTCAGGAGATATTAAAATATGAAATGTATAGGTCTTGGAATAGATGAATTGTGACAGTATCTTTGGAAAGCTAATTCAGTTGCAGTATTGCTTAAGATGTCTTTAAGAGCTGACTTCCTTTAGTTGGAATACATATGTAAATTATTTGCAGAGGAGATTTACCTCTTTTATCTCATTCATTTGTTTATTCAGTCATTTATTGATATCAATATGGACTAAGGAAAATTACATTTTTGGGTATAATCCAAATATAATACCAATTAATGTATTGTGTTGCTAAAATTATTCTAGAAATTGAAAGACCTTTCACTTGGCCCCTGTGCTTGTTTGACATATCTCACAAATAGATTTTTGTTAGTATTTTCATAATTTCTGGCACTAGAGGATGTCCCAGGCTCATCTTGTGTATTTTCTTCCCCATTCTTAGAATCAGCCACTTTCAAAGACGCCCTGCTTTCTATATATGAAATCAATATTTAAGTGCTAGCTGTGCCTGTAGCTAAGGGAATATCAATTTTTTCATAGCTCTCTAAGATGAGAGAGCAAAGAAACAATGTGTATATTCTTACACATATGTAGACACATATCTTTAAATATTTCTATATGTAAACATCTATATTAGTCCATTATCCCATTGTTATAAAGAACTACCTGATCCTAGGTAATTTATAAAGAAAAGAGCTTTAATTGCCTCACAGTTGCACAGGCTGTACAGGAAGCAAGGATGGGGAAGCCTCAGAAAACGTACAGTCATAGCAGAAGGCAAAGAGGAAGCAGGCACATCTTACATGGCTGGAGAAGGAGGAAGAGAACTAAGGGGGAGATGCTACACACTTTTAAACAACCAGATTGTGTGAGAACTAAGTCATTATCACAAGAACAGCAAGGAGGAAATCTGCCCCCATAATCCAATCCCCTCCCACTAGACCCCTCCTTCAACACTGGCGATTACAATTGGACGAGAGGTTTGAGAGGGGACAAAATGTAAACCATATCACCATCTATGTCTATATTAAGCTAAACATGGGTTCTTACTGATGTCACTACCTCTAACCTAGTCCCGCAAGCATCAATGCCTTCCTGTATCTCTAAACCCCCACTCCAACAATAAAAATCCTGACTCTTATTTTGTGACATCTATTTAGTTAATTGTTCACTTCCAGTATATGTATATAGCTGTACCAGAATTGATAACCTGCCCTTAGTAGAAGAACATCTTTATCAACTAAATTAAATGCCTTCGTACAAGTTTCTTTTGCCTTTCATCTTAAGAGACTGCACTCATTTTCAATATCACTTTGACTAGCACCCTTTCCCTTAAGTCCCTCACTGAAGTTATTTTGTATGGTTCATAATAGAGCTAGATAAATTTGTAACAGTCTGCATTCCATCCTGAGATTCTACAACCTTTTAATTAATTTTTAATTAAAAATATAACTTTTATTTTGGTAAATATTAGCACTTCTGTGCCACACTACTATATATAAATATCAAAAAAAGGTCCAGAAAGCTATAGAAAATTTAAGTAAAGTGCTGAATGTTGAACCTAACAATAACTGGGCTAAAGTAAGTACAGAAGGCAATTTTTTATTTACGTAAATTTGTGGGATACAAATATAATCTTATTACCTCCATAAAGTACGTAGTGTTGAAGTAAGGGTTTTAGAATATACATCACCTGAAAAATGTACATTGTACTCATTACATAATTTCTCATCATCCCCTCCTCCCACCCTCCTGAAATTTCCAAGTCTCTGTTGTCTATCATTCCACATTCTATGTCCATGTGTATACATTATTTAGCTTCCAGTTATAAGTGAGAACATGCAGTATTTGTCTTTCTGTGTCTGATTTGTTTCACTTAAAATAATGACCAGTTACATCCATGTTGTTACAAAAGACATGATTTTATTCTTTTGTATAGCTGAATAGTATTCTATAGCGCATATATGCCAGATTTATTAATGTAATCATCCACTGAGGGACACATTGCTATTGTGAATAGTGCTGTGATAAACATATGGGTGCAGATACCTTTTTCATACAATTATCTGTTCTCCTTTGGGTAGATCTCCAGTAGTGGGATTGTTGGGTGAAATTGCGGTTTTATTAAGAATGTATATTCTGTAGTTGCTGGGTAGTATTTTCTGTAAATGTCAGTTAGGTCTATTTCATCTAAGGTTGAATTTAAGTCTTAGGTTTATTTGTTTTCTGTCTTGATGATAACATTTAATGCTGTGAGTGAGATGGTAAAGTCCCCCAGTATTATCGTATTGCTGTCTATTCCTTTTTTATGTCTAGTAATATTTATTTGATGAATCTTGGTGGTCTAGTGTTGGATGCATATGTGTTTAGAATTGTTATATCCTCTTGCTGAATTGATCCCTTTATCATTATGTAATGACTTCCTTTGTCATTGTTATACTGTTTTAGATTTAAGTTCTGTTTTACTTGATATAAGTATAGCTATTCCTGCTTGCTTTTAGTCTCCGTTACATGGAGTATCTTTTTTCACCCATTTACTTTAAATCTGTATGTGTCTTTACTTTTCAGTCTGTATGTGTCTATATGTTTCTTGTAAGCATAATATTTTTGGATCATTTTTTAGTTCGTTCCATCAATCTACCTTTCTTTTTTTTTTTTTTTTTACTTTTAGATGGAGTTTCACTCTGTCATCCAGAGTGGAGTGCAGTGGCGCAATCTTGGCTCACTGCAAACTCCGTCTTGCAGGTTCAAGCGATTCTCCTGCTTCAGCCTCCCAAGTAGATGGGATTACAGGTGCCGGCCACCACGCCTGGCTAATTTTTGTATTTTTAATGGAGATAGGGTTTCACTATGTTGGCCAGCCTGGCCTCGAACTCCTGACCTCGTGATCCACCCACCTCGGCCTCCCAAAGTGCTGGGATTACAGGTGTGAGCAACTGCACCTGGCCCAATATCTATCAATCTATATATTTTAAGTGGAATGTTTAATTCATTTACATTCAAGGTTAATGTTAATACATGAGGTTTTCTTTCTGCCATATTGCTGTTTGTTTTCTACTTGTTTTATAAGTTCCTTGGGGTTATTTTGTTGTTGTTTTTTGTTTTTCTTTCTGTGTGTCTCTTTGTCTTTGTGGTTTGGTGGAAATCTGTTGTGTTGCTATTTGATTGCTCGTCCTACTTTGTGTGACTGTTTTACAAGACCTATGAGTTTGCTACTTTCATGTGTTTTGATGATGATGATGAATGTTGACCTTTCATTTTTGTGTTTGGGACACCTTTGAGTATTTCTCATAGGACTCGTTTGGTGGTGACGAATTCCCTCAGTGTGTGCTTGTCTGGAAAATACTTTGAATCATTTCAAGAAAATTAGCAGTGAGTTATGTCAATCAAGCCATTGGTTTGTATTTGGTGGCACATTTACTCTGTATTATTTCACACTAGAACCATCTGAGTTAAGTTTTATTATTTGCTATATGTTGCAGATGAAGAAACTGAAGCTGAGAGAGGTTTAGTGAATGACTGAAAAGGTTGTCAGGCTGCAGGGAAAAAAACAAAACAAAACTGTACGACTAGCCTGCAATGCTTCCCAAAGTATGTAGCTTATTATTATTGGTCACTTTTTGAGTACAAAATGCTGTGCTATGTAACAAAATAATACAATGTACATATGTATAAAAGTTAACATATACATATCAATTAACATAAGCATAACTGTAATCACATATACTGATAAATAAAAATATAAAGTAATATATGGTAATGACCCAACCATTTGCCTAAGTTTCATGTATTACAGAAGTTTTGAGGAGGGACTTCAGCTGTATGCAAATCAGCAATTCGGGTTGTACAGTTGATTACCCATTAGTTCAGAATTTTAATAATTTAAAATATATTTATTAAGAACCTAACAATTGGAAGACCTTACAATAGGTGGGAAAATTCGACAGATGAATAATGCTTAGGAGATATCAGCATGTTTTGGAAGGATATTCCCATGAAGAGAAAAAGTATTGTGGGAAGTGTGGGAAGTGTTATGGTGCGAGAGTAATATAGGTTCCAGCATGTGTTTACATTATTTTGTTGGAGGTGTTGGGGAACCTTTCATGGAAGGTGTGTGGTAGACTGTTGGACAGGTTTCCTCAACTTTCGTTCCACTCTTTGAAGAGGTTAGAAAATTAAAACAAAACAAGCAATGCAGCTTCCCTTGAGCTAGCTTTATGCATGCAGCTTAGACCACTTACCGATTGTTTGCATATGAATCAGACTTAGAAAAATGGAAGAGATCAAAGCCTGTCTTGCTATTGTTGATTCTGGCAAGTGAAATCATGGGGACAATAGTTCAGAAGTAGTGGAAGTGGTAGGATTCAATATCCTTGTGCCTAATCCCCAGTTTCATGGGCATAAGAGGCTTAAAGTTTTAATAGCAGGAGCATCTTTTTGACCCAGGATTGCAGAAATGATTGCGTGCCTTTGAATTCAAGAACTCAAAACCTTCCTCCATGCCACAGCTACTTTAGTTATTTTAGCCCTTCCTATTGTATATGTATGAAATGCACTTTCTGCTTAAGATACCTATTGCGGTTTTTATTTCCTTATTAAAACCTTGGAAAAATATAGCACTTAAATTATGTTTTGTAGAAATTCACTAAGCAAATAAAGCTAAAGGGGGAGAGAGTTAACCTTCTCTGCCCCCTTTTTATCAGAAGTTAGTTGTAGAAGAAATACACAATTTTTGCGCAATGTTAGCACCATCTAAGTTCTGTAGGTCTGGAACACAGACTGGTTAAATGAGCATTTCAGGAGCGCTATAGTTGCAAAGTTAAGCAGTCACCACAATTTTATGTGTCATACAAAGATTTTTAACTTTATGTTTAAGCAACGAGCCTAGAAGCAAATGGTATTTCCATCAAGAATTGTCTCATATAAAGTAGAGCGTTTTGGAAAATGGAGTTATTAATAGATAAAAACATGTTTATACAGTTGGTTTCTAAGTATGACAAACCTATTTCTTGGTAAATTGCAAGTCCATTCCACCTGTGTTTGTAGGCTCATTTGCCTAAAAGTCTTGGGATTTTTTTCTGATGATCTATTAAATTTTCTTTCTGATTATCTTTTCTAATGCTGTAATAGCATTTCTAACACTGTAATGAAAGAGAACAAAAGTACACGCTTGCTCATCATTTACTAATTCTAAAAATATATATTGAATACATCTATGTAGCAGGTACTGTGGTAGGTGTGGAAGATAGTTGAGACAGGTAACAAGCCCAACATTACGGAGCTTAGCATCACCACCTAGAAGAGTTTTTAAAAAACATAGATAAGTGAATCATGATTATAAAGACAAAGAGATTCTTGCCATATAATTACATATAAGCAAATTTAGGATGTGATGAAAGATTTTGATATTGGTCTTCTGATTTGGCTGTAGGATGAAGTGTTTATAAGTCATCCCAAGGAAGAAACAATTCAGATGAGAACTATTCAATGGATTTGCAATAACAATCCAAAGATGGAAGAAGACACTTCTAGGTAGACAAAATTGCAAGTATAGAGAATGTAAATTAAGAGAGAGCTTAGCTTTCAGATGAATTAAAAGATTGTGGTGATCAGAATGTAGAGATTGACGAGAGACAAATGAAATAAAACTAGAAGGACAAGTAGAGATTTGTGGGTCAAGTTTTAAAATTTTATTATAAATGCACTGATACTGTTCTGAACATTTTCTTACACATGGAAATTTAATGATTATGGCTATTGAAAAATGTAACTCTTCATTTATATTTTTCCGAGAATGAAATCGGTGGAATTGCTGGGGGGTGAAAATGTCCAATGCGAAACAGGAGGCTAATTTAAGAAGGGATACTGCAAAATTGGTCATGATGGCTCAAACTGCTGTTCATAATAGAGAGAAGAAAATGGATAGAGTTACATATGGATGAGAGTAAATTGACAAGGCTAAATGCTAAAACGTGGGTAGTGACAGAAAGTAGGTGTCAAAATAGACTTCCAGGAAAAGAAAAAATGGGTCTACAGAAGAGCCAAATGCTGATGTGGGTTACATGATCCTGAGCAGATGCAGTTGTAATTGGTTAAGTAAAGTAAGTTCTTAAGATAGATTTGGCCTGGCGCTATACATTCTAGAGCCCTTGAATATAAGTGGGATATAAAACCATGGGAATGACTGTATTTGTCTAAGGAGAGAATTTGGCAGAAGAAAAGGAGACATAAGATGAAATGCAGAGGAAATTCAAATTTAATTGGCAGGTGTAGGAAGACAAGGAGATGACAAAAGGAACTGGAAATGAGTAATCAGAGACAGAAAAGTAAAAGTAAGAGTAGAATGTCATGGAAGGCAAATAATTGGAATGTTTCAAGATCAGGGAAATGGGCAATAAAGAGAAGAAAAAAATAGTGACCAGAGGGTATAGTAATGTGTAGAAATTCATCCTGTGTTAGGTTTGATTGCTTAGACGTTTTATATAAAAATCTTTCCCAGAGAGTAATAAAACAGAAGTGAGGTTAGAGAAAGAACATACGATTTAGCCAAAAGGTGGGAAAAGTTAGGAAATGAAGAATAAATATGTTTAAAGATAATGTTATGGCTACTCAATGTACAACCTCTTTTCTTTCATTATTTTTAATTGTCATATTTAAAAATAGTAATTACCACTTTTAAAAATTGTCTTATTATTTGTTACATAAGAAAATGCATTAATTCAAGCCACATAGTATCATTTATATTATGACTGTCGAAACATTACTAGAATTACTAGAACTATTAACCTAATGGCCTGAAAATTTCAACTCACTTCCCTAGCTGTCCTGATGATCATTAGTGAAAGGAAAGACTCCATTAGATAATGCTTACTTATAGAGAACTGGTTATATCTGTCTCATTTCCATACATATATCTGTATAAATTAATTTGATTAATAAAACAAACACAAGGCACAAACAACAAAACACAATTTATAAATGTCATTGAAAAATGCATGCCTGTACAATTTGGGTATTTGTAATTGTAAATTGATATACTTCATTTTTTATCCAGGAGTTACTTAGATTGAAACTTTACCTAATGTATGATAAAATAATACGTGATTAAATTTAAAAACATGATGAATTTATTTAAAATTGGCTTCAATAATGTCAGAAAGTAATAAAATAAAATGATTCCTTCAAAGACTGCACCTGTTTATTGCCTGAGATTATCTCTCTTGGCCACAAATCAATATTACTTTCTTTCATTCATCAGTGATAAAGCTTTTCAATAATTCTAATTTTAAAGGATGATTACAGCAAGTATATAGTCATTGATTGCTTAAAGGTTGCAGCTAAAATGAACACAATGGTCATTTTATTTTTAATAAATGAGCCCTTTTGAAAAGTCAAGCATTTTTCCTCTCACAAAACTTTGTGTAATAAGATTATAGATTTGATCATGTATGAGTTTGCACTGTGTGTGTGTATATATGTGTGTGTGATTTCAGCGATAAAGTTCACTGTTCCACAGCTGGCAATTTCTTCTGCTTAATTGAAAATTCCGTTTTAAAATATTTCTTTAAAGTTCTAAAATGGGTTTAAATGGGTTCATGAGCTGTAATACTATTAAAAATATATATATCTACATATTTGTTGATTCTTCTCAGTTTAAGAAGTGGAGCTTCATACTCCTCCCCTTGAAGGCAGGCTAAGCTGAGTGACTCCCATCTAAGAAATAAAACACCACAGGATTGGAATGTTACCTTCTGAGACAAGGTCACAAAGGCTAGGGTTTTAATTTTGAGTGAACTAATTTGCTCCTTACTGGTGTTTCTCTCTCTTTCTCTCCTTCAACTCTTTACGAGCCCAGCCACCATGCAAATAATTCCAAACTATCTTTTCTAGAAAGCTCACATGAAGAACCGAGGCATCCTATCTGATATCCAGCCAAATGATTAAACATTCTAGAAGCAGACTATGATGCACTGAATTTGTGAAATCCTAACCCCCAGTGTAATGATAGTAGGAGGTGGAGCTTTTGGTAGATGATAGTCTGTCTTCATGTTGGGGATTAGTGCCTTGATTATTATTTTTTATTTTTATTTTTATTTATTTATTTATTTATTTTTTGAGACAGAGTTTTGCTCTGTTACCCAGGCTGGAGTGCAGTGGTGCCATGTCAGCTCACTGCAGCGTCTGCCTCCTGGGTTCAAGTGTTTCTTCTGCCTCAGCCTCCTGAGTAGCTGAGTAGCTGAGACTACAGGTACGCACCACCACACCTGGCTAATTTTTGTATTTTTAGTAGAGACGGGGTTTCACCATACTGGCCAGGCTGGTCTGGAACTCCTGACCTCGTGATCTGCCTGCCTCAGCCTCCCAAAGTACTGGGATTACAGATGTGAGCCACCGTGCCCAGCCGGGGATTAGTGCCCTTGTAAAAGAGACCCCAAAAAGCGTCCTTGCCCCTTCTGCCATGTGAGCTAGAGGACAGTAATCTATGAACTAAAAAATGGGCTCTGACCAGACACCAAATCTGCAAGCACCTTGATTTTGCACCATCCAGCCTCCGGTACCATTAGAAACGTTTCTGTTGTTTATAAGCTACCCTGTCTATGGTATTCTGTAGCGACAGTGCAAACAAACTAAGACACGGACCTTCCAACACAAGTTAAAGGCTTCAGGGGATGCTGCCTGGGTCAACAACATGACAGCAACCTTTACTCATGAGAGACTTCGAGTCAGAACCACCTACCCAAATCCATCATTTCCCTGACTTCTATAAATTGTGTCATACATATTTGTTATTTTAAGCCATTAAGTTTTAGGGTAATTTTTAAATGGAAAAATACATGATCATAGGTAAACTATAATTAATAGAAAAATCTAATGCCAATAATATTTACCATTGATTGACCGTCAAAACTCCATTAATTATTTGCTTTCCATTTATATTTATTTTTGGATTTCTTTTTTAAGAGAATGGCACCTGTGACAGCATACTGTTAATATTACCCTTTTATCGTACTTTACCATGCCATCTCTGAAGAATATTACAGACCATTTTGGAGCATGGTGAATAAGAAATTTTCACCTTAGGAGTTCACTTGAATAGTCATTTTTATATTTGTGACTGCAAGTCACTTTTAGGGGCTGTACTTCCTTAGTACTGGTAGCATTATTATCCAATGGACTTTTTTAGCTTTCATTAGGTTTTCTTTTGTTTTTGTTCTTTAAAGAACGTTTTACTTGTCTTAGTATTTCATTTTTTAATCTATACTATGAGGCAGTAAGAGTCTTCTGTTTTTCCAAAGTGGAGACTGCTTTATATTTATTTCGTATTGTCTACAGCTGTAGTGTTCAATACATTAGCCACTAGCCACATGTGGTTATTTAAATAAGATGAAATAAAAATTGGCCGGGCGTGGTGGCTCACGCCGGTAATCCCAGCACTTTGGGAGGCCGAGGCGGGCAGATCATTAGGTCAGGAGATCGAGACCATCCTTACTAAGACGGTGAACCCCCATCTCTATTAAAAATACAAAAAATTAGCCGGGCGTGGTGGCGGGCGCCTGCAGTCCCAGCTACTCAGGAGGCTGAGGCAGGAGAATGGCGTGAACCTGGGAGGCAGAGTTTGCAGTGAGCCGAGATGGCGCCACTGCACTCCAGCCTGGGGGACAGAGCGAGACTCCATCTCAAAAAAAAAAAAGAAAATTAAAAATTAAGTTCTTTAGTTGCACTAGCCATATTTCAAATACTTGATGGATACATGTGGCTAGTGGCTAACATAAGGGATAGCACAGATATAAAACATTTCCTCGTCATATAAAGTTCTATTGGATAGTGCTGGTCTGTAGCTTATAGGATGGTATCTTAGTCTGCTTCAGCTGCTAAAACAGAATACCATAAATTAGGTAGCTTAAACAGTAGATATTTTGACCAGGCGTGGTGGCTTATGCCTGTATTCCTAACACTTTGGGAGGCCGAGGCAGGTGGATAACTTGAGCTCAGGAGTTTGAGACTAGCCTGGGCAGCATGGCAAAACCTTGTCTCTACGAAAATCAGCTGGGCATGGTGGTGCACGCCTGTAGTCTGAGCTACTTGGGAGGCTGAGGTGGGAGAATTGCTTGAACCTGGGAGGCGGAGGTTGCAGTGAGCCATGATCGCACCACTGTACTCCAGCCTGGATGACAGAATGAGACTGTGTCTCAAAAAAAACAAAAACAAACAAACAAAAAAACAGATATTTCTCACAGTTCTGGAGACTGGAAGTGCAAGATCAAAGTGTTGGCAAATTGTGTTTCTTAAAGAGGGCCTGCTTCCTAGATTGGAAATGGCCATCTTCTCTCGGTATCCTCACATGGTAGGGAGAAAAGCAGCTCTAGTGTCTCTTCTTATAAAGGAAGTAATGCCACCATAGGGGCTCTATTCTCATGACCTCATCTAAACCTAATTCTCTCCTAAAGGCCACGCCTCCCAGTATCCTCACCTTGGGGGTTAGGGCTTTATGATATGAATTTTTTTTTTTTTTTTTTTTTTTTGAGACAGAGTCTCGCTCTGTCTGTCACCCAGGCTGGAGTGCAGTGGCACAATCTCGGCTCTCTACAAGCTCCGCCTCCTGGGTTCACGCCGTTCTCCTGCGTCAGCCTCCTCAGTAGCTGGGACTAAGGCGCCCGCCACTGCGCCCGGCTAATTTTTTGTATTTTCAGTAGAGACGGGGTTTTACCATGTTAGCCAGGATGATCTCGATCTCCTGACCTCATGATCCACCCGCCTCGGCCTCCCAAAGTGCTGGGATTACAGGCATGAGCCACCGCGCCCGGCCTATCATATGAATTTTGAGGGAACACAAACATGCAGTCTGTAGCAGATGGTAATAGGCTGACATATTACACTTGTTGATGTAAATCTGATAGGTTTCTTTCTCTCCAAGGACAGCTTTTTAAATATTTAACAGTATCAATAATTTTTCAGGTTCTGTGAGAATTTTATAATTTATAATTTGCAGACTTAACGTATAATCTATTTTGTCCTAACAATTACAAATATATTTTTTATTTCAGATTGTATATATTCCTACCAGATGGAGATAATTACAGCTTTAAAAATTTTTATTTTTTCATTTTATTTCACACATTGACATTAAATTTTTATGGACACATAATAACTGTACATATATATGGGGTAGAATGTGATGTTTTAATACATGTACTCAATGTGTAATGATCAAATCAGGGTAATTTGCATAATGATTTTTCTGTAGGGAGAAAATTCAAAATCTACTCTTCTGGCTATTTTCAAATATATAATATGTTATTGTTAACTATACTCATCCTACTATGCAATAGGACACCAGAACTTATTCCTGGGTTCTACATCCGTTAAGGCAACCAAGGATTGGAAATATTGGAAAAAAAAATTGCGTCTGTACTGAACATGTACAGACTTTTTTCTTGTCCTTATTCCTTACACAATATAGTACAATAACTATTTGCATGACATTTACATCGGATATTATGAGTGATCTAGAGTTGATATGAAGTATATGGGAGGATGTGCAAAGGTGATGTGCAAATACTATGTCATTTTATATCAGGGACTTGAGTATCCTTTGTTACCCTCAGGAGATCCTGAAACCAGTCCCCCATGGATACTGAGGGCTGACTGTATAGTCCTATCCTCACGGAACTTTCATTCTAATGGGGGAAGACTGACTATAAACAAAATATATGTAATAGGTGGTGGTAAGTACCGTGGAGAAGTAACAAATGGGGCAAAGTGAGTTATACAGCTCCATTCTTAGAAACCTTGGAGTACTTTTCTTAGTTTATACTCGTGGTGGTTTCCTTTTGTCTCCTTTATTACATGGGACTCTGACATGTGCCCATAGCTAGGGTGACAGTAGGATCTACCCGATAGTAGGGTGGCAGTAGGATCTACCCAAAAAGCGTCCTGCTGATACAGGACCAAAGCATCCTGTTGTTCTCGAGCCTATAAAAAGAGCTAATGGTGTTGCTTCTCTTAACTGTGGCCTCCTACACTGTGTTTTGGATGATTGGTGATGTCTTGGATATTCTGTTTCTTTGGAACTTTGAATATACAACACTTTACTAGGGAATTAGCAATGGAAGCAGAGCAAAGATGTACAGAGGAAACAATGCGTAACTCTGATGGAATTGAAGTCATGAGGCAGCAGAGAGCTTAAATTACAGCTTTAAAAATTTTTATTTTTTAGAGGGAATTTACTTGGGAGTAACAGCAGTAATAGTTAACGGAGCCAGAATGCTTGAGTCATATAATTGCAAAGCAGAGTTGGGAGCAACAGATGCTAAAGAGTAGTTGCTGTAGTTCCTCTTTGGGTCGTAGGAGCAGTTGTCATATTACTATATAGCTACTGCATGAAGAAGAGTTCTTAGTGAGGCCTGGGTGAACAGCTCTTCTTAGTATTCTGTGTGACCCCATTTGACCTTTTAACAAATCCCTAAGTAAATAAATAGCCCCTCAGGAAAACTAAGTTTTTCTCTGCTGTTTTTTTGCTTGAGAGAGCTATAACTGTAATAGACTTATATTTCTGAACATTTTAGTGCTTGCCAATATTTGGTAATATTTATGTTTCCTATATTTGTAATGAACATTCTTCTTCCGGTACATTTTTTGTTAAATTATTGTTTGATGGATAAAAGTTCACCTTTTATTGTATAAAATTGACTGAGATTAATTTATACACATTGACAATGGGTAAATAGAATTTTTCAGATTATTAAAAGCTGAAGGATGCCCACGTAAGCAAAAAAAAAAAAGAAAAAACCAACAAAAATAAACCCAAACCCCTCAAACAGTTTCGAACACGAAACATTCTTCTGATGCCGGCATCCCTGCTTGCAGGTGTGAAGGGGGCAGGAATCAGCGAGGTGTCCTGGGCTGAGTCCCCGGAGTGGGAAGAGGTGGCAGGAAGGGGATCTGAGGAGGAGAACAGGGGTCCTGGTGGTCTGTGCTTCTTCCCAGACACGGGAGCTGTAGAGGAGACCTCTGCAGCAGATGCTAGGGGGGCCAGTAGGCCCAGGCAGTCTTGGGACTTGGGTCTGTCCTGCTGTGCATCCATAGTGGGTGCTTTAGAAACGGGAGGCCCACCCGAAGCCCCTGTTGCAAGTGAGGACAAAGTGTGGGAAGGCCGTGAGGGTCTGCAGTCCGAGATGGCCTTGTCCTCAACGTGCAGTGCACTGTTGATGCGGGGCCTAGAGGCCTGGGATCTGGGGTAGCCACCCCTGGGGGCGAGTGTCTGCCCTGGTGCTGTACCTGCCTTGTTTTCACAGCGGTGACCCGAAGAGACAGCCTGAGGTCCGTCCTCACTCACTGTGTTTGAGGAACTGTGGGCCAGCTGGCAGTGGGATGAGGCTGGCCCCCTCCTCCGCTTTAGTTCCTGGAGGCCTTCCGTAGAGCTGTGGGAGCTGGAGCTGGCATTTCGTTTGAGGCAGGATCTGGTCCGGGAGGTCTGGGATCTCTGGTTATATCTCACTTCTGACCTCTGGGCACGTGCTGCAGCTGTGGCTGAGGCCAAGAAATGTGAGGGGCCTCCATCCACTGCATTGAGTAGCGACCCCGACGTGGGGTTCAATGTGGAGGGGGGAAGGGCTGCTGCGGCAGCTGCAGGAGCCGAGGTGCCAGGCCTTGTTCTTCTCATGCCGGCATCCCTGCTTGCAGCTGTGAAGGTGGCAGGAATCAGCGAGGTGACCTGGGCTGAGTCCCGGGAGTGGGAAGAGGTGGCAGGAAGGGGATCTGAGGAGGAGAACAGGGGTCCTGGTGGTCTGTGCTTCTTCCCAGACACGGGAGCTGTAGAGGGGACCTCTGCAGCAGATGCTAGGGGGGCCACTAGGCCCAGGCAGTCTTGGGACTTGGGTCTGTCCTGCTGTGCGTCCATAGTGGGTGCTTTAGAAACGGGAGGCCCACCCGAAGCCCCTGTTGCAAGTGAGGACAAAGTGTGGGAAGGCCGTGAGGGTCTGCAGTCCGAGATGGCCTTGTCCTCAACGTACAGTGCACTGTTGATGTGGGGCCTAGAGGCCTGGGATCTGGGGGAGCCTCCCCTGGGGGCGAGTGTCTGCCCTGGTGCTGTACCTGCCTTGTTTTCACAGCGGTGACCCGAAGAGACAGCCTGAGGTCCGTCCTCACTCACTGTGTTTGAGGAACTGTGGGCCAGCTGGCAGTGGGATGAGGCTGGCCCCCTCCTCCGCTTTAGTTCCTGGAGGCCTTCCGTAGAGCTGTGGGAGCTGGAGCTGGAGCTGGCATTTCGTTTGAGGCAGGATCTGGTCCGGGAGGTCTGGGATCTCTGGTTATATCTCACTTCTGACCTCTGGGCACGTGCTGCAGCTGTGGCTGAGGCCAAGAAATGTGAGGGGCCTCCATCCACTGCATTGAGTAGTGACCCCGACGTGTTGTTCAATGTGGAGGGGGGAGGGGCTGCTGTGGCAGCTGCAGGAGCCGACCTTGTTCTTCTCATGCCGGCATCCCTGCTTGCAGCTGTGAAGGTGGCAGGAATCAGCGAGGTGACCTGTGCTGTGTCCCGGGAGTGGTAAGAGGTGGCAGGAAGGGGATCTGAGGAGGAGAACAGGGGTCCTGGTGGTCTGTGCTTCTTCCCAGACACGGGAGCTGTAGAGGGGACCTCTGCAGCAGATGCTAGGGGGGCCAGTAGGCCCAGGGAGTCTTGGGACTTGGGTCTGTCCTGCTGTGCATCCATAGTGGGTGCTTTAGAAACGGGAGGCCCACCCGAAGCCCCTGTTGCAAGTGAGGACAAAGTGTGGGAAGGCCGTGAGGGTCTGCAGTCCGAGATGGCCTTGTCCTCAACGTGCAGTGCAGTGTTGATGTGGGGCCTAGAGGCCTGGGATCTGGGGGAGCCACCCCTGGGGGCAAGTGTCTGCCCTGGTGCTGTACCTGCCTTGTTTTCACAGCGGTGACCCGAAGAGACAGCCTGAGGTCCGTCCTCACTCACTGTGTTTGAGGAACTGAGGGCCAGCTGGCAGTGGGATGAGGCTGGCCCCCTCCTCCGCTTTACTTCCTGGAGGCCTTCCGTAGAGCTGTGGGAGCTGGAGCTGGCATTTCGTTTGAGGCAGGATCTGGTCCGGGAGGTCTGGGATCTCTGGTTATATCTCACTTCTGACCTCTGGGCACGTGCTGCAGCTGTGGCTGAGGCCAAGAAATGTGAGGGGCCTCCATCCACTGCATTGAGTAGTGACCCCGACGTGGGGTTCAATGTGGAGGGGGGAGGGGCTGCTGCGGCAGCTGCAGGAGCCGACCTTGTTCTTCTCATGCCGGCATCCCTGCTTGCAGCTGTGAAGGGGGCAGGAATCATCGAGGTGACCTGGGCTGAGTCCCGGGAGTGGGAAGAGTTGGCAGGAAGGGGATCTGAGGAGGAGAACAGGGGTCCTGGTGGTCTGTGCTTCTTCCCAGACACGGGAGCTGTAGCGGGGACCTCTGCAGCAGATGCTAGGGGGGCCACTAGGCCCAGGCAGTCTTGGGACTTGGGTCTGTCCTGCTGTGCATCCATAGTGGGTGCTTTAGAAACGGGAGGCCCACCCGAAGCCCCTGTTGCAAGTGAGGACAAAGTGTGGGAAGGCCGTGAGGGTCTGCAGTCCGGGATGGCCTTGTCCTCAACGTGCAGTGCACTGTTGATGCGCTGGAATGCCGTCTCTTTTTCCAGGTGCAGGTCTTCAGCCGTGACCCGGTACCCCAGCTCTAAGGGAGGTGGCAGCATCAAAGGCTCCCCTCGCCTGCGTGGCAGCAGGGGAATCTTGCGTCTACGGGGCCTAGAGTCCTGGGATCTGGGGGAGCCACCCGTTGGGGCGATTGTCTGCCCTGGTGCTGTATCTGCCCCCTTTTCACACCGTGTGTGACCCGAAGAGACAGCCTGAGGCCTGTCCTCACTCACTGTCTTTGAGTAACTGAGGGTCAGCTGGCAGCGGGATGAGGCTGGCCCCCTCCTCTGCTTTAGCCCCGGCAAGCCTCCCGTGGAGCTGTAGGAGCTGGAGATGGCATTTCGTTTGGTGCTCGAGCTCGTCCAGGATGTCTGGGATGTGTGGTTATATCTGATTTCTGAGCTCTGGGCGTGGAGGTCTGTCTGCAGAGGCCCGGGCCTGGGCACAAAGGGAGAGGGGCCTCCATTGTCCCGCAGGGGCCAAAATGCAGACCGTGCATCCCCGGTGACCTCGGGGACCGTTCTCTGATCATCAGGATTTTCTTGGACTCTGGGGTCCTTGTCCTGCTCAGGCATCCCTGCCCCGCTCTCCTTGAGGGCCCTCAACACTATCTTCCCTGGACACAAGTCTGGGGACAGCCGGGTGTTGTGGACCCCAAAGGGGTGACTACCTGCTCCTGGGCCCCACAGAGTCCTTGTGCTCAGTGTAGTGGCTGAGCTGGGGGATGCCCTGGAACTCGGAGCACACAGCACTGGCTTACTGTGGTACCTGTGCAGTGAAATTGAAGACAGAATCACCAGGATGGAACACAGGTCTTGCAGGATCACGGAAAACCTTCTTAGAGTTGTCTTGACACCAGTGATGTCGAGTGTGCGGGTGTTTGTAGGATGGCCTGCCACTCAGTCCAGGGGCAGGAGCAACGGGGAGATCCCACAAGCAAAGTGAACTGGGGGATGGGCTGAAGGGGCTCCAGGCAACTGAGCCCTACTCGCAGGTCCTCGGCCTTGGCCCAAACAGGAATGAGGGGCACAGAGTGCCCGGGTAACCGCTCCTGGGAGCAGTGGGGAACTGTCGGATACTTGAACTCTCAAGAGCTGGGCTCTGAGCGTCCTCGTCCAGCTGCCAACTTGGCCAAAGGCTAAGCCAGCAGATTGTTCTGTTGCCGGGCAACGCGACTTCTAAACCTGAGGGAGTGGGCATGTGAGCACATAATGGCACCAGTGACAGAGCGACCATAATGGATGAATAAGCGCAGCCAGGTACCCGCGCAAGGCACCTGCTGGCAATGGCAGGAGGCGGACGTGGGGGGTCGTGCAGTAGGTACTGGAGGGAGAGACGTGGGCACAAAGGTCGCGGGAGGAACAGGTGCCCACAATGGCTGCATATTTGCCCGTGGATCACTGAAGATTCCTGCTCTCCTGCTGAGGTGGAGACTGCAGTGAGCTGAGATCGCACCATTGCACTCCAGCCTGGGCAACGAGTGCAAAACTCAGTCTCCAGATAAAAAAAAGAAAAAGAAAAAAAAGAGGCCGGGTGTGGTGGCTTATGCCTATGATCCTAGCACTTTGGGAGGTCGGGGTGGACGGATCACGAGATCAGGAGTTGGAGGCCAGCCTGGCCAACATAGTGAAAGCCCGTCTCTAGTAAAAATACAAAATTTAGTCAGACATGGTGGGCAGGAGAGAGCATGTGCAGGGGAACATCCATTTATAAAACCATCAGACCTCATGAGACTTATTCACTACCATGAGAACAGCATGGGGGAAACTGCCTCCATGATTCAGTTATCTCCACCTGGCCCCACCCTTGACACATGGGAATTGTTACAATTCAAGATGAGATTTGGGTGCGGACAGAGCCAAACCATATAATTCTTCCCCGGCCCCTCCCAAATCTCATGTCCTCATATTTCAAAAGCAATCGTGCCTTCCCCTAAGTCCCCCAAACTCTTATTTCAGCATTAACTCAAAATTCCGTAGTCCAAAGTCTCATCTGAGACAAGGCAAGTCCCTTCCACCTATGAGCCTGTAAAATCAAAAGCAAGTTAGTTATTTTCTAGATACACAGGGATACAGGCATTGGGTAAATACACTCGTTTCAAATGGGAGAAATTGGCCAAAGCGAAAGAGCTACAGGCCCCATGCAAGTCCAAAACCCAGCAGGCAAATCTTAAAGCTCCAAAATGACCTCCTTTGACTCCATGTGTCACATCTAGGTGATGCAAGAAGTGGGTTCCCAGGGTCTTGGGCAGCCCCGCCCCTGTGGCTTTGCAGGGTACAGCCCCCCTTCTGGCTGCATTGAGTGTCTGCAGCTTTTCCAGGCACACAGTGCAAGCTGTCAGTGGATCTACCATTCTGGGGTCTGGAGGATGGTGGCCCTTTTCTCACAGCTCTGCTTGGCAGTACCCCAGTGGGGACTCTGTGTGGGAGCTCCAACCCCATATTTCTCTTTGACACTGCCCTAGCAGAGGTTATCCATGAGGGCCCCCCCCTCCCCTCCCCCCCACAGCAAACTTTTGCCTGGATTTCCAGGCATTTTCATACATCTTCTGAAATGTAGGCGGAGGTTCATGAACGTTAATTCTTGACTTTGGTGCATCTGCAGGCTTAACACCACCTAGAACCTGAAAGGCTTGGAACTTGCACCCTCTGAAGCCATGGCCTGAGGTGTACCTTGGCCCCTTTTACCTATGGCAGGAGCAGCTGGGATGCAGGGCCCCAAGTTCCTAGGCTGCACACAGCAGGGGGTTCTGGACCCACAAAACCATTTTTCCTTCTAAGCCTCCTGGCCTGTGATGGGAGGGTCTGCTGTGAGGGTCTCTAACATGCCCTGGAGACATTTGCCCCATTGTCTTGGTGATTAACATTTGGCTCCTCATTACTTATGCAAATTTCTACAACCCAGTCTCCTGAGAAAATAGATTTTTCTTTTCTGTTGCATCATCAGGCTACAAATTTTCTGAACTTTTATGCTCTGCTTCTTCTCGAATGCTTTGCTGCTTAGAAATTTCTTCTGTCAGATACCTTAAATCATCTCTCTCAAGTTCAAAGTTCCACAGATCTGTAGGGAACTCTAGAAAGAAATTCTTATTTTCCCTCTTTCCCGCCTATCTTATGCCCGTTTCTAATACAGGTGCACAATGCCTGCAGTGTCTTTGCATAGTAAGAGTGACTTTACTCCATTTCCCAACAAATTCCTCATCTCCCTCTGAGACCACCTCCGCCTGGACCTTGTTGTCCATATCACTATTAACATTTTGGTCAAAGCCATTCAACAAGTCTCTAGGAAGTTCCAAACTTTCCCACATTTTCCTATCCTCTTCTGAGCCTTCCAAACTGTTCCAGCCTCTCCCTGTTACCCATTTCCAAAGTTGCTTCCACATTTTCGGGTATCTTTACAGCAGCACCCCACTCTACTGGTATCAACTTATTGTATTAGTCTGTTCTCACACCGCAAATAAAGACATACCTGAGACTGGGTAATTTATAAAGGAAAGAGGTTGAATTGACTCACAGTTCTGCATGGCTGGGGAGGCCTCACAATCATGGTGGAAGGCAAGGAGGTGCAAAAGCATGTCTCACATAGTGGCAGGCAGGAGAGAGCATGTGCAGGGGAGCTCCCATTTATAAAACCATCAGATCTCATGAGACTTAGTCACTACCGCGAGAACAGTATGGGGGGAACCATCCCCATGATTCAGTTATCTGCACCCGGCCCCACCCTTGACACGTGGGAATTATTACAATGCAAGGTGAGATTTGGGTGGGGACCCATCCAAACTATGTCAGTATGTTTTGACTTCTTGCTTGATTGCTAGGTTGCATAGAGGACAAACATGGAAATTAATGAAGTACCTTAATATCTGGCTTCAGATCTTAGACAGGATCAGAGGGCCAGCTCAAATTTGCAAGGAGGGGAGGTAGATCCCACCATTTTATGGGTGAATGGCAAAATCAAACAGAAATTATGTGGGATGGGAGATACTGATGCAGGCATCTTTGGAAACATTCTACTTAGCTAATTTTATGCTAGGCTTTAGGTCAAGAAGGAGAGAGAGAGCTGACATGCTGTGGTACACACTTATAGTCCCAGCGACTTGGAAAGCTGAGGCAGGAGGATTGCTTGATCCCAGGAGTTTGAGGTAGTGTGCGATGATCGTTCTTGTGAATAGCCACTAGCCACTGAACTCCAGCTTGGGCAACATTGAGACACCCTGTCTCTTAATTTAAAAAAAAAAAAAAAAAAAGGAAAGAAAGTGGTCTCAGTTTTTAATGTAAGTATTTTTAATGGGATAATGATATTTTAAGATTAATGTATATTGTATATCAGTTAACTGTAGGTCAATAATTATATAAAACTTAAGGTATGAAAAACATTTATTTTTGCTAACATATCTGTGAGTTGACTGTTCTTGGCTTGGTGAGGCTGCAAGCTGCAGATAGAGTCTAGGTATGTTTTCTGTGTGTTTGTTCCCCCTTGGATCAGTGGACTACCTGAGAATGTGTTTTTGTCACAGTGATAGAATCACAAGGAAACTCCAGTTCTGGAAGTACATTTTAAGCCATTGCTTCTCTCATGTCCACTAACATTCAGTCAGCCAAAGCACATACCTTGTCCATGGCTAACATTGATAGTATAGATAAATATACCTGATCTCTAGCAGGAGGAACTGCATTGTCTTGGGGAAAGGTTTTAGATATAGGGAGGGGTGATGAGTTGGGAACAATAATGTAGTCTGCCACAAACATATTAAAGTGTAACTGGATATGGTTGCTGCAGAATTTTGAACCTTTGTTTTAATTGTGATTTTTACTCTTTTCCCCCTATCTAGTGCCCTTTTGTAATACAGTAATTATCATGATTTTTGTCTGAACTGAAATCTTCTGAGATTAGATTGTCTACGAAAATACAGTCGATCCTCCTTGTTTTCAGCTTTTGTATTTGTGAACTCACCTACTATTTTTTGTAACCCCCAAATCAGTACTCACAGCACTTTCATAGTCATGTGTTTGCGCAGAGTGTCAAAGAATTTGAGTTTGAACAGGATGATATTCTGCCTTCTTTTTCAGCTCTCATACAATAGTCAGGTATCCTTTTTGTGGTCTGTTTAATGCCATGCTTTTCCTGTTTTTGTACTGTTTGTTGGTTGTTTTGCCATTTAAATTAACCCCCAAGCATAGTGCTGAAGTGCTGCTTAGCATTCACAAGTCCAAGAAGTCTGTGATGTGTCTTACAGAGAAAATACATGCATTAAATAAACTCCATTCAGGCGTGAGTGCTGTAGTGCCGTTGGCTGTGAGTTCAATGTTAATGAATGAACAATGTATATTATTTATTTATTCTTCATTTAATTAATTATTATTATTATTTTTTTTGAGATAGAGTCTCACTCTGTTGCTCAGGCTGGAGTGCAGTGGTGCAGTCTTGGCTCACTGCAACCTCTGCCTCCTGGGTTCAAGCGATTCCCCTGCCTTAGCCTCCCAAGTAGCTAAGACTACAGGCATGCGCCACCATGCCTGGCTAATTTTTTTTTTTTTTTTTTTTTTTTGTAGTTTTAGTAGAGACGGGGTTTCACCACGTTGGCCAGGCTGGTCTCGAACTCCAGACCTCAAATGATCTGCCCGCCTTGGCTTCCCAAAGTGCTGGGATTACAGGCGTTAGCCACTGTGCCTGGCCAACAATATATATTAAATAAGCACACATACAACAAAAGTAGGTGTTGGTAAGCTTACAAAAGTGTGACCAGTAGCTTGCTGAAACCTAACTTTTTATTTGTTCATGGAACTTTGTAGATCGTAACTACACTGAATAATGAGAATCTGCTGTAATCTTTTTAGGTGCTGTAGATGAGCCATTGGATTAAATTATTACAGTATGTTTCAGACTGCTGTATGTTGAACCCTAGTGAAATGCCTCTCAAACCTTCATAAGGATCACAATCTCATGTCCTTTTTTTTTTGTTATTAAATGCCCAGTATGTGTTAGCGATTTAAACAAAATTCAAATATTTTTTTTTTTTTTTGAGACAGAGTCTCGCTCTGTCACCTAAGCTGGAGAGTGCAGTGGTATGATCTCGGCTCACTACAACCTCTGCCTCCCGGGTTCAGGCGATTCTCCTGCCTCAGCATCCTGAGTAGCTGGGATTACAGGCACCCGCCACCACGCTGGGCTAATTTTTGTATTTTTAGTAGAGACGGGGTTTCGCCAGGTTGTCCAGGCTGGTCTGGAACTCCTGACCTCATGCGATCTGCCTGCCTTGGCCTCCTGAAGTGCTGGGATTATAGGCGTGAGCCACCATGCCCGGCGTTGACTTCTTAATAATAACCATACTGACTGGTGTGAGATGGTATGCCATTGTGGTTTTGATTTGCATTTCTCTAATGATCAGTGATATTGAGCTTTTTCTCATATGCTTGTTGGCCGCATGTGTGTCTTCTTTTGAAGTGTCTGTTTATGTCCTGTGCCCACTTTCTAATGAGATTTTTTTTTTCTTGTAAATTTGTTTAAGTTCCTTATCAGTGTTGGACATTAGATCTTTGTCACATGCATTGTTGCAAAAATTTTCTCCCATTCTGTAGGTTGTCTGTTCACTCTGTTGATAGTTTCTTTTGCTGTGCAGAAGCTTCAAGAAGAAAGGAATCCGATTGGTTCTGTGTCTGTCTCTTTTGGTATTCTCAGAATTATGTAGTCATTCATATAGAAAGATGATTAGGAAAATAGGACAAGAATAGCAGAAATCTACATAAAAATGTAGGAAATTAAAATTAGTTACCAGCATACAAAAAACTTCTGTATGTTATAATTACATACTATAACTCACCCCTCCTTGGCAAATATTCTCTCTCTTTTGACTTCAAAATCATGGCTTATATGTACTTTCTCTATTTCCCAGATGCAAATATAATTAATTGACTTTATTTATCTAGGAAATGTTACTCATATCTTAATTGTAGTCATTGGCTTGAGTGACGGGTTTTGGTAATTCAACTACTATTACTTGAAAGTAGTAGATTTCATAGGATACTGTTATAAAATCTTTTTAACCTCTTTTCTGATTTCAGGAGTAATTAGTAATTGTGGTTTACTGGAAAATTCAATGAATAGGGTGTTAAAGGAAGCAATTCATTAATAATATATCTAATCTATTGGGAGACTGAGGCGGGTGGATCACCTGAGTTCAGGAGTTCGAGACCAGCCTGGCCAACATGGCAAAACTCCGTCTCTACTGAAAATAGAAAAATTCGCCGGGCATGGTGGTGCATTCCTGTATTCCCAGGTACTCGGAAGGCTGAGGCAGGAGAATCACCTGAACTCCAGAGGTGGAGGTTGCAGCGAGTCAGGATCGCAGCACTACACTCCAGCCTGGGTGACAGTGAGACTCCATCTCAAAAAAAAAAAAAAAAAAAAAAAAAATTAAAAAATTAAATTAAAAGCGGGCTGGGCGCATTGGTTCAGGGCCGGGCACGGTGGCTCAAGCCTGTAATCCCAGCACTTTGGGAGGCCGAGGCAGGCGGATCACGAGGTCAGGAGATCAAGACCATCCTGGCTAATGTGGTGAAACCCCGTCTCTACTAACAATACAAAAATTAGCTGGATGTGGTGGCAGGTGCCTGTAATCCCAGCTATTCCAGAGGCTGAGGCAGGAGAATCACTTGAACCTGGGAGGCAGAGGTTTCAGTGAGTCCAGATCATGCCACTGCACTCCAGCCTGGGTGACAGAGCGAGATTCTATCTCAAAAAAAAAAAAAAAAAGCAACAGAAGCAAATGAGAGTGCCTGGGAGTGGTCATTGTGGGGCCTTCCCGTTTGTGTGACCCAGGTCATGTCCCTCCCTAAGCCCTGGTCTCTCTTGCCTCCTGCAGGGCTGGTGAATTACCAGATCTCCGTCAAGTGCAGTAACCAGTTCAAGTTGGAAGTGTGTCTTTTGAATGCAGAAAACAAAGTCGTGGACAACCAGGCTGGGACCCAGGGCCAGCTGAAGGTGCTGGGTGCCAACCTCTGGTGGCCGTACCTGATGCACGAACACCCCGCCTCCCTGTACTCGTGGGAGGTAATGGTGGTTTGGGACTTGCGTAAGGGAGGTCTTTTGCCCCCATCTGGTAGCCCTGGCTTCAGCAGGAGCCCAGGACAGGTGAACGGGCAGGTGTGGTCCTCTGAGCTTTCTGATGTTTCCCACCCTTGGTGGGAGGCCCAGATTTTTTATTTATTTATTTATTTATTTATTTGTTTGTTTGTTTGTTTTTGTGATGGTCTCACTCTGTCACCCAGGCTGGAATGCAATGGCCTGATCACAGCTCACTGCAGCTTTGAGCTGCAATCCTCCTACCTTGGCCTCCTGAGTAGCTGGGACTACAGGCACATGCCACCATGCCTGGCTAATTAAAAAAATTTTTTTTGTAGGCCGGGCATGGTGGCTCACACCTGTAATCCCAGCACTTCGGGAGGCTGACGCGGGCAGATCACTTTAGGCCAGGAGTTGGAGACCAGCCTGGCCAACATGGTGAAACCCCGTCTCTACTAAAATATGAAAATTTGCAGGGCATGATGGTGCACGTCTGTAATCCCAGCTACTCGGGAGGCTGAGGCAGGGGAATTGCTTGAACCCAGGAGGCAGGGGCCGCGGTGAATTGAGATCATGCCGCAGCACTCTATCCTGGGTGACAGAGTGAGACTGTCTCAAAAAAAAAAACTCCTTTTTATAGAGTTGGGGTCTTACTAGGTTGCCCAGGCTGGTCTTGAACTCCTGGACTCAGGTGATCCTCCTGCCTTAGCCTCCCAAGGTGTAGGGATTCCAGGCATGAGCCACCTCGTCTGGTCAAGGAGAAGGCCTGATTTTGAAGGGCAGGTCCCAGGGTCAGCCAGTGAAGGGCAGAGCCTCTGGTTGCTGCTTCTCTGCAGGCCCAGTGGCGACTTCTGGGGTGCATGCACGAGGGGTCTTCCTGCTGTAGGGCAGGCCAGATGGGGCTCAGGCTGTCGGGGCGCTCACACCTGGCGCTTTGGCTGTCGTAGGTGCGGCTGACTGCACAGAAGTCACTGGGGCCTTTGACTTCTACACACTCCCTGTGGGGCTCCGCACTGTGCCCGTCACCGAGAGCCAGTGGGTGAGAGCCAGTTTCATTTGCGGTAGAGGCAGCAGAGGTTGTAGAAATGCTCCTTGAGGCAGATGCCACACCCCAATTTCATGGAGTGATTTGGGCTGAGCCGAGTCTGCAGCAGGCAGAAGGCTCTGAGATGTTGTCCTAGCCTGGGCAAAGGACAATTCAGAGCTCGGGGGAATAGGGGTGTGCTCAGCACGACTGGGTGGACAGGCCGTTTGTTGTGAATCGTACAGGCTTCCAGGAGCGGGTGCCTGAGGCTTCCAGACAGGCTTTGGGAGGTGGCCAGAGGAGATGCCTGTTTCCGGGGCAGGAAATGGAGGGAGGGCCCAGGCTGGAGAGGTTCAGCCAGGCTGTCACAAGGCTTTGAAGCTTCCCATCTGAGAGCCTGGCTATTGGAGAGTGTGGGTTTGGAACTTGAGGCTAGGAGGTTCTATTCTGTCCTGTGCCAGCCACAGCCTTCGGATGGGCAGAGCAATGATGGGGGGAAGATGTAAAAGAAAAGAACTGAGGAAAGAAGAAGAAAACCAGCTTCAACAACGGTCTAGGCCGGATGCGGTGGGTCACGCCTGTAATCCCAGCAGTTTGGGAGGCTGAGGTGGGTGGATCACCCGAGGTCAGGAGTTCGAGACCAGCCTGGTCAACAGGTAGTGAATCCTGTCTCTACTAAAAATACAAAAATTAGCTGGGCATGGTGGTGGACGTCTGTAATGCCAGCTACCAGGTAGGCTGAGGCAGGAGAATCGCCTCAGGTGAACCAGGAGGCAGAGATTGCAATGAGCTGAGATAATGCCACTGCATTCCAGCCTGGGCTACAGAATGAGACTCTGTATCTCAACAAAACAAAACAAAACAAAAACACAACAGTCTGTTCTGTGGAGGCCTTGGGCAGATGCTGGGAGCTCTGAGCACGGACTGGTCCCTCTGTTGGGAGCCTCTTCCCTTCATCCCTCCTGGTTAACTTGACTCAGCATAAAGGCCATTTCTTCTAAGAGCCTGTCCCTGACTCTCCAATCGGGGATGTGTCTGTTGTCTCATAGAGTGCCCAATTCCTGCCACCACTTGTCATTTCCATTCGCAACATTTCTTTCATTGTTTGTTTTTCAGAGTCAGGGTCTCACTCTGTTGCCCAGGCTGGAGTGCAGTGGTGCAATCATAGCTCGTTGCCATCTCGACCTCCTGGGCTTAAGCGATCCTCCCCACTCAGCCTCCCAAATAGCTGGGACCACAGACGTGCGCTGCCTTGCCAGGCTAAATTTTAATATTTTTTTTTTCCCCACGAGTCAGAGTCTTGCTCTGTCTCCCAGGCTGGAGAGCAGTGTTGCGATCTTGGCTCACTGCATCCTCTACCTCCTGGGTACAAACAGTTCTCCTGCCTCACCCTCCCGAGTAGCTGGGATTACAGGCTCACGCCACCATGCCCAGCTAGTTTTCTTCTTTATTTTTTGTTGAGATGGGGTTTCACCATGTTGGCCAGGCTGGTCTCGAACTCTTGAGCTCGTGATCCACCTGCCTTGGCCTCCCAAAGTGCTCACAGGCTTGAGCCACCATGCCCGGCCCTAATTTTTAAATTTGTTGTAGAAACAAGGTCTTGCTATGTTGTCCAGGCTGGTCTCAAGCGCCTGGTCTCAAGTAAGCCTCCCAAAGTGCTGGGGTTCTAGGCGTGAGCCACCTCGCCTGGCACTTGCACCGTTTTTCTGTGCATGCATCTCCACTCCCACTGCCCAGGACCTGTGGACTTAGATTTGAGTCATTACTGAGCACCTAGCACCCAGCCTCATGCCTACCTCCCACCTCGCACTACCTGTTTGCTTGATGCATTAATAAATATTCCACCTGAATCCACAGCCCATTCACTCCTGTGTTCAAGAGCTATTTCAGGAAGTGAACCTCATTTCTGGCAGTGTTCAGTCCAGTGACCTCAGCTCTGTGTACCCGGCAGGGTGGCTACGCCTCTGGGGGAGTTGGATTCAGGGGTGGGGGAGAAAGAGTGTTGTTAGAGAGCTCGGTCTAGGACTAGAGGAACGTGCCCTTATGTAAAATACATCTCAAGTTAGGGAAGAAAGCAGCGGCTCTGTGCTTTGTTTTTTTTTTTTTTTTCCTTTTTTTTCTTTCTTTTTTTTTTTTTGTTTGTTTGTTTGTTTGTTTGTTTTGGGGCAGGGTCTTGCTCTGTGGCCCAGGCTGGAGTGCAGTAGCGTGATTTCGGCTCACTGCAACCTCCACCTCCCGGGTTCAAGCAATTCTTGTGCCTCAGCCTCCCGAGTAGCTGGAGTTACAGATGCGTGCCACTATGCCTGGCTAATTTTTGTATATTTAGTAGAAATGGGGTTTTGCCATGTTGGCCAGGCTGTTCTTGAACCCCTGACCTCAGTGATCTGCCTGCCTCAGCCTCCTGAAGTGCTGGGATTACAGGCGTGAGCCATCGTGCCTGGCCCCCAGTTGTGTTCTGGCAGGGGAAGATGGGACAGAGAGGATGGGAGGGTGTCTGAGCCTTTCCCGGACTGACGGAACCTGTGTCTTCTCTCTTTTGTGGACAGGATGGTGATTGCTCACACCAAAGCCTTGGACCCCTCCCAGCCTGTGACCTTTGTGACCAACTCCACCTACGCAGCAGACAAGGGGGTGAGCCTGGGGGTCCCCACCCCATTTCTCCCTGCCTTTGCCTGGGCTTGTCCTGAAGCCTGCTCATGGGAACAGCTGGAAAGAACCATGTGCTGCCAGTCTGAGCTTTTTATTTTGTTTTACTTAGAAAGATAGAGACAGGGTCTTGCCATGTTGCCCAGGCTGGTCTCGAACTCCTGGGCTCAAGTGATCCTCCTGCCTCGGCCTTCCAAAGGGCTGGGGTTACAGGCGTGTGCCACCGCACTCAGCCGCAGCCAGTCTGTTTTCAAAGATGGTCTTTGGGTTAATGACAATTCTCTCTCTGCTTACTCTCCAGGCAGTGTGGCTTTCTGAATCCAAGGAGGCTGGGCATAGGGAGATGGGATTTGTTTGCCCGGTTTGGACTCAGCATTTTTTGTACTCGATTTAATAGACTCATAAAATGTCAAAGGTTTAAGTGAGCTTAGAGTTCATCTGGCCCAAACCTGGCTGATCAGAATCTCCAGGGGAAGTTTTATTGAAATGCCAGATCTCTGCGTTCTGAGATCCTGATTTAGTAACTCCAGGGTTGGAACCTGAGTTTTTTGTTTTTTTGTGTGTGTGTGTGAAGGCAAGGTCTTACTCTGTTGCTCTGGCTGGAGTGCAGTGGTGTGATCACAGCTCACTGCAGCCTTGAATTCCTGGGCCTAAGCAACCCTCTTGCCTCAGCCTTCCAAGTAGCTGGGACTCCGGGTGTACACCACTGTGCCCGGCTAATTTTAAATGTTTTTGTAGAGATGGGATCTCACTATGTTGCCCAGGCCAGTCTCAAACTCTTGAGCTCAAGTGATCCTCCTGCCTTAGCCTCCTAAAGTGCTGGGATTACAGGCATGAGCCACCGTGCTTGGCTGATACTAGCATTCTTTTTTTTTTTTTTTTTTTTTTTTAAGATAGAGTCTTGCTCTGTTGCCCAGGCTGGAGTGCAGTGGCACAGTCTCAGCTCAGTGCAACCTCCGCCTCCCAGGTTCAAGCAATTCTCCTGCCTCAGCCTCCCAAGTAGCTGGGATAACAGGCACATGCCACCACGCCTGCGCTTGATCGTGGGAGGCAGAGGTTGCATTATTGTGCCACTCCATTCTAGCCTGGGCAACAGAGCGAGACTCTTGTCTTCCAAACAAAGCGGAAAAAGATTATCTGCGAGAATGACTGCATTGGCCCCTTGGGTGGGAGGGCTTCTCCAGGGCAAGGTGAGGGGATGCCCAGTGCTGGGAGTGCTGCCTGGAGAGGAGTCAGTTCCAGTGGCAGGGGCCCTGGGTTTTGGCTGAGGACTGCGTGTTGGCAGCTGCTCTGCCTCTCACAGCCCTTCCCAGCTGCACACGTCGTGAGCGTCAGTGTGCAATCACAGGCCTGCCTCCTTTGGGCCACTTTGTGACCATGTTTTTTGCTTGTGGGGCAGGGTAATTTCAGGATCTAAATTGGTGCAGTTGGATGTTCTCAGCCCCGAGAGGCAGCTCTTCCCGTTGTAGGCTTTTTGTTTTGTTTTGTAGAAATGGAGTCCTACGATGTTGCCCAGGCTGGTCTCAAACTCCTGGGCTCAAGTGATCCTCCCACCTTGGCCTCCCAATGTGCTGGGATTACAGGCATGAGCCACTGTGCCGTGCTGATTTTCTTGATACTATTTTTTGTAGAGCTGGGGTCTTGCTGTGTTGCCCAGGCTGGTCTCGAACTCCTGGCCACAAGCCACCCTCCTGCCTCAGCCTCCCAGAGTGCTGGGATTACATCCCCTTCTTACCTTCTCTGTCAGAGGAGCCCCCACAGCATGTGAGTACTGAGTCATGCGGTCTTGTGGTTGCTGAACGGGCTCTGCTGCTCTGGTCCTAGGCTCTGTATGTGGATGTGATCCGTGTGAACAGCTACTACTCTTGGTATCGCAACTACGGGCACCTGGAGTTGATTCAGCTGCAGCTGGCCGCCCAGTTTGAGAATTGGTGTAAGACATCACAATCCCATTATTCAGAGCGCGTATGGAGTGGAAACGCTTGTAAGGCTTCACCAGGTAAGCGGTGTTGAACTTTCTGCTTGTGTATTCTCTCTGGGCAGAGATGCCACTTGCCTCCCCCACCCTGCCCTGCGCCCACTGCAGTGCTCCCCTTGCTTCAGCTTTGGGCTCACCTCCCGCTACCCTGTCCACGTTCCCTTCTCACCAGCAGCCAGGCCTCTGCCCCACTCGCTTGGTCCTCAAAGGTGGACTCCTTACTGGCCTTGTTTCCAGACAGCCTCCTATCACCCGTGCCCAAGTGGTCTTTCTAAGAAATCCAAATTTTTATGTGTTTTTGAGACCGCCTCTCTCTCTGTCACCCAAGCTGGAGTGCGGTGGTGCGATCACTGCTCCCTGCAGCCTTAACCTCCTGGGCCCAAGCGATCTTCCCACCTCAGCCTCCTGAGTATCTGGGACCATAGGCACAGGCCACCATGCCTGGCTAATGTTTTTACTTTTGTAGAGATGGGGCGTTGTTGTGTTCCCCGGGCTGGTCTTGAATTCCTGGGATCAAGTGACCCTCCTGCCTCAGGCTCACAAAGCGCTGGGATTTACAGGTGTGAGCCACTGTGCCCGGCCACAAATCAAAATTTTTGAGTCCTGTCATTGGCTCCCCCAGGCCCATAGGACAAAGTCCTAACCCCTAGTCAGGACACTCAGTGTCCTCTGCTCTCTCCTGGGTTTTCATCCTCTTCTCTTCTCACTCCTGGCCACTGATCTGTTTCCACTGCCCTCATTTGCTCTCCTGCTCTTGCTTGAGCTATTCTTTCTGCCTGGAATGCCCAAGTTGGCACCATAATCACCAACTAAAAGATCCTTTTCTTTTTATTTTTTTAGAGATAGGGTCTTGCTATGTTGCCCAGGCTGGTCTCAAACTCCTGGACTCAATTGATCTTTTTGCCTTGGCCTCCCAAAGTTCTGGGATTAACAGGTGTGATCCACTGTGCTAGCCTTTTTTTATTTTTTATTTTTTTCCTGACAGGGTCTTGTTCTGTTGCCCAGGCTGGAGTGTGGTGGTGTCATCATAGCTCACTGCAGCCTCGAACTCCTGGGCTGAAGCAATTCTCCTGCCTCAGCCTCCTGAGTAGCTGGGACTACAGGCGTGCACCACCATGTGCAGCCTAGTTTTAAAATATTTTGTAGAGATGAGTCTCGCTATCAGGCTGGTCTTCACCTCCTGTCTTGGACTCCCAAAGTACTGGGAATACAGGCATGAGTCACGACACGTGGCTGAAAAGATTCCTATTTGGCATCTGAGTCTCCTCATAGCTGTCCCCTCTGTGGGGAGGTTTACCCTGCCTGCCCCAGGCGGAGGGAACCTTCCCCGTGCTCTGCCCTGTTGCAGCCGGAACCTGGCTCCCCCAACATTCTCGCCAGGCACCGTTGTTATTTCTTTGGCTCTCTCTTTGATCGGACTGTGGGCTCAGGAGACAGGAGTCCTATTTATTGTTGTTTCCCAGGTACTCTGCAATAGCTGACACAGTACATGCTAAATAATACCTATTGAGGGCATGGGTGAGATCTTAGAGCCATGTTTAATCACTCACTTTGTCTTTTTTTTTTTTTGAGATGGAGTCTCACTCTGTCACCCAGGCTGAAGTGCAATGGTGTGATCTCAGCTCACTGCAACCTCCACTTCCTAGGCTCAAGCGATTGTCCTGCCTCAACCTCCCAAGCAGCTGGGATTACAGGCACCTGCCACCATGCCCAGCTAATTTTTGTATTTTTGTAGAGGTGGGGTTTTGCCATGTTGGCCAGGCTGGTCTTGAGCTCCTGACGTCAAGTGATTTGCCTGCTTCCGCGTCCCAAAATCCTGGGATTACAGGCCTGAGCCACCATGCCTGGCCTGTCCTCATTTGTTTATCCATCTCATTTTTTGTCCTTCTCACCAAAGATATGTTGCTTTGTCTTGTGGGGTTTTTTTCATGTGGATTCCTGAACCCCATCCAGCCCCTTGTCCCCTCCCCAGCCAGCTCACACTCTTTTGCACAGCTCCTGGGACTCCCGTTGACACACAGGGAACAGCCACCCACAATGGACTGCACTGTTCTGTTTGCACCCTTAAATTTATCGTGCTTACAGAATGACACTTCTGCAAACTAGTCAAGTAGGGGGAAGTGATTTGTGGATATGCACCCTTGTTCATTCTCTTTGAAAAGGTAACCAGCTCTGAATTCTTTCTCCTTTTAGGAGGAGTTTCACTTGTCGCCCAGGCTGGAGTGTAGTGGTGCAATCTTGACTCACTGCTACCTCCGCCTCCCAGGTTCAAGCAATTCTCCTGCACCAGCCTCCCAAGTAGCTTGGATTACAGGCATGCACCACCATGCTCACCTAATTTTTTTTTTTTTTTTTTTTTTTTTTAGTAGAGATGAGGTTTCACCACGTTGGTCAGGCTGGTCTTGAACTTTTGACCTCAAGCGATCCACCTGCCTTGGCCTCCCAAAGTGCTGGAATTACAGGCATGAGCCACCATACCCAGCCCCAGTTCTGAATTCTTAAGAAACTCGAGAGGGTCTAGGTGAGCATTGATAGAACCTCTGCAGTGCTGGGTGTGCTGGCTCACACCTGGAATGCTAGCCCTTTGGGAGACCGAGGTCAGAGGATCTCTTGAGCCCAGGAGTTTGAGACCAGTCTGCACAACATGGACCCCATCTCTACAAAATATTTAAGATGAGTTGTGGCTGGGTGCAGTGGCTGACGCCTGTAATCCCAGCACTTTGGGAGGCTGAGGTGGGTGGATCACGAGGCCAAGAGTTCAAGTCCAGCCTGACCAAGATGGTGAAACCCCGTCTCTACTAAGAAAACACAGAAATTAGCTGGGTGTGGTGGCATGCACCTGTAATCCCAGCTACTCAGGAGGCTAAAGCAGGAGAATCGCTTGAACTGGGGAGGTGGAGGTTGCAGTGAGCCGAGATTGTGCCACTGCACTCCAGCCTGGGCGACAGAGCAAGAGTCCGTCTCAAAAAAAAAAAAAAAAAATAGTTGGGTATGGTCGTGCTTGCCTCTAGTCCCAGCTACTTGGGAGGCTGAGGTAGGAGGACTGTTTGAGCCCAGTAGGTCAAGGCTGCAGTCCGCCATAATTGCACCACTGTACTCCCACCTGGGTGACAGAGTGAGACCTTGTTTCAAAAAAGAACCTTTGCAATGATGGAAATGCCCCATGTCTGCACTGTCTGAAATGGTAGCCACTAGCTACATGTGGCTATTGAGGTCTTGATATATGACTAGGATAACTGAATTTATTTGGTTTAATTAAAAAAAATTTTTTTTTGAGACAGCCTTACTCTGTTGCCCAGGCTGGAGTGCAGTGGCGTAATCACAGCTCACTGCTCAACCTCCTGGGCTCAAGTGATCCTTCCTCCTCGGCCCCCCAAGTAGCTGGAGCCACAGTCATGCGCCACTACACCTAGCGAATATTTAGCCTTTTTATAGAGACTGGGTTTTACTGTGTTGCCTAGGCTGATCTTGAACTCCTGAGCTCAAGTGATCCTCCTGCCTCGACCTCCCAAAGTGCTGGGATTACAGACCTGAGCTACCATGCCCAGCCTGGTTTAGTTTAATTTCATTTTACATTCATTCATTCATTCATGAGATAGGGTCTTGTTCTGTCACCCAGGCTGGAGTGTAGTGGTGCAAACCACAGCTTTGACCTCCGGGACTGAAGCAGTCCTCCCACCTCAGCCTCCCAAGTAGCTGGGACCACAGGTGTGTGCCTCCATGCTTGGCTAACTTTTGTACTTTTTGTAGGCTAGTCTTGAACTCCTAGGCTCAAGCAGTCCTCCCACCTCGGTCTCCCAAAGTGCTTGGATGACAGACATGAGCCAGCGCGCCTGACCTAAAGACATATTTTTCCTTCTAGTGTAGTTCAGCCTTAAGACTGTATCAGCAGACAGAGACGGAAAAGTAAGAAAAATTGAGTATCAGGTTATATTTATAAATAAAGCAGTTGCTAATTGATGGTTTTTTTTTAAACCTCCTTTTTAATTCTGGGTTACATCATTCCCTGGCTGTCGTTTCTTTTTTTGTATTTTTTTATTATTATTATTATACTTTAAGTTTTAGCGTACATGTGCACATTGTGCAGGTTAGTTACATACGTATACATGTGCCATGCTGGTGTGCTGCACCCACTAACTCGTCATCTAGCATTAGGTATATCTCCCAATGCTATCCCTCCCCCCTCCCCCCACCCCACAACAGTCCCCAGAGTGTGATGTTCCCCTTCCTGTGTCTATGTGATCTCATCGTTCAATTCCCACCTATGAGTGAGAATATGCGGTGTTTGTTTTTTTGTTCTTGCGATAGTTTACTGAGAATGATGATTTCCAATTTCTCCCTGGCTGTCTTTACCCTAGCATCAGTGAGTCCTGCAGTCCCTACAGCCCCCAGTGAGGACAGATATTTTGGTCACCATCAAGTGGATCTTTATTTTTATCTAACATTTACAATTCTGCCAGTTCTTACTCTTAATTCTCTTTGCCTTGAATCCCAGGATCCACCTCTGATGTTCAGTGAAGAGGACCGGAAAAGTCTGCTAGAGCAGTACCATCTGGGTCTGGATCAAAAACGCAGAAAATACGTGGTTGGAGAGCTCATCTGGAATTTTGCCGATTTCATGACTAACCAGTGTAAGTGGCAGTTTAGCGCATGGGATAATGTACCCGTCCTCATTTTTTCAGGTTGCCTTGCCCATTCTGGACATTTTGGCTGTAAGAATATTGGAAACAAAGGGGGGAACCTGGTTTAATCCATGTAGGTTGTGTTGAGAATTTCCTAGGAAAAGTAAGTTGTGCTTAGGAAGTAGGAAAGCAGTCAGGCCCCCGCTTCCCACGTACGGTCAAAAAGCAAACATGAGAGTCTGCTATAGTGAGATGGAAATGGCTAGCTTGCCTTTTTCTTGTCTATTTCATAGCCAAGGATGAAGGAAAAACTGGACCTCATTATGGATTTACTTTTGGGATACACTCATTATTCCAGAGGAGGGTAAAAGGCTGAGAAGCTTAAGGTATTTCAGTCTGTTTTATGTTACTCATTTGCGAAAAGCAGGCTCATCGAATACAGGTGAGTTTCAACGCGTCTTGAATATGGCAGCATTTAAAAGTCTTCAGACCAGGCATGGTGGCTCATGCCTGTCATCCCAGCACTTTGGGAGGCCAAGGTGGGAGGATTGCTTGAGGCCAGGAGTTCGAGACCAGCCTGTTCAGCATAGCAGGACCCCCATCTCTACAAAAACTAAACAGATTAGCTAGGTGTGGTGGTGTGTGCCTGTAGTCCTAGCTGCTTGGGAGGCTGAGGCAGGCGGATAGCCTGAGCACAGGAGTTGGAGGCTGCAGTAAGCCATGATTACACCACTGCACTTGAGCCTGGGCAGCAGAGTGAGACCTGTCTTTAAAAAAAAAAAAGGAGCTGGGCACGGTGGCTCATGCCTGTAATCCCAGCACTTTGGGAGGCCGAGGCAGGCAGATCACGAGGTCAGGAGATCGAGACCATCCTGGCTAACAGTGAAACCCTGTCTCTACTGAAAATACAAAAAAAATCAGCCGGGCGTGGTGGCGGGTGCCTGTAGTCCCAGCTGCTCGGGAGGCTGAGGCAGGAGAATGGCATGAACCCAGGAGTTGGAGCTTGCAGTGAGCCGAGATTGTGCCACTGCACTCCAGCCTGGGCGACAGTGAGACTGCTTCTCAAAAAAAAAAAAAAAAAAAAAAAAAAAGAAAGGGTCTTCAAAGACAATAAGATCTGTGCTCTCACGTAGGGTGGATGAGGGGCTGCCAAGTTAGCAATGAATGTTTCCCATTTCTTCTTAGTTTATGGACTTTCCATAAACTCAGGATGGCAGTTTGGTTGGTTGGAGAAGGATATGGTGATGGCGGGAGTTACAATACATTACTTATAGGGGAAGATAGGCTTTTGAAAGGTTAAAGCTTAAAAGTGAGAATGGAAAAGGGATGAATGAATGAACATGATGAGGTGAGAGGGAAGAGGTAAAGGGAAAAGGAGAACAAGCAACTCTTCTCTGCGTGGCACCTGGGATGAATGGTTTCTGGGGACATCCCTGATGGCAGTTTTGTGGAGAGGTGCAAAGCTTTATGTGTTAAGAAATGAGCTGTAGGCTCAGTGCAGTGGCTCACGCCTGTAATCCCAGCACTTTGGGAGGCCGAGGTGGGTGAAAAGAAAAAATGGGCTGGGCGCCGTGGCTCACGCCTGTAATCCCAGCACTTTGGGAGGCCGAGGTGGGCGGATCATGAGGTAAGGAGTTCGAGAGCAGCCTGGCCAACATGGTGAAACCGTGTCTCTCCAAAAAAATAGAAAAAACATCCCTGTATGGTGGTGAGCACCTGTAGTCCCAGTTACTCAGGAGGCTGAGGCATGAGAATCGCTTAAACCTCGGAGGCGGAGGCTGCAATGAGCTGAGATGGTGCCACTGCACTCCAGCCTGGGTGACAGAGCTGGGTGGTGGCTCAAGATATGTTTTGTAAACCTGAAGATTTGAGATCATATAAGCCAAATCGAAACTTAATTGGCATTCATAACTTTTGGTTCTAGAGACTCCATGATCAACTAAGAGCCACCAAACATTTCCCATGTAGACTATTTTGACCATGCTGACTCTACTGACACTGTGGTTACTGAATTCACTTTATCTCTAGAAATTAATTCTTACTAATGGATGTCTGTCACTGTAAGATCCTTCTCTCCTCTGAAATAAGGAGAACATTTTAACTTCAGTAGTTTAAACTAGTGTCCTAAACTATAGCATTCAAAATGAGATAATATGCTAAAGTAATACACAAACCAAAAATCCCAGTGGCTAACACAAAAAGTTTTTCTTATTCATTTTACATATCCAGGGTAAGTCAGTAATAGACGCAGACACACCCAGAGACCAAGGATGAGTTGTGATCTGTCTGCACACATAGTTCACAATGCCTGAGTGAGTTGTGCTTTGGCCTTTAAACTTCCACTCATGTTTAATTAATAAAGATTTTGCTCAAATGCCATTTGATGATGAGTTTCATGACGATGATCAACTTTAAAAGAACTTGGAAGTACAATCCTCAAGCGTTTCTGGAAATAGCAGAACTACAATATTTGAGAAAAATATTTTTTAATGTATAAAAAATTGGCAGGGTAGGCTAGCAAGCAAGAGACCTAGAGAAAAGTTGATGTTACAGTCTCAAGTCGAAAGGCAATCTGCAGGCAGAATTATTTCCTTGAGGGATCTCAGTCTTTTAATATAATCAATTGACTGGATGAGCCCTACAATATTTTGGAAAATAATCTGCTTTTCTCAGAAATTACTGATTTTCATGTTAATCTCATCTAACAATACTTTCAGAGCAACATCTATACTGGTATTTGAATATATAACTCTTTTATCTTTTAAAATATCAAATAATACAGTTATATATACATACACACATATGTATATATGTCACCTAAATTGTAGATATCAGAAATCAGAATGCTGTGATATGAATATTTAGTATATTTTAATCATGATAAATTATACATCCTTCTACCTTATGATAATGGATTTTAAGATCTATGCTGTTAAACTCTATATTTATCCTTTAATTCATATCTTGCTTATTTTACATTTATCTGAGAATACATTGGGTCTACTAAATCTTTACTATCATTCACAAGTCTTACATCTTAAGATAACTTTTCAATAAAATAAAAATTCTTCATTGCACCTAGAAAGGAGCAGGGTTTTGAAAGCGATCAATGATTACTCTGATACCTAATATAATAATATAATATAGTAAAAATCAAAATACTTGAATGAAAAATGTAAAATTAATAATTTTGCTTTCATTGTTTTTATTCCAGTGTCTATTTTAGAATGTTTTTACTCTAATTGTGTTTTTATGCAAAACCAAATGAGCTTTAGATAATTCCATTGATACATTACATATGAAAGTTCTCGTTAAATAGGATATAGCATATTTTACTTAAAAATCCAAATTATAAAATAAAGAGGGATTTTAAGTTGAGTCTAAAATTTTTGTTTCAATTTTGTTTTTATTTAAAGACTTGCTATAATTCTGTGAGAGAGCTATAAAAGTCTGCTCAGAAACATTATAATGTAAAATGGACAGAGAAGGACAATGAGATATTTAATTTGCCACGGCAAAGCCATTGCTGTGAAGAATGGATAATATATGTCAATGGTAATATATGAAGAAATAACACAGGTGAATAGCAGAGGCAATAAATCTGTTTTTACCACAGGACTTGTCTTACACTTTTCTCTTAGTAATAAATAAAATAATTTTCGACCAGATGGAGCTGGCTTGAAATCCTCTTGTTTATGGCAGTACATATCGGTTATGATTCAAAAAATATAGCCCATTTCCAAAAACCTGCAACAAAGAGATACTTTCTCAGGTGAGTGTTCAGATCATTATTCATTACAAAGTGTCAGTTTTGTCTTTATTGATCCTCATTATTGTAAGAAAGTATGTGGTCCTGTCTCCATTCTATTAAAACAACATTGTAGAGATTAGCACTGAGTCTTTCCAGCCATGTGCATCTGTTCATTTCCGTCTCCAGCTTGAGTTTTTCTGTGTATTACAAAATAAGAAAACAAAAATGACACAATAATCTATTTTGTCTGGTTTTGCTCTTTATTAGTAGAAATAGACAAGTGAGGAGTTGGAGGAAGAAATTGCTTCTGATCTGTTTTAGATACAGGTGAAACTCTCCCTCCCTCCCCGCCCTACCCAGTCTTTCTCTGTCTCCCTCCCTGAGCCTATTCTTGCTTCTTCCCTTTACAAATAATTAACTGCTCAGGTCATGTTGAACCAAAAAATAGCGTCTGTAGCCCCTGTGTGCTTACTTTAAGTATATGTTACTGAAAAATGCGGAGTGAGCACTTAACAACTCATTCTCCTGGGAAGCACAGTGCTACTATACCCCAAATGCTTTTCTTTATCATTTTAATTTTTATCTTCTTTACTTACATTTCCAACATCAGTTAAGAGGGTCTTGTAGTTTTCTAACTGAAAGGAGACTGTAAAATCTCCTTGCTCAAAACTCAGATGCAGAATATTATTTTTACTACAATAAATACATCTACAACAATGGTATTATATCTGGTTTATTTCAAAGTCAAGTTCTAATACAGGTAAACAAATATACTAATAAAGAGATAATGCTTTTCTCATGAAATGTATAATCTAGTAGGAATAAAGATAAACAATTTTTTTAAAAATTCTATTTCATTAAGCAAAAATGCAACTCAGAAGAATAATGTATATTAGCAGTCATTTACTATTTTTCAATTAAATTCCGATATATATGTAAAGTAAATTATTACTAATATCAAACATAGTTTAAAGAATTAGTGACTATGTGCACTTGGATCTCCATATGTAATGTACTATCAGCATCTTCACAAACACAGTAAATTTTAATATGCAAGTAAAACTTATTTTACTAAACGATGATTACTCCTTCTATATTCATATTCCTAAACACATACAGTTTCTTAATGTAATTAAGTTTTTAACTAAAAAAAGGGAAATGCATTATTGAGGCGATAGGATTACTGGGTGGCTATAAACACATCTGCTGCACAGCTGACATTTATCTTCTACAATGAGCAGTGACAATTTTATTTTTTAATAATCAGTATGGACTAATCCTGATGATTTTTTTTAACATTTTCAAATAGGGCTGCATATGGCTTAAAATTAATATATACATGTGTACCTATATAATATTCTTATTTATTAATGGACTTCCTACATAGCTCATATTGACGTTAGATTTAAATGAAATTCCAGAAGGGTTTTCTATAGGTAAGTCATACATTGGATTTCCATATTACCTATGATTATTGAAGTATTTATTTCTGTTTTTAAGACTTCAGAGCAATTTTGCTGGTCATTTGTTTTCTGTGTTTTTATTTTGAAATTGTTCTTTGAGGCATTGTCCTATTACATTTTTAAGGTATGTTAATAAAATAATATTTTTAATGAAATTTTGCCTACTGCTTTCCAGGTGAACTCTTGTTTAAAGTATTAATTCACCAAAAATTACTTATATTCAGAAAATGAACTAAAAAAAATAATATGACGTGTTCAAGAAAGTCGAACAAAAGTTACGTGATGTTTGCAACATACACAACTCCATACCCTTCTCAAATAGTAAAGAGAATAGTAAATAGAATAGGTAGTAAGCAGAGTAGGAATTGTGGAATATGGAACTCTCAGTCACTCAACTGACTTTATTTTTTAGTAATACGGGATTTGAATTATTCAAGCTGAAGCCATTAAATATTCATAGTGCTTCGTATTATAAAGTTATTGATTAATGTCTTTGGTAAAGAACACTATTATTTCTGATTACATCAAGGTCATCCCGAGGAACAGGACCAAAGCATAAAGTTTTATATATGAAATATGAGAAGTTAATACATAATTCATATTTAACAGATAACATAAATGTTAACCCCTTGGAGAATCTGAAGCTAATACCCATGTTCTTCTGGCAATTCTTTATACTGGCAATTTGGAAAATGCCAGTGTTTTATCGCTACCTATTCTTGTATTATGACATGAATTAATACATATCTGCCTCACTATTCCTGTGGGCAAAAAAAGACTGTGAATTATGTGCCAGAGAGAGATTTTACAAAATTAAATGAGGCAAAGTACTTTTCCTCTGTATACTCATTAGAAATATGCTGAGTAGTTCCTTTCAGTTCCTTTCACTTTCCGATAAAATATAATCAGTTCAGCCATATAACAGATATCTTTTAAACTTTTAATGTCCTCTGTTAGAATGAATATGATATTTGGGACCAATTCACATTTTGGAATAATGTACATACTAAGCATAAGTGAAGAATTTAAACATTAACTTGATTTAGGACTGGACTCTTAAGAGGTTTTAAAAAGTTGAAAAACGGAATTCCAACAAATTTAAATGGCTTGTTTAGGGTTTCCACAGGCAATACGGGTGGGTGCAATGGAAAGAGAATTCCTTTAATCTAAACGTGGGCTTTATTCTGGCTCTGCCACATATTGACTGTTTCATACAAATGTAACTTAAACTGCAGGTGTCATGATTTTTCACACATATACAAATAAAACAATGTTGATTATATAGGATTTGTTGAGAAAATGCAATTATGCCAAGTACAAGTATTTGGCCTATTATCTCACTTTATAAATATTAGCAATTCTTTTTGTGGAGGGAATAAATCTAACATGCTGGCTTTTAGAATTTCTTCTTATTTTTCTTTCAACTTTATTGCCATGTAACATCTTTAAGTCAATAAATCTGACAATTAGACTGTGGGTAATTTTCTTCCAAATCCATATCTTGTTTTCTCTATCCATAGTAGCATTTTAAAACAACAGAAGGGAACTTTAATTACAGTAGGTTGGGAGCCATTTTCTCCCTTTGGTCATATTTTCATTGAAATTCCTACATTGTTTAATATTAGGACTTAGTTTGAATATCACATCAACAAGGTTGCTCAATAGAAATATTATGGAATCATTTTTCTGTCATGCCACAGAACTTATTAACTGTATGTTCAAAATGCAGCTCAATTCTGATCATTTTTGCTACTTTCACCACTAGCATCCTGGTGCTAACCACCATCATTTATTGCCCAGGTTATTGAAATGGCCAGCAAACAGGTGTTTCTGATTCTGCGTAAGGCACCCTTCAGTACATCCTCAAAAGAGCAATTTGTATAATCACTTTAAAACATGTATCAGGTTATTACCTTCTTCTGTGTAAAACTCTGATCTCTCGTTTCATTCATTGTAAAAGTCAGAATCTTGCACAATGCTTTATAGATGCTCCACCACATGAAGCCCCCAATTCTTCTATGGACTTCCCTCCTTCCACTATGTAATTTTCTCACTCAGCTTCACGTACAGTATTTTCTTGGTTATTACTAAACATGCAACAGATACGGTTTGTTCTATATCTTCCTCATGCTTTTGGTCAGATGCCATTATCCCAGTGAGGTTTTCCATAGCCACTTTATTCAAATTCCAAACAATCTGTCCCCTTAGACATTCTCCATTCTTAATTTTTTGCCATTGTACTTACTACAGTCTAACACACTATACATGTTACATTTTTGCTTATTGTTTATTGTATAGTCCCTAGAATATTAGTTCCCTGAGGACAGAGATTTCTGTAAGCTTTTCCAAAGATGTATCCCCAAAGCCTAGAATGCTACCTGGCAACAAATACTTGTTATAATGAATTAGAAGTGGGTAGATTCACACATCAGAGACAGCGTAGTGTATATAATGATTTTTTAAAGCATTAGAGTCATAGATATTAGGATTTGTATTATGTCTTCACCATTTACAATTATGCTACCCTCAACAAGTTGTTTAATCTTTCCATTCCTCAGTTTCCTCATGACTCATATATTGGAAATATTGTCTACCTTAGAGCTCTTCCAAGAGTAATATTGAGACAATGTTTCAACAATGTTTAGCACATTGCTGAATATTAATACATTATTTCTATTAATGTAAGAAATTTCATAGACTTGCTAGAAATAACGAGGATGGAATATAGATGAAGATCATAAAACATGATGGAAATAAATGTTGGAAAATGTGGGTGGTATCCTTAGCACACTCTCTAACGTAAGGAGTAAAATCTGTGTCATATGACTTTATCTTTCTTCTGGAAACTAACGGAATTTAGTAACACACTTTTCTTGACCTGAGGATTTGCCCTTACCACAAAATTGTTTTTGAAACTTGAGTGTTTACAATGGCTTTTTACCAGTTCTTTTATGTTCTACCAGTTCCTCTCCAATTTACTATGGACTGAAGTCACACTAATTTGTTAAGAGCAAACAAAACAAAACAAAACAAAACAGTTATTACCTCATTCTAGCCTCAAAGCATCTGCCTTTTCAATGCAATCAAAATTAAATGCAATGAAAATTAAATGCAATCAAAATTAAATGCACAATTCTAATTTTGATGACTTTAGTCCCTGCTTATCTGTTATATTAGGCTGTTCTTGTATTGCTATGAAGAAATATCTGAGACTGGATATTATAAAAATGTTTAATTGACTCACAGTCCTGCAGGCTGTACAGGAAGCACAGTGGCATCTTCTTCTGGAGAGGCCTCAGGGAGCTTTTACTCATGACAGAAGGCAAAGCAGGAGCAGGCACTTCACATGGTGAAAGCAGGAACAAGAGAGAGAGAGTGTGTTGGGGTAGGTGCACTACCATGGAGACAGCACCAAGTCACGAAGGATTCGACCTCATGATCCAAACACTTCCCACCAAGCTCCACCTTCAGCACTGGGGATCTGGTTTCAACATGAGATTTGGGCGGGACATCCAAACTATATCATCTGTCTCCCTCATCCAAGACCATGTGATCCGTAGCTCACTTTTGTCTAGCAACAGATTAAATACAGCATTTTCTGTGTGATATCTTTGTTGAGGTCTTTGCAGATGGCTGTTTCTTTGTCCTGAAACTTTCTTCATCTGCTCTTTCAAAATGAGTGACTCTTCATCCTCGAAGTCTATGCTTATATATTGCTTTTCAGAGGAATCTTTTCTGAACTGGGCATTCTGCCTTCAACCAACTATTTTCTATTATAGTTTCCTGTTTGTGAGTTAATAGTCCTTTTGAAAATTTGACTACTCATTTACCTTCTTGGGTTATTTGAAATTATCTCCTCTTCACTAGATTCTATAGAAGCATAGCCATGCCTGCCCTCTTTACTGTTTCTCTACTGACTTGTTGCAATGAATATTGTCAGTAAACATGGAAATAAATCAGTTATTCAGATATCCTACCTTGGTGCTTGCTTAGATAACTCCACACTGTGATGCCTAATGACCTACACAGGGCTTTCTAGCAAGGAGTGACTTTCTTTCTGCTACGTGTAATAATGATCCGTCAACTTAAACATATAGTTATATTTCCAGCAGACGGTTTCTTGAAACTAATGTCCAGGGTGTAGTTATTCAAAAAAGCAAACTCTTCTCTTGATTTCTGCCATACATTGGTACTCTTTCTCTCTCCCTTTTTTATTTTATTATTTTTTTTTGAGACAGAGTCTCACTCTTTCACCCAGGCTGTGGTGCCATCCCAGCACACCCTGCAACCCATTGCCTCCCAGATTCAAGCGATTCTCCTGCCTCAGCCTCCCTAGTAGCTGGAATTACAGGCATGTGCCACCATGCCTGACTGATTTTTTGTATTTTTAGTGGAGACGGGATTTCACCATGTTGTTCAGGCTGGTCTCAAACTCCTGACCCCTAGTGATCCATCTGCCTCAGCCTCCTAAAGTGCTGGGATTACAGGCGTGAGCCACCCCGCTCGGCCTACTCTTTTATTTCTGTTTTGTCTTTCCTTTCTCAAGAAAGAAAACAAACGAAAACCAAAACAGTTTGGAAGACTTTATAGTATTCATCCATACAAAAGAACAAGATCATGTCCTTTGCAGGAACATGGGTGGAGCTGGAGACCATTATCCTCAGCTCCACCCATCCTCAGCTCCCACTAACGCAGGAACAGAAAAACAAATGCAGCATGTTCTTATTTATAAATGTGAGCCAAGTGATAAGAACACATGGACTCATAGAGGAGAACACCACACACTCGGACCTACCTGAGAGTAGCGGGTGGGAAAACGGAGAGGTTGAGGAAAAGTAACTAATGGGTACTAAGCTTAATACCCGGGTGACAACATAACCTGTACAACAAATCCCCATGACACGAGTTTACCTGTATAACAAACCTGCACGTGTACTGCTGAACTTAAACTAAAAGTTAACAAAAGGCCAGGTGCAGTGTTTCACACACGTAATCCCAGCACTTTGGGAGGCTGACATGGGTGGATCACCTGAGGTCAGGAGTTCAAGACCAGCCCGACCAACTAAATACAAAAAGTTAGCTAGATGTGGTGGCAGGTAATCCCAGCTCCTCTGGAGGCCAAGGCAGGAGAATCGCTTGAATCCAGAAGGCAGAGGTTGCAGTGAGCCGAGATTGTGCCACTGCACTCCAGCCTGGGCAATAAGAGTGAAACTCTGTCTCAAAAAAAAAAAAAAAAAAAAAAAAAAAAAGTTAACAAAACGTTCTTCTCTAGTTCTAAAGCACCAACACAGAGGTGATCAAAATACTCTAAGAAGCACTGGGAAACATTGAGGGGATGGTTCAAACATCAGAGCTAAGGCCTAATTTCCCAACAGTCATTATTTCTGTGGTATTTTGCATATTAGAGACGTATAGGTTCCTCACCTAATCCTTGTTTTTTCATTTTATTTTTAATACATATGAAAGTCATAATAACAAAAAAAATTCATACATCAGCAGCTCAGCTAGAAATAAAAGTCTCAATCTACTGGAAGCCCCTGTGAACTTGTATCAAATTCCTTTCTCTCTTCATAGAGGAAATAATGACTCCCAAAATGTGGTAATGAACAAATATCTCTAATTGTTTAAAATTTAGTATATGTGCAAGTCTCCACAGACACAATCATGATCATATATTTTTAGAAGTTAAAAACGTGTCTATCATCAGGGCGTGGTGGTTCATGCCTGTAATCCCAGCACTTTGGGAGGCCTAAGTGGGTGGATCACCTGAGGTCAGGCGTTCAAGACCAGCCTGGCCGACATGGTGAAACCCTGTCTCTACTAAAAATACAAAAGTTAGCCAGGCGTGGTGGAGGGTGCCTGTAATCCGAGCTACTCAGGAGGCTGAGGCAGGAGAATTGCTTGAACCCGGGAGGCGGAGGTTGCGGTGAGCCAAGACCACGCCACTGCACTCCAGCCTGGACAACAGAGCAAAAACTCCGACTCAAAAAAAAAGTGTCTATCTACCTTCTGCTTTATTTTGTTTTATATGACATTGATGATGTCCATCTATGTTGGCCCATATAATTCTTATCAATTATTTTAAATGCTGTTTAGCATTGTACTATATAAAAATATCAAAACACAGCTCCCTTTTGTTCATTATATTGCCATTTAGTTTTTTTCTCATTTTTTGCTATTTCAACAAAAAGCTGCTATGAATGTGTATGTGTGTATATATATATTAAATGTGTATATATATGAATGTATATATATATACACATATATATGTCAGAGTTTCTCTAGGCTATAAACCCAGGAACAAAATTTAAAAATCATAGGGTGTATTGGATCTTACATCACTGCAGACCCTCTCAGCATTACCTCTTGTTCCAGTCAGAGCCTTGGTTACTATTTTTATGTAGACTTTGGTCAGTTTCATAAAGATGGAAGTGATAGTATGTGGCTTCAGACCAGAGCAAGAATTCACTTTCTGCTGTGGGATTTCTCAGACAATGTTGTGTGGATTGTTGTAGGCATTTTGCTTGTTACTCATAAATGCACTGTCTAGACACATCGAGAAGTTAGCATCCATGAGGCTATGCTTGAAAAATGGAACTCCTAGAGCTGATGGATACATATTTCCCCCGTTGTTTCACTTCAGTGAATGGTCATATAGTATTCCATCACCTAACTTAATAATGTGTTCTAGATTTTACTCTCTCTCCCTATAGCACCCATCCTGTTTCTTATTCTTACTCCACAATACACTCCCAACTTAAACACACAGTCTCTTCTTTAGGTGTTGGGGGTTGGGAGTTATTACAAGATGACATGGTGTATGCATTTATTTCTTTGTCTACGTTGATTGCACTGATTTACAGTCTCACCAGCAGTTCATAAAATCCTTCCTTGCAGCTAAGATATGGGCACAAGACTAAAATTTATATCTTTAGCTGATATCTCATTCCTGAACACTCATCTCATTTGCGACTGCCTTGAATATCAAATAGGCATCTCAACCTTAGTAAGTAAAAGAGAATTCTTTATCTGCATCCTGCCAATCCTGCTTCTTTCCCAGTAATTTTTCACTCAGTAATTTGAGCCATTATTAATCTATTTTCTAAAGCTTCAAAACATGGAGTCATTACCAGCTGTTTTATATACACCATTCCAAGCCATTAGAAAGTCAATTCCATTTCACCTGGAAGTTTATTGCAAATTTGACAATTGTCTCTTACATGAACTACTAAAATAGCTTCTCAGCAGCATCTGTGTGCTGCCATTATCCATCCTTCCTCCAGTCTCTTCCCCACCAGGCAATGGAAGTCATCTCTGGCAATATAATGCATTTCACATTAGTTTCATTTTTCCAGCTGAAAATCTCAAAAGTATTTCATTTACATGCCTAATAAAAGCTAAAGATATAATCTTGCTCAGAACTATAAGCTGGCTTCTCCACCTACCATTATCCTTTGCCTTGATTACTCTGCTCTATATCATCATCTTGCATACCCTAACACATGACTTTTATACTCATTGCTCCATCTGTTATAAACATACTGATAAATAATGTTTCCTCTTTAGCAGTGATTTCCTGATCTAATCAATATTTTGGTATCATATAAACTCATTGGATTATTAGTGATTATCACTAACCTGCTATCATACAATACACATTTAATTTCTTTTCTCCTTGTTTATTGTCTAAACTGCTAGGTAGAAGGGCACTTTATCTATTCTTATCACAAACGTAGGACAACGGCTAGCACAAGGTTAGGAACTTACACGCTATTCGATTAATTGTTGTTTAATAATTGATTAAAAACTCCAGAACTTTGGGTTCCATTCTTATGATGACAATAATATAATGCTAGGGATGCCAAGTGAATAGCAAGTTTAACCAAGTTATCCTGTATGGGGAGCCACAGTTACTTAAAATGTCTGACAATCCACAGTCCTGGTGATGATGTGGAATATCACTCTCTTAATCAATGCAAACAATTTATTTAATAGTCATAGTGCTAAAGATGGCATGCCCTCCAAATGAGCAATTGCACTCTTGGTTATGCATTTATATGAATATGTATATAGGAATAGTCATGATAAAACTACTAATTATTATAAAATTTTTGGAAAAAGCATAACTATTAAAAATGAAATTGGTAACTTAAGACTACTCAATACATCAGTAAAAATGAATGAACTAAGCAAAAACATGGATGAATTTCAAAAACGAAATTTATTTTCATTATTTATTAAGAAAGAAAATTTGCACTGTTTTCAAGTCTAATACCAAACAGAACTAAATGGTATTTCTGGATAAACAAATTAGAAAATAAAATTATGAAAAATGCAAGAAAAAAATTACCACAAAAGTTGGGATAGAAGTTACATTAAGAGATGGCATGGTCTTATACAAAGAAAACCCTAAAGACTCTGAAAGACTCCTAGACTTGGCAAAAGACTGCAATAAAGTTTCAGAATACAAAGTCAATGTCCAATAGTCAGTAGTATTTCTATATAGCAATAATATTCAAGCTGAGAACAAAATCAAGAACTCAATCTCATTTACAATAGACACACACACACACACACACACACACACACACACACACATATAACTGAGAAATACGTTTAACCAAGGAGGTAAAATATTTCTACAATAAGAACTACAAAAGATGGGTGGAAGAAACCTGAAATAAAACAAACTAATGGAAAAATATCCCATGTTCATGGATTAAAAAAAATTAAAAATGACCATGGTGTCCAAAGCAATCTAAAGATTCAGTGCAATTTCTATCAAACTACCAATGTCATTTTTCACAGAATTAGAAAACAACAATCCCAAAGTGTATATGAAATTCTGAATTGAAAAAATGACCCAGATAGCCAAAGCAATTCTAAGCAAAAAGAACAAAGCTGGAGTCAGCACTTCACCCCATTTCAAATTATACTACAAACCTATAGTAACAAGAACAGCATGGTACCAATACAAAAACAGATACATAGTTTAATAAAATTAAATAGAGAACCAAGAAATAAAGCCACATACCTACAACCAACTAATCTTCAACAAAGCGTGCACAAATAAACAATGTGGAAAGGATACCTTTTTCAATAAATTGTACTAGAAAAAATGGATATCCGTATACACAAGAGTAAAACTGGATTCCTATATCTCACCATATATAAAAATTAACTCAAGATTGATTAAATACTCAAATGTAAAAACCTATACAATTCCTAGAAGAAAACCTAGGAAAACTTTACTGAATATCAGCCTTGACAAAGAATTTATGACTAAGTCATCAGAAGCAAATGAAACAAAAATAATAATAGGCAAATGGGACCTAAGTAAACTAAAAATCTTCTGCACAGCAAAGGAAATAATCAACAGAGTAAACAGGCAACCTACAGAACAGGAGAAAATATTCACAAATTATGCATCTAACGAAGTACTAATATCCAGAATCTACATGGAACCCAATAAGTAATAAACACATTATGTCATTACAAAGTAGGCAAATGACATAAACAAACATTTATCAAAAGAAGACATGCAGGTTGCCAACAAACATTAAAAAATACTCAAGATCACTGATGATCATAGAAATGTAAATCAATATTGAAGTGTGTATTAGTCTGTTCTCATGCTGCTATGAAGAAATACCCGAGACTGGGTAATTTATAAGGAAAAGAACTTTAATGGACTAACAGTTCCGTACGGCTGGGGAACATTCAGGAAACTTACAATCATGGTGGAAGGGGAAGCAATCAAGTCCTTCTTCACATGGCAGCAGGAAGGAGAAGAATGAGAGCCGAGCAAATGTGGAATCCCCTTATAAAACCATCAGATCTTGTGAGACTCACTCACTATCACAAGAACAGCACGGAGGGTAACCGCCCTCATGATTCAATTACCTCCCACCAGGTGCCTCCCATGACACATGGGGATTATGAGAACTAAAATTCAAAATGAGATCTGGGTGGGGACACAGCCAAACCACATCAAAAAGTGATTCATTTGACATGGTCTTCCCTATCTTCTCTCATTTAGGGTAACATTATTTCCTTGAATCAAAAGGGTATCCCTGTAGACTTTGAGTTCATCTTGACATCTTTGAACCATGGATTATCAATTTGCAAATGTTATTTGTTGAATTATTGAGCTATATTCCTTGACATGCTTTTAAGAATGATATTTTCATTAAAATAAATGAGGGACTCATCCTAATATTTAGGAAGATTTCTCAACATCATCACATACAATTATGAATTATTATGGACACAACAGTGGTAGTTTGGATTTTTATTGTGGTTAAACTTTTAGAAAGTACAAAGTATTCATAAATCTACATTTTAATATTTTATAATTCAAATGAATTTTAAGTAACTATTTTGATATTCTATAAATAAAAATGTCACCTATACTATATAAGGATTCACTCACTTCTCTCTGCATTCTCATCAATACCTGATGTGTTGTGACTTTTAAAAACTAGCCATTCTGACTAGTATAAGGTGACATTTCGTTGTGGTTTTAATTTTTATTTCTCTGATGATGAGACTGAGCATTATTTCATATGTTTGCTGTCCACTTGTATGTCTTCTTTTGAGAAATGCCTGTTTATGTACTTTGTCCATTTTTTAATGGGGTTATCTATTTTGTTGTTGTTGTTGAGTTGTTTGAATTTCTTGTCGATTCTGGATATTAGTACTTAGTTGGATGCATAGTTTGCAAATATTTTCTCACATTCTTCAGGTTATCTGTTTTCTCAGTTATTTCTTTTGCTGTGCAGAAACTTTTTTGTTTAATTAAGTCCCATTTGTCTACTTTTGTTTTTGCTAAATTTGCTTTTGAGGTCTTAGTCACAAATTTTTTGCCAAGGCCAATGTCTAGAAGAGTTTTTCCAGGTATTCTATGAGTACTTTTATATCTTCAGGTATTATATTTAATTCTTCAATTCATCCTGAGTTAATTTTGTGGATGGCAACAGATAGGGGCCCAGTTTTATTCCTCTGCATGTGGCTTTCCAATTTTCCCTGCACTATTTATTGAAGGGGATATCCTTTTCCCAGTGTATGTTTTTTTCAATGTTGTCAAACATCCATTGACTGTAGGTAGGTCCCTTTATAAATATCCACTAATAAAGTGACAAAGTGCCTTTGTCACTTTATTCCTGGAATTTCTATTTTGCTCTATTGAGTATTGTGTCCATTTTTATATCACTATCATATTGTTTTTGTTACTATAGCCTTATAGTATAATTAGAAGGAATGTAAATTTGTCCCACCTCTATTAAAACAGTATGAAAATTTTTTCAAGTATTAAAGAGCCACAATTCACTCTATCAATCCTATACTGGGTGTATACCCAAAAGAAAAAATATCATTATACCAGAAAAGATATTTGCACTCATTTATTTATAGCAGCAATATTCATAATACCAAAGATATTGAATCAACATGTGTCCATCAACAAATAACTGGATAAAGAAAATGATGTGATATACATATATACATATATACACACACATACACGCACAATGAATACTACACAGCTATAAAAAATAACATCATTTCACTTGCAGCAATATGGAAGGATAATTTTACACTTTATGTCTTAGTCTGTTTTGTGCTGCTGTAACAAAATACCTGAGACTGGGTAATTTATAAAAAATAGAAAATTATTTTCTGATAGTTCTGTAGGCAAGGAAGTCAATGATCAAGATACCAGCATGTAATGAGGGCCTTCTGTTGCACTCTCAGATAGCATTAGTTTAAATGGCAAGAGAAAGGCAGAACTCTATTTGAGAGGGCTGTTGCAACCTTACAGCATGATACATCTTGTGAAATATGGTTTTGAACATTTTTATTAAAAATGTAGGCATCAAAATCTCTACCATTTGTGTCATGTTATAATAATAACTATAAAACTGCATTATTCAGAATATGTAACAATAAAAATTAATATTAAAAAGTTTTAAAATGTATTTGCTTTTGCATATATCGTTTCTATTGATCATAACAACCAGATGTGATAACCAGGGCCAGATATTTCTACTGTTATCATTAGAAATCAAAGAAAACTAACATATTGGATGGTTTTAAAAATTATAAAAATTGTAAGTGTACATATAAATATTAACTTGTAAGTCATCTTGCAAGTATTATAATCAGATTTCATTTTCAAATCGTGATGAATCTAACATGATACCTAAGTTTGTATATTGAACAATGTGTATACATGTGCACACACTTTTAATTTATATTTTTCTCATTCTGAGTGATAATGCAGCAAAATTTAAAGAGATTACACTATAATTATGTTTAAAATCTTACTTGTACTTTTGAAACAAATCACAGGTTGAGTCATGATAACAGGACAAAATATACTTAGCTGCTGAATATAAACAAAGTATACAGAAGCGTAAATCTTGCGAGCACAAAAGTGTTAAAAACAGCAAGATCTAGAGGCTCAAGTACAAGAGAGATATATTATACCAAGAGCAGTAATCTCAAAAATTTATATCCCAAATGTGTAGACTTGATCTTATTTTCAGTCAGTGTGTTCTGTATGGAAGATGAACATGCTCCTGACAACGGAGTATGATTTAGAAAACTATATCCTGCACAGAGGGATATAAAATGTGATTATATACTGCACTTCTGTGCAAAATTTTAAACAGAATTTAATCAATCACTTTGAAACCTAGATGTATTTGTGGAACAATGACATCACTTTGAAATTATGTGTAGTTTGTAAATGCACAAAATTAATAATGTATTTTGTGTAAATGGATTACTTTGGAAAGAAACTCATAAGAACTACATTATCAGACAAAACATTCTTTGAAAATGTGTGTGCTACAAGGCAATTTGCCATTTCATTTTAATAGAATGTTCCATGCTGAAAATGTCTAACTGCTCAGAAGTGGAATAGGAGTGTAAATTTATTATCTGAGAAAAGAAAATTAATTGACACAGGCCAAAAATGTAATGGAATTAGACCCATGTGCCTTAGTGAGAACTTAGGAACTCGATCTGGGCTCTATGGAGTGACAAAATTATGCAAAAAAAAAATGAAGTATGTCATTTTTGCACAAAGCTCAGGATTTCTCAAAGGAATATTACATAAAATAATGAAGTCTCCTTTATCTCCAAGACAGTCCAGTCTTAGAACGCAATGGAACATGCCATTTGAAATAAAAAACAAATTTTGTTTTTGTTTTGTTTTGTTATGTTTGGTGCTATTTTAAGTATTTAACATTCATAAAGAGAGAATTAGCAATTAATGAGATAAAGTTTAAAAAAAATCGAGATCAGGACAAGGTAAAAAAAAATCATTCAGTCTTGCAAATCTGTTATTTAATAGGTCATGTTTTAAGAACTGGGAATACAGATACTACGTGTATTTTAAATAGAAAATTTGAAATGTACAAGAAGTCATTTTTAAATATAGTCACTCTGCTATAAAGTCAATCTCTAAAACTCAATCTTTGTGTCTAACTGAAACTGTACCCTGTGAACAACATCTCCCCATTCCCTATCCCTTGCCTCCAGCATTAACTAGCATTCTACTCTCTACTTTTAAGGGTTTGCCTTTTTTCGATTGCTAAAAAGTCTATTTTCAGTGTTCTCACAACAAAAAGATAAATATGTGACATAAGAGATGTGTTAAGCAGCTTGATTTAATCATTCCACAATATAAATATATACGAAGACATAATACTGTACCCCTCAAAACAATTATTATTTGTTTATTTAAAACATTTAAAAACAAAAAATGAGACAAATATCAGGAAAGTAATTTTATACATAAGCTAGATAATTGCCTATAGCTGCGTATGCTGTGAAATAATTTCTGTTTGAAAAGACAGGAAAAATTATATGGCAAAACCATAGTGCAGTAATAAATTTGCCATGTTTAGTAAACAAAATATAGTTCAATGTGACTGAAGCATACCAAGAGGCAGAAGAATGTGGTGTACACTGTAGTGTAGAGGAGTGTCTTAGTTTGGGCTGCTATACAAAATACCATAGATTGAGTGGCTTACAAATAACAAAAAAAGTATTTCTTACTGTTCTAGGGGTTGGAAGTCCAAAGTCAGAGTGCCAGGATGTTCTGGTTTTGGGGAGGGCCCTTTTGCGGTTGCAGACTGTTGGGTTTTTGTATAAGCACATGGGGAAAGAAGTGAGAGCTCTCTTAGGTCCCTTTTATAAGAACACTAAGCCTATTCATGAGGCCTCTACTATGACAACCTAATTACCTCCTGAAGGTCCCACTACTAATACCATTACATTGACAGTTACGATTTCAATATACAGATTTTGAGGGTACACTTTAAAAATTCAGTCCGTAACATTCTGCCCCAGGTTCCCCAAAATTCATGTCTTCACATGCAAAATGCAGTCATTCCATTCCAACAAATCCACAAATCTTAACTCATTCCAGCCTCAAGTCCAGTCTAAAGTCCAAGGTCTTATTTAAATATTACCTAAATCAGATGCAGGTGAGCTTCACGGTACAGTTCATTCTCACAAAATTTCTCTTCATCTGTGAACCTGTGGAATCAAACAACATGAACTCTCAAAATACAATGGTGAGACAGGCATAGGATAAACATTCCCATTCCAAAAAGAACCACTATTCGAAAAAAATAAAATATATGAATGCTGGATCCCAAGTAAATCTAAAACCTAACAGGGCAAACTCCATCAAACCCTAAGGTTCAAGAAGCATCCTCTTTGGCTTGATGACTCACCTTCCAGACAGTCCCCGACAGCTCAGTGAGGCACTGCTCGCTGCTGACTCTATGCACTGGACCCACTTATGGCACAGTCTTTTGTCAGGGCTGAGGTCACTCACCCAGGGCTTCACTGGATGGCCCTCCCACACAGCTCCTCTGAGCATCATTTCTGTCCTTTGAAATCAAAATGGAGGCAACCTTGGCCCACCTTGCCATACCCTCTGGATTTTTGGTAAAAGCAGCAGCTGTAATTGTCTCCAAATCCCCTTTGCGCCCCTTCTTCCGTAATTTTGAAGGAGAGAATAGCACACATCCACAACTGAATAGCTCTCGGGTCCGGGCCTGTAGGGCTTAAGCATTCCGAATGTCTTCCTTTATTTCGTCCCATTATCTCTGTTTCCTTTAGTCCCAACTGGCAGTGTTTCTCCTGGTATAATCCCATTTCTAGTCATGGTTTGTGTTGAGATGTTTGATTAAGCCTGTGGTTCACACCCATATTAATCAAATCAGTAAGGGTCCGAAACACTCTTCATGTTCTCTTCAGAACACACTTTCTCACTTTTTTTGCAATATGGACAGGCTGAGAATTTCCCAGATCTTAAATTATGGTTACTTTTTCCTTAACAATTCCATCTTCAAACCTTTTTCTTTTTCTACATTTGACTCTACGGATTCAGAAGGAACCAAGCTGCTGCTTCTACATGTTGCTGAGAAATCTGCTGGGTTAAATGTCCAATTTCACTGCACACAAGTTCCACCTTCCGCAAAACACAAGAGCATGAATACAATTCAAAGAAGTTTGTTTCCACTTTTCAACATGGATTGCTTTTGCTCCATTTTCCAATAACATTTTCATTTCCATTTGAGACTCCAACAGAATGACCTTTACTGTCCATATTTTATCAATATTCTGTTCATGATTATTTAATTATTTTCTGAGAAGACAGCGTTTTCTTCTATATTTCTTTCCGAGCCCTCACGAGAATTGGCTTTTAAATTTCTTCCACAGTAATCTAGCATTTTGCATAAAACCTCATCAATCTCTGCCAATCACTGAGCCCAAAACCATTTTCACTTTGTTTTAGGTATTTATAATAACAGCACTCCCACTTCTCATGATCAATTTCCATCTTCAGCGGTTCAGGCTGCTTTAATAAAGTTCCATAACCTGAGTGGCTTTTAAATAACGGAATGCACATCTCACAGTTCTGGAGGCTGGAAGTCCAACAGCAGAGTGCCAGCATAATTGGGTTCTGGTGAGAGAGCTCTCTTGGGTTTCAGACTGCTGCCTTCTCAATGCAGCTTCACATGGTGGACAGAAAGAGCTCTCAAGAGTCATTTTTAAGGGCACCAATCTAATTTATGAAGCCTCCACCATAATAAGCTAATTACTTCCCAAAGTTCATTATAAATATGCAGCTTATAGGTCCTGCTACCATCATACTGAAGGTTAAGTTTTCATCACATGAATTTTGAGGGGACACAACATTCAGTTGCAACAAAAAATACTCAGTGGTTTTTAATTACAATATTGATTATGTAAATACAGAATAAATTTTAGCTCTAAACATTATCCATGATTTGATTAATTAAATTACTAGTTTAAAAAATTGAATCTGTAATTTATCTTGCCTCTATAATTATTATAAGAACTTGTAAACTTTTAACTTGTTTTCTTTAATTTGACCATTTCTGAAATTGTATCTCTAAGTATTGATATATACACTTCCTAGTGCATATAAAAGTTATGCATATTTAGAGTAATAAGTAGTGTGTTATCATGTTTTTATATCAGGGCAGGAAGGGAGAAGTTGAAGAACAAAGTGTCCTTTTCAAGAACTTCAGCCCACGTATCTTTCTACAGGACTATAACATGTCACCAGCCACAAGGGCAAGGAGACTGGGCATTGTAGTTATTTGGCAGGACACATTGCTCTTTCAAACAAAAATGGCATTCAGAAACAAGAAAGTAGGGAAGAGAGGTTTTGGTTGGACAACTTGCATTGTTGTCCCTTCTTTTCTTAGACTTCCAAATTCTTGGTTTCAGAATTCTTTATAAGGTTACCCCTCTGAGTAATTTTATCGGTCCATTAAATCTCCCAAGTCCAGGTCCCCAAGCTCTTCTCAACTAGTATGACAGCAACTTGTATAGAGATGTCAATGCAGTACAAATGCTTGTTTTAAAGTTGTTTTAATCCAGCTTCTATCATTCTAAATATTGTTTTAATCCAATATTCTAATTCAGAATATTGAGAATAAACTAATCTTACATGAAATATCTTTTTTCTCCTATTATTTGATATGTGTGTCTATAAAATAACATTTTCTAATTACAGAATGTGCAAGCAAAAAACAAAAAGGGCCTGTGTCCCTAGTCCCATTTTCTTGCTTGGAGGTAACATCCACAACATTTTTAGTTTTCTGTTGTTCTTCTCTAATGCTCCCAATAATATACCTTTGTTGTGGTTATTGTTGTTATTATTGCTCTTGCATCAAGCACTATCTCTTAGTGCTCATGCACGTCCTTACCGAGGTCCATTTCTTTACTCTCTGCCCCATTCCAAGTTGTGTCAGGTAGAGGATTATACTGATCAAGTCCTGTTTTTAGCTATCTTCATAACATTAACACTTTAAACCTCAATGTCTTCACTGTTCTACTGTCCTATGAGCTCTAGCAATCTCAAGTTTCATGTCACTTCTCAGACTATGGCAATGGTAATCTGCATTAATGGCAAAATCATTAATATTGATGAAAATTTTTATTTTCTGCCCTTCCCAAAATCATCTATTTCTTTGGAATTTACATTAGCAGGCAACAATGGCAGTGGCAATACTACCTTTTGGAAGGTAACTGTAGCTCCACCCTTATCTGTAAAAAGATATGTATTAAGACCCCCAGTTGATGCCTGAAACAGTGGATAGTAAACATGTACTATTTTTCCTACACATACATACTTATAATAGACTGTAATTTAAAAATTAGGCATAGTGAAATTTAACTAATAATTATAGTAGTTTATTAGTTAAACTACTACTAATTATTATAGTAGTAGTATTTGTTTAAACTAATATACTCATTATGGGAGTAGTATTAAACTAATAGGCTAATTATATTAGTTTAATAATTCTATTAGTTTATTAGTTAAACTAACACTACTAATGATAATAGAATTATATTAGTTATACTAATATATTATGTATAGGAGTAGTATACTTCTATAATTATATAGGAATATAATTATATTCCTTTTACTAATAATTATATGAACATAACTAATAATAGAATTATTATAACAATATACTGTAGTAAAAGTTATGTGAATGTGGTCTCTCTTTCTCTTGAAATACCTTATTATTATCTACTTTTCTTTTTGTGATAAAGAAAACAGGGAGTAGGATGGACAACCTGAGAATTTATCACGTTATGGTACACAATTTCAAAGTTATTATTTCTATAACTTTTATTTAATATTTTTCAAAACATGATTGACCCCTGATAGCTAAAACTGGGGAAAGTGAAACCGCTGGTAAGGGGGGACTGCTGTGTTGCTAAAAGTGTCTTCCTTTGCTAAATGTACCAAGAGTAGATTCTCAAGAGGAGTAACATAGATAGGAATTTACGTTGTAGATGGCCTCAGCTATTGCTAAATATCTACAAATTCACTTGGGAATAATATAAGCAGCCACATCAGCAACAATATCTTGAGTAATATTGTTAATGGAGCATCAGGAATTAGGGCTTTGCAATTATGAGATACATTTTTCCAAAGACATGATGCAAACATCCTTAGCAGTAGAAGAAAAAAGTTGAATTCCAACTCTTTGTCAAGAGGCATTTTTGGGAATTGTTATTATATCCAATTTTCGCCCAGGATTATGTGGCATGATAAATATGCCTTACAATAACTTAGTTAAGAATATTATAGGTAATACATATTTCATCACCTTAAGAAATGTGAATGGCTGTTTGGAGGTATATTAACATCATGTAGATGGAGGCTCAAGACTGCTGAGATAAAATTGAATACATTTAGAAAGACTGATGGCATATTTTCCTGAAGAGAATCTTTAGAAAACCAAAGAGTTAATGTCAGGTTTTCATATGTCTTAGTAGTCTGAATAAAACCTGTTAAATAATTTTTCCTGGAAGAAACATATTACTATTTAATTTTCAAAAAGTGATATTAATAGTTAATTATCCAGTTATCTGGACTTTTTCCAAAAGAGTTTATCTATAAAGAGCATCTACTCTATGAAATGTAGAAATAAACTCAAAGGATAGTAAATCAGTATTCAGTCTGTAAATATTACCTCACTGTGTCCATGACATTTGTGAACTTAGTAACCAAATTTAAGGATTTAATGTGTTTGCTTGTTGTTAACATATATGGAGAGAGAAAAATAAATGGATGAATTTTCAGAATTTATCTAATTTTCTCCTCCATCAAAGTTAAAAATTAGCTGTTTGATTTCCTATACTGAGCTAAAATTCTCTGGCATTTTATCTTGATATTACTGACATCCTGGAAGGAGTATCTTGTTTGTTTGGCAAGTGGATTTTTTTAAAAAAATAAATTATTGCTTCATAATTTTTATTGTTTATATTTCAAGGTTATGAAAAATGCCCTTAAAAAATAGATGGTATATATATATATATATATATATATATATATATATAAAATATATATTTTAATCTGCATGTAGTATACCTGTTGTGACAAAAATAAACGAAAGCTTAATTTCTTGCCAAGTTGTAGACTATTACAGTATATTATTTTAAGCGTTATGCTATACATACTTCTTTTGAAAATTTATGGAGTACATGAGATGTTTTGATACATGCATAATAATCACATCAGGGTAAATTGAATATCCATCACTTCACACAGTTATCCTTTGTGTTACAAACAATCTGATTATACTCTTCTAGTTATTTTTAAATGTACGATTAAATTATTTTTGACTATAGTCACCCTGTTGTGCTAGCAAATGCTAGGTCTTATTCATTCTTTCTAACTATGTTTTTGTACCTATTAGTCTGCCCCGCTTTCCTCCCAAACCCTCACTACCCTTCTCAGCCTGTTAACCTTTATACTGTTTATCTCCATGAGTTCAATTGTTTTAAGCCTTAGCTCCCACAAATAAGTGAGAGCATCCGAAGTTTGTCTTTCTGCGCCTGGCTTGTTTCACTTAACATAATGACCTCCAGTTCTATCCACATTGTAGCAGATGACAGGAACTCATTGTTTTTTATGGCTGAATGGTATTCCATTTTGTATATGTACTATATTTTCTTTATTCATTCATCTCTTGATGGATACTTAGGTTGATTCCAAATTTTGGCTATTGTGAGTAGTGCTGAAATAAACATGGAGTGCAGATATCTCTCTGATATACTATGTCCTTTCTTTTGGTTATACACCCAGGAGTGGGATTGCTGGATCATATGATAGCTCAATTTTTGCTTTTTGAGAAACCTCCAGACTGTTCTCCTTAAGGGTCATACTAATGTACATTCCCACTGACAGTGTGCAAGGGTTCCTTTTTCTGTATATCCTCGCCAACTTTTGTTATTGCCTGAATTTGGGATAAAAGCCATTTTAACTGGGGCCTCTTAACTTTTTCCCCACACATTTCTTAATTCCTTGATGAAAAATGCTAAAAGATAAGTCACTTTCATACTTCCTAGATACAGTTATTCATTCACTCTTTTATTTTTTTAAGTTTCTTATTTAATAGATATGTATTAAATATTTACCTTGTCTCAGCCAATGTAATGTGTGACAGGCATACAAAGATGAATATAGCAGAAAGTTTATGCCTCTTAAGAAGCATAATGAAGTCATTTAAACAAATAATAGCTACAAATTTTGATGAGCACTGTCATAGAGGTAAGAATATTATGGTGGGGTGGGATGGAAGAAATTAAAATATGTCAATCTACTTTGCGTTGTAAGGAAAATCTTGGCAAAGAAGATACATGTTATGATTTGGCTCTGTGTCCCCACCCAAATCTCAACTCGAATTGTAATCCCCATGTGTCATGGGGAGGGACCTGGTGGGAGGTGATTAGCTCAAAAGGGTGGTTTTCTATGCTGTTCTTGTGATAGTGAGGGGGTTCTCAGGAGATCTGATGGTTTTATAAGTGGCAGTTTCCCCTGCATGCTCTCTCTCTTACCTGCCACAGTGTAAGACTTGCCTTGCTTTCCCTTCACCTTCCACCATGATTATAAGTTTAATTATAAGTTCACTTATAAGTTCAGCCATGTGGAATTGTGAGTCAAGTAAGCCTCTTTTGTTTATAAATTATCCATTCTCAGGTAGTATCTTTATAGCAGTGTGAAATGGACTAATAAGATAAACTTCAATAGAATACTTAAGAAATTGTGGTAATCAACTAGTTTATGAATGGAAAGAATCATTTTATCAAAGGAAATTAAGAGCATAACAATGTGGCATTAAAACAGATTAGGGAGTTCTGAGGGTTGTAAGGATGATGGAACAGGTACATAATAGGACAATATGGGAGAATAATTAAAGAAGTCCTGAGGGTAGGTCACTGAGGCCTTATATGTTATAAAAGGGGGATTTTACTCTAGGAATTGGGAAAGTGTTTGAAGAAAGAGAATAGTGTGATTATATTTGCTTTTTAGTTTGAAAAGAAGTAGCCTGGAAATGAATGAGATTACAGCCAGAGAAGAGAAAGAATATATTTTGATGAAAGAATATATTTGGGTACTGATAGAATAGTCCGGGTTAAAGATGATTTGGACCCTGGCACATGGAGGATGCTGTGGGGTCATAAAGGAAGAAATGGTAATAAAAATAACTAAAGTTTTATTGGATGAAGTTTTCAAGCCAACAAAGCATAAAACACAGACACAAAAACGACGTCTAAAATGATTTCTTAGTTTCTTAGTCATGTATTAGGTGTCAACCAAGACAGGGAATACAGACAGAGCAGTAAAGAGTTCAGCCCCAGACTCAATCCTATATGTGATTTTTGGGCCCATCCATAAACAATGACAAAGACTTGACCAAGTGGGTCCCACAGGGAGAGCTGCCCTCCCCACACTAGTGCATAGTCCTCTAATGGCAGTTTCAGTAAGGGCTGCAGGGCCATGCTCACACACAGATCAGCATCACTTGACTGGTGCCTCCCCTGGAGGCCTCTCCACTGTGGGACCTTGGCAGACCTTCCCCAGGCATGTTTGCCCAAGACCTCCTTTTCATGGGGAGAGGAGGAGGAGTCTTGAAGACAATTGTCTTCCTTCTGATTCAATACTCAGTGCTTTTCCGCTCCCAGCCTTTTCCTGACCTTCCATAAAACTGCAGGCAGGAGCCTGTTGTTCAGGGTTCCTTTGATAGTGAGACAACTCCACATCTGTGCTGACCCATGTGATCCTTGATAGAGCTGTTTCATGAAGGAAAAAAAGGATGGGGACTGGACCGTCAGGGCTTTTTCCAGTTTAACCTCAAAGGTTTGTTAATGTCCTTTTGTCTTGATGTCTTAATTGCCTACTCCAACACCTGGCTCTCTCTCCAGAGTAGTTAAGCTCCTGATGGCTGGGGATAAATTTAATGACTACTGTTTTGTATAAGTTGAGGTTAATCTAATTAATTTACCTAGAGGGAAAATTCTGACCTCTATCTCTGAGACCTCATCTAAAACACAGAGGTCATGAAGATAAATCTGGCTTCTGCCTTCAAGGAGCTTACAGTCTGGTGAAGATGATAGCTGGATAGCTAGACATAACAATAAAACCACAGCTGTTCCCTTGTGATAATTTCTGTTATGAGTTATGTACATTGGAATATGAAAAATATATAAATGGTACATAACCAATTCTAGGAGGTCAGGGCAAGCTTCCTGGGAGAAATGCTGTCTATAGGTAGACACAGAGAGACAAGAATCAAAGCCTCTTCTGAAGAAGGGTTAAATAAATCTCAGGCAGATAGGCTATGCATGACCTGCTTCTTTTATCTGTCATTTTTGTTGTTCAGTTACTTGCTAAATTTTAAGAATTTTATATATATATATTATATTTATAATATATTATATATATAAAATATACATGTGTATATATATATATATATATATCTTCTACATATCAGTGCTCTGTCAATTCAGCCTAATTCTGGCAAAAGCATTAAGGACTTCAATATTTACCAGGTTTGAAAGGGGAGCAGTCCTTTGAATTAGAATTATTTGAAAAATGTAGGGCTATTTTGAAACAACTACCCAATTGAAAATGCATGGACACTATAACTATTATACTTGCAGATGCATACAAAAATACTTTTATTGTCACATGGGCACAAAGATGTATATTGAAAGCTGTTCACTGAAACAGTATTTATAATAATGAAACCTGGAAGCAACATATCTCTTAATGGGGATATAGACAAGTAAAGTACAACATATACATGTTATAGAAAAAAATGCAGCCTTCTCAAAAATGGGTAAGCTGTATAGATATAGAAAAGAAAAAAGCATTGTATAAATAATATGTACACTTTAATAAAAGTTGTACTAAATTTTAAATGTAATATAAATATCATACCTTCTATATATATAAAATTATCAAAAAGACTGAATTATAATACATGAAGAGTAGGAAAAAATAGTTGCACTGAGTTTTATATTTTCTGAATGTTTAAATCTTTCCACACAATATGTAATAATTATACTTTTAAAATGCCAGTAAGGTAATATATACAAATAGCTAATTAAAGCTTAATAAGAACTTTGGAAAAATATTTTTAATAAAGGTTTTACATACATCAGGGTTACAATTAAATTTAACATGCTTTTTATTTTGTCAATTTCTTTTATTTAAAAAATACTTAAACTAACTTCCTTTTTGGTTTTTCCTATTAAAAGAAAAAGCATTTTGCCCTCATAAAAGAAAATTAGTTTCAGATTACTAGTAATTATTTAGGTACTAATTAAAAAATAATGAATCTCAGTTACTAAATACACAAATAAGGGAGTTATATGAAACTGTGCAATAGTCATTCTATGGATAGTCATATTTAAAATAAAATGAAAAGAGACTAAAATATGCATTTGTGCTTTTAACTCTGAAAACCTGAATACCTATTCAACTGTTGATTCTGAGTATTTACAGAACTTTATTTCTTCTTTGGACATGCTTTCGCAGTTTTTACCTAATGTATACACATTTTTGCCTTGTTCTTAATAATTAAATATCTGAGAAAAAGATATTCAAAAAGTGGTTTTTTGTGCGTACTCATGATAAACAGTAACATAAAAAGTTACAGAGGTCGGGCCCAGTGGCTCACGCCTGTAATCCCAGCACTTTGGGAGGCCAAGGTGGGTGGATCACTTGAAGTCAGGAGTTTTAGACCAGCCTGGCCAACATGGTGAAACTCCATCTCTACTTAAAAAATAAATAAATAAATAAATAAACAGGCATAGTGGCTCACGTCTGTAATCCCAGCTACTGGGGAGGCTGAGGTGGGAAAATCACTTGAGCCCAGGAGGCGGAAGCTGCACTGAGCCAAGATCACGCCATTGCCCTCCAGCCTGGGTGACAAAGCGAGACTCCATCTCAAAAAAAAAGAAAAGTTATAGAAATAAATATGATGATATGATTTACTGAAAGCAAGTCTCAAATGCCTAAAAAAGGCCAAACTTCCTTTGGTCTTTGGATATCATTCTGGAGGGTGGGTGAGTCTACTTTTGTTTCAAATGTGTTATTTTCATTTATTTTTGAGCAAAAATATCATTTTATAATTTACACTTATTGAACATAAATGTGGAAATACTACTAAATTGTCTCCACATGGAAAATTTCTTGTGACATGTATTTCATCTAACTTGTGAAGTTCACAACTATTTCAAAAAACAGTTAAGCTTGTTCCAAAAACTCACTGCCATCCCACCAAACACACATATGGACTTGAGAATAATTAGGCTTTCAGAAACCACTTTAGTATCCAATTAATTGTAGTTTTCTTCAGAAAGTGGTGTAAATCTGATTATATATAGTTGCTTCATGTAGTATAAATCTGATTATACACAGTTGTTTCATATAGTATATATCTGATGATATACAATTGCTTCATGTAGTTCAACTTGTTACTAGATAATCCATGTGTAATTGTCACAGAAAATCTTACGTGTACATTTGGACAATGTCTCTATCTCTGTTTCTTTCTCTCTGTTTCTCTCTCTCTCTCTCACACACACACACACAGTCCTTTACAATTACTTTGGGAAAAAAATCACAAAAAGGAAAAAATCATTAATCTGAGATTATAACATAAAATCCACAATTTGTCTGTAAACTATCTTTAAATCTATGTTTATACTTGAAATCTACTAGGCTTATGAGAGTCAAAGACTTCCAAGCTTTGAATATTCTTTTCACTTCAAAAGGAACTGAAAATCTAAATGTAATTTGGTACACCTTTTAAAATATTCACTGCTGCCTGCCAGCTAGCTGCAGGTTATTTTAGCTACTAGAAGCAGCACTAATTTGCAATATCTTTCTAAGACTATCTATAGGTAAAAATTTGACATTGGCTGACTCTAACCAATGTCAAGCTTTAGGATAGCAACGTAATCCCTAAAAGAAAAATGAGAAATAACCTAACTATCTAAACATCAAAAACAAATTAACCTTGCTTGCCCATTTTTAGGACAACATAACGGTTTCTTGAGATTTTCCAACATTTATGAAAAGATAAAAATTAAGATGAGTCATTTAATAGCATGCGTGCTTGAACCAATAAAATGATTTCTTATTTTATGAGTTGTTTTTAAAAAATGAGCCCAGATGTTTCAAATTATAAATAATTTGTCAATTTATGCATAAAGCCAAATTTGAAAAATGTGACTGGTCATTCCCATTAAGAAACTCAACTGAAAATCTGTTTCACTGAATCAAGCTTAAATAAGTAATTGTGTACTTAGATGTAGCTGAATTCTAAGAACTATTTGGACCACAACTTATAGACTATTTATATATTTTGCAAACTGTTTGCTGTTCTCTGACTTCAAGTAAGAGAGAGATATTAAGTGACAAATCATACAACGGAAAGGGAGAGCTATTAAGTGATAAATCATACAGTGGAAAGAGAGTTATATAGGAAGACTCTCCATTTTAACTCAGAATAAAATATGTAACCATCTTTAAGTTTTAATGGGGAGACCTGTGTGGCTGACTTTTTTTTTTCCCAATCTAGCTTCCTCATTTGGAAGAATGTTTTGTTTCTGTATATGAAAACTGAAGGATTTCTATTCAAGGCCACTGTGGTAGACAGAATAATGGCTTACTAAAATGTCGACGTCCTAATTTCTGGAACCTGTGAAAATGTCACCTTCCATGACAAAAAGGACATTGTAGAAGCAATTATTTAAGGATCTAGAGATGAGAATATTAAGATGGGTTATTTGGGTGTTCCAAATGTGAACCCAAGTGGAGTTCTTGTAAGACTGAGAAGATGCCTTCGAGTTAGGAAGGAGATGGGAGATGTGTTATGAAAGCAGAGGTTGGAGTGACAGAATTTCAAGATGGAGAAAGGGGTTATAGCCAAGAATCCAAGCAGCCTCAAGAGAGTAGAAGCTCTTGATTTTCACCTATGTGACTCTATTTTAGTCTTTACTTGCAGAACTGTAAGATAGTAGATTTGTGGTGTTTTAATCCACTAAGTTGGTAGTAATGTGCTCCAGCCACTATGAGACAAATACAGTATACACACACACACACACACACACACACACACACACACACATATATGTGTGTGGGTGTGTATTAGGAAAAGTAGTAAATCTAAATCTAGACTTTCTCATTCTCACCTAGGTTCTTATATTTTTAATTATATAACTAGTTACATAACATTATTTATATAATACTAGTTATATAACTAGTGCTCTGTTATTTTCCTTCTATTTTAATTTTTCTGTTAAAAGAAAGTTTAAGAACATATGTATCCATATATGTATATACACATGCAGAAATATATATCTGTGTATGTGTGTGTGTTTATGAGTATATATATTCAAAGTTCTGAAACGTTTTTCAAAGCAATGCTGGCAATGGAATTCTCATTTCTATTTATCTTTTCTGTGGAGGTTTAAGTATGATTTATTTGGGAATTGCTACATTATCCTGACAAAAATATAACAGTAGTGGCAATATATAATCCCCCAAAAATGTTATATCTCCAGATAACTTTTAATGAGTTGGCATTGACTAGTATGAGAAATACAAGGCACAGAGAGTGATATGGTTTGGCTCTGTGCTGTCACCCAAATCTCATCTTGAATCGTAATTCCCATAATGCCCATGTGTTGAGGGGCCTGGTGGGAGGTGATTGGATCATGGGCACAGTTTCCCCTAGATGTTCTCATGATAGTGAATGAGTTCTCATGAGATCTGATGGTTTTACAAGTGTTTGACAGTGCCTCCTTCACATGCTCTCTCTCCCCTGCTGCCATGTAAGACGTGCCTGCTTCCCCTTCCACCATGATTGTAAGTTCCCTGAGGCCTCCCCAGCCGTGCAGAACTGTGAGTCAATTAAGCCTCTTTCCTTTGTAAATTACCCTGTCGCGGGTATTCTTTATAGCAATGTGAAAATGGATTAATACAGAGAGTCTACACATTTCTTTATATAAGATATACTTGTTTTCTGTTTATAGTTAGCAATTACAAAGTTTACAGTAAAATTTTTACTTACATTCATATAACATTTAAGTTATTCTCAAAATTTTATGCAACCATTTTAGATCTAAAGTGGACTTTGTTTTTTTCCATAGAATAAGTATTTTGTAGGACTTCTCTTCAATATTGGTGTGTAGAAAAAAAAATGTGAACTTCAAGTTTCAATCAATTAAACTTTTGCTTAAACTGAAAAACCATGCCAACACACAAAAAGGTCATCTGGGGTGTGCCATTACATTAGGATTACGTACTGGTACTACACACTCAGTTGTGTAGGACATAAGAATGGATTATACTTAAACCTCTAAAGGATGGCCTGAATTAAAGTGATAGAAAATGGGAGTTAATATTGCTAGTGTTACCATGTAAAATTTAATAATTATTTGCTTAATTATTGTCTTATTAATTTAATAGTTTCTAAACAGAAATTTCATTAACAAATTAACAGGAACAGCTACAAAATTTGCAGTGTTCAGTGCAAAATTAACATATAGGACATCTTACTCAAAAATTATTTAAAACTTGACACGAATGACACCAAAGAATTAGCCAAGTGATGGGCCCCTGCAAATGAGCAGATCACATAAATCTATCCCTGAACATCAATTAGTTATAAAAAAATAAGAATTTAAGGCTGGGACCCATAGCCATAATTTTACCCATACCTGCATTTATATCTGTATTTATATACCTGTAACAGTATTTAGATCTATTTATTCACAATCTCAGAATCAGATTGTAGAGACATTTAAAGATTAACTAATACAAACTTGTCCTCTTACAAAAGAGAAAACTGAGCCGCAGTGCTTTGATTGTATCAGTAGCTAATATTAGAAATAAAAGCAACACATTATCTTAAATATTTTATGTTTTTCTTATTACTACCAGTTTAGTGCTCCTATGTATTTTGTAGTACTTCTCTTCAATATTGGTGTGTAGAAAGAAAATGTGAACCCCGAGTTTAATCAATTAAACTTTGATTAAACTGAAAAACCATGGTCAATCCCAATACACAAAAGGGTCATCTGGGGTGTGCCATTGCATTAGGATTACATACTGGTACTATATGTTGCTGCTACATGCTCTTTCACTCAGTCGTGTAGGACAGAAGAATGGATTGTACTTAAACTTCTAAAGAATGACCTCAATTAAAGAGATAGAAAATGGGAGTTAATATTGTTAGTGTTGCCATGTAAAATTTAATAATTAATATAATGTCTCATATATTCCGTGGTGATTAATTGGTGTGGAATATTTAAGCCACGAGAATAAGTACTATAAAAGCAAGAATTTATAATAGGGTCTTTAATGATCAGTTCTGTTCTTACACAGCTTCTCCCCACTCCTACTCCTTGGAAGCAACCAAGTGGTATGAGTTGGCCCCTACTCACCCCCTCCCTGGTGTCAGTGGACCACATCAGGGAAGTGAGGTTATTTTTTCACTTGGAGGAAACAAAGATATGTAACTCAGTACCCTACTTTTGCCATGAGGTTGCCAGTGGGTGGAGGGAGAAGACAAACTTCCACCTAACCAGTCTGCAAGAAGGAAGTATAAGTTAGTACTCTACTTTTGGTAGGATGGTATTAGTAGGTCCCATCAGGAAGATAAACACGCACACCCACCCAGCTCTCAGGTTACACATCAATAGGGAACCATCTACGAAATAATAAGAGAGAAAAATTCTCGTAATATAAAAAAAAATTCAGGACACAATAAAAATCACTTATAAGACAAAAGAACTAGGAAATCATAACCTGAATGAGAGAAAGACAACAGACACCAACACAGACATAAAAAAGGGGTTGGGGCTGGGCGCAGTGGCTCACACCTGTAATCCCAGCACTGTGGGAGGCCAAGATGGGTGGATCACTTGAGGTCAGGAGTTCAAGACCAGCCTGTCCAACATGGTGAAACCCCGCCTCTACTAAAAATATAAAAAGTTAGCTGGGTGCATTGGCACATGCCTGTAATCCCAGCTACTTGGGAGGCTGAGGCAGGAGAATCACTTGAACCTGGGAGATGGAGGTTGCAGTGAGCCAAGATCATACCGCTGCACTCCAGCCTGGGTAACAGAGTGAGACTGTTTCAGACAAAAAAAAAAAAAAAAAAAAAAAAAAAAAAAGAGGTTGGAATTATCTAACAAGGATTTTGAAGAAACCATCATAAAAGTGTTTAAATAAGCAATTATATATTGTATTCTCTTGGAACAAATAAAAGTTAAAATTAAAAATAAATTCAATAATGACTTATAAGTTATAAAAAGTAAACATGAACTAAATAAAATTAAAATACAATAATGGAAATAATAGATGCAGAGGATGGTCACAAAAGAAGAGAGCACAGAGCAGAAGATGGAATCAGTGAATCTGAAAACATGCCAACAGAATTTACTGTCTGAACAAGAAGAAGAAAACCGATAAAAAAAAATTTAACAGCATTTCAGGAAACTTTAGAACAATAATAAAAGAGCTAACATTCATAATCACAGGAGATATAGAAGACGAGGAGATAGAATGTGGGACTAAAAAACTATTAAAAAATAATGACTTCAACCTTCCCAAATTAGATGGAAGACATAAACCTAAATATTCAAGAAACAGAGCAAACCCTAAATAGAATACACCCAAATACATTCAATTTCTGGAAATGAAAAAAAAAAATTAAAAATCTTGAAAGCAAACAGAGAAAAATGGCACATTTCTTACAGAAAAACAATAATGTAAACCACAGCAGATTTTCCATCTGAAACCATGAAGGTTGGAAGGAAACAGATAATATTTTTGAAGTACTGAAAGAACAGAACTGTGAACTGTAAATTCAATACCCAGCAATAATATTCTTCAGGCACTAAAGTGACATAGAAAACATTGTCTAATGAAAGAATGCTAAGGTAATGTGTTGCTAACAAACTTACCTTTAAAGAATAAGTTCTCTAAACAGAAAAGAAATGATAAAAGAAGAAGGTTTGCAGCTTTTACAAACATCCATCTAAATGGGTAAAATTAAGCATAAATATAATGTATAATCAAACTTCTCTTGAGTTTTTAAGCCATTTCTAATAGTTGAAGCAAAAATTAATGACCTATCTGGTTAGATGCTCAAGGAACATAGAGGAAGTATTTAAGATAATTATATCTAAAAAGTAGTGATAGTAAAGAGACTCATATGGAAACAAGTTTTCTACACTTCACTCAAAGAGGTAAAACATCATTAACAGTAGATCTTGACATTACACATATATTATTTTAACCAGTGCAATTAATAAAACCAAACAAAATCATGTACAATCATGCACTGCATAACGATGTTTTGCTCAGCAGTAGACTGCATATATCATGGTGGTCCCATAAGATTATAATGGAGATGAATATTACCTAGTGACATTGCAGCTGAGCTGTCTTAACATCATAGTCTAACATATTTCTCACCTGTTTGTGGCAATGATGGTGTAAACAAACCTACTTCATTGCCAGTTATATAAAAGTGTAGCACATAAAATTCTGTCTAGTACTGATATTGTTTGGCTGTGTCCCCACCCAAATCTCATCTTGAATTGTAATCCTCATGATCCTCCCGTGTCAAGGGCAAGACCCGGTGGGAAGTGATTGGATCCTGGAGGCAGTTTCCCTCATGCTGTTCTCATGATAGTGAGTAAGTTTTCATGAGATCCGATGGTTTTAAAAGTGTTTGAAAATTTCTCCTAGACACACTCATTCTCTCCTGTTGCCTTTTGAAGAAGCCAACTGCTTTTATTCCACCATGATTGTAAGTTTTCTGAGGCCTCTCCAGCCATGCAGAACTATGAGTCAATTAACCCTCTTTCCTTTATAAATTACCCTGTCTTGGGTAGTATCTTTATAGCAGTGTGAGAACAGACTAATAGAGTAAATTGGTACTGGGAGTGGGGCACTGCTATAAAGATACTGAAAATGAGGAAGTGACTTTAGAACTGGGTATCGGGCAGAGGTTGGAAGTGTTTGGAGGGCTCAGAAGAAGACAGGAAGTTATGAGAAAGTTTGAAACTTCCTAGGGACCTGTGGAATGGTTTTGACCAAAATGCTGATAGTGATATAGACAGTGAAGTCCAAGCTGAGGTGGTCTTGGATGGACAAGAACTCATTAGGAACTAGAGCCCAAAGATCACTGTTACTCTGCCTTAGCAAAGAGACTGGAAGCATTTTGCCCCTGTCCTAGAGATCTGTGGAACTTTTAATTTGAGAAACATTATCTCAAATTGGAACTTATGTTTAAAATGGAAGCAGGGCATAAAAGTTTGGAAAATTTGCAGCCGGACCATGCAGTAGAAAAGAAAAACCCATTTTTCAGGGGAGGAATTCAAGCTGGCTACAGAAATTTGCCTAAATAACAAGAAGCCAAATGTTATTACAGTAGCCAAAACAATGGCAAAATTTTTCTTGGGCGTATCAGAGACTTCCATGGCAGCCCTTCTCATCACAGACCCAGCAGCCTCTGAGGGAAAAATGGTTTCATGGGCTGGGCCTAGGGCCCCGTTACTCTGGGCAACCTCAGGACTTGGTGCCCTGTGTCCCAGCTGCTGCTACTCCAGCTCCAGCCGTGGCTAAAAGGAGCCAATGTACAGCTCATCTGTTGATTCAGAGGGTGCAAGCCCCAAGCCTTGGAGGATTCCATATGGTGTTGGGCCTGAGGGTACACAGAAGTCAAGAATTCAGGTGTGGAAACCTCTGCCTAGATTTCATAGGTTGTATGGAAATGCCAGGATGTCCAGGCCGAGATTGGTTGCAGGGGTGGAGCCATCATGGAGAACCTCTGCTAGGGTAGTGCAGAAGGAAAATGTGGGGTTGGAGCTCCCACACAGATTCCCCACTGGGGCACTGCCTAGTGAAGCTATGAGAAGAGGGCCACTGTTCTCCAGACCCCTGAATGGAAGATCCACCAACAGCTTGTACTGTGCACCTGGAAAAGCCACAGACACTCAATGCCAGCCTGTGAAGGAACTGCCCAAGGCCATGGGAGCCCACCTCTTGCATTAACATGCCCTGGATGTGAAACATGGAGACAAGGAGATTATTTTAAAGCTTTAAGTTTTAATGACTGCCCTGCTGGGTTTCAGACTTTCATGGGGCCTGCATCCCCTTTGTTTTGACTAATTTCTCCCATTTGGAATGGGAGCATTTATCCAATTCTTGTACCCTCATGGTATCTAGGAAGTAACTAACTTGCTTTTGATTTTACAGGCTTATAGGCCAAAACGTCTTGCCTTGTCTCAGATGAGACTTTGAACTGTGGGCTGTTGAGTTACTGCTGAAATGATTTAAGACTCTGGGGGACTGTTAGGAAGGCATGATGTTGGGTTGGAAATGTAAAAAATATGTGAGATCTGGGAGGGGCCAGGGGTGGAATGATATATTTTGGCTCTATATCCCCACCCAAATCTCATCTTGAATTGTAATCTTCATAATACCCATGTGTTGAGGGCAGGATCTGGTGGAAGGTGATTGGATCATGTGGGCGGTTTCTGCCATACTGTTCTTACGATAGTGAGTGAGTTCTCAGGAGATCTGATGGTTTTGTTAAGTGTTTCACAGCTCCTCCTACACACAATCCTTCTCTCTCCTGTTGTCTTGTGAAGAAGATGACTGCTTCCCATTTCACCATGATTGTAAGTTCCATGAGGCCTCCTCAGCCATGCAGAACTGTGACTCAATTAAACCTCTTTCCTTTATGAATTACCCAATCTCGGGTAGTGTCTTTATAGTAGTGTGAGAATGGACTAATACAAGTACATTTTACTTAGTAATAATAATAAACAAATATATTACATTTTTGTGTATTTACTACACCATATTTTTTATTGTTATTGTAGTGTACACCTTCTACTTATTAAAAGAAATAGGCCCGAGGTGGGCAGATCACGAGGTCAGGAGATGGAGACCATCCTGGCTAACATGGTGAAACCCCATCTCTACTAAAAATACAAAAAATTAGCCAGGCCTGGTTGGGGGCGCCTATATTCCCAGCTATTCGGGAGGCTGAGGCAGGAGAATGGCGTGAACCCAGGAGGCGGAGCTTGCAGTGAGCCGAGATCACGCCACTGCACTCCAGCCTGGGCGACAGAGCGAGACTCTGTCTCAAAAAAAAAAAAAAAAAAAAGTAATAGGCAACTGTAAAACAGCCTCACAGTGGTCCTTCACGAGGCATTTCAGAGGGCATTGTTATCATAGATGTCGACAGATCCATATGCATTATTGGCCTAGAGGAGCTTCCAGTGGGACAAGATCTGGAGGTAGAAAACAGTGATGTTGATCATACTGACCCTGTGTAGGCCTACGCTAGTATGTGCATTTGTGTCTTTGTTTTTAACAACAACAACAAAAAAATTAAAAATTAAAAGATGTAAAATTACAAAAAAATCTTAGAGAATAAGGATATAAGGAAATAAAGTATTTCTGTGTACAATATGTGTTTTAAGCTAAGTGTTGTTACAAAAGAGTCAAAAAGTTAAAAATAAGTTAAAAAGTTTATAAAGTAAAAAAGTTACTGTAGGATAAGTTTAATGTATTTTGAAAGAAATAAGTTTCTTTATAAATTTTATAAATTCAGTGTTTATAAAGTCTACAGTTTTGTACAATGATGCCCTAGGCATTTACGCTCACTCACCACTTACTCACTAACTCTCCCAGAGCAACTCCTAGCCCTGCAAACTTCATTTATAGTAAGTGCCCTAATCAGGTATACCATTTTTGATGTTTTGACTGGATTTTTTACTGTACCTTTTTTTATGTTTAGATACACAAATATTTACCGTTGTGTTGCAGATGCCTACAGTATTCAGCACAGTAACATGCTGTATAGGTTTGTAGCCTAGGATCAATAGGCTGTACCACATAACCTAGGGTGAGTAGTAGGTTATGCTATCTCTATTTACACATAGAATACACTATATGATGTTACACAGTGAAGAAATTGCCTAATGCATTTCTCAGAATGTAATTTTTGTCATTAAGTGATGCAACATTGTATTTAAAACACTATAAATAAATTAAGATGGAAACTTAACATGTTTATGTAACCCATTGGAAAGCAAGAAAAAGACACAGAGGAATAAGAAACAGAAACAAACAGAAACAAATAACAAAGTGGTAGACATCAACCACAACATACAAATTGTTAAACATAAAAGGCCTATAGAAACCAACTAAAAAACATAGATTGGCAGAGTAGTTAAAAAAACAAAAATCAAAAACGAAAAACCATGGCCAACAATATTGTCCAAATTGCATTTGTACCCCATAAATAAATAATTTTTAAAATTCTGTCTATATAAAACTAACTTCAAATACAGCATAGGTAAGATAAAAGTAAAAAGAGAGAACCAGTAAAATAATTTAAAAATGCAAGTGAGGTTATAGTAATATATCAGCTACATAAATTTTATTTTATTTATTATTATTATTATTATTATTATTATTATTATTTTAAGACAGAGTGTCGCTCTGTCACCCAGGCTGGAGTGCAGTGGAGCAATCTCAAACTCACTGCAAGCTCCACCTCCCAGGTTCATGCCATTCTCCTGCCTCAGCCTCCCGAGTAGCTGGTACTACAGGTGCCCACCACCACGCCCAGCTAATTTTTTTGTGTTTTTAGTAGAGACGGGGTTTCACCGTGTTAGCTAGGATGGTCTCGATCTCCTGACCTTGTGATCCTCCAGTCTCAGCCTCCCAAAGTGCTGGGATTACAGGCATGAGCCAGGGTGCCCGGCCCAGCTACATAAATTTTAAAAAGTAAAAAAAGTCAAATTGCGTTTTTAAATATTTTACATTCCATTGCCATTCAAAGAAATAACATTGTTTTCAATACGATTAAGCAAGTATCATTAGACCTAGAAATAGCCATTTAAAAGATTATTAATATTTATTTATTTATTTATTTATTTTTAGGCGGAGTCTCACTCTGTTCACCAAGCTGGAGTGCAGTGGTGCAGTCTCAGCTCACTGCAATTTCTGCCTCACCCTCCCAAGTAATTGGGATTACAGGCACGTGCCACCACATATGGCTAATTTTTGTATTTTTAGTAGAGACTAATTTTTGTACTTTTAGTAGAGACAGGGTTTCACCATATTGGCCAGGCTGGTCACAAACTCCTGACCTCAGGTGATTGGCCCGCATCAGCCTCCCAAAGTGCTGGGATTACAGGCGTAAGTCATCGTGCCCAGCTAAGATTACTAATATTTATAAGCTCTACCTTCTTTCTTGGAGAAATGACTTTATAATTTCACTTTCTAATTCAGTTACCTGTTGAAACTAAATTAAAATATATTCATATGCAAAATGCAAGTAAATAAAAACAGCAGCTTTCTCTATGCTAAAAGGAAGTTCCTTTGGAGCTCATTTCCTTGACAATGCAAGAAAGTACTTCACTGCACTATCTTCATTATGCAAATAAAGGTGCATTTTAGCTCTTTGAAGAAGAAGAGGAAGAACATGTCTCTCAAATGGCAGGAAAGAACAAATTTCCTTAAGGAAGAGTGAGGGAAAGTTCATCAACACCAACCCTAGGTACATCTTCATTCAGACTTGAAAAGCTTTTGAATAGCGTCTGTTTATTCCTGTTAGAACTGAACTGGCAGGAAAAGACAATGGAGAAGCCACAAAGAGGAGTAGCTAGGTAGCAGCATTCAGGTCCACAATGCCTGGATTTCATTATTATTATTCTACTGTATCTTCAGGCAGTTTATGTAAATCATGTTATTGAGTTCTCTCATCTGGAAGATGAGAGTACTAATAGTTCCAGCGTTCTTACATTAGTGCTGCTGCCATTAGTTATCATCATTTAAGTGTCTGTTCTTATTGTTCAAAGAGTGACTGGCAGTTGAGAGTCCCTGGGACCTGAAGTAGGGAGGTAGAGAATTTTGCATTGGAGTATACTGTTATCTTAACCTTGGAGGCCTGAGTGTTCTTAGGTAAAAGACTGCTTTGGAGGCTGCAAATGGAACTAGAATCCCACCAGATCACAGCCATCTGACTTGGTTGCGTTTTTATGGAAACCAGCGTGTTGAGGATGTGAGACTGATATAAAAGCACTAGGATATTCACAGGGTAAAAGTCAGGAGGATCATAACAGCACAGTACTAGAGAACCAGTACGTAGTGGTGTGATGAATGAAAGCCACTGACATAACTTTCGCATCTTGTCTTCCTGTATTCTTTCTTTCTGTGACAGTTGTTGAGATCATGACCTCTTCTGGAATGGTGTTCTCAGAAGTCCTTGGACAATCAGGGTGTACTAGGAGAAAACATGCTGTGAGATGGGATGAAAGTCTTCAGGATGGACACTATACTTTCTGTTATTGGAGGATTCGGTAGTTTGAATAAGCGTTTGAATGAATAAAATATTTGAGTTGAGGACTAAATTCTGATTTTTTTTTTTCATCTTGCCCAAATTCCTATTTAAAGAAACTGGGAGTCAGCCCTACGAATGATAACATCTCTTTACATGGGTTTTTTATTAACCCTATATAATGTGGCTTGCTTTCCAACCTGACTCTGGTACAGCATCACATAACAGACAGCAGACCCTGAAGGATATAAAAATATTTTGCCCTAAAATATATTTCTTTGATGTCTTTTGAAATGGCTGTTGCAAGGCCAGCAAACTGAGGTAGAGGAAATTTGCATCTATGGAGAATCTTCATTAATGCAGCCATGCTTCCCCTTTCTATGCCTTTCCAGGACCTAGGAGTGATTGAGAGTCTGATACCTTTAAAGGTCTGAAAAGAAACATTTACCATCTATTCTCTCTGAGGGCCACCTATGAGGCTTCATCTACTTAATAAGATCCTTGGTCTTTCCCCCACTCTTATCTGAACTCAGGCATTCCTTTCTATCGATTTCAAGACTTTAGACGATAGCATAACTCTCTCAACCAATTGTCAACTAAAGGATCCCTAAAAGCCCCTTATGACGTACAAGCTCCTACCCTGACCTACCTGCAATTACCTGCAGTTGGTTGTCTCCTTGGAATGTATAAAACCAAAGTGTAACCCGGTTGCCTTGGGCACGCTTTCAGAACCTCTTGAGATAGTGTAACCCAGGCCTTGGTCACTTATACTGGCTCTGAATAAACCTCTTTAAATATATTTTGACAGAATTTGGTTTTTGTGTATTTTTCTGTGTATTTCTACCTCTGAGAAGAGGAGTAATTTATACTCTTTAAAAATCATGGTCAGGTATGACTGGTGCTAGAATGAGGATGAAGGGAAGAGAAAGGGAAGAAATAATTCTCCACTCTTTGTTTCCAATTTTAGTTCTTTAAAGTAAAAGTACAAAACATTTTGTAGAGATGTAGTTTGTGGTGGCATGGTTGAAAAACTTCTGCAGTTTATGATTCCTCCACTACAGTGTGATAATGTTTTAAATAGCATTTAAAATGTAGATTCTGTCCAATCCTTACAATTAACTTTTTTATTGTTTGGAATCCATGAAGTTGGTATATGCATGAGCAGATACATATTTATTTAAGAAAAAAAATTAGGCCTTACAGAAAATTGGTTTCTCAGAGACATGATAAAAGTTACCAGATAATGTCTCTCAGACTATATCTATGAAAAAATACATAACCAAATAGACACCAATTGCAAATGAATTAATTACATTGAAATTCTAATAACTTTCATTTCCTAAACTGACATTGATGGAAAAGAATTCTAAGATATAAAATAAGCTCTACTTCATCCTGCTTTCAATAGCACATGATTTAATCAGAATATATAAGTAATACTGTTGAGCACATAAATATTATTTTCATTACTTGATGATAATTATGACTATTTTCATTGCTATAATTTTGGTCATGCCATATTGATTAGCAATAAAATATATACTTAGCTAGAGAGGCAGCTAATCCAAAACTTTTGGGATTTCTTTTTTTTTTTAGATTATTGGTGCTCCTCCTCCTGTCATTGAGGTTAAAATTAAATGTTACATATTCCTTCTCTGTGTATGTGTATCTTATTTCCTCATATTCTACCTCTTCAGAGTAGTGTGTGTGAGTGCATGCACACACACTTGCATGTGAGAGCTTCTAATATCTAAATTAATGTTGAATCATTATTCAGAAACAAAGAGAGCTAACTGTTATCCTGACTTTATTCTTTATGAAGAAAAATACAGTGATTCCAAGTTACCAAGTTAGTGCTGCTTTATTTATAAATGAAGTAACATTTTACAAGTTGTGCATAAGTTAAAATTCAGAAATAAAACTTCATCCTAAAACTCTGTGTGTTGCTTTAAATAATCAGAGCATCTGCCTACTTAATTTTTTTTGTGTGGGTGCACAATAGATGTTTAATGAGATCCTGTCATCTGTCTGCTTTTTTATTGTAAAACAGGAGGGGTTTTAATCCTGGAGGAACAACTGATGTACCTCTGAAAAAGAGAGGGATTAGTTATTAATTGAATTGAGGGTTGTCTTGTCTTAGTAGCTTTTATTCTCTAGGTACTATTTGATTATGATTGTGAAAATAGAATTTATCCCTCATTAAATGTAAAATCAACAGGAGAATAGCAAAAACTTATGAGATAGATGAACATTGTGTGAGTGGCATGGTTTAATTTGTTTGGAAGAAGCACTTGCCCCAGAAGATACACAATGAAATTCATGTTATTGAGTAGAGTAGTAATACAGTGTGTTCCCTTGTGAAGTTCATAACCAAGAATTATTTTAGTAGTGGATAGGTAGGCTGAATAATTGACTTCCTATCATTTTCAGGTTCTGTGTTTGATTTTTTTTACATATTAATTTCTTTGATCCACATTAAGCTCAGTTATGTATTTCCATTTTATAAATGAAAAAAAAAAAAATAGGCACTTGCAAATGTCAGATCACTTGCCTGTGGTCATTCGGGTAGAGATTTGTGAAGCTAAGTTGGTCTTAATCAAATGTCAAGCTTTTTTTTTTCTTATAAAATATAGATTTTAATATGAGTTTTAAAATAAAATTAATTAGAAAAAGGCAAATTACTCAATATATAAAATGTATTGCATTTGTAATAGGTAGGTATTTCATTTTCTAGTTATGGTGGGATATTATTCAGACTATAATTCCCAATGAAAAAACTTTAAAAAATGCTAGTGATTGCACATTTAAAACACCTTTTAAAAAGCATTGAGAGCTTATAAAATTTTAATAAGTGATCAAACCAAATTTGAAGAGAAAAGAAGAACCCAGAGAGGTAAGGATATAACCTTACCAGTTGCAATTTGCCGATCTCTACAAATATTAATATTTATTTTGACAGTTTCAGGGTGAATGAGAAAGAAACCAAAACCGAAGACTAGCATATGTTAAGTCTTCTTAAGGAGCCCTCCCTTAAAAGATTGAGATGACCAAATCTTATACCCTCAGCATAAGGTGAACCAGACAGACCTAAAGCAGTGGTAGCTTGGATCCACTACTTGGGTTTGTGTGACTGCGTGACTCAGGTAATCTCAAAAATTGAACATTTTTTTAAGGTGGTCCTACTCGTATGCCCAGGTGTTAGGGAGAAGCAAATCTGAATGCTTTATAAAAATACCCTGAAGCTAAATCTTACAATATTCTCAAGAACACAGTGAAACAAGGCAAAATAAGTTAAAATCAACAAAAACAACATGAAACATAATTAGACCCACAAAGACTTCAAACATTGGACAATATCAGAGAAAGATAATAAATATTTTACTCTTTAAAAATTTAGTTAAAAGCTTAAACTAATTGTAGAGAAAAAACTGTGTTAGTATTATATTGTGGATGAAATAAGCAAAACATTTAAAATACAAATGTGATTACTTAAATTAAATATAATAGATAATTTACCACCAGATTAGATACCATTGAAGGAATAATTAATATACTGAAATACAGGTCAGTAGAAGTTTTTTTCAATTCAGCATGGAGATGTAAAAAATGAAAATTAATGCAAAAAATAAGGGCACAAAAAGAAATGAGTAATTTTGATCAGAAATGTATTAAAATTAATAAACTGGAAATTTGACATTTAAAAAAAAGCATTGTCGTCCAAGTAGATGTGTCTATTAAATAGTTGTTCTCATATCCAGTAATGTAATTATTATTCCCCCTCATGCAGTTCAGATTCTGGGGTAATCTTTAGACATCAGTTTTATCTTTTATATTATTTATTCTGTTTACTACATTTTATTTTGCTAATGATATTTTTAATTTCTGACATTCTGGAGTATTGCTTGTAAAAGGTATTTTTAAAGATATTTTATGGTTATTTTTGTGATTCCTATTCCTGTATGGACACCAAGGCTATTGACATTTTCTTTAGTTTCTTCTGTTAATTCTATTTTCTTAGTGTTTATATCATTTCATAGATAGGATATTCTTTATTTTTTATTTTTATTTAAATATTTGGTGATTCTTGGTTTTCTCAGCCATCTATTGTCAAGTGTTCTTATTAAGCATTGTTATTAAATAAAGATTATTTCCTCTAATCACATGAGAATCTTTATTTCCCCCAAGTAATTGAAAATTGCAATGCCATGCTGCCATGTGGTACAGCATGGGTTTGGGCTTGCTTTCTTCTTTTTTTTTTAACTTTTATTTTAGGTTTGGGAGTACCTGTGAAAGTTTGTTATATAGGTAAACTCGTGTCATCAGGGTTTGTTGTACAGATCATTTTGTCACCTAGGTACCAAGTACTCAACAATTATTTTTCCTGCTCCTCTGTCTCCTGTCACCCTCCACTCTCAAGTAGACTCCAGTGTCTGCTGTTCCCTTCTTTGTGTCCATGTGTTCTCATAATTTAGTTCCCCACTTGTAAGTGAGAACATGCAGTATTTTCTAGTATTTGGTTTTTTGTTCCTGTGTTAATTTGCCCAGTATAATAGCCTCCAGCTCCATCCATGTTACTGCAAAGAACGTGATCTCATTCTTTTTTATAGCTCCATGGTGTCTATATACCACATTTTCTTTATCTAAACTCTTATTGATGAGCATTGAGGTTGATTCTATGTCTTTGCCATTGTGCATATTGCTGCAATGAACATTTGTGTGCATGTGTCTTTATGGTAGAATGATATATTTTCTTCTGGGTATATATGCAGTAATGCGATTGCTGGTTGGAATGGTAGTTCTGCTTTTATCTCTTTGAGGAATTGCCATGCTGCTTTCCACAATAGTTGAACTAACTTACACTCCCACTAACAGTGTGTGTTTCCTTTTCTCCACAACCTGCCAGCATCTGTTATTTTTTGACATTTTAATAGTAGCCATTTTAACTGGTATGAAATTATATTTCATTGTGGTTTTAATTTGCATTTCTCTAATGATCAGTGATATTGAGTTTTTTTTTTTTTTCACATGCTTGTTGGCTACATGTACATCTTCTTTTGAAAAGTGTCTGTTCATGTACTTTGCCCACATTTTAGTGGGGTTGTTTTTCTCTTGTAAATTTGTTTAAATTCCTTATAGGTGCTGGATTTTAGACATTTGTCAGACGCATAGTTTGCAAATAGTTTCTCCCATTCTGTAGGTTGTCTGTTTATTTTGTTAATAGTTTCTTTTGCTATGCAGAAGCTCTTAATAAGTTTAATGAGATCCTGATATGTTTAGGCTTTGTATCCCCACCCAAATCTCATCTTGAATTATAATCTCCATAATCACCACATGGAGAGACCAGGTGGAGGTAATTGAATCTGGGGGTGGTTTCACCCATGCTGTTCTTGTGATAGTGAATGAGTTCTCACGAGATCTAATGGTTTTATGAGGGGCTCTTCCCAGCTTTGCCTGGTACTTCTCCTTCCTGCCGCCTTGTGAAAAAGGTGCATTGCATCCCTTTCACCTTCTCCTATAATTGTAAGTTTCCTGAGGCCTTCCCAGCCATGCTGAACTTCAAGTCAATTAAACCTTTTTCTTTATAAATTACTCAGTCTCTGGTGGTTCTTTATAGCAGTGTGAAAATGGACTAATGAAGTTCCCATTTATGAATTTTTGCTTTTGTTGCAATTGCTTTTGACATCTTAGTCATGAAATCCTTGCCTGTTCTAAGTCCAGGATGGTATTGCCTAGGTTGTCTTCCAGGGTTTTTCTAATTTTGTGTTTTGCATTTAAGTGTTTAATCCATCTTGAGTTGATTTTTGTATATTGTGTATGGAAGGGGTCCAGTTTCAATCTTTTGCATATGGCTAGTTAGTTATCCCAGTACCATTTATTGAAAAGACAGTCTTTTCCCCATTGCTCGTTTTTGTCAGTTTTATTGATGATCAGATAATCATAGCTGTGTGGCTTTATTTCTGGGTTCTCTATTCTGTTCTATTGGTTTATGTCCCTGTTTTTGTGCCAGCACCATGCTGTTTTGGTTAACATAGCCCTGTAGTATAGTTTGAGGTCAGATAGCCTGATGCTTCCAGCTTTGTTCTTTTTCTTAAGATTGCCTTGGCTATTTGGCCTCTTTTTTGGTTCCACATGAATTTTAAAACAGTTGTTTCTAGTTTTGTGAAGAATGTCATTGGTAGTTTGATAGAAATAGCATTTAATCTGTAAATTGCTTTGTGCAGTATGGCCTTTTAATGATATTGCTTCTTCCTATCCATGAGCATGATATGTTTTCCATTTTGTTTGTATCCTCTCTGATTTCTTTGTGCAGTGTTTTGTAATTCTCATTGTAGAGATTTTTCACCTCCCTGGTTAGTTGTATTTTACCCTAGATATTTTATTCTTTTTGTGAAAATTGTGAATGGGATTGCCTTCCTGATTTGACTGCCAGCTTGGTTACTGTTGGTTTATAGAAATGCTAGTGATTTTTGTACATTGATTTTCTTTCTAAAACTTTGCTGAAGTTTTTTTTATTAGCAGAAGGAGCTTTGCGGCTGAGACTATGGGGTTTTCTAGATATAGAATCATGTCAGCTTCAAATAGGGATAATTTTACTTCCTCTCTTCCTATTTGGATGCCCTTTATTTCTTTCTCTTGCCTGATTACTCTGGCTGGGATTTCCTATGTTGAATAGGAGTCATGAGGGAGGGCATCAAATCTACACATATCAAATACTAACCTTGAATGTAAGTGGGCTAAATGCCCCACTTAAAAGGTAAAGGGGGGCAAGCTGAATAAAAAAGCAAGACTCAATGGTATGCTGTCTTTGAGACCTATCTCACATGTGATGACACCCATCGGCTCAAAATAAAGGAATGGAGGAAAATCTACCAAGCATGTAGAAAACAGAAAAAAGCAGGGGTTGCATCCTAATTTCAGACCAAACAGACGTCAAACAAACAAAGTTCAAAAAAGACAAAGAAGGGGCCGGGAGTGGTGGCTCACACCTGTAATCCCAGCACTTTGGGAGGCCAAGGTGGGCGGATTACAAGGTCAGGAGATCGAGACCATCCTGGCCAACATTGTGAAACCCCATCTCTACTAAAATCCAAAAAAAAAAAAAAAAAATAAGCTGGGCTTGGTGGTGTGTGCCTGTAGTCCCAGCTACTCGGGAGGCTGAGGCAGGAGAATCACTTGAACCCGGGAGGCGGAGATTGCAGTGAGCTGAGATTATGCCACTGCACTATAGCCTGGCGACAGAGTGAGGCTCCGTCTCAAAAAAAAAAAAAAAAAAAAAGACGAAGGGCATTACATAATGATGAAGGGTTTTACTCAACAAGAAGACCTTACTAACCTAAATATATATGCACCCAACACAGGAACACCCAGATTCATAAAGTAAGTTCTTAGAGTACAAAGAGGCTCCCACACAATAATAGTAGGAGACTTTAACACACCACTGATAGTCATAGACAGATCATCAAGGTAGAAAATTAACAATGATATTCAGGATCTGAACCCAACATTCCACCGAATGAGTCTGATAGACATCTACAGAACTCTCCATCCAAAAACAACAGAATATACATTCTTCTCATCTCCACATGACACATGCTCTAAAATTGACCACATAATGCCTTTCTTTTCAGTGGTCCATATGTAAGTCTTTTGAAAGTGGCAGCATCTCTACTGCTCATGCTTGTTGCAAGGAACTCTACTGAATACAAGGAACTTTACTAATCTCTAATGCTTGTGAGTAGATTCTGAACTCATCATTTAGAAAGCTAAACTGGGGGCTTTCTTCCCAGAGCAAAGACATAAAACAAACCTCAATTGAGCGTGGGACAGGGAGTCATGTGCTATAAACTTCTTGGACAGTTCTTATTCTATGGACCAATTACCATTCCCTTGTATCTCTAATTTTGGGATTATTTCTGGATTAAAACACAAAAAAAATCAGACTGTAAAAAGTCATCATTTCTACCAGTGTGAGAATATGTATTCCTCACCTTTACTGGGATTCACTGCCAGTATATATGCAAATGACTTATACACACACATACACACACGCACATACACACACACGTGTGTGTGTGTAGGTATGTCTGTAATAGGTATTTATATGTTTGCCTGTCTTTCTATTAGAATTGAGATACAGCAAAATGCACAGAAATTAAGCATTCAATTTAGTAAGTTTTCACAAATGTACATATTTAATCAATATCTCAATCAACGCAAAAACCATTGTTTCACCTCTGAAGATAATTTTTAATCTTTTGCAAATTATTGAGACTTATTTAATGACCGAGACTACACAGTCCTTCGTAAACATTCCATGTAAATTTGATAAAAATATTTCCATGAAATTTTTTGTGTAGTGTTCTAAAACTTGAAATTAGACTACATTAGTTGATAGTATTATTAGAATCTTCCAAATCCTTACTAATTTTTATATGTTCATCTATTGTTTATTTTGAGCCGATGATTAAAATCTTCAACTATGAGTGAAAGTCTATTTCTCTGTTTAGTTCTGTCTGTTTTTACTTCATGCATTTTGACACTCTGTTATCAGTTGTATAAACATTGAGAATTATAATGCATTGCTAATGAGCTTAACCTTTTATCATTCCATCTCTGATATTTCAGCTTATTTTGAATCCTACTTTCTCTGGTATTAGCCAGCTACATCAGTTTTACTTCCTTTCATTTTCAACCAATTTTATGACTCCATCTCAAAAAAAAAATGCATTCATTATACAGAGCATATAGTTTTGTCCTTTTTAAATCCAGTCTCAAAATTGCTAGCTCTTAATTTAAGTGTGTTATGGGTTGAATTGTCTGCCAAAAAAAACATACGTTGAAGTCCTTACCCCAGTAATTAAGGATGCAACCTTATTGAAAGATAGGATCTTTATAGATGTAATCAAGTCAAAATGGGATCATTAGAGTGGCCTGTAATCCAATGTGACTGGTGGCCTTATGAAAGGGGGAAATTTGGACACAAAAATGCCACCAGAAAGCACAACATATGAACATGAAGAAAGCCATCTAAAAGCCACGGAGAGATGTCTAGAACAGATTCTTCTTCACAGCCTTTAGAAGGAACCAGTACCTTGAATTCAGACTTCTAGCCTTCAGGACTTGAGATAATACATTTTTGTTGCTTGAGGCACCTAGTTTATGGTACTTTGTTATATAACCCTAGGAAACTAATATAAATGTTCAATCCATTTACATTTAATCAGTGATGTCAGTGTTGTTAAATCTACCATGTTACTATTTGCCTACTATTTTCTTATTTGGGTGTTGTTCTCTTCCCTTGGTTGTTGATATTTCTTTCTTCACCGGTTCAGTGTTACCTTCCTTAGAGTAAATGGATATTTTTCAATATTTCATTTTAATTATGCTATTGGCTTTATACCCTTCATACATGTGTTCTTGTTGATTCGATGTTCTTGGATCTCTGCATTGAAATTTTTCATCAAAATTTGAAAACACTGGCAATTATTTCTTCAAATATATTTTTTCTTTCCCATTTTCTGACTCATCCTTTTGAGACTTCATTTGTGTATAGGTTTGATGGCTTGATATCCCATGTCATTCAATCTCTTATTTTAATCATTTTCCTCTTTTGTTTGAGATTAGATAAATTCAAAAATGGTTTTCAAGGTTATTTGTCTGCTTTTCAGAGAGCTGAAATCTGAGAGTATACCCTGCCAGTGACTCTTTCATTGTATATTTTGCACTTGTTACTTCAACAATGTTCATTTCTCAAAATTACCTTTTTCGTTCTATCATTGTGACAATATCTCCATAGTCTAAGGACATATTCATAATATATATCTGTTGATTTCAATGCCTGGGTCATTATGATGTATGTTCTATTGACTGCTTTTTTCCCCTTGATTATTTATTAAATTTTCCTGCTCCTTTGCGTAACTTGTATTTTTGACTAATACACTGTAGAAAATCTAGACGTTGTCTTCTTGTAAAAGGCCCTAAGATAGTCCTTTGAAAGCTGTTAAGTGGCTTCCAGATCCTTTTGATCTGCCATGCCTGGTTTCATTATTTGTTAATGAAAATCTCTTTCATTTTTGTTCTTAAAGATAGGACATAGTCTTTACTGAAAGAAATAGTCCTTGTTCTTAATGCCTGGAATATTCCGTAAAATATCTTCCCTGTGGCTAGTCAGTAACCCAAACATCTCCTTGTCCTGTTACTACTGATATCTTATTCCCACAGTATCTGCTTTCAGCAGGTCTTGCAGATGTTAACCCTGCTCAGGTATAGAGCAGCTTTTGACGAAATTGGTGCCAAATACTTATTCTGGCTTCTGTAGGCCTACCCCATGCCTCTTTTTCCTTTCCTATACAAATTTCAGCCACTTCAGCAGCTCTTAAATAACAACCACTTAAGCAAGTGTAAGCTATTTACAAATATCGATAGATAGATAGATAGAGAGAGAGAGAGATGATATAGATAGAGATTTAATTGTAATTTTAGATTCAGGGGGTATATGTGCAGGTTTGTTACAAAGTTATATTGCTTGCTGCTACTGTTTGGGCTTCCACTGATCCTGTCACCCAGGTAGTGAACTGAATACCTAACAGGAAGTTCCTTGGCTCTTGTCCCTCTACCCCTACCTCTTTTTGGAACCTAATTAAACTAAGAGCTTCTGCATAGCAAAAGAAATTATCAACAAATAAGCAGACAACCTACAAAATGAGAGCTTTAAGCTTTAATTTCTTCCTCTAAACTCATTATTTTTAGAGTCTGCCTCCTTGTTTAATGGGAGAAAAAGTGCCCCTAGTCACATTCTCTGGTTAAATGTGGTACTTACCTCACAGCTTTCTTCTCTCTTGAGTATGAAAAACTTGTACTTCTTGTTTGATGCATAAAATCTGGTTCCTCATATATGTTGCCCAGTTTTATCATTGTTTATAGTGAAAAGGCAAGTCCCTCCAATAATTCTATTATGGCCAAAGACTAAAGTGCCTCTGATATGACTTATGTCCTTCAGAAATTGCTTACTCTTTAGTCTGTTGGTAGAATTCTTCTCAACTTTCCATAGTTATTTTAATAAGTACTATATTTTCCTATTTCAATGGCAATTTGGAATAAAGGAGAAATAAATGTATTTGTTTGGTCCATCTTTGTGTATTCAAACTGTTAAGTCATTACTTTTCACGTCCACTACACATATTACTGCACAGTAATTCCTTGTTTACACCTATAATCTCCCTCTCCTGTTTTCCTAGTTTCTATTCAAGTATTTGGGGTAACTGATATTTCTTAAAACAATATGTATTCTTGGAAAGAGATGTTTCTAGAATCCCCTTCTTAGGTGACTTATTAGGAAAAATTATAAGAATAAGAACGAGAATAGAGAACAAAAGTAATTGAAGACATCCACTTCAACTCTAAATCCCCCTAGGAGAAAAAAGGCTAGCACTTATTTAAATGCCCTTCTTAGGTGACTTATTAGGAAAAATTATAAGAATAAGAATGAGGATAAAGAAAAGTAATCGAAGATACCCACTTCAACTCTAAATCCCCACAGGAGAAAAATGGCTGGCACTTATTTAAACTCATCTAGGTTTTAGTTTTGCTGATGTTGTTTTTCCAATAATAATCTGTTTCAATTATTATAACAGCAATTTCAGTGAAATATGGTACTTACCAGCTAAGTTTTACACAGGGAAGCACTTTCCTAAACACTTCCCCATCCTTCTTCAAAGTTTGAATCCAAATCTTTTGTACTCCAGGGCTTATTTTGTTTTTCCTACAGCATTCTGCCTTTCTAGAATTAGCACTAGTTACCCTCAGGAAAAGCAAATACATGGACCCATAAAATAATCTTTGGAAGTCTTTCTTCTCCTGCTAGTTACCAAATTATAATCTTCTTATTGTAATAATAAAATAAAATAAAAAATAAAAAGAACTATTTTACTCTAATAAGTTTCCCATTAAGCTAAGCCTGCTTTTGTTGTATTAGAGATTAACATATGTAGACAGTGTTCTTTTTGACTGGAAATGGGGATTAGTTATGGTTCAAGTAATGCATAAACAAGATGTATTTTTAAAAATACGTCATATTTATGCATTATATTTAAGCAGCCATTTGTAAAAAGCTGAAACTTATTAGAAAGTGAATTCTTCATACTCATGTTTGTATTTTCAATGTTTAGGATTATTTGTTAGCTTAGGTATAGACTAGATTATTTTTCTAAACAAACAGGAATAAGAAATATAGGTAGTAAAATTTACATGACCTGGTAAAATTTAAAATATCCATTCTGACTAACAGGCAGTGATGAGAACAATAAATAAAATATATCTTGGTTTAAATTCTAAGTAAATATATTTGACAATATAAATATAAACATACTCATATGAGTGAATTGCTTCTAATTCTGGCTTTTAGCTAAATAAGCACTTAATGCTAGTAAGAAAAATACATTATTTCATAAAGATAACAAATTCTTTCAGAAATAGTAATTATATTTTTAAAGAGTTTGGGGAAAATAGAAGTGTATACTCTAATCTTATAGCAAAGTTTCTGCTAAGTTTTTGTGATGCCAGTGTTTTCATTATGAATCATTTCACTGTCAAACAAAATGTACGCTGTTGATTAAACACAGGCAAAAAGAGACGGAAAAAAAAAGGTATATTAAAAAAAAGACCTTTGGTTATTCTGGCTGCCACCAATTGCTTTCTTGTTTCAGCTGAATTTTGAAGTAGCTAATCATATTTTGGCATTTTCTTGTCATCAAAGCATTTCGTGAAATTATCCCATTACAATGTTTTTCTCAGAGGCAAAATTAACATGGTTGACAGTTTAATTGACATATTTCTTTTTCGTTGTGTGCCTTTGCCAATTAAACAAATTGCACCCTATTTTGATGTTCATTTTGTTAATTATTTGTAAAACTGTAGACTCTGATTTTTTTTTTTTTTAATTTTCAGGTGTCAGTTTCTTGGTCGGGAATGAAAATAGTGCCAACCTGTGATACCTTCACTCTAATTTTACTTTCTGAGGAAGTTTTCTGTAATAGTTATTTGGTGATAATTATTAATACTGGTGAGTTTTAAAATTTTTGCTTTCAGCAATTTTCCATTTTTTTCAACATACTTATATCGCAATGAGGCAACCAAATATGAATCCTGAGAATGAAGATGGAAAATGAATATTTTAATCCAATATCGAGTTGTTCTTTCAACATTTTTAGTTTTAGTTTTAATCGAAAATATAAAGTTACATAATTGTGTGAGGAATAATTTTTGCAGAGAAATTTTTAAAAATTCACAAAAGGAAAAAGAAACCTTTACCATGAGTCTATAACATTGAAAGACTGTGTTTAAGTTATTTTAATAAAGCCAAACCAACACTTTCAGCAGGAACTAAATGGCAGCATCTGATTTCACGCTGATACATATGTATTAGTGTGGTGCTCACTTTTACCCTTCATTTTACCTTGGGTCTTGCCATTTTCTTTCTTTTTATTTTTATGTTTTTTTGTGTTTTGTTTTCTTCTGGAGGAGGTAATTTTTAGGGAGAAAAAAAACACTTTTTCCTCATAGGTCGATTTAAAATGTTGGCCTTACCTTAATCTCCTCTCTCAAACTCAATCCACTATGTAATGGGTCAACATACTTTTCTGTGAAGGAGCAGATAGTAAATATTTTAGTCTTTGCAGGCCATATGGTCTCTGTTGCCAGCTCTTCCATTGTGGTGTGAAAGCAGCCATAGACAACACAGAAATGAATAAGTGTAACTGTTCCAATAAAAACAGATGATATGTTGAATTTAGCTCACAGAGTTTAGCTTGCTGCCCCTGCAGGAGGCCTTTGGAGTAAAAGCTTCCTGAGAGGAGGACTTTTTGTCTTTTTTGCTCAAGTTCTAGCTCCAGTACCTAAAATAGTGCCTGTCACGTAGGTATTGATGAATATTTGAACCTGTTGAACATACACCTAAAATAAAACATTTGGCAAGATACAGTACTACACAATTTGGAGAACACTTGGCTCCCATAGAAATCAAAGCCTTCCTGAGTAATTAATTATTTGGCCTGATGATGAATTACTGTGCCTGAGATGATAGAGCTAATTTATTTTTCAATTCACTCAGGGGACACACGTTATTTTCACTGTGAATTTGGTTAAAATGAAAAGATTTCCTGCTCTAAGTCCTGGATAGACCTTTATGTAATAGCATACTCTTCACTCTTTTTGAATCACATGCAGTTGTCACACTGGATGATTTCCAGACAGAGGCTCCAAGTCTTTCATCATGTTTGGGTTAAAGACCTCATTAACATACTAGTCCTGCCATTTGAGTCTGTTCTCTTCACGGAATATTTTCACCTGAATCAGTGGGTATAATTCATCAGTGTCTGGTTGCTTCAAGTTATTTTTCTTAATGCTGATGTTAATGCATGCCCATCTTTATGCCTCAACACATTGCACAATGAAAAACAAAAATTATTTTGGAAGACACAGCTGACATCTATATGAAATATTCAGTATCAGTGATTGAACTTCAGCAAGCTCCTGTGGCCAGCAGGGTTTTACGGAGGTGCAACTGCTCTCCCACGATCACTTATCATAAAGCCAGAGACAATTGGGCCAATGTAGCCTCTTGCCTGCTTTTGTGTACAAAATATAAATAGAATAGAGCAAATAAGGAAAAATAGTCCCGCAGCTGGAAGGCAACTTTAAAGAAAAATGATGTTCATAGCTGTCTTGCCAGTAGCTGGCAAAGCAGTTTTTATAAGACATATTTAATGTTTACAACCACTTGGAGGCTGGGGAAGGAGTAATACTTTGAAAATATGTTTAATGTTGTGAACCACTCTGTGGCCGAGAAGCAACTCCGGCTAAAATATATTTAATGCTTAGAGTCATTTGGTGGTTTCGAAAAAAAAGAAACTTCTTGTTAATTTTTAACATTTATTGCTGATCAGTGGCTGCTAAAGTAACTATCAGTACAGCATGATTTATATTTAGGGACACGCTGTGCTGCTACTAAAACAATTCATACTCTTCTCTCAAGGCTACACAAAAAGTGTCAATAGCATTACCTTTGCAATTGCACCACTAATAAAAACATAGGAATCAAACAGACGAATAAAATGCTCCCTGCCCACACAGCCATAACATCCTATGGCCCTGAAAATAGTTCCGCCAAGCTGCGTGCAGTGGACACTTCACGGCTGGCACAGGAGAGATCACAAGGCCTTGCTCAATTTCATCAAAAGTGTTAAAGCGACTCAGCAGATTGTGAAGCACAAGTGGAAGCTGATAATTGGTGTTTCTTACAAATCAACGGCTTGTCTCCACACATCAAGGTAAAGGCGTCCTCTACACCAAAGAAAATGTAAATTGGGATAGAAGGTCATTATGTTTTTAAATAAACTTGGTTAAATTTGTAGAAAGGGCAATGGTAAATACTGAGCTCACATGTCAGATGGAGAGAAAACTTGAGAAAAGGGAAGAAGATAATGAGCTGGAACCTTTACCATTTAGACTTTCTCTGGCTAGCTTTCTGAGAATGATCATCAAACTCTTATGAGGACCCTTTCCAATGTATTGACTGCACTTCCCCAGGGATTGTGGCAAATGGTAAATATATATTTTCTCCTTGCTACTTGCAATAACCCTGCTCATAAAGTGTTACTATTATTCACTTGCAGGTGAGAAAATCAATGTAAAAGAGGAGAAATAACCCACACAACCACATACAACTAGGAAATGATAGATGGATCTGAAAAAAAGGATATGCACTCTTAACAAGTTCAACACCCAAGTACTATTGCAAGTACCAGCTGTATTTCATGGAAAAAAAAAAAAGAATAACTCAAAAGGCAGAACGAAGAGCCTAGAGGTCAGAGATGAGAGGCATGAATAATTATTCACAGGCGTTGAATATAATCAAATGACTTGCAACATTTACCACTGGGATTTTAAAATGTGGTGGACCAATCATTCTTTTAGTCTGTGCATTTTCCCATTTTTTTCAACAGGAATGTCTAGAGACATTATTCCTGTTTTGCCACTGTATTTTTGGTGAATGTGTAGTAAGTAACTGGCCTCTTTAGTATCACAAAGCTGGATGAAGAAAATGTGGTACATATACACCATGAAATACTATGCCGCCACAAAAAGGAAATGAGATCATGTCCTCTGCAGGGACATGGATGAAGCTGGAAGCCATTATCCTTAGCAAAGTAACGCAGGAACAGAAAACCAAACACCACATGTTGTCTCTTAGAAGTGGGAGCTGAACGGTAAGAACACATGGACACAGGGTGGAGAACAATACACACTGGGGCTTGATGGGGGGTGGAGGGGAGGGATGGGGAGCATTAGAAAAAATAACTAATGCATGCTGGGCTTAATACCTATGTGATGGGTTGATAGGTGCAGCAAACCACCCTGGCACATGTTTATCAATGTAACAAACCTGCACATCCTGCACAGGTACTCCAAAACTAAAAGTAAAAAAATCTAAAAGAAAAAAAAAAAGAATTAAACCCAAAATCACTACCCCATCTGGACTTGATTTAGATGAAAAGCTTCTGGACTTTGAGCTGATGCTATAGTGGGTTGAAAATTTTGGGGTCCTCAGAAGGGGATGAGGATATATTGCATGAGAGAGCAACATGAATCATTGAGAGCCAGAGTATAGAGAGTGGTAGGTAGACTGTAGGAGAGCCCTCAATGATCCCGGCTTTCTTGTATTCGCGTTGCACTTACTTGTATAATATGGCAGATGGGATGTGATGTCACTTTCAAGATTAGGTTATAAATAGACTATGGCTTCAATCAGAGGGTTTTCTCTCTGTCTAGCTCTCTTTTGGGTAGTTCATTCTGAGGAAAGCCAGCTGCCACGTTATGATGTAGGCCTGTGAGGTCCACGTAGCAAAGAACATATGGAAGATTTCTACCACCCCCTAACTAAGCCTTTAGATCAGACTGCAACCCCAGCCAACAAGGTAGCTACAAACTCTTGAGAAGCCTTGAGACAGAGGTACTCAATAGAGCCATTCCTATGAGAAACGTAAGTATCTGCTGTTTTACACCGCTAAGGTTTTAGCTAATGTATTATGCCATAATAGATAAGTTATATACAACCTTTATCAAATAATAAAAGTAACCATCATCAGTAATGAGACAAATCAAAAACCATGGCCCACCCAATAGAACATAATGAGGAGAGTACAGAATTGCTTCTGGGATATTTCTGACAAAGATGTATATGCTTCATTCATACATGAGGAAACATCACACATACTCAAGATGGGAGAGCCATTCTAAAAAATAACTAGGCAGAAATCTTCAAAAATATTAAAGTCACGGAAACCAAGAAAAAATATGAACCTGTTTCAGATTAAAGGAAACTAAACAGACCTAACATTTTAATACAATGTTTGATTTTGAACTTGAACTTTTTGTTATATAAGACACTATTGAGACAAGTGCTAATGCTTGAATAGGGCTGAAGGATTAGATTATAATAATACATTAATGCAAATTTCCTGATTTTAAACATTGTAGTTTGATTGCACAAGGAGAATGTCTTTATGTGTGGAAAATAAATAGTCAACATTCTGTCTTCAAGCTTCTGAAAAAACTCTGCTTTTAGGGCATAGATAGAAGTGGATGATAATTCACCTGTTCCTCTGCTACTAATTGAGCTGCTCTCTGTTTCCATGGCTGGCTCATGGGATGAGAGAATATATCTAGTTTTTTATGTTTCAATTTGTCTCTCTATGGCATTTTTGTGAAAATAAGGAAGTGTGGAGACTTATATATGTTTCTAAATTATAATAGTTCATTAATGTAAAGTACAGACACAGTCTTCACTTTTCCTTCTTAGACCGTTTAAATATGGCCACGAAACAAGTAGTCTCTGGTTGGCTGGGCACTGTGGCTCATGTCCTTAACACCAACACTTTGGGAGGCCGAGGCAGGCAAATCACTTGAGATCAGGAGTTCGAGACCAGCCTGGCCAATGTGGCAAAACCCCATCTCTTCTAAAAATACAAAAATTAGTTGAGTGCGGTGGTGCACACCGGTAATCCCAGTTACTCGAGAAGCTGAGGCAGGAGAATCACTTGAACCTGGAAGGCAGAGGTTGCAGTGAGCCAAGACCGCACCACTACACTCCAGCCTGGGCAATAGAGCAAGACTCCATCTCAAAAAAAAAAAAAAGAAAAAGAAAAAAGAAAATAGTCTCTGGTTAAATAACCTCTGAAAGACTCCACCAAAAATTTCATCTTAGCATTTCTCCCCAAACTTCAGGTAAAATAAAATAGAGTTGAGAGAAAAATAGAAAGGCAAGGGAGTACCTGTTCACTATTTTTATTAAACCAGTGTTCTACTTTATTTTAGGTGTATCTTTTCTTATTTAAATGTCAGCTAAACTTTCTTTTTAAGATATTGAATGAAAGATGCCCGTCCTTCAGGTTTCGTTTAAGCAAGAATCCCCATTCTCAAATAATATAATATAAACTTTCCAAATTCTTAAGTAGATCATCTGAGATTGAAAGCTAAGTTTAACTTTCTCAAAGATATTTTAGCCGCCATGACACCTAGACAAAGTGGTATATTAAATTCTGATTAATTTGGTCCTAAAGCACCTAAGAATCATTCTTACTTTCTTATCCACAGCGGTTATTAAGTTTTCACATTAAAAAAAATCCAACAGTGAATAATACTGCATTGGGGTTACTGTAATTGTTAAGTAAAATAAGAAATACAAATCTTTAGTTAGATCACATGGCACCTGACTACTGCTTAGAAAATGGTAAGACTTACTACATAAATCATGAGTCACTATTGACATCTACTATATCATATCATAGGTTAGGTATCTAATTATAAATAGTCAAATCAGCTGACTCAAGGTGGCATAGCTCAAGCAGAGGAAGATAATACAAGTTGAGTATGGATTTAACACTCTAAACCTGTCAGCACTGTAGGAAAAGTAACTTAAAACTGCACACCCCACTTATGCATAATCATCAGATATAAAGAGGGTACATTCCTGTAATTTATTGTTGCTCTAGTGATCTTAAAGAATTAAGTCCACATTCATAAAGTCCAAACTTGTCTCCAAGGATTTGCTTTGACTTTGGGAGTATCTGGATCATTAAGTAATTTCCGGAGGTCAGAGTAAAAGCTTTTTATCTCTAAATATTACTTCCCTGGAATATTAGATGTAGCAGAAGTCAGTAACGGAGTGACCTTTCTCTTAAACAATTCATAGATTCACTGAAATTTTCTTCAACTTTAGGAAAATTAAATATATTCCACAGTGCTGTAAGTCTTAAATATTGATTTTCCTCTGAAATCTTGACTCATCCTACCCACCAACATTCTCCCTTTGTACACTATGTTCTTTGTAATGTTCATGTTACACAAGTGAAAATTAGTAACATTAGTAAATTTTCATTGCAGGTTTATTTGTTCATATTTCTGGATATATAATCCATTACTGTTAAACTTCATATCAATGTTCCGATATTTCTTCATCTTATGTTTTATGTTACAAAACAGGTTATTTCACTATATGTATGTTTAATTGATTAATTCTTCCCTTTTTTTGGAAATGAAACAGCACTCTCAATTATTGGGACAGAAAAGTTATTTCATAGGGAATACTTCAAACACTGATATCTACAACAGGCAGTAAGATTCGTCACAACAATTGGTATACTGTCAATATACCATACAAAGTTCCATCTGGTCTTGATTAAAAATTATTTTAGTTTTCTCAGGAAAATGATACAGAGGGAGAATTGCCTAGATTATATGAGAGAAAAAAAAGTAGAGAGAAACATAATGTTTTCTTAGATTATTACAGCAGTGAACTATTTCCACCTGGTAAGAAGGGTGCACTTGAGAATGGGGTTCAAGTACTCTAGGAACATAGATGTAAGTTCTGGATGCACAGTAGTTGTTGCTTAGCTGTAAGCTGGAAATTTCAAGGCAGAAACAGCAGATACCACAACTATAACTGGGTCTCCTTGTTTTTTGTTTTATGTGTATACGTGAGATTATGGGGAAAGACAAAAGTAATGCATAGAGATTTATTTTTTAACATTCAATTCATAAGCAGTGTTTATACCTCTTTGTACTTACTTGAAAAGTGTATATTATGTAAATTTAGTATAAAAACACTTGGACTAATTCATACCATGTGGTAAAATTTCACATTCAAAAGAAATACCCTTCTGTTATTAAAAATAAAAAAAAAAAGGAGCCAGGAGGGTGGCTCATGACTGTAATCCCAGTGCTCTGGGAAGCCAAGGTGGAGGGATCATTTGAGGCCAGGACTACTTGAGAACAGCCTGGGCAACATAGCTAGATCCCTTCTCTACAAAAAGTAAAAAAAAAAAAAAAAAAAAAAAAAATAGCTAGGCAGGGTGGCACATGACTGGCTATTAAGGAGGCTCAGGTGGAGGGATCTCTTCAGCCCAGGAATTTAAGGCTTCAGTGAGCTAAGATTGGGCCATTGCACTCCAGCCAGGGCAACAGACCAAGACCCAGTCTCAAAATAAATAAATAAAAATGAAAGAAAGCAGTGCACTGAAAATCAATTTAAGTATTTACTGGAGTTGTCTTGAAGGCCCAATGGGAAATGTCAGTAAGGGCACATGAGAAAACACTTTAAGAACCTATTCTTCCAAAGATCTTTCCAGTATCTTATGACAACACAGTAAATTATACCCACTCCAAATGCAAAAGCTGAAACTACTCTGCTTTCTCACTTAACTACACTTTTGACTTTCGAAATACATTTCTCTCTTCGGATATGAGCTGCAAACTCCTTATATAAAGGCTCCAACTCTGCAGCCCTAATTATTCTAGTTGGCCCAAGAAAAATCCTAATTGTTTTATCTAAGGAGACGGAATTTTCCAATACTGTAGAGGCATGTGTGTGTGTTTGCTTTAAGGAAGCTGTTTTGGTAATAAAAAGTCACTGAGGGTCATAAATTCATGTTAACACATCCAGTGTACATGAAGTAGGCACCGAGTTAAACTATTTGTCTACTATATAGCATGTCATCTTAAAAGCCTTATTTTTTCCTCAAAATATTAACTTTATTTTTCTCCCTGTAAAATCAAGACACAGTTAAAATGTAGCCTTCCTCATTTTCTGGGAATACTTTCTAACAAGATATGCTTCTTTCCAATTGGACTTCTAAATTTCTAGCAATTCTAACAGTGCATAAAAGAGGCAACCCCAAAAGTGTAGCAGGTACTGAATAACAGATTTGCAGCCTTGGGTATCCACATTAAAATTTGAAATCTAAGTGAATTACTTCAAGCTGATTTCTTAGGTCAAGGAGAGATTATGGTCCTTAAATGCCTGATAAGGTCACATACACAATTTCAAGTGCATTATAGTAAATCCATGTGACAGCTCCTACAGCTACTAACCTGCTTCTGCCCTCACGGTAGCGTGCACAATCTTCATCGCATGTCCTGGGTGGTGGTAGGAGCAGTAGAAACCCCCTGGGTCATGTCAGATTTAGAAAATATAAGCAATGGCTCATACACGAATTTTAAGTTGTAACCTACATGTGATAAGTTGCTTTATCTTCCAAATGTAATAAAAACCAGAAGTTACTTTGAAATAAATTGAAGGATTAGCAGTGGTGACTGAGGAATAAAAATTATAATTTAAAATTGTCCTTAAGGCTGGAATTCTTAACTTATTGACCTTATATCCTACATATTATAGGACTTTGTAAATTTAGGCTGATATGGAAATGTATATTTATATCAAATTTAAATTTTTAGAATGATGGTGCTACTATATTCTAATTGTTAATTTGATAATTGTAATTGTAATTTGTTAATTTGTTCTAATAATATTTTCATGACATTATTCATTTGCTGCTTGGCTTGATGGCATAACAAGTATGGGTTATTTACCCTGAAAAGGAAACAGTATCACCCTTCCAGAATCTCTATTTACAGCTACAGAAGATGCAACACACCTGTTTCTGGACCACTTCCAGATCAGATGTGATGCATGCTTTAGATCATTTACTTTGATCTAGGAATTACTGTCTGGCATTTCGTGGTGTAGGGTAGGTGTCTCCAGCACTGTATAGGTGTCTGGAATTGAGATAAGAATCAATTTCAATACAAAATACATTTTTTGCTTAAAGCACGCAAGGATTCTATGAATTCAGGTAAATTCACAGGGTGGAAAACAGGAACTAATGTTATATATTCCTGTAGTTATCTTCATAATGAAGCAGAAAGAAAAACAAAAAAGTTACAAAAATAAATGAAAAGAACTGTATTTTCTAGAATTGAAAAATAATTCTTTTAGATGATAGATAAGATGTTTACATCAACCTGCAAAAAGTCAATGTTGAAGAGGTCTCATTGTATCTCACAGAATTTTGATTTGCCTACTCACCCACAGGAGACATTTCTGGGACAGTAGCAACATAAGGTCCATCCCAAAACTTTGGCTCATTATCATTAATATCCTGCACTTTGATGATGAATTCTGATTCAGGCTCCAGGGGCTTTCTGGTTTCTATGTCCACAGCCTGAGCACGAAGAGTGTAGAAAGGTTTTTCTTCTCTATCTAGGCTCCTTATTGCATGAATGTCCCCTGTGGTTTCATCAATGGTAAAAACGGTGCCAGCGCCATCTCCTGAGAGGGTGTATTTCGCAGTGCCCTCTCCCTTGTCTAAGTCGGAATGGAGCTTTAGGGAAGAGAGGGAGAGAGAGAGGAAGAGAAAGAGAAGGACAAAGAAAGAACACCATTAAAAGGATGTTGCCAAATTAAAAAGTCATAATTTGCAATACAATTCCTTTAATCAAAAATGTTAAATAAAAATCTTATGGTTCTGTTTTCTTGTTTTTTATTTCTCCAACTTCTTTTTATAAAAATTTCAACACAAAAAGTTGAAAACTGCAATGAACACATATACATATACATCCAAACATTCCTCCATTCGTCTATTAATCTGCTTGCCTTATCAGATAGGTCTCATATCCATTCTTCTGTTCATCCTTCTCTTAACCCATTTTTTTTTTTGAGGTGTTACAAAGATCAGAACAAAAGTACAACCTCAGATATAGCAGCAGGCAAAAAAAAAAAACAATAAATTTTGAAAATTTGTATTTAGTTCTTCTGTATCCCTTTGGGATAACATTTTCATAAAATGAAATGCACAAAACTTCAGTGTACTTATTGTTTCATTTTAAATAAACATTGCAATAAAAATAAATTAGCTCATAAACACCACAAAATAAACTTTCCAAGTGTTCTGAAGATGAAATCAATGACCTGAATCCAGTGGGAGATAGTGCAAAGGAACTCAGAAAACACTAAGCATTTTCATTTGTAAAGAAGGGAAAAATCTGGCAAATCAAGAGGTTTTCAGTGATATAGGGCAGAGCGTCTCATTTTAACAGGCTGAGTTTGAATGAGTTTACCACTATGATTGGTAGAATCACTGATTATCCTTTCAGATTCACAAATAGCTTGTTCCAATTCATTCTATATAGAGAATATTTATGTTGAGTAATATAGGAAAGCATTGAAATTCTGCTAATTTTTTTTTTAAATTAAACACATGTATGGTACATTACATTATAGCATGGAATAAGATACACATGAATAAGCGATAAGGAAGAGAACTAAAGAGTAGAGAGAATTATCAGTGTAATGCCATAAAGCAGCGTTGTTCAAACCGGAGACCAAGAATAAATGAAAAATGGACACAGTCTTAAAAGTATATAAATTATGTGTAAATAAATATATACATAAAATATTACATAAAATAAAATAGTACATCATATACAATTTTCTAGTAGTATATATTTGTATAAATATATTCTTATGCATAATATAATTATATATACATAACAGTCATAAATAATATTTATATTAATTTTTATGCAGATGCTGATTTAAATGTTTTAAACTATTCTTGCTCATTTGGGTATAGCCATTTGATTTCAGCATCCAAATTTTTACATGTAACAGCTTTTTCCAGACAACAGATCACCCAAAAGAAAATTAAACTTTTGCAGCATTTCTAACCATTTGGGCTACGCCTTAAAAATCTGCATATGAGCACTGCTCTTTGCAAATCATTGCTTAAGAATGAGTTCTGTTTTCCTAACATTTCAACACACACAAAAACTCTGAAAATATTTTAAATTATATAAATATCCTGTTGCAAATAAGCTTCCTGTGTATTAGTATGAGTAATTATAGCCCAAATAAATACAAGTTCAACTGTGGCTACATCTTTGCTCTTAAGCTCAAGAGCGTGCTTTAAGTTCAATAAAATAATATCATTGTTCATATTAATGTTATTAAGGTAAACTTATTCATTTTGTGACCCTGCATTTCCTTCAATATTTGTTCTAAAACTGTTTTGTATGAGAGTATAAGCATAACCATAAAAACCTGGTTGGGTAATATAATAAAAATAATGTGGCAACAATAAGAGGGAACAAGATTTTGACGTTCCTTTAAAAGTTTCTGTATATTTTACTTAAGTATAAAGAAAATTGTTATGAATGATAGGAGGAAGGATTTTTGTCCACCTATTAAAAAAAAACTGCTGTGAAGCATAGGAAGTTTCAAGCATAAAATCAAGCAGTAGATAAATGTTCTTTGAACTTATGAATTTCAAATTATAAATTTCAACCATGCTATTAAAGATATTCAACACAGTGGATATTCCTTTTGCTTTCAAATTTATCTAAATATATGAGACAGGCAAAAGCTCAATGCAAAAGGCATGACTTTATAAAATGGATCCATTTTGCCAATAGCTCAAAGAATTATGGTAATATTGTGGGAACTGAGTGAAAATTCAGAGTAGGTTTTGAAATGTGATACAAGTAGAATTTTAAAAAGAAAAAAGAAAAAAATTTCTGTATTTAGCTAAAATCATAACTGTTTCCTTTGCAAACTGACATAAAAATGAAGAAGCAAAATGTGTCTTTAGTTATATCCAAGTTCCAAATTCAAGTTAATTACTGCTGCTCCTCACTCTTCTACCTTTTCCTTCAAATTTAAAGATGGGCTTTGCAGAGATTAAAGCTTCAGAAAAAAATATGGGAAAATATGTTAAAATGTTGACCTGAAAATGAAGTGGATGACTATAAAACTCTTGAGAGAATTAGACTTTTTGTAGCAGTTTATTACATGATAATACCTTAAAGGAGATCACATTCAGTGACCTGCGTTGACAGGTAATATTTAAAATTAAGTATTAATGCTGATTAATTCAGGCAGATGGGTGGTAGCCTAAAGTATAGACATTTTTCCAATATTAATTTTGATATTAAATAAATGACATCGGCTCTTGTTGGATATTGTAAAATTTCCTTTACTTCAACTGTAAAATAATTTCAACAGTGAAAGGTATAAAGTAAGATGAAAATTTCCATCATGATCTTACCTAGAGATAACTTCTCTTTTTTTGAGTCGGAGTATCGCTCTCGTTGCCTAGGCTGGAGTGCAGTGGCGTGATCTCGGCTCACTGCAACCTCCACCTCTCGGGTTCAAGCAATTCTCCTGCCTCAGCCTCCAGAGCAGCTGGAACTACAAGGCGCATGCCACCATGCCAGGCTAATTTTTGTAGTTTTGATAGAGACAGAGTTTCACCATGTTGGTCAGGCTGGTCTCAAACCCCTTACCTCAAATAATCCGCCCGCCTCAGCCTCCCAAAGGGCTGGGATTATCGGCATGAGCCACTGCGCCCTGCCTTCTTTGTTAATTTTATATGTTTCGGTTATGTAAATATATAACTGAAAGGGTAAATATATATAAATACATATTTACTGCACATTTATATTGATATATATTTCTCTGCTTGTATCTATCTATATACACACTTTATAAATAAATGAGTCAAGATTTTTAAAACAAAATACCAAATTTTTCAGTATCATTTGAAATTTTTCAAAATTACTTTTTTAAAATTTCTGCATATTCATTCAGTGAAGTTGAATGATCCAGTGGGCACTCTGTATTCCTTCATAAACTGTGTGGTGAATGTGCGTGTGTGTATGTATGTATATGCACGTGTTTATGTGTTTTCTGGGGTTAATTTCCTTAAAATAAAAAGGCAACTGTCAAGACTAAAGCTATAATAATTTTTATGAATCTTAGAAAATGTTGAATTTTTAGTGATTCCAGAAATTGATCTCTATCGATGAAACTGCTTTCTCAAATACGTCAGCAATGGGATTCAGGCTTTGCTTACAATGTGAAGGAAGTTCTTAGTCTCATTTGCACAAAGAAGGAAGGAGGGCTAAAGATAAAAAGAACTCATAGTCTTTTCCATAGTTTTGGGTCATGTTCACTGTAAAAAAAAATCACAAGATGCCATTTTTACACAGCCTTTTTAATCTACACATACGGCAAGCTAATAATTCCAAAAAAATAATTTCTTTCCTTTGTAGCCATTTAAAACTAACAGCTAGAAATATTTCTTCTTCCAATTATTAAAAATAAGCTGTTTCTGAGTCGGTGCTGACTACATTTACTGATTGAAGCAGCCAACTCCAAATATACCATCTTTTAGTATTGACACTTAAAATAAAACTTCTCCCCAGAAAAAGAGTTCTATAAATGATGGCTGTAGAAATAGGCACTGTCCAGGCAGTTGTTTTGTGGAAGTAGTGTTGTTATTTTCTGGTGTTTTCCAAGTCATCTCAGATGGTGCGTGAAAATGAGATGCCAAAGAAGGCTTAAAAAAGATACCCTGCACCAGCTTCAGAATGTAAGCAAATCTTTCATTCCAGCGCTTAAAAGTTTTGAGAAAGCTAATCTAAAGTTAAATGTTTACTAGCATCTCTCCGATTATATTTTAGAAACTACTGCACAAAAATAAAACAAATTTCTTATTTTCTCTGGGTTGAAAAGTGCACATAAAATGGAAAATGCTTTTTATACCACTATTTCCAGCAGGGATTTTATTTTCATTTGTCATTTGCCAGCCTGGGGTATGTTGGGAGAAGGAACAATTGATTTTTGAAAAGGTGCATTTGTGTGAAAACCAAAAATTGTGTTCAACAAATACTACTACTAACCCATATGTGGATATATGTGTTTTATACATGAGTAAAAAAAAAAAAAAAAACATACATATATGTATGGCATATATATATATATATATATATATATATATGCTATAGAAATGCCATCAAGTTACCAGTTTACTTCTAAATGTAACTGCTTAATATAAAATATGCATCTTTTTGTAGTACCTAATTCTTGCAATTCAGTGTATTTCCTGGCGAGAGGCAGAGATGAACAACCCTGGACAGTTACCACATATGGCTCTTATGAGGTAATGAGGATGGTTGTGATGAGAAGGGTAAAAAATAAAAAAGTTATTACAAAACATTTTTCAAGGAATTTTCCAAAAAATGATTTTAATATTCTCTTTGCTTATGGAATGATATTTAAAACCATGATTTCTGTGTCCTTTAAAATGACTTCTGATTTGTGAATTGTTCTCTGTGCTCCAAACTTCTTTTATTTGTCCCTGTGTTTATGCTCATAACCATTCATTTCCCTCTTTTCCCACTGACTTAGCCTCTGGGGTTGTAAAGAAGTTACTCGTTTATTTTTGTGTATGTGTGGGGTTTTGTCTTTTGTTTTCTGAGAATAAAGTATATGAGATCATGGAAAAAATCAGAAAACGAGGAAAATCATAAATTCATTACCAAAATAATTTCTGATTTGGTATTATAGCTCTGCAAATTACTTCACTAATTGTGTTCATAGGTACTATGGTACACTGTACACTGTTTTGTAACTTGCTTTTTAGATGGATTATATCATATTTTTCTGTATCAATAAATATGAATTCATTACATCAGTTTAAACTGATCAAAAACATTTTAATCAAAGTAATACAATTAAATTGCTAAATATCATAGGGAATCGAAGAGTTTATAATCCCAAACCATACTCTTTCTTTTCCTAGCCAGCTGGGGACATTTTTAATTGTTTCTATTTTCATTCTTTCTGTTTCAGTTCTTATAAAAATACATATATAAAATTGGCTAAATGATTAAATGTTATAGTAGTTCTTTAATTATAAATTTGAATAATATTTGTTGACTTCCAAACTGCATACCCCTTGCCTTGTCCAAGTAAAACTGTACCATCGTTTATTCTCTGTGTTGTCAATAAAACACTAAGTGATATCTGAGTTTCTAAATTTCAGTTCACTCATAGAATGTATCCTTTTTTTTCTTCTTGCCTCCAACATTTTATTATGAAATTTTCAAATTCATGATAAAAGTATATAGTATTCATCTGTATACTTACCTCCTAGTCTATATATTTTTTACATACTGTTTATAATTGTTTTATTATTTTCTACCCATTTGTCTATCTGTTAACCCAGCTTAATTTTTGATGCATTTAAAAGTAGGTTGTAGATACAAATAACCATCACCCTAACACCCTTCAATACAATGTTTACAGTTGTTTTTTTGACATTGGAATGTATCTGTGGTTTCTCTATTTCATAGGATCATAGCATTAACACCTTTACACTTCCCCTTACATCTCCTTCCATTTCTTCTCCCCGTCCGCCACCAGCTTCCATCATCTGTATTATACAGAATCTGTCCTAAAAAATTCTGAAGTAGGCCTTAGGTTTTTTTTGTTTTTTAAAGGGTCTTGTTCTGTGGCCCAAGCTACAGTGCAGTGGCACAATCTCAGCTCACTGCAGCCTCTGCCTCCTGGGCTCAAGTAATCCTCCTGAATAGCAGGGATTACAGGCACAGACTACCATGCTTAGCTAATTTTTCTATTTTTTTATTTGTAGAGATGGGGTTTCATCATATTACCCAGGCTGGTCTCAAACTTCTGGGCTCAAGCAATCTACCTGCCTATGCCTCTGAATGTGCTGGGATTACAGGTGTGAGACACCCTGTGTGGCCAGGCCTCTTTTTAAAAATAAGCCTGATAGTTAATTTTATATGTCAATTTGACTGAGCCATAAGTTGCCCAGAGATTTTGTCAAGCATTATCCTGGGTGTGCCTCTGTGGGTGTTTCTGAATGAGATTAGTATTTAAATCAGTAGACTGAATAAAATAGATTGCCTTCCCTAATGTGGATGGGCCTCATTCAATAGCTGTGGGAATGAATAGATCAAAAGGGCAAACCCCTCCGTGAGTGACAGAGATCTCTTCCTGCCTGACTGCCTTCAAGCTGAGACACTGGAATTTTTTTTCTGCCTTTTGACTTCAATTAAAACATTGGCTTTTCCTGGGTCTTGAGCCTGCCCGTCTTTAGACTAGAACTAGAAGCTATCCTGGGTCTACAGTTTGCCAACTGCATACCTTTGGACTAGTCAGCCTTTATAATTGTGTGAGCCAATTCCTTATAACAAATCTTTATATATCGATATATAGAGATATATATTGATATATATATATATATACCTATATAGAGAGATATATCTATATATCTATATAGATATCTATACCTATATAGAGAGATATGTCTATATCCATATATAGATATATAGAGATCCATATATATCCTCTATATATGGATACATCTATATATAGAGAGATCTCTCTAAATATCTCTATATCTATAACTATATCTACATCTACATCTATAGCTATATCAACATCCAATTTGTTCTTTTTCTCTGAGAACACCTACTGATAAATAAGTTTCTAAGTTTTGTCTATCAGTTGATGCTAAAACATTAAAAAAAGAGAACAACTAATACTCTTTTTACACTAATTAGAACAATGTAAGCCTTTTTGTTTTATTACCAAATAATTTGTATTTCCTATGTAATTGCTGCAGTTTTATTTTGCATATAGATTTTTTTTCCGTAACATCTTTGTCTGTTAGTGGTTTTATTTATGTATTTTTTTAATATCCTTAGATTCATCCCACTTCTGAGGTCAGACATCACATCTTTTCACTACATGCCTCTCTTTGGGAGGTTTCTTTCTTGCTAATCCAAACAAGAACATCTGCACAATTGTCAACCTGGAATTTACTTTATTAATCTCCTGGTTTGGAAACACTTTTTCTTGGATGTTATATTTACTTTGGTTTACTATTTTGTTGGCTTGCACTAATTTTATATGATTTCTTAATAATGAGTGTATGTTAGACATTTTACTTGAGTCTTTTCATATCACAGTATGCCTTTATTTTACCCTCATATATAATTAATTTTCATCTGGGCATATATTTCCAGATTAGAAATCATTTCTTTTCATACATTTTAAGGAATTTATACATTTGCATCTGAAATTGTATTCATTATCTTCTAGAAACCAAGAGTGGACTTGGTATCCGTCTGATTATATTTTCTTTGTTGGTAAAGAGCCTCTTTTTTCCCTTTTTATTTTCATCTTCTCTTTCTCTAGTGTTTATAATCTTATTTTTATGAATGTAGTCTAATTATTTAGAACACTGTCTCCGAGTATGTGTTTATTTGGGTTTGTGTTTTGAACATTGCCTCCAGGTGCGAGTTTATGTGTGTTTATGTTTCCTATTTGAGGTTGGACACTTAGAAAATTTTCTCAATTCGAAAACTATTTTCCTTCAGCACTCAGAAATTTTTATCAATGATTATTTCCACGATTATTTCCTGTCCTTGGTTTTTCGTGTTCTTAACCTAGAATTCAATTGTTTAATGTTAGACCTTACACATCTTCAATGTATCATATATATTTCACTCATATTATTTATTGTCATATCTTTTGGACTATTGTGTGAAAGCAATAAATGTATATTACTTTATTTATTGGTAATGCTCTTCATTTTCAAATTTAATACACACAAATTGTGCATACCCACACACATATACCACAGATATATTCATTTTCAGGATTTCTTTAAGTGTTATTTTAAAAATAATCATATTCTTATTTTGTGAACTGTGGGATTTCTTGAAACTTTTTGAAAACTCTCATTAGTCTGTGTTTGTGTGGTTTCTTTAAATTATCTCTTCCTTCAGAATTACTTTTGTGTTTTGAATTTGAGTCTTTGCCATTCATAAGGCGGGCTTTCCTTGAATACCAGATAACTCTGAGTTTCCTGTTCATATTTAAGAATAAATAACCTAATTTGAAGTTTTGAGTTTTTGAGTTGTATTTATTGATCAGAGTTTTGGCCTAGAATGAATAAAAGAATCAATCATTTCTTCTACTTTCAGATATTCGGTTGGGGGTGTTCTAAGCACAATGGTGTCCCAACACTGTCCTAATTCTTTACAGGTTACCTACAGAATAACGTCTTTTAAAAATTATTTCTTTATTGTTTACATTCTGGTCATTAATGCCTATATTTTATGCATTCTCAAGCATATAGGAGAAATTCTGTATATAGAATATTAGTTCATCTCTGTGTTTTTCCTGGCAAATTTTATGCCTTTTCTTTGGAATCACTGCCAAATCTGGGTCTCTTTCAGAGCTGTGCCTTCATTGCTGGAGCCCTCTCAGTGTAAACACTCGCATATAGCTCCTTTGGGCTTGTTTAAACAGTCACCAATCCTTCACCTATGTGCAATGTTACAGAAATTGGCCATCTTCTCTGATGACCTCTACGCCACTCCCTCCCATCAGAATTACGGGTTGTTATTTTTGTTCCTCTGCTATAAATTACTGATGCTCTCTGAAGAGGAGTTAAAGGTGTTTGGGAGGTACACCATTTCCCTGTACCAAAATCATATTAAGTAAAACTTGAAATCAACAGAAAAAATAGAAGTAATTATATGATGAAAATCTATATTCTCACAATCTAGATTAAACCATTCTCAACATTTTGTTGTATTTGCTTTACTTTCATATATGGATGATTTGAAAATAATTTACAAACATCATACCAACTCACTACACAATATTTCAGCACCAGTTTTCTGAAAATAAGACCTTTTCCTGCATAACCACATTGTCACAGTTTCAGTTAAGAAAATTAATTAAAATGCCTGTTATCACTTAATAATGGGTCATATTCAATACCCCCACTTCTCTCTCCAAATATCTTTGTAGCATTTTCTTTCTTTGTTTTCTGAACACGAAGCCCCATAAGTTTCAAGCATTGCATTTGGATTAGTGTCTTTACTTTCCTTAATATAGACGGATCACATATTTAAATATTAACAATTTATTTGTCATTATCTTTTGTCATGGAACTAGGTCCCCATTTTGAATTTTTCTGCTGGAATGAGAAACTTCCAGACATGTGGTCTAAATCTTTATTGCTCTATCTGTTTTACTATCGCTCTTCTTCAGTCTCAAAACATATATGGACAAAAGCAATCACATAAAGGTCTGTCCTACTTAATACGGACATCTTTATAAAAGCAGTTACAGAATCTTCTGATAGATCTATACACACATTCAGATGTAAGGGATATGTTTCTTGTACAGGATACTCTCAGTACATTTTGTTATAATAATCACGTATAAGTGGTAAGACCCATTACCATTCTTGAAATCTATGATTATAAGTGATGTAGAATGGTTTAGTAGTTAGTGATTGAGATTTAAAGTAATATTGTCACTGATTTGTTTACTTACACACAGGATTTACTCACTTAAACCAGCCAATATGAGTATAAGAAAATTTTGCGTGAGTTTCTTTGTCTGAAATAATTTTATTATGTACAACACAAACTACTTTTGCTAGATTCTTCCTGGTAAACTTATAAAACACTTAGTGTTTCCTTTTTTGAAGTTGCCTAGTTTCATGCTAATACTTATTCTGAGCTCAAGAACATCATAGTGGCCATTATATTAACTACAAAGCCATTAGATTATACTTAAGGTATTTATAGATGAAAGAAGATCAGACCCAAAGATGATCTATAACTCTGCCTGAGTAATGTTATGCAAATTGTTCTCTTTTCAAAGTCACCGAATGCCCAAGAATATTTAACATTCTATGCTAGTCTACTCTCCTGAGGTGACTCATTTGTTCTCCCTAGTTTAATTGTTGCTATATGAGCAAGAGGGATACCACTTTACAAGGTTAGGAATTCCCTCTAACAGCCCAATGTGCTTTGAGAACTCCCCTGCCTGAGTAACAGACCCAGAGCTATTTATCATCTGGAAATATTTCACCTTATATTGAAGAGAGCAGAAATCCATCTCAAAAAGGCCCCCAAGCATCCCCAGTGTATGCCAAAGAAGCTCACAGAAGAAAAAAGAATATTTGCAATGCTCAAGAGCAAAAAAGCTTATGTGCTAGGATATATTATACATCCTGTTATAGAAAAAAAAATATGCTATTCCCCCAATGCTGTCTTTTATCTTTCTTACTTTGCTCGAATATTGCCTTCATGGCTACATATAAAAGCCATCCTATTTTCTCAGATTGTCATATTTTACAACTTTAGCTCACTCCAATTATAATCTCTCATTTCAAAGTGTCACAATATGTGAATAAGAACTTCTATAAAAGTTGGAGAGGTCACTGGCTTGGACCCAGGATTTGGGAAGAAAAATATGAGAGAAGGTTAAAATAACTTCTTTCTTACTTTTCCAACATTGTAAAACATATTTCACAAGCTCGGTTTTAGGGAAAAAATTTCCAGACAATAAACCATTCATATCAAATTTTCAGTAATGGAATCTCTATTTTGAATAACAGTAAATTTGATGTATCATTTCAAACAATGTAGTTATTTTTCAGAATACTACATAAATGTATGTGATTTAGTCTAGATTTAAAAATAAATGCCAATAATAATCAGTTATTAATAACAATACATTACTATAGTTAGATATCATTTCTTAATTTATTGTTAGCATTTCTTCATTATTTCCATTATTAGCTCTTATCGAATATTATATACTATGTTAAATGCCTTATAGGTTTTATTTAATTTTGACTAACCACTGATATGCTATCATGAAAAATCTAGTAATAAAATCTTTTTAACTGAATTCAAATAGTCCCAAGTGCAAAATAAAATTTTAAAAACTATATGTCCTACACTAATTTATTTGCATATGCACTTAATAATCCCAATAAAGCAGCTTAACCCAAATCTGAACTCGAATGTAAAACTCCATCTAACCTAATTTCTTTCTGTTAGTCTTTATTATCATAGTCACTTCTATTTATGTTTTATTTTCTCCTTTATTTTTTAATTTTTTTTATTTTAAATACCCTTTTATTTAATGGTATAAAATGTCTGGCTACATAAAATCAAATCAATTACGATAAGATAAATATAAGTACGATTTCAAAAAAAGCTAAATCTAGCTAAAAATTCTACATTTTTAACACATGCGAAGTATACATGATTTATTAGTAAAATGTAATACATTGGGAGTAAAACTTTAAAAAATATTTGATATATTCACATTTCTTAATTGCAGTATAGACAAAATGACCTACGAATCAAGCATTTTGTTCCACGGTCTCTACTGTTAGCTGTATGTCTCAGAAACAGCTTCTTTCTCAAGAGAGAACAAGAGGGATAATGCTGGATCTAAAGGCATCATCTGAAGAAGACAAAGATATCAACAATCGCAACTATTTGGCTTTCTGTCCATCACTGAGACTTTTCATAATCTTCCCTTCATAAATAGGATCTCTTGATCAGAACAGAAAAGTTGAGTCTTAAATTTCCTGTATTTATTTCTGACTGATACTGAGGGAAGTGCAAATTTGGTTGCTATGATTAAACTCCTTGATTGTTCTTAATGGGACTCTTTTAATAAGTCAAACATTTTTGCCATCTAAGTATATTGATGAGCGCCACTTTATCTCAAATGTTTACACATACTAGGGAAAAGCATCTGCAGTTTCTGAACTCTTTGTGAATCAGTATCACTTTTTCATGTTACTTCAGAGATCAATATTCAGTGCATTGGTTTTATTTACCATCTTTTCTCCCAGTTGATCTTGTAATCATCAGAAAGGGAAAAAAAATCTCCTTCACAAAGCCCTTTGCGACAAACTTATGTAAATAATAATCTAAGGACAGCTAGAAAAAAAATACACCATACAGGGGAATAGATCCAAAATTGATATCTGCCTCACCTGTATCACCTATTGTATTAGTAACTGGAAAGGTAAATAAATAACAGAGACTAGAAGGTTTCCAAACGTAGTAGTGAAAACTACTCCCCTCCTCCCCCCATATAACACTACAACAGGTTACTTTGGTTACAGGATATGACAATAGCTCTGCAATATCAGAAAAATGCCTGCCTGGCGCTGCGGCTTATGTCTGTAATCTGAGCACTTTGGGAGGCTGAGGTGGGCGGATCACTGGAGGTCAGGAGTTGGAGACCAACCCGGCCAACATAGTGAAAACCCGTCTCTACTAAAAATACAAAAATTAGGTGTGGTGGCGGACGCCTGTAGTCCCAGCTACTTGGGAGGCTGAGGCAGGAGAATGGCGTGAACCTGGGAGGTGGAGCTTGCATTGAGCCGAGATCACTGCACTGTACTCCAGCCTGGGCGACAGAGCGAGACTCCATCTCAAAAAAAAAAAAAAAAAAAAAAATGCCTACAGTAGATTAGAAATAAGGAAAAGTTGCTTGATTTCCTAATTTTCAGGGTATAAGAAGAAATCTAGGCTATCCATGGGCATTCCCAGAAACATCAAGGTTTGCTAAAAACAGAAAATCGGAAGTAGAACAAAAAAAGCGGTGGGAAAAGCATTTAAGACATTGAGGCAAGCCGTGAGGAGTTTGTCAGTCTAAAGGTTGAGTAGAGGACCCTTAAGAAGAGGGAGACAAACATTAAATTTTCAACTTTCTGTAGTTTGATATAATACTTTCCAAGTTCTAGGGTTTCATTAAAACTTCACAAGCTTTTGGATTTTTTAACAAATATTAGGGCTGTGCTTCATGCTTGGGTTAATATGGGGTGAATAGAAGGAACAGCTGGGGAAGAAGAGATAAGAGACAGGTTCTCTAGTAGAAATTAGGAGAAACGTAAGAATCCTATACATCTGCGTATATTTGAGGAGTCTTTAGAGTTCACTGAAGTTCATGGATCGGACGTTATAGCCATTTTAATGTATTTTCATTGTGACAGGATTGACTTTAGAAGGCTTAAGAATTTTGACGAAGAAAAAAGGGGAAAAAGAAGGCATAATAGAGAGAAAGGAAGGAAAGAAGAAAAGACAAAAGTGTAGCCACAAAGTTGTCAACAATAAGAATTGTATAAGAATACATATTCTTCAAGAAATGAAAATAATTAGAACACACATTATGCCTAAATACGTTTTAAGAAATCAAATAAACATGTAGTTTCTAATGGAAGTTCTTCCATGTATTAGTAAATTCTTCCCACAAAGCAGTTTATCTATTTATTGTGAAAGCGATTGAGTTTTGCAGTACCAAGGGATCTTTTGCTTTTAAACCAGTTAATTAGTTTTTATTAGATGCAATGCAATGTTTTGACCAGACTTTTCTCTGTGCTTTTGGGTGGGTTTCCCTATTAGCAGGTAAAACATTTATCTCTTGACTAAAAGTAGATGACATCTTTCCCCAACCATGAGTCCTCAGGTTGTTACAGAGGCTGCCTTCCTGTCTCACTCTGTACCCCCCATTGCCTCTCCGAGTTTAAAAAGGAAATGATTAATTAGTCAAAAGAATATGTCAAAAATGTAACATATTATGTTTAACATAAGTAACTAATGATTAGTCAAAAAGAATATGCTAAAACTTTAACACATTATGTTTAACATAAGTAACTATATTAAAATTTAGAATATATTTATGATTTCCAAATCAATGGTTTGTTTTTGCAAAACCTGCACCAGAATGAAATGACCCTACAAAGTGGAGATAATATAAAATCCTTTTTTTCCACTGAAATTTGTTTTAGATAATACTAATTCTATCAGTGGCTTTCTTTTACCCTTAAATGGATGTTAAATTAGTTGAGAGATGTGTTCAATTCACAATATTTGAGAATGGAGCAATATGATACACTTATATCAAATCCCTTTGTGTAATCTTATTCTTTCTCTGGCTGTTGTACACTTTTCCACCACCTCATATTTAATTTGTATCCTTCTTTCTGTCATTTGCTGTGGATTTTTATCAGAGTTGGTCTAACTTTAGAGGTCGAAGTTTTCTTTTCACAGGGATATGAAATTAGACACAATCATACCATATTTAGTGATTTCTGTGTTTTCACCAGATCAAACACAGATCACATGGTCCATGCTCAGCAATGGTTTAATGAACTAATGAATTTATAAAGGAACGAATGCATGCACATATAGCAAGCCCATCTTTAAATTTTGTTGTTGTTGTCGTTTGAATTTTTGTTTGGCATATAGGGTGTATACAACATAAAAAGAGTTAAAATCCATGATCCTGAACATCAGATATTTGTGGGTTAGAATCCGAAACTGATCACTTATTACATTTGTGTTATTGTGTAAATTACTGAATTTCTTCATACCTCAGAGTCTTCATATGTAAAATGTAGACTATAATATTTATATCATAAATTTGGAGAATACTGTAGAGAATTTGGCTTCACAGTTTGTTTTCCTTCATTTCTCTCCCTTCATATCCAAATAAGCCCAGTATAGCAATATTCCTTTCTATTTATATTAACTTATATAAATGTGCATGAGAAAACTGATTGGATTCAATAAGATGGTAGAAAAAGCTATCAAGCTTCTATATTTTGCCAGGCAACTTTCTAATGGCTTTATGTGTCTAAACCCACTTTAATACTCAGAAAAACACTATGATTACAATCCTTCTATTAGCATTCTCATGTTGTAGATACAGAAATTGAGGGACAGGCAGGCTAACTTGGCTCAAGACACACAAGTAAAAATATTCAGAGCAGAGATTAAACCAGGTTGTCTAACCCCACGTGTCTTTGGGACTAGCATTTAAACTGAATCATCTCACTTTTAATTTGATAATACAATGCCATTAACAGGAAAAAAAACTTTTGAAATATCTTGAGAGAAAAAAACCAAAAAAGCTGAATCTATGTTCAGAGAATTGAATTAGCAATAGATATAAACTACCCAAGTTTTCGTTTTGTGACATCAATTTGAGCAAAGCCAGATTTGTATTACCCTGAATGCATTAATAACAATAGTATCATTGAAAAATACTTTCGACTGCCCATTAGTAATTGTACTAGGTACTAGAAAACACAATTTAGTAATCGCTCCCAGGGAGTCAGTTTTTTGAATAAAATATTTTTCTATGGTTGTGCACATTGTGCCATAATTTGCTTTGAAAGACATAAAATCCATCATATTAAAAAGGTAATAGAGTAACTCCATTTAATAACAGAAATGTCATTAAAATATCTACATTCTTTCTCACAATGAACTAATAACTACACAGATTTGTGCATGTGTATGAAGACGTTTATATGTGTTTTATGTGAGAGAAAAAAATGAAAAAATGGTATTTTCTTGTGCTCAGACAAGCACAATTTTTGCAAAATAAATACAAGGCCAAATATATATATTTATTTATATATATATATACTTGTTATATATGTATATATAGGTTATATATATATTTGTTATATATATAACAAATATATATATAATTTGTTAAATATATAACATTTATATATATGTATATATATCTCAATGCTCTTAACAATGCTCATAAGAACACAATCTGAAATTACAGTGTCTGCTTATTTTCAAGGGTGGTTTGAAGGTGACCTATTTTTTGTAGCATCCATCACTGTGGGGATTGCTTAGTGTGTTAAAGCATGAAGCCGCCTTACCGAAGTCTTCTATTTCCTTTCCTCATTCTATAGTAACTACTTCAAATGGATTTGAATGTGTAATATCACAAATGCAGAAAAAATAAATACAAGAACTTAGCTTGTTTTCTTTGCATTATGAGTCAAGTTTTTTTGTCAAATTTACTGCTAAGAATTAATATTTCATGGTCTTATATCTTGTAATAGTATCATAAATATTATCTTACTTGCATAATAATTTATACATAATATTTATTTTCTGCCCCATAGTGTGAAAATGAGTAATCTTAATCCCAAAGATAAATATTAACTATCCTGTGTAAGAAATGCAGTAAGTTACATCTTGTTTCTAAATACAGGTTAGTGAGAGATCATTTTTTTAAAGCTCTCATTATAAACATATTAAGAAAGGAATCATTCTCAGAGTTTACTTATTTCCCAATAGGTTAATAGGATTCCCAAGAAACTGCCAAAGAGATAATAGTTCCATTTTGACTTTAACTTAAAAGAAAAAAATAAAATAAGAAGGCAAAAATGCAAAAACGAAAAAAATAGATGTCACAGATGCTATAACTTGAACTTTGACTGTTTTAGCAAGTATATACTATTGAATGCCTGACTGAAATAAATTGATTTCAGGCTGTTGCATTTTTAAAGGTCAGAAAGTTTTTTTTTTTTTTTTTTTTAAATGAGTTTCAGGATTATGAAAGCAGGTGCTTAAGTAGAGATTGATTGAAGCCTTAAATGTTGAATATTTCTTTTAAAGTTTGGTTGCTTTTCAGAAGCTACTAATTTATTATTATTATTATTAAGGTTCTCCTAATGATTCTTGGAGTCCATGGAATTATGTGTGTGCATACATGTTCGTAGAACATTTTCTTAAAACTGACACATGAATGTTATTGACCATAGAGGTGCATTATTTCCGAGATTAAAAAAAAAAAATTAGTTTTCTTACTGATCATCCACTGGTTTTTACAATTTTTCCTTCTCCATTTATCGTTGGTTTCTTATTAAGGTAAGTTACAGACAGAACTTATAGATGGAATTTCCAAGACTAACCAGGGTCCAAACATACTTCAGTGTATTATTTTACATCATAAAACTTGATGTATTAGTCCATTTTCACTCTGCTGTAAAGAATTACCTGAGACTGGGTAATTTATAAAGAAAAGAAGTTTAATTGATTCACAATTCTGCACAGCTGGGGAGGCCTCAGAAAACTTACAACCTTGGCAGAAGGCGAGGCACATCTTACATGGCGGCAGGAGAGAGAGAGAGAGATAGCCAGGGGTGAAGTGCCACAATTTAATACCATCAGATCTTATGAGAACTCACTCACTATCAGAACGATGAGGGGGACATCTGCCCTCATGATCTAATCACCTCCCACTAGGCCCCTCCTCCAACATGTGGATATTACAATTCGAGATGAGATTGGCGGGGGGTGGAGGGTGGACATAGAGCCAAACCATATCACTTTAGCTTATCAATACTGAACTAAATCAAAATCAAACATGAATTTTCAATTATGACTGAAATGTAACCTACAGAGTAGTAGGAAGTATTCTACAACAGACTCCTAGATTTCTCTCCCCTGAGTGTCCATATCCTGCATAATCTCCAGGACTGTCAGGACAATGGATTTTATTACTATGCTTATGCTATGTCATATGACACAGTTAATCTTCAAATAAGATTATTTGGGTGGGCCTAACCCTATCACATGAGACCTGTAAAGCAGAAAGTTTTTTCCAAGTGTAAGAAAAGGAAGTCCAAAACACATGCTCCAGCCAGCTTGGAAGAAAGCAAATACATGTGTTAAAGCTGTGGATGCAGAGAAGCCACCTGCAGGAGTTGAACTACCTACACCCCAGCTCACAGCTGGCAGTAACAAAGGAAACCTCAACCTTAAGAGAGCAAGGAAGTGTCTTCTATCAACAATATGAATTATCTTCAAAGCTGCTTCTTCCCTAAGAGCCTCAAGAGATGAACACAGCCCTGCTGACACCTTGGTTTCAATCTTGTGAGACCCTGAGCAAAGAACTCATTCACACTGGGCTGAATTTTTGCCTGCAGAACTGTGAGTTAATAAATAAGGGTTATTTTCAGCTGCTAAGTTTATGGAAATTTGAAATGCAGCAATAGAATACTAGTACAGATAAATACTGAAATCTAATATTTGCATTACTTCACTTAAAAAGAAATCATGCCTTAAGAGTAAAGAGAATTTTTATTTCTCGGTTATGTGCTATAGTTCTCTGATACATTTTAATTTGTTTGCTTATTTATTTTTCCCTGCCAGTATCCTCTCTCCACTATTTCTGGTTGACACTTCTGCCCCTTCGTTTTATCAGTGTTTTGATACCTATCCTCTCTGTGAATACAGTGATATTGGTAATTACTGTATTTTGTCCCTTACCCACAGGCTGAGCAAGAGTCTTAGGTCTGGCCAATAATCATGGGCAGCTTTTTAGAAAAAAGAGTAGTTGCTTCATTACTCAGATGGTCCCCACCTCATCTTGTGCACTGGACAATGTAATAGAGTTCCCTCTAAAAATGGAGAAAATAGAGACTACACACAAAGGGAGACAGAGGTAAGAAAATTAAGAAAAGGAGAAAGAAAGGAGTTCTGACCACATGATGTCAATTCCAACAAGTATTCTTGACTTTTCCACATATAATGTACTCATCAATCTCTTACTCTGAATTTGTTTTTGTTACTCTAAAGAACAACAACAACAAAAAAGAAAAACAATATTCGGCCTAAGTGACCCCCAAAACACAATTTCCTACTTTCTTTTCCATGCAACTGGCATTTATTGAATACTCATTGTATTCAAGTTTCACAGATTTGGAACAAGTTCATCATTACGTCCCCAAAGGTAACCTGGGAAGAGAAACCTTGTTCCACATCAAAGTCAGTACAGCAGGTTTTGCTACTGCTTCATCATTTATACAGTTGGAAACAACTCTGTTTCTTCTACTAGGTCAAAGTGAAATTGAGAGGCGAAGCCGGCTGGGCTTCTGGTCTGGTGAGACTTGGAGAACTTCTCTGTCCAGCTAAACGATTGTAAACATACCAATTAGCACTCTGTGTCTAGCTGAAGATTTGTAAACACACCAATCAGTACTCTGTAAAAGCGGACCAATCAGCACTCTGTAAAATGGACCAATCAGCAGGATGTGGGCAGGGCCAAATAAGGGAATAAAAGCTGGCCACCTGAGCCAGCAACGGCAACCGAGTGGGGTCCCCTTCTACACTGTGGAAGCTTTGTTCTTTTGCTCTTGCTGCTGCTCACTCTTTGGGTCTGCACTACCTTTATGAGCTGTAACACTCACGGTGAGGGTCTGCCACTTCACACCTGAAGTCAGTGAGACCAGGAACCCACCAGAAGGAAGACACTCCAGACACATCTGAACATGGGAAGGAACAAACTCTGGACACACCATGTTTAAGAACTGGAACACTCACCGCCATCACGGCTTAGTGCTTGAAGTCAGCGAGACCAAGAACCTACCGGAAGGAACCAATTCCACACACAAAATGTCAGCCAATCCAAACTTATGAAGGAGGGAATTCTGGGCTGTTGATCTAGTGTGTAGTGAGCTCAATATAGAGGACAGAGCTTTCATCATGTAAATTGATATGCAAAGGCAAATGAAACGTGGTGTGTACTTCCTACTGATGCGTCAGGGTATAGGCCTCTTTTTCTGCCATTCAAATAATGGAAGTTAATTAAATTTTAAACAAATGTATAGATTCATTAGTTTTACTGTGCTCCATGCCAGTATTCTCCAACTCAGCCATCCTAAGCATTTTTTAAAACAGGGGATTTTTGAAAATGAAAGCTTAGCAGCCACCTCATTATGCTAAATGTCTGTGGAAAAATGCGGGGCCAGGGTTCAGTTTCTCCCCACTCCCCTTTCCCAATTCATAATCATAGGCACACACAGGAGGTATCACTGTAATTCACAGAACACATTTAAATCTTCTGCTTGAAACTTTGTGGTACCATTATTTGGCTACTCCAAGCTAACCTCTCTCCTATCCTTTTCTGAGGGAAACACTTTGTGCTCAACATAATTTTTGTTTCATTCCAAGTTTTGATGCTGATTGCATAAAAAACAGCCCACAAGTACTGCTGTATTTTTAGTTTAAAACAGGCTTTATTTACTGCCTTATAAAATGTTGAGTACTTTTGCTTCCGTGATCATGCTATGCTTACAGATATAAAAATTGCCGCCCATTTTATGTCTTGAATCCTTCCCTGAGTAGTCGGCATAACATTTGTTGGTTCTGAGTACACGTTGGTGCTAATGAAGCTTGAAATTTATTGACCTTCTCGTAAGAAGGAGAATAATAAGATATTTGAGCAGTCGGCTCAGGTACTTATAAGTTCACACACACGTGTTTTTTTTTTTTTTTTTTTTCTTCCAATGCCTGCTTGAAGTGTAGACCATGTCTTTCTCGTACTAGAACTATTTCTACTACGATTCTTGAGCTGGCCATTCTAGAGCTTTGCACATTCCTTGTCTGAAGGGATCGGCCCTGGCCATGCCAGCTGCCTCCCAGCCATAGGTAGCTCCTAAACCAAATTATACTTGTGATCAGGTATTGCAAAAATAATGTTAGTGTAATATAAATTGGTAAGAAGAAAGTATAGATTTTAAAAGAAAACCAAATGGTCTTCATGCATGGCTTCTGTCGGCATAAAATCAGGCCGCTGGAACTAGGAAGTTCCTTAGAGAACATTGTTTCAATTACTTCAGTTCACAAATGAGGAAATTGAGAATCAGGAAGGCTAAGTGATTTCCCCAATATCATAGAGCTAGTTAATTACAGAAATCAGAATAGAAACTGGGTTATCCAATCCTCTGCCCAGGGTTCTTTCCATTACACCAAATAAAATTACCTGCTGCTATTTGGGCTAGATGGCTCATTATAGGAGCCTTTTAATGTTTCACAAATCAAAATATTATGTTCCTATAAAATTTAAAACAGTTAAAAATAAAACAAGTTTTGTTTTCTGATGGTTTCAGATAAAATACATTACATTAAATGGATTTCATATGTAAATGTGTTACCGCATTTATATGAGGAAAAAGTTCTACCAGAAAGCATTAGGAACTGAGAATTGATGGCTGCCAGGATTAGAAAGGATGACATCAAGTTCAAGCTCCAGTAGCAACACAGAAAAATATAACATGGAGTAAAATTAGTAGATAGAAGCGTCATTATCTGACTTGGGTATGTTTGAAGAGAAAAATGTAAATCAAAAGAAATGGGATTATTTGTTTATTAATAATGACATTAATATTTTCTATTTGAATAATTGCTATAGACCTGTGAATTATTTTATAGATATTATCTTCTTTGACATTATTAATAATCGTTTTCTTCTTAGCAATCAAGATGAGGGGGCTAAACCTTGGGATATTAAAGTATTTGTCCAGCATATTGCAGCAAACAGGTTCAGAGTCTGGGAACAAAACTCAGGTGTCCTGACTTTGTCTCAATAATACATATTCTCTGGTTTTATTTTAAATTTTACTGTAATCTATTTTGGAAGCTTTTCAACAATGAAAAAGAATACTGTTCCTCCAATATTTATCCCTGTTTAAAGGGCCCAAAGTTGTGGTCATGAAGAAGCAGTAAATGATGAATATTTTCTGCATTTCACATCTTTTATCACATGTTATATATTGTGGGGCATAAAATTTTATGAAATTATAGTTACATGCCTGAAATGGATTTTAAATCTCTTCATTTTCTGTGTCAAAAGTGACAGCTGTAAACCTGAAAAATTAAAGCTGCGGTGTAATTCATCTTATCCATAAATAGTTTACTATACATTATACAGTTTGAAGTAAACAATAGACCAGACTTAAAAATGATATTTTTCCATGGAAAACTATGTGATAAATACTAGAGATGCCATGAATATAACTGAAATTATATCACTTAAATATAGACAGAAGATTCTCTACTTTCTTCTTTTACCTTCTTTCTCTCATACTCAAAAGATATGAAAATGTCAAATAATATGCATATTTTAAAGTTGTTTGCACTGCAAATAGATAAACGAAATCGATCTGCAAATTTCCAAGCTAAGAGATGATTATATCTAAAGTAATTCACCTGATTATTTAGGATTGCCTGCAAAATCTACAATGATTTTATTCCTCACAATATTGTTTTCCAATTTGGGGTAGGAGCTAAAAGTTATTGTATGACATCAAGTGATTTGAGGGATGAGAATGTGTTTCCTTAGCGGGAAAACTTGCTGAAAAGAAGAGAGATTTTTTAAAAAGTTCTTGCTTTGACCTGTCTGGATCAGATGGTTTAAGGCTACAACACGAGGCCAATATCTGTATGTGAAGGAGACAGAAACATCAATGTTTGGAGTATATATTGACCTTCATTCTTACTTTCTCCTTATTCTCTTATGTAACTGTTAATTTTTCCCTTCCTTGGCTCTATGTATTTAATTATAATAAGCTTTACCTACAAGCAAAACAAACCAAACATGAACAATGAAAACTACTTTTGGTCATGTAGCAGAAACAGCAGTCAATAAAGGAGAGAATGAAACTAGAATCTTTTTTAAACTAAATCTGAGAAGAGTGTAAGCTTTCAAAATTTTAAATATATATATACATTTGCACTTCAGTGATAGTGCAATTCCAGTCCTTCCACCACAGATCATGTGTGGTTTTATCTATTAGCATAATGTTAGTTTTCTCTTGCATCTTATGTTGAGTTTACGTAGTACAGAGGACACAAATAGTTCCCTGCTTAAAATGAGAACTAATCCTTTTGTGTTATTAATAATTACAATATCAAAGTTTACATTAAAATTTTTAAAAATGTCTGTACAAAATATCAGAAAAATCAGCCTACTTCTTTATAATTGGCTGGGTAAAGTTGCATTGATGTTAGATCTTTATAAAATATTTTAAGGGTCAGCATTTTAAGCAGAATAGCAGTAAATAGTTCCTTACATAAAAGCAAACTTAAACATATGACAGTGTCTTCTCGTGTGTCATTTGAATGAGGGAACCACAGTTGGTCTCCTGAGAAACTGTTCTACCCTTCATTTCATGATACACAGTACCCTAGGCTCTGTCTTTCTTCGTTCTTTTCCTTCTCAAGGGAAGGTTTCTTCCTTCAAAATGAGGCATAGATAAAGAAGGATCTTATATTTACTATAACTTATGCATGTTTAATTGTTTTAAAACATCATACAGAGAAAATTAAATACCACAAACGAAAGTATTTAATCTTAAAGTTTGCCTTAACGGTCTCCATTTCCATTCACAGTGCTTAGAGGTGAAGTGCTTCCACCATTTACAATTTGCAGCAGGACATACTGGCAGGAAATCTTTATTAAAGCAATAGTAGCCCTTTCCTTTTTTCTTTATTTATTTTACAAACCAACCCTTAGTTACTATGCTTTAGCTGAGACTTACCAATTTTTCTTCAAGTATCAATTAAGGTAGACATATTATTCATCATGAGAGAATTACCATTCAGTATTCTCTGGGTGCTTTTTCTCACATACTTGTATCTTGGTCTTAAAAATGAAGCACCAACATTTAAAAGGCAAACATGAGACCATCTCTTCTGAGACTGCCATTGTATCTAATATTGTCTGATTCAAAATGTGGGTCTAAAAGCAAATGAAAATTGACTTTCTTTTCCAGCTCGGCACACAAACCCATTGAACTGTCCCTTCAGGTTTGATGCGCTATCAGTTAACACTGCACTATCTTCACAAGAAATATGATTTGACCTGAGAAGAACTGCAGCAGCCTGAAACATATATTCCCAGATCATGTCTCTCAGAGTACTGTAGCCATTAAATGTCTTCCATAATGTTCGTGATAAATCTGAGTATTAGTGAACAATATCTGTTAAAGGCATCTCTTTGGAACTTCAAGTCTAGTGTACAGGTGCGCATCTGCAATGGGATTTTCCAGTCATAAATGTCGATAGGTCAATCTATCAAGGTTTTCCTCAAACAAGTATATATACTCAGCACTAGTGAAGTTTTATTTTTTAGAATTTATTTTGTATCTCCAGGTGGATATAATGTAGAATATCACTTAAAGGCATAGACTTTAAAATCAACTGCCTGGGTTTGGTGCTATGACCTTGGGCAAAATAATTAACTTTGTATGTGTAAAAGGGAAATAACTGTGGCAGTTGGGAGAATTAAATAAAATAATAAAAAGTTAAGAGTTTAGTACAATGCAAATACTTTGCACTACTAGGCATTACCTAGTATTTCCTTCCACCCATTTGTGTCTAGTTTCTTTTTCCCATGGTTGTTTGAGCCGATCTGCTCATTTGCTGTTATTAATGAAGTTCAGTCACAGTGTAGAAATGTGACTCCTGCTATTTGCTTTTTCTTTTCTTTTTTCTTTTTAAAATTATTTTGTAGAGATGGAATACTGCTATGTTGCCCAGGCTTGTTTTGAACTCCTGGCCTTAAGCTAGTCTCTCGCCTTGGCCTCCCAAAGCTCTGGGATTACAGGTGTGAGCCACCACACTCAGCCCCATGTGCTGTTTCTTATGCTTAATGTTTTTTGGTTATTTTTTTTTTATCTTTGACAGCCTGAGCCAATATCTATGTGTACTAGGAAAATGCCACACAGAACACTGAGCCTGGCATCACATCAGCCGTTGGCCTGAGTGCAAATGATATCTGCAAGACCAAACAGATAAAGCTATATGTATAAGTCTCAGAAAGAGTAGGAGGACTCAACTTTGGTGATCACTTTATCTAGTTAATCTCAACAAATAAGCAAGGGGTGGGACTCAACCTCTTCATTCTTACTGTAGCAATCTGGAATCAGTCCATCACCATGACTGTTTCCAGGTGTAAAATGACATAATTACTCATTAATCTCCACTTAGAAAGTATATATTGCTACTGGCTGGAAATACTGCAGCAACCAGGAGGACCTTCACATTTCTACCATGTAGAAGAATTAAAGATTATTACATTCTGTCTTCAAGTGATGATCGGATAGTGCACAAATATTTTACCTGCCATACATATAAATTCAGCCAATGTGCAATTTAGTTTACAATATTCTTCAGCTGCAAAAGGGTACTTATACTTCCTTTAATATCTATTCAGCTCGAAAAAAAGCCTATCATATCTATTAAAATCAATAGACTTTTTACTTTGCATTTGTTGTTTACTTACATTATTAGAAAAAAGAAGTAATCAGTACTGTAGAAAATTTCATTGATGCAGTTTTCCTTTTCCTGAATATTTTATAAATTAGAAAATAAAGGCCAAGACATATTAAATAACTTGCCCAATCCTAGGTAGCTGGAACATAGGGAGTAAAAACACAGACGTGACTTCACCCTCTAAATTTGTCACCATTAATTGTTGTAGCTTTCAGCAAATGATTACTTCAGAACATTAAATCATAAGACAATGAGATACACTATCTTTTATTTCACTGAAGCTAGTGAACATCTATTTTAAGCAATGTCTTTAACAGTTTCTTAGCCTTTTGGGATCTGATTGCAAAGTTGTTAATGAGCATGACAGCCACCGCTAGAGGCCTACCTGATATCCCGTTCCCCTTCTCCTTATTAATAGAATCCTTCCATAGTCACAGCATGTATCATCAATGGCTGTGTTTTGCCCAATTAAAATGCTCACTCCTCCCAGAATGCCTCAGAGCTAGAGTACACATGTGACTTCATTTCACCTTATGCAGTAAACATGGGAAAAATCTTTTGGGGCTTTTTAGGAAAAGTTTTTTTAATTATTTTATTCTATTTTTTAACTTTTAGGTTCAGGAGTACGTGTGCAGGTTTGTTATATAGGTAAATTGAGTGTCATGGGGGTTTGGTGTACAGATTATTTCATCACCCAGGTTATAGGCATGGTACCCAATGGCTAGGTTTTCATTCTGCACCCTCCTCCTTCCCTCTGCCCTCGAGTAGGCCCTGTCTGTTGTTCCTTTCTTTGTATCCACCTGTATTCATACTGCATGTACTTTTTGCTGCTTTTTTTTTTAATCTCTCCCATTTTTTCCTTTGTCTTTTCCATGGCTTGCCAAAATAATGATTAGAGATGCAGAAACTGGTTTACGATCATAAAAAAGAAAGCCACATGTTTGATTGAGAAATTAAAAGGTCCTTTTTTGATGTTATCATGGAGTTGCTGTATAAGACCCAGGATGCCAATCTTTGGGTTGCTGTATAAGACCCACGAGAAAAATAAATCCTTCTTTGTTTAAGAGATTATAATTGGATTTCCATTCTGTGCTGCTGAATCCAAATCTGACCTAGGAGATTACTAGGTCAGTATTTTTCTTCATGCAGCAGTGTTTATACTTGTAAAAGTTATTTATGACTTTATAGGAAGAATCATATCAATGTAAAACATATGTAAAAGAGAGACTCCAAAACTCATTTAGTTTGCTCTATACTAGTCAGTAAATAGAAAATGAAAAATATTCCAAACATTTTTATTGATAGTCAATTAATTTTGTATTTTTAAATGACAAATGAATACTTTATGCAAAGAAAACTTATTATGAACTCTCTAATAAATAATGAAACAATTATTTTGTAAAGCATTTTAAAAAGACAAGAACATTTAAAGGGAAATGATCTGTATTGAGAATACAGAGCTACCCTTTTGTTACAAATCAGGTAACTGTTCTATATACTATTTTGCATAAAACTGCTATAAAGTTTGTATTTTAATAATGCAGTTTTCCATTTTGTAAATATATTTTCTTACAAAATATGAGATGCATTTAAAAATGATATTTATTCATTGGATTTATTCTCCATATCCCTTAAAATTCAATTAAATCATTTACAAATTGTCTGGTTTTAACTTATCTGATTGAACATCTGTAAATAATGTGTTTGAGCAAAATTCACTTTTTTATAAAATTGCAAGTATGGGTATCTTTTAGGGACATGTGGGTGACTCTTTCAATATAGAAGATCACACAAAATTTGGCCATAACACGTCACATATCTCCATAGCCTAGAGACACATCATGAAATAAAGTATTTCATTAGCCTGCTGGGACAAGATTCAGTGTGCACAGCAATATGGAAAAAAAAAATCAATATAATGAACATTTTCATAAGCTCAGATTTCCTGATTAAAGTATGATTCTCTGAAGACTGCTTCAAAATGGATATAAATATAAGTACTTTCTCACTGAGCACTCTAAGAGAAAGTTTGGAACACATTCTATTTTGAACATTATAAATTGTGCTTTCAAAAATGATATATAGCTAAAGAAAATTATTTAAACAAAAATGGGCTTTTGATTTAGTGGATATATGCCTAAAAACTGTATATTTTTCATTTTAATAATACCTGTATGGGAAATATATATGGGTGTTAAGGGATCTTATTGCCAGTCAGAGAATGGAATTTGCTTTTATAAATTTATGAATAATTCTTACCTTATATAATATATATAAAATTTTCAGTATGATGCATGTATATTAAAATGTATAAAAAGAACTATAATCGTCACATTTTCTCCAAGCATTTACGTGAACAACATGTGAGCTGGGAAGAGAATCAGAGGTTTATTTAACTGGAATTAGTTAATGAAGTCATCTGTCACTGTTAATTTCTTGCCTTGCTATTCCGTTATCAAAGCAACTGAAATGATCTTAAAAGCCAACCATTACAATCATTAATACTCAAAGTAAATATTACATTTATAGATGCAGTAATCTCAAACCTAGCACTTTCATTCAATCATAGATTCTGTCATATGAAGAAAGCCAAAGAGACAATTTCAGAGTAAACATTGTTAATGGAAATTACGTTTTGAAAGGGCCTCAATTACATTGGCAGTGGGCCGTCCTCTGAGCACCATAAGAAAATGTAATTTCATTGAATAATTCTAGTGTTGCATTGACTGGAATCAAAAAGTGAGTAATTCATTTGTACTTATAAAAGGAAAAATACTTCACTACCACACAGAAAGTGGAGAAGAAGCACACTGGACTGTGAGCTTCTAAAGGGAATATTTCCCCGAGACCCATCTTCATAGTCAATAAATAAATGTTTATTTGTTTCGTTTCATGAAAGAATAAATGATCAGTAGGCCCCTGCTTCCAAAAAAAAAAAAGGATTTACATTTAGGTTAAATTCCAGAAGTGTAATACTAAGAAGTGTCTTTTTTAATTTAAAGCTTCATGCTATGTTAAAACATTTTTGGCTCAAAATTATCTTCTTTTTTTGTCCCATTTCTGTCTGAGCACTTTGAAATAGTAATTTAGTTTTACAAATGGAAATGATTTGACTAAGAACAGGAGGGTCTGATGCAGAAAAAGCCTCAAATCCTGGATCCAGATTCAATGTATTTATCTTTATATCAGTGAATGAGAATACAAATGTACGCATTAAACCTCAGTCCATTTCTCTTCCATTCTTCTAAAACAGCCACCCATTAATTTCTTACCTCTGTTCATTATTAAGCAGAACACATATGGTTTGCATTTTCATAAGACACTTGTAAACTATTCCTTCCTCATGCTGTTATTTTGTGGTAATTGTCAAAGCTACTTATGAAGCCACTCTCAGTGCATAGAAATCCTACACTGAACCCCACTGGAGAAATGAGGGGACTAGTGTATATTGTTAGCAATAGGAAGGCTCCTATTTCACTCAGTAAAACCTAAATCCTTGGAGTGGCCTTCAAGTTCCTACACTTTCTGGCCCCTACACTCATTCCCACTGTTTCCTTAACCTCATTTCCTATTACTCTCTTCTCGCTGTTCATGCACGCTGCCCTGCCACCTCAGGGAGTTTGCACTGCTGTTCCCATACCTAGAGTGCTATTCCCTAGATATCCGCATGGCTAATTCTCACTTCTTTCAGTCCACATTGTTGCTGAAATATCAACCAAATTGAGTATTGTTGTCAATCCCACTTTATTTTGTATTATAAGTACGGGGGTACATGTGCAGGTTTGTTACATGGATGTATTGGGTAATGGTGAGGTTTGTGCTTCTAATGTACCCATCACCCATAAAGTAAACATTGTACCCAATAGGTTATTTTTCAACCCTCATCTCTCTCCTATCCTCCCCACTTTTAGAGTCCCCAATGCCTATTATTTTCCTCTTTATGTCCATGTGTACTCATTGTTTAGCTTCCGCTTATAAGTGAGAATATGCAGTACTTGATTTTTCGAGTTATTTCACCCAAGATAATGGCCTCCAGCTCTATATGTGTTGCTGCAAAACACACGATTTTATTCTTTTTATGGCTGGTATATGTACCATATTTTCTTTTTTCTTTCTTTCTTTACTGTATTTATTTATTTATTCATTTATTGAGACAGAGTCTTGCTCTGTTACTCAGGCTGGAGTGCAATGGCGCAGCCTAGGCTCACTGCAGCCTTTGCCTCCTGGGTTCCAGCGATTCTCCTGCCTCAGCCTCCTGGGTAGCTGGGATTACAGGCACCTGCCACCACACTTGGCTAATTTTTTTGTATATTTAGTAGAGTCAAGGTTTCGCCATGTTGGCCAGGCTGGTCTCGAACTCCTGACCTCAGGTGATCTGCCCGCCTCGGCCTCCCAAAGTGCTGGGATTACAGGCATGAGCCACCGTGCTCGGCCCTAGTATGTACCATATTTTCTTTATCCAGTCATCCATTGATGGGCACTGAGGTAGATTTCATGACTTTCCTATTATGAATAGTGCTGCAATAAACATAGCAGGCAGGTGTCTTTTTATAAAAATGATTCCTTTTCCTTGGTGTAGATATACAGCAGTGGGTCAATCCCATTTTAAAATGCAACCTGCTTTGACCTCAAACACTCTTGATCTTTCTAATTGTTGTGATCTACTTAAAAAAAAAAACCCACTGGCCATTTTCTAATGTATTGTATTAAAACATTTTTACCTGATATTTATTGTTTCTTTATCATTCTACTGGACCTTAATTTCTATGAGAGCAGAGGATATTGTCTGTTTTACACTGCAAATATACCCAAACCACTCAGAACAGTGTTGTGTTTACTGCCACTATCAGACACTTTTTGAATTAATGAATAAATTTATAATCAGTCCTTCAATTATTTTTTCCTAAATTGCCTGAAATTGTATACCTAGTCAGCTTACTCTCCTACTCTCTGCAATGGGTTTTCAAATGTATTCAAACTTCTGGTTACCTTAGAACTTCTAGTGCCATCCCTTTACCTTTGCAGCTTATAGGTCACCTTTGTTCTCAGGTTGGCTCAATCCTATGGAAAAGCTTTCTATCCTCTTTCTACCAACTACTAAAGCTGTTTATCATTTTCTTTTGGAAACATCTTTCTTTGGCTTCTGAGGCATCCCACAGACCAGATTTTCTATCTCCTCATCTGGCCCTCTTTATCAGTTTCCTTTGCATGGTTATACTTCCTTGCCCCACTTATTGGGTAACTCTATGTCTGTGTTTCAGGCCACCTCTCTACTTTTAATTTTTTTTTAAATATAGATGGGGGTCTCATTATATTGACCAAGGTGGTCCCAAACCCCTGGCCTCAAGCAGTTCTCCCATCTTGGCCTCCAAAAGTGCTAGGATTACAGGCATGAGACACTGTGCCCAGCCAAGCCCACCTCTCTGCTTATTTGAAATGCTTTCTCGGGTAATTTCATTCATTTTTACAGCCTCAATCCTTATTAATACACCTAAATATCCCTCTCATCTAAACTTCTGCTTTTAAGTTCCAGTCTATTGTTTCAGTCTCTACCCAGATGTCTCAAAACTTTATGTCTATAAATGTGTAAATAACAAGAACTTGATCTATTTAGAAATTATATAATAGTAAACATTACTCATAATTTAACTGTGAAAACACCACAGTTTTGAATCTTATGTCTGAAGGCTTTAGTGAGTTCACCTATAGATATAACATTTGCAAACTAATAGGTGAGAGATTGGGCTTTGAGTCAGATATTGGTTTGAGTCCATGCTCTGTTCTTTTTAACTTCATTAGTTTTCTTATCTTCTCTATTTCTCAGGGTCCTCATCGGTATAATCTGATCACTGACAGTAACTAGCACATTAGGTCGCTCTAAGCATGAAAATAGGTAATGCATGTGAAGTGTTCACACTGTAACAACCTTGCATTAATCCCTCAGAACAGTTTTTTATTATTATTAAAATTAGTATTGTTTTATTTTCCTGTTTATCTCAAATTATAAACTTTATAAATAATATGAGTCATTTTCTTTAATATTGGCCTATGAATCATAAACAAATAATTCATAGGCCAATATTAAAGAGAATGAACTCATGTTATTTAAAATTATTTATTTACACTTTTGACAATAAAAACAGAATTACCAACCAGTTGCATTCAAGTCACTAAATTAATTGTTTTAGAAAATCTCTATTCTTGGATTGCATAGGAAAAATCTAGTGTAACAGTAGATAGCACTATATAGGGAAACCAATAAAGGTAATAAAAGACAGATCCTGGACTTATCTTCTCGTGTATTAACATTAAATGAGGATGATAACAAGCTCAAGAGATCTGTTATACAACGTGGCGACCATAGTTAATAGCAATGTATTGTATAGAGTGCTTGAAAATCACTGAGAGTAGATTTCAAGTGTTCTCACTTTAATATCTGGTAAGTATGTGAGGTAAGCCATATATTAATTAGCTTGATTTAGCCATTGCACAATGTGTACATAGTCCAAAACATACTGTTGTACACCATAAATATATACAACTTTTTTGTTAGTTAAAAAAATAGTAAAATGATGATGACAAACACAGACCAGGAAGTAATAGTGTGGCTTCCACTAAGCCTATTTTATAAAAATAAAACATTCTGTTGTTTGTATCAGTTGGCCTGCAAAATCCAGAAAAATTATTCCCGTTTAAATCATAACACTTTCTGGTTTCATTTAATTCCACTGTTATTGTTAGGTTGAGAAATGTAAATAAATGTATAGAGATGCAAACTGAAAATAACAGGGACTAAACCTTCTCCCCATGGTTTCCCAGGAAGAAGATGGTGAAGTTAGAAATTCTTCCTAGTTTCCTTTCATTTATACAAAATCACACAGTAGCTAGGCTATATAATGTTTTGGCTGATGATTTCAATGCCTGTTACACATATCATTTTGTTATTTTGCGGCTTTTCTGGTTTTTTTCATTATCCTTCATCTGTCTATTTTCAGTTGCAAAGGAAATGTTTGTGTTGTATATGTGTTGTGTACATGCATGTTTTGAGATTGAGAGAAAAAGAGACAGACAGACACACAGGGACAGAAAGAGAGAAAACAGGAGCTCATACTGATTTTGTATTCATTAGAAGGCAAGCCCCATGAAGGTGGTAGACGTCCTGCTTTCCTCGCTGCTGTTATTTTTGTATTATCTTGATGCTTTTGGCACTCACCATATATTTGTTGGCTGTGTCGTGAAATGACATTCCCTGCTTTCGGAATTATGAGGAGGAGATGAGTTACTTATAAAAGCACTTAGAATTCTGCTCACATGAACTATACAATTTTTTTTTTTTTTTTTTTTAGATGGAGTCTCGCTCTGTCACCCAGGCTGAAGTGCAGTGGCATGATCTTGGCTCACTGTAACCTCCACCTCCTGGGTTCAAGCAAATCTCCTGCCTCAGCCTCCAGAGTAGCTGGGATTACAGGCGTCCACCACCACGCCTGGCTAATTTTTGTATTTCAGTAGAGATGGAGTTTCACCTTGTTGGCCAGGCTGGTCTCCAACTCCTGACCTCAAGTGATCCGCCCACCTCTGCCTCCCAAAGTGCTGGGATTACAGGCGTGAGCCACTGCACCCAACCTACAAGCTCCTTAAATTGTATTTTTATTATGAAGACCCTCAAGTTTCACAGCCACTTGAGGTTTGATCATATCCTTTGTTTTATCTATAAATTTGCTCAAAGAGACTTCCCTCTCCATCTGTTTGTGATAGTTTTGTTGGGAACTCATTTCCATAGAACTTTATCTGAGGGAATATTTGAGGACTGGGCTTAGGGTACATTCCTCAGCATAGGATTTGGGTTTGCATGTCCCAGATATCTGGGATTGCTCCTGACCTGAGACCATTTTAAAACCACATTTGGGACTTTAAGGTCTTCTGGGACCCTTCCCCGGTGTGAAGGAGAGCCCATGGAGAAGAATTCTGCCAGGAGTCTTCTCTTTCCCTTCTCTACACAGAACAGTCTCTGAGACAGTCATGGTTATCTTCCATCCTCTTCTATGGGGTAGAACTTGCTTAATTTTTTGAATGTTTTAGTCTCATTTAGGGGTGCTAATCTAAGCTCTACCTGGACTATGTGGCCATAGTCCTTGTTTACTGTCTCACACTTGGGTGTGGCCTATTAAATCTCAAACTCTGCATCGATGGGACCCCAGTGGTGTACTTCTAATGCCATCAAGAGAACATGATGCAAGAAGCTGAGGTGACTAATATTCCCTGTTCTTACACTCTGGATCTACCACCACTAAGGCCATGTTCTTTCAGGCTTCCCAGCTAATGAATAAGCGAAACAGAATTAATAATGCCAGCTCATCCTTGTAGGATGTGCACTCCTCTGACTTTGGCTACAGGACTCACCATCTCTCTGGCCAACATTACTGTTTTCAGAGCTGCCCTATTATATGAGGGCCTTCCTGCACGCCCTACTTCCATTCACAAATTTCAGCCTTGCATCAAAATCCAAAGGCTCTGCCTGTTTTCTCTGGCACCTTCCCATTGATCCTTCACAGAAATTTCCCCCCCAAATTTCTCCAACATATAATTATAACTTGGTGATTAGAACTGACGAGTAAGTAGCAAACACTAATCTAGGACAAGCATACTTTTCAAAAGGAATGTTACTTGTTGATTGTATCTTTTAAGAATTTACTTTACATTAACATCAACTCAACTGTGCAGTAAAAATAAATAAATCATTAATTTTAACATTTTTATTTTTAACGTTATGTGTTCTAGAAGAAAGTTTGTAGTTGGCCCGGCGCGGTGATTCATGCCTGTAATCCCTGCACTTCGGGAGGCCGAGGCAGGTGGATCACTTGAGGCCAAGAGTTCCAGACCAGCCTGGCCAGCATGGCAAAACCTCATCTTTACTAAAAATGCAAAAATTAGCTGAGCGTGGTGGCGGTTGCCTGTAATTCCAGCCATTTGGGAGGCTGAGGCAGGAGAATTGCTTGAACCTGGGAGGCAGAGGTTGCAGTGAGCCAAGAAACTGTCTCAAAAAAAAAGAAAAAAAAAAAGAAAAAAGAGAAAGAAGGAAAGAAAGAAAGAAAGAAAAGTTCTAGTTTCTCACTTTACGAGAAATGGGTCAGCACTGTCTTTTCCATATCAACATAAAACAATTGTGTGGGCTCTTTGACTAAAAATATAAAATGTACCTGAGAAATGTATATACTAAGTTATTTTTAATCTTGATGAACTATTGCTTTACCAACATATTGGAAGCTGTGTTAGTAGTGGCCTAATTTTCCAGAATTTTGATGATGCATATATGTGAGTATATCTTTTTTTTTTTTTTTTTTTTTTTTTTTTTTTTTTTTGAGACGGAGTCTCGCTCTGTCGCCCAGGCTGGAGTGCAGTGGCGGGATCTCGGCTCACTGCAAGCTCCGCCTCCCGGGTTCCCGCCATTCTCCTGCCTCAGCCTCCCAAGTAGCTGGGACCACAGGCGCCCGCCACTACGCCCGGCTAATTTTTTGTATTTTTTAGTAGAGACGGGGTTTCACCGTTTTAGCCGGGATGGTCTCGATCTCCTGACCTCGTGATCCGCCCGCCTCGGCCTCCCAAAGTGCTGGGATTACAGGCGTGAGCCACCGCGCCCGGCCTATATGTGAGTATATCTTAAGCTAATGAAACTAATTAATGGATTGTAAAATTTTCTCTTTTGCTTCTCCCTTTTCCATGCCAGTTTTCACATAAATAGGACAATATCTTCTTACTTTTCCTGTCATCATGAGAATGCTGGACTAAGAATTTATGGGCATTAACCTCCCCATCTATTTAACCACCTATATTACATGTGTCCCTGATGTAACCTGAGCAAACTTAGCAAGTCTTTTATTCTGGGTGAATGCCCCGCTTCACCCAAATCATGAATGCTCTTTGCTTCATGGAACTCTATTGCTTTTGTTCCCAGAACCAATTATATCTTAGCTAATCTCTTGCCCCTTTAATTATCCTTGATAGTTTTCCAAATAAAATATGCAATCTGTGAACACTTTATTAGTCCCACTCTCTGGTTTATCCATTCATGGGTAAGGATACAGAATTGTCTGAATCCAGCTTATTATAAATTCATTATTCTCAATTGTGCCCAATGACAAAATTTTCCTTGCCCTGGGTCAACAATATTCTCAGTCATCTCTACTATTTAACTGTAAATCTCAAACTATGTGCTGTTTAGAATTATATGTGCCTATCCCATTCTGCCGGACGTACGTGTTCTTTTCTCCATGAGATTTACATCCTGTAATGCTCTGATTCAGAATTTTGGGGCCCAATCCCTATTCATTTGTGTCTTAACAGTCTTTGAAGGGATGTTTGACTTCAAGGATTCCTTGAAGTTTCCCTCTGAGCAAAGGTGAGATGCCTTTTGATTCATGCTTGCGTCATTACTAGCCCAGGTTTAGCTGACTTTTTTAGTGTAGGATTTGCAATTAACACACAATAAAGGCTCTCTGAACTTTAGTCTCTTTTCGAGGGAAATAACCATAAACATACTGCCACTCAGTACAGATGGAGAGGTTAGTGAAAATAAGCAGCATTTATGAAGGCATGCCAGAAGGACTATGGGCCAGCCATTTTCTCTGGATACTGGAAATTCTTCCTGTAATGAAGCCAGACCTGCATAGAGTATTAATACTCAACCACACAAAATTCAGATCTTACAGAAGTGCTTTTACAAAATATTCTTACAAAGACTCAGAGGGGGAAATTACAAGAAAATATTCTGTGAAACATCAGATTATTTACTTAAAGTTATTGTTGATGGCCATTATTTTCAGTACTCTTAGAAAAAGAATAATGAGAGATTTTTTTATTATGCAGCTAAAAGGAATAGTTTTGCCTTTTATTGAACAAAACAATTGTGTGTATGTTCATTTAACTTCTGGAAGATCTGAATCATGTAATTGTATCTGTTTTTTTCTATTTGTGGATAGACAGAACACTTAGAGCCACATGTGGAATACATTGCTAGAAACTAATTCTTCTTGGCATGGACTTTGTATACTAACTTAGTCCCTGGTTTCAAAGAATTTTTATTTTTCTTTCATTTTGATGTCCTCATCTAATTAATTTTATTGTATTTCATTCTGTTGGGTTATATGCAATTATAAGGCACAAAGTCTTACTGAAAAAAGAACATGAAATAAGCAAATATGCAAAAAAGATTAATATTCTATGAACAGTTCATATCTCATGCTTATACATAACTATCAAAGCACACACAATACTTGACATTTTATACATGTTCAGCAAACATTTATTTACCAAATGAAGAAAACTAGGGATTGGAAAACAAAGCTGTTTCTTCAATATTTTTTATTTATTAAAAAATACTACTAGAGTTTGTAATCCTGGCTGACTTTTATCTCAAAAGAGTCAACTCTGTATTATTGAAGTGCAGATTAATGGTTTAAATATTAATTGCATCCAAAATTTACATATTCTTATATAATTAAAATATACACTATATTTTTGAAAAGTTTAATTATTAACGATCAGTTTAACAACTAGAGATATAAGAATATATATGCTATTGGAATTTGTGATTAGCAAATTCCACTTGGAGTCTGCAACGTACAATGACATGCAAATTCCATTTTCCATTGTTTGTATTGTATTTTTAAACATCAAAAGAAAAAATGTTTTTAACTTTAACTCTAATATAATGTTGTCAAATAAGTGAAAGAGTTGTTAGACTTTAAAAAAACACATTACAATAGTGAGAAGCAGAATAAGTTATTTGTGATATGAAAGAGAAAAATGATGAGTTAATATAATTTTAATTCCAGTTAAGAAAATGAAAAAGTGCATCATTGTCTTTTCTACTTGCAAATGATATTTCTTCTATTTTTAAGAGAGTAAAATTTGTCTTTCAGTTGACAGTGAGTTACAGGTGAAAAGCTTTTACTCTGATGTTTTACAGAACTGCTAAAATGTCCATGTGTTATTCTATAGAGAATTGTAATAGAGTTTAGTAGTATAAAAGTGTGAAAGATGTTTTTTACCTTAATATATGATATTTACTTGGTTGAGTTATATAACATTCAAAAATAGAGAATTTGGAGCCTGAAAACCTTGATTTCAGTTTAGCCTCCACTACTTACTGGATTTGTGACCTTAAGCAAGTTATTTCATTTTTCTCAAACTGGGTTTCCTCTTAGATGAAAATAACAATATCTACCTTCCTTTCATGTGATTTATTGAGACCAAATTGGAGTAATAGATAGTATAACTAGAACTTGGTTTTAAGTTATTTAAACATTATTTACTAGGTAAAACTTGTGCCTGTATAAAAATGAGAAACTTTATCTCTGAATGCAGATGCCATGTTTTCATTATTTGATAGAGATAAATAAACATGGAAATTGTATTACAATTTATACCAAACTGCAAGGGGCCAGGTGAGTCAACCAAATTATACGGACATGTCAAAACATGCTGTTTTACTTTGTTTTCATACTGCTATAAAGAACTGCCAGAGACTGTGTAATTCATAAACGAAAGAGGTTTAACTGAATTACAATTAAGCATGGCTGGGGAGGCCTCAGGAAACTTAGGAAATCATAGCAGAAGTTGAAAGGGAAGCAAGGAAACTTCTTCACAAGGTGGCAGGAAGAAGTGCCGAGCAAAGCGGGGAAGAACTCCTTATAAAACCATCAGATAACCTGAGAACTCACTCACTATCACAAGAACAGCAAGGGGCAAACCACCCCCATGATTCAATTACCTCCACCAGGTCTCTCCCTTGCTAGGTGGGGATTACGGAGATAATAATTCAAGATGAGATTTGGGTGGGGACACAAAGCCTAACTATATCACATTGAGTGAATGCATGCATATTCTTAAATGCAAAAATTGTAAATACATATATAAATAGATAAATAGATGTTTAGTGGAATGTAGATTTCTCTAAATATCTATGCAATTTTCATGAATATGAGGTGCAGGAACAATAACATTAAGAGTATCTAATATTATCTCAGCTCATACTGGCTGTGGTGTAGAATTCATAAGAGGAAGGCAGATTAAGTTCCCATTTCTTAGCTATTCTTAATATAAAGCAGTTTTAAAAACCCTGGTTATAGGATCCTATGAGACAAGCCTTAAAGGTATCTGATTGATTTAGATATAAATGACATATGGTTTTTTTTCTTATTATCAAGATGTTTTTGTAAATCTCATCTTTTTAAAGTGTCTCTTAATACACTTCTCTTTTTAACATTGGCTTCTAGAAAAAAATAATGAAGTAAGAAAAGAAAAGGGATTCTACATCTTGAGTGAGAAATTGCCTTATAAAAATGAACAAATAGAGGCTGGATGCAGTGGCTCACACCTGTAGTCCCAGCACTTTGGGAGGCTGAGGCAGGCAGATCACTTTAGGTCAGGAGTTCAAACCCAGCCTGGCCCACATGGTGAAAACCCATCTCTACTAAAAATGCAAAAATTAGCCAAGTGTGGTGGCACGCACCTGTAATTTCAGCTACTTGGGAGGCTGAAGAAGAAGAATTGCTTGAACCCAGGAGGCGGATGCTGCAGTGCACTGAGATCACGCCACTGCACTCCATCCAGCCTGGGTGACAGAGCAAGACTCCTCCGTCTCAAAAAGCAACAACAATAACAACAAAAACAAATAGAATAAGTGAAGAGATTTGATCTTATAATTGGTTGGAATATCCCATAACACTGCACTGTTTATGTTTGCACAATAATGAAAGTTCATTGAGTACATGTTCACTGACATATATGGATCCTCAGAAATATATATCTTAAACATATATATAAGTATATATAAATGTATACTCATACGCATAACTCAGATGTATGCAAAGACTTCATATATCTAGAATGTATATTGTGTATATTCTATATAATATGTAATGGAGGTTGATAGACATAACCTTTTCTTGATGGTGTAGGTTAGAAATAACTGGTTCATTTAGGGTAGGGCAGATTTCACTTGCACTGATATGGACAAATCAGTGTTAATGACAGAATGCAATAGAGTCATCCTGCTATGTAAACAGAAGCATAGATAACAAATAATACAAAATATGATAAAAGTTTACCTCATTCATAACATCATTTATCTGACCCTTTCCCGCAATTTATCTGGCCTATCTGCCACCATTTAATTAAAAAAATTACAGTGATTATATCATGACTGCTTTCAAATCTCACTGTACAACTCTAAAAACATACACTTATTTGATAGCCTTGAATTTCAGCAGAAAAGATAATACTTATAAGAGGTATAGACTTTAAAATATATCATATTTGTGCAGAATATTTTAAGTTATAAATATGTATGCATAAGGCCTAGTTGATGTAACATTAGTATAGATGCTACAAATGCAAGTTCATTAAAGAATATTAAGATATTCTTCCCTGTAAATCTAAGGAAGCAAAACAATGGGAAATTTCTCAAAGATCTAAAGCAGGAGATGAAATAGGGACAAACTGAGTGTTTGCTCAACCGTAATTGTGAAGCAATCAGTTTAATTTTCTCACAGTTGATTTTGTTTAATTAGGAGATGACATTAGCTAACTTTGCAGTTCTACATCGTTGCAAAAAGGACAGAGGAGGTTTTGACATATTGTGCCTTTACTATTAAAGAAATATCATTCAGTGAGTTTTTTGTACACATTTCTATTTGTGTGGTTTTTTTCACTGAAAATAATGCTTTTAAATTTCAGAATACAACAGCTTAACTTATCACATAATAGAGATATACATATTGTATATCCCTTTTAAAATTAGTGCTAATGTAGCATGAGGGAAATGTAATTCAACAAGCTCGGAGCCCCGGCCGAGCTTCGGAGCCCCGGCCCAGCCCCGGCCGCGCACGCGCAGTGACGCGCCGGCCATGCCGGCGGCTGTTGTCGGGCCTCCAGCGGGCGGGGCCGTTGGCGGAGCAGAGGGGAGGCGCAGCCGGGCGGAGGGCCCACGAGGGCTCAGCCTTCCCGGTCAGCGGTGGTGACGGTATCCCAGAGTGCCAGAGAACCGTTGCTTTTCCGAGTTGCTCTTCTTCCAGGCTCCGTTGGTGGTCGGCATGGCCCGTGAGTGGGGGTGGGAAGCGGCGGCGAGCGTCCGGCGTGGGAGCCTAGCGCTGAGGCGCGGCGGGCGGGGGAGGCGGAGTCCGGCTGGAGAATCCCCCTGGGTCGCGCAGTGCGGGGATCCCCGCTTCAGTCGGCAGAGAGAGAGCTCGCGGGTGGTTCCGGTCCGGCTTTTCAGGCCGGACGGGTGCCTGCCCCTCAGGTGCGAGTTTGTGCGGTAAAGAACACACCCCGGAGATGTGGACACGGCCGCCCCAGGAGGGTCCTTGTTTGGAGGTACTTTATAGCTGATACCTCAAGTCTTAAGGCCTAATGAGGACCGGGAACTCCAGTGAGTCGCCTCCCTAGTTCTTTTGTTTGGCGCTCGCAGGTAGTAGCCGAATAAACAGGAGGCTTTAGAGCCGGTCCTAAATTTGATGTTCGTTTGTACCAGTCCTAGGTGTTAGGTCAGTCTGTTCTGCAAAATGAAAACAATGAAGCCTACCTTGCAGGGTTGTGGCTAGAATAAGGATGTAAAGGCCCACACTGCCTTTCGCAGACTTACCTTCAATCTGTTCAGTCTCCATCCACCCCTCTCCGCCTCTGCATGGGGATAAAGGTAACTCTCAAATGATGGGCTGAACTTGTGATCTCTGTATCTAGCTTTCTCTTCCACCCACTCCCCTCAAAAGCCAGAACTTATTTTGGGATACCGGCCCAAGATTCGAATATCTGTTTTAAAATATCTGGTATTTATAGCTAGTGACCACCTAGATTGGTATGATAATACTCTTAAGTCTTTAAGTGTTTAAGCCACTTCCTTATTGTCAGATCTAGGAGCACCATCAATCTGTTACTCTGCTAGTTTATCTATGAAAACACAAACTAAAGATGCATTTAAATAAGGCCTGTTTATTGGAATTATTAATAATTTTGGAGATGGGAAAAGAGCATGACTGTTTGACTTTGTAGGTGGAAATCAACGAGAACTTGCCCGCCAGAAAAACATGAAGAAAACCCAGGAAATTAGCAAGGGAAAGAGGAAAGAGGATAGCTTGACTGCCTCTCAGAGAAAGCAGAGGTACGTGGTACTAATTTAATTCTAAAGTCACTGACGTTGTGATTGAAGCAACATTTTGGGCTGGGTGTGTTGCCTCATGCCTGTAATCCCGGCAGTTTGGGAGAGTCGGGAGAACTGCTTGAAGCCAAGAGTTTGAGACCAACTTGGACAACATAGCCAGCCCCTGTATCTACAAAATATTTTTTTAAATTGGCCAGGCATGGTAGCACATGGCTGTGGTCTCGGCTACTCTGGAGGCTGAGGCGGGAGAATCGCTTGAGCCCAGGAGGTTAAGGCCGCAGTAAGCTGCGATTGCACCACTGCACTCCAGCCTGGATGGCAGAGTTAGACCCTGTCTCAAAAAAAAAAAAAAAAAAAAAAAAAGAAGGCCTCATTTTGGGGAACAGAAAGCATTTTGTTAAGCCCTTGGTAGAACAGGGCCTAATGATTTGTGCCAGGCGGACTAAAACCACGTGGGGTAGACATCCCAACATATAGATAAAAACGTAAAGCTCTGAAGCTATTATTTGTTTCACAGAGACTCATGCAGCTCCTCCACAACCATAAGAACTTTTTATAGGCTGGGCGCGGTGGCTCACGCCTGTAATCTCAGCACTTTGGAAGGCCAAGGTGGGTGGATCACCTGGGGTCAGGAGATCGAGATCAGCCTGACCAACATAGTGAAACCCTATCTCTACTAAAAATACAAAATTAGCTGGGTGCAGTGGCACATGCCTGTAATCCCAGTTACTTGGGAGGCTGAGGCAGGAGAATCGCTTGAAACCGGGAGGGGGAGGTTGCAGCGAGTGAAGATTGTGCCATTGCAATCCAGCCTGGGTACTGAGCGGGAAACTCTGTATCAAAAAAACAAAACAAAACAAAAAAAAACAACTTTATTCAGCAAAATAACATCTTCTATATGCAAAACACTGTGAGGTGCTAGAGTTACAACATTTTCAAAGTAGACAGCCTACCCAAACTACTCTGAATGACAAGGGACTCAATTATTAATATATAATGATAATAGTTCTCAAGAAGATACAAAAAAGTATATGCATAATAGCTAGCTGTGCTGATTTCTGAAGATCCATTGCATTGGAGAGAATTCATGTACATAGCCTTAATATATGACTATATGTGCCAATGTAAAACTGCTACAGAAATACTTTAGACTGCAGCTTAAGTAAAAAAAAGTACACTCATGTTTCTAAAAGAGCTAATCAAAGCTTAATTTTATTCTCAAATGATTTTGTCCATATGGAACTTGGAGGTTAAGCGAATAACTGACTGCATGTGCTTCAGTGTGGCTTGTTAGGGGTTCTCAATCCTGGCTGCACATTAGAATCACCTGGGAAACCTTGACAGCTACTCAAGCCTTGCGTTATGCTCAGTTTTGATTTTTTGTTTTTTTAAAAAATTGAATTACAATAGTTGTACATATTTTGGGGGTACATGTGATCTTTTAATACCTGTATGTGGGCTGGGTAGTCCCAGCCACTTGGGAGGCTAAGGCAGGAGAATCACTTGAACCTGGGAGGCGGAGGTTGCAGTGAGCCGAGATCCTGCCATTGCATTCCAGCCTGGGTGACAGAGTGAGACCCTGTCTCAAAAAAACAACAACAAAAAGAAACTGGCTTGGCGTGGTGGCTCATACCTGTTAGCCCAGCACTTTGGGAGGCCGAAGCGGGTGGATTACCTGAGGTTGGGAGCTCAAGACCATTCTGACCAACATGGAGAAACCCCATCTCTACTAAAAATACAAAATTAGCCAAGTGTGTGGCCGGGCGCGGTGGTTCACGCCTGTAACCCCAGCACTTTGGGAGGCCCAGGCGGGCGGATCACGAGGTCAGGAGATCGAGACCATCCTGGTTAACACGGTGAAACCCCGTCTCTACTAATAATACAAAACTTAGCCGGGCGAGGTGGCAGGCGCCTGTAGTCCCAGCTATTTGGGAGGCTGAGGCAGGAGAATGGCGTGAACCCGGGAGGCGGAGCTTGCAGCGAGCCGAGATCGTGCCACTGCCCTCCAGCCTGGGTGACAGAGCGAGACTCCGTCTCAAAAAAAAAAAAAGCCAACTGTGGTGGCGAACACCTGTAATCCTAGCTACTCGGCAGGCTGAGACAGGAGAATCACTTGAACCTGGGAGGCGGAGGTTGCGGTGAGCTGAGATCTCGCCATTGCACTCCAGCCTGGACAACAAGAGTGAAACTCCGGCCGGGCGCGATGGCTCATGCCTGTAATCCCAGCACTTTGGGAGGCCAAGGCAGGAAGATCACGAGGTCAGGAGATCGAGACCACGGTGAATCCCTGTCCGTACTAAAAATACAAAAAATTAGTCGGGCGCAGTGGCGGGCGCCTGTAGTCCCAGCTACTCGGGAGGCTGAGGCAGGAGACTGGCGTGAACCCGGGAGGCGGAGCTTGCAGTGAGCTGAGATCGCGCCACCGCACTCCAGCCTGGGCGACAGAGCGAGGCTCCGTCAAAAAAAAAAAACCTTTATGTGTACAATGTGTAATGATCAAATCGGGGTAATTGGGATATCTCTATGCTCAAACATTTAACTTTCATCCAGTTCTGATTTAATTGGTCAGAGGTCGAGCATTAAAAAGCACCCTAGGTAAATTTTACTGTACTTAGGTTATGCCTTTTTTTTTTTTTAAAGGCAGAGTCTTACTCTGTTGCCCATGCTGGAGTGCAGTGGCGTGATCTCGGCTCACTGCAACCTCCACCTCCTGGGCTTAAGCGATTCTCCTGCGTCAGCAATCCAAGTAGCTGGAATTGCAGGCGCCCGCCACCATGCCCAGCTAATTTTTGTATTTTTAGTAGAGACTGGGTTTCACCGTGTTGGCCAGGCTGGTCTCAAACTACTGACCTCAAGTGATCCACCCGCCTCGGCCTCCCAAAGTGCTGGGATTACAGGCGTGAGCCACCACGCTGGCCCAGTTATACCTTTTTTTTTTTTTTTTGAATTTTTTTTTTATTATTACGCTTTAAGTTCTAGGGTATATATGCACAACGTGCAGGTTTGTTACATAGATATACATGTGCCATGTTGGTTTGCTGCACCCATCAACTCATCATTTACATTAGGTATTTCTCCTGATGCTATCCCTCCCCCAGCCTCCCAGCACACCCAGTTATACCTTAAACTGAACTTAAAACAGCTCCCAGGTGATTCTAATGTGCAGCCACTATTAAGAGTCATTGATAAATGAGATTAAAGACCTTAATTTACGGCAAAGGTCCTGACACCTTTTTTTTTTTTTTTCCCAGATATGGCGTCTTACTCTGTGACCCAGACTGGAGTGCAGTGCCACAGTCTCGGTTCACTGCAAGCTCTGCCTCCCAGGCTCAAGTGACCCTCCCACCTCAGCCTTCTGAGTAGCTGGGACTACAAGGGCACACCACCAAGCCCAGATAGTTTTTATATTTTTTGTAGAAACGGGGTTTCATCATGTTGTCCAGGCAGGTCTTGAACTTCTGGGGTCAAGTGATTTGCCCACCTCAGTCCCCCAAAGTGCTGGAATTACAGGTGTGAGCCACTATGCCCGGCCCTAACATTTATTATTAAAGTGATAAGCTTTGTCTTCAATTTCTGTTGACTCACATTAGAGTAAAAATGAACATGGTATGAATCAGTGACCCTGCAATAGTATTTTTATTGGAGAACCTAGTCTAGCTTGGTTCAGAAATTGTCATTGTTTACCAGATATGCACTCCTTATAAAATTCTATGCTAGACATTCTATATACATTATTCTTTATTCATCATAACTCTGAAAAATGGTATTAGCACTAATCTGTAGAATAGGAAACTGAGGCTCTGAACTTCAGTAACATTACTAAAGTTACACAGCAAGCACAACAGAGCTTGGTTTCAAATAGAGAAGTAACTGTCATGGTTCTTTTTCCACTGTACTTCATTTCTTTATAGCTATGTTTTTGTTTTTGTTTTAGTGAAAGCAAGTTTATTAGGAAAGTAAAGAAATAAATATTGGCTACTTTATAGGCAGAACAGCCTGTAGCTGTGTTATTTTGCCTTTCTTCTTTATTTTTATTTTATTTTATTTTATGTTTTTGAGACGGAGTTTCGCTCTTGTTGCCCAGGCGGAGTACAATGGCGCAATCTCAGCTCACCGCAACCTCCACCTCTCGGGTGCAAGTGATTCTCCTGCCTCAGCCTCCCAAGTAGCTGGGATTACAGGCATGCACCACCATGCCTGGCTAATTTTGTATTTTTAGTAGAGATAGGGTTTCTCCATGTTGCTCAGTCTGGTCTCAAACTCTCGACCTCAGGTGGTCCGCCTATCTCAGCCTCCCAAAGTGCTGGGGTTACAGATGTGAGCCACTGGCCTATTTTGCCTTTCTTCTATTCCCTTGTTTTTGCTATTGGCTTTACAGAAATATCTTACCATCATGGCTGTGGAAATCAGTTTAGCATTTCCTCAAAAAGTTAAAACAGGCCAGGCTCAGTGGCTTACACTTGTAAATCCAGCACTTTGGGAGGCCGAGGCGAGCGGATCAACTTGAGGCCAGGAGTTCGAGACAAGCCTGGCCAACATGGTGAAACCCTGTCTCTACTAAAAATACAAAAATTAGGTGGGCTTGGTTGCACATGCCTGTAATCCCAGCTACTTGGGAAACTGAGGCAGGAGACTCGCTTGAACCAGGGAGGTGGAGGTTGCAGTGAGCAAAGATTGTGCCACTGCACTGCAGCCTGGGCAACAGAGCAAGACTCTGTCTCAAAAAAATAAATAAAAAATTAAAAAGTTTGAAACATGAGGTTAATAAGTCAGAGTTGTGGGACTTTAACCAGAGCTGGTAGAGTGCTTGACACACAGTAGATGTTGAATGCATGGCCGTTTAGTCTGTTTTTAAAATATGGGTCCATGGACTCATGAATCACCTAACCCAGGTAGTCTGGTCATAGTTCACAGTTTATATGGCATGTGTCAGTTTGACTGGAGATGAGAAGGGTTAAGGGCTGGGCGCAGTGGCTCACACCTGTAATCCCAGCACTTTGGGAGACTGAGGCAGGCGGATCACAAGGTCAGGAGTTCGAGACCAGCCTGGCCAATATGGTGAAACCTCGTCTCTACTTAAAATGCAAAAATTAGTCGGGTGTGGTGGCGCATGCCTGTAGTCCCAGCTACTCAGGAGGCTGAGGCAGAAGAACTGCAAGCAGGAAGTGGAGGTTGCAGTGAGCCAAGATCGTTCCACCGCACTCCAGCCTGGGGGACAAAGCGAGACTCCGTCTCAAAAAAAAAAAAAAGTACCCTGAACATCCAGCTTTTCTTTATTGTAATCCAGTTTTAGTGACTAGCTTTTGGGCTTTTTTGCTTGTAAGAAACTGAAATCCTTCATAATATCTATGTTCTAGTCGTAGATACCAGTTAGGATACCTAGGAGAGTTCTTAAATGCCTCTTCTTTCAAGGAAAAAAATTAGAATGAATTAACTAGTTAACAACCAAGAGTAATAGCTATTATTTCTACATGTAGCTGCCTAATGTCACACACTTTTATATATTCATAGTGATTCCTTGTAACAACCTTGATACATATTGCCCGGATTTTGAAAGGGCTTTGAGGTTATTTGCCCAAGGTCATGATAACAGAGATGGTATTCAGAATAAGATCTGACTTCAAAGCCTTTCCAGTCTGTCTTTCCATTTTATCTCCAGCCATGAAAATGGAAAGACAAAAAAGTTTATATCCTCTTTTAAATTGTCTTCTAATACACTGAATGGGTTATGTGTAGAAACCAAGTGAGAATATATAATTGGTTTTTCTGTAACAACTTATAGACTTTTCCCTCATTGTAGGGACTCTGAGATCATGCAAGAAAAGCAGAAGGCAGCTAATGAGAAGAAGTCTATGCAGACAAGAGAAAAGTGATGACTGGCTATTTGGAAAACCTGGGTGCTACTGCCAACTGGGTGTATCATAAGCTCTAAGATCAAGATTTTGTAGAGTGGACAGTCATTACATATGTTATAACTTATCCTTTAAAAACTATTTTAAACTTTATCCTTTCAGCTTTACTTAGTGCGATGTTTTAGAAGCAGTCTTCAAAGAATAAAACACTAACCATGCATGTGACATATTGGTGAACATTATTTTTATTATTGAACATTCATATATAATTTATTAGGTAATATGATCAGATAATAGGATCTCTTATATAATAAAGAATCTTTGTCATCAGCTTTGTTAACATAGTTTTTTTTTCCTCACAGTTTCTAAGGATAAGGATAAAATAGATCTTTGAAGTAAACTTAAATATATAATAGAAGTTAGGGTCCATTTGTATAATTTTGCTTTGAAATCAAGTTAAAGGGCCAGGTGCGGTGGCTTATGCCCACAATCCCAGCACTTTGGGAGGCCGAGGCGGGCGGATCACTTGAGGTCAGGAGTTTGAGACCAGCCTGACCAACATGATGAAACCTCATCTTTACTAAAAATACAAAAAAAAAAAAAAAAAAAAAATAGCCAGGTGTGTGGTGGCACATGCCTGTAATCTCAGCTACTCGGGAGGCTGAGGCAGGAAAATCGCTTGAACCCAAGGCAGAGGTTGCAGTCAGCAGATATTGCACCACTGCACTCCAGCCTGGGCAACAAAGCAAGACTCTGCCTCAAAAAAAAAAAAAAATCAACTTACAAAGCTTGCTTGAACAATTTACAACAGATACTTCAAACCACTGGAATAGAAACTAAGTGGATGTAAACTGAGGTCTCAGTTCTACTTATAGCTTTAACATTTTTTGGAATGAGTACCATATTTTCTGTTCTCAGCCTCTTCTAAAACTTGAGTCTTGATGGTAGTTATAAATTTGGAAATATGTAACCTAGAGAAATTAAGGTTTGAGACCTTGCTGCACTCTGAAGTAAACACAAAACTATGTCAGAGAGAATAAAAATGCCATTGTAGTAGTAAATAGAATAACTTAAAGTATTCTACAAATACTTGATTTTTCACATAATGCAATTTAACAAATTTTTCTGATCACCCAATATGTCAACCACTATCTGAATGGACAGATCTTGAAGTTAGCCTAACACAATATCTTGTGATTTGTCTCTTACCAGTGGTACCACCCATAAATAGGCTAGAATTTTTTGTGTCTAATACTGAATTCGACAACCAGGAAGTTTTTTGGGTTTTTGTGGGGTGTTTTTTTTTTTTTTGAGACAGAGTCTTGCTCTCTCGCCCAGGCTAGAGCGCAGCAGTGCCATCTCGGTTCACTGCAACCTCCGCCACCTGAGTTCAAGCGATTCTCCTGCCTCAGCCTCCTGAGGAGCTGGGACTACAGGCGCCCGCCACCACGCCCGGCTAATTTTTGTGTTTTTAGAAGAGATGGGGTTTCACCATTTTGGCCAGGCTGGTCTCAAACTACTAACCTCAGGTGATCCACCCTTCTTGGCCTCCCATAGAGCTGGGATTACAGGCGTGAGCCATCCCACCCGGCTGAAGTTTTTTAGCCTGAGTTTCTATCTTCATATTAGCCTAGATTTTTCATTAAATTAAAACATTGTTCTGGATCTTTGGTTAACTTTAGTCTTCAGAATATTCTATGATGGTAGTCACAAAGGCAAAAATTAAGTAGCTTAAGTTACATTCTAATAAAAGAAATAATAAAGAAATCTGATTGTACCACAAAGATTCTTTGTGGGCCTGGTTTCTGTAATTCTGTCTCCAGAATTTCTACACAGACTAATAAGCCATAAGTACAAAAAAACTTTTCATGCTTTAAGCTCTTTTCTTTGCCTTTTTTTTTAAATGAATAATTTCTTTAGTTTATCCTGTGGAATGGAAGAACTTTAGACCTTTTAATTCTTATAAATCGAGGGAAAGCTACGTTTCCAAAATAAAATGGATATTAGAATAAGGAAGATCTCTAGTTTGTAATCAATCATTAGTACTTTTTTTTTTTTTTTTTTGAGGCAGGATCTCGCCTTGTCACCCCGGCTGAGTGCAGTGGCACGAACGTGGCTCACTGCAGCCTCAACCTCCTGGGCTCAAGTGATCCTCCTGCCTCAGTCTCGTCTCCCAAGCAGTTGGGACTACAGGCGCATGCCACCACGTCAGGCTGATTTTTATATTTTTGGTAGAGATAGGGGTTTTGCCATGTTGCCCAGGCTGGTCTCCAACTCCTGAGCTCAAGTGAGCCACCTTCCACCTCTGCCCAAAGTGCTGGGATTACAGGCGTGAGCCACCATGCCTGGCCATTCTTGATTAATTTTTATGGCATTTAATTAAATAAATTTATTGTTAAGAGGTTTGATTTTTAACTGCAATATGACCAGATGTTTCCTCAAAGCAGGCGGAAAAATTATCGGAGAGGAAGAAAATTAAGTCTAATTGTTGGAGTATATTGACACCTATCATGTGGTATATTGTAATATATATATATATGCAATACATTGACACCAATCATGACACCACCATGTGGTATAGTTAAGGTAACTAAAAGTAGCTGAACTTATAAAGAGGGAAACAGGTCAATTATAGGATACTAAGGGAAAATACAGGTGAATAGCTTTTTTTTTTTTTTTTTTTTTTTTTTTTTGAGACTGTGTCTTGCTTGCTCTGTTGCTGAGGCTGGAGTACAGTGGCACAATCTCGGCTGACTGCAACCTCTGCATCCCGGGTTCAAGCAATTCTCCTGCCTCAGCCTCCCAAGTAGCTGGGATTACAGGCGTGCACTACCACACCCAGCTAGTTTTTTTGTATTTTTAGTAGAGACAGGGTTTCACCATGTTAGCCAACCTGGTCTCAAACTCCTGATCTCAAATGATCTGCCTGCTTCGGCCTCCCAAAGTGCTGGGATTACAGATATGAGCCACCATGCCCATCCCTGGAGAATAATTTTAATTATTATTATTATTATTTTTTTTTTTTTTTTTTGAGACGGAGTTTCGCTCTTGTTGCCCAGACTGGAGTGCAGTGGCGTGATACTGGCTCACCGCAACCTCTGCCTCCCGGGTTCTCCCACCTCAGCCTCCCGAGTAGCTAGGATTACAGGCATGAGCCACCACGCCCGACTAATTTTGTGTTTTTAGTAGAGACGGGGTTTCTCCATGTTGGTCAGGCTGGTCTCGAACTTCTGACCTCAGGTGATCCGCCCACCTCGGCCTCCCAAAGTGCTGGGATTACAGGCATGAGCCACCACGCCCAGCCTTAGGAGAATGATTGTAAAAAGTAAATTCATGTAATGATTTTATTTAGTTTGGATATTGTTAGGGCTTGTTGCTAAAGAAAGATAAAATTATTAGGTGAGATAGTACCAGATTTAGAATATAATTTGGAAAATACCAAACTCCATGGAACCCTCCCTTTAAACATCAAAAATCGTATTTTGCATCATTCTTAGGAGGTAGTGCGTTATCATTAGCAATTTTCATTAAGTCCTGCTGAAAATGAGAAGCAGCAGCCATTACTGCCCAAGATACACTGTGGTCAGTTTTATCAGTTACTTTTTTTTTTTTTTTAAACAGAGTCTCGCTTTGTCATCCAGGCTGGAGTGCAATGGTGCGATCTCCGCTCACTGCAACCTCCACTTCCGTGCCTGGCTAATTTTTTGTAGTTTTAGTAGGGATGGGGTTTCACCATCTTGGCTAGGCTGGTCTCGAACTCCTGATCTCAAGTTATCCACTCGCTGGCCATCAGTCATTTATTTTTGAATGCCTCTTCTATTAGTAGCATGTGTAAGAAATTGTGATCCATTTATCAAACTAGCCAGTTTTTGAAAATAGGGCTAAAAGGAAACGTTGATTTCTGACATTTTCCAAAAACTTAAAAAATTTTTATATAGGCTGGGCACAATAGCTCACGCCTGTAATCCCAGCATTTTGGGAGGCCGAGGCAGGTGGGTCATTTGAGCTCAGGAGTTTGAGACCAGCCTGGGCAACACAGAAAAACCTCATCTCTACCAAAAAAAAAAAAATTAGGTGGGTGTGGTGGTGCACGCCTGTAGTCCCAGCTACTTGGGAGGCTAAAGTGGGAGGATCACCTGAACCCAGAAGGTCAAGGCTGCAGTGAGCCGAGATTGCACCACTGCCCTCCACCCTGGGTGATAAGAGTGGGACCCTGTCTCAAAACATACACACACACACACACACACACACACACACACACACACACACACACTCTCTCTCTCTCTCTCTCTCTCTCAAAAACACTTGGTCTGTTATTTTTACGAAATTGTCAGTCATAGTTATCTGTTAGACCAAAGCTGAGTAAGAACATTTATTACATTGCCTCCTACAACTTCATCAGCTAATGTATTTGCTATATAGCAATTACATATTGGAATATATTATCTTTAGAGATGGCCAAGTCATAAAACTGTCACTGAGAAAAGGAGAATGACAATGTGTATGCTCAAATGTACTTCCCTATAAATTTCCAAAAGACATGAAACTTACTACAGGTTTGTTTTTTTCACACCTTCACTTCTTAAAAACAAAAAAACTTTTACATAGCAGTAACTAATGCACATTAAAAGTTTATAAATAGCCTGCTATTGGATCATTTGCTTGGAAAAGTTGAGATTTTCAAATTTGATTATAACATAACTTTTGTAGAAATACACGGCCAGGTGCAGTAGCTCACATTTGTAATCTCAGCACTTTGGGAGGCTGAGGTGGGAGGATCGCTTGAGGCCAGGAGTTTGAGACCAGCCTGGGCAACATGACAAAACCCCATCTCCTCAAAAAGCACAAAAATTAGCCAGATGTGGTGGTGCACACCTGTAGTCCCAGCTACTTGGGGGACTGAGGTGGAAGGATGGTTTGAGTCTGGGAAGTTGAGGATGCAGTGAGCCAAGGTCATGCCACTGCACTCCAGCCAGGGTGACAAAGTGACACCCTGTCTCAATATAATAATTTTAAAAAGGTGCCTGTAATCCTAGCACTTTGGGAGGCCAAGGCGGGCGGATCACGAGGTCGGGAGTTCAAGACCAGCCTGGCCAATATGGTGAAACCCGTCTCTACTAAAAATACAAAAATTAGCCAGGTATGGTGGTGTGTGCCTGTAATACCAGCTACTTGGGAGGCTGAGGCAGGAGAATCGCTTGAACCCAGGAGGTGGAGATTTCAGTGAGCCGAGATTGCACCACTGCACTCCAGTCTGGGTGACAGAGCAAGACTTCATCTCAAAGAAATAAATAAATAAAAAACAAGGCCGGGCATGGTGGCTCATGCCTGTAATCCAGCACTTTGGGAGGCTGAGGCTGAGGTGGGCAGATCACCTGAGGTCAGGAGTTCAAGACCAGCCTGGCCAACATGGTGAAACCCCGTCTCTACTAAAAATACAAAAATTAGCCAAGCGTGGTGGTGGGCGCCTGTAATCCCAACTACTTGGGAGGCTGAGGCAAGAGAATTTCTTGACTCTGGGAGGCAAAGGTTGCAGTGAGCCGAGACTGCACCACTGCACTCTAGCCTGAGCAACAGAACAAGACTCTGTCTCAAAAAAAAAAAAAAAAAAAAAACATACAAACCGAATTTCCATTCCACATACTACTCTTGCTGTTTTACCACTTGGACAAGACTGCTTGCTGGTACATAAGTTCTGGAACACTTCCTTGCAGCAGTCTGGCTGAGCCTTGGTATTTAAAAGAAATTTACCTACCAGCCTGGCTATAATTGACATAATCCTATTAAATACTTGCCTTTTATGAACATATATCACATGACATAAGTTTTTGTCAAATACTTTTTTTTTGGTCAAAGACTGTAGCCTTATACCACTCAAGGGGGCTGTTAGGGTAGCTTATGAATGGATATTTCATACAGAGTTACGTATTTAACCCATTTCCTGTTTAGAAAATAAAAGTGGCCAGGCGCCGTGGCTCACGCCTGTAATCCTAGCACTTTGGGAGGCCGAGGTGGGTGGATCACGAGGTCAGGAGATCGAGACCGTCCTGGCTAACATGGTGAAACCCCGTCTCTACTAAAAATACAAAACATTAGCCGGGCATGGTGGCAGGCGCCTGTAGTCCCAGCTACTCGGGAGGCTGAGGCAGGAGAAAGGCATAGACCCGAGAGGCGGAGCTTGCAGTGAGCCGAGATCATGCCACTGCACTCCATGCACTCCAGCCTGGGCGACAGAGTGAGACTCCGTCTCAAAAAAAAAAAAAGAAAAAAAGAAAAAAAAAGTGCAGCTGGCTGCCAGCGCTCATTTAATTTTACATAAACACACTCTGAGGTTGACGCAAATTAATTTTCAATGTGAAAATACACAAACTGTTCTTAGAGTTATTTCTAAACAGAACTTGTCTCTAATCCTAATATAATGGAAATGTATATAATGTTACATTAGGATTAGAGGCAAGAGTATTCTTGGGGCAAACGGGAAATGGGTTAGTATATACTTGAAGTAATATAACCACATCTAACCTGATTTCATGATATATTGGAATTTTTGGTTGCAAGCAACAGGATCAGATTAATGAACTTACTGATAAAAATCTTATTTGAAAGAATGAGAGACTCCAGAGTCATGGAAAAGTTGAGGACTCAAGGCTTTGGAAAGGTCAAGAATTGTAACAGTTTCAGGTATCTTAAGAGTAGGTGTTATGAGGTGTTTGTTTTTGTTTTTTTTTCTTACAGTGCTGATATCAGGTTGAACTTCTGACATGTATATTTAGTTTTTATGTCACTTGGAGTGCCTCCAACTGAAGTTACATGGGTTAGGTACCCATCCCTCAGCAAGAGGAGGGCAAGTTGATGGTAAAACCAACTCTAGTAAGGAGTAGGTGGTCCCCTGTATTAGTCCGTTCTCATGCTGATAATAAAGACATACTCGAGACTGGATAATTTATAAAGGAAAGAGGTTTAATTGACTCACAGTTGTGTATGGCTGGGGAGGCCTCAGGAAGCTTACAATCATGGCAGAAGGGGAAGCAAATACATCCTTCTTCACATGATGGCAGGAAGGAGAAGTGCAAAGCAAAAGGGGAAAAGCCCCTTATGAAACCATCAGATCTCCTGAGAACTCACTCACTATCATGAGAACAGCATGAAGGTAACCACCCCCATGATTCAATTACCTCCCACCAGGTCCCTCCCATGACACATGGGAATTATAGGAGCTACAATTCAGGATGAGATTTGGGTTGGGGACACAGCCAAACTATATCATCCCCCAAAAAATTTAGGGTTCTTTGCCAAAAGGAAGGGAGAATGGATGCTGAGCAGACTAAAATAATATATTTTAATCCCTCTTATTGAAAAGCTAAGACTAAATTTTTAAAATTGTATGTTTTTGTTTTTTTGAGACGGAGTGTCGCTCTGTCGCCCGGCTGGAGTGCAGTGGCGCGATCTCAGCTCACTGCAACATCCACCTCCCGAATTCAAACAATTCTCCCACCTCAGCCTCCTGAGTAGCTGGGACTACAGGAGCATACCACCATGCCCAGCTAATTTTTGTATTTTTAGTAGAGATGAGGTTTCACCATATTGGTCAGGCTGGTCTCGAACTGACCTCAGGCAATCTACCCACCTTGGCCTCCCAAAGTGCTGGGATTACAGACATGAGCCACCACGCCCAGCTAATTCTGTATTTTAAGTAGAGACGGGGTTTCACCATGTTGGTCAGGCTGGTCTCGAACTCCTGACCTCAGGTGATCCGCCAGCCTTGGCCTCCCAAAGTGCTGGGATTACAGGCGTGAGCCACCGAGCCTGGCTGTATTTTTAAATACAAAAATTTGCCAGGTATTGTGATGGGTGCCTGTAATCTCAGCTACTCGGGAGGCAGAGGCCGGAGAGTCACTTGAACCCAGGAGGTTGCAGTGAGCTGAGATCACACCACTGCACTGCAGCCTGGGTGACAGAATGAGACTCCATCTAAAAAAAGAAAAAAATGTATTTTTTAAAATACATGATATGGCAAATCATAAAGGTGGTAAGCATCTGAAGTGTGAGAAATAATCATGCAGCTTATGCAGTTTTTGTCTCTACCAATCTTTCAAACCCTCAAACTGCAATGCTTGCTCATTATAGAAAATCTGGGAAAATACAGTAAGTTCTAAATTTCCATAAATTCTAAATAGCATCTCTTTGAAAACTAACTCCTTGGGCATTTATCCCAGTGAAATGATAATAAACAGCCAGCATTTGAAATGTATATTTCAATGACTCGTATATGAATACTATGTTCAGATCACAATAAAGGACATTTCCAGCACCCTCTTAGATAATGCCTCCCATCTGATTATCACCATAGATTAGTTTTGCCTGTTTTTGAATTTTTTGTAAATGGGATCACACGGTATGTGCTGTAGTGAGCCTAGCTTGATTTGCTCAACGTTACGTCTAAAAGAATTCTCTATTTTGCTGCTATGCAGCAGTTCAGCCTTTTTCACTGTTGTGTAGCATTCTGTTATATGAATATACCATAATTTAGTTACTCTACATTTCATGGACCTTTGAATTGCTCCCACTTTGGGGCTGTTATGAATAATGCTACCGTAACATTTTTGTATATCTTATGATGGTCTTAAACACGCTATCTACTGAGTATATGCCAGGAATGGAATTGCTGGGTCATAGGGTGTGTGTCTATACACACACATACACACATTTTTTAGTAGGTACCATCAAACAATTGCATTTTTGTTGTTTTTGTTTTAGTTTGTTTTTAATGACCATACCATTTTACCACCAGCAATAAAGGAAGGTTCCATTGCTCCATACCAGCATTAGGTATTATCAGTCCTTTTATCTTTAACCATATTGGTGGGAGGTAGTGGTATCTCATTGTAGTCTTAATTTACTTCCATATACTTAATTTAAATACACTCAATTTATATACACACACGTATACTCTCTCAGCCTTCAGTAAGCCAGTCTCATTCCCCTGAACTAACCAATGTTAATAATGGTATGCTTCTCTCAGTGCTCATGCAAACATGCATACACACACATACACATAAATAAGGGGTGTGGGAATGTATTTGATTCTGAGAGCTGCTGTAACAAATTACCACAAACTTAGTGGCTTAAAACAACAGAAATATTTCTGTTCACAGTTCTGGAGGCCAGAAATCTGAGAGCAAGATGTCAGCTGGGCCACACCTCCCTCTGAAGGCTCCAAGGGAGAATCCTTGCTTTCCTCTTCCAGCTGCTGGTGGCTCCAGGTATTACTTGGCTTATGGCAGCATAACTCCTATCTCTGCCTTTGTCTTTGTGGTCTTCTTTTCTGTCTTCTTCCCTTCTTTTTATGAGGACTTTTGCTGTTGGATTTAGGTTCCATTCTAACCTAGGATGATCTCATTTGGAAATCCTTAATTTCATCTACAAAAACTGTTTTCCCAAATAGGTCACATTCACGCATATCAGATGGACAGATGTATCATTTTGGGGTCCACCATTCAACCCACTACAAGGAGTTTTTTAAACAAAAATAGGAAACTTAGATGTAACTTAGCACTTTTTTTTTTTTTTTTTGAGATGGAGTCTCACTCTGTCACCAGACTGGAGTGCAGTGGTGCCATCTCAGCTCCATGCAACCTCTGCCTCCTGGGTTCAAGCAGTTCTCTTGCCTCAGCCTCCTGGGTAGCTGGGATTACAGGCACGCGCTGCCACACCCAGGTAATTTATTTATTTTTTTTTTGAGACAGAGTCTCGCACTGTTGCCCAGGCTGGACTGCAGTGGCGTGATCTCTGCTCACTGCAACCTCCGCCTCCCGGGTTCAAGCGATTCTCCAGCCTCAGCTTCCTGAGTAGATGGGATTACAGGCGCCTGCCACCACGCCCAGCTAATTTTTTGTATTCTTAGTAGAGATGGGGTTTCACCATGTTGGCCAGGCTGGTCTCCATCTCCTGACCTCGTGATTCACCCGCCTCGGCCTCCCAAAGTGCTGGGATTACAGGCGTGAGTCACAGCCCCCGGCCATAATTTAGCACTTTAAAAAATAATAGCCATGTTGGGCCAGGCGTGGTGGCTCATGCCTGTAATCTGAGCACTTTGGGAGACCAAGGCGGGTAGATCCCTTGTGCCCAGGAGTTCAAGACCAGCCTGGGCAACATGGCGAAACCCCATTTCTACTAAAAATACAAAAATTAGCTGGGGCGAGGGGATAGGCCGAGTTCCGGGTGTAAGGGGGCCATTAGGGAGAGCAGAGCGAGGCAGCTGATCTTCCGGATTGGGGGCCTTGCCCGGAAGCTGGACCTCACGGAGATGAAACGGAAGATGCACGAGGATATGATCTCCATACAGAACTTTCTCATCTACGTGGCCCTGCTGCGAGTCACTCCATTTATCTTAAAGAAATTGGACAGCATATGAAGATTGGACATCACATGTGAATGCATGATATGAAGAGCCTGGTTACAGTTTCTACTGTTCTCTGCAAGTAAATAGGCCCAGAAAGGTATAAGAGACTCTTTGAATGGACATAAAAATTCTGCTTGTTAAGAACAAGTTGAGCTCTGGTAACTGATCTTAATAGCTAAAATATAAAAATATTTGGGAAGTCTGAAATGAGGTCTCCTGGCCCTGGTGTGCCCTTAATGCCTGTGACAGTTGGCCTCTGTGAATATTGGTATAATTGTAAATAATGTCAAACTCCATTTTCTAGCAAGTATTAATAATTAAGGGAAGTATGTCTGAAATGGCACTGTCTTGTCAGTCATTTCTGTTTACCCTTCTGTCTGGAGTGTATTTGTGAAGAGTCCCTTATAACTTATGTTTTATGGACATCAGCACATAACCACAATGACATTGAAGCACAGGATCATTAGTCTATATTTTATTTTATTATTTTATTTATTTATTTATTTATTTTTGAGATGGAGTCTTGCTCTGTCGCCCAGGCTGGAGTGCAGTGGCACAATCTCGGCTCACTGCAAGCTCTGCTTCCCAGGTTCACGCCATTCTCCTGCCTCAGCCTCCCGAGTAGCTGGGACTACAGGTGCCCACCACCACACCCGGCTAATTTTTTGTACTTTTAGTAGAGATGGGGTTTCACTGTTTTAGCCAGGATGGTCTCGATCTCCTGACCTCATGATCCACCCGCCTTGGCCTCCCAAAGTGCTGGGATTATAGGTGTAAGTCACCATGCCCAGCCCATTAGTCTATATTTTTAAGTAAACATACCAATTAAGAAAGAAGCCAAAAACCAAAATTAGCCAGGTGTGGTGGCACGTGCCTGTAGTCCCAGCTACTTGGGAGGCTGAGGTGTGAGGATCACTTGAACTCAGGAGGCAGAGGTTGCAGTGACCCAAGATGGTGCCACTGCACTCCAGCCTGGGTGACAGAGTGAGACCCTGTTTCCACAAAAAGAAAAAAAAAATAGCCGTGCCTGTACTTCAGTACTTACAAATTTAACTTTAGTATAGATGTACAGTAATTTATTCAATCATTTCCTTACTCATAGACAATTAGGATGTTGCAACTTTTGCCACTACAAACAATTCTGCGATGTGGATTATCGTACTTATTCCCATTTATTGGTGCTTTCATTTCTATAAGAATGGATTTTTAAAGATAGAATTCCTTGGGAATAGTTATGTCAAAGCCAAATATAATATAGAGACAAATCTCTAAAAACATTTTATTTGGTAAGCAAGAGCTGCAATTCATGGCATACACACAGACCAGGCTGATCATTGGTATGATCAGGAGAATAAAGGGAAGGTTGCGGCCAGGTGTGATAGCTCATGCCTGTAATCCCAGCACTTTGGGAGGCCGAGGCGGGCAGATCACCTGAGGTCAGGAGTTTGAGACCAGCCTGACCAACATGGAGAAACTCCGTCTCTACTAAAAATACAAAATTAGTTGGGCATAGTGGCGCATGCCTGAATCCCAGCTACTCAGGAGGCTGACACAGGAGAAATGCTTGAACCCGGGAGGTGAAGGTTGCAGTGAGCCGAGATCGCGCCATTGCACTCCAGCCTGGGCAACAAGAGCAAAATTCCATCTCAAAAAAAAAAAAAGAGAAGGTTCCGGGTTTTATGAGAAAGAACAGTATTACATACTGTTTTGGAAGAAAGCTCATTCACACTAGAGCTTGTGGGAGCTAGCAAGCTCTGATTGGTGAGCGATGGTGGTAGGTAAAACCAGTCTTAGAGTCATGGCAGTTCATTTTAGCAGCTATTAGGTAAAACTGGTCTTAGGGATACAGAAGGCTGGTTCAGCAGTTGGACTTGTGGAAAATTTAATTCTTGAAGCAGATGCTGTGTGCCCCGAATGCTTCTTCCCCCTGGCCCTTCAACTCTGATTTAGTTGAGTATTTCAAGAATGACCCAATTTATGTAATCAACTTTCACAGGTATACATGTCTTAAACTTTAAACAGATGTTTTGGGTTTTGTTGTTGTTGTTTTTGAGACGGAGTCTCACTCTGTTGTCCAAGCTGGAGTGTAGTGGTGTGATCTCGGCTCACTGCAACCTCCGCCTCCAGGGTCAAGTGATTCTCCAGCCTCAGCCTCCTGAATAGCTGGGATTACAGGCGCCCGCCACCACGCCCAGCTAATTTTTGTATTTTTAGTAGAGATGGGGTGGGGTTTCACCATGTTGGCCAGGCTGGTCTTGAACTCCTGACATCAAGTGTTCTGCTCACCTCAGCCTCTGAAAGTGCTGGGATTACAGGCGTGAGCCACTGCGCCCGGCAGTCTTTCCTTCTTTTTTTTTTTTTTTTTTTTTTTTTTAATGACATGGGGTCTTACTTTATTACTCAGGCTGGTCTCAAACTTCTGGCCTCAAGGGATCTTCCCACCTTGGCCTCCCAAATTGCTGGGATTACAGGCATAAGTCATCATGCCTGGCTACAAACAGATATTTTCAATAAGAGGATAAAAGTTCATTTCCCCATACTTTGCTAACATCAAATGTTATTAATTCCTAATAGTTTTGCCAAACTGAGAGGAAAATGGTATGTTAGTTTTTCTGGGTTTTCTTTCTTTTTAATTTTTTTTCTTTTTTATTCATCGCAACACTATTCACGATTTTTTTATTTTTTATTTTATTTATTTATTTTTTTTTTTTTGAGACAAGGTCTCCCTATGTTGCCCAGGCTGGTCTTGTACCCCTGGGCTCAAAGGATCCTCCTGCCTCAGCCTCCCAAAGTGCTAGGATTACAGGCATGAGTCACCACGCCTGGTTCACAATTTCTTTTTGTTTTTACCAAAGGCAGGTATATTCCTGAAATTTTTTGTTTTTTTGTTTTTTTTTTGAGATGAAGTCTCACCCTGTCACTCAGACTGGAGTGCACTGGCACGATCTCAGCTCACTGCAACCTCCGCTTCCTAGGTTCAAGCGATTCTCCTGCCTCAGTCTTCAAAGTAGCTAGGATTATAGGCGCCGCAACCATGCTCAGCTAATTTTTGTATTTTTAGTAGAGACAGGATTTCACCATGTTGGCCAGGGTGATCTCAAATCCTGACCTCAAGTGATCCGCCTGCCTCAGCCTCCCAAAGTGCTGGGATTACTGGCATGAGCCACCGTGCCAGGCCCTGAAATGTTATCTTAGTTATTAATTTGCAATTCCTTGGCTCTAGAGGTTGGGCATCTTCTCAGATCTCTAGTGGACATTTGGATTTTCTTTTTGGTGAACTGTCCAGTTTTTCTCTCTGCTTTACAATCTTTATTATATGCAATCTTCACATGTAGGTACTACCATTTTTTTAGTTTGTTTTTGAAACAGCATATTGCTCTGTTGCCCAGGCTGGAGCACGGTGGCAAAAACATGGCTTACTGCAGCCTTTGACCTCCTTGGCTCAAGTACTCCTCCTGTCTCAGCCTCCTGAGTAGCTGGTACCACAAGCCCATACCACCATGCCCAGCTAATTTATTTTTGTAGAGATGGGGCCTGACCATGTTACTTGGGCTCAAATGATCCTCTCCCACTCAGCCTCCCAAAGTGCTAGGATTACAGGCATGAGCCACCATACTTGGCCCTTTTTTTTTTTTTTTTTTTTTTTTTTTTGAGACAGAGTCTTGCTCTGTCTCACAGGCTGGTGTGCAGTGGCACGATCTCAGCTCATTGCAACCTCCACCTCCCAGTTTCAAGTGATTTTTGTGCCTCAGCCTCCCTAGTAGCTGAGATTACAGGCATGCACCACCATGCCTGGCTGACTTTCATATCTTTAGTGTTGCCATGTTGGCTAGGCTGGTCTCAAACTCCTGACCTCATGTGATCCACCTGCCTCGGACTCCCACAGTGCTGGGATTACAGGTGTTAGCCACCACCCCGACATTATTTGAAACTTTTATTTTATCATGAGAGAGTTCCAGGAGTCAACTGAAGACAGATTTTTGGTATGAAAATTACATATGCAAAAAGACTGATTCCAGTACATGAAATTAAATTCAACATTTACATTAAATGCCTTCAAATATGGTAAAATGGTTTCTTTTGGCAGTTTACCTCATTATGTTTTGAATGATTTGTCTATCATATGAAATAACTTTTATAAATATAGTAACTCAGGCCTGGGCACAGCGGCTCAAGTGGGAGGACTGCTTAAGCAACCGAGTTTGAGACCAGCGTGGACAACATGGGGAGACCCCTTCTCTCCCAAAAAATAGCTGAGCATGGCAGCGCACTGTTAAAGGAAACAGAGTTTCTTTGGTGGGTGATTAAAATGTTCTGGAGTTAGATAGTGGTGATGGTTGCACAACCTTGTGAATATATTAAGGTTTCCGCTCAATCTACCATTCAATTGTACTCTCTAAAATGATTAATTCTATAGTATATCAATTATATCTCTAAATAATAAAAACAAAAAGAAATGGCTGGGTGCGGTGGCTCATGCCTGTAATCGCAGCACTTTGGGAGGCTGAGGCGGGCGGATCACAAGGTCAGGAGTTTGAGACCAACCTGACCAACATGGCAAAACCCCGTCTCTACTAAAAATACAAAAATTAGCTGGGCGTGGTGGCACACGCCTGTAATCCCAGGTACTCGGGAAGCTGAGACAGGAGAATCACTTGAACCCGGGAGGCAGAGGTTGCAGTGAGCCACTGCACTCCAGTCTGGGTGGCAGAGCGAGACTCCGTCTCAAAAAGAAAAAAATTAAAAAACAAAAAGAAACCTGGTTCTATATTTTGTTTAAATTTATTTTTTTAACCATCATGTAATATGTCCACGTAATTTGTTTAAATTTTGACATCAAATGCAATTGTGAGAATTTTTATGATTCAGAAAAATCTAAGCAAGCTTTATAAAAACATACTTTTTTTTTTACTTTTTTTTTTTTTTCTGAGACACAGCCTCACTCTGTCGCCCAGGCTGGAGTGCAGGTTTTCATGTTTATCTGTGAGATGTACCTTTGGCACATTACTTTCCTGACATGAGATTTAAAATTTTTTTTTTTATCTTGTGACAATTTAACTTTTTTGACACATAAAAATTGTACATATTTATTTGTTTGAGATGGAGTCGCACTCTGTCACTCAGGCTGGAGTGCAGTGGCGTGATCTTGGCTCACTGCAACCTCCGCCTCCCGAGTTCAAGAGATTCTCCTGCCTCAGCCTCCCAAGCAGCTGTCATTACAGGCCTGCACCACCACACCCGGCTGATTTTTGTATTTTTAGGAGAAACAGGGTTTCACCATGTTGGCCAGGCTGGTCTTGAACTCCTGACCTCAAGTGATCCACCCACCTTGGCCTCCCAAAGTGCTGGGATTATAGGCATGAGCCACCGTACCAGACCCCTAAAAATTGTATATATTTAAGGTGTACCATTTGATGTTTAGATATACATTGTGAAATGATTACATTCCACATATTACCTCTACGGAGTTACCATTTTTGTACACTTGGTCAACATCATCCCATTCTCCCCTTCCTCCACAGATATTTCTTGTATACTATATAGAAGCCAAGGGTATTTTGGGGGAAGAGCTCAAAGTTCCTTTCGTGGAGTTAAAAATATATATATACTATGTACATATAAGCCATTTAGCAACCCTAGATGCTTAATAAAGAATACTGGAGGCCCGGTGTGGTGGCTCACACCTGTAATCCCAGCACTTTGGGAGGCCGAGGCGGTCGGATTACGAGGTCAGGAGTTCAAGACCAGCCTGGCCAACATGGTGAAACCCCATCTTTACTAAAAATACAAAAATTAGCCGGGTGTGGTGGTGGGCGCCTGTAATCCCAGCTACTCGGGGGGCTGAGGCAGGAGAATTGCTTGAACCTGGGAGGCAGAGGTTGCAGTGAGCTGAGATCACGCCACTGCATTCCAGCCTGGGTGACAGAGCAATACTCTGTCGCAAAAAAAAAAAAGAATACTGGAGGCTGGGCGAGGTGGCTCACACCTGTAATCCCAGCATTTTGGGATGCCAGAGGCGGGCGGAATATCTTGAGCTCAGGAGTTCGAGACCAGCCTACACAATATGCTCCAAACGCCGCCTCTACAAAACATACAGAAACTAGCCGGGTGTGGTGGCGTGCCCCTGTGGTCCTAGCTACTTGGGAGGTTGAGGCGGGAGGATCGCTTGAGCTCGGGAGGTCGAGGCTGCAATGAGCCGAGATGGTGCCACTGCACTCTGACGACAGAGCGAGACTCCGTCTCAAAACAAACAACAAATAAGGTTGGGGGATCAAATATCTTCTAGTGTTTAAGGATCTGCCGCCTTCCTTCCTGCCCCCATGTTTGTCTTTCCTTGTTTGTCTTTATATAGATCAAGCAGGTTTTAAATTCCTAGTAGGAGCTTACATTTACTTTTCCAAGGGGGAGGGGGAATAAATATCTACACACACACACACACACACACACACACACACACACACACTGGAGTTCGAGACGAGGCCTAAGCAACATGCCGAAACCCCGTCTCTACTAAATACAAAAAATAGCTGAGCGTGGTGGCGCACGCCTATAGTCCTAGCTACTGGGGAGGCTGAGGTGGGAGGATCGCTTGAGCCCAAGAAGTCGAGGCTGCAGTGAGCCGAGATCGCGCCGCTGCACTCCAGCCTGAGCGACAGGGCGAGGCTCTGTCTCAAAACAAACAAACAAAAAAAAAAGGAAAGGAAATATAACACAGTGAAATGAAAGGATTGAGAGAAATGAAAAATATACACGCCACAAATGTGGGAGGGCGATAACCACTCGTAGAAAGCGTGAGAAGTTACTACAAGCGGTCCTCCCGGCCACCGTACTGTTCCGCTCCCAGAAGCCCCGGGCGGCGGAAGTCGTCACTCTTAAGAAGGGACGGGGCCCCACGCTGCGCACCCGCGGGTTTGCTATGGCGATGAGCAGCGGCGGCAGTGGTGGCGGCGTCCCGGAGCAGGAGGATTCCGTGCTGTTCCGGCGCGGCACAGGCCAGGTGAGGTCGCAGCCAGTGCAGTCTCCCTATTAGCGCTCTCAGCACCCTTCTTCCGGCCCAACTCTCCTTCCGCAGCCTCGGGACAGCATCAAGTCGATCCGCTCACTGGAGTTGTGGTCCGCGTTTTTCTACGTCTTTTCCCACTCCGTTCCCTGCGAACCACATCCGCAAGCTCCTTCCTCGAGCAGTTTGGGCTCCTTGATAGCGTTGAGTGGAGGCCCTGCCGCGACTTGGCAGTAGCTTATTTTGTTCACTCCTCTCTGGCTGGTGTGGGGGAGGTGGGGGCATTAGGCCAGGGTGAAGCAGGGGAACCACTTAGGAGTCTGTTAAGATGATCTGAACTTCAGAACAAGATGTTATTAACAGAGTGAAAGTATTTGGATTCTGGGTATATTTTGAAATCGGAGGCAACAGGTTTTTCAGATAGATTCGATAACGGAGGTTATCCTGAATAGTTGAAAAGATAAAGTTGCCTTTTGCTGAGGTGGGAAAGAGAAGATTGCCAGTAGAGCAGGTTTCTCAGGAGTTCAGTCTTGGGCATAGCATGGTAGGGGTGAATTTGGCTGGAGTGAGTTGGAGAGTAGGAGAAGAGAAATCCAAGGCAACATTTGACCAGCCTGGGCAACATAGTGTGACTCCGAGTCTGCAAAAATTAGACGGGTGTTGTGGTGCGCGTCTGTGGTCTCAGCTACCTGGAAGGTTCAGGCCTTGGAAGGCTCAGGGAGGTGGAGGCTGCAGTGATCTGTGATTGCGCCTCTGCACTCCAGCCTGGGCGACAGAGCCAGACCCTGTCTTAAAACAAAATAAACGGCCGGGCGCGGTGGCTCAAGCCTGTAATCCCAGCACTTTGGGAGGCCGAGGCGGCCGGATCACAAGGTCAGGAGATCGAGACCATCCTGGCTAACACGGTGAAACCCCGTCTCTACTACAAATACAAAAAATTAGCCGGGCGTGGTGACGGGCGCCTGTAGTCCCAGCTACTCGGGAGGCTGAGGCAGGAGAATGTCATGAAGCCGGGAGGCGGAGCTTGCAGTGAGCCGAGATCGCGCCACTGCACTCCAGCCTGGGCGATAGAGCAAGACTCCGTCTCAAATAAATAAATAAATAAATAAATAAATAATAAAAACATCGGTAGGCATATTTCAAGGAATTCTATTTAAAAAAAATTTTTTTAGAGACAAGTTCGCTCTCTGTGGCCCAGGCTGGAGTACAGTGGCATGATCCTAGCCCATGGCAGCGTTGATCTCTTGGCCTCAAGCGACCCTCCTTTGGAGTCGCTGGGCCTAAAGGAGTGAGCCACCACGAAATTTTATTATAAATGGAGGGTAGAGAAATTGGGCAATAAATGGAGGGGGAAGTGAGTTAAGAGGAATTTTAATTATGTGTGTGTGGTTTTAAAAGAGGGGGGTCTTGCTCTGTTGCCCAGGCTGCTGGGGTGCCAGTGGCGCAATCATGAATCACTACAGCCTTGGACTCCTGGCCTCAAGCTATCCTCCCACCTCTGCCTCCCAAAGTACTGGGATTACTAGTGTGAGCCACTGCACTAAGATAGGAGCAACATGTTTCAGCATGTTTGTGGGTTGATAGGAAAGATGAGAATGGGAAAGTTGATGTCGGAAAGAAGACAATGGCTAGAGCAATGTCCTAGAGTAGGTAAGAAGGGATGGATTTGGCCTTTGTTGGAAACATTAGCGGTTCTTTTGGTGACAGCTATATAGTTAACACATCTATGATACGTGAATGGGCAGATAGGATGGCAGGAGATTTTGAAAGTTCTCTTGATTCTTACTGTTCTCTTAGTGAAAGAAGCAAGGTTATCAGCTAGAAGCTGGGATGGGAGAGGAAAGAGAAGATGGGAAGTAGATAGTTCTTTAGAAGAGTGGGCAAGGGTTGGACTAGGGAAGTTTAGTGGAAATATTGCTAGGCAACATAAAGAGCCTACTTGAGATTCGTGGTCATGAGTTGAAGGAGACCAGACAGCAAGATTGTGTATGAGGGCACCCACAGAGTAAATGGAGAGTTGAAATTAATGCAGTTGTGATTTTACCACGTGGATATGAAGAAGTGAGGGGGAGAAGTACAAAGGAGTTCTCTTAATGATTGACCATGGAATTTAAGCTGGCTAAGAAAGGAAGTGAGAGGCCGGGCGCGGTGGCTCACGCCTGTAATCCCAGCACTTTGGGAGACTGAGGTGGGTGGATTACCTGAGGTCAGGAGTTTGAGACCAACCTGGCCGATATGGCGAAACCCCATCTCTAATAAAAATACAGAAAAATTAGCCGGGAATGGTGGCAGGTGCCTGTAATCCCAGCTACTCAAGAGGCTGTGGCAGGAGTATCCCTTGGACCCAGGAGGTGGAGGTTGCAGTGAGCCGAGATCACGCCACTGTACTCCAGCCTGGACGATATAGTGAGACTTCACCTCAAAAAAAAAAAAAAAAGAAAGGAAGTGAGGATTTTAAGACCCTGAGAGACAGTTTAAAAAGTGGGAGGATCGGCCGGGCGCTGTGGCTGACACCTGTAATCCCAGCACTTTGGGAGGCCGAGTTGGGCAGATCACAAGGTCAGGAGTTCGAGACCAGCCTGGCCAATATGGTGAAACCTTGTCTCTACTAAAAATACAAAAATTAGCCGGGCATGGTGTCACGTGTCTATAATCCCAGCTACTCGGGAGGCTGAGGCAGAAAAATTGCTTGAACCTGGGAGGCAGAGGTTGCAGACAGCTGAGATCACTCCATTGCACTCCAGCCTGGGCAACAAGAGCAAAACTTTGTCTTTAAAAAAAAAAAAAAAAAAAGAATACAAAAATTAGCCGGGCGTGGTGGCGCGTGCCTATAATCCCAGCTACTTGGGAGGCTGAGGCAGGAGAATCAGTTGAACACGGGAGGCGAGGTTTGCAGTGAGCCGAGATTGCGCCACTGCACTCCAGCCTGGGCGACAGAGCAGGACTCCTCTTGGAAAAAAAAAATTAGCTGGGCATGGTGGCAGGTGCCTGTAGTCTCAGCTACTAGGGAGGCTGAGGCAGGAAAATCACTTGAACCCGGGATGTGGAGTTTGCAGTGACCCGAGATCGTGCCACTGTACTCCATCCTGGGCGACAAAATGAGACTCTGCCTCAAAAAAAAAAAAAAAAAAAAAAAAAGTGGGAGGATCAATGTACTGCCAGTCCTAATGAAGTGGAATGATTGTCCCCATCAAATCACTAGTAGGAGTAAGTTGCAGAGCCTAGAAGGTGATGGTTAAGAGAGTGGGATTCTTGAAACTGCATTTATGGAGAGGTTGTGGTTATTGGTTATAATAAATAAATACAGTTGAAGTGAGTGAGTAGCTGAGATTTGGGGATGTATCAGTTCATTCTTACACTGCTACAAAGACATACCTGAGACCAGGTATTTATAAAGATAAGAGGTTTAATCAGCTCACAGTTCTGCTGCCTGTACAGGCTTCTCTTGTGGAGGCCTAAGGAAACTTACAGTCATGGTGGAAGGTGAAGGGGAAACAAGCACAGTCTTCACATGGCCAGCAGGAGAGAGAGAGAAGGGGGAAGTGCTACATACTTTAAAACAACCAGATCTTGTGAGAACGCTTATCAGGAAACAGCACTTGGGGATGGTGCTAAATCATTAGAAATCACCCCCATGATCCAGTCGCCTCCTACCATGCCCACCTCCAACACTGGGGATCACAATTCAGCATGAGATTTGGGTAGGAACACAGAGCTGCACCACATCAGAGGATGTACAAGATTGTGGTGGAGAGGAGTTTAGAGACCTGCAAATATAGGGTAATTGAAGGGATCATCTACATGGATATTTAAATCACCAAAAATTATGACAGGAGTAGTGTTGGAGAGAGAACTGCGATGTAAACATTAAGGAATGAGGAAGAGTGACTCGGTAGGCTGTAGGTGACTGCAATAGGAAACGATAATAGACTGTGAGTCTGGTGACAAGATTTTCCTTCTTTCTTTTTTTCCCCCCCCCCGAGACAGGGCCTCTTTTTGTTGCCCAGGTGGGAGTGCAGTGGCGCGATCACGGCTCACTACAACCTCCTCCCAAGCTCAAGGGATTCTCCCACTTCAGCCTCTCAAGTAGCTGGAACTACAGGTGCTGACCACCATGCCTGGCTACTTTTTGTCAGGATTTTCAAGGCTGGGAATTTTGAGAGGGGAATGGAGGAGAATAATCTGAAAGTGCAAGTAAGGAGCAGGGAAGATTTCTTTTTTCTTTTTTTTTTTTTTTTTTGAGTCGGAGTCTGGCTCAGTCGCCCAGGCTGGAGTGCAGTGGCGAGATCTCCGCTCACTGCAAGCTCCGCCTCCCGTGTTCACGCCATTCTCCTCCTTCAGCCTCCCGAGTAGCTGGGACTACAGGCGCCCGCCACCACGCCCAGCTAATTGTTTTTTTGTATTTTTAGTAGAGACGGGGTTTCACCGTGTTAGCCAGGATGGTCTCAATCTCCTGACTTTGTGATCCGCCCACCCCGGCCTCCCAAAGCGCTTGGGATTACAGGCGTGAGCCACCGCGCCAGCCAGAGCAGGGAAGATTTCTTCCCCACATCTCCAGTAGGTACAGTGATATGAAGTGTGTGGAGGAGAAAAGAGGAAACATCTATCATTTGAGATGGCTGCGAAAGGAAAAGGCATCCTCAGGGAGCTAGATTTTACTTAGAGCAAGAAATGAAGGGATGATTCAGAGGTTAAAAGAGTGGATTTTATGAATTACTCAAGGGAGCACAGTGGAAGTTTCAGGAAGTGGTAGGAGAAGGTAGAAGATGGCAGGGTGTTGGGAATAATTTGAGAAATCTGAGCTACTGGAAATGACTGAGAATCAGATATAAAGGCAGTCCTGGTGGTCCGTTCTGGCTGCCGTTGCTGTGTAACGAATCTGCCAAAACTTAGTGGCTTGAAACAACAAAGAACATTTTATTATCTCTCATTGTTTCTGTGGGTTAGGAATTTGTGAGAGCCGTGCTGGGCAGTTTTCGTGCGGCTGTCTCGTGGTTGCACCTACATAGTTGCTAGAGCTACAGTAGCTGGGGACTGAGCAGCTAGGGATTGGCAGGCTATCTCTTTTTTTCATGTAGTCTCATGAAGATTTCTTTATGTGGTTTCAATGTGTGGGCTGGTTTGGATTTCCTTATAGCATGGTGGCCTCAGTTGGATTGCTGTTTTGTGATCCTTTTCATCCCTCCTTGTCCTGTCCCCAGACAACCACTGATCTACTTTCTGTCACCATAGATTAGCCTGCATTTTTAAGAATTTTTATAAACGTGGAATGATAGAGTACCTTTTTTGTCACGTTTCTTTTATTTATCATAGCTATTTTGATTTTCATCCATTTTATTGCTGAGTAGTATCCCATTGCATGTATATACTATACTGTATTCATTCGCTTGCTTGTGAACATTTGGGCTTTTTCCAGTTTGGGACTGTTAACAAGTAGAGCCACTATGAATATTAGTGTATAAGACTTCATATAGCCAAGGCTGGCAGATCGCTTGAGCCCAGGAGTTTGAGACCAGCCTGGGAAACATGGTGAAACCTCTATTTTTATTTTAAAATCAAAAATTAAAAATTTTCTATAAAAAATTTTAAAGAAGACTTTGTATAGACATACGCTTTCATTTTTCTTGAGTGAATACTTAGGTCTCAGGGTAGATGTATTTTAAGTCTTTAAGGAGCTGTCAAACTCTTCCTCAAAGTGGTGGTTGTACCATGTTACTTTTTAATATAACAGAGATTAATTGAGCAAAGAAAAATTCAAAAGTTGGACAGCCCCCACAACTAAATAGGTTCAGAACAGCTCCCCCATTTTGCATTTTGACCAGCAATGTATGAAAGTTCCATTTGCTCAGTGTCCCTGCAAACACCTGGTATGGTCAGTCTTTTTAATTTTAGGCATTATAATAGATATAGTGGCTTCTTGTGATTTTAATTAGCATTTCCTAATGACCAGTGCTGCTGTTGATCATTTCATGAGTGTATTTGCCATCCGTATATCTTTTTTGGTGAAGTGTCTATTCAAATCATTTGGGTTTTTTTTTTTTTTGTTTTTTTTTTTTGGAGACAGTGTCTCACTCTGTCACCCAGGCTGTTGTGCAGTGGTGCAATCACACAGCCTACTGCAGCCTCCACCTCCTGCGCTCAGTCTTCTTGTCTCAGCCTTCTGAGTAGCTGAAATTACGAGCACACGCCACAATGCCTGGCTAATTTTTTAAAATTTTGTAGAAACAAGGTCTCATTATGTTGCCTGGGCTTGTCGTGAACTCCTGGGCTCAAGCAATCTTCCTGCCTCAGCCTCCCAAAGATTGGGATTGCAAGTATGAGCCACTGCACCCGGCCAACTTACCCATCTTTTAATTGAATTTTTTTGTTGTTGAGGTTTGAGAGTTCTTCATGTTTGCTGGGTACAATATCTTTATCAGATAGGTAACTTGCATGTATTTTCTCCCGGTTTACACTTTGGTTTTTCATTTTGTTAACAACGTCTTTTTAAGAACAGAAAATCTTAATTTTGCTGAAATCTAATTTTTCAGTTTTTTCTTTGATGGTTTTGAGAGAGGAGGTAAAAAAAGACTAGGTAAGCCGATAGTTAGACAGAGTCCTCGGTAGAACTTCCCTTCTAACAAAAAGCAGCCCAAGAAATCACTTCTCTTCTAACAAGGAGCAGCCTGGAAGATCGGGCTGTAAACATGTATAAGGAAGCAGCTCTGGCACAGAGGGGGAGCTTCCTGGGTAATCAGCAAGCTTCACATACGTAAGGTGGGTATGTGAAGTAAACACAGTATGTGAAGTAAACACAGTGGACCTTAGTACATACTCAGATAAGGAAGCTGGAAGCTTGCATGTTGTGAGTTGTTGGGGTTGCCTGCAGCTGCACGGAGAGAAAGGGGTACCTGGGGCCAGGCATGTCCACCATGGTGGCTCCACCTCCCCTTATTTAGCACATGCACAATAGGAAAGAGATAAGCAATGTGGAGTAGCTCAGGCCAAGGACCTGCCTGCATAATAAAAGGTTGGGGTGGGGGATGCCAGAGATTCACGCTCTGTGCAGATGGCAACACCTGGTCCTAACTGGTTTTTTGCTCCCTATGTGTAGATAAGCTACCCCCTTCCCATTAGCTCATTTATAAAAATGCTTGCATTTCACTGTGGAATGGGAACTCTTTTCAGGACCTCTCTCTGCAGGAGAGAGCTAGTCTCTTTCTTTTGCCTATTAAACTTCTGCTCTAGCCTCACACCCTTGGTGTGTCAGCGTCCTTGATTTCCTCAGCGTGAGACCAAGAACCTCGGGTGCCACCCCAGGCAACAAGGCCATTTCAGTTTGTTCTTTTGTTATAGGCAATCCATGATCACAGATTTTTCTCTCTTTTTTTTTTTTACACAGTTTAGAGTTTTAGTTTTACACTTAGGTCTGTAATCCATTTTGTATTAATTCTTATATGTGGCTCAGTGTAGGTGGAAATTTGGTTTGTTTTTGCATAAGGATTTCCAATAGTTTTACCACCATTTCTTGAAACTACTATGCTTTCTCTATTAAACCACATTTGTAACTTTAGTTAAAATCAGTCACATATATCACAGGGCTATTTCTGACTCTCAATTCTGTTACATTGTCTATTAGTGTATATTGATGTCAGTACTACACTTTTAATTACTATTGCTTCAGGGTATGTCTTGTAAACCAAAAATAAAATTATAGGCCCCCCCCGCCCCTGCACAACCAACTGAATGGACCCATCCTCTCAGCCAAGGGCATTCCAAAATTAACCTGAAAAACTAGTTCAAGCCATGATGGGAAGGGGGAGTTGGACATGTCTCATCACACCCTACTACCTTTTGGAATTACTGATAGAACAGACTCTTAAAGTCTGAAAAGAAACATTTACAACCTACCCTCTCTGAAGCCTGCTACCTGGGAGCTTCATCTGCATGATAAAACCTTGGTCTCCACAACCCCTTATGGTAACCCAAACATTCCTTTCTGTTGATAATAACTCTTTCAACTAGTTGCCAATTAGAAAATCTTTAAATCTTCCTATGACCTAGAAACCTCCCTACCCCCACTTTGAGTTGTCCTGCCTTTCCTGACAGAACTCATGTACATCTTACATATATTGATTGATGCCTCATGTCTCCCTAAAATGTATAAAACAAAGCTGTACCCCACCACCTTGGGGACATGTCATCAGGACCTCCTGTGGCTGTGTCATAGGAGCGTCTTTAACTTTGGCAAAATAAACTTTCTAAATTGATTGAAACCTGTCTTAGCTACTTCTGGTTTACAGTCTTAAAGTTAGATAATGTAAATTGTCCAGCTTTGGTTTATTTTTGTCCTTAGTAGTTCCATATAAATTTTAGAATCAGCTTTTCAATTTAATACACTACTTTCCTCTTAGATCCACAATTAAATATATTTGATGCTAACAATTCTGTTTTATGTTTTTCGTTTTTTTTTTTTGAGACAAGAGTTTCGCTCTTGTTGCCCAGGCTGGAGTGCAGTGGCGCGATCTTGGCTCACCACAACCTCCACCTCCCAGGTTCAAGCAATTCTTCTGCCTCAGCCTCCCGAGTAGCTGGGATTACAGGCATGCGCCACCACGCCCGGCTAATTTTGTATTTTTAGTAGAGACGGGGTTTCACCATGTTGATCAGGCTGGTCTTGAACTCCTGACCTCAGGTGATCCACCCACCTCGGCCTCCCAAAGTGTTGGGATTACAGGCGTGAACCACCATGCCTGGCCAGTTCTGTTATTTTTAAAACCCAAGTTTCCCTGGTCATATCTTGGTTGGATGAAGCGTATTTTCAATAGATTACCCTGGAAAGGCTAGTGAGTACGGTATTCTTCTACATTTTAGACTTTTCTTAGTCTTGCTACTTCAAGGACAGCTAGGCTGCATATAAAATTCTTGGCTCATACTTTTTCCCCATAAATTTCTATGAGAAAGTCTAATGATAACTGATTTTCTTTATTTTGTAACTTAGTCTTTTTGCTTAGAGGCTCTCTGAGGATGGGAGGGGGTTCTTCCTCCCATCCCTAGGAATTTTTCTTTTTTTTAAATTCCTAATCACTAGACCACCAGGAAGATTGTTTGTTTTGTTTTGTTTTTATTCTTCAGGGACCCCATTTATACATACGTTAAATAAATACTGTTTGCCAATGTATCAACCATTTTGCTTCTTATTTATTTTTGTTCCTTTGGTTCTTTTTCATGGCTTTGCTTTGGTGCTCCTTAGATTTTCAGTCAGATGTATTTGTCCTTGGGTACCTTGTAATCAGTATTACCTTTTCTTCTGTCGCTTTGTTTTCTGTTCGTTTTGAAATTACTTGTTTCCTGGTCTGGCAATAACAGTTGAGATATGAGGAGTTTGAGCTGCCATCTGTCTATGTATCTTGCTTTAAGACTGCACTCTTCTATTGATATCACTGGCCTTGATTTTGTGATTTCTTTATTTCTTCAGGACCACCCTTCATTTTCTACTGTTTGCTTCCTTTTTTTTTGAGATGGAGTCTCACTCTGTCACTCAGGCTGGAGTGCAGTGATCTTGGCTCATTGCAACCTCTGCCTCCCGGGTTCCAGCAATTCTCCTGCCTCAGCCTCCCAAGTATCTGGGACTACAGGTGTGCACCACCATGCCCGGCTAAGTTTTGTATTTTTAATAGAGACGGGGTTTTGCCACATTGGCAGGCTGGTCTCAAACTCCTGATGTCAAGTGATCCACCCACCCCACCCACCTCTGCATCCCAAAGTGCTGGGATTACAGGAATGAGCTGCCGTGCCCAGCCTCCCCCCTACCCCCCTTTTTTTCTTTCGAGACAGAGATTATAGGTGTGAGCCACTGGACCCAGCCTGTTTTTATTCCTTTTACCAAATCTCCAAGGAATATCTTCCCTTCCAAGTGCGAATGTAACCTTAAGTCAGTTAACCTCTTTGTGATTACTTTTCTTATCTGCAAAGTGACTTAATGATCTTAAGTACTTTTTTTTTTTGAGACAGGGTCTCACTGTCACCCTGGCTGGAGTGCAGTGGCACGATCTCTGATCTCCACTCACTGCAATCTCCTCTTCCCTGGTTCAAGCGGCCCTCCCACCTTAGCCTTCTGGGTAGCTGGGACTACAGATGTGAACCACCACGCCCAGCTAATTTTTGTACTTTTTGTAGAGATGGGGTTTTGCCATGTTGCCCAGGCTGGGATTATTAAGTACTTTTTATCATACAGCAAGATTGACATTTTATATTGGAATACATTTGTCTCTATATAACGGAGATTAACAGGAAAATGACAAGCCTGGGTGCGGTGGCTCATGCCTGTAATCCCAGCACTTTGGGAGGCTGAGGTGGGAGGATCACTTGAGGTCAGGAGTTCGAGACCAGTTTTGCCAAGATGATGAAAGCCCATGTCTACTAAAAATACAAAAATTAGCCCAGCTTGATGGTGGGCGCCTATAATCCCAGCTATTTGAGAGACTGAGGCAGGAGAATCACTTGAACCTGGGCGGCAGAGGTTGCAGTGAGCCGAGATCATGCCACTGCACTCCAGCCTGGGTGGCATAGCGAGACTCTTGTCTCAAGAGAAAACAAAACAAAACAAAAAAAAAACAGGAAAATGACAAAAAGTAATATTACAACTCAGTGAATTTTATAACAAACTTTTTTGGAATTCATTGACTAATACTATACCAAATCCAAAATACTCTCTAGTATACCAAATCCAACTCTACCCTATAGTATAAATTGGATTCTATTTGGACTTGTCTCACTAATCCCTCATACAGTGTGTTTTATTTTTTATTGAAGTAAAAAAATTTGTCATTTTAACCATTTTTAAGTATATAGTTCAGTAATATTAAGTATGTTCATGTTGTTGCGCAATAGATCTTCGGAAGTTTTTCGTCTTGCAACCTGAAACTCTACCCATTAGCAAATTCCCATTTCTCCTTACACTTAGCCCTTGGTAATCATCATTCTTTTTTTTTTTTTTTTGAGATGGAGTTTTACTCTTGTTGCCCAGGCTGGAGTGCAATGGTGCAATCTCGACTCACCACAACCTCCGCCTCCCAGGTTCAAGCAATTCTACCTCAGCCTCCCGAGTAGCTGGGATTACAGTCATGCACCACCACGCCCGGCTAATTTTGTATTTTTAGTAGAGAAGGGGTTTCTCCATGTTGAGGCTGGTCTCGAACTCCTGACCTCAGGTGATCTGCCCACCTCGGCCTCCCAAAGTGCTGGGATTACAGGCGTGAGCCACTGCGCCTGGCCCATTCTTTCTAATTCTATAAATTTGACTACTTAGTTACCTTACATAAATAAATTCTTATAGTTAGTGTTATTTTTGCTTCCATGCCTTTTTTGTTGTTGTTCATGCTCTTACTTGGAATGCGTTCTATTTTGTCTACCTATGCACATCCTGTTGGGTTTTTTTTTTTTTTGGGGGTTTTTTTTGTTTTTTTTTGTTTTTTTTTCCCAGACAAGGTCTCAATTTGTTACCCAGGCTGGAGTGCAGCGGCGCCATCTCCACTCACTGCATCCTCAACTTCCTGGGCCCAGGTGATCCTCTCGCCTCAGCCCCTGCAGGTAGCTGGGACTATAGGCATGTGCCACCATGCCCAGCTAAATTTGGTTTTTTTGTTTGTTTGTTTTTGAGACAGAGTCTCACTCTGTCACCCAGGCTGGAGTGCAGTGGCACAATCTCAGCTCACTGCAATCTCTGCCGCCCGGGTTCAAGTGATTCTCCTGCCTCAGCCTCCCAAGCAGCTGGGATTACAGGTGACTGCCACCACGCCAGCTAAGTTTTGTAGTTTTAGTAGAGATGGGGTTTCACCTTGTTGGCCATGCTGGTCTCGAACTCCTGACCTCGTGATCTGCCTGCTTCTGCCTCCCAAAGTGCTGGAATTACAGGCATGAGCCACCACGCCCGGCCAGAATTTTTGTATTTTTAGTAGACACAAGGTTCTTACCCTGTTGCCTAGGCTGGTCTGGAAGTCCTGGACTCAAGCAATTCACCTGCCTTGGCCTCCCAAAATGCTGGGATTACAAGCCACCATGCCCGGCCTAAATCCTGTTGTTTTGTTTTGTTTTATTTTGTTTTGTTTTGTTTTGTTTGTTTTTTGAGACAGAGTCTCGCTATGTCTCTCAGGCTGTAGTGCAGTGGCGCGATCTTGGCTCACTGCCACCTCTGCCTCCCAGGTTCAAGTGATTCTCCTGCCTCAGCCTCCCAAGTAGCTGGGATTACAGGCATGTGCTACTATGTCCGGCTAATTTTTGTATTTTTAGTAGAGACAGGGTTTCACCATGTTGGCCAGGCTGGTCTCGAACTCCTGACCTCGTGATCCACCCACCTCGGCCACCCAAAGTGCTGGGATTACAGGCGTGAGTGGTTTTTATTTCTTAGGCCGGTTTCCTCCATATGATCTTGCAGTAGACATTAATTTCTTTCCTTTTTAATTAAAATACTGTTTGTATTTCACATTTTGATGTTTGTTAAGATTTGTTTTATATTGTTTTTTGTTTTGTCTTGTGTGATAGTCTTAAATCCCTAGTTAGATAATAACTGGAGAGTACCATGTTTCTATATATCTCTCAGTGACTTGCACAGTGCTAGCAGATAGTGCTAAAAAATTATTTATTATTATTATTATTTTGTTATTGTTGTTGTTGTTGTTAGACAGGGTCTTCCTCTGTCACCCAGGCTAGAGGGCAATGGGATGATCATAGCTTACTGCAGCCTCCAACAACTGGGCTCATGTAATTCTCCTGCCTCAGCTTCCCAAGTAGCTGGGATTACAGGCATGAGCCACCATGTCTGGACAAAAATATTTCCAGGTGCAGTGGCTCATGCCTGTAATTCCCACACTTGGGAGGCCGAGCGAGGCTGGAGGATCACTTGAGCCTAGGAGTTCAAGACCAGCTTGGCTAAGATGGCGAGACCCCGTCCCTACAAAAAATTTTAAAAACTAGCCAGGCATGGTGGCATGCACCTATATTCCCAACTACTCAGTGGGCTGAGGTGGGAGGGTCATTTGAACACAGGAATTTGAGGGGAGAAAAAAAGAAGAGAGAAAGAGAAGTGAAGGAAGGAAGAAAGGAAGGAGGGAGGGAGAGAAGAAAGAAACGAAAGAAAGGAAAAGAAAAGGAAGGAAAGAAAATTGGTACCAGGAAAGCAGGAAAGGGAAATGGAAGTAAAAAAATAATAATAATAATAAAATGAAAATTGGTTAGTCACTATTAACAATTTGTATCCTTATAATCTGGAAACATTATAATTTCAAAAGAAAAAATATTCTTTGGATCATAGGTTCTGAGGTCAGAACAGCATTCCCGTAGTCTAGATGAAGTCAAGTTTTATCTGATCTTAATTGAAATAAATATAGCTGGCCTTGAACAAATCTACTCATGGTATGTGGATAGGAATTAAATTGTAGGGGCATTCACTTGATGGCATTCATTCTTAGAACATTTACCTATGTCTAGCTTTTGGAGTAAAGTCACATAACCTCTAACCAGGTAAGTTTCCTGTGGCTTTATTTAGGATTTTAAATACTCATTTTCAGTGTAATTTTGTTATGTGTGGATTAAGATGACTCTTGGTACTAACATACATTTTCTGATTAAACCTATCTGAACATGAGTTGTTTTTATTTCTTACCCTTTCCAGAGCGATGATTCTGACATTTGGGATGATACAGCACTGATAAAAGCATATGATAAAGCTGTGGCTTCATTTAAGGTATGAAATGCTTGCTTAGTCGTTTTCTTATTTTCTCGTTATTCATTTGGAAAGGAATTGATAACATACGATAAAGTGTTAAAGTACATGTTATTCAGTTTTCATTTTGAAGATTAGATGGTAGTATGAGTTAGTTAAATCAGGTGATATCCTCCTTTAGAAGTTGATAGCCTATATATGTCATCCTTTGTGGAGGCAATTTAAATAAAATTTAAAACATTTATTCCTGGCTGGGTATGGTGGCTCACTCCTGTAATCCCAGCACTTTGAGAGGCTGAGGCGGGTGGATCACCTGAGGTCAGGAGTTTGAGACCAGCCTGGCCAACATGGTGAAACCCCGTCTTTACTAAAAATACAAAAATTAGCCAAGCATGGTGGCACGTGCCTGTAATCCCAGCTGCTTGGGACACTGAGGCAGGAGAATTGCTTGAACCTGGGGGGCAGAGGTTGCAATGATTGCACCACTGCACTCCAGCCTGGGCGATAGAGTGAGACTCCATCTCAGAAAACGAACAAACAATGTATTCCTTTTAGTATTTTTACATTGTATCAAACTATGGAAGTCCTCTAATTGAGATTAATAAGAAAAAGACAATCTGAATTATAATTTTAAACATTTAACAAGCATGTAGTAAAATAATGATGAAGATAAATAGCATTAGTACAGCAATTAATATTTGTAGCATGCTGACAGTGCTCTGTGTGCGTTTCATATATTAAATTACTCTAATCATCCCAAATCCTGTAAGTTGGGTATCAATTCAAGTGTTCCTATTGGGTAGGAATATACAGTTCTTTTAGGAAATGTAGTATGGTTCTGTGTCTCAAACAGGACACTTACACAGTTGGCCAACATCATCACCTTCTCCATTCTCTGAGATGTTTAGTCTTACTGAGCACTAAATATGGGTCATCAATAGTCCAGACTACCTTGAGCAAACAATAGTCCAGACTACCTTGAGCAAACAGAGCATATACTCATACAGTGTATAAAGAGCACCAAGCATACAGATTTCATGTCTTTCTCATAGTTACTCTTGTAACATGAGCTAAAGATCAGACCTCTATGTCACCTTTGTAACTGATTTCTAGATTTTTTTTTTTTTTTGAGATGGGGTCTTGCCCTGTCACCCAGGCTGGAGTGTAGTGGCGTGATCATGCCTCATTGGAGCCTTCAACTCATGAGCTCAAACAATCCTCCTACCTCAGCTTCCTGAGTAGTTGGGACCACAGGTGTGTGCCACCACACCCAGCTCATTTTTGTATTCTTTGTAGAGATGCAGTCTCACCCTGTTGCCCACGCTGGCCTGGAACTCCTGAGCTCAAAAGATCCCTCCGCCTTGACCTTCCAAAGTGCTGGGATTACAAGCATGAACCACTGCACCCGGCCTAGATTTTTAAATGTGCTTTCCAGTATACACTGAAACTAGAAGTCGACTAAAGAATTACCAAGAGAATTCTATAAAATAGAGATTGAAATGGGGCTCGATGTGGGATGGGTTGGTGATATTGCAGGGAGAAGTAATCTGAGTAAAGGAGGAAAAGAACTGATTTGGGAAAACGATAGTTTTAGTAGTGAGTTTGAGTATGAATTAAGTTGAGATTGAATTTGAATTAAGTTGAGGTTGAATATGAATTAAGTTGAGGTTGAGTTTGAGGTATGAATTAAGATGTGAAATTGATCATTGGAAATGTTAGATTGAGAAAAGTCACAGCTGGATTAATAGCTTCAGAAGTGTGTTTGCAGACAGTTGCAACTAAAGTAATAAGAATAGATGGCCTTGGCCGGGCGCGGTGGCTCACGCCTGTAATCCCAGTACTTTGGGAGGCTGAGGCGAGCAAATCACGAGGTCAGGAGTTCAAGACCAGCCTGGCCCACATGGTGAAACCCCGTCTTTATTAAAAATACAAAAATTAGCTGTGCACAGTGGTGCACGCCTGTAATCCCAGCTACTCGGGAGGCTGAGACAGGAGAATCGCTTGAACCTGGGAGGTGGAGGTTGCAGTGAGCTGAGATCAGTGTGACTGCACTCCAGCCCGGTGACAGAGTGAGACTCTGTGTAAAAAAATAAAATAAATAAAATAATGGCCGTAAGCAAGTAAAGAAGGATGGCCAGCTCTTATTGGGAATGCCTAAATCTAAGGCTTGATCAGAAGTAATGAAACCGTTGGGGCCCTACATTGCTATGACATCCAAAGGGCCATGAATATCAGGAAGAAAGATAATTAACAGGGTCTAATGTTACAGAGAGGTTGAGAGCAAGGAGATTTGATTAAAAGGGTCTTTAGAGCTGATGTCAGGTGTATGATGCCTTTAAGAGCAGTTTTTATAGTGCAGGGGGTGGTCAAAAGAGAAAATAGGTGCTTTCTGAGGTGACGGAGCCTTGAGACTAGCTTATAGTAGTAACTGGGTTATGTCGTGACTTTTATTCTGTGCACCACCCTGTAACATGTACATTTTTATTCCTATTTTCGTAGCATGCTCTAAAGAATGGTGACATTTGTGAAACTTCGGGTAAACCAAAAACCACACCTAAAAGAAAACCTGCTAAGAAGAATAAAAGCCAAAAGAAGAATACTGCAGCTTCCTTACAACAGGTTATTTTAAAATGTTGAGATTTAACTTCAAAGGATGTCTCATTAGTCCTTATTTAATAGTGTAAAATGTCTTTAACTTAAGTGATTAGTACAGTGTTTCTATTGACATATACTTATACAACTTCAAAAACAACTATTAAATTTTCTGTTATTTAGGAACATGCATATTAGTCATGAAAGTATAAAGAATTAGATGGGAATGATAAATGCTAAAATCAGGACATGTGTTCCATTTGTGAATGGAAGGCAGGGAGAAGGTGCCGTTTGGAAGGAGTACCCAAGAGCCGTAAGCTGAATTGGCAGTGTTTTACATCTTAAGCTGAGAGATAGATTTTTTTTTCCCCTTTTTCTTTAAAAACTCTAAAACTGTTAATTCCAAGGAACCCAGAAGTCTAGGTAGATTATTTCTGCTAGTTAAAAGCAGTAGTCCTGAAAGCTGAATATTTTGGTGTCTTTTGAGCCAACTTTAGTTTCATCATTACCAAGGGGGAAGAGAGCTAACAGTTGATGAGCACTTGCTCTAGGCCAGTCCAGAGTGCTGGGCACCATACGCATTTTATCTCCCTCCCGCTATTCACAACAAATATGGGAGGTAGTTTATATTATAGCCATCTAATAAGATGGGGAAACTAAGACTCAAAGAGATTCAGAAACTTGTCCATGATTATAAATGTAAGAGAGTTGGAATTCAGATTTATGTATTTAGACCCCAAGCCTTTCTCATTACATCATTTTGCCTTCCAAATCTCTACCCTCTATCCTTCACCTCCCCACTGATCAAAACGAGATGATAGTTTGCCCTCTTCAAAAGAAATGTGTGCATGTATATATCTTTGATTTCTTTTGTAGTGGAAAGTTGGGGACAAATGTTCTGCCATTTGGTCAGAAGACGGTTGCATTTACCCAGCTACCATTGCTTCAATTGATTTTAAGAGAGAAACCTGTGTTGTGGTTTACACTGGATATGGAAATAGAGAGGAGCAAAATCTGTCCGATCTACTTTCCCCAATCTGTGAAGTAGCTAATAATATAGAACAAAATGCTCAAGAGGTAAGGATACAAAAAAAAAAAAATTCAATTTCTGGAAGCAGAGACTAGATGAGAAACTGTTAAACAGTATACACAGTTGTCAGTTTGATCCACCGAGGCATTAATTTTTTCTTAATCACACCCTTATAACAAAAACCTGCATATTTTTTCTTTTTAAAGAATGAAAATGAAAGCCAAGTTTCAACAGATGAAAGTGAGAACTCCAGGTCTCCTGGAAATAAATCAGATAACATCAAGCCCAAATCTGCTCCATGGAACTCTTTTCTCCCTCCACCACCCCCCATGCCAGGGCCAAGACTGGGACCAGGAAAGGTAAACCTTCTATGAAAGTTTTCCAGAAAATAGTTAATGTCGGGACATTTAACCTCTCTGTTAACTAATTTGTAGCTCTCCCATGAAACTTTTGTAGCTTAAATACACAAGAATTTTTTGAAAAGGAAATAAGATAATGATGCAAAATAGTTAATTTTTTAAAAAAATGTTAGACACTGCAGTGGATGCAACAAAATACTTTATATGAAAGATTTATCCAGTTAACTTTTGTGGAGTATTAGGTATTAGACTAATAATTAGCACACTTACTTAAGTTAGAAAGTATAATAATGCGCCGGACGCGGTAGCTCACGCCTGTAATCCCAGCACTTTGGGAGGCCAAGGTGGGCGGATCACAAGGTCAGGAGATCGAGACCATCCTGGCTAACACGGTGAAACCCCATCTCTACTGAAAATACAAAAAAATTTGCCGGGCGTGATGGCGGGCACCTGTAGTCCCAGCTACTCGGGAGGCTGAGGCAGGAGGATGGTGTGAACCCCGGAGGCAGAGCTTGCAGTGAGTCAAGATCGTGCCACTGCACTCCAACCTGGGCGACAGAATGAGACTCCATCTCAAACAAAAAAACAAAACAAAACAAAAAAAAGTGTAATAATAATTTATCATTAGCTGGATGATATGCTGTTGTTTCCCATGTCACCTGTATAAGATATGTAAAATAAGAACACATTATTTACATCTAATATAGATAAAATCCTGAGGCGCTCTCAGATTGTTTTGTAGAGTTCAAATGTAAATATTGTTTTCATTTATGGTCCTTTTGGTTATAAGTAACAGAAATCAACTCTAAAAAGATTTTTATTATAGGTTAGATTATGTCATGGAACCTTAAGGCTTGTCCCTTTCTAGTTCTTTTGTGTAAAGCGGTGATTTCTTCCATGGAGGGAATGGTATTTAGGCAATTTTTTTTTTTTTTCGAGATGGAGTCTTGCTCTGTCGCTCAGGCTGGAGTGCAGTGGCACCATTTCAGCTCACTGCAACTTCCACCTCCTGGGTTCAAGTGATTCTCCTGCTTCAGCCTCCCAAGTAGCTGAGATTACAGGCACCCGCCACCACACCCGGCTTATTTTGTATTTTTAGTAGAGATGGGGTTTCACCATGTTGGCCAGGCTGGTCTTGAACTCCTGACCTCAAGTGATCTCCCCACCTTGGCCTTCCAAAGTGCTAGGATTACAGGCGCCTAGCCTAGGCAGTCATTTTCAAAAAACAAGCATGACTCACCAAAAGTTTTAAGATTTTCTGTGATAATGTTCTTATTGAGGCTTACATTATATTACAGTTTCTTGAATCTAAAATGATGTACCCTCTTAGGATATATACATCATGCTTCATTGGTCTCAGGGGGCTGATTTTTATAAGGAGAGATTTGCTAGTTTTCACAATATGTCCTCTAAGTTGGCATGTATAGCTAAACAGGCTTTCATAAAAATATACAATTTAGTTAATGAAATTTGGGATATAGTCTTTTATGATTGAAATAATTTTGCTAAATAGACTGTCTCTGATTTATTAGGTAATCACCACTCTTATTTTGTTTTACTTCCTTAATGTCTACATAGAAAGGAAATGAGAAAAATCCAGAGGTTGTCATTTGACTTATGAGTCTGTTTGACTTCAGGATTTGGTACATGAAATTTCACTTAATCTTTTTGATATGTATAAAACAAATATTCTGGGTAATTATTTTTATCCTTTTGGTTTTGAGTCCTTTTTATTCCTATCATATTGAAATTGGTAAGTTAATTTTCCTTTGAAATATTCCTTATAGCCAGGTCTAAAATTCAATGGCCCACCACCGCCACCGCCACCACCACCACCCCACTTACTATCATGCTGGCTGCCTCCATTTCCTTCTGGACCACCAGTAAGTAAAAAAGAGTATAGGTTAGATTTTGCTTTCACATACAATTTGATAATTAGCAGAATAGAGGATTGTAAAATGTCATTGTAGAACATCCCTTGGGCCAGATTCTAATGGGTAGAAATTTGAACTAAACCTCTGGGTTTTGTTTGTTTTTAATGCCTTTCTGTTACCCAGATGCAGTGCTCTTGTAGTCCCAAGTCTAAGCTCTAGGTTGCCTTCTTTCCTGGCAGAAGTTGGTGTCTATGCCATAAGGAGGTAGTTCCTGTTAGAAGGGATTTAATTATACCTTATATAAGGAATTAGTGTTTGCCCTTCTAGGTATAGTTGGATGTTAGCTTCTGATGTAAACTGGATTTCTTTTTCTTTCTCTCTCTTTTTTTTTTTTTGTTTTGGAGGCAGAGTTTTGCCCTTGTACCCCAGGCTGGAGTGCAGTGGTGTGATCTCAGCTCACAGCAACCTCCGCCTCCTGGGTTCAAGCAATTCTGCCTCGGCCTCCCAAGTAGCTGGGATTACAGGCGACTGCCACCACACCCGGCTAATTTTTGTTTTATTAGTAGAGATGGGGTTTCACCATGTTGGCCAGACTGATCTTGAACTCCTGACCTCAGGTGATCCACCCGCCTTGGCCTCCCAAAGCGCTGGGATTACAGGCGTGAGCTGCCGCACCCAGCTGTAAACTGGATTTCTAATGGTAGATTTTTAGGTATTAACAATAGATAAAAAGATACTTTTTGGCATACTGTGTATTGGGATGGGGTTAGAACAGGTGTTCTACCCAAGACATTTACTTAAAATCGCCCTCGAAATGCTATGTGAGCTGTGTGTGTGTGTGTGTGTGTGTGTGTGTATTAAGGAAAAGCATGAAAGTATTTATGCTTGATTTTTTTTTTTTACTCATAGCTTCATAGTGGAACAGATACATAGTCTAAATCAAAATGTTTAAACTTTTTATGTCACTTGCTGTCTTTTCGTCCTCGTTAAATTTAATTTTGTTGGTCTTTTGTTGTTATTGGTTGGTTTTCTCCAAATGCTAGCTATGTTAAGAAATTTAAGGCCAGGTACAGTGGCTCATGCCTGTAATCCCGGCATTTTAGAAGGCTGAGGCAGGAGGATCACTTGAGCTCAGGAGTTTGAGACCAGTCTGGGCAACATAGCAAGACCTCGTCTTTGTTTAGGGGAAAAAAAAGAAATTTAAGTAGGAGATTATATAAGCAAAAATACAATTAATTTCCAGCATTCACTATATAATATAAATCTCCAGACTTTACTTTTTTGTTTACTGGATATAAACAATATCTTTTTCTGTCTCCAGATAATTCCCCCACCACCTCCCATATGTCCAGATTCTCTTGATGATGCTGATGCTTTGGGAAGTATGTTAATTTCATGGTACATGAGTGGCTATCATACTGGCTATTATATGGTAAGTAATCACTCAGCATCTTTTCCTGACAATTTTTTTGTAGTTATGTGACTTTGTTTTGTAAATTTATAAAATACTACTTGCTTCTCTCTTTATATTACTAAAAAATAAAAATAAAAAAATACAACTGTCTGAGGCTTAAATTACTCTTGCATTGTCCCTAAGTATAATTTTAGTTAATTTTAAAAAGCTTTCATGCTATTGTTAGATTATTTTGATTATACACTTTTGAATTGAAATTATACTTTTTCTAAATAATGTTTTAATCTCTGATTTGAAATTGATTGTAGGGAATGGAAAAGATGGGATAATTTTTCATAAATGAAAAATGAAATTCTTTTTTTTTTTTTTTTTTTTTTGAGACGGAGTCTTGCTCTGTTGCCCAGGCTGGAGTGCAATGGCGTGATCTTGGCTCACAGCAAGCTCTGCCTTCTGGATTCACGCCATTCTCCTGCCTCAGCCTCAGAGGTAGCTGGGACTACAGGTGCCTGCCACCACGCCTGTCTAATTTTTTGTATTTTTTTGTAAAGACAGGGTTTCACTGTGTTAGCCAGGATGGTCTCAATCTCCTGACCCCGTGATCCACCCGCCTCGGCCTTCCAAGAGAAATGAAATTTTTTTAATGCACAAAGATCTGGGGTAATGTGTACCACATTGAACCTTGGGGAGTATGGCTTCAAACTTGTCACTTTATACGTTAGTCTCCTACGGACATGTTCTATTGTATTTTAGTCAGAACATTTAAAATTATTTTATTTTATTTTATTTTTTTTTTTTTTTTGAGACGGAGTCTCGCTCTGTCACCCAGGCTGGAGTACAGTGGCGCAGTCTCGGCTCACTGCAAGCTCCGCCTCCCGGGTTCACGCCATTCTCCTGCCTCAGCCTCTCCGAGTAGCTGGGACTACAGGCGCCCGCCACCACGCCCGGCTAATTTTTTTTTATTTTTAGTAGAGACGGGGTTTCACCGTGGTCTCAATCTCCTGACCTCGTGATCCACCCGCCTCGGCCTCCCAAAGTGCTGGGATTACAAGCGTGAGCCACCGCGCCCGGCCTAAAATTATTTTTAAAAGTAAGCTCTTGTGCCCTGCTAAAATTATGATGTGATATTGTAGGCACTTGTATTTTTAGTAAATTAATATAGAAGAAACAACTGACTTAAAGGTGTATGTTTTTAAATGTATCATCTGTGTGTGCCCCCATTAATATTCTTATTTAAAAGTTAAGGCCAGACATGGTGGCTTACAACTGTAATCCCAACAGTTTGTGAGGCCGAGGCAGGCAGATCACTTGAGGTCAGGAGTTTGAGACCAGCCTGGCCAACATGATGAAACCTTGTCTCTACTAAAAATACCAAAAAAAATTTAGCCAGGCATGGTGGCACATGCCTGTAATCCGAGCTACTTGGGAGGCTGTGGCAGGAAAATTGCTTTAATCTGGGAGGCAGAGGTTGCAGTGAGTTGAGATTGTGCCACTGCACTCCACCCTTGGTGACAGAGTGAGATTCCATCTCAAAAAAAGAAAAAGGCCTGGCACGGTGGCTCACACCTATAATCCCAGTACTTTGGGAGGTAGAGGCAGGTGGATCACTTGAGGTTAGGAGTTCAGGACCAGCCTGGCCAACATGGTGACTACTCCATTTCTACTAAATACACAAAACTTAGCCCAGTGGCGGGCAGTTGTAATCCCAGCTACTTGAGAGGTTGAGGCAGGAGAATCACTTGAACCTGGGAGGCAGAGGTTGCAGTGAGCCGAGATCACACCGCTGCACTCTAGCCTGGCCAACAGAGTGAGAATTTGCGGAGGGAAAAAAAAGTCACGCTTCAGTTGTTGTAGTATAACCTTGGTATATTGTATGTATCATGAATTCCTCATTTTAATGACCAAAAAGTAATAAATCAACAGCTTGTAATTTGTTTTGAGATCAGTTATCTGACTGTAACACTGTAGGCTTTTGTGTTTTTTAAATTATGAAATATTTGAAAAAAATACATAATGTATATATAAAGTATTGGTATAATTTATGTTCTAAATAACTTTCTTGAGAAATAATTCACATGGTGTGCAGTTTACCTTTGAAAGTATACAAGTTGGCTGGGCACAATGGCTCACGCCTGTAATCCCAGCACTTTGGGAGGCCAAGGCAGGTGGATCACGAGGTCAGGAGATCGAGACCATCCTGGCTAACATGGTGAAACCCCGTCTCTACTAAAAGTACAAAAACAAATTAGCCGGGCATGTTGGCGGGCACCTTTTGTCCCAGCTGCTCGGGAGGCTGAGGCAGGAGAGTGGCGTGAACCCAGGAGGTGGAGCTTGCAGTGAGCCGAGATTGTGCCAGTGCACTCCAGCCTGGGCGACAGAGCGAGACTCTGTCTCAAAAAATAAAATAAAAAAGAAAGTATACAAGTCAGTGGTTTTGGTTTTCAGTTATGCAACCATCACTACAATTTAAGAACATTTTCATCACCCCAAAAAGAAACCCTGTTACCTTCATTTTCCCCAGCCCTAGGCAGTCAGTACACTTTCTGTCTCTATGAATTTGTCTATTTTAGATATTATATATAAACGGAATTATACGATATGTGGTCTTTTGTGTCTGGCTTCTTTCACTTAGCATGCTATTTTCAAGATTCATCCATGCTGTAGAATGCACCAGTACTGCATTCCTTCTTATTGCTGAATATTCTGTTGTTTGGTTATATCACATTTTATCCATTCATCAGTTCATGGACATTTAGGTTGTTTTTATTTTTGGGCTATAATGAATAATGTTGCTATGAACATTCGTTTGTGTTCTTTTTGTTTTTTTGGTTTTTTGGGTTTTTTTTGTTTTGTTTTTGTTTTTGAGACAGTCTTGCTCTGTCTCCTAAGCTGGAGTGCAGTGGCATGATCTTGGCTTACTGCAAGCTCTGCCTCCCGGGTTCACACCATTCTCCTGCCTCAGCCCGACAAGTAGCTGGGACTACAGGCGTGTGCCACCATGCACGGCTAATTTTTTGTATTTTTAGTAGAGATGGGGTTTCACCGTGTTAGCCAGGATGGTCTCGATCTCCTGACCTCGTGATCTGCCTGCCTAGGCCTCCCAAAGTGCTGGGATTACAGGCGTGAGCCACTGCACCTGGCCTTAAGTGTTTTTAATACGTCATTGCCTTAAGCTAACAATTCTTAACCTTTGTTCTACTGAAGCCACGTGGTTGAGATAGGCTCTGAGTCTAGCTTTTAACCTCTATCTTTTTGTCTTAGAAATCTAAGCAGAATGCAAATGACTAAGAATAATGTTGTTGAAATAACATAAAATAGGTTATAACTTTGATACTCATTAGTAACAAATCTTTCAATACATCTTACGGTCTGTTAGGTGTAGATTAGTAATGAAGTGGGAAGCCACTGCAAGCTAGTATACATGTAGGGAAAGATAGAAAGCATTGAAGCCAGAAGAGAGACAGAGGACATTTGGGCTAGATCTGACAAGAAAAACAAATGTTTTAGTATTAATTTTTGACTTTAAATTTTTTTTTTATTTAGTGAATACTGGTGTTTAATGGTCTCATTTTAATAAGTATGACACAGGTAGTTTAAGGTCATATATTTTATTTGATGAAAATAAGGTATAGGCCGGGCACGGTGGCTCACACCTGTAATCCCAGCACTTTGGGAGGCCGAGGCAGGCGGATCACCTGAGGTCGGGAGTTAGAGACTAGCCTCAACATGGAGAAACCCCGTCTCTACTAAAAAAAATACAAAATTAGGCGGGCGTGGTGGTGCATGCCTGTAATCCCAGCTACTCAGGAGGCTGAGGCAGGAGAATTGCTTGAACCTGGGAGGTGGAGGTTGCGGTGAGCCGAGATCACCTCATTGCACTCCAGCCTGGGCAATAAGAGCAAAACTCCATCTCAAAAAAAAAAAAATAAGGTATAAGCGGGCTCAGGAACATCATTGGACATACTGAAAGAAGAAAAATCAGCTGGGCGCAGTGGCTCACGCCGGTAATCCCAACACTTTGGGAGGCCAAGGCGGGTGAATCACCTGAAGTCGGGAGTTCCAGATCAGCCTGACCAACATGGAGAAACCCTGTCTCTACTAAAAATACAAAACTAGCCGGGCATGGTGGCGCATGCCTGTAATCCCAGCTACTTGGGAGGCTGAGGCAGGAGAGTTGCTTGAACTGAGAAGGCGGAGGTTGCGGTGAGCCAAGATTGCACCATTGCACTCCAGCCTGGGCAACAAGAGCGAAACTCCGTCTCAAAAAAAAAAGGAAGAAAAATATTTTTTTAAATTAATTAGTTTATTTATTTTTTAAGATGGAGTTTTGCCCTGTCGCCCAGGCTGGGGTGCAATGGTGCAATCTCGGCTCACTGCAACCTCCGCCTCCTGGGTTCAAGTGATTCTCCTGCCTCAGCTTCCCGAGTAGCTGTGATTACAGCCATATGCCACCACGCCCAGCCAGTTTTGTGTTTTGTTTTGTTTTTTGTTTTTTTTTTTTGAGAGGGTGTCTTGCTCTGTCCCCCAAGCTGGAGTGCAGCGGCGCGATCTTGGCTCACTGCAAGCTCTGCCTCCCAGGTTCACACCATTCTCTTGCCTCAGCCTCCCGAGTAGCTGGGACTACAGGTGCCCGCCACCACACCCGGCTAATTTTTTTGTGTTTTTAGTAGAGATGGGGTTTCACTGTGTTAGCCAGGATGGTCTCGATCTCCTGACCTTTTGATCCACCCGCCTCAGCCTCCCCAAGTGCTGGGATTATAGGCGTGAGCCACTGTGCCCGGCCTAGTCTTGTATTTTTAGTAGAGTCGGGGTTTCTCCATGTTGGTCAGGCTGTTCTCCAAATCCGACCTCAGGTGATCCGCCCGCCTTGGCCTCCAAAAGTGCAAGGCATTACAGGCATGAGCCACTGTGACCGGCAATGTTTTTAAATTTTTTAAATTTAAATTTTATTTTTTAGAGACCAGGTCTCACTCTATTGCTCAGGCTGGAGTGCAAGGGCACATTCACAGCTCACTGCAGCCTTGACCTCCAGGGCTCAAGCAGTCCTCTCACCTCAGTTTCCCGAGTAGCTGGGACTACAGTGATAATGCCACTGCACCTGGCTAATTTTTATTTTTATTTATTTATTTTTTTTTGAGACAGAGTCTTGCTCTGTCACCCAGGCTGGAGTGCAGTGGTGTAAATCTCAGCTCACTGCAGCCTCCGCCTCCTGGGTTCAAGTGATTCTCCTGCCTCAGCCTCCCAAGTAGCTGGGATTAGAGGTCCCCACCACCATGCCTGGCTAATTTTTTGTACTTTCAGTAGAAATGGGGTTTTGCCATGTTGGCCAGGCTGTTCTCGAACTCCTGAGCTCAGGTGATCCAACTGTCTCGGCCTCCCAAAGTGCTGGGATTACAGGCGTGAGCCACTGTGCCTAGCCTGAGCCACCACGCCGGCCTAATTTTTAAATTTTTTGTAGAGACAGGGTCTCATTATGTTGCCCAGGGTGGTGTCAAGCTCCAGGTCTCAAGTGATCCCCCTACCTCCGCCTCCCAAAGTTGTGGGATTGTAGGCATGAGCCACTGCAAGAAAACCTTAACTGCAGCCTAATAATTGTTTTCTTTGGGATAACTTTTAAAGTACATTAAAAGACTATCAACTTAATTTCTGATCATATTTTGTTGAATAAAATAAGTAAAATGTCTTGTGAAACAAAATGCTTTTTAACATCCATATAAAGCTATCTATATATAGCTATCTATGTCTATATAGCTATTTTTTTTAACTTCCTTTATTTTCCTTACAGGGTTTCAGACAAAATCAAAAAGAAGGAAGGTGCTCACATTCCTTAAATTAAGGAGTAAGTCTGCCAGCATTATGAAAGTGAATCTTACTTTTGTAAAACTTTATGGTTTGTGGAAAACAAATGTTTTTGAACATTTAAAAAGTTCAGATGTTAAAAAGTTGAAAGGTTAATGTAAAACAATCAATATTAAAGAATTTTGATGCCAAAACTATTAGATAAAAGGTTAATCTACATCCCTACTAGAATTCTCATACTTAACTGGTTGGTTATGTGGAAGAAACATACTTTCACAATAAAGAGCTTTAGGATATGATGCCATTTTATATCACTAGTAGGCAGACCAGCAGACTTTTTTTTATTGTGATATGGGATAACCTAGGCATACTGCACTGTACACTCTGACATATGAAGTGCTCTAGTCAAGTTTAACTGGTGTCCACAGAGGACATGGTTTAACTGGAATTCGTCAAGCCTCTGGTTCTAATTTCTCATTTGCAGGAAATGCTGGCATAGAGCAGCACTAAATGACACCACTAAAGAAACGATCAGACAGATCTGGAATGTGAAGCGTTATAGAAGATAACTGGCCTCATTTCTTCAAAATATCAAGTGTTGGGAAAGAAAAAAGGAAGTGGAATGGGTAACTCTTCTTGATTAAAAGTTATGTAATAACCAAATGCAATGTGAAATATTTTACTGGACTCTATTTTGAAAAACCATCTGTAAAAGACTGGGGTGGGGGTGGGAGGCCAGCACGGTGGTGAGGCAGTTGAGAAAATTTGAATGTGGATTAGATTTTGAATGATATTGGATAATTATTGGTAATTTTATGAGCTGTGAGAAGGGTGTTGTAGTTTATAAAAGACTGTCTTAATTTGCATACTTAAGCATTTAGGAATGAAGTGTTAGAGTGTCTTAAAATGTTTCAAATGGTTTAACAAAATGTATGTGAGGCGTATGTGGCAAAATGTTACAGAATCTAACTGGTGGACATGGCTGTTCATTGTACTGTTTTTTTCTATCTTCTATATGTTTAAAAGTATATAATAAAAATATTTAATTTTTTTTTAAATTAGCTGTATCTGTGATTGTATTTCTTTTTTGCATATTATTTTGCCCTTTGGCCCATATTTTGATATGGATGCCACCATAGCATTTTGTGTATGTGCATGTGTATTCCCACTTAATGTCACATTTTTCATGTCTTTACATATTCTTATTTTTGTTTGTTTTTGAGACAGAGTCTCGCTCTGCTGCCCACGCTGGAGTGCAGTGGTGCAATCTCAGCTCACTGCAACCTGTGCTATCCGGGTTCAAGCGGTTCTCGTGCCTCAGCCACGTGAGTAGTTGGGATTACAGGCATGTGGCACCATGCCCCACTAAGTTTTGTATTTTTAGTAGAGATGGAGTTTCACCATGTTGGCCAGGCTGGTCTCAAACTCCTGCCCTCAAGTGATTCGACCACCCTGGCCTCCCAAAGTGCTGGGATTACAGCCGTGAGCCACCGCACACGGCCTCTCTATTTATTTCTATACATAGCTTTTCACATTATATTATGTTTATATATTGTTTATATCTGTATTTCCTCTTTCATTAGAGAAAAGGTAGTACATCTTATTCTTCATGGTGTCTACAATATCTGGCAGTTTTTGGAAGTCAAGCGTGAGCTTAGAGCATAGACTGGTGGGATTGTCAAAGAAGAGGGCAACTGGAAGAGAACTGTCAGTTATTTTTGGATCAGTCTTTAATTCATCATGACGGGTTAGGCATTAGTTGTATTTCTTGCTAATTTTGAAGAAGACTTATTAACAAATCCTACATTAGGTAAATGGTTTTGAAAGTTGAGTTAATCATAATGGTGTTTGACCTAGGACTATTTTTAGGCCCTATTTATCTTAATATCGAATAATGAAGCAGCTTCCCCCTTAGATATAGACAGAAAACATCAAAGCCACCACACTACCTGGCTGGATTTATCCTAGTAATAAAATCAAAACTGAGCTAGTTCTCTGGCTTTCATTGTAATAATTGTCCTTGTGGTTGTAAGGAATCTAGATGAAAATTACATGGTCTGTTCTACAGCCACAGCTGTACCTACATTCAGAAGACAGACAAAAGTTGCTGTGTTTGAAGAGATCCTTCATTAAGGGATCAGACAGAGATTACTTTGAGACATATTCTAAGTTTAACTTTTCTGCAGGGTTGCCATTAACAGAAATAAACTACAGAGTTAATTTCTTTTTGTTTTTGATACAGTCTAACTCTCACCCAAGCTGGAGTGCAGTGGCGCAATTTCAGCTCACTGCAACCTCTGCCTCCCAGGTTCAAGCAATTCTCCTGCCTCAGCCTCCCGAGCAGCTGGGACTACAGGCATGTGCCACTATGCCTGGCTAATTTTTGTATTTTTAGTAGTAGAGACGTGGTTTCGCCACGTTGGCCAGGCTGGTCTGGAACTCCTGACCCCAGGTAATCCACCTGCCTCGGCCTCCCAAAGTGCTGGGATTACAAGCTTGAGCCACTACGCCTGACCCAGAGTTAACTTTTTAAAAAAGTTTTTATGAACTTAAGTCTTGTGATGTTTGAAATAATGGATTCAATTTAGACATCAAATTCCAGAAGTTACTAAGAGCAGCTGGGCGCGGCAGCTCACACCTGTAATCCCAGCACTTTGGGAGGCCGAGGCGGGTGGATCACCTGAGATCAGGAGTTCCAGACCAGCCTGGCCAACATAGTAAAACCCTGTCTCTACTAAAAATACAAAAATTAGCCCGGCATGGTGGCACGCGCCTGTAGTCCCAGCTACTTGGGAGGCTGAGGCAGGAGAATTGCTTGAACCCGGGAGGTGGAGGTTGTGGTGAGCCGAGATTGTGCCACTGTACTCAAGCCTGGGCTAAAAAGCGAGACTCCGTCTCAAAAAAAAAAAAAAAAAAAAAAAAAAAAAAAAAAAAAAAAAAAAAAAAAACAAAACACGTTACTAAGAGCAACTCTGGGCCAGGCACGGTGGCTTACACCTGTAATCCCAGCATTTTGGGAGGACGAGACAGGCGGATCACTTGAGCCCAGGAGTTCAAGACCAGCATAAGCAACAACGCAAAACCCCTGACTCTACAAAAAATGAAAGAATTAGCAAGGCATGGTGGTGCATGCCTGTAGTCCCAGCTACTGGAGAGGCTGAGGCAAAAGGATCACTTGAGTACAGGAGGTTGAGGCTGTATAATGAGCCATGTTCACACCATTGCACTTCAGCCTGGGCAACAGACTGAGACCCTGTCTCAAAAAAAAAAACCAAACCAAAGCAACAAACAAAAAACAAGAGCAACTCTGCTTCTGTACACTTTTTTTTTTTTTTGGTAGTGACATGATCTATGTTGCCCAAGCTGGTCTCGAGTTCCTGGGTTCAAGCCATTCTCCCACCTCGGGCTCCCAAAGTGCTAGGATTACAGGCATGAATCACCATGCCCAGCCCTTCTGTACACTTTTCACAGTGTACCCTTTTGTGTTTTTTAAAATGTTTGTGTATACATTTATTGTGAATTTTTAAAAAACATGTAATTAAGGCCAGGCATGGTGGCTCATACCTGTAATCCTAGCACTTTGAGAGGCTGAGGTGGGTGGATCACCTGAGGTCGGTAGTTCGAGACCAGCCTGGCCCAACATGGTGAAACCCCATCTCTACTAAAAATACAAAAAAAAAATTAGCTCGGCATGGTGGTGGGCGCCTGTAATCCCAGCTACTGGAGAGGCTGAAGCATGAGAATCACTTGAACCCAGGAGGCGGAGGTTGCAGTGAGCCAAGATCATGCCACTACACTCCAGCCTGGGTGACTCAGTGACTGTCTCAAAAAGAAAAAAAGTAATTAAGTTCTGTCATGATATATCATCATTACCCTTTTTGAACTTTTAAAATTTTTTATCTTTAGAGGTAATTCATATAATGTTCTTCAATAGATAAGTGCTTTTCTGTCAATATATCTTGGAGAACACACCATATCAGTATTTAAAACTCTCATTCTTCCTATTTCTCCACATCCTCTCCAGCACCCGTTGTTTCCTGACTTTTTAATGATTGCCATTCTAACTGGTGTGAGATGGTATCTTATTGTGGTTTTGATTTGCATTTCTCTGATGGCCAGTGATGGTGAGCATTTTTTCATGTGTTTTTTAGCTGCATAAATGTCTTCTTTTGAGAAGTGTCTGTTCATGTCCTTCGCCCACTTTTTGATGGGGTTGTCTGTTTTTTTCTTGTAAATTTGTTTGAGTTCGTTGTAGATTCTGGATATTAGCCCTTTGTCAGATGAGTAGATTGCAAAAATTTTCTCCCATTTTGTAGGTTGCCTGTTCACTCTGATGGTAGTTTCTTTTGCTGTGCAGAAGCTCTTTAGTTTAATTAGATCCCAGTTTTGGCTTTTGTTGCCGTTGCTTTTGGTGTTTTAGACATGAAGTCCTTGCCCATGCCTATGTCCTGAATGGTAATGCCTAGGTTTTCTTCTAGGGTTTTTATGGTTTTAGGTCTAACATTTAAGTCTTTAATCCATCTTGAATTAATTTTTGTATAAGGTGTAAGGAAGGGATCCAGTTTCAGCTTTCTACATATGGCTAGCCAGTTTCCCAGCACCATTTATTAAATAGGGAATCCTTTCCCCATTGCTTGTTTTTCTCAGGTTTGTCAAAGATCAGATAGTTGTAGATATGCGGCGTTATTTCTGAGAGCTCTGTTCTGTTCCATTGGTCTATATCTCTGTTTTGGTACCAGTACCATGCTGTTTTGGTCACTGTAGCCTTGTAGTATAGTTTGAAGTCAGGTAGCGTGATGCCTCCAGCTTTGTTCTTTTGGCTTAGGATTGACTTGGCGATGCGGGCTTTTTTTTGGTTCCATATGAACTTTAAAGTAGTTTTTTCCAATTCTGTGAAGAAAGTCATTGGTAGCTTGATGGGGATGGCATTGAATCTGTAAATTACCTTGGGCAGTATGGCCATTTTCACGATATTGATTCTTCCTACCCATGAGCATGGAATGTTCTTCCATTTGTTTGTATCCTCTTTTATTTCATTGAGCAGTGGTTTGTAGTTCTCCTTGAAGAGGTCCTTCACATCCCTTGTAAGTTGGATTCCTAGGTATTTTATTCTCTTTGAAGCAATTGTGAATGGGAGTTCACTCATGATTTGGCTCTCTGTTTGTCTGTTATTGCTGTATAAGAATGCTTGTGATTTTTGTACATTGATTTTGTATCCTGAGACTTTGCTGAAGTTGCTTATCAGCTTAAGGAGATTTTGGGCTGAGACAATGGGGTTTTCTAGATATACAATCATGTAATCTGCAAACAGGGACAATTTGGCTTCCTCTTTTCCTAATTGAATACCCGTTATTTCTTTCTCCTGCCTAATTGCCCTGGCCAGAACTTCCAACACTATGTTGAATAGGAGTGGTGAGAGAGGGCATCCCTGTCTTGTGCGTGTTTTCAAAGGGAATGCTTCCAGTTTTTGCCCATTCAGTATGATATTGGCTGTGGGTTTGTCATAGATAGCTCTTATTATTTTGAGATACGTCCCATCAATACCTCATTTATTGAGAGTTTTTAGCATGAAGGATTGTTGAATTTTGTCAAAGGCCTTTTCTGCATCTATTGAGATAATCATGTGGTTTTTGTCTTTGGTTCTGTTTATATGCTGGATTACATTTATTGATTTGCGTATGTTGAACCAGCCTTGCATCCCAGGGATGAAGCCCACTTGATCATGCTGGATAAGCTTTTTGATGTGCTGCTGGATTCGGTTTGCCAGTATTTTATTGATGATTTTTGCATCAATGTTCATCAAGGATATTAGTCTAAAATTCTCTTTTTTGGTTGTGTCTCTGCCTGGCTTTGGTATCAGGATGATGCTGGCCTCATAAAATGAGTTAGGGAGGATTCCCTCTTTTTCTATTGATTGGAATAATTTCAGAAGGAATGGTACCAGTTCCTCCTTGTACCTCTGGTAGAATTCGGCTGTGAATCCATCTGGTCCTGGACTCTTTTTGGTTGGTAAGCTATTGATTATTGCCACAATTTCAGAGCCTGTTATTGGTCCATTTAGAGATTCAACTTCTTCCTGGTTTAGTCTTGGGAGGGTGTATGTGTCGAGGAATTTATCCATTTCTTCTAGATTTTCTAGTTTATTTGCGTAGAAGTGTTTATAGTATTCTCTGATGGTAGTTTGTATTTCTGTGGGATCGGTGGTGATATCCCCTTTATCATTTTTTATTGCGTCTATTTGATTCTTCTCTCTTTTCTTCTTTATTAGTCTTGCTAGCGGTCTATCAATTTTGTTGATCCTTTCCAAAAACCAGCTCCTGGATTAATTTTTTGAAGGGTTTTTTGTGTCTCTATTTCCTTCAGCTCTGCTCTGATTTTAGTTATTTCTTGCCTTCTGCTAGCTTTTGAATGTGTTTGCTCTTGCTTTTCTAGTTCTTTTAATTGTGATGTTAGGGTGTCAATTTTGGATCTTTCCTGCTTTCTCTTGTGGGCATTTAGTGCTATAAATTTCCCTCTACACACTGCTTTGAATGTGTCCCAGAAATTCTGGTATGTTGTGTCTTTGTTCTCGTTGGTTTCAAAGAACATCTTTATTTCTGCCTTCATTTCGTTATGTACCCAGTAGTCATTCAGGAGCAGGTTGTTCAGTTTCCATGTAGTTGAGTGGTTTTGAGTGAGTTTCTTATTCCTGAGTTCTAGTTTGATTGCACTGTGGTCTGAGAGACAGTTTGTTATAATTTCTGTTCTTTTACGTTTGCTGAGGAGAGCTTTACTTCCAACTATGTGGTCAATTTTGGAATAGGTGTGGTGTGGTGCTGAAAAAAATGTATATTCTGTTGATGTGGGGTGGAGAGTTCTGTAAACTGGTTCAACCATTGTGGAAGTCAGTGTGGTGATTCCTCAGGGATCTAGAACTAGAAATACCATTTGACCCAGCCATCCCATTACTGGGTATATACCCAAAGGACTATAAATCATGCTGCTATGAAGACACATGCACACGTATGTTTATTGCGGCACTATTCACAATAGCAAAGACTTGGAACGAACCCAAATGTCCAACAATGATAGACTGGATTAAGAAAATATGGCACATATACACCATGGAATACTGTGCAACCATAAGAAATGATGAGTTCATGTCCTTTGTAGGGACATGGATGAAATTGGAAATCATCATTCTCAGTAAACTATCGCAAGGACAAAAAACCAAACACCGCATGTTCTCACTCATAGGTGGGAATTGAACAATGAGAACACATGGACACAGGAAGGGGAACATCACACTCTGGGGACTGTTGTGGGGTGGGGGGAATGGGGAGGGATAGCATTAGGAGATATATCTAATGCTAAATGACGAGTTAATGGGTGCAGCACACCAGCATGGCACATGTATACATATGTAACTAACCTGCACATTGTGCACATGTACCCTAAAACTTAAAGTATAATAATAAAATAAAATAAGAAAAATGCAAAAATTAAAAATTTAAAAAAAAGCTCTCATTCTTTTAAGCACTTACAGGATATTCTTACAGATGTGTACCACGCTTAATGAATTGAGCTCTTGTGGATGAGAGTTTAATTTGTTTCTAATCATTTGTTATTTAATAGTACAGTCAGCATCTTTAGGATTAAGTATCTAGAATTAGAACTACTGTGTTGAAGAGGCTATTGCATTTAAATTGTTTTTTTTTTTTTTTTGATACGGAGTCTTGCTCTGTTGCCCAGGCTGGAGTGCAATGGCGTGATCTCAGCTCACCGCAACCTCCGCCTCCCAGGTTCAAGCAGTGCTCCTGCCTCAGCCTCCTGAGTAGCTAGGATTACAGGCACACGCCACCATGCCCGGCTAATTTTTGTATTTTTTTAGTAGAGACGGGGTTTCACCATGTTGGCCAGGCTGATCTTGAACTCCTGACCTTGTGATCTGCTCGCCTTGGCCTCCCAAAGTGCTGGGATTACAGGCATGAGCCACCGTGCCCGACCTACATTTAAATTGTAAATAAAAGTTTGCTAAATTGTTTTCAGTAGAGGTTATATTAATCTATATTTATACCAACATGGAGAGTTTGTTTCCTGCAAAATAGCCAATAATTTATCAAACCTTTGAATCTTTGTCAATTGAATAGTTAAAAATGATTATCTCATATTTGTACATTTTTATTTTATTGTGAAGTTCAGCACCTTTTCATGTGTTTAAGAACTTTTAATTTTCTGTTGTTTATATCGTCTTCCCATTACCATTTTAACTATTTGTTTTTATTTTCAGAGTTTTTGCTTATAAAATTTTATTTACAGTCAATTCTCTTTATTTGTAGAATCTGTATTTGTAAAGGCACCTACTTGCTAAAATTTATTTGTAACCTAACATCAATACTCATGGCAGTTTCATGGTTTTTCATGGACATACACAGAGGTGAAAAATTTGAGAACCTTATCCAGATATTCCCAGCTGGGGTTGAACAGTGCTCAGTTTTTTGTGTAGCTTTCTTATTATAAACAAGTGTCCTTTTCGAAAGCAGTTTATATAGTTCTACATTTTTCACATTTTTGTGCCTTCTGTTTGTGATTTTACTGTTTAAAGTGATTCCCAAGCATTGTGCTGAAGTGCTATATAGTGGTATTCCAAGGTGCATGCGGGCTGTGAGGTGCCTTAGAGAATACATGTGTTAGATAACCTTTGTTTAGTCATGAGTTATAGTGCTGTTGAGTGGGAGTTAGATGATGATGAGTCATCACTATTTATTATTATATTTTTTGAGATGGAGTCTCACTCTGTCACCCAGGCTGGAGTGCAATGGCATAATCTCGGCTCACTGCAACCTCCTCCTCCCGGGTTCAAACGATTCTCCTGCCTCAGTCTTCTCAGTAGCTGGGATTATAGGCACCCGCCACTGCACCCAGCATAATTTTTGTATTTTTAGTAGAGGTGGGGTTTTACCATGTTGGGTAGGCCAGTCTTGAACTCCTGACCTCAAGTGATCCACCCACCTTGGCATCCCAGAGTGCTGGGATTACAGATATGAGCCACCATGCCAGGTCTATATTTATTAAATAATGTGTCTTTAAACAGAAACAGATATAAAACAAGCTTACGTATTTATAAGTTGGTGAAAATGTGACCAAAGGCTTACAAGAACCTAACCCTGTATTTCTGTTAGGAGCAATGGCTCAGTATTCACTAATTTGCGTGTTTGTGGCAACTTCATAGAACATAACTACCTCAAGTAATGAGAATTGACTGCATTCTTTTTCAAGTCATTTTATAAACAATTTACAGAAGAATAAAGGGATGGTGAAAATTAACTTTGTTAGCAATTTTAATGAGAATCCAAATATAGGAGACCCACATTTTTTCCCATATTTTCCCAGTTTTGAATGTTTATGTATACCTAAAAGGCATTACATCCTTTGAAAGCAGCTGTCATTATGCATGAATCTGGAACATACCTACCTTTAAATACGGATTTTGGATTTCAAATGCATCTCTACTATGTTCTACCTTATTATTTGTATTCTTCATGAACTCACTTTGTCAAAATGCAATACTTTTTGTTTTTTAATTTATTTTTATTTTTTGTAGAAATAGGGTCTCACTGTGTTGCCCAGGCTGGCCTTGAACACCTGGCCTCAAGTGATCTTCCTGCCTTCCAAAGTGCTGGGGACGGTAGGCATGAGCCACCACACCTGTCCAAACTGCAATACTTCTGAAAACTTTAGGGCTCATAGTTTTGTTGAAGTGATAGATGATGGCTATATTCTTTGTTACATAACAGCAAAACATTTTTGTTTTTACATTTATAAATACCAATTAGAATGACTTTCAGTGGATTGGTTTTCATTTTTCACATCATCTTTACCTTCCTGTTACTTTGTGTACATATCTGTCTTTCATACTTGTCCACTTACAAACTTTTTCAAGTAAATTCTGGTGTTACAAGCATAAAAGATGAAAGAACGTTGTCACATGGTCACTTGTCCTTTTAGCAATTATGCGATGATTCAACTGTTCTAGGTACAACTAGAGGGAGAGTATCCCAGGCAAGGGAGATAACAAATAGAAAGGCCCTAAGACACAAGTGTATTTAACATGTTTGGGGAACAACAAGGAGTTAATCGTGGCTGGAGTGGAAGTAAGGAGGAGAGATTAAGGAGATGGAGCTAAGAGAGGTAGTCAAGGGCCAGGCCATATGTCAGCGATAGTAAGGTCTTCAGCATTTACTTTTTTAAGCTGGGAGTCCATGGAAAGGTTTTGAACCCAAGGTATAGCATGATCTGACTTACAGAAAGAGACTTCTGATTGCTGTGTTGAAAATACACCATAGGTTTGAAGGGAGGAAACAGGCTGACTAGTTAGAGCCAGTGTGGGTAGTGGTGGTTGGATCTGAGTATATTTTCCAAGTGGAGCCACCAGGATTTTTCAGTAGATTGATTACATGTGGTGTATGAAAGAGGAGTGTCAAGTGTAACTCCGAGATTTTTGGCTTATGCAACTGGAAAAATAAAGTTAGAATTTAATGAGATGGAGGTCTGCATAAGGAGTACTTTTGTGGCAGGAAAGAAATTGGGTTTTGAACATGTGAAAATTGAGATGCCCATTAGTAGAAGTTGGATGTGAATAAAGAGTCCAGGCCAGGTGCAATGCCTCATGCCTGTAATCTCAGCACTTTGGGAGGCCAAGGCAGGAGAATCATGTGAGCCCAGGAGTTCAAGACCAGACTGGGCAACAAAGTGAGACCCCGTCTATATTATAAAATAAAAAAATAGTTCAGAGGAGAGGTCTGGGCTAGAGATGGAAATGTAGAAGTTAGTAAATTTAAAGCTGTTGAACTAGAGGAGATAGCTGAGGAAGTGCATTCAAATAGAGAAGATGTCAGAGGAGAACTTTGGGGTTCTCTCAGTGGTTAGAGATAGGATATGAGGAAAAACAGTGCAGGAGACTAAGGAGGAGCTCTCATTGAGTTAGGAAAATCAAGAGGGATGCCCTGGAAGCCAAATGAAGGCAGTGTTTTGAGGAAGAGGGGTGATGGGCCATGTGAAAGCCAATAGGTCACATGCTGCTAATGGGTCAACTAAAGTGAGGACTGAGAAGTATTCACCAATTTAGCAATGTGGAGCTCATTGGTGACCCTCATAAGAGCTGTGTTGGTGGAATGGAGGAGGTAAAATCCTGGAGGGAGAGAACATAAGAATGAGAGAACAGTTGACAGTGCATGTAAACAACTCTTTCACGGAACTTTGTATTTCTGAATTTTTGTTTATTTGGCTATTAATAAAATCATATCTGATATAGCTTTATTTTAGTAAGGTTTGTTTTTGTGGGACTTCAGTTGTGTATACACATATAATATGTGTGTGTATGTATGTGCGTATGGTGTTTTGATGTAAAATTTATTATTGTGGGTCATGGTTAAAAAAAAAGCTTGAGAATGAGGAGTTAGATCAAGAAATAGAAGGAAAGTTGACATAAGAAGTTGTGGATGTAGGAGATTCTACCATGTAGACACAGTGGAAGGATTTAGGGAGTTGGAGCAGGTTGGGATATGTGATCAGAAAGCGGGAGTTTAGCTCTCTCACTTGCCCCTGCTTTTACCATGTGATGTGTCTGCTACCCCTTCACCTTCCACCATGACTGTAAGCTTCCTGAGGTCTCCCTAGAAGCCAAGCAGATGCCAGCACCATGCTTCCTGTAAAGCCTGCAGAACCATGAGCCAATTAAACCTCTTTGTAAATTACCCAGTTTGAGGTATTTCTTTATAGCAGTGCAAGAATGCCCCAATACAGAAAATTGGTACCGAGAAGTTGGGCATTGCTATAAAGATACCTGAAAATGTGGAAACAGCTTTGGAACTGGGTAATGAGTAGTGGTTGGAAGAGTTTACAGGGCTCAGAAGAAGACAGGAAAATGAGGGTAAGTTTCAAACTTTTTTTTTTTTTTTTTTTTTTTTGAGACGGAGTCTTGCTCTGTCGCCCAGGCTGGAGTGCAGTGGCGTGATCTTGGCTCACTGCAACCTCTGCCTCCCGGGTTCAAGTGATTTTCTGCCTCAGCTTCCCAAGCAGCTGGGGTTACAGGCATGCACCACCATGCCTGGCTAATATTTTTGTATTTTTAGTAAGGATGGGGTTTCACCATGTTGGCCAGGCTGGTCTCGAACTCCTGACCTCAAGTGATTCACCCACCTCGACCTCCCAAAGTGCTAGGTTTACAGGCGTGAGCCACCGCTCCCGGCAAGTTTGGAACTTCTTAGAGACTAGATAAGTGGTTGTGACCAAAATGCTGATGGTGATAGGGACAGTGAAGTCCAGGTTGACAAGGTCTCAAAAGGAAACGAATTTATTGGGAACTGGAGCAAAAGTCACACGTTATGCCTTAGCAAATAACTTGGCTGCATTCTGCTTGTGTCCTAGGGATCTGTGGAAGTTTGAACTTAAAAACTATGACCTAGCGTATGTGGCAGAAGAAATTTCTAAGCAGCAAAGCATTCAAGATGTGGCCTTCTGCTACTAACAGCCTGTGCTCAGATGTGGGGGCAAATGAATGACTTAAATTTGGAACTTACATTTAAACAGGAAGCAGAGCCTAAAAGTTGGGAAATTTTGCAGCCTAGCCAGGTGGTAAAAAAAAAAACCATTTTCTCCAAGGAATTCAAGCAGGCTGTGGAGCAACCACTTGCTGATATTTGCATAACTGAAAGGGATCCAAGTGGTAATATCCAAGACAATGGGGAAAAGGCCTCAAAGGCATTTCAGAGACCTATGGGGCAGCCCCTCCTGTCATAGGCCCTGAAGCCAAGGAAGACTGAATATTTTCCTGGGCTGAGCCCAGGGCCCTGTTGCCCTGTGCAGCCTCAGAACACTGCTCCCTGCATCCAGATGGCTCCAACTCCAGCAGGGGCTCAAAGGGGCCTAGGTACAGCTTGGGCTGTTACTTTGGAGGGCATAAGCCATAGCCTTCACAGCTTCCATTAGGTGGTAAGCCTGCAGGCACACAGAATGCAAAAATGGTGAATTCTTGGTAGCCTCTGCCTGGATTTCAGAGGATGTATGGAAAAGCCTGGGTGTCCAAGCAGAACCCTGCTGCAGGAGCAGAGCCCTCACAGAGAGCCTCTACTAGGGCAGCATGGAGGGGAAATGTGGGGTTAAAGGCCCCACGCAGAGTCCCTACTGGGGCACTGCCTAGTGGAGCTGTGAGAAGAGGGCTACTGTTCTCCAGAATGGTAGAGCCACTGGCAGCTTGTACCCTGCACTTGGAAAAGCCACAGACACTCAACCCAGCCTGTGACAGCAGGCTGAACTCTGCAAAGCTATAGGAGCAGAGCTGCCCAAGGCCTTGGGAGCCCAACCCTCATATCAGCGTGCCACATGGAAACCAAGGAGATCATTGTGGAGTTTCATGATTTAATGACTGCCATGCTGGGTTTTGAACTTGCATGGGGCCTATAGCCCCCTTTTTTGGCAGGTTTTTCCCTAATGGGAATATTTCCCCAATCCCTGAACCCTGATTGTATGTTGGAAGTAAATAATTTGTTTTTTATTTTATAGGCTCATAGGTGGCAGGGATTTGCCTTGTCTCAGATGAGACTTTGGATTCCTGAGTTAATGCTGGAATGAGTTAAGACTTTGCGGCACTGTTGGGAAGGCATGGTTGTATTTTGCATTGTGAAAAGGACATAAGATTTGGGAGGGGCCAGAGGTGGAATGATGTGGTTTGGATATTTATCTCTACTTATGTTGAATTTTATCCCGAGTGTTGGAGATGGGGCATGGTGGGAGGTGTTTGGATCATGGGGGCAGATCCCTCATGGCTTGGTGTTACCTTTGTGTTGTTACTGAGTTCTCGTGAGATCTGGTCATTTCAAAGTGTATGAAACCTGCCCCCTGCCCCCCCACTGTCTCTCACTTGTTTCTGCTTTCATCATGTGACATGTGTGCTCACCTTCTGCCATGATTTTAGTTTCCTGAGGCCTCCCTAAAAGCCGAGCAGATGCCAGCACCATGCTTCCTGTAAAGCCTGCAGAACCGTGAGTCAACTAAACCTCTTTTCTTTATGAAAGAAAAGGAAGGAAGGGAGAGAGGGAAGGAGAAAAAGAGAGAGGGAGAGATGGATGGAGGAAGGGAGGGAGGGCTTACAACCATGAGGACAGTTTTTAGGTCAATGAGGGATGACTTGGGAGTCCTATGAAGACTGATGTAAACTAGAATAAAGGGCATGATGAGCTTATGATTCAAAAGTATTTTGTCATAGAAATAGTTTGTTTTCTGTAAAAGAACACAGTAAATATTTTAGCTTTGTAGGCCACTGAGTCTCTGTTGCTTTAAAAAATGTGAAAACCATTCTTAGCTTGAGGGCTGGACAGTCCAGGGCCATACTTTACTGACCGCTGCTTGAACTAAACGCTGTTAGAAGCAGCTCTGGAAAAATAATTTGCATGGAATCTTATGATTTTTTTTTTTTTTTTTTTTTTTGAGGCAGAATTTTGCTCTTGTTGCCCAGGCTAGAGTGCAATAGCGCGTTCTTGGCTCACTGCAACCTCCGCCTCCTGGGTTCAAGCAATTCTCCTGCCTCAGCCTCCCGAGTAGCTGGGATTACAGGAAGGCACCACCATGCGTGGCTAATTTTGTATTTTTAGTAGAGACAAGGTTTCTCCATGTTGGTCAGGCTGGTCTCGAACTCCCAACCTCAGGTGATCCACCCGCCTCGGCCTCCCAAAGTGCTGGGATTACCAGCGTGAGCCACTGCACCTGGTCAAGTATTATGGTTTTTTAATAGTATGCACACATGGGACAAAACTCAACTGGTATAAAAGGGTATGCAGGAGAAAAAAAGCAAACTTCCCTCTCTCCCTTTTCTGTCCACCAGCCATCCTGTTCTCCTCCCTAAACTCAATTATGGTTGCCTGTTTTTTATATAAGTTTTCCATGAATTTATAAATACATCACGTGCATATATCCTGTCAGTCAATATTAAGAAATTACTAGGTTATTTTGTGTTTATGTGTGCACTATTAGATTTAATGAGTTATGCTAGTTGTTGCCTCTTATATCCACATTCAGTCTTCATTGTCTGTTCTGTAATAATAGATCTGGGCCCTGTAAATACCTCTCCCATGACAGTAAGCACAGAGTGAAACTTTGTCAATCGAGGGTGCTGCTGACACACTGAAGGGGCAAGGGCTGCTTTTCCTGGTTCCATTGTGCTCCTCTAGGCAGACACCTGCAACACCTGTGCCATCTGCAATACCAGCTCCTGTAGCACATACACTCTGCCTCTGCAGCACCTCGTTCTGGCTGCACACTTCTTGGGCGGTGCCTAACTTCAGCAGCACCCAATGGTCAGCAGCGCACAGTACCCCCACATGAATGGCTTCCCTTGACATGCACAAGGTCCCTTCTCTGCAAAGTGCCCCAAGCCCAGCACCTTCTCCAGCTGCAACTCCACAGCCTCAGCAAACCTCTGTCTTTCACAGCTGTGTCCTCTCACACGAAGTCTGGATCTCAGCCCGGATCTCAGCCCTGAGCTTTCTTCTTTGAGTTGTTCTGTCTCAGCCTGGGGTGAAAAGCCCATATCGGCTGTTCCCTGCATCTGCCCAGGCTTCTCTTTATTCCTTACTACCCAATCCCCATTCCAATCCTCTGTTAATAACTCTTACGGACAGTCCCCAACTCATGATGACTTGACTTAGGATTTTTCTACTTTGCAATGGTGCAAAAGTGATCCGCATTCAGTAGAAACTGTTCCTCAAGTACTCATACGACCTCTATTTTTCACTTTCTGTACAGTATTCAATAAATTGCGTGAGATTTTCAATACTTTATTATAAAATAGGCTTTGTGTTTATGATTTTGCCCAACTGTAAGCTAATATAAGTGTTCTCAGCGTGTTTAAGGTAGGTCAGGTTAAGCGATGATGTTTGGTAGTTTAGGTATATTAAATGCATTTCTGACATACAATATTTTCTACTTACAATGGGTTTTTCAGGATATAACCCTGTTGTAAGTTGAGGAGCATCTTATTTTATTTATTTATTTATTTATTTGAAATGGAGTCTTGCTCTGTCACCCAGGCTGGAATGCAGTGGCACGATCTTGGCTCACTGCAACCTCTGCCTCCTGGGTTCAAGCAATTCTCCTGCCTCAGCCTCCCAAGTAGCTGAGACTACAGGTGCACACCACCATGCCTGGCTTTTTTTTTTTTTTTAATTTTTTTTTGTATTTTTAGTAGAGACAGGATTTCACCATGTTGGCCAGGCTGGTCTCGAACTCCTGACCTCAAGTGATCTGCCCACCTCGGCCTCCCAAAGTGCTGGAATTACAGGCGTGAGCCACTGCGTCAGGCCGAGCATCTGTATATTAAACTTTCCCCATTCAAATTTCTGTGTGGTTTCTGTCTCCTGACTGGATTCTGATATAATGCTTAACAACCTTTCTAATTACAAAGGTATTACATATAAAATCAGACAAGCAAGAAGACAATCCATCCCACCTTCTAGTACTCTTGCCCTCCAGAGGTAGCTCCAGTTAATATTTTAGTGCTAAACTAGATTTATTTTTGTTTTAAATAGAAAAATAATGCAGGCACGAAAGTAAAACAAAAAACAGTACAGAATGGGAGAGACTGAAAAGTAAGAATGGCTTCCAGGCCCACTTCCTAGAGGTACGCACTATTAACATTTTTAGATATAAACTTCCAGAAATTTTTTTCCAGTTTTATTTAGGTATAATTGACAAAATTATTTATATTTCAGTTGTACAACATGGATGTTCAACATGTTTTGGTGTACATATACTTTCTGATATTATAAATGGTTACCACAAGCAAGCTCAGTAACATATTCAGAAATTCTTAATGTAGCTAGCAATATAAGTGGTTTTGTTTTTTGTTTTGAGACAGACAGGGTCTTGCTCTGTTGCCCAGGCTGGAATGCAGTGGCGCCATCTTGGCTCACTGCAACCTCTGCCTCCCGGGTTCAAGCAAGTCTTGCGTCTCAGCCGCCCTAGTGGCTGGGACTACAGGCATGTGCCACCACACCTGGCTAATTTTTGTATTTTTAGTAGAGATGGGGTTTCACCATGCTGGCCAGGCTGGTCTCGAATTCCTCACCTCAAATGATTCGCCCGCCTCAGCCTCCCAAAGTGCTGGGATTACAGGTGTGAGCCACCGCACCCAGTCATAAGTGGTTTTCTAAACAAATGAGACCACACCATACATACTGTCCCTATATTTCATACTTGGGCAAGGGGAGGGGAGTTGACTTTTTTCTTAGTGAGAATAAAAATGAGGATAAAAGTATGGTTGTTTACCAACTTATAGTAGTATCATGAATTTCGAATGGTCTTCTGGCCGTTCAGAAAACTACTTAACTGGTAGGAACGAAATTCTGGACACTGACATTGATATAGACACTCATATCAAATATAATACTATGAAATACTATGATATGGAAATAATATGCAATCACTAGAGATAAAATATTTTCTACCCAAGTAGAGTGGATTCATAAGAAAATTCTAAATTATAGCATATGTTGAACTCTGAGAAGCCTCTGGAATGAAGTCATTTTTCCCTAACCCCTGTTTCCTCTTTATATTGGCAGTGGATAAATGGAAAGTAAGTTAACTCTACTGTACCAAAGCTAGTTCAATATAGAAAACAGGTTCTACAAGGATTAAGGAACATCTCTTGGCCCACAGAAGATTCATGTGGATCCTGTGTTAAACCCGTTTCATCCATGTATGAAAGTGATTCAACCGTTAAGTTAGCCATTTATTATATAAATTGAATACTTCTTCCATATTGTGGCTTTTAGATAGATTGGCAGACCTGTCCCCAACCCCTTCCCTGTTGACCATGGACAATGGAGGGTTTGCTGTATAAACTTGATTGAAGGGTTTGCCTTTAGCTGGGGTGGATTACTCAGGGACCTCAAAGGTATTGGTGATGATTTATTTCTTGAGCTTGGTGGTGAGTATGCAGGACTGTGTTTTGTTTTGTTTTGTTTTTTAGCAAGCCTTACACATTTTCTTTTGTATGCAATATTTAATAAAATAATTTTGGATAATTTGGTTTTTAGCATTAATCAACAACTTTTTTTACATCCTCAATATGCCCCAAGACAAATTATTGATTCAGCAGTTTTTAGCTGAATCTTTTATTTCTGAATGATTGGAGAGAACGGCAGTATCCATTTCTGGAGAATAGTTAAGTACTTAGATTGAGGATGTCTTTCTTTCATGACATTAAGCAATGCAATATCATCTGCATCCAAGAGCCAACTTAACATGTTCAGTCTAATGAGCCTTGGTAGTCGTAACACACATTGACTCAAAGACTTGACTGTTGTGGCCTGAGCTTTGATACACTCTGTGAAATGCCTGGAGATGTCCAACTCCTGCAAGTTTGGCATGTTGTCCAGTGCTTGAAAGAAATTTCTGTATCCTTCCTCTGTAATCTTGTGATTGATTGAAAGCTTTAGGTTCTCAAGTTTCTGGAAACCTCCACTGATTGCTACTTTGGCTACAAGAACAAAACATTCATGAAAATAGAATCATAAGGACTTCCATTTCAATAATGGTAGACAAGGTTATTTGAACCAGCCTCCTCTCCCACCACTACTGCTAGTAGGAAGTACTCAATATAATTTTGTTTTTTGAAATGGGGTCTTGCTATGTTAACACAGGCTGGTCTCTTTTTCTTTCTTTCTTTTTTTTTTTTTTTTTTTTTTTTTGAGATGGAGTCTCGCTCTGTTACCCAGGCTGCAGTGCAGTGGCATGATCTCAGCTCACTGCAACCTCCGCCTCCCAGGTTCATGCCATTCTCCTGCCTCAGCCTCCCGAGTAGCTGGGACTACAGGCGCCCGCCACCATGCCCAGCTAATTTTTTGTATTTTTAGTAGAGACGGGGTTTCACTGTGTTAGCCAGGATGGTCTCGATCTCCTGACCTTGTGATCCACCCGCCTTGGCCTCCCAAAGTGCTGGGATTACAGGCGTGAGCCACCGCGCCTGGCCATCACAGGCTGGTCTCAAACTCCTGGACTCAAGTGATCCTCCTGCCTCAGCTTCCCAAGTAGGTGGGATTACAAGCACGTGTCACTGTGCCCAGCTTAATATAATATTTTGAAAATATCTCCTTAAAAACCCCAAAGAGCTGATGGGTTAATAAAGAACCACCTGGCAAAAATCTAAGGGAGAAGCAGAAACCAAAGAAGTACAGCCAAGCCTAAAGCACTGACGCCATTGTGCTGAGAGTTTCACCATCCTGGACAAATATGAGCTTCTCTTTTGGTCTCACAGGAGGTCACATGCCAAGGCACATCATGCCTACAAACCAGACTAAATTGGCAAGTCACAGTGGCTCACGCTTGTAATCCCAGCATTTTGGGAGGCCGAGGTGGGTAGATCACTTGAAGTCAGGAGTTCGAGACCAGGCTGGCCAACATGGTGAAACCCCATCTCTACTAAAAATACAAGAATCAGCCGGATATGGTGGTACATGCCTGTAATCCCAGCTACTCGGGAGGCTGAGGCAGGAGAATCAGCTTGAACCTGGGAGGTAGAGGTTGCAGTGAGCCAAAATCCCACCACTGCACTCCAGCCTGGGTGACAGAGCAAGACTCCGTCTAAAAAACAAAAAGAGAAAACAAAAAAAAAAAATCCAGACTAAATTACAAGGGACTTCAAAGAGTGTAGCAATTATGTCTTCCCCTTTTATAGAGAAGGGGGTGTGACATTCCTAAAGCCATGTCATCCGACTGTCCACTGCTATGCCCTATTTCTGTTGCCCAGAAGGGACCCTCCTGTTTTTGAGACTAAGGGCTCTGAAGGAAATGGAAGCCGGGCACACCCTGTGTTCTCAATGAACACAGGCTGACTAGACTTTGGAATGGGTACCAAGCAGAGTTCTTGTTGTTTGGTTTAGGGGTTTTTAAAAAAAAAAAATTTTTTTTTTTTGAGACAGGGTGTCACTTGGTTGCCTAGGCTGGAGTGCAATGGTTCAGTTATAACTCACTGCAGCCTAGAATTTCTGGGCTCAAGCAATCCTCCCGCCTCAGCCTCCTGAGTCCTAGCTACTCAGGACTAGCCACCGTGCTTGGCTAATTTTTCAATTTTTTATGGAGACAAGGTCTTGCTATGTTGCCCAATCTTGTCTCAAACTCCTGGCCTCAAGCAGTCCTTCTATCTTGGCCTCCCAACGTGTTGGGATTACAGGCATGAGCCACCATGCCCAGCCTTGTTTTTAATTGCTAAACCTCTTTTTTTTTCTAACTTGGGCAAAGGTTAAGTTTGGTTTCAATCTAGAATCCATGGCTGTAGCTTGACTGAGGTTAAACAACAGAGGTACTGAGAAAATGTCTTCAGCTATGTCCTGAATAGGTATCTTCAGTAACATTCAAGAGATATTTCTCATTCCCCCACATGAAAGACACTTCTGGAGGGACTTGAAGAAAGACTCAGGTCTTTCACATCCATTCCCTTCTTTCCCCTGTTTCAGCATAACTCCCACTTCATATTGTGTGATTAGCCGGTTCTGTGATGTGTCTGAATGCTGTCTCCTACAGGTAAAGTTTAAGCATTACTGACTATAGGCAAACAATGGCCTCTCAGCTGTCCATCAGAAGAAGCTACAGAAAAGTAAGTTTTCTTTATTCAGTCAACAAATATTTACTGAGTTCCCACTATAGGCCAGGCATACTCTGCTGGGCGCCGGGAAGAGAAAACACCTGCTCTCAGGAGGGAGAGCGACAGGGGTTACTGGCTCAAATCTGTGTGTGAGATTGAAGTTCTAAGGAAGGCTTTGACCTAATGTAGTGAGAAGAATAAAACACAAATAATTTATAGTAAATGAGGATGAGAGAGACCACAAAATTTAATGTTATTAAATTCTTCCTCATAAGGAGGAAGAAACAAGGCCTTTAAGAAAAAGGTTGTAAGTTGTCATTGTTTTTTGTTTTTTGTTTTTTTTTTTTGAGACGGAGTCTCGTTCTGTTGCCCAGGCTGGAGTGCAGTGGCATGATCTTGGCTCACTTCAAGCTCCACCTCCCGGGTTCACACCATTCTCCTGCCTCAGCCTCCCGAGTAGCTGGGACTACAGGTGCCCGCCATCACGCCTGGCTAATTTTTTGTATTTTTAGTAGAGACGGGGTTTCACCATGTTAGCCAGGATGGTCTCGATCTCCTGACCTCGTGATCCATCCGCCTCGGCCTCCCAAAGTGCTGGGATTACAAGCTTGAGCCACCGCTCCCAGCTGTTTTAAATAACGTAAAATAACAGTGCTGAGCAGTAAGAAAATGAGATCCAGCCCTTGTAACACACCCGACAAAGCCTCTCCAATTGGGCTTTTACTTTCCTCTCCAGTCTTCTTCTCACAACTCACTCCTGCCTCTTGCTCCAGACATTCCTTTTTTTCCCCCAAGTTCTTCAAATATATCTGGTTCTCTTTAACTCCAGGCTATGACACAAGTGATTACCTCTGTTTGAAATGATGTCTCAATTCCTCCTCTACCAACTATGCCTGGGCCATTCTCCCTTCAGGTCTCGACAGAAATCTCAGTTCCTCAGGCCAGGCACTGTGGCTCACTTGAGGTCAGGAGTTCGAGACTAGCCTGGCCAACATGGTGAAACCCTGTGTTTACTAAAAATACAAAATTAGCCAGGTGTGGTGGCGTTCACCTGTAATCCTAGCTACTTGGGAGGCTGAGGCAGGAGAATCGCTTGAACCCAGGAGGCAGAGTTTGCAGTGACCCGAGATCGTGCCATTGTACTCCAGCCTGGGCAACACGAGCGAAACTCTGTCTCAAAAAAAAAAAAAAGAAGAAAATAAGAAAATAAAATTCAGTGAGCAGTACACATGATTTTTGTACTTTTCTGTGTGTATATTCATCTTCAGTTTTAAAAAGGAGTACTTAGGAGAGTATGTGGCCAGGTGTCTAAAACACCAGGTGGCAAGAACGCAGATTTGAGGGCTTGTATATCCACAAATGGGAGACCTTTTTGTACTTCCAAATCTGACCAGAATGCGCCTAAATCCACAGAAGGACACTAGAAGGAACAGTATGATAGTGAAAATGAGGAAGCGGGTTGAAAATTTCTAGAGGGGCAAATGTTTACATAGACATGTTGCAGCAGAAAGCTTGGCTATACCACTGGCTTCCATGCAAGCTGAAACACTAGCTCACCAATTTCCACCACGCTGTCATCATTCAAAGTCTTGAAAAATGAGAGGACTCGGAGACAATGAAGCTGCTGACACTGCTGGATGATCAGTTTGGCCACTCGATAAATTCCATCCCCAGTAGGAAGGATCAATTCTTCCAGGTTACTAAGAGAACCTAAAATGTAGGCTGTCAGAAAAGACCAAAAAGCTATTCTCTTTGTACTTTTTGTTCCTATGCAACAGTAATCTGAAAATCATGTATGGTCTAAACATCATGCACAGTCCAGGAAGCAAGAGAAGGGCCAGCACATGCTTCCGTCTTCCTCGCTCCTCCAGACAATTCCTCCACCACACCCTACCAACCAATCTCTCCTGCACTAAAGTCCAGGCTGCCAATTAAATCTCCATTCCTCGTTTAGAATGAAGCTTTTCCTGACCTGCAGGTTCCTTTCCCAGCTCTGCAATGCCTTCAGCCACCTCCTTTCCCATTCCACCTCCCGCTGTCATGCTCAGTGATTCTGCACCGGCCTCCTGGCCCTAAAGCCTCACAGTCCACCACTCTTAGAACCTTCCTTTTCACTTCGACTCCTTCCTAGCATGGCACACGATAGATCATTTGATCATTAGAAAGGTAACTTCTGAGGCCTCACACATGGAAATATATTGAATAATTTCTAGCATAAATCAATGTCCCAGGCTTATCATTTTCTTTCCCTGTCTCAGTTCTTGAATCAGCCAATTTTGCAAGGACCCTGGTTCCTTTACGGAAGGACAGGATTTAGAAATCAGTATCTAGGCACTTGGTGTGTTCATTATTACTGCAGTGCCTTCTAGTCTCTCCATTGAGCTGAGAAATATGTATGTGTGTATCTATAGACATGTGGAGATCAATGTATATATATGGAGATCTCTATGTATGTTCATAGGTTAGAAAAAACCATGAGGCCAGACCAATATTTCCAATTCTAATCCAACACCTCAAAGCTCTTTCTAGCCTCACCTTTCAATATTTGTAAGTTCCTTTTCCAACTGTGAGGAAACGTGGCTCTCATTATACTCACTGTTTTGTTCGTTTGTTTGTTTTTGAGACAGAGTCTTGCTCTGCCACCCAGGCTGGAGTACAGTGACCTGATCTTGGCTCACTGCAATCTCTGCCTCCGAGGTTCGAGAGATTCTCCTGCCTCAGCCTCCCAAGTAGCTGGGACTACAGGCATGTGCCACCACGCCCAGCAAATTTTTGTATTTTTTAGTAGAGATGGGGTTTCACCATGTTGGCCAGGCTGGTCTTGAACTCCTGACCTCAGGTGATCCACCCACCTCGGCCTCCCAAAGTGCTGGGATTACAGGTGTGAGCCACTGCATCTGGCTATACTCACTGTATTATTTGCTTAATCAACCTATGATGTATGCCAGCCATCCCCTTGGCCCTGATCCTACCTCTGCCACCTCAGCCCCCACCCACCTAGCTGCCTCCAAGGAAGGGAAGAGGAGGATCCTGGCAATCTTTATGTACGCTTATGTTTGAGAAGCACTTTGAATAGCACAGCTCTACAGTCCCTATCTCCACTGCCTCCCTTTATTTTTTTTTTTTCCTGTTAGAATGTTTTCCATGAGCATACATTACTTTCATAATCGTTTTTTAAAAATCAAAAAGTATTTAAATTCTATAGCTATCATTTTATGAAATACACGTTTTCACGTATTGAGTTTTCCTAACCTTAAAAGATAGATTTTTACCTATATTCTAGTAACCTTTGAAACTATGAGGTCTTATATTTGGAACAGATACCTGACAATTATATTGCATAGTGCTATAATGACCAAATATGTACTCTAAGAAGTCATTCTGCTTTGAATGAGATCAAGTCTGCAGGTAAAACTGTAGTGAAGGCATTTGGTGGGTAGAAGTTGAGCATGACTATCACTTCGTTCTGGTAAGCAAGGGTAGCTAATGCATATCTTGCTTCCTTGTGGCTAATTCAGAATAGGAGAAAAAGGATTCTGGGCAGAAAGAGAATAAGAATACGTAAAAAGCACTATTTTGTAAACATACCAAATTTTTCTGATGTTTCCTCATCAGGAAATTGCTGGCCTTCAAGATTTAATATCTTCAGAGAAATAAAATTTGGCAAACTGGCAACTATGAAAGGGAAAATAAAAATTTAGTTATGTCAGCTACATCTCTCACAGCAAAGTGTAACATCTTTAAAATGAAGAAATTAGAAATTAATGTAATAATTCAGATTGAATTCATATGACTAAGTAGATAAAACAAATTTTTGCTCAGAAAATAATTCTGATAACTAGAAATGTTGTTAAAATTCTAGAAATTTCAAATCCAACTGAGCGTAAAGGTAAAAAAGAAAATTCTGGAAACACCTATACTTTATTATTTGAGAAACAATTTTTCTTTTCTTTCTTTCTTTTTTTAAAGAGACAAGGTCTGTGTCACCCAGGCTGGAGTGCAGTGATACCATCACAGCTCGCTGCAGCTTCAACCTTCTGGGCTCAAGTAATCTTCCTGCCTTAGCTTCCCTAGTAGCTGGGACTATAGGTACCACTGTGCCCGACTGATTTTTTTAAAGCTTTTTAGAGGTGGAGGGCTTGTTATGTTGCCCAGACTGGTCTCAAACCCCTGACCTCAAGCAAGCCTCCTGCCTCAGCTTCCCAAAGTGCTGGGATTACAGGCATGAGCCACCACACCCAGCCTCAAAATATGGCCCTTTTTAAAGAGTGCTTAATATGACTCTGTGTCCATAGAAACATTTTAAACCACCATTGTAATATTATAACTCTTACCAAATGGGACGGCTTGAAAAAATGAATCCGAAAACTTAATTTCTGTGAGTTTCTTACAGGAAACAAGCATAGTCATGAGAGACCCAAAATCCGAAAAGAAGTTACACTTCAGATGGAAAACATGAAGGTTTGGAGAATTTTGAATTAATTTTACTGTAAAAGATCAAGGATTTTCAGAAATTAGAAAATACTGCAAATTTCTATCAAAATTAGCCAAGTAGTTTATTATTTTGTTTCAATAATACTTAATTAAAACCAGGTACCACGATCTCATGATCTAAGAATCAGGTCACTGGGCTTGGGTTCAGGTTCTGCAACTAGCAAGTAATGTGAATTTTGACACATTATTGACCCTCTCTGGGTAACAGTTTTCTCTTCTATAAAATACAAGCATTGACTCAGTAGCATCACCTTCAGCTTTAACACCTAATAACTCTAAGTTTGTACATGACATTTACACAATAAGAATACAAAGAGGCCAGGTGCTGTGGCTCATGCCTGTAATCCCAGCACTTTGGGAGGCCGAGGCAGGTGGATCATCTGAGCTCAGGAGCTCGAGACCAGCCTGGCCAACATGGTGAAACCCTGTCTCTACTAAAAATACAAACATTTGCCAGGCGTGGGTGGCAGGCAGCTGTAATCCCAGCTACTCGGGAGGCCGAGGCAGGAGAATCGCTTGAACCCAGGAGGCAGAGGTTGCAGTGAGTGGATATTGCGCCACCAAACTCCAGCCTGGGCAACAGAGCAAGACTGCATCTCCAAAAAAAAAAAAAAAAAAAAAAAAAAGAATACTATACAAAGAAACAGCTGGGCATAGTGGCTCACGCCTGTAATCCTAGTACTTTGGGAGGCTGAGGTGGGCGGATCACCTGAGGTCAGGAGTTTGAGACTGGCCTGGCCAACATGGTGAAACCCCGTCTCTACTAAAAATATTAAAAAATTAGCCGGGCATGGTGATGGGTGCCTGTAATCCCAGCTACTTGGGAGGCTGAGGCAGGAGAATTGCTTGAACCCAGGAGACGGAGGTTGCAGTGAGCTGACAACGGTGCCACTGCACTCCAGCCTGGGTGACAGATTGAGACTCTGTCTCAAAAAAAAAAAAGAAACATAAAAGGAATGACAACTCTGAAGCAAAACCTAAATTTGTTGCAAAATTTGCTGACAAATATAACTACCACCTCCAGCTTCGGTGTATATATGTATGCACACACACACACACACACACATATATATATATATATATATTTTTTTTTTTTTTTTTTTTGAGACAGGGTCTTGCTCTATCACCTAGGCTGGAGTGCAGTGGCATGATCATAGCTTATTGCAAGCTTGAACTTCTGGACTCAAGTGATCCTACCAGCCTCCTGAGTAGCTGGGGACTATAGGTGCACACCATCATACTTGGCTAATTTTTTATTTTTTTAGTAGAGACGATGTCTTGCTATATTGCCCAGCCTGGTGCTGAACTCCTGCTCTCAGGCGATCCTCCCGCCTCGGCCACCCAAAGTGCTAAGATTACAGGTGTGAGTCACTGTGCCTGGCCAACAATGAAGCTTTTGCATGCAAGTCTTTATGTCAATTCCATAGAGTTGTATATTTCTTCAATCTTTAGTGTTCAGTGTTTACTAAGTTAAGGAATGATGGTGCCTAAGTCATTTAGCTAAATGATGTATTTAAGAAAGATGGCTGCACCATTTTCCATGAACTATTAGGATAGGCTGGTGAGAAACAGGGAAATACTTCCAATGACTACAGATTAGCAGATTTCCTTCCTGCTGAGCTGCCAGATCTGTAAGTTGCAATGTAAGACCAGCCTAACCAAAAACAAAATAAAATAACCCTACAAATTATTTTGGAGTGGCAACATTATATTAGGGATTTCTTTCTTTTTTTTTTTTTTTTTCTGAGATGGAGTTTTGCTCTCGTTCCCCATGGAGTTTTGCTCTTGTTCCCCATGGAGTTTTACTCTTGTTCCCCAGGCTGGAGTACAATGGCGCGATCTCGGCTCACATTGCAATCTCTGCCTCCCAGGTTCAGGTAATTCTCCTGCTTCAGCCTCTCAAGTAGCTGGGATTACAGGCATATGCCACCATGCCAGCAAATTTTTGCATTTTTAGTAGAGGCAGGGTTTCACCATGTTGGTCAGGCTGGTCTCGAACTCCTGACCTCAGGTGATCTGCCCTTCTCGGCCTCCCAAAGTGCTGGGATTACAGGTGTGAGTCACCAGGCCCGGCCTATATTAGGGATTAAGAACTCAGATTTTGGAGTCAAAATTCCTGTATTTGAGTCACAGATATACATTTCCTTAGCTGGATATTACGAATTACTTTATCTCTTTATGTCTCAGTTTTCCCAGCTACAAAATAGCATTAATAATAGTACTTTACTTTGGCCAGGCACGGTGGCTCATGCCTGTAATCCCAGCACTTTGGGAGGCCGAGGCGGGAAGATCATGAGGTCAGGAGATCGAGACCATCCTGGCTAACACGGTGAAACGCCGTCTCTACTAAAAATACAAAAAATTAGCTGGGCGTGGTGGCAGGCACCTGTAGTCCCAGCTACTTGGGAGGCTGAGGCAGGAGAATGGTGAACCTGAGAGGAGGAGCTTGCAGTGAGCCGAGATCGTGCCACTGCACTCCAGCCTGGGCGACAGCGGGAGACTGTCTCAAAAAAAAAAAAAATAATAATAATAATAATAATAATAATAGTACTTCATAGAGTGGGTATGAAGACTGAGTTCATATTTGTGAAGTGCTTAGGATACTTCCTAGTGTGTAGTAAAGGCTCAATAATTACAAACAGCACTCTGCTTTCTTAATGAGAAAGAGTGCTATTCCTCACAATTTACCATGGATACAGGCTACACCCTTAGAACCACAGGCACTTTAACTCTTAAATAAATTATTGGCCAAGTAGCTTTTCCAACTTACGTAAAAACAAGTATATTAAAGTGCCATCCTTACCTAGTTTGGAAGGATCATACTCAGCTGAAATTTGGATCAATAATTTCTCCATATGGTGGAAGTTTGGAAATTCTTCAGGAATGACTGAAAAAACATTTATATTGCCCTCCAGATCCACAGACAGTTCTTTCAGGCACAGGAACTTATCCAGATTAGGAAAGATTTGGTCTGGAAAGCAGCACAGTTTCCCATTATTAATCTAAAGAGTTCTGAATGGACATTTTAAAACTGTCATTTTGATTCATCCAGCTATTTTCACATGCAAACCTTCCACATACCATAAAACATTCTTTTTTTTTTTTAAAGAATACATATATGAAGATATTGCTTTTTGCAGCTTATGCACTGTATGGGAAGCCCTGTGCTACTCTTCAGACTCACAAAAAGAAATACAGCATCTCGGCTAGGCGCAGTGGCTCATGCCTGTAATCCCAGCACTTTGGGAGGCTGAGGCGGGCGGATCACGAGGTCAGGAGTTTGAGACCAGTCTGGCCAACATAGTGAAACCCCGTCTCTACTAAAAATACAAAAAAAAAATTAGCTGGGTATGGTGGTGTGCATCTGTAATCCCAGCTACTCAGGAGGCTGAGGCAGGAGAATCACATAAACCTGGGAGACGGAGGTTGCAGTGAGCCAAGATCGCGCCATTGCACTCCAGCCCAGGCTACAGTGTGAGACTCCGTCTCAAAAAAAAAAAAAAAAAAAAAAAAGAAGAGAAAAGAAATATAGCATCTCTTCAACAAACGGTTGGGGACAACTGGATTTGCACATGCGAAAGAATGAAGTTGGATTCCTATCCCTCACCATGTAAAAAAAATCAACTCAAAATGGATCAACGACCTAAATATAAAAGCTGAAATCACACAACTCTTAGAAAAAACATAGGAGTTAATCTTCATGACCTTGGATTTGGCAATGGATTCTTAGATAGGACACCAAAAGGACCAGCAATAAAAGAAAAAAACAGATAAATTGGACTTCGTCAAAATTTAAAACTTTCGTGCACAAAGGACATTATAAATAAAGTAAAATGACAACCTATGGAATGGGAAAAATATTTTCAAACTGTGTATCTGATAACAGGTTGAAATCCAGAATATACAAATAACTCTTACAATGCAACAAAAACAACAACAATTTTTAAATGAGCAAACATATTTTTTCAAAAAGTGAAAAGATACTTAACATCATTTTCATGATTTGCATTAGAGAAATGCAAATCAAAACCACAATGAGATACCACTTCACAACTACTAGAATGGCTTTATGATAATCACAAAACAAAATGGGCTGGGTGAGGTGGCTCATACCTGTAATCCCAGCACTTTGGAAGGCCAAGGTGGGTGGATCATTTGAGCCCAGGAGTTCAAGACCAGACTAGGGGCCAGGCACGGTGGCTCATGCCTGTAATCCCAGCACTTTGGGAGGCCGAGGTGGGTGGATCACCTGAGGTCAGGAGTTCAAGACCAGCCTGGCCAACATGGTGAAACCCCATCTCTACTAAAAATACAAAAATTAGCTGGGTGTGGTGGCGGGAGCTTGTAATCCCAGCTACTTGGGAGGCTGAGGCAAGAGAATGGCGTGAACCCAGGAGGCAGAGCTTGCAGTGAGCCGAGATTGCGCCACTGCACTCCAGCCTGGGGGACAGAGCGAGGCTCCATCTCAAAAAAAAAAAAGAAAGAAAAAGAAAAAAGACCAGACTAGGCAACATAGCAAGAATCTGTCTCTACAAAAAATAAAAAATTATCCAGGCACGGTGGTGCATGCTGGTAGTCTCAGCTACTCAGGAGGCTGAGGCAGGAGGATCACCTGAGCTCAAGAGGTTGAGGCTGCAGTGAGCCATGATTGCACCACAGCACTCCAGCTTGGGCAATAGAGCAAGACACTGTCTGAAAAACAACAATGAAAACAAAAACAGGTCGGGCACTGTGGCTCATGCCTGTAATCCTAGCACTTCGGGAGGCCAAGGTGGCTGGACTGCCTGAGCTCAGGAGTTCGAGACCGGCTTGGGCAACATGGCGAAACCCCATCTCTACTAAAAATACAAAAGTTAGCCAGGTATGGTGGTGCACACCTGTAGTCCCAGCTACTCAGGAGGCTGAGACAGGAGAATTGCTTGAACCCGAGAGGTGGAGGTTGCAGTGAGCCAAGATCTCGCCACTGCACTCCAGCCTGGGTGACAGAATTAGACTCTGTCTCCACAAAAACAAAAATTAACAAGTGCTGAAGAGGATGTGGAGTAATTGGAACCTTTGTACATGGATAGTGGGAATGTAAGATGGTGCAGCTACTGTGCAAGTTCCTCAAAAAGTTAAACATAGAACTACCATATGAATCAGCAATTCTGCTTCTAGGTATATACCCAAAATGATTAAAAGCAAGAACTTAAACCGATACTTATAATGCCAGTGTTCATTGCAGCATTATTTATGATAGCCAGAAGGTAGAAACAACCCAAGTGTCTCTCAGCAGCAGAATGGATAAACAAAATGTACTATATACATACCATGGAATATTAGCTATAAAAAGGATGAAGTTCCTTTTCAAAGTTGATACATAATAATTGTACATATTTATGGAGTACATGTGAAGGAATGAAATTCCAATATAGGCTACAACATGATGTACCTTGAACAGTATGCAAAGTGAAATAAGCCAGACAAGTGATAATGCTTATAAACAATATCTAGAAGAGGCAAATTCATAGAGACAGAAAATAGAAGAGAAGTTATCAGGGGCTGGTGGGAGGGAAGATTTTTTTTTTTTTTTTTTTTTTTTGAGACGGAGTCTCACTCGGTAGCCCAAGCTGGAGTGCAGTGGCATGATCTGGGCTCACTGCAACCTCTGCCTCCCAGGCTTAAGTGATTCTCATGCCTCAGCCTCCCGAATAGCTGGGACTACAGGCGCATGCCACCACGCCCAGCTAATTTTTTGTATTTTAGTAGAGATGTGGTTTCACCATGTTGCCCAGGGTGGTCTCAAACTCCTGAGCTCTGGCGATCCACCCTCTTCGGCCTCCCAAAGTGCTGGGATTACAGGCGTGAGCCCCCGCGCCCGGCCCAATTTATTGTTTAATTGGGATGATGAAAAGGTTCTGGAGATGGATAGTGGTGATGGTTGTACAACATAGTGAATGCTTAATGCCACTGAGTTGTACACTTAAAATGATTAAAATGTAAGCTTTGTTACATGTATTTTACCATAATAAAACAGTACTTGAAAAAAGATGAAAAATTTTCTAAATTTGGTAAATGTCAACCCACACATTCCAAAAAAGTTCAGTGCACCTCAAGCAAGATACATACAAAGCAAAGCACACCTAGGCATATAACAGTCAAACTGCTTAAGACCAAAGCAATACTAGCAACAATTAGAAAATGAAAAAATATTTTTAATGACATTTACAATACTTTCAAAAGATATGAGTATCTAGGAATAAATTTAATGAAAGATGGGTTAAGTCTACACTGAAAACTATCAAATAGTGCTTAGAGGAGTTAAGACACAAATAGATGAAGATATTATTTCCCATTAATTTATTTATTTCCCAGGGACTACAGGCCTTTCTTCCTTTAGGCAGCTAGGGTGAAGGTAATTTCTAAGCATCATCTTACATATAGCTAATTCTTTTACTAATAACAGATAATTCATGTCTTTATTAAGAACCTTCAATAATTTAATATAAATATTTTATTCATTTTGTCTGAGTTATTTGAAAACCATTCTATTATTCAAGGACTTTTCACTAATTCATGCTACTGTCAAAAAAAATTAGTGAAGGTTTATTTTATATCTGTTCTATCAATGAGCATGCATGCTTTCATGGCCTCAGAAGTTTTCAACCACTTAAAGTAAGAAAAAGAAATTATACATCAGAATAGTCATCCAAAATATATACAGGTATACCTTGTGACTGGATTGTCCCTGAGACTTCAAGAGATTCCAGGGAAGGCAGGGTGAGAAGCAGTTCCTGTTCGGCTGCGCTGAGTTCCAACTTGCTTATGGAGCACTTGGTGACAGAGGCCTTAGACAGCTCAAGAGCTGGGCGGATGCTTTCTATAAAGCCTCTGCTGTGGTTTAAATGGAGTTCGATGCGCTGTGAAGCTGAGAAAACTGTCATTAGAATCTCAAGCATATCCTGGCCTACAACATCAATATCATTCACATCGACTTCTAGACAGGGAATCTTGTACTGCTTTGGAGAAAGTTTCCAATAGCCAGTACTAAGGTCTGGTGATGCCCTGCGCTGCATATCCATATAGCTCTTTACATTATCCTCTTTTTCAGCTAAATTTCGCTCCCATTCATTCATAGGTTCAAAGGCAGAAGCATAGTCCTGATCTATAGTTGGCACCTGTGATTTGTCAAAACATGTTTCCAGAACTGAAAAATGTGCTCTGGGTGATGTCTTATTTCCTCGTATTGGGAAGTGGATGCTCCTCAACAATGACAAGCTTTCTGGGTGGTCGAAAAAGTACTGTAAGTTAAGCGCACCCAAAGTCAGTGTTCTCCCTTGAAGGAATTGCAAAACAAATGGAGAACACGCAGCAACAGTGTTGCTTTGATAAGCAGTTTTCAGGGCAAGAACCAGTAAATGTTCTGAAACCATTGAAAAGTAAGCTTGTGGACAAATTTGCCACAATCCCCTAAGTAACTGCATCTGCAGTGAAATTTCTGGCTGGTGCTTTAAGTAGTCATCATTTTCAGATATATTCTCCAATGACTCTTTGTTATCCACTAAATGGAGCAAATGAGACACAATTTTGGGCCCTGCTTTTGTTGAAGGGAGGCTGGAGACATAGTTCAAAAAATTGTTGTAGGCGCTTACAGTCATCATGGGTGAGTTGATTTGTTTCAAATGATACAGTCCCAAATCTTGATGTTCCTGCCTATCTGAATCCAGGAGTTCAATCAGCCTCATCCCCGCAAGAAATTCTTGGAAGGCAGGACTTAAAAACCGGTAGAATGGTCTTAGTCTCTGGGCTGTAAATTTGCTCATCAAGCACATGGTTAGATCTTCATCTTCATCAACCCCTGCTTCTGCGAGATCATCATCATTAAACTCAAAGCAACATGAAAAAAACCCTTTCAAGGCCAGCTCACCACAGGAGGACACAGTTGCTTTGAGAATTTCAGCTGTCGCTTTGTTCCTTAAGGAAAGGCGTTCCATATAGGACTTGAAAACAGCCACATCATCAAAGGATGGGTCAAAAGGATACTGAAACCAATGAGCACAGATCGCCGCCACAAAGAGAGGAGTTTTCTGTATCTTCTGCAAACTTTGGTTCTTTCCAAAGTAAACCATAAACTTTCGCAGACGAGTCATATTATGTGAAAAGAGCTTCCGTAATATACAGACAGTATTATAAAAGGGAAATGCTTTGATCTCTAGAATGGTCTCTAGGTATCGGCGGATGTCCCTGGCCCTGTTTGTACGGACAGCAATCAATAGGCAGGTCCGGGATAAGTGGTTTTTTTGAATCAGTTTTCCTATGACTTGAGGGATTGAACATATTTCTTTGTAGTCATCTAAAAGGAATAAGACCTGATTCTTTAACTGCTGGATAATGTTCCTCACGCACATTTCAGTAACAGATCCTTCTTTCTCTAGGAGCTGGTCACAGATGATACTGGCCAGCCCCTCGTCTGGTCTGGTGGAACTAAGGGAGAGGTAGAAAACCAGCTGGAACCTGTTTAACAGGGGACAGCATCCAGATGCCCACAGAAAAGCTATTTTCTTCAGGAGGACCGTCTTTCCACTTCCAGCTTCACCCTCCACACACATGACAGAGTTCAAGTTGCCAAAGACCTCAGGCAGCACCAGAGGTTCTTGCACAGGTTTGCTGATGTGTTTTGAAGCAATAGACAGATCACAGCCCAGCAAGTGGTCCGTGGCCAGATCGGAAGAGATATCAAGCAAAGACATGTGGCGGAAACTGGCGCTGGTATAAGCTGCTCTCAGCTGCTCATTCAGATTCTTTGCCTCTTGAAACCACTGGGCTTCACCCTGTGCCATTTCTGTGGAGAGAAAGAAAGGGGGGCACAACAGGGATTCATAGTCACATCTCCCTCAGTCTGAACGCCATGCCTTTTCATTCCATGATTCTGCCTGTCTACTACGAATGTGTTAGGATTTTCCACAGCCATCCATGATTCCCACATTGCAATCATCTCATAGGTTTTGGCACAAAATCGGAATGTGGAAAGCATGTGTCCAAAGTGCCACACTTGAAGCAGGGACCTAGACATAATGTGTGCTTATCATAAGCACCATGCATCTCAGGAAAGAGGCCAGGCAAAGTGACTCATGCCTGTAATCCCAGCACTGTGGGAGACCGAGGCAGGCGAATTGCTTGAGCCTAGGAGTTCAAGACCAGCCTGGCCAACATGGCAAAACCCTGTCTCTACAAAAAATACAAAAATTAGCCAGGTGTGGTGGCACATGCTTGTGGTCCCAGCTACTGGGGAGGCTGAGATGGGAGGATCACTTGAGCCTGGGAGGTCGACGCTGCAGTGAGCCATGATCTTGCCATTGCATTCCAGCCTGGGTGACAAAGTAAGACCCTGTCTCAAATAAAATAAAATAAAATAAAATGAATAAAAATAAAAATCTCAGGAAAGAAGTTTACTGATTGGTGCTTCTAAGGACTGGTTTGCTTGTACCTGAGACACGTTGCCTACTATCAGTTTGGTCCTGCCTGCACTCTGGAGAAGCCACAAGAATCTTGACTTTTGCTCATACACGACACTGTTGCAATGCTGCTCCTCTTTGGAAGCTCTTTGGACAATTATAAATACTCTTTTTTTTGCAACTGCCCTGTATACAAATATATTTACAAATACATATAATCCCACGTGCTACTTCAAAGTTCTTACCTGGCACTATAGGACCAACTGCTATTGAATCTTCAAGATTGCTTTCACTTGTGGTTTCCTTTGAAAAATAAAATCTTTTCTTAAATCAAAATTTGTATAGGAGAGTGGTGCATCATGTTGTAATCATTGGAGACTAAACATCTTCTAAACACAGCCCACCCTCAAATATTTATGCTGATTGAAGGGAGGGGTGCTCCAAATATAAAGCAATTAATAATCTGCAAACATCTGCAGGAATGTGTGTTCCTCAGTGGTTCATATATGATACAATCCATGGGTGATACTATCCAGGTAACGAGAATCATAGTGTCTTGAGCAAGAAGGTTCCTCCAAAAGTCATTAGGTGCAGCCTCTGTCCTTGGTTAACTACATTTTTAATATTACACATCCAGTACTTAGAAAGGTTATGTTTCTTCCTTAAAAAATAAGCTATTTCTATATCCCCAAACTTTTTTCTTTAGTGCCATTTTTCAATTCATATAGAAAATGAATCACGTGAATAGCAAGTTGGTTTTTGTGTGTGTTGGGGGTGGGGGGATGACAAACATAACATACCTAACACACAGCCTCAAAATAAGGTGGTATATGTGTGCATTAAATTAGTAGTGGCTTATATCCCAGAGAACTAGGTAGGATTTCTCAGCTTAAAGTGGTCAGCCTATTACCTGGGTTTATGATTTTGTTGGGCACTTGCTTTTGTTAAAGTAACATCTTCTCAACCCCTAAAAAGGCCAAGTAGCAAATCCAGCCTTATTGCCCTCCACATGAAGATCCAGAGAGGATCCATTTAGCCTGGATGCTAATCAACAAAGTCTAAGAGAGTCTGGGCCTTGAAGTAGAAGAGATTGACTATACATTTCATGAAGCTAGGTATTGTGCCCGACTGGTTTATTGTGATTTCCCCAATCTGTACCTAGAACATAACAGATGTTTAGTAGATGTTTGTAGAATTTATTAACTTATTTATGATGAGACATTCCTGTTCAAAACAGTTTTCAATTATATGATCATGTGCTGGTAAAACAGACAAGATGACGGTGTTCATTACCAGTAATTCACAAAGTTCACCACGGCTCTGAAGGTCTGGAGTCACTTCCGCAGAGGACTTCATATTTTGGAGAAATGGACAACTAAGTGTAAAAGTTAAAAGTTATAAAAATAGTTGTATGCATTTAAGTATTTGTGTTAGGTATTTTTGTTGTTGTTGTTGCTGTTGTTGTTTGTTTTGTTTTTTCAGAGACAGGGTCTCACTATGTTGCCCAGGCTGTTCTGGTTTCAAACTTCTGGCCTTGAGCAATTCTCCTCCCTAGGCATCCCAAAGTGCTGGGATGATAGGTGTGAGCCGCCAGGCCTGGCCTTGTATTAGGTTTTTAAAAACACTATTAGAGTTTTAGTGACAAGAATTAAGTATAAAACTATCATTTCCAGTGATTCTCTCTGTCAGTGTCATCAGGTAAGGCACTTAGGTTGTGGCTCTCTGCAAGAGAAATGTAAATGGTTTATAAAGTAACGGTAAAGGATATCAAGGGAATTTGGTGGAATGAGTGCGTATATGACACTCCTCCATGCAACCAACAAAAATGAACTTAAAGAATCAAAAATAGGAAAAAAAAAACCCTCTATTTATGAATTCTGGAACAAAAAACAACATAGTGGAAAAACTGGTGAAATCCAAATAAACTCTGGATTTTAGTAAATAGTAATGTACAGTATATGAATTGGTACACTGATGATTTTGACAAATATGCTAGTGTAAGATGTTAGCATTAGGGTAAATTGGGTATGGCAATATATAGGAACTCTTTGTATTACTTTGCACTTTCTGCAAATCTAAATAATTTCAAATAAAAATTTATTAAAAAAAGAAAAAAACTCTGTGAGTGCGGTGGTTCACACCCAAAATCCCAGCACTTTGGGAGGCCGAGGCGGGCAGATCACTTGAGGCCAGAAGTTTGAGACCAGCCTGGCCAACATGGCAAAACCCTGTCTCTATTAAAAAGAAAATTCCAAAATTAACCAGGCAGTGGTGGCGCACACCTGTAGTCCTAGCTACTTAGGAGGCTGGGGCACAAGAATCGCTTGAACCTGGGAGGCGGAGGTTGCAGTGAGCTGAGATTGTGCCACTGCACTCTAGTCTGGGCAATGGAGTGAGACTCTGTCTCAAAACAAAACAAAAAACAAACAAGGCCAGGCATGGTGGCTCACGCCTGTAATCCCAGCAGTTCGGGAGGCTGAGGCGGGTGGATCACTTGAGGTCAGGAGTTTGAGACCAACCTGACCAACATGGTGAAACCTCACCTCTACTAAAAATACAAAAATTAGCCGGGCGTTGTGGCGGACGCCTGTAATCCCAGCGACTTGGGAGGCTGAGGCAGGAGAATTGCTTGAACCCAAGAGGCAGAAGTTGAAGTAAGCCGAGATCGCACCATTGCACTCTAGCCTGGGCAACAGGAGTGAAACTCTGTCTCAAAAACAAACAAACAAACAAACAAAAAACTAACCAACCACAAACCACTCCATTGCCAGGTGCAATGGCTCATGCCTGTAATCCCAGCACTTTGGGAAGCCAAAGTAGGAGTTTCACTTGAGGCCAGAAGTTCAAGACCAGACCAACCTGTGCAACATAGAGAGACCTCCTCTAAAAATTAGCTAGCAGGGTGGCATGCATGTATAGTCCCAGCTACTTGGGGGTGCTGAGGCAAGAAGATCACTTGAGGCCAGGAGGTTGGGGCTACAGTGAGCCGTGATTGCATCACTGCACTCCAGCCTGGGTGACAGAGTAAGACCCTGTCTTAAACAAACAAAAAATTAAAAAAGAAACCCTCCGTCAGTATCAAAAGAAAAGAATGGCCACAAACATACTCTCTAAAAACTACTTGCCAATCTCGTGAAACTAGGACGCAAATACCCTCTAAACTCAGGTTTGATGTATGCTTGAAGAACAAGAGAGAAAGTTCAAAAAGAGCTCTAGTTGCAATTATTAAAATGGACAGATGAGAACTATACATGTGAGTAAGTCAGTGGCCTATTCCATGCTGTAGAATCACTGGAGAGCAGGAGTAAAGCAAAGGGACACTTTTTTTTTTTTTTTTTTTTTTTTTTGAGACAAGGTCTCACTCTTTTGTCCAGGCTTGAGGGTAGTGACACGACCAAGGATCAATGTAGCCTCCAACTCCCAGGCTCAAGTGATCCTCCCACCTCAGCCTCCCAAGTAACTGGGACTACAGGCACGTGCCACCATGCCAGGCTAATTTTTTTTTTTTCTGGGCTCAAGGTATCCTCCCACCTCAGTTTCCCAAAGTGCTGGGATTACAGGCGTGAGCCACTGCATGTGGCCCAGATACTTCATTTGTATTGCCTTCAGGTGACTTGGCGATGAGTCCAGAAATAGAAGCATAGCTTCAGGAAAACAACAAGTAGAACTTTTAACGTTTCTGTCCAAAGTCAGCCATGTAGAGGTAAATAAAAACAAACCCATAGGGAAGGGGTGAAGTGGCTTACAAAAGAAAAAAAATATTTTAATAGGCCCATCAAGGAAAAGAACTATGAAGGAAGGTAAAATATAAACTTATTCATACAAACAAATGCCAAATAAAGTCAGTTGCCAGCATAACTGCACTACAAAAAATGTGAAAGGGACCAGGCACAGTGGTTCACCCCTGTAATCCCAGCACTTTGGGAGGCTGAGGCAGGCAGATCATGAGGTCAGGAGTTCAAGACCAGCCTGGCCAACATGGTGAAACTCTATCTCTACTAAAAATACAAAAATTAGCCTGGCATGGTGGTGGGCACCTGTAATCCTAGCTACTCAGGAGGTTGAGGCAGGAGAATCACTTGAACCCGGGAGGCAGAGGTTGCAGTCAGCCGAGATCGTGGCGCTGAACTCCAGCCTAGGAGACAGAGCAAGACTCCATCTCAAAAAAAAAAAAAAAAAAAAAAAAAGTGAAAGGAAGCACATCATTTAAAAGGAAAATGATAGCAGATGGAAATTTGGTTCTACTCAAAGGAATGAAAAGTACCAGGAATGATAAGATAACTAAGAGGGCAAATATGAAAGACTTTTGCCGTTGTAAAAATGTACTTAAATTGTTTAAAGCAAAGATATAACATTATATTGTAAGATTTATTAAAGTACATGGAAATAAAATGTATGACAATAGCACAAAGGATGAGAGGGGAGAAATGGAAATATACTATTGTATGGTTCATACATTTTATGTCAAGTGTTATATATTTTTTTGACCCAGAGTCTCACTGTGTCACCCAGGCTGGAGTGCAGTGGCACGATCTCAGCTTTCTGCAGCGTCTGCTTCCTGGGTTCAAGCAATTCTCGTGCCTCAGCCTCCCAAGCAGCTGGGATTACAGGTGTGCGCCACCACACCCAGCTAATTTTTTTGTATTTTTAGTAGAGACGGGGTTTCACCATGTTGCCCAGGTTGCTCTGGAACTCTTGACCTCAAGTGATCTGCCTGCCTCAGCCTCCCAAATTACCGGGATTACAGGCATGAGCCACTGCACCCAGCTGTTATAATATTTTTGAAGATTACTATGATATGTTAAATAGGCATATGGTAAACTCTAGAGCAAGTAGTAAAAAGGTAAAATAAGGATTAATAGCTAATAAGCTGACAGAAATAAAATGGAGTACAAAAAAAAATACTCAAGGAGGGGTAGAAAAAAGAAAAAAAAAAAAACCCTAAACCCTAGGAAGTCAGGAAAAGAAAAAGAAACAAAGAAGTGATGAAATAAATAGAAAGCAAATGGTAAAATAGGTTTAAATCCAACCATATTCATAATTGCATTAAATTTAAACGTTCTAAACATTCCAATTAGAAAGCAGTTATTGTCAGACTCTTAAAAAGCAAGACCTGGCCAGGCGTGGTGGCTTACGCCTGTAATCCCAGCACTTTGGGAGGCCAAGGCAGGTGGATCATGAGGTCAGGAGATCGAGACCATCCTGGCTAACACGGTGAAACCCCGTCTCTACTAAAAATACAAAAAATTAGCCAGGTGTGGTGGCGGGGTGCCTGTAGTCCCAGCTACTCGCGAGGCTGAGGCAGGAGAATGGTGTGAACCCAGGAGGCGGAGCTTGCAGTGAGCCAAGATCGTGCCACTGCACTCCAGCCTGGGCGACAGAGCAAGACTCCGTCTCAAAAAAAAAAAAAAAGAGAAAACCTGGCTGGATGTGGTGGCTCACACCTCCATCTCAAAAAAAAAGCAAGACCTGCTGGGTTCAGTGGTCCACACCTGTAATCCCAGCACTCTGGGAAGACAAGGCAGGAGAATTGCTTGTGGCTAGGTGTTCGAGATCAGACTGGGCAACATAGTGAGACCTTGTCTCTATAAAAAACTAACAAACTTAGCCAGGCTTGGTGGCATGTGCCTGTAGTCCCAGCTACTCAGGAGTCTGAGGTGGGAGGATTGCTTGAGCCTGGGAAGTCCAGGCTGCAGTGAGTCAAGACTGCACCACTGCACTCCAGCGTAGGCAACAGAGCGAGTCTGTCTCATAAACAAATAAAAAATAAAATAAAAGACCCCACTGTGTTGTTGCCTATAACAATTCACTTTAAGGCTGGGTGCAGTGGCTCATGCCTGTAATCTCAACACTTAGGGTGGCAGAGGTGGGAGGACAGCTTGAGCCCAGGAGTTTGAGATCTGCCTGGGCAACATAGTGAGACCCCGTTACCCACAAAAAGGAAAAGGAAAAAACAAGAATTGACTTTAAATATAGTCACAGATAGATTAAAAAGAAAATAATCTAAAAGATGTAACATGAAAAAACTAATAAAGGCCTAAAAAATACTATCAAGGATAAAGAGGGATATTTCTGTTTTTTAGAGACAAAGTTTTACTCTGTCACCCAGGCCACAGTACAGTGGCACAATCATAGCTCATTGCAACCTATACTCCTGAGCTCAAGCGATTCTCCTGCCTCTGCCTCCCAGGTAGCTGGGACTACAGATGCATGCTACCACACCCTGTTTGTTTTAAAAATTTTTTGTAGAAATGGAGTCTAGCTATGTTGCAAAGGCTAGTCTCAAACTCCTCGCCTTGTGCACTCCTCCCACCTCAGCCTCCCAAAGTGCTGGGATTATAGGTGTGAACCACCATGCCTGCTTGGGATATTTAATATATTCTCTGGAATATGAAAGACCAAAGGGCAAAAAAATAGCTAAGACACACTCTTGAAGAGAAAGAACAAGACTATTCTGCAGGAAAATATGAAAATAAGCTCAACTGCCAGGCGCGGTGGCTCACACCTGTAATCCCAGCACTTTGGGAGGCTGAGGTGGGTGGATCACCTGAGGTTGGGAGTCCGAGACCAGCCTGACCAACATGGAGAAACCCCATCTCTACTAAAAATACAAAATTAGCTGGGCGTGGTGGCACATGCCTGTAATCCCAGCTACTCGGGAGGCTGAGGCAGGAGAATCACTTGAACCTGGGAGGCGGAGGTTGTGGTGAGCCGAGATCGTGCCATTGCACTCCAGCCTGGGCAACAAGAGTGAAACTCCGTCTCAAAAAAAAAAAAAGAAAGAAAAAAAGAAGAAGAAAATAAGCTTAACATTATTAGTAATTACACTGACAAAAATTAAAATTTGGGCAATACCAAGTTAGTGAGGAAGCAAATCAATAGAAACGCATCTAGGCCAATGGGAATGTAAATCAGTGCAACCACTTGGGAAAAAGCTTTGCATTATCTAGTGGAGTTGAACACCCGCAAAGTTCTATGACTCTGCAATTCTTTACTTTGTTATGTATCCTAGAGAAACACACATGAGCACTGGAAAATATGTACAAGAATGTTCATAGGGCATTATTTGAATTTGCAACACTCTGAAAACGACCCACGAGGTTAATCAACAGTAAAATAAGTTATTATATATTCATAAAATAATACACTATTTACCAATGAAAACAAGTGAACTACAACTGTGTAGTACATATAAATATGGATGAATCTCAAAAACATCGTGGAGTAAAACCAGCCAATTACAAGAAGAATCATGCAGTATGCTTCTTATTTGAACTTCAAGAATAGACAAAGCTAAATATGTTTAAGGATGTATATGTAGTTGGTAAAACCACAAAGAGAAGCAAGGGAATAATTAACCCAAACTGAGCATCACATTTACCTCTGGATTGGAGGGACAGGGATATAATCAGAATTAGGGGGTGGTTGGCATGCAGAGTTGTTTTTTGTTTTTTGATTTTTTTTTTTTGAGACAGAGTCACGCTCTGTCGCCCAGGAGTGCAATGGCGCCATCTTGGCTCACTGCAACTTCCGCCTCCCAGGTTCAAGCCATTCTCCTGCCTCAGCCTCCCTAATAGCTGGGACTACAGGCGTGTGTCACCAGGCCCGGTTAAATTTTTCTGTTTTTTAACAGAGATGGGGTTTCACCATGTTGCCCAGGCTGGTCTCGAACTCTTGAGCTCAGACAATCTGCCCACATCGGCCTCCCAAAGTGCTGAGATTACAGGCGTGAGTCACTGCACCCGGCCGCAGGGGTCTTTTAAGGCATTGATAATGTCCAATTTCTTGACTTTACTAGGAGGTTCATAGGTTGCTTTTTATTCATTCTTTAAAGCATACATAAAAATTTTAGGTAATCATTTGGAGACATACTGGTTTGCAGTTTTTTTAAGAGGCAAAGGAAGAGTAAAAATCCAAAAAGGAGTTGGCTGGGAGCAGTGGCTCATGCCTGTAATCCAAGTACTTTGGGAGGCTGAAGCAGAAGGATCATTTGGAGCCAGGAGTTTGAGACCAGCCTGGGCAACAAAGCAAGACCCCATCTCTACAAAAAAAAACTTTAAAAAATTAGTCGGGCATGGTGACACATGCTTGTAGTCCTAGCTACTTGGGAGGCTGAGGTGGGAGGATCACTTGAGCCCAGGAATTTGAGGCTACAGTCAGCTAGGATTGTACCACTGCACTTGCTCCAGCCTGGGTGACAGAGCCGAGACCCAGTCTCTTAACAAAAAAACACTAAAGGCCAGGTGTGGCGGCTCACACCTGTATTCCCAGCACTTTGGGAGGCTGAGGCAGGAGGATCACTTGAGGTCAGGAGTTCAAGACCAGCCTGGCCAACATGGTGAAACCCCGTCTCTACTAAAAGTACAAAAAATTAGCCAGGCATGGTGGGGAGGTACCTGTAATCCCAGCTACTTGGGAGGCTGAGGCAGGAGAATCGCTTGAACCCGGGAGGCGGAGGTTGCAGTGAGCCGAGATCACGCCACTGCACTCCAGCCTGGGTGACAGAGTGAGACTCCATCTCAAAAACAACAACAACAAAACACTAAAACTAATAATAATAATAATAGTATAAAAGGGAGTTGATCGATTCCAGAGTAAGTTCTAAATAAGACTAGACTGCATCCTAGCTTATCCTTCCAAGAATTAAGTAGAATGTCCCCATTGTTCTCAATAATTTATTATACACTAAGCCCAAATAAGAAAGAAAAATGAGGTAACTACTGCTATCAAAATACCTTCAAGGCAATAAAATTAGATAGAAGTATTCATTTTGTTTTATTTTTGTTTTTACCACTATACAAATGAGCAGGAAGCATTCATTTTAAAATCTGTATGTGTTCATATTCATTTCTAAAAAAAAAACTCTTACTAATTACATAGTGAAAACACAAATTTCTTCTTGCAATTAAACATTTCTAAAGAGTTTGATGGGTAAAAAAAAATTAAGTTTAAAGATTCATAGAAAAGAAATATTTCTTCATAAAATTTTAGAACAGATATTTTTCTGAAAGCTTCCAGCACAGGAAAAAAAAAAATTTTGTTTGCAGTAAAAGGATTGACAAGCAGAAAGGCATGGAACTTCTCGACAGCACATTAGGAACCAGTAGAAATGTAGCAGTGCCTCTACAATTTAGAATTAAAATGACTTCCAACCTATAATTCTACACCTAGCTAAACTATCAAATAAGTGTGAGAATACAGGAAAAACATATATCTAGATAGATCTATATGTCTGTATATGCATTATATGCAACTAAAAGTGTGTATTTCTTATGCAGTCTTTCCCAGGGAACTCCGATGAAGTGTTCCAACAAAATGAGCGAGTGAACCAAGAAGAGGATGACATTAGATCCAGGAGATACAACAGAGGAGATAATCTCCAGGATGCCTGTGAAGAAAGATCCCTGGATCCCAGGATGATTATAGGACAAGTTGTTCATAATCCAGCAGGCCAGAAGACTTCCAGGGAAACTCATTTCAAGATGAAAATGGACCAGCCGCAGTGGCTCACGCCTGTAATACCAGCACTTTGGGAGGCTGAGGCAGGCGGATCACTTGAGGTCAGGAGTTTGAAACTAGCCTGGCCAACGTGGCAAAACTCCATCTCTATTAAAAATACAAAAATTAGCCAGGCATAGTGGTGCATGCCTGTAGTCCCAGCTACTTGGGATGCTGAGGCAGGAAGAATTGCTTGAACCTGGGAGGCAGAGTCTGCAGTGAGCCGAGATCATGCCACTGCACTCCAGCCTGGGTGACAGAGCCAGACTCCGTCTCAAAAAAAAAAGAAAAAGAAAAAAAAAATGATGACTCTTTCAAGAAATGAAAATGATGAGATATCTGGTAGGTCTGAATGACTTAAGAGGAGATTTAAACATTTGGGATAAGTTGAAGATGAGCTGGTGTTCGTCTTCATTTATTTCATTTAAATAAATAAAATTATTAATACATGAATTTTATCTCAAGAAACAAAAATAAGCAATGTACATAAAAATTAAGCAGATGGCTGGCCGGGCGCGGTGGCTCACGCCTGTAATCAGAGCACTTTGGGAGGCTGAGGCGGGTGGATCACGAGGTCAGGAGATGGAGACCATCCTGGCTAACACGGTGAAACCCCGTCTCTACTAAAAAAATAAATAAAAAATAAATTAGCCGGGCGTGATGGCAGGTGCCTGTAGTCCCAGCTACTCGGGAGGCTGAGGCAGGAGAATGGCATGAACCCAGGAGGCGGAGGTTGCAGTGAGTGAGATCACGCCATTACACTCCAGCCTGGGCGACAAAGTGAGACTCCATCTCAAAAAAAAAAAAAAAAAAAAATTAAGCAGATGGCTATAATTTTTTTAAAAATAGAAAAGTGTTGATGAGAAATGGGAAACCTCATACATTGTTGGTCAAACTGTATGCTTCCATTTAGAGGAAATAGTCAGAACAAATAAATCCATAGACACCAATTAGGTTGGTGTATCCCAGGGGCTGGGCATGGAGTGGGGTGGAGAGAGAAGGAGGGCCTGCTTAGTGGATACAGAGTTTTCTTTGGGGGCGATGAAAGTGTTTTGGAACTAGATAGAGGGGGTGGTTGCACAACATTGTTGTTGGTGGGAATTTAAAATGGTGCAAGCACTGTGGAAAAAACAGTTTAGCATTTCCTCAAAAAGTTAAAACAGGCCAGGCGCTGTGGCTCACGCTTGTAATTCCAGCACTTTGGGAGGCCAAGCCAGGTGGATCACTTGAGGTCAGGAGTTTGAGACCAGCCTAGCCAACATGGTGAAACCCTAAAAATACAAAAAATTAGGCGGGCATGGTGGCAGACACCTGTAATCCCAGCTACTCAGGAGACTGAGGCAGGAAAATTGCTTGAACCTGGGAGGCGGAGGTTGCAGTGAGCTGAGATCGCACCGCTGCACTCCAGCCTGAGTGACAGAGTGAGACTCTGTGTGAGAAAAAAAAAAAAAAGTAAAAACATAGAATTACTATACAGCTAGCAATATCGTTGTTAGGTATATGCCCCAGAGACTTGAATACAGTTACATGCTCCATCAGATACCTGTACCCAAATGTTCCTATCGGTATTACTCATGGTAGCCAAAAGGTAGAAACAACCCAAATATCTACAAATAGATGAATGGATAAATAAAATGCAGTGTATCCATATGGAATATTACTTGGTCTCAAAAGGAAGGAAGTACTTATGCAAGCTACAACATGGATAAACTTCAAAACAATATGCCAAGTGAAAGAATCCAAATGCAAAAGGTCAAACGGTATGCTTCCATTTAGAGGAAATAGTCAGAACAAATAAATCCATAGACACCAATTAGGTTGGTGTATCCCAGGGGCTGGGCATGGAGTGGGGTGGAGAGAGGAGGGGGGCCTGCTTGATGGATACAGAGTTTTCTTTGGGGGCGATGAAAGTGTTTTGGAACTAGATAGAGGGGGTGGTTGCACAACATTGTGAATGTACTATAATAAATGCCACAGAATTGTGTACTCTAAAATGGTTTAATTGCTGTGCATGGTGGCTCACGCCTATAATCCCAGCACTTTGGGAAGCCAGGATGGGAAGACTGCTTGAGCCTAGAAGTCTGAGAGCAGCCTGGGCAACATAGAGAGACCCTGTCTCTTAAAAAAAAAAAAAAAAAAATTAGCTGGGTGTGAAGACATGTGCCTGTAGTCCCAGCTACTTGGGAGGCTGAGCGAGGAAGATTGCTTGAGCCAGAGAGGTCAAGGCTGCAGTGAGCCATGATTGCACCACTGCACTCCAACCTGGGCAAGAGAGAGAACCTGTCACAAAAAATAATAAATAAATAAATAAAATGGTTACTACCTGAATTTTACCTCAGGAAAAAAAAATAAGCTAACATACCAACAGGACAGTTATTACTTCCTAAAAAAATAAAAGGATATACAGGAAGGGAAAAATAAATAAAAATTTACCACAAGCTTCAGCTCCACATAGCATTTGTATAGTCATGATAATGTAAACATGTAATGTGAATATATGAATCTAGCCAAAACTATGCCATAACTATAAAGAGGGGAAGGCTAGTACAGGAAGGGGGTCATGGAGCAAAGGGATGAAAGACATGAAGACTCATCCTTCATAGCCTGAATCCGAGGAGTGGATAAAGACTCAATCTAAAGATAAAATAAGGCAGGAAATGAGGAAAAAGAAAAAAACTGTTGAAGTGCATCCAAAGTTGCAGATGGTTAACATTCATTCCACTCACTTGGGAAAACATCTGGTGTGATCGTCTAATGGGTCATCACCTTCCTGCCATTTCTCTAAACACCCTCCACAGGAAAAGCACTGGACGATGTCCTTTATACCTAAAAGTAAGGAAACTTGATCAGTGCCACTGGCATGGGCATCTGTCCATTAACATGCAGATAATAACCACCAGACCTGTAATAGTGAAAGCCTATTCAGTCTCCAGTTGGGTTTTGTGACAGTCAGAAGTTGGTTACCAGTGAGGCAATTTTCTATATAAGACTCTGTCCACCAATGGGGTAACTGGCAAGTAGTCATTGAATGCTCCTACACACCATGCACTTTGATGCACACCATCCCTCTGCCCCATTCTCCTTTGATCAACAAACAGATTGGCAACCAGAATCTGGAATTGAAGCTCCATGAGGGGGCTGGGCGCAGTGGCTCATGCCTGTAATCCCAGCACTTTGGGAGGCCAAGGCCAGCGGATCTCCTGAGGTCAGGAGTCTGAGACCAGCCTGGCCAACACGGTGAAACCCTGTCTCTACTAAAAATACAAAAATTAGCTGGGCATGGTGGCACATGCCTGTAATGCCAGCTACTCAGGAGGCTGAGGCACAAGAATCGCTTGAACCCAGGAGACGGAGGTTGCAGTGAACCAAGATAACGCCATTGCACTCCAGCCTGGGCAACAAGAGTGAAACTCTGTCTCAAAAAATAAAAATAAAAATAAGCTCTATGAGGGTAGAGGTTTTTGCTCACTAATGAATGACATGAACCTAGAAAAGTGCTTGACACTCATGTGGCACTCAATTAGTATTCGTTTAATGAATGAATCAGAAAGAATATATTTAGAGCTCACGGAAAAAAAATACCAGCAAATCTAGCAGCCCTTATGTAAGTGAATGCATGAAGAATTAATTGCCTCTTACCACATTATTGCCATGTTTATTACACCAGAAATAGGATTAAGTCTCTTTGTGAAATTATATTTCTTTGGAAAGAAATTGGTATTTAGCTCTGCAAAAGGATCAAACTAGAAACAGAGCATTTCTCATCTTCCTTCCACTCTGGGAAAGCTGGGGCAGAGGAAAGCCTCCCAGAAATATGAGATCCTAGAGCTTGCAAGATCTGAAAACAGTCAGAGATGATTAGGATTTGTGTGGAGTGGTGGAGGATTGGAAAGGAAGAGGGGGAGCACACTGGTCAGAGGGGTCTTGCGGAAGGCTGACAAGAGGAAGACACAGTAGAGTAGGGAGAAATGGCAAACACTCTTTCCAAAGGCTTAAGATTGTGAGGCAGTCAGATTTTTTTTTTCCAATGGCACATGTCTGTTAGGTAGAGTGACAACTATATTCTGCTTCTCTGTGTTGCTCTATGGTATTTGTGACAACTACTTGATCTCTCAGTTAAAGATCTGCATTAACCTCCACTGTAACTTATGCATGTGTTCGGTTTGAGCAAGACCAGCAAGGTACCTAGGAACCTTTCCCTGATCATCTTGTATTTCAGGCAGAGATTTAGCTGACAGGAACCAGCCCATCATTTATAGATTGCAGAGGTGCTTCCTAATGACCAGCAGCTAAAGAGAAAATGCCACAATCTGGTGGAAGGCTCTACATGTTTAGGAATCATGAAAATTAATTTCCTGATTTTCTCCTGCAGGCAGAATGTGGCAAAGATTGCTATCCATGTTCCTATTATCTCAAATCCTTCCATACTAATAGAAATCCCAATATTTAGCTGGGCACATTGTCACCCAGGAAAAAGATTAGGTTTCCCAGCTCCTCTTACAGCTAGGTATGGTCATCTGACTAATAATAATAATAATAATAATAATAATTATTATTATTATTATTATTTTTGAGACAGAGTTTCACTCTTGTTGCCCAGGCTGGAGTGCAATAGCATGATCTTGACTCCCCGCAACCTCCACGTCCCAGGTTCAAGCGATTCTCCTGCCTCAGCCTCCCAAGTAGCTGGGATTACAGGCACCCGCCACCATGCCTGGCTAATTCTTTGTATTTTTAGTAGAGACAGAGTTTCACCATATTGGCCAGGCTGGTCTCAAACTCCTGACCTCAGGTGATCCACCCACCTCGGCCTCCCAAAGTGCTGGGATTACAGGCGTGAGCCACCATGCCCGGCCCATCCAACTAAGTTCTGATTAAAGAAATATAAGCAGAAGTGTCCTGTGACAGTTTCTAGGAGCACTTTGTCAGGGGACAAGAGGTGAGGAGAGTAATGTGTAGAAAGAAAAGACATGATAATTATCACAAATAGAATATTTGTATTCATTGTTAGTCCAGACCTTAAGGTTTCAAATTTGAAGGTTTACCACCTAAGGGAGGAATAGAAAACTGGGAGAGGATTTATGATGCAGGAAAGAAAAGAGATGTATGCCAGGTGCAGTGGCTCACACCTGTAATCCCAGCATTTTGGGAGGCCAAGGCAGGAGGATTACTTGAGCCCAGGAGGTTGAGGCTGCAGTGAGCCATGATCTCGCCACTGCCCTCCAGCCTGGATGACCATGTCTCAAAAAAAATAGAAAGAAAAGAAAACGAATCTATAAGAAATGCTGAAGAGAGGCCTGGCGCGATGGCTCACACCTGTAATCCCAGCATTTGGGAGGCCAAGGCGGGCAGATCACGAGATCAGGAGATCAAGAGCATTCTGACTAGCATGGTGAAACCCTGTCTCTACTAAAAATACAAAAAAGTAGCTGGGCGTGGTGGCAGGCGCCTGTGGTTCCAGCTACTCCAGAGGCTGAGGAAGGAGAATCTCTTGAACCCGGGAGGTGGAGGTTGCAGTGAGCCAAGATCTGCATTCCAGCCTGGGCAACTCTGTCTCCAAGGGGGAAAAAAAAAGAAAAGAAAAAGAAACGCTGAAGCTAGTGGACATTGCTGAGTGTAGCTAAACGTAAGCCCAGGAGCATAAAGTCTATGTGGGAATTAAAGGTCAAGCAAGCAAGTGGGCACAACCTACTGACTCACCTGTGTAGAAAAGACCTGCTTTGGCCAGTGCTGCAACTCCCACAGCTGATTCCCGGGGCCAGTCCTTAAAAGAGTCCAGCCGTAGTTCTTCGTAAGCAAAGATGCTGTCATTGCAATAAGCTTGAATAAAAAGCACAAGGTGAGACCAGCAGGCTTTAGTCTTTTTTTTTTCTATATCTTTATTGCTGCTGCACAAATTAAAGAGACCAGTAGGCTTTGATATTGCAAGTATCAGCGTTCAAGTTGTCCCTTCACAGTTACAGATGGAATGATGTCTAGAGTTTGCTTCAAAATAAACGGGGCGGGGCGGGGGGGACGACAAAAAGAGATAGGGACAAAAAATCAAAAGAAGAAATAAACAAGCAAAGCCTTTGGAAAATGTTTGAGTTTTTACCTGATGCCATAGGTAATTCTCTCTGGACCCAGGAATTCACAAAATGTTCTCCCTGAGGGAAATTAAAATTCAAGTTGTTGATTATCTGACTTTTTTTTTTTTTTTTTTTTTTTTTTGAGGCAGAGTCTCACTCTGTTGCCCAGGCTGAAGTGCAGTGGCAGGTTCTCGTCTCACTGCAACCTCCGCCTCCTGGGTTCAAGTGATTCTCCTGCCTCAGCCTCCCGAGCAGTACAGGCATGTGCCACCACACCCGGCTAATTTTTTTTTTTTTTTTGTATTTTTAGTAGAGACAGACACGATGTTGGAGGTCTTTTTTTTTTTTTTTTTTTTTTTTTGAGACAGAGTCTCGCTCTGTCGTCCAGGCTGGAGCACAGTGGCACGACCTTGGCTCACTACAAGCTCCGCCTCCCAGGTTCACGCCATTCTCCTGCCTCAGCCTCCCGAGTAGCTGGGACCACAGGCGCCTGCCACCATGCCGGGCTAATTTTTTTTTTTTTTGTATTTTTAGTAGAGATGGGGTTTCACCATGTTAGCCAGGATGGTCTCTATCTCCTGACCTCATCATCCGTCCGTCTCGGCCTCCCAAAGTGCTGGGATTACAGACGTGAGCCACTGCACCCGGCCCATGTTGGAGGTCTTGAGGCTGGTCTCGAACACCTGATCTCAAGTGATCTGCCCAGCTCGGCCTCCCAAAGGGCTGGGATTACAGGCATGAGCTACTGCGCCCAGCCTGATTGTTTGACTTATGAAGTATATACCTATCTATGAACAAGAACTGAAGGAACTTTACCCCAGAATGAAGAGTTTCACTGGATGGAACGGCAGAGTCGGAGGAGAATTATTCCTTTAATTTTTATTTCTGTTGATGTTGCAATTGTTTTTATGCAGTGCAAGCAAACATACACACACACACACACACACACACACACACACACACACACACGCATGCAAGCTGTGAATGTTTATGCATACTCAGGAGGAAGCCTTCTCAGGGTCACTGTTTCCGGAAACTGACCTTGAAAACAGACCTGCATTTAAATATCACAGATGTACTTTGACGAATGAGGAAGTAAGAGACATAGAATGGTAACTAAATTCATCAGGGTATTATATATTGAGCAACTGATTCTTCTGGGAAAGCTGCACCCAGTTTCTTTTTGAGGAAACACCTCTCTTCCCCCACTGTCAGGCCATGTTCTCTATAGAGTTCTGGTCTCCTGAGTCATGTTAATCAATAAATTCTCATTTTTGTTTAAGCCAGTTTGGATTCGATTTCCCATCACTCTCCACTAGGAAATTTTTACTGATTCAGGATAGTTAGCCAGCTAGGAAGAGCCAGCTCTGCAGCCCACTGTGGGTGACAGCGCCTAGGTCAGGAGATCTTAGCAAGCCTGCAGATAGGGGCAGCAGAGGGAAGCTGGGGCAAGTGGCTTCATTCATAAAGGGGAAGACTATCAGGAAGGCAAGCAGAGCCCGTCAGAAGCCAGCCCTGGAAAAAGAAAAAGGCTCTAGGTCAGCAAGTGAATGTGATATTTTTCACTTTGAAGATGGGAGCCAGGGGAATGAAAGGAGAAAGGAAGAAAGAAATCAAACCCATGACATAAAAAGAATGCCTATGCCCTTCTGAGTCAGACACTTACAGGTAATCCAAAAACTTGAGAAAAAAATTGCTGTTATACATTACCGTTATGTCAACAAATCCCTTGTAGCTTTGAATATACTGGGTAATTTCCTCTGAGGATTTCTTACTCCGAAGAAATTCACATCTGTAATTAATAAATATAATTAAAATTTACCCCAGTACTGTGATAGAGCTGTCCTATATCACAATGAACATTTATAAAGACGTATTGAATTGTTGAATTTTATTATACTTCAATAAAATTGCCAAAAAATTTACCACAAAACTTAGGAGAATTACCATTATTCTCATATAATTATTTGTTATTTCTATTAGTGACAACATGTGTAGTTATTTAAAATTAAATCTTCAGGTTAACTTTTTTCTTGAAATAAAACATGCAATACAATCAAAGAGACTGATTTACAGTAAATATAGGATGGAGCTTTTGTTTTTTGGAATTAAGCAGTGGTGACTAAATCTAGTCGCTAGGGTTATATGAAAGCTACTGGCAGTAAAGAGAACTATATTTAAAATAATAGGCCAGACGCAGTGGCTCACATCCAGGAGTTCAAGACTAGCCTGGGCAACATGGCAAAACCCCATCTCCACAAAAAATACAAAAATTAGCCGGGCATGGTGCCACACCTCTGTAGTCCCAGCTACTCAGGAGGCTGAAGGGGGAGGATCACCTGAGCCCGGGGAGGTAGAGGCTGCACTGAGCCATGATCAGGCTGCTACACTCCAGCCTGGGCAACAGACTGAGACCCAGTCTCAAAAGTAAATACAAAAAATCTTTTTAAGATAACAATATATTTATCTACTGAACAAAAAATTACCATGCATTAAAAAGTAATGGCTATTAGGCCAGGCGTGATGGCTCACGCCTGGAATCCCAGCACTTTGGGAGGCCGAGACAGGTGGATCACGAGGTCAGGAGTTCGAGACCAGCCTGGCCAAGATGGTGAAACCCTGTCTCTACTAAAAGTACAAAAATTAGCTGGGTGTGGTGGCGGGCGCCTGTAATCCCAGCTACTTGGGAGGCTGAGGCAGGAGAATCGCTTGAACCTGGGAGGTGGAGGTTGCAGTGAGCTGAAATCATGCCACTGCACTCTAGCCTGGGCAACAGAGCAAGACTCAATCTCAAAAAAAACCAAAAACAAAAAAAGTAACGGATGTTAATGGATAATTTTTGATTTTTTTAAAAAAGAGCACACTGAATACCATTTAAAAACATATTCCTTTCCCATAAAAGAGAAGCAGTTTTAAAATTAACTTTTAAAATTTCCTCCAATTCAGCTGGGCATGGGGGATCATGCCTGTAATCCCAGCACTTTTGGAGGCTGAGGCGGGTGGATCACTTGAGGCCTGGAGTTTGAGACCAGCCTGGTCAACATGGTGAAACCCCATCTCTACTGAAAATACAAAAATTAGCCAGGCATGGTGGCGGGCGCCTGTAATCCCAGCTGCTTGGGAGGCTGAGGCGGGAGGATCACTTGAACCTGGGAAGCAGAGTTTGCAGTGAGTCATGATTGTACCACTACACTCCAGCCTGGGCAACAGAGAGAGACTCTGTCTCAAAAAAAATAAAAATAAAAATAAAAATCCCTCCAATTCAAATTTAAGTTTTCTTTCTATGGTGCTGTAGCAAAGAATGGGCTGGGAACCCAAAGGCTGGAGCATTAGTACCCGCTCTTCCACCAGTGGGGATGTGACCAACCTTGCCATGTTCTCTTATAATCACAGGAGAACATGGATGCCATCAGATGATCTGCATATTTCCCCAGGGCCATGATTCTATGTGATAGGCAGCCAGGGTCCCCAGTTTTCAGGTGTATAAATGTTTCCAAGGATTGCCGTAAGTCTGCACATAACCTACATGGCACACAATGCACGGGGTGGTTCCCTGTCCTCATGATTTATATGGATTGAGGAGGAACTCAGTACCTTAAAAAGTTACCATAAAATCATCTTACATTTATGGAGTGCCACATTTTAAAAAGTGTAAGGGTATACTCATTTTGTTGACAGTTGATAAAAAGAAGCAACAAATTGAAGTCCAGAAAGCTAAAGACAGAGTAACCCAACAAGAAACTTGGGGATTCTTGCTCTAATTCCAGCTCTTAGATTTTATTGACTGACCATGTGCTTATGACGACAAACAAATGAAAGGCAAAACAGTGGGTCATCTGTCATCCTCACATTATACATGGTAATTTTTACAAAGCATTTGATCCATATACTTTGTTTCTCATCCTTACAACCACCAGACAAGCTGTACATTATTATCTGCTGTGGAAGTCGCAGATACCAAGATGAAATCACTTTTATCAGACCCACACAAAATAGGGCTGGGAAGGCACGAAGGAGTGGGGTTCAGGCTTTCATGTCCAAGACAGGAACGGTTCCAAAGACTTTCTAAGAATCCCATAAGAAATCCCTTCACGCCTGTCACGCATCTCCTGCTTTGCATTGCTTGCATGTACGCACATATTTCTATGGCAAGGTTTATCACTGCACATTCTTTTGGACTGCAGCAATTCAGATAAGATAACATGAGATGAGATGCTGTCAAAAGAACACCTGCCCAGGAACAGCATCTCCACCAATGAACACACAAGAACTCTGGCTTTGAGCCTTCAGAACCAAGGAATTCTCTTCTGCCCTCTCTCCTCTCCCCTCTCCCCCGTCCCCTGTCTTCTCTCTCCTCTCCCCTCTCCCCTCTCTCCTCTCTCTCTAAAGAAACTGGAGCCTCATCACATTGCCCAGGCTGGTCTCAAACTCCTGGCCTCCAAAGACCCTCCCGCCTCAGCCTCCCACATAGCTGTGATTACACGTATGAGCTACCATGCCCAGCTATGAACTCTGTTTCTAAGCAGCTTATGTGAACTTCTCCCTTTTGCCAAGAAAAATTCCCTTTACTCTTCCCTCACTGCACGTGCCTGTGGTTTACAGTAGTGCATTCCAAATCATAACCCTCTTTTCTTATTCCTGAATAAATTTGACATATTTGGGGATATCTGTCTCTAATTTTTTTGTTGTTGTTGACACTGCATTTTACATATGAGATTCAGACAAGGTCAGTCACCTGCCTAGGGTCTGGTAGTCAGGTAGCAGCAGATTCAAGCCTGGCTCTATCTCCTAAGCCTCTGCACTACCCCCTGCCCTTGTTTGCTGGCCTGAACTCCTTCCTCTCTAGGAGTGGTTGCTGGACTGCTGTCTCCCCTCCCTGTGCTTATTACCTTACCCTCTGACTATGTTAGAGAAGGCATATGAAGGCCCCTCCAGACAGGATGTGCGGCTCTAGTAGGTGCTAGTCACATGATAATGTGATCATGTGTGAGTGGTGCCACTGGTACTTGTCCAGTGTATAACCCAGCGACACTAAACACAGTGACCCTGAGGCTAAGTGAAGCCTGAGCTGAGGCTAGAGCTGAGACAGGTGCCCACGAGCAGCGGCTTGTGCTCCAGCCGGGGCTGCTGTTCCCTGTTACATATGCATATATGGTGCACTGTCAGCATGGACAAGGACTGCCTGGGTGGCTGTTTTGATTCGTCAGGGAGCCAGAGTGACTGTCAAATGATTTCACAATTCTAGCTTCATTCGTCCCTATAACTATCTCATCTACTTGTCTAACTTTCTCTCTCTCCTCTTCCTGCCTTTCTCCTCTCCTCCCTTGTTTACTTCCTCCCTCCTAATCTCCTCACTTTCTTTTCAACTATGAAAGTAATATATACTTGTTTCCAAAAATTTAAACAAGACAGCAATGAACAAAATAAATGTGAAAATCCATCACTACTTCACCCCCTGACAAATCCAGATCCAGAAGTATCTACAGTTTGGTTTACATATTTTCATAAGGTTTTCTATATATTTTCAAGCAACTCCATATATAGTTTGAGTGGTTTTAAACATTTTCAAAGTCTCACACTGCACTTATTGTGCATATTGCTTTCCCACACAACGTATCAAAACATATCAAAGATATCCATTCACTTTTTTTTTCTTTTGAGATGGAGTCTCACTCTGTTGCCCAGGCTGCTGTGCAGTGGAGTGATCTTGGCTCACTGCAACCTCCGCCTCCCAGGTTCAAGCAATTTCTTGCCTCAGCCTCCCGAGTAGCTGGAACCATAGGCACGCACCACCACGCTCGGCTCATTTTTGTATTTTTAGTAGAGATGGGGTTTCACCATGTTGGCCAGGGAAGAGGGGAGATAGGAGAGGAGAGAGGAGAGAGGGAAGAGGGGAGAGGAGAGTTCATCACTTGAATGAACTCCTGGCCTCAAGTGATTTGCCCGCCTTGGCCTCCCAAAGTGCTGGGATCACAGGTGTGAGCCACTGTGCCCAGCCTTTTTTTTTTTTTTTTTTTTTTTTGAGATGGAGTCTCGCTGTGTTGACCAGGCTGGAGTGCAGTGGTGCGATCTCAGCTCACTGCAACCTCTGCCTCCCGGGCTCAAGCAATTCTCCTGCCTCAGCCTCCCAAGTAGCTGGGGTTACAGGTGCCTGCCACCACGCCTGGCCAATTTTTGTATTTTTAATAGAGACAGGGTTTTACCATGTTAGCCAGGCTGGTCTTGAACTACTGACATCAAATGATCCGCCTACCTTAGCCTCCCAAAGTGCTGGGATTACAGGCATGAGCCACCATGCCGGGCCTCCATTCACTTTTGTGGGCATGGCTGTCCATGTGCAAGATGACTTATAAATGTAAATAACTGTGTCCAGTTTTGTAGTTAATTTAGTATCCAACCAACAACTTTGCATGTAGTAGGTGTGTGACAAATATTTGTTAAAGAAAATAGAATCTGAGGCTGGGCACGGTGGCTCATGCCTATAATCCCAGCACTTTGGGAGGCCGAGGCAGGTGGACTGCCTGAAGTCAGGAGTTCGAGACCAGCCTCGCAAATATGGAGAAACCCCGTCTCTACTAAAAATACAAAAACTAGTCAGGTGTGGCAGTGCGCACCTATAATCCCAGACCTGGGTGGGGTGAGGCAGGAGAATCGCTTGAACCCAGGAGGCAGAGGTTGCAGTGAGCCAAGATTGCACCGCTGCACTCAAGCCTGGGCAACAGAGTGAGACTGTCACAAAAAAAAAAAAAAAAAAGAAAGAAAGAAAGAAAATAGAATCTGAGCCTGACCAAACTGCTAGATCCAAGTGTCAGGTTCCTGGAAATGCAGAAGGTAGAGGAACATGTTAGACTATGCCAGAGGAACACATTCTGCCAAATCTAGAGTAGAGGGAATTTTACAGGACAGATTACATGGCTTCTTTAACAAATAAGTGACAAGAAAAAAGAGATGGATAAAGAGGAAATCTACGAATTAAAAATCTTAAGGGGCTGAGCACAGTGGCTCATGCCTGTAATCCCAGCACTTTGGGAGGCTGAGGTGGGAGGATCACTTGAGCCCAGGAGTTTGTAGAACCAGGAGTTCCAGACCAGCCTGGGCAACAAAGTGAAACCTTGTCGCTATAAAAGATATGAAAATTAGCTGGGCATGGTGGTAGGCACCTGTGGTCCCAGCTACTCAGGACGCTGAGGTGGGAGGATTGCTTGAGTCTGAGAGGTGGAGGTTGCAGTGAGCTGAGATTGCACCACTAAACTCCAGTCTGGGCTCCAGTCTGGGCAACAGAGCAAAACTCACTCTCAAAAAAAAAAAAAAAAGAAAAGAAAGAAAGAAAACAACAAATCTTGGTCAGGCACAGGTGGCTCATGCTTGTAATCCTAGCACTTTGGGAATCCAAGGTGGGTGGATCACTTGAGGCCAGGAATTTCAGACCAGCCTGGGCAACATGATGAAACCGCATCTCTACTAAAATTACAAAAATTAGCCAGGTGTGGTGGTGCATGCCTGTAATCTCAGTTACTCGGAGGCTGAGGCACAAGAATCACTTGTACCTGAGAGGTGGAGGTTGCAGTGAGCCAAGATCGTACCACTGGGCAACAGGGCGAGACTCTGTCTCAAATAAAATAAAATAAAAATATAGTTATTGTTATTATTTCCAGGAAAAAAGGTGGGTAGGAGATGGATGAAATATGATTTGGCTATGTGTTGACAAGTATTTATTACACTATTCTATCTTTGTATGAAATTTTACACAGTGAAAGTTTAAAAACTTGTTAAAGGAATGAATCTGTACTTGGTAGAAACAAAGAAAGTCATGTAGAAAATACTAGTAAATATAGCATTAAAAATAATTAAAATGTACTTCCTTTTCTAAGCCAGGAACTAAAGACCACTGCAGTAATAAAAACTCTTTCTGAGGTTTAAAAATACAGTGTTTTCATTTGGTATATATTTAGCAGTACATGAAACCATTTGTAATAATGTTTAAATATTTTTTACCTTCCAGCATACACCATTTTACACCACCCCTATGGAAATTATTATTACTTATTTAATTAGTTTTAGAGACAGGGTCTCACTCTGTCACCCAGGCTGGAGCACAGTGGCTTGATCACGGCTCAATGCAGCCTTGACTACCTGGGCTCTAGCAATCTTCCTGCCTCAGCCTCGCAAGTAGCTAGGACTGCAGGTACACGCCACCATGCCTGGCTAACTTTTTTTTTTTGAGACGGAGTCTCACTCTGTCGCCCAGGCCGGAGTGCAGTGGCGCTATCTCGGCTCACTGCAAGCTCTGCCTCCCGGGTTCACACCATTCTTCTGCCTCAGCCTCCCAAGTAGCTGGGACTACAGGCACCCGCCACCGTTCCCGGCTAATTTTTTGTATTTTTAGTAGAGACATGGTTTCACCGTGTTAGCCAGGATGGTCTTGATTTCCTGACCTCGGATCCACCGGCCTCAGCCTCCCAAAGTGCTGGGATTACAGGTGTGAGCCACCGCGCCTGGCCAATTTTTTTTATTTTTGTAGAAACAGGGTCTCTACATGCCAGGCTGGTCTCAAACTCCTGATTTCAAGCAATCCTCCTGCCTTGGCCTCCCAAAGTGCTGGGGTTACAGGTGTGGGCCACCACTTCCAGCCTTATTTATTAATTAAGGCAGATCATGAAACTTCTACTGGGCAAAACCTATCTTAGAATTTGGGATAATGAAATACTTAAAAACTGTTTAAAATTCTATAATTCAAACTTTTCACAATGTAATTAGGCCTTTCCTGCTTGAATAAATCCTGGAGTGGTCCAATTTTGAATAGGGAAAGATCAAAACTGAAGGTGCTACTCCAGAAAGGTGGCTCTTTTGTCTTTCATTTTGTCTTTTAAAGAACTGAAAAATTTAGCCAGGCACAGTGGCTCACGCCTGTAATCCTAGCACTTCGGGAGGCCTAGGTGGGTGGACTGCCTGAGCTCAGGAGCTCAAGACCAGCCTGGGCAACATGGCAAAACCCCATCTCTGCTAAAAATACAAACATTAGCCCATCTTGGTGGTGCACACCTATAATCCCAGCTACTCAGAAGGCTGAGGCAGGAGAATCACCTGAACCAGGGAGGGAGAATTTGCACCGAGCTGAAGTCATGCCACTATACTCCAGCCTGGGTGGCAGAGCAAGACTGTCTCAAAAAAAAAAGAAAGAAACATTTAAGCAAAAATTATCTACTTACTTGGGGAACCATTTGGCATGTTCCTTCCAAGGATCATCTCCTTCTTCCCAATTTCCTAAACATCCACCACAGGAAAAACACTGTACCGTGTCCTGTTTACCTATATATGAAGGAAAATATTTAGATTGCCTGGCAGTGGCACCAGGGGGTATGTACACAGAGTTGATTGTTTTGTTCAGGAGCAAGACAAGCTCCAGCGTGGCTGTGCACTCCCGATCTCATTGGCCTGAGTCTCCATCCTCAATCCCACCACCCAAAATGGGCCCCTCCACCACAGCCGTGCTCTAGGTACAGAACCCTAAGCTGTGTAACTCAATATCCTGCCCCAGCTGCCCCCCAGAGCTGGTATGTTGCTCTTTGAGTTCTCAGGGTCAAAGTGATAGGGAAGCCGACTAACACCAGGACCAGCTGAAGTAACGTGCAATTAGAAAACCTACGTTTTAGCCTTGCCATGACATTTCGGTAGAAACATAGGCATGTTTCTTAAAGTCTCTGAGCCTCCATGAACTCAGCTGTGAAATGGGAGAGAAAGGGGTAAATTCATTGGATAAGAATTAGTACTCACTCTATGCCTAGCATAAAGTAGGTACAGTACTCAGTAAATGATCGTTGTTATTGTTAGAACTCTGATTTATATATCATAACCCCTATGGCGGGGCTAGGACAAACAAACAAAACCCTCCAATACTGCAGCAATGAGAAGAATCAAAGAAAGATCATGTAAGAGCAGTAGAAGGAGGGTGGGTGAGGAGACTGGGATCAGGATGACCGCATGAGTTATTTAATCTTTTCAGGACCTTAAGAATACAGCCAGTATTTTCTAAGGTCCAAGTTTAAGGAGACGTAACTTTCTTATTTTATATATATTTGACAAATTAACACAGGCTGTACTAAATAGAAAATGAAGCAAAAATAAAAATATTGATGTTGAATTTTAATAAACTAGACCTTATACCTAATATAACACATTTAACCAGTGAAGAAAGTTTAGCAAAATATTGCAAAAGCAATTGAAAAATAAAACCTAAACTTAAAACGCCAGAGAAACACTTCAGAGAATAATTTCAAGGTACCTGTAAAGACAAAGCCAGCCTCTGAGAGCACACAAGGGGATATCCCTTGGACATAAAATGGCCAGTTCCTGAAGGACGCAAGTCTAGCCTCCTCTTCTTGGTACCTCATTTTACCTCCTCTCAGCCTGCTCTTCAGATTCTTCACCCTTATGTCGTACTTGGCAATGTTACCAACATCCTTGTTCAAAAGGAACCCACAATCTGGATGAAACCTCTTGTGGTCTTCTATGGGGAGTCTCGTGAGGCCGGCACCAAAGAGGATTAGGCTACAGCAGAAGCACTGAATCCCAGATTTTACCCCAGTGAAGTAAAACCCAGCGGCCGCCATCTCCTGTGGTATCCATGAGCTGTACGGCTCATAAGTCACAAAAGTCTTTAACCTTTTTGCTTCACTGCGCATTTGAGAGTTGTAGCCTTTCTGCATTTTTGCTCGCTCCTTCTGCTCCTCTTCTTCTAGTTCCTTTGCCAACTGAACTGCATCTAGGCCCAGAAGAGCAGACAGCTCTGGCAGCAAATTGTGATCAAACTGGGAGATCCTCTCGTCAGAGGCTTTCTGCTGGGTGGCCATTTTCTGAAAAGGAAAATAAAGCAGGTTGATCCCTTATAGTAAGATTTTTCTTAGAAGAGCATTTCCCACTGTTTCCGAAGAAACCAGGAATTAAAGGAATGCCTGGAATTTCAACACAAAAGATAAATTGTTGGAAAATTATGAAACATCAGTATTCATCTACTTAATCAACAAATATTTACTAAGCACCTACTATATATCAGGTACAGTGCTAGACATTGGGGATCTAGCAACCAACAAGACAGACACCCATCTGCCTCCATTCATGAAGCTTTCCAGATATCAGTTATGGACACAATGTGGTAACATGAGCATATACTGAACATTTATATTAAAGAAAAACATAGACAAAATTGTATAGCCTGGCAGCAACAATTTGATCGAATTACTCAGTTTTAAAAAATCATTATTTTGTGTTCATGTTTTAAGTCTCGGTGCTCTGGCCGGGCGCGGTGGCTCACGCCTGTAATCCCAGCACTTTGGGAGGCCGAGGCAGGTGGATCACGAGGTCAGGAGATGGAGAACATCCTGGCTAACAAGGTGAAACCCCATCTCTACTAAAACTACAAAAAAAATTAGCCGGGCGTGGTGGCGGGCGCCTGTAGTCCCAGCTACTCGGGAGGCTGAGGCAGGAGAATGGCGTGAACCCAGGAGGTGGAGCTTGCAGCGAGCCGAGATCGCGCCACGGTACTCCAGCCTGGGTGACAGAGCAAGACTCCGTCTTAAAAAAAAAAAAAAAAAAAAGAAGCTCAGTAACAGGCCAATGACTGTTTTTCAAAGGACATATACCTGCCAGAAGCCTCGGGTAACTTTCTAGTGTCAAATCCCCATGACCATCCCTGAGGGGCAGTCACGGGCTTTGGTAAGAAGCTCCATCAGCGTGAGTCGGTTGCTGACATTGCTAACATCATTTGAACACTGAGGTGCTATGGCCCCAAAGTAATCTCTTCGAAGTTCCCAAAAAGTCTCCCATTTGTTCATTTTTCAAAGCCCCATGTAAATTAGCTCCCCATTCCCTCTTAACTTCGAGAATAAGGGTTGATAAAATTCCCAAACATGGTATGTGATTTCTCCAGGAACCAAGAAATTGAACTAATTTTCGTGCCTTTTTCCTCTGTCTTGTAGCTAGCAACTTAATTTTGGTTGTTTGGGAATGTTTCTAGTGGCTCTAGCCCAAGTAATTCCTCCTTTTTTTTTTTTTTTAGACAGTCTCACTCTGTCACCCAGGCTGGAGTGCAGTGGCGTGGCCTCGGCTCACTGCAACCTCCGCCTCCTGGGTTCAAGCAATTCTCCTGCCTCAGCCTCCTGAGTAGCTGGGATTACAGGCACGTGCCACCAATTGCGGCTAATTTCTGTATTTTTAGTAGACACAAGGTTTTGCCATGTTGGCCAGCTTGGTCTCCAACTCCTGACCTCAAGTGATCCGCCTGCCTTGGCTTCCCACTCTTGTCCTTGTCGCCCAGGCTGAAGTGCAGTGGCGCAATCTCAGCTCCCACACCGGGATTACAGACGTGAGCCACCACACCCAGCCTAGCCCAAGTAATTTCTAAGAATTTTACCATTTATTCTAAGCCTTGCATTTTAGCCAGTTAATCATCCCTCCCTGGTGGTTATATGATTAACAAGCACTTCCAATTCAGTCTTAGCTGGATATTTGGATTGAGAGATTAACATTATTATCATCAATATAATAAGACATAGTATTAGCTGGGCGCAGTGGCTCATGCCTGTAATCCCAGCACTTTGGGAGGCTGAGGCGGGCAGATCACCTGAGGTCAGGAGTTCAAGACCAGCCTGGCCCACATGGTGAAACCCCATCTCTACAAAAATAAAAAAAATTAGCCGGGCATGATGGTGGGTGCCTGTAATCCCAGCTACTCAGGAGGCTGAGGCGGGAGAATCAGTTGAACCTGGGAGGCAGAGGTTGCAGTGAGCCAAGATCTCGCCATTGCACTCCAGCCTGGGTGACAGAGTGAGACTCCATCTCAAACAAACAAAAAAAAGATATAGTATTTTCCAGTGCAATCAAATCTAAGTTGTTCCTCATTAGGTTGTAGCAATAAGCAAGATAATTTAAATGTCCTGTGGGAGCAGCTTAAATGTGCATTGGTGGCCTTTCCACACAAATGCAAATTGATTATGATTTTCTCCTGAAATAGGAATCAAAAAGAAAGTAAGTGGCCAAGTGTGGAGGCTCACACCTGTAATCCCAGCATTTTGGGAGGCCAAGGTGGGAGGATTGTTTGTGGCTAGGAGTTTGAGGCCAGTTTAGGCAACTTAGTGAGATCCTTGTCTCTACAAAAAATTTTAAAAATTAGCCAGATGTGTTGGCACATGCCTGTAGTCCCAGCTACTCGGGGAGCAGAGGCAGAAGGATCACTTGAGCCCAAGAATTCAAGGTTACAGTGAGCCACAATTATGCCACTCACTGTACATTTCATGAAATCTCTTTCCTCAACAGCATCCCCATTCAGATGTCACATCCATTCCGATAATATATCAGGGAGAGATGATAACAATTATGCAATTATATTGCATAATTGAATTATATTGAAATATAATCCATCGGGAGCAGTGGCTCATGCCTGTAATCTCAGCACTTTAGGAGGCCGAGGTGGGTGGATCACCTGAGGTCAGGAGTTTGAGACCAGCCTGGCCAACATGGCAAAACCCCATCTCTACTAAAAATACAAAAAAAAAAAAAAAAAGAAATTAGTCAGGTGTGGTGGCACGTGCTTGTAGTCCCAGCTAGTTGGGGCTGGCTGTGGTGGCTTACACCTATAATCCCAGCACTTTGGGGGGCTGAGGCCAGGAGTTCAAGACTAGCCTTGCCAACATGGTGAAACCCCATCTCTACTAATAATACAAAAAAAATAGCTGGGCATGGTGGCGCATGCCTATAATCTCAGCTACTCGGGAGGCTGAGGCAGGAGAATTGCTTGAACCCACGAGGCAGAGGTTGCAGTGAGCCGAGATCGCACCACTGCACTCCAGCCTAGGCGACAAGAGTGAAACTCCATCTCAAAAAAAGAGAAAGAAATATAATTCACACATCATAAAATTCACCCATTTAAAATGAACAACTGAGGGTGCGGTGACTCATACCTATAACCCCAATGCTCTTGAGGCCAAGGCGGGAGGATTGCTTGAGACCAGGAGTTGAGATCAGCCTGGGCAACATAGCTAGACCCTGTCTCTAAAAAAACTTTTTTTTTAAGAAAACGAAAACTTAGCGGGGCATGGTGGCATGTGCCTGTAGTCCTAACTACGTGGGAGGCTGAGGTGGAAGGATCTCTTGAGCCCAGGAATATGAAGCTGCGGGGAGCTATGATTGCAGTACTATACTCCAGCCTGGACAACAGAGTGAGGCTCTGTCTCTAAAAAAAGTAAATAAAATGTACAGTTCAATAAATATCAGCATATTCATAAACATGCACAACCACCACCACAATCAATTTTAGAACATTTTCATCCCCCCAGAAAGAAACGCTGTGCCCATTAGCAGTTGCTTTCCATGTCCCCCATTACCCTCCTAGCCCTAGGCAACTACTATGTTACTTTCTGTCTCTATAGATTTGCCTACTGGGGACATTTCATTTAAATTGAATCATACAGTACGTGGTCCTTTGTGTCTGGTTGCTTTCACTTTGCAAAATGTTCATGTTGGTAGAGGTGCTTAAAAAATAAAATAAAAAGAACAACAAAAAAAGGAAGCGAAATTCATCCATGTTGTATTGTTTTAGTACTTCATATTCCTTTTCATTGTCAAATAATATTTCATTATGTGGATATACCACACTTTATTATCACATATACCATATTTTATTCCTCAACCCAGTTGATGGATGTGTGGATTGTTTACGCTTTTTGGCTATTATAAATAATACCGCTGTGCACATTAGTGTGCAAGTTTTTATATGGACATTTTTCACTTTTTTTTTTTCTTGAGACAGGGTCTTGCTCTGTCACCTAGGCTGGAGTGCAGTGGCTTGATCACCATCCATTGCAGCCTCAACCTCAAGGGCTGAAGCGATCCTCCCACCTCAGCTTCCCAAGCAGCTCGTACGACAGGAGCACACCACCATTTTTTATAGAGACAAGCGTGTTGGGGGTGTTGGTGGGGGGGGTCTCACTATGTTGCCAAGTTGGTCTCAAACCCCTGGGCTCAAGTGATCCTCCCACCTCAGCCTCCTAAAGTGCTGGGATTACAGGCCTGAGCCACCACACCTGGCCCATTTTTCACTCTTAAACTTACAGTTGTATTGTCATACTAAACTAAGTTAATTGCTGTTTAATTTTTTATTAGCAGGTATAACAATACATTATGCACCATGGTCCAACAATGACAATAAAGTTTTTCACCACTCCGGGCATTTTATCCACACCAATGTAAATGTCCTTGGGTCCCATAGCACCAAGAGACTCTGCCACCCTTTTCTTTACATCACACTGCTTTAAAGTGACTGTAGATTCTGCTTTTGCATCATCCTAAAGGTTTATTTGTTTAATTCATCAAGACTAGGATACATTAGAAATCTTGACTGGGCACAGTGGCTCACACCTGTAATCCCAGCACTTTGGGAGGCTAAGGTGGGAGGATTGCTTGAGCCCAGGAATTTGAAACCAGCCTGGGCAACAAAGTGAGATGGAGTCTTGCTCTGTTCACCCAGGCTGGAGTGCAGTGGCAAAATTTTGACTCACCGCAACCTCTGCTTCCCAGGTTCAAGCAATTCTCCTGCCTCAGCCTCCTGAGTAGCTGGGATTACAGGCATGTGCCACCATGCCCGGCTAATTTTTTTATTTTTAGTAGAGACAGGGTTTCACCATGTTGGCCAGGCTGGTTTCGAACTCCTGACCTCAGGTGATCCACCCGCCTCGGCCTCCCAATGTGCTAGGATTACAGGTGTGAGCCACCATGCCCAGCCCTTTCCTTTTTTTTTTTTTTTTTTTTATAGGAGACAAGGGCTCACTCTGTTGCCAAGGCTGTAGTACAAGTGCAGTGGCATGATTCTAGCTCACTGCAGCCTCAGATTCCTGGGCTTAAGCAATCCTCTTGCCTCAGCCTCTCAAAGTGCTGGGATTACAGGTGTAAGCCAGGACACCCGGCCTCCTTTCTTTTGAATGATATTAATCTGTTCATCATTCAGCACAATTTGGAGCAAAGGAACTAGTAAGTCTTCAACAGGCTTTCACTTCATCCTGCTCCCCCAGTAGTAGGGTCATACAAAAAGTCTACGAAGGTAGAGGCCCTCTTATCACAGCAACAATCATCACTTAAGTCAAAGACATAAAATTAAGGGATACCTTAGTTTCATCACAGAACCAGTCCAAATGTGTTTGTTTGCATTCTCAACATTTCAGTAACCTCTAGGGAGTATTTCTTCTAACAATTATGGGTGGAATTGGGCAGTTCCCCTTTACAAGATATGTTTTATGTACTGCCACCTTTGTGCAGCTCAACCGATTTGGAATTTGCCCAGCTAAACACATTCCGGCAAAAGCTGCAGCTAATTGAAGATCTTCAACGAATTCAGCTAATTAAGACCAAACACACCCTTTCATTTGAAGGTACATTTGACAGTACCTAATACAAGGAAAAGAGCTCCTTTGTCATTCATGTATATCCAACCCAGCAGTGGTTCTGCAGGAAGCTCTGTCAGTCCACAGGCAACTTCACTCTTGTGTAGTTCCCTGTTTCAGTTGTCTCTTGATGCCCTCCCACTGTAGTTTCGTTGGTGATTATCTACCCGATGAGGGTCACATTCCCATCAGAAGAAATATCTGCCCAACTCCTCTTTGGCATCATGTTCCTTCCCTTTACAGAAGGAAATTGGTGGACTTGGCAACACAGGCTCTTTTTTAGTTACTTTCATTTTTGCCAAAGCAGCCTAACCAGCCAGGGAACTGTATTCTTGGCTGACTTCCTCTGTGTCTGGATTTCTTTTTAAATCTATTTAGCGATTTCCTCTTGCTCTGCATCAACCACCTTCAAGTTCCATTGTCATCCCTTTCTTCCCATTGAGAGTTGTAGCACTTCAGCAAATTCAAACAGGGATTCCCCAGCAACTAGCCTGGCACCAGTGGCTCTAAATCTTTCCCCACTTTTCATCTTTCTCCCAAACAAAGCCTTAGCTATCATTTAAATTATAAAGTAAAAAACTGGGGGGCCAGGCGCAGTGGCTCACACCTGTAATCCCAGAACTTCGGGAGGCTGGGACGGGCGGATCACTTGAGTTCAGGAGTTCAAGACCAGCCTGGCCAACATGGCGAAACCCCATCTCTACTAAAAATACAAACAAATTAGCCGGGCGTGGTGGTGCATGCCTGTAATCCCAGCTACTCGGGTGGCTGAGGCACAAGAACTGTTTGAACCCAGGAGGCAGAGGTTTCAGGCTTCAGTGCCACTGCACTACAGCCTGGGCAACAGTGTGAGACCCTGTCTCGAAAAAAAAAAAGAAAAAAAAAAACCTGGGGCCAGGCGCAGTTGCTCACACCTGTAATCCCACCACTTTGGGAGGCCAAGGCAGGCAAATCACTTGAGCCCAGGAGTTCGAGACCAGCCTGGGCAACATGGTAAGACTCCAGCTCTACAAAATAATTTTTTTAAAAGTTAGGCAGCCGTGATGGTGTGCGCCTATAGACCCAGCTACTCGGGAGGCTGAGGTGGGAGGATCTCTTGAGCCCAGGAGGTTGAGGCTATAGTGAGCTGTGATCAAGATACTGCACTCAACTTGGGTGACAGAGTGAGAGAGACCCTGTCTCAAAAACAAAAAAAAAGTAATGATCCTATTCACAGTACCCTCTTCATCAATTACACAGGTTTGGATCATTGAAAAGACTTAGAAGACTCCGCATAGTATCCTCACATAAGGCTTTAATAAAGGTAAAGGATAGATACAAAAAAAAAAAAAACCCAACAAACCAAAAGGCAAGTGAAACACCACACCCAGTTCCTAGGGTCCTTTTGCAGCCACAGAGGATGTGGAAGATGTGCTTCATCTTTAAGCAATGAACCAGCTAGATGATACATGCAAGACACCTTGGTCTCAAGAGAACTGTAACCTCATCTGAGGCTCTTTTATACTCCTCTGATCAGGTAGCCAACACTAGCTTGCATACCAGGGCTCAAAACCAGAAACAAGCTGGTATAGTCAAGCTGGGGCAGTGGCATGCACCTGTAATCCCAGCTACTTGGGAGGCTGAAGTGGGAGGATCACTTGAGCCCAGAAGTTCAAAGCCAATGAGATTTCATCTCCAAAAAGAAAGAAAGAAGCAAGAAACAGGCTGCTCCCTGGTCTGTCTCCCACCCCAGCACAGGACTCTATTAATCACTGGCTAGTACATTTCATTTAGGTTTGGCCAAGGAACAGCACCAAGGCTTCAGGCCTCCCCAGAGATAAATGAGTACAGAGTTGCAGCAGACCAGCAGACATTGATCCTGTCTGACACAACGAAGTTTGGTGGTCAATCATGCCAGTCTAGAGGCTGTTTCTGGGGGAGGAGAAGTAATTTCCAAGGCCCTTTCCAGGTCTAATATTCTTTGACTACAGTGCTAAGAGTGCCATTGAGGCAACTGTGCCATGGAGCTAGGATTTAAACCCAAGTCTGTGTGACTCCAGTGTCTGTCCTCTTTCCTCCATACCATCCTGCCTCCAAAGAGAGAAACAATAGCAAGACAAAGAAGGGACCATAGGTTTAGGTGTGGAAGAAAAGCACCTTTGCCAGGGATAGTAATTTACTTACCTGAGGTTTATCCACAGTTCTAGTCTAATAGAGGAGAATGCTGGCCAGTGGAAGGAAAGTATGTGGCTGAAGAACAAATGCTCTGTCCGTCCTTTAGTAGGAAGCAGTGAGAAAATATTTAAGGAACTAAAATGCAAAAAAAAAATCGCGCAGTCAGAGACTTTACCAGTAAATGCTCTAAGGTCTTGAGTCAACAGGATTTAATCAGGACCCAAAAGGAGTAATGAAACCTACAGAGTCTCACACCAGAAGTATTTTATTCTAGTTTTTTTGTTTCTGTTGTTTTTGAGACAGTGTCTCACTCTGTCGCCCAGGCTGGAGTACAGTGGCACGATCCTAGCTCACTGCAGCCTCAAGCTTCCAGGCTGAAGCGATCCTCCCATCTCGACCTCCCAAAGTGCTAGGATTATAGGCATGAACCACCACATCCGGCCTTTATTCTAGTTTGTTAAGATTGGTTAATAGTTAAGGTGCTAGTGTCTTATTTCTGTTATAGTAACAGTTTCTATCTTTCTGGTAGCTTTTAGGATCTTTTCTCCTAAGTGTAGACCTCTCTACATTCATTGGGCTGGGTATTCAATGGGCATTTTCAATCTGAGCTCTTGGGTCTCCCATCAAGCCTGGGAAATTACCTTCTATTATTTATTTGATAACTTCCTACTGTCTGTTACTCTCTTTTTACTCTTTTGGTATTCCCACTATTCAGGTGAGTAATTAATTGATCACTTATTTTTTTTTCATATATTCTTTTCCTACTTTCTAAGGGTCTCGCTCTGTCATCCAGGCTGGAGTGCAATGGCACAATCACAGCTCACTGCAGCCACCACCTCCTGGACTCAAGTGATCCTCCCACCTAGCCTCCCAAGTTTTGGGACTACAGACGTGTGCTACCATGCACAGCTGATTTTATATTTTATTTTGTGTAGAGATGGGGGTCTCACCTTGTTGCCCAGGCTGGTCTCAAACTCCCGGGCTCAAGTGATCTGCCGGCCTCAGCCTCCCAAAATGCTGGGATGACAGGTGTGAGCCACCGCACCCAGCTGTCCTCTCCTTTATATTCCGGTTCTCCAATCTAGTTTAAAATTTCAGCAATTATAATTTCCCACAGCTCTTTCTTTTCTCTGTGCCTTATTTTCATAGTGTCAATTTTTTTAACCAGTGCCATCTTCCTGAATCTGCTGTACGATACTAATGTTTAAGTTCCTGTTTCCTGAATTATGTTTCCTCAAAGGTTTTTACCACTTACCTTGGTGTTTACTTTTCATATTATCAACTTTCCTCAAATGTGTAGTGATCCTGGGTTTTCAACTCATGTTTAAAAATTAAGTCATTTAAAAACACATTGGTCAAACTAATCATTAAAAAATCAGGAGCCACAGGAGTGGGACTTGAACCTGAGCCTTTCCCTCTATGGAGAACAAGAATTACCCTAATGTCAGAATGTCAGAGAAAGATTTCAGAAAATGATTTCAAGTTACTTGGGGTTTTTTTTGTTTTGTTTTGTTTTTGGAGATGGGGTCTCACTTTGTCACCCAGACTGGAGTGCAGTGGCACAATCTCGGTTCACTGCAGCCTCTACCTCCCAGGCTCAAGTGATCCTCTCATCTCAGCCCCACAATAGCTGGGACTACAGGCATGCACCACCACACCTGGCTAATTTTTGTATTTCTAGTAGAGACAGGGTTTCGCCATGTTGCCCAAGCTGGTCTTGAACTCTTGACCTCAAGCCATTTGCCCACCTCAGTCCCCCAAAATGCTGGGATTACAGTCATGAGCCACTGGGCCTGGCCCGTTACTTGTAAAGACAAAGCTAGCAGCCGAAAACTTACTTGGAACGTTCCTTGGACATAAAATCACCATTTCTTAAAAGGATTCTTAGTTTTGGGGTGCCAGTGCCCACACTGGTTCTCTAGGTCAGCTAAGAGAAAGCAATGTGTTCAATTTTGGGGGAAGCAGGGAAGACTCCTGTAATTTTTTGCCCCAGGGTAAACACTTGTGTGTCAAATATTCTGATCATGAGGTAGAGAGAGCTGACTGTCCCGTGCACGGGCTTCCAATTAGTCCCTCAATTTTCAGCCCTTCATGTCACTCCAGCCCTCCTTCCTATCTGGCATCCTGTGTCCGCAGTTACTCCAAGCTTCTCCATAGGGCAGATAGTCTCTCATAGGAGACTCCATATTCAGGAAGCGGTTTCCTTGAGCTGCTTCCTTCCTGACTACTAGTCCATATAGTTTCTACTTTCCAAGAATGTGTTAAAATATTCTATGTGCTACTGGTCCCATTTCTGTTCTATTTTATTTTTTTTTACCTTTAAACTCTGTTGGACTTGACATTCTTGTTTTCTTAATTTTCCTGGGTTTATACTTTTAAGAATCAGTAATATTGTGTATTTATTACCAAAAACATGAACTAAAATTTACATAGAGCCTATCAAGGAAAAACCATTTCTCTACTCACATTTCTGACATCAAATATATGGGTTTTCCACCAACCAATTCTCCAATTCTCCACAGACAGCAGCTGAGTGTCTTACAATTTTACTCAATTCTGATGCTAATTAACCAGAGTTAGTGCAGACCCCACGGGTTAGGGGCTCAGCCCCCAAGACTGCCCCCTACTTCAGATGCCAGCCACAACTATTAGGACCTCAGGGTACCCACACTTCTGTCTGAGTTCACTACAAATCATGGGTATCTGCAACCCCCTCAGGTTCGATAATTTCTTTCTTGGGGGTTGGGGGAGTTTAGGAGCAGAGGTTTAATAGGCAAAAGAAAGAAAAACGAGAACAGATCTCTCCCTTGTGAGGGGCTTCCGAAAGGAAAATCCGGCCTGCGGTGGACTGCACCAGATTTTATAGGTAGGCCTGAGGAGGCGGCGTCTGATTTGCGCAGAGCCCACAGGTTGGTTTGAACAGGTGTGACGTTTACATAGCACGCGGGGAAGGTTGGGCGCCCCACCCTAATCTTACTATGACAAAGGGCAGAGTGACCTTGACATGCCATGTGCTTTCCAGAGCAAGGGCAGAGAGTGACGCTCACTGTGGTGGGAGAGGAGACCCTCTGTTCCTAGAAAATCACAACAGCATGCCCCTGTGCTATATCCCTGGTTACTACAGCAGTCTTTGTTCTTGCCTAACAAGATTACTTCCCTGAACTGTAAAACTCCCTCAGTACTGCATACAGAGAGAGGTTAGGAGACATGGTGGTCGTGGATAGGAAATGAGGGAATTATGATAGGAAAGTTGGAGGTCCTGTTGCCGACACCCCTTAGGGTGGCCGGAGGCTGGGGTCAGTCCAGAAGCCTTCGGATGGCACCAGGAGGTAGCCCCAGCCAGAAATCCTCAGTTGCTCCAGGACCTCTTCCAGCCCCACACGACAGCTTGGTCCTCCGTGAAAGGAAACTGGTTCAAACATGGCCAATATGCCCAGCAGCCCGTGGGTATTGGGGGGTTCTCCATGTTCTCCCCAGCAAGCCTGTCCCCCAAAACTTGTAAGGCTGGCAGCCACGCTCATAATTTTTAAATGGCTAATTGGTGAAGGCAGAGTTTTCTCATTCACAGAAGCAGAAGGGGGCCCAGTATTTGGTTTGGTTTGATTCTAAAATGGAGGCCAAGAGCCTCGAAATCAAAGGACAGAGTTGAGGTCCGCCCCTTTACTCACCTTTGCAATGAATGCACCTTGGAATCCCAGACGAAGTCCCCAATATGAAGTGGCATTGTTGTCTGGGGTCAATACCCGGGGTTCGTCGTCTCGCACCAACAAGGTTAAGGACACGATACACACGAAGAGTGGGTTTAGGAGCGGAGGTTTAACACGCAAAAGAAAAAGGAGAACAGCTCTCTCCCTTGTGAGAGAGAGCGGCTTCCGAAAGGAAAATCCCAGGTTCGATCGTTTCTTATAATGGCTCACAGAACTCAGAAACTTTACTTATGTTTACTGCTTTATTATAAAGGATACAGATGAACAGGCAGTCGAAGAGGTACACAGGGCAACGTCCAGAAGGGTCCCAGGTGAGCACAGGACCTTTTGTCTTCATGCAGTTTGAGGTGCATCGCCTTCTTGGTATGTGGTTGGGGTTAACCAAACCGAAAGCTCTCCAAACCTGTGGTTTATTTTTTAATGGAGGTGCCATCACTTAGGCATGATTGGTTAAATCACTGGCAACTGGTGGTTAATCAATCTCCAGCCCTTTTACCCTCTCTGGAGGTCGAGGCGTGGGGCTGCAAATCCCAGACCTCTAATCATGCCTTAGTCTTTCAGGGGATAGCCCCCATCCTGAAGTTGTCTAAAGGATCCCAGCCACCAGTTAGCTCACTGTCATACACTCTTATCACTTGGAGATTCCAAAGGTCTTAGAAGCTCTTGTGTCAGGAACCAAGACCAAGTATTCTAATAAAAGATGTTTCTATCACCCCTGTCACTCAGGAAATTACAAGGGTTTCTGGAGATCTGTGCCAGGAACTGGATGAAGATCAAATATATATATTTATTATATCACAATATTGCAGCCTACTACTTGCCAGGCACAATTCTAAGCACTTTACATGTGTCCACTTAATTCCTTTAACAGTCCAAAATCAGCTATTGCTATATCATCTCCATATTACAGATAAGGAAACTCAAGCACATAGGGGTTAAGGTTAACCAGTGATCTGGCTAGTCTGTACTTTTACCTGATGTTGTGCTGCCATACAGACTAGATATATTTTTTTTTTTTTTAGACTGAGTCTTGCTCTGTTGCCAGGCTGGAGTGCAATGGCGTGATCTCAGCTCACTGCAAACCCAGCCTCCTGGGTTCAAGTGATTCTCCTTCCTCAGCCTCCCCAGCAGCTGGGACTACAGGCACATGCCACCTCGCCCAGCTAATTTTTGTATTTTCAGTAGAGACAGGGTTTCACCATGTTGACCAGGATGGTCTCGATCTCTTGACCTCGTGATCCGCCCACTTCGGCCTCACCAAATGCTGGGATTACAGGCGTGAACCACAGCACCCAGCCAAGACTAGATTTTTAAGAAAAGGCAATCCAGATATCCTAGAAGGTTCATTTCCTCTTTTTGGTGGTTTAGCAAATTTCTTAGTAAGGCTTCTAGCTGTTATAGCAGCATTAGTATGTGAACCACAGTTAAGCTCTAGTCCAACAAGGCCATTTCTTCAGCAGAGAAGCAATTGTTAAATAATCGACCAAGTATTCATTGGCTCCCTCTTTTTGTATCAACATACACAATTGTTACAGTGCCAGTGTTTATTGGAACCACTTTCCATGGTGCATCCAGCTGTGCCTAGACCAGCAGGTCTTTTTCCAGAAGTCCAGATGGCAGGGGAACCTCTTCACGTTGTTGACCCTTCTCCCTGTAATTTTTTCCCCAATAAACCTTTTCATTATGTTGCTGTATTTATACCCAAATACACATTACATTTATTTTAGTACCTTGTACATTTTGTTGCCCTTATAAATTGGAGGGGTTTTAAAAACTATTTTTTATTCTCAATATTCATTGATGATGTATAGGACTCCTTCTGGACTGTTTAATATATGACTGTAAATCCCCCTGAATTTTCTTAGATGTTTGTAGTATCTGATTATGACAGTTTTGTCTTTTATTTATTGCCTTGTTGCATTGATTAGGTCCTCTAATATAATGTTGCTTAATAATGAAGATAGATATCCTATCTTATTCTTGACTTTTGGTATAAATTCTTCTAAAGTTTGAGCATTAAACATGATGTTTGATGTAGATTCTTAGTGGATACTCTTTAGCAGTTAAAGTAACTTCTCTTTTACTTCCAGTGACACTACTACCTAATTTGAAGAGAGGATTTGGAATTTTGAGTTTCAAAATAATACTGTTTTCAAACACTTTTTTAGCTAAAAAGTACACACACATAGGGCAGTGTTTTAAAGTTTAGCTACTTCAGGGCATATGTGTATACTCACTGAAGTTTTAATTTAATGGCTTATTGGTCATTCATGTATCTTCTTTGGTAAGGTAATTAAATATTTTTCTTTTTTTTTAAAAGACAGAGTCTCGCTCTGCCGCCCAGGCTGGAGTGCAGTGGCACAATCTCAGCTCACTGCAACCTCCGCCTCCTGGGTTCAAGCGATTCCCCTGCCTCAGCCTCCCGAGTAGCTGGGATTACAGGCGCCCACCACCACGCCCAGCTAATTTTTGTATTTTTAGTAGAGACAGGGTTTCACCATGTTAGCCAGGCTGGTCTCGAACCCCTGACCTCGTGATCCACCCACCTCGGCCTCCCAAAGTGCTGAGATTACAGGTGTGAGCCACTGCACCTGGCCGTAATTAAATTCTTGACCCATTTAAAAATTGCGTGTTTTCCTTTTTATTACTAAATTATAAGGATTCTTTATATATTTTGCATACTAGTCCTTTGTTAGATATTTACATTGCACATATATTCTCTCAGTCTGTTAACCATCTTTTCATTTTCTTAATGGTGTCTTTCAAAAAGAAGTTTTTAATTTTGATGAAGTCCAATTTTAATTTTTGTTATGATTGATAGTTTTTGTGTCCTAAGAAATCACTATCTACTCTAAAGTTGTGAAGATATTCTAAAAGTTAACATTTGTATTGTACAATATCAACTGTTAGTTGAGGATATGGAGCAACTGGAAGCTCATACATTAGTTGTGGGAATGTAAAATGGTATTAATACAATGTCTTTGGAAAAACAGTTCACTGGTGTCATGGAAAGCTAAGTATACTCTTGCCATACAATCTAGCAATTCCATTCCTACATATTTACCCAAGAAAAATGAAAACACATGAACACACAAAGATTTATACAATAATGTTCATAGCAACTTTATTCATAATAATAACCAAAAAATCAGAAACAACCCAATGTCCATTGGGGATAAACACATGGATAAACAACGTATCCATAAATGAAGTACAGGTGGTAAAAAGAAGCAAAGTATTGATATATGCAACAAATGAATAAGCTCAAAAACATTATGCTAAGCAAAAGAAGCCATACATATCATTTAATTTTTAAAAATTGTATATAACAGACAAATCTCATCTACAGTGACAGAAAACAGATCAATGTCACCGGCCGCTGGAACTCCTAGGGAGTACTCACTGCAAAGGAGCCCTTCTGGAGTGATGAAGATGTTCTCTCTCGATTGTGGTGGTCATGGCATGGGTACAGAACACTTGTCAAAAGGCATGGAATTACTCAAGATGGGAGCATTTTTACTGTATGTTAATTATAACTCAATAAAATTGATTTTTTAAAATTCTAAGTACATATATAAATACATTAATGTTTACAGAGCATTAAGAGAAGTGAAAAAGGTCGGGCGCAGTGGCTCACGCCTGTAATCCCAGCACTTTGGGAGGCCGAGGCGGGCGGATCACGAGGTCAGGAGATCGAGACCATCCTGGCTAACACGGTGAAACCCCGTCTCTACTAAAAATACAAAAAAACAATTAGCTGGGCGTGGTGGCGGGCACCTGTAGTCCCAGCTACTCGGGAGGCTGAGGCAGGAGAATGGTGTGAACCCGGGAGGCAGAAATTGCAGTGTGAGCCGAGATCGCGCCACTGCACTCCAGCCTGGGTGACAGAGCGAGACTCTGTCTCAAAAAAAAAAAAAAAACAAAACAAAAGAGAGAAGTGAAAAAATAATTCCATGTTTGAGATTTGTTTTGTTTGTTTGTTTGTTTGTTTTCAGACGGAGTCTTGCTCTGTCACCCAGGCTGGAGTGCAGTGGCGTGATCTCGGCTCACTGAAATTTCTGCCTCCCGGGTTCACGCCATTCTCCTGCCTCAGCCTCCCGAGTAGCTGGGACTACAGGCGCCCGCCACCACGCCCGGCTAATTTTTTGTATTTTTAGTAGAGACGGGGTTTCACCGTGTTAGCCAGGATGGTCTCGATCTCCTGACCTCGTGATCCGCCCGCCTCGGCCTCCCAAAGTGCTGGGATTACAGGCGTGAGCCACCGCGCCCGGCCGAGATTTGTTTGTTTATAAAGTTACCTGAATTTGTTTTTTAAGTTTAGTAGAATTCTTTTATCAGGACCTGTTTTTAAGTTACCTATGTACCTCTCTAAATGGGATTACAGGCAGTAGCTCTCACACTTCAACATTTATGGTAACCACCTGGAGGATTTGTTAAAGCGGACTGCTAGACCCATCCTCAGAGTTTCTGATTCAACAGGCCTGTGATGGGGCTCAAGAATTTGCTTTTTTTTTTTTTTTTGAGATGGAGTCTCATTCTGTTGCCCAGGCTGCAGTGCAGTGGTGCGATCTTGGCTCACAGCAACCTCCGCCTCCTGGATTCAAGTGATTCTCCTGCCTCATCCTCCTGAGTAGCTGGGATTACAGATGCCCTTCACCACGGCCGGCTAATTTTTGTATTTTTAGTAGAGACAGGGTTTCACCATGTTGGTCAAGCTGGTCTCGAACTCCTGACCTCGTGATCTACCCACCTCAGCCTCCCAAAGTGCTGGGATTACAGGCATGAGGCACCGCGCCTGGCCAAGAATTTGCATTTCTAATGACTTCTTGGGTGATGCTAATGCTACTTACTGGTCCAAACACTACATTTAGAGTCACTGACTGTAGAGATCCTTAAAAGATCCCTATTCCTCCAAAGAGTCAATTCTTAATGCTTAAAACTTGAACTAGGCTGGGCACAGTGGCTAACGTCTGTAATCCCAGCACTTTGGGAGGCCTAGGAGAGAGGATCATTTGAGGCCAGGAGTTGACACGAGCCTGGACAGCACAGCAAGAGTCCATCTCTTAAAAAAAAAATTCAGCCAGGCATGGTGGTGCACACCTGTAGTCCTAGCTACTTGAGAAGCTGAATTGGGAGGATCACTTGTGCCCAGGAATTCAAGGCTGCAGTGAGTTGATTGTGCCATTGCACTCCAGCCTGAGAGACAGAGTGATACTGCCTCAAAAAAACAAAAATTTAAATTTAAAACAGAAACACAAAAAACCTAAATTATCCCCTAAGGCTGGCCACGGTGGCTCACACCTGTAATCCCAGCACTTTGGAAGGCCAAGGTGGGTGGATCACTTGAGGTCAGGAGTTCCGAGACCAGCCTGGTCAACATGGTGTGAAACCACGTCACTACTAAAAATACAAAAATCAGCCAGGCATGGTGGCACATGACTGTAGTCCCAGCTACTCGGGAGGCTGAGGCAGGAGAATCACTTGAACCCGGGAGGCAGATGTTGCAGTGATCCAAGATCATGCCACTGCACTCTAGCCTGGTTGACAGAGCAAGACTCTGTCACAAAAACAAAAACAAAAAGTAAATAAATTATCCCCTAAGAGGAGTATATCCCAGGAAAGTGTAACACCTGAAACTTAAAAGATTATCTGCCCTGATGATAAACGATAGAAAAGAGACAGGCCAGGCCAAAGTTTGTCAACTGGTGGACTGAAGATAAGTTTTATTTAGCCTCTGTGTTTTTCTAAATTAGAGGCTAACATCTCAAACTTGGGAGAATTCACTTTAAAAATCCAGTTTTTACGGCTGGGCATGGTGGCTCACGCTTGTGATTCCAATACTTTGGAAGACTGAGGTGTGCAGATTACTTAAGCTCAGGAGTTCAAGACCAGCCTAGGCAACATAGGAAGACACTGTCTCTACAAAAAAAAACTTTTTAAAAATTAGCCAGGCACAATGGCACACACCTGTGGTCCCAGCTACTAGGGAGTCTGAAGTGGGACCATCACTTGAGTCTGGAAGGTCGAGACTGCAGTGAGCCATGATTGCACCAATGCACTCCAGCCTGGGGAACAGAGCAAGGCTTTGTCTCAAAAAAAAAAAAAAAAAAAAAAAAAAAAAAAAAAAAAAATCCAGATTTAGTTTCTCTTTAAGTATCATTCCCAGAAGAAAAAAATAGGCTGGGGCCAAATAATGGTTACCTCACTTTATTTTTACATTTTTTTGAATTAAGTAACAAAATTTAAAAAATACAAAAGGATGTACAGTGAAAAGTACATCTCCCTTCTATCCCTGATCCCCAGACTCTCAGAGGCTGCCTCCTTTAGATGGGGCGGGTGCTTTCCAGATGTCCCCACTCTGCATCAACTGGCCCTCTTTCACTTATCTGCATTGTCTGCCTGACCCCTTTAGACATCTGAGCTGCCTCCCAACCCATTTTACCACGCCTCTCCTGCATCCCCTTAACACTTGGCATGTCTGTCGTTAGCACTTTCACACAAGCTTCTTTACAAGGCTGTGTCTTTTTAGATGGGGAGATTCACAGATGCATGAGGTTAGGTTTACATCTTCTTTTGACTATCTACATCCCTGATAACTAGGATGGTGTCAGACTTATGGCAGATGTACAAGTTTGTTGAGTGAATTAATAAATTAATGAATGGGCAAATTGTGTATTGTTTCCAGGGTCCTGAGGTGTGACGCAAATAGCAATTCAGTCAGGTGAAATCAATAATTTAGATCCCATCAGGATCCCAGCCGAGTCCCCAGTCCATCTTGTAACACTTCTCCCCAGAACATACTTAAATTACCTGGAAATAATGAATCCTCTGCCCTTACAGAACTGGATCCAAAGCAGGCACTAGGGCACTCTAAGACTACTTCTCAGAAGTGTGACAACCTCCTGTACCCTTTTTCTCCTTACTACAGGGCCCAAGGACTGAAACTTCTTACCTTTTCTCCTAAACTCTGCCACCCACTAATGGCCTCAGGACTGGGATTCCACTAACCCACTCCCCAAGGGCTGATTGCACCCTTTCTTTGTCACCACTCATGAAATCATTTCATGCTATGAATTGGCCAACCGTTCTAGAGATATAGCTGAACACAAACATGACCAGAAACATGAGGAAGTTATAAAGTATTGAGAAATCCTTCTAGAAGTAGATGCAATGCCACACCACTGAGCACGAGATCTGGCTTCCTGAGCAGTTACCAAAGGACGAGATGACACAGCCCTGTGGGCAAACTAGGATCAACGGGAAATGGAAGAACTTAGGAAACTAAGTTACTTCTCCTTCCTCCCTTCAATGGACTGCTCAGAGGGGCAGTTTCTCCTTATAAACCTTCTGGAGAAGCCCCACACTCTAAGTGAACACACTTGCTGGAAGGCTCCTGTATCTCGTCACAGCTTGTCATGAAGCCTGGTCACTGCAGTAACACAATGCATCACGTTTTTCCTTGCTTTGCTTTCCCTTTTCTTCCACACTCTCACCCCCCTAGATCTGTCCCTCCCTAATAAAGTAACAATACTTTCATCTTTGCCTCAGGTTCTACTTCCTAGGGTACCTAAGTTAAGAAATTCTTGTTGTTGGCCAGGCGTGGTGGCTCACGCCTGTAATCCCAGCACTTTGGGAGGCCAAGGCAGATGGATCATGAGGTCAGGAGATCAAGACCATCCTGGCTAACACAGTGAAACCCCGTCTCCAGTAAAAACACAAAAAATTAGCCAGGCGTGGTGGCAGGCACCTGCAGTCCCAGCTACTCGGGAGGCTGAGGCAGGAGAATGGCATGAACCCGGGAGGTGGAGCTTGCAGTGAGCTGAGATCGCGCCACTGCACTCCAGCCTGGGCGACAGAGGGAGACTCTGTCTCAAAAAAAAAAAAAAATTCTTCTTGTTGTAATTTATTGTTGTTGCAATTTTTGTTTGTTGTAATTTCTAGGGTAACCACTGAAAGAATAAAAACAAAGTATACAATTTTCAAACTAGTGACGAAAAACACAGAATGGTAGAAAGTAAGTAATCAAAAAGAAGGCAAGAAGGAAAAGATCGTATCAAATATGTAGTTAAAAAAATTTAAAAAAACGAAAGATGGAATTGTTGGAACCAATAACACAAAGATAATAGACTTAAACCCAAATATATCAGTGGTAATCTTTTAATAAATATTTATATTTATTATATATATTTATATATATTTTAATATATAATATATTAAAATATATTATATATAAATATATATAAATATATAAATATAAATATAAATAATATATTTATAAATATAATATTTATAATAAATAAAATATATCAGTGGTAATCTTTTAATAAGTAAATATATTTATTAAATATAAAAGGTACACAGTAAATATAAATGAACTAAATGCTTTAGTTAAAAGACAATAAAAATTATGAAATAAAAATGTATACACTTGAAAGTATTTAAAATAAATCTAATTTTCATAATGAATTTTAAGCATTAAGGAGTTTTGTAACTGAATAGTGGAACTCAGAAAGACATCCTATTCAGAAGGATCTCTCATGTTAATAGTTTCCTTCACTATTGTAGTATACTGTAGAGTTTCAAGAAAAAAATTAAAGGCCAAAACTGTCTTACATTACCATTGCTGTTTCTGCAATCTTCAACAAACCAAAATTTTCTCTGTAATTGTGAAAAAAGAACTCCTCCTTAAGCATAACTAAAATTTTGCCTTAACCTTATCAAATACCCAAAACTGTAGAAAGAGATAAAGCTGTTAATAGAGACATGGGTATCCCTTTTTATCAGGTCAGGAGGGTAAGTCTCTAATAGAGAGTTCTAGTAACTTCTCAAAAGGTAACTAATGAAGGCCTTCCTTCTAAACCAGATAGGGGGAGATAGAATGCTCTGAGTATTAAAGGCATCTCTTGCAAGCCACTGATAACTTTGTTGACAGAGCACACAGAAGAAAATAGCAGTTACCAGGTTACCTATAGGTGAAATTTGTTTCCACGTAAAGAACCACTGGGTCCAGGCTCATGGAGTATGACTCCTGAGAGAAACTCCTGTTACTCTGATCAGTGTGTGTGTGTGTGTGTGTGTGTGTGTGTGTGTGTGTATTAAAAATGAATATTCCTGGGCTCCCAATAAACTCTCCAGGGTGGGATTACGTTGTCTTTACTGATAATGTTCTTAACTAAAAATTCTTAGTTATAAAATCACAAATTTCGGCCGGGCACGGTGGCGGAGGTGGGTGGATGACCTGAGGTCAGGAGTTGGAGATCAGCCTGATCAACAAGGTGAAACCCCGTCTCTACCAAAAATGCAAAAATTAGCCAGGCGTGGTGGCAGGCGCCTGTAGTCCCAGCTACTCAGGAGGCTGAGACAGGAGAATGGCTTGAGCCTGGGAGGCGGAGGTTGCAGTGAGCCAACAGCAGGCCACTGCACTCCAGCCTGGGCGATGGAGCAAGACTCCATCTCAAAAAAAAAAAAAAAAAAAATCACAAATTTCATAGTGAAACTCAAGTTAGAGTACCTGAAGTTTATATACATAAAATAGACATACCTTTGCTATGAAAGCCTGATTTACTCTTTTTTTTTTTTTCTTGAGACAGAGTCTAGCTCTGTCGCCCAGGCTGGAGGGCAGTGGAGCGATCTCGGCTCACTGCAAGCTCCGCCTCCTGGGTTCACACCATTCTCCTGCCCCAGCCTTCCGAATAGCTGGGACTACAGGCGCCCGCCACCAGGCCCAGCTAATTTTTTGTATGTTTAGTAGAGACGGGGTTTCACCGTGTTAGCCAGGATGGTCTCGATCTCCTGACCTCGTGATCTGCCCGCCTCGGCCTCCCAAAGTGCTAGGATTACAGGCGTGAGCCACCGCGCCCGGCTGAAAGCCTGATTTACTCTTAACTGGATATAACCAGAAAGAGTTCTGCGCACAATGATATATCTGCATTGAATCTAAAACACAGACTTCATCATACATTCTCACCTAAATTTCTCTGATGACCCAGAGTAAGGCAAAAGGTTTAGCATATGAGAGTGAAAGGATTTGAATCTCACTTTCTGTCAAACTTTAGAGCTCTGTTAACCATGATTAGTATCAACTATGATTTTAGGCAACTTTGCTTATAGTAAAAATAACTCGTTAATTGTTACGTATCTGGATTGGGATGCACTATAAATAAATGGAGTCTTCAAGCTTTAGGCTTTCCTGAGTGTAGTGACTCTTGAAATTGACACATCCCTTGTGGATACCTGGAAGCTGTGTTTATGGAATTGTTAAGAGATATTGGTTCCTTGATGCCTGTGGAGGATCTTATCTCCTTGCACCCAAATTGTACTAGTGGACTGCTACAAGGACTTCCACTGCTAATGAGGACTGCTTGATGCTGTGCTGGCAGGCTGTTGTTTCTGTTTAATATCCTTCTGAGTAAGCGGGTACCAAGTATGGCCATGGCAGTCTTGTGAGTTTGAATGTTTAATGTAAAGTGACTTCTGTTGGTCATAGCCACAAATAATTTCAGATGTACTAACTTGATAAACATATTCCAGATGTTTGGTTAAACCTAAAAAGACCTCTCTGGTGGATGTAGCAGTACATCATTTCATATGTATTAATTTCATAACTTTTTTTTTTTTTGAGATGGAGTCTCACTCTAGGGTGGAGTGCAGTGGCACAATCTTGGCTCACTGCAACCTCCGCCTCCTGGGTTCAAGCGATTCTCCTGCCTCAGCCTCCCAAGTAGCTGGGACTCCAGGCGTGAACCACCATGCCCGGCTAATTATTTTTTGTATTTTTAGTAGTGACGGGGTTTCACCATGTTGGCCAGGCTGGTCTCGAACTCCTGACCTCAGGTGATCTGCCCACCTCAGCCTCCCAAAGTGTTGGGATTACAGGTGTGAGCCACAGCGCCCAGCCTAATTTCATAAGTATTGATAAATTTTCATCTTACACTGAATTTACATTCAGACTTAACTTTCTTCTTACACTAAATTAATGAATTAACATAAATCATAAAGATTCTATATTTAATTATAAAAACATAAAATTATCACATCAATTTAATTCTTATAAGTTTATACATACTGCATAATGACTTTGAAAACAGTATAACTCAAAATAATAGAAAACAAAATTAATTGAATGAAGTACTACTGAATTTCAGGTATTTCTGTGACAACACAAATTTAAAATTTAATAAAATATTACCTTTTCTTAGCAAAAAGTTTCTTAAGTCAGATTATCCTTTCATGTTTTAAATGAAGCTTCTTCTAAAGAAGTCCTTTTATTCACAGTTGCAAATTTCTTTTTAACACATACAATGTATACTACATGCTGGAATCAAACACCTGAAGGAGCTGGAATCTTATGAATACAGCCAGGGCAACAGTGTAGAGAATCATGAACAAAAACATCACAGTCCACACAGAAAACATTTTGGCACACAGCACAAACATAAACCTGTAGTGAAAAGAAGAAAAGTGATAAACTAGTTTCCAAAAGTTAATTACAGCACAGCTAGATGACATTCAAGGTGTGCTTTGCTCTTTTATATCTCTACCAATTTTTTCCCACTACCTACTTTATTACTTCCAATGTACTCTATATTCTCAAATCTAAGGCAATTAATTTTTTCCCCAAAACTATCCCTTAGAAATGAGGGAATGGTTTTGTTTTTGAGTCTTTAAAGTCTATTCTATTACAGTTCGCTCTCAATCATTTCATTCTTAGGTTTAGGAAAGACATATGAGCTTCAAACCAGCGCTACTTTTGAATGCTTAGCAAGACCACCTGATTGATTCAATTAAAAAGAGAAGCATAAAAATTTAACATCGATTTAATTATTCTTAGGGAATGACCTCACAATTGCAAACATATTTCCCTTTCAAGTAAACCTTTAAAAAAATATGTCAAATGACACAGATAAGACAAGCAGAAAGGAAAAAACTACATTTGTTCTTTCAGCATTACATATACGAGTACTTGCGCCTTGGGATAAAATTTCCAGGGCAGCTTCACACACAGATTCAAAAATCACTAAATCTCAGAAGTATTTGGCTTTGAATAATAAAAAAAAAAAGAATGAATAAATAAATTTCAAACAACACAGACAATGACCTATTCTTAAAAACTCAAATGAGGCCGGGTGTAGTGACTCACACCTGTAATCCCAGCACTTTGGGAGGCCAAGGCGGGTGGATTGCTTGAGCCCAGGAGTTCAAGACCAGCTGGTCAACATGGTGAAACCCAGTCTCTACTAAAAATACAAAAATTGGCTGGGCATGGTGGTGCACGCCTATAATCCCAGCTGCTTGGGAGGCTAGGCATGAGAATCACTTGAACTTGGGAGGCAGAGGTTGCAGTGAGCCAAGATTGCATCACTGCACTACAACCTGGGTGACAGAGCAAGAGTCTGTCTCAGAAAATAAAACCAAAAAACTGTCAAATGATTCAAAAAGTGGTTCCAGTTAAGAGTAAACTACTGATGTCAAAGAGGTATATAAAACTTAATAAAATTACTTTATAAATTGTGACAGTGGAAGAGCAATACTTCTAATTATTATTTTATATAATATATATAGTTTTAAATATGAACATGTAACTAAATTAAAAATTAAAGCTAGACAGTGATCCATATTATTTACATCTATACAAATTTATTTATTAAAGTTGGCCCTCTTCAAAATTTAAAAAAGTATTTTCTCATTGGCATAATGGAAGAATCACCTATTATCTGTGGCCACCTTAAACAATTTCAATGTGTTATCACACAGCTTAAAGTATAATATGAAGAAAATATTTTAAATACTTTCAGACTAAATGCAGTTTAGCTTGAAAGCTAAAGACAAATTACATGTTTTACAAGGGTGTACCAAAGTAGACAAAACAATCAAAGAATTTAAAAAAAGAGGAAAAAAATTAAAAAATTTTTAATAAAAAGTTTTAAAAAGATGAATTACAAAATACTTTATAGCAAAAATTAGAATGCAGAATAACAAAACTACTATTTAAACTATTTTGTTCCTATTTTACCTTCACCTATTGTCATTATCTTTACAAGAAATAAACTGATATGAGCCTGGTCTTTAACAACCTGTTGAAAACTTATAGTACCATTGATTTCAATATTTCTTGTACATTACTTAATATTTAGAAAGCCAAAGAACTTACATGTTGGTCTTTCAATTCCCCCTGACATCCATAACAAAATCTGAAAAAAAAGTTTAACAATGTTTTTTCTTAGAATTTACTCATTAAAATAGTTCAACAAAATCTCACTAACTAGAATCCTTTAATTAATATGTACTTGTCTTTACACATGACTTTCAGGAAAAAGAGTTAAGAATACCAATAGGCCAGGCACAGTGGCTCACGCCTATAATCCCAGCACTTTGGGAGGCCGAGGCGGGTGGATCACCTCAGGTCAGGAGTTCGTGACCAGCCTGGCCAACATGGCGAAACCCCATCTCTACTAAAAATACAAAAATTAGCTGGGCATGATGGCAGGCGCCTATAATCCCAGCTACTCAGGAGGCTGACGCAGGAGAATCGCTTGAACCCAGGACACGGAGGTTGCAGTGAGCCGAGATGGTGTCATTGCACTCCACACTGAGCAACGGGAGCAAAACTCTGACTCACAAAAAAAAAAAAAAAAAAAAAAAAGAATAGCAATAATTAAAAAAAAAATTCCACAGTATATACAAGGTCATCTGACAGCCCAAAATTTAGTTTTTATTTTCATTAAGGTTAACTGTGAGCATGCTTTATTTTTCTTTGTTTTCGAGTCAGGGTCTTGCTTTGTCTCAAAGGCTGGAGTGCTGAGGTGCTATCACGGCTCACTGCAGCCTCAACCTCCTGGGCTCAAGTGATCCTCCTGCCTCAGCCTCCTGAGTAGCTGGGACTACAGGCATGTATCTCCATGCCTGGCTAATTTTTTATTGAGGCAGGGTCTCGCTATATTGCCCAGGCTGGTCTCGAATGCCTGGGCTCAAGCAATCCTCCTATCTTGGCTTCCCAACGTGTTAGGATTACAGGCATGAGCCACCATGCCCAGCCAGAAGCACTTTCTAACGTTTGTTTGATAGTCACTTACTCTAATAAGTGCTACTTTGTGATTCTTCACAGTTTTTGGCTATGAATCTCCAACTATGAAAGAAGAGAATTTAATTATCTTTCAATCATCTTGAACCCAGTAATGCATAAATATTTAACTAGTGTCATTCTCAATTCTTTCTACATAGTGAAGTCTTCCTTTTGGATAGAACAATAATCAATGTTTAGTTTACTATGCCTATAAAAATATTCTCAGCTAAGCCATAAGTTTTCCCCTATTTAAAACATTTTTTTTTTCCTGGAAATACTGTGTTGCTATTCCCAAGGTTAGTTTCCTATATAATTGACACTAATTCAGGCCCAATCTTCTCCGGAATAGTCTAACTGTCCTCTCGATATGTTCAAATACATCAGGAGTTCTGCAGTTTTCATCCCCTTGGTGATCTCTCTCCTGGAGCATCCTGACTGTCTCCAAACTGGACGGTTCCCCATATGTGACACACAGGTATCATTCTGGAATTTCTCCTTACCATCATCCTAGGCCGTTCTTCAGCCTGTTTTGAATTAGATACATATTACTAGATCCCATGTCATTCTCCTTCTCAGTTCCTTTGAATCACCTACCTCTTCCAGACCTTCCCCAGAAAAATCTCTTTTTGAGACCTTACAAGTCTGAAAATGTCTTTATTCTACCTACACTTAACTGATAGTTTGGCTGGGTATCTAAGTTGGTAACAATTTTCACCACAAACTTTGAAGGTGACTGCTCCCTCTCTGCATCCGGTGTTGCTAATGAGAAGCCAAACAATTTTAATTCCAGATCCTTTGTGTGTGACCTAGTTTTTCCTCTCTGGAAATGTTTAGGGTTAATGGTTTATTGTGTATTCTGAAATTTCACAATTATGGGGTCTGCCTTCCTTCAATACGTTAGGCACTTGGCAGTCCCTTTCTTTTATCTTCGTTGCAGAGATGAGGTCTTGCTGTGTGACCCAGGCTGGCCTGGAACTCCTGGCCTCCAGTGATCCCCCAGTCTCAGCCTCCCAAAGTGCAAGGATTAGAGCTATGAGCCACCCTTCCCAGCCAACAGGCCCTTTCAATCTAGAAAGTTCTGTCCTTCAATATAAAATTTCTTTGAACTATGTCTTTGATGATTTTCTATCCTACTTTTTTTCTTTTTTTCTCGTATCATTCTCATATTGGACCTTCTGGATAATTCCACCAGTGAATATTCTTATCTTTACTCTCCTATTTGAACCTCTTTATTTTACTCCTTTTATTGTACTTTCTGGAATATTTCTTCAACTCTATCTTCTATAGTACTGGGTTTTTCATTTTTACTACATTTAACCTCAACCATAAGCAAATAAATACCAAGCTAAAACAATGAGACTTTTTTCTTTTTCTTTTGCCTGTGAGTTTTGGCCAATATAAAAAAGTTTCATAATACCTAATGTTGGCTAAATGTGGGAAAACAATAAATGAAACTTCTTTGAAGAACAACTTTACAATATCTATCAAAATTCACAAAACATGTAAAACTCTTGACTCAGTAATTTTACCTCTAGGAATTTACCATGCATTTATACTTGTACAAATGTTCAAAAATATAGATATAAGCATTATTTGTTAATAGCAAAAAAAGAAAATCTTAAATATCCAACAGGAAGCAATTGATTATATAAACCATAATTATACCTGAAATATGCAACAATTTCAAAAACAACATTGATCTAGATATGGTGATATTGAATGACTTCTAAATGATTTAAGTGTGAAAAGCAAGATGGATACATAATTGTTTTTGGCTAGCCAGTAAGTGTTTAATGTGATTCCTAAATCCTGGATGTTCTTTTTTTTTTTGATGGAGTTTCGCTCTTGTCGCCCAGCTGGAGTGCAATGGTGTGATCTTGGCTCACTGCAACCTCCACCTCCCAGGTTCAAGGGATTCTCCTGCCTCAGCCTCCTGAGTAGCTGGGGATTACAGGCACCTCCCACCACACCCGGCTAATTTTTATATTGTTAGTAGAGACGGTGTTTCACCATGTTGACCAGGCTGGTCTCGAACTGCTGACCTCAGGTGACCCACCTGCCTCGGTCTCCCAAAGTGCTGGGATTACAGGCGTCAGCCACCGTGCCAGCCGATCCTAGATGTTCTTAAAAGTAGTAAATCTTTATTTTCTGAAAACTATTCTCTAAAGGATTGACTACCTCTATTTCAGACCTTATTTGTTGTATTTCACACAAATAGCATTCGTAAAAATACTTAAAGATTTTAGATAAATTATGTTATGCCAGATTTTTTTTTTTTTGAGACGAAGTTTCGCTCTTGTTACCCAGGCTGGAGTGCAGTGGTGCGATCTTGGCTCACCGCAACCTCTGCCTCTCGAGTTCAAGCGATTCTCCTGCCTCAGCCTCCCGAGTAGCTGGGATTACAGGTATGCACCACCACACTAGGCTAATTTTGTATTTTTAGTAGAGATGGGGTTTCTCCATGTCATTCAGGCTGGTGTTGAACTCCTGACCTCAGGTGATCTGCCTGCCTTGGCCTCCAAAAGTGCTGGGATTACAGGTATGAGCCACCATGTCCAGCTTTTTTTTTCTTTTTTAAGAGACAGTGTCTCACTATGTTGCCCCAGCTAGTCTTCAACTCCTGGCCTCAAGTGATCCTCCCACCTCAGCCTCCCAAAGTGCTGAATGAGCCTCTTATTTTCAGTAGTGTGCTAGGACTGGATTGTACTGGATCAAAAGGATATATTGTTAAATATGTATTCAAGAAAGCTGGTTGTTAATTGTAGCTAAAAATTGGCCATGGTGGGAGTATTCAAACCATGGAAATCAGCAAATACTACCAATCAGGGCTTTTTTTCTTTTCCTTCTGGAAAACTGATTTAGTAGTACAATCATCACCCCTATTTATACATAGGTGGGTTTAGTGAAATTATTTGGTTTCTGGAGATTCAGATCTATTTAGCAACGAGTCATTTCAATCATAACTATGGCATTCTTTATCTCATCTTCCATATTAGAAGTACTCTTGTCCAAGTTAATCAGATTATTTTTTAAGGTAGTAACAATCTATTCAAACATTAGCTTACCACTTATAACAGATATAAATTAGTCCAAACTGAAATACCTTTCTCCATTATATTCTTCTAGGGGAATTTCTTGAAAAGCATCCAAAGGAAACAAATGATGGTAAGACCGTGCCAAGTGGGGAGCAGACACCAAAGTAAGACCTAACACATTAAGCAGAGAGACATGTTGAGTAGTCCAAACCTCATGAAGACAACGGCTGAAAAGCCAAAAGATGTAACTTCAGCAGAATATGTTCAGTTTCTTTTAGGATGGCAGTTATTAATTTTACCTGTGGCTATAACAGAAGATTGTAGGATGGAGTCTTAGTTCTGTCACTAAGTGTGTAACCAACCTGTCTCGGTCTATTTGCTTACTTATATTATAAATGAAATAAAATTCGACAATTCTATTAGTTTAATTCTTCATTCTTATATATATTTACTTTATAAAGGTAAGAGATGGAAAAATGTCTACTACATCTACTGCACTGCCTTTAAAGAATATACTTTTTTCAGAAAGAGGATCAGGAAACTAGAATGCTACATTTATACGTGGAAGTGGAGTACTGGGCACTCAATTTAAAAAGTAATCTATTTTTCTTTGCACAGATTAAATCCAGAAACATAGGAATAACTTAACATTTACATTAATTTTAGCAGCAATACAGATTAAGAAGTCATTCAAGATTTACTGAATAATGAATAGTTGTTTTCTTACCACAGATTTTACACTCAACAGGTAGCTCACAGTACTTTGCCCGACACTGTGGGCAGAAATAGCCTCCTAATGTAAGCCCTGGCTCAGTATTGCCATCCAAATGCCTGTAGGGGGAAAAAGGGTAATATATAATGATCTGAAAAGTTAGAGCGGGAAAGCATGCTATCTTGACCTTAAAATCTTGACACTATTTAAAAATCTATTTAAAAGTCTGTATTTTTGGCCGGGCGCAGAGGCTCACACCTGTAATCCCAGCACTTTGGGAGGCCAAGGCGGGTGGATCACCTGAGGTCAGGAGTTCAAGACCAGCCTGGCCAACACGGTGAAGCCCCATCTCTACTAAAAAATACAAAAATTAGCCAGGCGCCTGTAATCCCAGCTACTTGGGAGGCTGAAGTAGAATTGCTTGAACCCAGGAGGCAGAGGTTGCAGTGAGCTGAGATTGCACCACTGCACTCCAGCCCGGGTGCCAAGAGTGAAACTCCATCTCAAAAAAAAAACAAAAGAAGTCTATATTTAAAAAAAAAATTTATAACTTTTTGTAGAGATGGGGGTCTCTCACTATATTGCTGGTCTTGAATTCCTAGCCTCAAGTGATCCACCTGCCTTAGCTTCCCAAAGTGCTGGGATTATAGGTGTGAGCCACCATGCCTGGTCTAAAAGTCTATTTTAAAATCTGTGAGTATGTCTTATAACTCAATTATGCTACATTCATTTTTTTCCCCCTCTTCATTTTTTTTTTTTTTTTTTTGAGACGGATTCTCACTCTGTTGCCCAAGCTGGAGTGCAGTGGCACAATCTCAACTCACTACAATCTCCGCCTCCCAGGTTCAAGCAATTCTCGTGCCTTGGCTTCCTGAGTAGCTGGGATTACAGGCACGTGCTACCACACCCAGCTAATTTTTGTATTTTTAGTAGAGATGGGGTTTCATCATGTTGGCCAGGCTGGTCTCAAACTCCTGGTCTCAAGTGATCTGCCTGCCTCGGCCTCCCAAAGTGCTGGGATTACAGATGTGAGCCACTACACCCAGCCCTTCTCTTCATTTTTAAAGTCTCTATTACTATCTTTGAATTCACTAATTTTTTCTTCTGCAGTGTCTAATCTGCTGTTAATCCCAGCCAATATATTTTTCATCTAAAACACTGTATTCTTCATCACTAGAAGTTTGATTTGGGTCTTTTTTATACCTTCCATATCTCTTCTTACCATTCTCATGTTCTCTAACATCCTGAACATACAGAGTACATTTATAATTGTTGTCCTAACATCTTTGTCTACTAATTCTTTTTTTTCTTTTTTGATAAGAGTCTCGCTCTGTCACCCAGGCTGTAGTGAAATGGCACGATCTCAGCTCGCTGCAACCTTTACCTCCTGGGTTCAAGTCATTCTTGTACCTCAGCCTCCCAAGTAGCTGGGATTACAGGCGTGTGCCACCAGGCCTGGCTAATTTTTGTGTTTTTAGTAGAGATGGGTTTCGCCATGTTGGCTGTGCTGATCTCGAACTCCTGGGCTCAAGTGATCTGCCCACCTAAGCCTCCCAAAGTGCTAGCATTACAGGCAGGAGCTACCGCACCCAACCCTTTGTCTATTAATTCTACCAACTGGGTTATTTCTGGGTATGTTTCCATTCTGTGATTTTTCTCCATTTTATGGGTCATATTTTCCTTTGCATCCCTGGTAATTTCTGCCAGGGACTATGAATTTTGCTTTGCCAGACATTGTGAATTTTGCTTTGTTTTGGGGGCTGGATTTTTTCTTTTTCTTTTTTTTTGTATTCCCTCAAATATTTAAGGGTTTGTTCTGAAATATACTTCATTAACTTGGAAATAGTTTAATCTCTTCAAAATTTGCTTTTAAACTTTGGTAGGCTGGTCTAGAACAGCTGTTAGTCTAGATTTTTCTTTTCTTTTCTTTTTGCCTCTGGTTCCAGTTCTTGTGATAGAATTAATTTGATCCCATTACTGTGGACTCTATTCAATGCCTGTCATGTTAAGAGGTATTTCCATACAGACTGGTGAGAACATGAATGTTCTCTGTGTGAGCTCTGGAAACTGTTCTGTCTGCTGCTTTCCAGTGATTTTTTCCCTGACTTCCAGTAGTCTCCTCACACAAAAGGGCTGATCAACGCTCAGCTGCTGACTCATGAGCAAGTCTATGCAGCTCCCCAGAGAGTTCTCTCTGTGCAGATCTTTCCTCTCCAGTACTCTGACCTGCAAAATTATCGCCATCTCAGCCTCCTTGAAAGATGAACTTTGTTTCTTCAACTCAACAACATCTCCAGCCTCTGTGTGCAGCCTGGAAATTCCATCCAGGCAGTAAGGTGGAGTGCTCTTAGGGCCCATCTCATTTGTTTCCTTTCTTTCAGGGATCATTATCAGCAAGGCTTGCTGTCCAACGTCTGAAAACCACTGTTTTATATATTTTGTCTGCTTTTTTTGACAGGAGGGTAAATCTAGTCCCTGTTACAGCTTTTTGGCTGGAGGCAGAAATCTTGTTTGTGATTTTTAAGAATTACTCTCTTAAATTTAATTTTGTTTTATAATTATGTAAAATACAAAGCTCTGAAGTTAAAACAAGGTACAGTAATATTCTATATAACATTTTGGTCAGTGATGAACCACATATATGACAGTGGTCCCATAAAATAATACATTTTAGTTGTACCTTTTCTGTGTTTAGTTAAACAAACACTAGGTGTTACATTACAACTGCCTACATTATTCAGTACACAATATGCTGTACAGGTGTGCAGCCTAGGAGCAATAGGCTATACTATATAACTGCGATGTTAGTAGGCTACACTATCTAGGTTTGTGTAAGTGCACTCTGTGATGTTTGCACAATGATGGTATCACCTAATGACACATTTCTCGGAATGTATCCCTATCATTAAGTGATGCATTCAGAAAAGTCTAGGGTCTAACCCTTTGCTTTTCCCTACACACTCACTGAGGTAAACATTAAAAAAAAAAATTTCCCCCTCCACCCCTTTTAAGTTTTTATTATTTCCATACTATTGTTTTTATTATTAACATAAACAAGTATATACATCCACTTACATCTCTACTTTCTTCTTAGGTGATTAGCAGCATACTACAAAATTCTCTCAAACTACTGTTTTACTTAGTAATTTATCCTGAAGATCACTCCATACAAGTATATAGAGATAGTCTTCATTGCCTATCTTTTGAATTTATAACTTAAAAGAAGGAATTAAAAATGTAAAAACATTATCACTGATATTTTCAAGGTCTTTACTTACGCCATGCTGAAAGAGGGTTTTGCATCCTGGTCAGATAAAGAAGCAATGGTGTGCTGAGGAAATCCTTCATAGAAGAAAATGTATTACTTTCTTTTTCCAAGCAAACAGCAGAATTCTAGGACTAAGAACCTAAAAATGTTCTTCTCAAAAAGCCAATGAAGTTGTACAAAATATCACTTTACTGCCTTTCAGATAAGCTTATTATAGCATGATGAAACTGACTAATTCCAAGCTACAAGAAAAAGTAGAGGAAATGGGGGAAAGACCTGTCTATATATGACCTCAGATTCTGAAGTTCATATATATATTTTTCTTTTTTTTTTTTCTTGAGATGGAGTCTTGTTCTGTCACCCAGGCTGGGGTGCAGTGGCATGATCTTGGCTCACTGCATCCTCCACTGCCTGGGTTCAAGCGATTCTCCCACCTCACCTTCCCATGTAGCTGGGATTACAGGCATCCGCCACCATGCCCAGCTATATATTTTCTAACTTAATGATTAACACTACTTTTTAAAGAGGTTGTAATTTTTACATCATTTCTGATAAAACTGAAGATATCATAGTACACCATTTTATCTACGTTTATGCTTTTATGTTTAAAATTTTGAAATGCTCAAATCTTTCATGTAATTTGTTTTCCATATACAATTTTAAATTCTGAAAACATGTTCAGGAAAAGCAGAAACCATTTTTAAAAAGATATATTACATAAAAAATGTAAATGTATCTACATATCAAAACAAATAAATAAAAGTAAAGGCAAATAACCAACAAGAAAAATATTTGCATCGGGTGACTGAGAAGGGTTAACATTCCTAAAGGACTCTAATAAATAAATTATAAATTTAAATAACTTTAAAATGAAATAAGAAAATATATCAGTAAATCAAAAAGATTAGCCAAACATAAGATCTAAAATGTATTGAATGTTTACATCAAGCATTATTCTAAACGCATCATCTGTATTAACTCAATCCTTGAAACACACAATAAGGTTGATAGTTACTGACATCATTAAACACATGAGAAGACCGTGGAAAAGAGAGGTCGACTGGTAATATAAAAGGCCAAAAGTAGAAAAGCATTTTATTTCATTAACATTTAAAAATATACATATTAAATAAGGAGATTATTTTTCTATTAAAAGTTATACTTTTTTCAATATAAATGTAATAAATTTTCATTGTAACATTTTTGTAAAATAGAAGAAAATAACATTTTAAAAAAGTGATCCAAGGCCGGGCACAGTGGCTCAAGCCTGTAATCCCAGCACTCTGGGAGGCCGAGGCAGGCGGATCATGAGGTCAGAAGTTCAAGACAAGCCTGGCCAACATGGTGAAACCCCGTCTCTACTAAAAATACAAAAATTAGCTGGGCATGGTGGTGCCCGCCTGTAATCCCAGCTACTCGGGAGGCTGAGGCAGGAGAATTGCTTGAACCTGGGAAGCGGAGGTTGCAGTGTGAGCTGAGATCGCACCACTGCACTTCCAGCCTAGGAAATAGAATGAGACTCCATCTCAAAAAAAAAAAGAAAAAAAAAAGTGATCCAAAACCAATAATTTCCCCTCCTTTGAGCAATTTGGTGTACTTCCCTGCAAGCTTTGTCTTTGCACAGTTTGCATTACACAGCTTTGATCATCCAGTACAGAGAATTTTGTAGCTTATTTTATTTTTATTTTATTTTATTTTTTTGAGACAGAGTCTTGCTCTGTCACCCAGACTGGAGTGCAGTGGCGCAATCTCAGCTCATGGCAACCTCCGCTTCCTGAGTTCAGGCAATTCTCCTGTCTCAACCTCCTGAGTAGCTGGGATTACAGATGTCTGCCACCATGCCCAGCCATTTTTTGGTAATTTTTAGTAGAGACAGGGTTTCGCCATGTTGGCTAGGGTGGTCTCAAACTCCTGACCTCAGGTGATCCGCTAGCCTCGGCCTCCCAAAGTGCTAGGATTACAGGCATGAGCCACCACGCCCGGCCTTTGTAGCTTATTTTAAAAAATTTTTAATATAAGTGTTTTTCTTTTGTTTTCTTTTTTGAGACAGAGTCTCGCTCTGTCGCCCAGGCTAGAGTGCAGTGGTGTGATCTCGGCTCATTTCCAGCTCTGCCTCCCGGGTTCATGCCATTCTCCTGCCTCAGCCTCCCGAGGAGCTGGGATTACAGGCGCCCGCCACCACGCCTGGCTAATTTTTTGTATTTTTAGTAGAGATGGGGTTTCACCGTGTTAGCCAGGATGGTCTCGATCTCCTGACCTCAAGATCCGCCCACCTCGGCCTCCCAAAGTGCTGGGATTACAGGCGTGAGCCACCGAGCCCGGCTTAATATAAGTATTTTTCTATAAACACAGTTTATACCTTTCTAGCCTTAAAAATAAAGAAAGCCAACAGTATTTTCTGGGTGACAGGACTACTGGTAGTTTTAATTTTTTTTTTCCACTTCTCTGTACTTTCCAAAATTGCTTCAACAAGCATATTTTTTCTTTAAAAATTCTTAAATATTAAAATAACTTGTGCAAATGAAAATGGAGAGCCTAGATATGTATTTTTTAAAAACATAAAAACACTTACCCATACGAATAAGTGAGCATTCAGAACTTGAGCTAGCAGGAGGAGGACTAACATGATGTGTGAGCAACTCTTTGTAATGGCTTTCATCTAAAATAACATGGTACGTGCCTAACAAGATGAAAAGGGAAAAAAAAACACCTTCATAGACATAACGAACTGTACGTTCTATGTAATTCTGTAAAAGTTGTATCATCTGAAAATGTACATTTTTAAAATAATGATTTTAGCTAAATTATCACTTTTAAAACCTTATTTAAGTAATATATCTAAATCAACTTCTCTAGGAATAACTATAATTACAATTGATTATTATTACTATTATTATTATTTTAACATATAAATAGAGACAGGTCTCACTATGTTAACCAGACTGATCTCAAACTTCTGGCCTCAAGTGATTCTCCTGCCTTGGCCTACCAAAATGTTGAGATTACAGGCATGAGCTATCATGCCTGGCCTGTAATTACAATTTAATTAAAGACAAGTTATAAAATCTTTATAAAGAATTACATACAGTAAAATTTCCAGCTTTCCAAGAGTTATAATACCTCCTCTAAATACTGACATAAGTACTGAAAACTCTTTGCATTTGGAGATGATTTCTTATGGAATCAATGATATATTTAAGATGACTGCCCATATTTTAGACTACTTTAAGTTTAGTAGCTCAGAACAGATTAAAACATCCTAATTTAATTAATAAATTATTTCCTACACAGTAATTATAAGCAAATATTAAATAAATTATATATATACCACCAGTTTCACGAGCAAGTACAGTGCAAACGCGAACTTCTGCAGACAATCCAATAACAGATACTCTAATTTTAGCTGCCTTTAGGGTCTTCATAAAATCCAAGTAGATAGATAGTTTTAGGAAAGAAGAAAAACATTTAAGATTTAATGTATTTGAAAAATAAAGAATGCTCTGAAAACTAGTAATAAATTCAATACATCTACCACAAAGATGAATCACACATACAAAAATACATATATATATAAATCAATTTGCTACAGAATTCTCTTTACAGTTATAACTTTGGTTTTGATTTTTTGGTCTACCTTGATTAGATCATAAATATTAGATGGATCGCAAGTTGTAAGGCTGCTAAAGATGATTAGTACTTCTCGACTTGTATGTCCAGGCATGTGTCTTAAAAGAAAGATAAAATACACTCCAATTAGGTACAACAAATTATACTACCAAAAAATTTACCCAGAAAGAACAGTAAACATAGGATTACACATTTAGACTATAGAATATCTCATTTGTTTCAACAATGCAAAGAAAGGTTGTGAGTATATTTTAAACACTTTAATGCAAATTTTTCTAAAATGAGCTATGCACTTCAAAAAATTGTTAATTGATTCATTTAATATTTACCAAGTACTCTCAAGTTCTGGGGGTAGAGTGATAAACAAGACTGACAATGTTCCCGACATCATTAAGCTTACATTCTAGTAGGTTTGTTTCATACAAAGTCTAGAGTATACAATAAAAAATACAACAATATATGGATAAACTTTAAACTAAAATGTGGCAATATCATATGGATCAGCTTTAAAGTGCAGAGATGTGGCTTCAAAACAGTAACACACACTTCTTTCTCAAAGACTATAGTAGTCCCCTCTTATCTGCAGAGGATACATTCCAAGACCCCCAGTGGATACCTGAAATCAAGGATAGTACTGAACCCTATATATACAGTCGTTCTTCGGTATCCTTGGGGGATTGATTTCAGGCCCTCCTATGGATACCAAAATCTGCAGATGTTCAAGTCCCAGATACAAAAGGGCGTAGTATTTGCATATAACCTATGTACATCCTCCCATATATTTTAAGTCATCTCTAGATTATTGATAATACCTAATACAATGTATACTATGTAAGTAATTGTTATCCTCTATTATTTAGGGGATAATGGCAAGAAAAAATGTCTATTTGTTCAGTACAGGTACAATTTTTTTCCAAAAATTTTTGATGCGTGGTTGATCGAATTCACAGAAGCAGAACCCAGGATTCAGAGGGCTGATTATACCATGTTTTTCCCTATACAGGCATACCTTGGAGATACTGCAGGGTTGGATTCCAGACCGCAGCAATAAAGCAAATATCACAATAAATATTTGCAATAAAGCAAGTCACATGAACTTTCAGGTTTCCTAGTGTATATAAAAGTTCTGTTTACGGCCAGGGATGGTGACTCACGCCTGTATTCCCAGCACTTTGGGAGGCTGAAGCGGGCACATCACGAGGTCAGGAGATCGAGACCATCCTGGCTAACACGGTGAAACCCCGTCTCTACTAAAAATACAAAAAAATGAGCTGGACGTGGTGGCAGGAGAATGGTGTGAACCCAGGAGGCGGAGCTTACAGTGAGCCAAGATTGCGCCACTGCACTCCAGCCTGGGCGACAGAGCGAGACTCCATCTCAAAAAAAAAAAAAAGAAAGAAAAAGAAAAGTTCTGTTTACACTATACTGTAGTCTAGTAAGTGTGCAACAGCATTATATCTAAAAAAAAAAGTACACACCTTTATGAAAAATACTTTATTGCTAAAAATCGACTGAACTGTCAGTGAATAATATCTTTTTGTTGAAGGAGAGTCTTGCCTTGATATTGATGGCTGCTGACTGATCAGAGTGGTGCTTTCTGAAGGGTGAGGTGGCTATGGCAATTTCTTAAAATAAGACAAAGTAGTTTGTTACATGGGTCAACTCTTCCTTTCATGAAAGGAATGCAAATGCTGTTTGGTAGCATTTTATTCATAGTAGTACCTCTTTCAAAATGGGAGTCATTCCTTTGAAACCCCACTGATGCTTTACCAACTAAGTTTATGGGCTATTCTTTTTTTGTTTTGAGACTGATTCTTGCTCTGACACCCAGGCTGGAGTGCAGTGGTGCGATCTCGGCTCACTGCAACCTCTGCCTCCTGGGTTCAAGCAATTCTCCTGCCTTAGCCTCCCCAGTAGCTGGGATTACAGGCATGCACCACCATGCCCAGATAATTTTTGTATTTTTAGTGAGGACGGGGTTTCACCATGTTGGCCAGACTAGTCTTGAACTCCTGACCTCAAGTGATCCACCCGCCTCGGCCTCCCAATGTGCTGGGATTACAGGCATGAGCCACCATGCCCAGCCAGTGTAGATATTTTGACCTCTTTCTATGAATGGCATTTAGAATGGTGAATTCTTTCCAGAAGGTTTTCAATGTACTTTGCTCAGATCCATCTATGGCAGTCACAGCCTTATGATATGTATTTCTTAAATAATCAAGACGTGAAAGTTCAAAGTATTCCTTTATCCAAGGGTTGCAGAATGAGTGCTATGTTAGTAGATATGAAAATAACATTAATCTTCTTGTACATCTCAATTAGAGCTCTTGGGTGACTGGGTGCATTGTCAATGAGCAATAATATTTTGAAATAAATCTTTTTTCTGAGATATATCTCAACAATGGGCTTAAAATATTCAGTAAGCCCATGCTGTAAACAGATGTGCTGTTATCTGGGCTTTGTTATTCCATTTGCAGAGCACAGACTGAATAGATTTAGAATAATTCTTAAGGACTCTAGGATTTTCAGAATGGTAACAAACATTGGTGCCAACATCAAGTCACCAGCTGTATTAGCCCCTAACAAGAGAAGAAGCCTATCCCATGAAGCTCTGAAACCAGGCATTCACTTCTTCTAGCTATGAAAATCCTAGATGGCATCTTCTTCCAACAGAAGGCTGTTTCATTTACATTGAAAATATGAGGCCAGGTGCAGTGGCTCATGCTTGTAATCCCAGCACTTTGGGAGGCAGAGGCGGAGGACTGCTTGAGCCCAGGAGTTCAAGACCAGCTGGGCAATGTGGCGAAACCCTACCTCTACAACAACAACAACAACAAAAATTAGCTGGGTGTGGTGGCACATGCCTGTAGTCCCTGCTACTTGTGGGGCTGGGAGAATAGCTTGAGCCTGGGAGTTTGAGGCTGCAGTGATCCATGATTGCACCACTGCACTCTAACCTGGGTGACAGAGCGAGACTCTCTCTCAAAAACAAAAAAGAAAAAGAAAATTTGATATTTAGTGTAGTCACCTTCATCAATTATTTTAGCTAGATCTTCTGGATAACTTGCTGCAGCTTCTACATCAGCACTTGCTGCTTCCTCTTGCACTTTTTTTTTCTTTATTTTGAGACGGAGTCTCACAGTGTTGTCTGGGCTAAAGTGCAATGGCGCGATCTCGGCTCACTGCAACCTCTGCCTCCTGGGTTCATGCGATTCTCCTGCCTCAGCCTCCCGAGTAGCTGGGATTATAGGCGCACACCACCACACCTGGCTAATTTTTTGTATTTTTAGTAGAGACAGGGTTTCACTATGTTGGCCAGACTGGTCTTGAACTCCTGACCTCATGATCTGCCCACCTTGGCCTCCCAAAGTGCTGGGATGACAGGCGTGAGCCACCGCGCCCAGCCCCTCTTACACTTTTATGTTTTGGAGATGGCTTCTTTCATTAACCTCATGAGCTCAGCTCTGTTAGCTTCAAACTTTTCTTCTGCAGCTTCCTCACTGCTCTCAGCCTTCATAGAATTGAAGAGAATTAGAGCCTTGCTTTGGATTAGGATTTGACTTAATGGACTGTTGTGGCTACTTTAATCTTCTATCTAGACCATTAAAACTTTGTCTGTATCAGCAATAAAGCTGTTTCACTTTCTTATCATTCATGTGTCCACTGAAGCAGCACTTTGAATTTCCATTATTTTTTTCTTATTTTGAGACAGGATCTTGCTCTATCATACAAGCTGGAGTACAGTAGCACAATCGTAGCTCACTGCAGCCTCAAACTACTGGGCTCAATCCTCCTGCCTCAGCCTCCTGAGAAGTTAGGGACTACATACAGGTGCTCGCCACTGTGCCTGGCTAATTTTTTTTTTTTTTTTTTTTTTTTTTTTTTTTTGTAGAGGTGGAGGTCTTGCTATGTTACCAGGACTGGTCTCAAACTCATGGCCTCAGGTGATCCTCCCATCTTAGCCTCCCAAAGTGTTGCAGTTACAGGTAAGAGCCACCACGCACAGCCCAGCACTTTCAATTTCCTTCAAGAACTTTACCTTTGCATTCACAATGTGACTAAGTGTTTAGCACAAGAGACCTAGCCTTCAGCCAGTCTTGCATTTTGACATGCCTTCCTCACTAAGCTCAATCATTTCTAGCTTTTGATTTAAAGTGAGACATGCGACTCCTCCTTACTCTTGAACACTCAGAGGCCACTGGAGGGTTATTATTGGTGTAATTTGAATATTTTTGTGTCTTAGGAGATGGGGGGGCCGAACAGAGGGAGAGAGACTGGAAAACAGCCAGTTGGTGGAGCACTCAGAACACACGTAACACTTATCAATTAAGTCTGTTGTCTTATATGGGCGCAGTTTGTGGTGCCCTAAAATAATTACAATAGTAACATCAAAGATCACTGATCACAGATCACCATAACAGATATAACAATAATTTACAAAGCTTGAAATATTGCAAGAACTACCAAAGTGTGATATAGAGGCAAGAAGTGAGCACATGCTGTTAAAAAAAAATGGCACCAACAGACTTGCTCAACAGAGTTGCCATAAACTGTCAGTTTGTAAAAAAAAAAGTTATCTGAAAAGTGCAATAAAAGTGCAACAAAATGAGGTGTGCCTTACATACACACCTATGATCAATAATGTATAAATTAGGCACAATAAGAGATTAACAACAATAACTAATAATGGAACATTTATAACAACATGCCGGCATCACTACTCCTGCACTTTGAGGTCATTATTAAGTAAAATAACACAAACACTGCAATAGTTTTGACAGTCAATAACAACAGTTAATCTGATGACTTAGGCCATTACATGGGTGGGCAGCATATACTGTGAGGATCTACAGGACCAAGGGATGATTCACGTCCTGGGCAGGACAGAGAGGGAAGGTGTAGGATCTCATCACGCTACCCAGAATGGCACACAACTTAAATCTTATGAATTATTTATTACTGAAGTTTTCAATTTAATATTTTCAGACCAAGAGTAACTAAAACTGGAAAGTGAAACTGCAGATAAGGGGGGATTACTATAATTTAACCTCACAGTAATTCAGAGTCATAATAATCATGAACATTAATATTGCATACCATTTAATTAAAATGATAGCTTGTAGATTTTTAAGTTGTGGTGACCAGTTTTCACCTACACTAAATAGACCTTTTTATGCTTTCTGCAGCAATTTTATCAGTTAGTTATAGCTTTCCTGCTTATATTTTCATTGTTATCTTCTCAGCTCTCACTGGTAGACCCTGCTACTGTACTTACCTCTATTACATGTGTTGCCTCCTTCTCATCCACTTCAAAACTAGAAAAATATCTATTATATAAAGGTATAAGTCTGAGCCAGGGCGGACTATCCAGAGATAAAATATATAAGCTTTAGGGAGGCTGAGGTGGGCGGATCGCTTGAGGCCAGGAGTTCAAGACCAGCCTGGCTAACATGGTGAAACCCCATCTGTACTAAAAATACAAAAATTGGCTGGGCATGGTGGCACACACCTGTAATCCCAGCACTAGGGAGGCTGAGGCACAAGAATCACTTGAACCCAGAGGTGGAGGTTGTAGTGAGCTGAGATCACGCCACTGCATGCCAGCCTGGGTGACAGAGCAAGACTCTGTCTCGAAAAAAAATATATATATACGTGTGTGTGTGTGTGTGTGTGTGTGTGTGTGTGTGTGTGTATATATATAATAGATATATAAGCTTTAACTTATATATGTAAGTTTAACATATATATAAGCTTTATATATATATGTATAATAAATTATATATATAATATGTATATAAAGCTTATATATATATATAAGCTTTAACTATACCAAGTATTTCCTTTGGGGTCTTAGCTCTATTCCATATAGCTGAACTTGCCATATCTATTAATTTACAGATATATGACATTGGTGCAAAAGGAACTGTGGTTTTGGCCATTACTTTCAAAATAAATTAATAAATGTTAATAAAGGTACAACCAACTTACAATTATTATACTATATTAAATCTCATTTTAATAAAATATTTTTTCATCAACATATTTTTGTACTATTGATACTGCCGACAGTTTTAAATTATATTTTTATAAAACCTTTAACAATATCTTACTAAAATGTAAAATAAAGATTACTAACCAACACCACACTAAACATCATAAATAACACTACATAATTCTTGTACTTAACAATTTTGTTATAGCTGGGTTTATGGGCCCCATATTAACACATCACTTCAGCTTAACTCATTTAAAAAACTTCTAATTCAATTATACATAATGTATAATACTAACTTTAGAGTCTGCATAGCTATGCTTAGGGAATTATAAAGAGATGGCTCTCCATGGCAGGTCATATCCACAGCTTTCTTCAAAGACGTTATATGTTTTCTTGGGTTTCCTAAAATAGAAATAAGATCTTTAAATAAAATCCTATATATTAAAAAAGTTTATGTTTCTCTCAAAATTTACATATCTATGATGTTAAAGAACAGAATCCTTTCAATGTATATTTCTGTTGGAATTTTATCTGCAATATTTTGTAAACACTCTCACTTCATACTGAAAAACAGAATACAAATAATCTCCTTATAGACTAGCATACATATTTTAAAATAATGCTAACCTAGAGTGCATTTTTTTACTCTTAATATTTCCATATTTCATCATTTTTAAGACCAATACATTTTCACATTTAACATCTCTGAAATCAGCATGTGTTTAATAATCACTGGTAGCCAGCAGCACTTGTAACATAGTCTTTGCCTGTTCATATGTGAACCTACAAATAGGTCTTCATATGTTGTTGCTTCAATTGCATTATGTACATTGTCCTCTTCATGGTGAGTTTAACTGCCATTTAAAATGTTTTTAAGGCCAGGCGCGGTGGCTCACGCCTGTAATCCCAGCACTCTGGGAGACCACGGCAGGCAGATAACCTGAGGTCAGGAGTTTAAGACACACCTGGTCAACATGGTGTAAATCCCATCTGTAGTAAAAATGCAAAAATTAGCTGGGTATGGTGGCATACACCTGTAATCCCAGCCACTAGGGAGGCTGAGGCACAAGAATCACTTAAACCCAGAAGGTGGAGGTTGCAGTGAGCTGAGATTGCACCACTGCACTCCAGCCTGGGCAACAACAGCGAAACTCCATCTCAAAAAACAAACAATAAAATGTTTTTAGAAATGTTGTTAATACAAAAGGCTATATTTTTATGTAGAAAGGTGTGGAACACAGCAGTGAGGCATAAATTTATTATAATGAATCAAATATTGATGGAAGAATGCATGCAATTCCGTATTTTTCTTGAGGGAAGAAATCAAGAACTTTACAAGACCTAAGAAACGAATATTCCCACAAACAGACGAAGCTGTGTTATCTTACCAAATAGCATCTGAAAAGATTGTCTATCTTATGCTAAGCAATTCAAATGAAGGGGGGAGAAGCTGCCAAATCCTTTTTTTTCTTTTTAATATAATATTTTTTTATATTATTTATATTTAGATTATATATATATCTGTTGCCAGGCTGGAGTGCAATGGGGCAATTTTGGCTCAATGCAACTTCCACCTCCCAGGCTCAAACCATCCTCCCACCTCAACCTCCCAAGTAGCTGGGACTACAAGTGCCCAGCACCACACTTGGCTAAATTTTTTTGTATATTTTTGGTAGAGACAGGGTTTCACCATGTTGTCCAGGCTAGTCCTGAACTCCTGGATTCAAGCAATCCTCCCGCCTCAGCCTCTCAAAGTGCTGGGAGTACAGGTGTAAGTCACCACGCCTGGCCCCCAAATTTGAGATGTCTGTACATGTCAAATTACCAAGAAGCTAGTATAGCCAACTCATATATCATTTGATACTGTGTCAAAGTTTAACTACTAGGACTTTTCCTTCTTAATGGCTTATAAAAGTATCTTGTAATTGATGGAATCTGAGTTTCAATGAAATATAGTATTCCGTAAACATTTTCCATTTCAGCACTGTCTTCGTATCAATCAATAACCTAAGTATCATTAAATTGATTTTGTCATAAAATATAATCCATCAAAGCATACTATTAAACATTTAATTTTTAATCTGTCACTATTATACATAATGTTACAAAGAGTATCTTTGTAGAGTGATCATTCTCCTTCCATAACATTCCCTAAATATAATTTCAGGAACAATTTTTATGCTTTTCTAAAAAATATTGAACTAATTTGTAAGACTATCAGCACTATAAATAACAGTTTCTCTGTGGTTCCACAAGCAACATATTGCTTTGGAAACTTAATTTTGCTCATTTAAAATATATTAAAAAATAAAATGTTATGTAATTGGGTGGAGTTTTTTTGGATTACTAGTTTCCCTGATTTAATTTCTGGGTTTCTTCTGTGTGAATCATGTCTTCTTTGTCTATTCATCAACTTGGAGCTCCCTTGAGTTTTTACTCATCTGAGTAAGTTTTAAAATATTAACCATTTGTAATATTTAATATTTACTGCAAGTATTTTAGATTCATAAATTTTAGAGATGAAAAGTACCTCGCTAAGCAGTCCAAATCCCTCACTTCATAAGTGAGAAAATTAATCTAAACAAGTGAAATGACTTGCCCAAAGACATATGCCTGCTTAACTGCAGGACCAGCAGCACCCAAACCTAGATCTCCTGGCTCTCTATCCACTTCTCTTCCTACCCTACAAAATTATTTTTAATCTCCCACTGTGTTATGGGTATAGGAAAAAAGCATACTACAATAGTGTCAGTGTGGTTTACAGCAGTGGTCTGATTGGAGGGAAAAAAAGGTGGCTTCAAGAGGCCTGTCAGAATCTCCAGAATATTTTTCATCTTTATACATGACTTCACTAACATCCATAGAAAACTGCTGGGGCCGGGCATGGTGGCTGATGCCTGTAATCCCAACACTTTGGGAGGCTGAGGTGGGTAGATCACCTGAGGTCAGGAGTTCGAGATCAGCCTGGCCAGCATGGTGAAATCCTGTCTCTACTAAAAATAAAATTAGCCAGGTGTGGCAGCGCACACCTGTAATCCCAGCTACTCGGGAGGGGGAGGCAGGAGAATCACTTGAACCCGGGAGGCGGAGGTTGCAGTGAGCCAAGACAGCACCGCCTGGGCGACAGAGTGAGAGACTCCTTCTCAAAAAAAAAAAAAAAAAAGAAGTAATAGAAAACTGCTGGTAACTCGGGGTGGGTAAAGTGAGAGGAAAATATTGACCTTATATTCCTACCTTGGAGGAACCATCCTTCTTCCACTATATAATAATCCTGCTTAGTTCATGTGGTGCTGACCCTACTTCTATCCTGCTCTGGGCATCAGCAGGCAATCGAAGCGTACAAACAAAATACTTCATTTCCTGGCCACTTTGTTCATGGATGGGCAGATCGTAACTCAGGCCAATCAGAGTTCTCCCTAGACGTGTGCTGAAGCTATAGGCTACGGGTACAATGTAGACTGGGACAATTAAGAGACATCTTTTCAACTTCCAGAAAATCTATCAGAGAATGAAGCCAGACAAAGCCAGGACCCCAACATATGCAGCAACTATATATGGAATTGGCCCACCTTTGAACATAGCCCAAAATTTTCCTTCTGCACTTAAGCTAGTGTGACATTCTTTTGGTTACTCACAACTGAGTTTCTTGAATCACTCCAGGCCAATGTACATTTCACTCCTCACTGCATTTAATGAAAAACTACTAATGAAGAAAGTATGTCATTTCCCTTATGTGTGCCGGCAAGGATAAAAGGTTGAAAACCAGATTTAAGGGAGAGTGTATTTCACAGAAAATAAAATAGAATCAGTGATGCAAATTTGTAACAGCATATATACCAAAGCAAATAAAAAATGCCATTACTACGTTTTGAAACTAAAATTCAGTTAGGTATGTCATGGAAGCAGAAAAATTGATTCATTAGCAATAGCTACAGTTTAATTTTTATACTTTTTCCCTTTTAAATTAGATGCTTAACTTTATAAGAATTTAATTTTAAGATTAACTGGATTTTATAAATGATTACAATAACTGTATTTTAATATTTTCAGGATAAGGCCGGATGCGGTGGCTCAAGCCTGTAATCCCAGCACTTTGAGAGGCTGAGGCGGGCTGATCACAAGGTCAAGAGATTGAGACCATACTGGCCAACATGGTGAAACCCCGTATCTACTAAAATACAAAAAATTAGCAGGGCGTGGTGGCGGGCATCTGTAGTTCCAGCTACTCAGGAGGCTGAGGCAGGGAATCGCTTGAACCCGTGAGGCGGACTTTGCAGTGATCCGAAATTGTGCCACTGCACTCTAGCCTGGCGACAGAGCAAGACTCCATCTCCAAAAAAAAAAAAAAAAAAAAGGAAAGAAAAAAAATTTCAGGATAAGCACATATAGATTTTAAATAAAAACATTTATATTCAATGTAGTATTATTTACCACTACGCAGAACTCAATTTAGAATAGTTAACCTTGTATCCTAAGAATATAATGGTGGGGGAGATGTTATTAAATTGTTTCACCTAGAGAAGACAGAGGAACCACCCTTCACGTTACTTATTAAGCAGCCATATAAACAGGGCTACGAGGTTGGGTAAATAAAGCAAAGTCCTTGAGTCATGTAAAGGTAATTTTATGCATACCTGAAAGTTCAGTCAATTTTTCAGCTCTTTTACTCTTAGTTACAATTATTCCAATCTTGAAATAAAAACAAAAATTATTATTAATATAACAAGTTATTTCCTCCCATTAAGAATATATATAACTATTCCTGTAGATGATATTGGAGCAGAAAAAAAAATAATTTATATAGCTAAAATAAACTAGTAATTACAAAAGAAAGAAGCAACAGGTGAGAAACTTTTTCTCATGCTGTTTTTGGCAAATAAATTTAGCTATGAGTTCACATTACGTTTAACTTTTAGAGTTATTACGCTTTTCATTTTTAAGTATACCAGAAACTGGTTAAACAATTTGGGTAATTCACAAAATACATGTCCAATTTTTAAAAATAAATTACATTTGGAAGCAAAATAGGAATCTAATTCTGAATTCTATCACTTAGATACGTACCTGACTAATAGGATTTTGATCAAAATATTCCTCTACAAAGTATTCCAACAACTGTTTAAACAAAAAAAGACATACTAGATAAAGGCAAAATAACAATCATAAAGAACACGTCCAACTGATGTTTGTGAAACCTGTTAATCAAGCATCACTTCTCATGACTTTTAAACTTACAGATTTTCAAAAACTGTTAAGTAATAAAAATATTAAACAGTAAAAACGTTAATTTGAAATGGTGGGTGATGAGATAGGTTTGAGCTAGGTTTTAAAAGATGGAACCATTTGGATGTGTCAGAAGAAATTTCAATGAGGAAAAGATCCAATGAAGAGAGATGGGAGAACGAGCAGAATTGAGAATAGGTTTTGATAAATTAGGAATACGAACATATTTGTAATCTGAGGAGACAGAGTTAAGTAAGGCAAAGGAGAATGAAGATTCAAGAAAGAAAAGGGATAACTGATAAACCAAGATCCTGATGTGGGGTGGGAGGATAGAAATTAAAAACACAAATAATTAGCTATGTTGGTTTAAAATTTCCCTAAATAACCTGGCAGTACTTCTACTTAGCTATCATTAGCATTAACTAAAAATACAAGGCAAAAAATAAAAAATATTGCATTCTTTAAAAATATCCTTTAGAATCCAGTGTTCTTCCCCACTTTTTTAGTAAAAGTTTAAGTGATTTTGGTACAAATTTAAATGATTTAGTATAAACTTAAATTTTACCTTTAAAGTACACGTCAGTCTATTAGGCTTTAAATCTTGGTCTTCCATTGTTCTTGATCCATCTACTACCACATAAAGGTGGCGCATCTATCGGAAAAAAGAAAGGGCCAATTTCAAGTACTTGTTTTGTTTTGTAGAAACTGGGTCTCGTTCTGTTGCCCAGGTTGGTCTCAAACTCCTGGGCTCAAGCAATCCTCCTGCCTTGGCCTCCCAAAGTGCTGGGATTATAGGCATGAGCCACTGTGCCCAGCCTCAAGTGCCATTTTGACTAGTAAAAATGGCATTTAATAATTACATATTCTATGCACGTATTTTTAACATATTCTTTTAAAAACTTTGTTGTTTTGCTATTGTTTTTTCTAGCAAGACAGAATGTTTCTCTAACCTAAACTAGTTCTGTACTAGTAAAAGAAAAAATAATGACATACCATTCCAAGTCGAACTTGTCCATGGTGCTCAAATACTCTGTTAAAATTATACAAACATTTTAATGTAATTCCATATACTATCCCCCCCCACAAAAAAAATACAACTTTCCAATTGACCTCCTTTGTTTTTCTTTTTTTCTAATTCTGAGTAAGAATGTCATAACGTGCATTTTTAGTGGAGTAAATAATTAACTTATGGAATACAATACACACAATTATAGGTATTGTAGACAGTCTCTAAAGACCATTTCCTGCTGGGGCAAGGGTAGGTGGCTAGTTCTTTCCCCATAGTCAGAAGGCAATAGGTCAGTTACCCTGAAACACAGCTAAAATGAAGTACTGAGGAGTATTTATAGATAGAAAGGCTTAAAATGAATATATTTTACCTTTTTAAGATACATAGGAAGGTTACATACCTTTTTCTCTTTGCCTTGAATAGAATGTCTTCTATTGTAGCTTTAAGTGATCCAGATTCATCTTCTTTAAGAATCTCCCTATAAGTCATAATTATTTGTTTGAAAAGACAAGCTAAAATGATTACTAGCCCAAATGAAATGAAAATATATGTCCACACAAAGATTTGCATGTAAGTGTTCATGGCTGCATTTTCCTAACAGTCAAAAACTGTAAAGAACCTAAATATCCACAGACTAGTGAATGGATAAACAATAATGTGGCATAACCATAGATGGGAATACTATTCAGCAATAAAAAAGGAATGAAGTATTAATACACACTGCATCATGGATGAGTCTTAAAAATAAGTGAAAGCCAGCCACAACAGACCAACTATTATAGTCATGCATCGCTTACTGACAGGGATACATTCTGAGAAATGCATTGTTAGGCAATTTCATTATTGTGTGAATATCACAGGGTATACTTACACAAACCTAGATGGTATAGCCTATCCCACGCCTAGGTTACAAACCTGTACAGCACGTTACTATACTGAATATCTTAAGACAACTGTAACACAATGGTCAGTATTTGTATATCTAAACATACATAGAAAAGGTAGAGTAAAAATACAGTATTATAATATTATGGGACCATTGTCATATATGCAGTCTGTCTTTGACCAAAACATCATTATGTGGCACATGATTGTATATGATCACATTTTTGTGAAATGTCCAGAAAAGGTTAAAATTTGGAGACAAAAAGTAGACTAATGATTGCCCACAGGTGGAATTAAATTAAGATTTAAATTAATTGTAAATGAATGTGAAGGATCTTACTGGAGTGGTTACAATATTCTAAAACTGGTTTATGATAATGGCTGCACAGCTCAGTAAATTATTAATAAAACATCACTGAATTGTACATTGGAAATGGGTGAATTTTAACATATGTAAAATATACTTTAATAAAGTTGTAAAGAAAAAAAAAGACATTGTCTAAAAGAAAAGACAGGGCAATAAAGCTCTCCTTACCATGTTCTTTCATAGCCTCCTTCCCATCGCTTAGTTCTTTCAGGTTCTTCATCCATTTTTTTCAAAACTGTATTTTATTATTCAATAATCTGTAAAAACCATTAGAATGTAAGTTATCTAAAGATGTTTGTTACAAAATTCATCCAATTAAATTTGAAAATTAGACACATATATGAAGTAAAAAAAAATGGAATGCCAGGTCATCTTATTCTTTGTATTTTACTCAATAATTGTCTTAAAAATCTTCATAGAACTCCATTTCTCATTTCCAAGAAATAATATGAACTTATACACAAACTTGGTACCAATAAAAATAAGCGTCTTTTTACGATTTGTAAAAGAACAAAAATGCTTTATAGATGTGTCACATGACAAACTGTAGACTTGTGAGGAGTCAGTATGGGCGTAGTTGAACTATTATAGCTGAGTGACATGTGATTCATTGTACTATCTCTCTGTGTATGTCTCAGTTTTCTCATAATCAAAAGTTTTTAAATCACATTTATTATTTATAAATGGGTAAATGCTATAGCTCATAATTCAAAAAAAAAGGACACAAAATTAAACATAGTTCTTTGAGACATCTCCAAACTGCTTTCCATAGTGGCTGAACTAATTTACATTCCTACCAACAGTGGATAAGCATTCCCTTTTCTTCACAACCTTGCCAACATCTGTTATTTTTTGACTTTTTAATAATATCCATTCTAACTGGTGGTGAGATGGGTTTGTGGTTTTGATTTACATTGTGGTTTTGGTTTGCATTTCTCTAATGATCAGTGATGTTGAACATTTTTTCATATATTTATTGGACACATGTATGTCGATCCAACAATCCCAATACTGGGTATAAACCCAAAGGAAAATAAAACCATTCTACCAAAAGTACAAGAGCACTCATATTAATCACAGCACTATCCAAAATAGCAAAGACATCAAATCAACTTAGATGCTCATAAATGGTGGACTGGATAAAGAAAATGTGGTACGTAATATATCATGGAATACTAGCAGCCAAAAAAACAACGAAAAAAAAACACAATGAAATCCTGTCTTTTGCAGCAACATGGATACAGCTGGAGGCCATTATCCTCATTGAATTAACACGAACAGAGGCCCAACGCAATGGCTCACGCCTGTAATCCTAGCACTTGGGAGGCCAAGGCAAGTGGATCACCTGAGGTCAGGAGTTTGAAACCAGCCTGGCCAACATGGTGAAACCCTGTCTCTACTAAAAATAGAAAAAAATTAGCCAGATGTGGTGGCGAGCACCTGTAATCCCATCTACTCAGGAGGCTGAGGCAGGAGAATTGCTTGAACCCGGAAGGCAGAGAGGTTGCAGTGAGCCGAGATCGTGCCACTGCACTCTGGCCTAAAAAAAAACAGCAACAGAAAACCAAAGACGGCATGTTCTCATTTACGAGTGGAAACTAAACACTGAGTACACGTGGACATAACGATGAGAACAACAGACATTGGAGACTATTAGACAGGGAAGGATGGGAGAGAGTGAGGGTTGAAAAACTGCCTATCAGGTACTATGTTTACTACCAGGGTGACGGGATCATTTGTATACCAAACCTCAACAACAAGCAATTTATCCATGTAACCAACATGCACACGTACTCCGTGAAAATAAAAGTTGAAAACAAAACAAAACAAACAAACACAGGCCAGGGCCAGGTGCAGCGGCTCCATCCCTGTAATCCCTGCACTTTTGAGAGGACAAGGTGCGGATCACCTGAGGTCAGGAGTTCGAGACCAGTCAGGCCAACATGGCAACACCCGTCTCTACTAAAAATACATAAATTAGTTGGGCATGGTGGCAGGTGCCTGTAATCCCAGCTACTAGGGAGGCTGAGGCAGGAGAATTCCTTGAACCTGGAGGGCAGAAGCTGCAATGAGCCAAGGTCACGCCACTTCACTCCAGCCTGGGTGACAGAGCAAGACTCCGTCTCAAAAAAAAAAAAAAAAAAAAACCAGGCCAGGTATGATGGCTGACATCTGTAATTCTAGCACTTTGGGAGACTAAGGCAGGTGATCACTTGAGGTCAGGAGTTTGAAAATTAGCTAGGAGGTTGGTGGGAGCGGGCCCCTGTAATCCCAGCTACTGGGGAGGCTGAGACAAGAGGACTGCTTGAACCCAGGAGGCACGGAGGCTGCAGTGAGCCGAGATCAGGTCACTGCACTCCAGCCTGGGCAACAGAATGAGACCCTGCCTCAAAAAAGAAAGAAAAGAAAGGAAAGAAAGAGAGAGAGAGAAACGGGCACGGTGGCTCATCCTGTAATCCCAGCACTTTGGGAGGCCGAGGCCAGCAGATCATTTCAGGTCAGGAGTTCAAGACCAGGCTGGCCAACATAGTGAAATGCCGTCTCCACTAGAAATACAAAAATCAGCAGGGCCTAGTGGTGCACACCTGTAATCCCAGCTACTCGGGAGGCTGAGGCAGGAGAATCACTTGAACCTGGCAGGTAGACACTGGAGCGAGCCAAGGTTGTGCCACTGCACTCCAGCCTGGGTGAGAGAGCGAGACTCTGTCATTCATTCATTCATGCACAAATAAATGTCCTCATCACACCTCCATCCTCCCCAATGCAATCTCCCTCCCAACTCCACCACCTCGTGGCTCACTGCAACCTCCACCTCCCGGGTTCAAGTGATTCTCCTGTCTCAGCCTCCCAAGGAGCTGGGATTGCAGGCGCGTGCCACCATGCCCAGCTAATTTTTGTATTTTTAGTACAGTCAGGGTTTTGCCATGTTTTATATTTTTGTAGAGCCAGGGTTTCACCTGACTTGCCAGGCTGATCTCAAACTCCTGACCTCAAGTGATCTGCCTGTAAACAGAATATTTTTGTTTCTTTTTTTGTTTTAAGACGGAGTTTCACTCACCACCCAGGCTGGAGTGCAATGGCGCGATCTCGGCTCACTGCAACCTCCGCCTCCGAGTTCAAGTGATCCTCCTGCCTCAGCCTCCCGAGTAGCTGGGATTACAAGAGCCCGCCACCACACCTGGCTAACTTTTGTGTTTTTAGTAGAAATGGGGTTTTGCCATGGTGGCCAGGCTGGTCTCGAACTCCTGACCTCAGGTGACCCACTCACCTCGGCCTCCCAAAGTGCTGGGATTACAGGCGTGAGTCACCACACCCAGCCTCAACTGAACATTTTGCTCCTCCCTGTTTTCTGTTACGTATTGTGAACTTTAAAAATGAAAAACTCGCATAACGTTCTCAACGTTTTTAAACTCAAATTCTTGGCAGGGCACACAGTGGCTCAAACCTGTAATCCCAGCACTTTGAGAGGCCAAGGCAAAAGGATTGCTTGAGTTCAGGCGCTCAGATCAGCCTGGGCAATAACCTTGTCTCTACAAAACATCAAAAAATTAGCTGGGCGAGGTGGCGAGTACTTGAGTCCCAGCTACTTGGGAAGCAAAAGTGGGAGGATGACTTGAGCCCAGGAGAGTCGAGGCTACTATGTTCACTACTGCACTACAGACTGGGTGACAGAGTGAGACCCTATCTCAAAATAAATAAAATAATTACAAATATATAATAAATATTATAAATATAAAAGTAAATAGCAACTGAGAGACTTTTGGCTGACCATATCAAAGGAATTCTTTTTTTTCTTTTTTTTTTGAGACAAGAGTCTTGCTCTGTCGCCCAAGCTTGGAGTGCAGTGACGCAATCTCGGCTCACTGCAACCTCCGCCTCCAGGGTTCAAGCGATTCTACTGTCTCTTCTGTCTCCCGAATAGCTGAGATTAAGGCACACGCCACCACAGCTAACCTTTTTATTTTTAGTAGAGACGGGGTTTCACCAGCCTGTTGGCCAGGCCTGGTCTCGAATTCCTGACCACAACTGGTCCGCCCACCTCGGTCCTCCAAAGTGTTGGGATTACAGGCATGAGTCACCACGCCCGGCTAAAAGGACTTCTTAATTAGAGCTGCCTGCAACGGGAAATCCGACTGGACAGGAGGTATTAAGGTCCCTAAAACTGCAGACGTTCAATGGGAAGTCTGATTGTAAACATGCATGCTGTTTAAAGGATTCATGCATCCTGAAGATGGACTTTGTAAAGATCTCCAATGGCCTGTCACTTCCCGTCAGTCCATTTTCTTCTTAAAAATATCAGCGAGGCCAGGTGGGTGGCTCACACCTGTAATCCCAGCACTGTGGGAGGCCGAGGCGGGAGGATCACGGGGTCAAGAAATCAAGACCATCCTAGCCAACATGGTGAAACCCCGTCTCTACTGAAAATACAAAAATTAGCTGGGCGTGGTGGCACGCGCCTGTAGTTCCAGCTACTCGGGAGGCTGAGGAAGGAGAATCGCTTGAACCCGGGAGGTGGAGGTTGCAGTGAGCCGAGATCGCGCCGCTGCGCTCCAGCCTGGCGACAGGGCGAGACTCCGTCTCGAAGAAAAAAAAAAATTTTTAAGTGATCTGTTTCCTGGAATCCAACCCCAAACAATCCACGTTCCTCAGCATAAGCCTACTGGTGTGATTCCCGTTACATGAGCTCGGAATGCTATCTGCCAACAAATGAGAGCACCAAACATCCCAATTTAAGAAGCTTTTCTTCACACCTTACCAAGCTATGTGAAACTGGCAAGGGTGATTACTGTCCTTGTTTTTCAGGTATGGGATTCAGGCTCAGAGGTTGGTCACTTTCTCAAGCGGGTCACAAACTCGAACCCTGAACCATCATTTCTAAAAGTCGCGCTTTTACTTAGGGAGAGACGGCCTGCAGCTTCCCTCCCTACTCTGCGGCTCCCCAGACGAAAGTTACCTTCCTCTGCCTTCACAAGCTCCTTCACATCCTCCTTCCCTATGAGCCCAGGCAGGGCAATTCAACCTCCGTTCCCCGCCACGAAAACGCTCCCAGCCGCCTAGCTAGCCAGACGGCCTGCCCCACCTCTGCGCCTCACAGACTTCCACACGCGGACTCACCGGCGCCGCTAGAAGGACTCTCAGCCGGAAACTCCGCCCGACACTCCTCTCCGCCGCTTTAGGGGCGCCCCGGAAGTCATTCCGCCGCGCCCTGCGGCCACGCCGAAACGTTCCGGATGCTGCAGAGTGCAGCTGCCGGAGCGGGGCGCTCAGGTGCAGGGCATGGCCTCCGCTGAGTTGGGGCGCGGAAAGGGACGGTGTTCCAGCTGGAATTCACAGAGAACCGGAAAGAGTGATCGCCATTCGCTCTCGGAAGGTCGAAGGCTCTGCAGCCATCGACCTGGGTTCTGAGGAGCTCGATCTGGTTTTTCTACTTCTAAAAGGTTGGGATGAAGGACCCTGGCCACAGAAGTAAAGCCAGAATTATCCTTGCTTCTTGCTGTGTATTTCAGGACTCCTCCATTGCTCTTGCTGTTCATTCAACAAACATTGAGCATCTACTTTGAGCCTGATGCATGTCTAAGCACTGAAGAAATAACAATGAAAAACTGTCAAAAATCCTTGCTCTCGTGGAGTTTTCCTTCTCCAAGGGGAGTCAGTATGAAGAAAAACATATACTATATGAAATGGTGATAATGCTGTGGAGAAAAACTAAGCACTGAAGGGGAAAAGTTTGCAGTTTAAAATAGGGTGGCCAGGCCGGGTGCGATGGTTCACACCTGTAATCCCAGGCATGGTGATTTGGGAGGCCGAGCGGGGGTGGATCATCGGAGGGCAGGAGTTCGAGACCAGCCTGGCCAACATAGTGAATTCCGTCTCTACTAAAAATACAAAAACATTAGCCGGGCGTGCTGGCAGGCGCCTGTAATCCCAGCTACTCGGGAGGCTGAGGCAGGAGAATCGCTTGAATCCAGGAGGCACAGGTTGCAGTGAGCCAACCTTGCACTCCAGCCTGGGTGACAGAGACTTCATCTCAAAAAATAAAATAGGGTGGCCAGAGGAGTCCTCGCTGGGAAGACAGTTAAGCCATGACCTGAATGAGGAAGGGTGTTAACCCTACTGATACCTAGGGGAAAAGCTCTTCAGACAAAGAGAGCTGCAAGTGCAAAGGCCCTGAGGTAGAAGTGCATTGGGGTCTTTGACGACTGCAGGAGTGAGCAGGGGATGAGTGGTGGCAGCTGCAATCAGAAGGGTAAGGTGGGGAGGAGAGGCTGTGAGCACTGTTAAGAACTTTGGGGGAATTGTGATGGCTTGGACCAGCAGCTGGTGAGAAGTGACTGAATTCTAAATCTTACCAATACACTGGATGTGTGTTATGAGAAAAGAATCAAGGATACCTCCATAGTCTTTAGCTGAGCAACTGAAAGGTTGGGGTTGCAATTATTAAAATGTTGGCGGGGTGGGTAAGATCAATTCAGTTTTGGACAAGTTGTCTGACTGCCAATTAACACAAGTGGAATTACTGGCATTTCCCATACTTGAGAAATGGAGAGGCAGTGCACCCCCAGATGAGAAAAGGGTTAGGAATAACACAAAGGAACTGCAGAAGCTAGGGCCTCTTTCCTTCCCCATCAGCATACTCATCCCCTCCATTGCCTTTATTTTATTGTTAAAAATTTTTCCCATCTCTGTTGTCTCCCTCAAAAATATAAACAGAAGGTATCTTGCATAGCAGTGGAAAGAACAGCCCTGGATTTAAAATCAGGCTCTGACACACTGGCTGGGTGACCTCAAGCAAGTCACAACCCAAGTCTATGAACTAATGTGTAAAATGGGGTTGTCTCCACCAACCCTGCAGGGCTTAGTGGGAACTCCATAATCAGTCTCATTTCCTCCCAGAAGACAGGATTTTAAAAGGGAGAGGAGGGGAAATTAGTATCGCAGTGCCAGGAAGCTTCCATGCTTGCCTCCCTCCCACCTTTGACCTCATTAGAGGACTCACACACAAATTCCACACTTTTCCTTTTGTGCCCTTCCTTCCTATCCACACTTTTGCTTCCTTCCATCTTAATTGACCATCCTATTTGCAAGACGGGATGCATTCCTCTAGGACAAACAGCCTAGAGGAATCCCAAGCCCCAAGTTTCTTGCATATGTTTGTTATCCATCAGCCTGGGAAGGCTTTAAGGAAAACCAGGAAAAAGATAGAGGACTCCCCAATAAATATAAAGCATATTTGCGAAGAGAGGAGACTGAAACAGTTTTCCCAACTGTAATATTTGCTCTGTATAGATTTTAGACATGGATGTTAAGATTCAACTAGGAATGGTACTACAGCAAAACAAAATATGCATAAATCCATAATCTCTTGGCATGATTATGACTGACATATTCTAATCATTTACAAAGTGGTAGAATAAATTATCTAACCTACTCAGATGTTTTTTCAACTTGTAAAACTAAAAGACAACTATAAAGAATGGATAATCTGTTCTTTGCCCATGAGTGGCCAGACACAATCAACAGGGTTAGGACATTCACAATCAGCTCAGCCAGTGGAATCAGATATAAAAAGCATGCAACTTGAAAGACTGGGAGAAGTGAACCTGTCTATTCCAATAGACAGGCTCCCTTACAGGGAAACTAAATCATTCCAGAAAGCCTCATCTAAAACCTCTGTAATTGACAACAGTATCTAACAATCGTGATCTTGATAAGTAAACTATTTGCTGTAACCTAAAGAAGCATTTGTTTATCATGTACAAATATTTAGAATGCCAATCCTGCATTCTCTGCCTAGAATTCAAAAGAATTTACATTCTAAGGCTGCACCCAGCACAGATCAATCATATGGGATTGGATGACACATGCACTTTTAAAAAACACAATTTGCTTTTAGAAAACTTGTTAAAGTTTCACCTTCTGGCTTTGGAAGATGGGGGTAGCTAGGCATATTTACTTTTAGACAAGGACTGAGTCACACATTAACTACCTTCTTAACTATGAGATTATTACAAATATATTTTTACAAATACAAAAAACTGAAGTACAGAGAGGCTAAGTTAATTTCTCCAAGGTCCCACAGCAAGTAACTGCAGAAGGGCAAAGCAAAAATAGGACAACACATGTAGGCAATACCAAGCAGTTCTTGTGGCAGCAACTGGAAACCTTTTGGAGACACCATTCTGCATTTCGTTGTAGTCATACACAAAACCCTAGTTATGTATCCATGCTTCTTTCTCATAATGCCAAAGTGGCACTATTCTAATTTACTAACAAGGTTTTCTAAAAACTACCCAAATTATTGTGGTGTTTTTGCTCACTTCTTCCCATTAGAATAAATGTAGACAATAAGAAACGCATGAGGGATGACATAGTCCTCCATCAAATCTGTCCTTTCACACAAGAGATGGCATGGTGTAGTGTAGCAGAATCATGAGCTGCCAGGAAATTATGAATTCTGATTCCTCCAGCTGAGTCTTTGAAAAAGTCCAGATGAGAAACACTTCCATCCTGATGCTGAAGCAAGGAGAATGTCCTTGTGTGAGGAATTCTCACAACACCAACTGAAGCTAAGGTCCCCGGAGCCATGATAAAAGCACTTTTCTGCCCTGATTCTTCTTTACACACATGTACCCATTCAGGTCTTTACAGATATTTCACAGGAAGCATTTATGTTACAAGTACTTAAAATGCACTCGAAATTAATATAGGATACTTTATTTACATCAGAGTGATCTCACATTATCCAATCCATTAACAAAGTCAACACAGGATGGAAGTATAGAATCTAACAGTTGAAGAGACTAAGATCCTAATCCCTTGTTTTGCCACTTGCTAGTGTGACAACAGCCAGTTAATCTATCATATCATTAGTTCCTTGTCTATAAAAGAAGAATAAGAAATGGTCACATGTCAAAAGATCGTTGTGAGGATTAAATATCATATATGTACTTATGTGTATGTAACTTATTTACTATAAATACTAGTTGACTTCACTTTATTTCAAAAAATATAAAGCACATATGACAAAACATTAACACATGTTATTTCTGGGCGGATGGTACTTATATTTTATACTTTTCTGTATTTAAATTTTTCAAAATAAAATAATGATCCTATATACTTTTAATACAAAATCACATATGTAGGGCATCACTTTATACGCAGGGAATCTTTACAAAATGAACTATGTGCTATCACAACAAACTCCTTAGAACAATAGTTTATAACAAAGCAGAATTCCAGACAAGAACTACAGGTCAGAAATGGAAGGGATGTCGGAAATCTAATCTAAACCTCTGACTTTCTAGACTAGGAAGCTGCTTGAGTGGCTTTTCAAATTTACATCCAGCTAGTTAATGCCAACGCCAACAGAAACACCCTGATCCTAGTTTCCTAAAACGGTATTTAGTATAAATACACATGAAAATTTTTCTTATTTTTGAAATTTCAAAGTCCAATTTTATAACACAATTTTACAATGCAAATTCTTGCTGTTTCACTTTCTGGATTCAGCTGAATAGTTTTGTGAAAATACTGACAAACTTGCCTTCACGAACTGACTTCCAAGAACAAATTGTTAAAACTTTAACAGAAAAATCAGTTAAAGGTGCTCATCAAGAGAGTCCTTTTCATTTGGTATAAATCCAAAACTATGAAAATACCTTTTGTATTATGTGCATGCAGAAAATTAAGAATTTATTCAATTTGCAGAAATAAATCAGTGATATAATGGAAACATTTAAAATTTTATCTCTGGAAAATAATCCAAAATCATCTATCAAAAATTATAGGCCGGGCGCAGTGGCTCACGCCTCTAATCCCAGCACTTTGGGAGGCCGAGGTGGATGGATCACCTGAGGTCAGGAGTTCGAGACCAGCCTGACCAACGTGGAGAAACCCCATCTCTACTAAAAATACAAAAAAAAATTAGCCAGGTGTGGTGGCGCATGCCTGTAATCCCAGCTACTCGGGAGGCCGAGGCAGGAGAATTGTTTGAACCTGGGAGGCGGAGGTTGTGGTGAGCTGAGATCGCGACATTGCACTCCAGCCTGTTCAACAAGAGCAAAACTCCATCTCAAAAAAAAAAAAAAAAAAAAAAAATACACACACACACACACACACTTAGGCCAGGCATGGTGGCTCACGCCTGTAATCCCAGCACTTTGGGAGGCCGAGGCAGGCAGACCACAAGGTCAGGAGTTCAAGACCAACCTGGCCAATATGGTAAAACCCCGTCTCTATTAAAAATACAAAAATTAGCCAGGCATGGTGATGGGTACCTGTAGTCTCAACTACTCGAGAGGCTGAGGCAGGAGAATTGCTTGAACCCGGGAGGTGGAGGTTGCAGTGAGCCAAGATAGCGCCACTGCATTCCAGCCTGGGTGAGAGTGAGACTCTGTCTCAAAAAAAAAAAAAAATTATATACCTAAATATCTGAAATGCATACTAAAGTTCAGTTTATAGATTATTCTAAAAAAAAGTTTTTAGAAAAGTCTAAGCTGGGATGATCACAATCAACTTGGTCAGCACAGTGCTATCAAGTAATTTTACTAATAAGAATCTGAATTTTTAAAAAAGTGATACAATTTAAGGGCACCATTTGAAATTATTTGGTATTTCGTGGTATAGCATTCTATTCCCAGACATATCAGCATTCTTACAGCCAAAGGAATGGGAAACGACTAACCAGCACAGCATCCAAAGGAGTATAAACAACAACAGATACAACTCCTGAGTGTGGTTTTCCATTGCTGTGTGTTAACAGCACTAATAACATCAAACAGGTTATTATGGAAAGAAAACACCAGGTTTAATACCTTATAAAATATGTATAGAAATTGAACATTCCTGTAAGATACAGTTCAAGTCACAATTGAATTATAAATGTAATCAGATATTCTGATATAATGAAAAGTTCTAGTTGGTTTTTAAAAAAAGGCATGCAAAAAGATAAAAAGTATTTAAAAACACACAAAATTCTAACCACCGGGTTTAAACTTTGATCTTAAAAAAGTAAATATATATTTACAATCTTTAAATTTCACACATTTGTTACTTTTACATGATCTTTATTATTTAAGAAAAACCTCTTTTAACCATTTATATAACAGAAAAAAAATAGGGAGGCTGGTAGATCATCACATATATAGTAGCTAAAATATGAAAGGCCAGGGAATTTATTATTAATGAAGTCATAAAACAGACTTAACCAAAAGTGTGTGCTAGGAAACAAGCAGTTTCACTTCAGAGACTTCATTGCAGGAACCCAGTTTCCTTATGTGGAAAAAAGTGATTATAAATAACAGTTATCTGAAAGGTGGTTGAGAGGATTAAATGAGATCACCTATGCAAACAAATACATGTAGGTATGAAGACATCGTCTGGGGTGTGAAAGTTTAGTTCACACCAGAACCTTCCTTTAAGGCTTAAAAACCTCAAACAGTATTTCATTCTTAATACAAGAACCAATGTTTAAAGCATAAAATCCTTAATTGGAGTGTTCAGCCCAGTTGATTATCAAAAGCGATTTATAAAATGCTTCAATACTGATGATATTAAAGCAACCAAAACTGTGATGCTCACAGAGGTTTGGCTTCCGGGGTTATGGTCCAAAGTCATTTGCCTTCTGAGAAGATTGCAGAGATGTCAGATACTTAATTTCTCAAACAACTTGGCATCAGCCTTCTATGTTTTCTGTCTATCATAGTCTCCAACCATCTTCTTGATGTGTGACAATTTGCTGTTTAACTGCTTGCAATGATTCTTCTTACTTTTGTAATCTGCAGACTAAAAAGGGAGAAAATGAATCACATAAATTCAACAAAATGAAAACAGGTCTGCTGGGAAGGCAGAATTGAACACAGAAATGGAATATTTAGTCAAGAGAATTGCTGGGAGTGTTAATTGAAGTAAAATACGCAAGGTGCCTGGCAGTATCACTAACCACACAGGCAGCTGATTCTATTTGCTCAGTTCTGTCTTCTAACCTGGGTTTTTCCAAAGGATACCCTCATTTCTAAAAATCTGTAAAATGACCAAGAAAACTTACCAGCCTTTTTGCTAACACATCATCTAAAACTGTAAGTAAAACAAGAGACTGGTGATCTCATTTGACTGGGGAAAGGGAAGCTGAATAGGGGATAAGAGAGATGGGAAATTTTACTGTATACCCTTTAAACTCTTATTTCAAATCATGATGCCTGTAATTTATAATTTTTTTTTCTTATTTTAGAAAGGGTCTCATCCTATTGCCCAGGCTGGAGTGAAGTGGTACAATTATAGCTCCCTGCAGCTTTGAACTCCTGGGTTCAAGGGATCCTTTTGCCTCAGTCTCCCTAGTAGCTAGGACTACAGGCATGTAACCACAGCACCTGGATAAGTAATTTACAAAAATTTTAATATAATTTTTTTTTAATGTTTTAAGTCAATAATGACTGTCATGCCAAGTGTTAGCAAGGATATAGGGCAACAGGAGTCTGTAGTGGTTGGTGGGAATGTAAACTGGTACAAGTACTTTGGAAGGCCATTTGACAGTATCTACTAAGGCTGGATAGACAAATGCCCATCACTTCTACGCTCAAACATTTACAAATATGTATGAAGCTGCAATATTTTTAAATGCCAAAAATTGGGAACAACCCAAACGTTCATTGACAATAGAATGGATGAATAAAGTTGCATTTTATATACAACACTACAAAGCAATAAAAATTAATCAACCGGCCAGGCGTGGTGGCTCACGCCTGTAATCCCAGCACTTTCGGAGGCCGAGGCAGGTGGATCACTTGAGGCCAGGAATTTGAGACCTGCCTGGCCAACATGGTAAAACCCCATCTCTACTAAAAATAGGAAAATTAGCCAGGTGTGGTGGTGCTTGCCTGTAATCCCAGTGGCTCGGGAGGCTGAGGCAGGAGAATTGCTTGAACCCAGGAGGCAGAGGTTGCAGTGAGCCGAGATTGTGCCACTGCACTCCAGCCTGGGCGACAGAGCGAGACACTGTCTCAGGAAAAAAAAAAAAATTAATGAACCATGGCCGGGCATGGTGGCTCATGCATGTAATCCCAGCACTTTGTGAGGCCAAGGCAGGGGGATCACCTGAGGTTGGGAGTTCAAGACCAGCCTGGCCAATGTGGTGAAACCATGTCTTTACTAAAAATACAAAAATTAGCCAGGCATGGTGGTGCGTGCTTGCAATCCCAGCTAGGCTGAGGCAGGAGAATTGCTTGAACCTGGGAGGCGGAAGTTGCAGTGAGCTGAGACTGCGCCACTGCACTCCATCCTGGGCAACAGAGCAAGACTCCGTCTAAAAAAAATAATAGTAATGAACTACAAATGGACCCTTACAAACACTATACTGAGCAAAAGAAATCACACACAAAATACATACTGTGTGGTTCCATTTATGTAATGTGCAAGATAGACAAAACTCTATGATGTTAGAAGTGAGCATGATGGACCCCTCTGGAGAGAGTGTAAACACTGGAAAGTAGTACAAGTGAGGGTGGGGGTGCTGGGGGTGGGGAGGTACTGGGAAATATATTTCTTGATCTGCATACGCAGGTATGTGGTCACATTGTGAAAATTCACCATGTTATACACTTTGATTTATACACTTTTCTGTATGTATACTTCAACTTTTAAAAAATATATAAAATAAAAAATGAAAAACATGTAATAGAAAAGCTCTTCCTCCAGATGAGTAGGTATGGGAATTAAAATAAAAAGAAGAAGAAAGAAAGTTCTTCCTAAAAGAACAATCTCGGATACTTACTCCCTTCACTTGCTTCAGTCTATTGTATTCATCAGCAGCAGCCTATTAACGACAGACACAAAGGAATATGTTTACTGGGGCATTTTCTCTTTTAAAAGTAACATTCCTGATGTTATACTTTGGAGCTAAAAATGACAGCTTATGACAAAAATATAAGCAATTAAAAGAATGAAGTCGTAAAGCTCTTAAAACTCATGATCAGCAGGAAGGTCTGAAGGAATTCAGTGAAGAGACATTTATGATACTGTATCTTTCACATTTCACTCACATAGGCAGGTAACTATCTGTTCTGCTACTTCTCATCTCTCCTCATGCCAGTCCCCATGCTACACTGACACCAGGAAGATCTTTTATAACACAGAGCGCTCGCTGATCAGGTAATATCCCACTACACAACTGGTCTGAGCTTCCCATTAACTTCTCCCCTCATCCAGTTTCCTACCTTTCCAGTCTCAGTACCCATCATCAGCAACTCCTTTAAAAACTGAGACATGTTAAATGCTTCAGGATTTCAATCATGTTTTCCTTATGGCTGTAATCATGCACCTCCCCGCACCCTTCTGTCTGGAAAGCTCTTAACGATTCCCTCACTGTGAAGCCTCCAAAGACTTTATTTCTTCTATGAGCAGTTAGTTATAGTGCTTTCTACACATGATGCAAATACAGCATTAATCATACTGTCTAAATTGTTTAGATGTCAGGTTTTTTTTCTTAAAATATAAGCTCTTTTAGGGTGGGGACAAGATTTTATGTCTCTAGCTCCAGCATTTCCACATCATCAAAGAAAAATAAGTGATCAATAAATGTTCACTAAATTAAGAAAGATCTATAACACCCTATAGAAACCATAAAAGAAATACATAAATCTAACTATATAAAGATGTGAATACGTCAAAACTAAAAAGTAGATCACCTCAACTGAAAAATGGCAGAATATTTAATGAGATGTGCATCAAATGAGTCCTGTATTGTATCAAGAGGGAGACACAGTTGGTGCAGTCTCTCTGGAGGGCAATTTTGCAACTTTGCAAAGGTACGTACCCTCTGACTCTCAGCAATTTCACATTCTGGAATTAGTTTTAGTTAGATAAGCAGGCTGGGCGCTGTGGCTCACACACGTAATTCCAGCACTTTGGGAGGCCGAGGCAGGCAGATCACCTGAGGTCAGGAGTTCGAGGCTAGCCTGACCAACATGGCAAAACCCCGTCTCTACTAAAAATACAAAAATTAGTCAGGTGTGGTGCCACATGCCTGTAATCCCAGCTACTCGGGAGGCTGAGGCGGGAGAATCACTTGAACCTAGGAGGCGAAGGTTGCAGTGAGCCAAGATAGCGCCACTGCACTCCAGCCTGGGCGACAGAGCAAGACTCCGTCTCAAAAAAAAAAAAAAAAAAAAAAATTAGATAAGTAGACAAGAGTGCAAAAACAGAGAGGTTCACCAGTATATACTGGTACTACTGGAGTAGGGGGAGACATACTTAAATGTCTATCCATAGAAAATGACTCTTAAATTATGATACAACCATAAATTTGAAAGTTGTTTACCTAATTTTACACATAAAAAACTTAAAAGTAAGTAGGTCTTTATTATTGATATAAAAAAAAAAACTTGCTGTTAAGAAAAGACAGAAATAAGCAGTGCAAGGAAGTTTTTTTGTTTGTTTTTTTTTTTAAAGATAAAACCCCACAATAAGAGTATGTCAAAGGGACACGGGAAGCAACTGAAAGTTCCCAACGGTCAAAGCGAGAACAATTAGAGCTACAAAATAAAGCAGCCTTGGATTATAATTCACAGTATAAAACAGGTATCTGTAAAGTCCATACTTACGTAAGTGATTGACTGATCAATAAAGGAACAAATTAACAAGAAGAGATTAATCTCCCTCTAAAAGGTGGTGTAACTACATTAATTTCAGTATGTATACAAAATACAGTATGAAAAGGATGGATTGAAAAAAAAATCCAGTAACTTTACATGGACAAATTCTATCTCAGCCAGGTGATCAAGGGAGGGAAAAAAAAAACCCATAAACTGTTGATTTAAAAGACAGGAAGAAAATAAGTGAAACATGGAAGATGATGTTTCCTTAAAGAAAGGTGTATGTGCCTTGGTGACTCCTGCTTGGAGAGATTGTTTTAACTAATATTTTGGTGATAAGGATTTCTTGATGGTAGGATTTAAGATGATTTCTTTTTCTGTATACAGTTCTGTGTTAAGTTCTTTTTTTTTTTTTTTTTTTTTTTGAGATGGAGTCTCACTCTGTCACTCAGGCTGGAGTGCAGTGGCGCGATCTTGGCTCACTGCAAGCTCCGCCTCCTGGATTCACACCATTCTCCTGCCTCAGCCTCCCAAGTAGCTGGGACTACAAGTACCCGCCACCATACCTGGCTAATTTTTTGTATTTTTTTTTTTTTTTTAGTAGAGACGGGGTTTCACTGTGTTAGCCAGGATGGTCTCGATCTCCTGACCTCATGATCCACCCACCTCGGCCTCCCAAAGTGCTGGGATTACAGGCATTAGCCACCGTGCCCGGCCGCTTAAGTTCTTTTCTACAGAAAGAATGAATGGCTTTATAAATAGGAAAGATAATAAGGCTATTTTATTATTATTATTATTAATTTTTGAGATGGAGTCTCACTCTGTCGCCCAGGCTGGAGTGCAATGGCGCAATCTTGGCTCACTGCAACCTCCCCCATCCCGGGTTCAAGCAATTCTCCTGTCTCAGCCTCCCCGAGTAGCTGGGATTACAGGTGTCTGCCACCATGCCCTGCTATTTTTTGTATTTTTAGTAGAGATGGGGTTTCACCATGTTAGGCACGCTATTCTCTAACTCCTGACCTCAGGTGATCCACTTGCCTTGGCCTCTCAAAGTGTGGGGATTATAGCCATGAGCCACCATGCCCAGCCTGGCTATTTTATTTTAAATAGGAAAGGATAGATGTACATAGAATAGTGCTTTGTAGGGGCTGGGCGCGGTGGCTCACGCCTGTAATCCCAGCACTTTGGGAGGCTAAGACGGGCAGATCACGAGGTCAGGAGATCGAGACCATCCTGGCTAACATGGTGAAACCCCGTCTCTACTAAAAAAAAAAAAAATACAAAAAATTAGCCGGGCGTGGTGGCGGACACCTGTAATCCCAGCTACTTGGGAGGCTGAGTCAGGAGAATGGCGTGAACCCGGGAGGCAGAGCTTGCAGTTAGCTGAGATCACGCCACTGCACTCCAGCCTGGGCAACAGAACGAGACTCCACCTCAAAAAAAAAAAAAAAAACAGAATAGTGCTTTGTAATTATTAACTATTATACATTAGTACAATCTTCTATTAGGAAAGAATTTCATCCAAAACCCAATCTCAACTATTCTTCAATGAAACTGCAGTTTGATAACTACTAGCACATTTTTATCAACATTAATATAAAGGATGCTGTACCTCCACAGATTAGATTCAAATTCTGTTTAATATATAAATATCAGGTTGAATTTACCATGTACTCTTCACTTTCTTCTCTATAGTCATCCAATTCTTTATCCAAACGGGAGAGTTCTTTATTGATCTCATCAAGTTCTGATTGTAAGCTCTTGTATTCCTGTAGGCCAGTGTCAAAATTCCTCTTGTACAGTTGTCTTTGTTGATCTGAAGTGATAGGTGGATATTCCCTAAAAGGTGAGAGAGAAAATGACTACATATGTATCCTTAGCAGACATAAAATTCAATGCTCCTTCCTCAAAGATAATAAAGCTGGTTGGGTATGGAGAATGACATTTTCTTGTTTCGTTTTTGTTTCTTACGGGGAAAGAGAGAGAGAATACAAATAAGTTCTATTAAGAGTGACTATATATTACTGCTCATTTTTTAAAAAATAAAAACTATGCCTACGTAATTTGCAGAAATAATTTTGAAAATCATTTACAAAATTGAAGGTACAAGTCATAGGAACTCACTTATTTCCCATACACAATATCAATAATGGACTACTTATGTTTATAAAGTTTTTCTTTTCTTTTTTTTTTTTTTTGAGACAAAGCCTGCTCTGTCACCCAGGATGGAGTGCAGTGGCACAATCTCGGCTCACTGCAACCTCCACCTCCCGGGTTCAAGCGATTTTCGTGCCTCAGTCTCCACAGTAGCTGGGATTACAGGTGCCTGCCACCACGCCCGGCTAATTTTTGTATTTTAGTAGAGACAGGGTTTCACCATGTTGGCCAGGCTAGTCTCAAACTCCTGACCTCAGGTGATCCACCTGCCTCAGCCTCCCAAAGTGCTGGGATTACAGGAGTGAGCCACCATGCCTGGCCTGTTTAAAGTCTTAAAACTGGAATTCTGGAACACAAAGTCCGCTTTGATCACCACAGTGGCAGCACAGCTGACTGGAAGTGGCTGTTTCCTGCTACCACCCATAGTTTTCAGACTGGTTTATTTATTTTTTGCTCTTGTTTTTCCGAAGTGGAAATAGCTTATCTACTTCTTTCACAATAAAAATAGACATTAAAAATGTACATGTATAAAAACATGTGCTCACTGTTAAAATAATCTGGCAATTCATTAAAGTATAAAGAAGAAAAACTGAAATTTTGTATCACACCTATTTCTCAATATACCAGCCACTCCTTACATAGGAAGACGATGCCATTAACCCATAATCCATAGAGAAAATACTCTGAATCCTTTCACAGGACTGGAGTTTCACAATGATGTGGAATTTCAAATTTTAGATCTAACAATCTAACATCTTCATTTTACAGAGGGGAGAAATTTAAATGATTTGATCAAAAGGGAAACAAGAATTTCAGATTTTGAAAATTTTCAGGCTGGGCATGGTAGCTCACCCCTGTAATCCCAGCACTTTGGGAGGCCGAGGTGGGTGGATCACCTGAGGTCAGGAGTTTGAGACCAGCCCAGCCAACATGGTGAAACCCTGTCTCTATTAAAACTACAAAAATTAGCCGGGTGTGGTGGCGCATGCCTGTAATCCCAGCTCTTCGGGAGGCTGAGGCAGGAGGATTGCTTGAACCTGGGAGGCGGAGGTTGCAGTGAGCCAAGATCGTGCCACTGCACTCCAGCCTGGGCAACAGCGTGAGACTCTATCTCAAAAAAATATATAAAGTTTTCAGTTAAATCTTCCGTGATACAAGTTAGGTGAATATTTTACAGATAGATGGCTAAGCCAGGCCAAAAACTCTTGAGGGGAGAGGGGAAGATAAAGTATCAGAATCATCAGTGAATAGGGGATCTCAAGCTACCCATGCCCCGCCTATCATTCCTCACTCTCTGAGAAGCGATGTTTTGATTACCATTCACATTGCAAATGTTTCTGATGTGCGTCTTAGTCCTCAGAATACTTGGGCATAGGAAGGCTACACATCATACACAAATACATTTGGTGATGGTGGATGGATTGTAACAAAACCACCAAAACACAAAGAAACTTAACCACAACTGTGGCTGAACACTAAATTGTTACCTCAATTGTTTACGGAACTCTTTGGATTAAACTTTAAAAGAAACTCTCGTCTTATCATTTTAAGCTTAATTTAAAAAATAATTGCCGGCCAGGCGCGGTGGCTCACTCCTGTAATCCCAGCACTTTGGGAGGCCGAGGCAGGGAGATCATCTGAGGTCAGGATTTTCAAGATCAGCCTGGCCAACATGGTGAAACCCGTCTCTACTAAAAATACAATAATTAGCCGGGCATGGTGGTGGGCGCCTGTAATCCCAGCTACTTGGTAGGCTGAGGCAGGAATTGCTTGAACCCGGAAGGCAGAGGTTGCACCGAGCCGAGATCGTGCCATTGCACTCCAGCCTGGGCGACAGAGCAAGACTCCGTCTCAAAAAAAAAAAGTAATGCCAAAGGAAAACCATAGCACTGGTTTGGGAATTTTATAATTAGTAAAACAAAGTTCTTCTATACCTGGATTTTATTTATTTGAAAGGCCTTTGGTTGTTTTTTGAGATAGGGTCTAGCTCTATCACCCAGCCTGGGGTGCAATGATGCAATTATAGCTCACTGCAGCCTTGAACTCCTGGGCTTAAGCAATCCTCCTGCCTCAGCCTCAGCCTCCCGAGTAGCTGGAACTACAGGCCCACACCACTATGCCTGGCTGGTCTTGAACTCTTAGCCTTAGCCTCCCAAAGTGCTAGGACATCTTTCTTCCGTGACTATTGGTATAAGAAAGAGCACTGGTGAAGTTCACCAGCCACACTGTGGAAAGTTCAAAGTGGTTACTGCCAAAGTTCAAAGACATGGTTACTGCCAAACATTCTCTCCACTTCAAACTTTGTCACAAAAGGGTGCTAAGGAAAAAACCAGCCAACACCACACAAAAAACTGTCTCCAGTCCTGGTTGGCAAAGAATGAAATTACACCAGTGACCTCAATTTGGGAGGCAATAACTCCAACACCTGGTTGGTCTCCTTTAATTATCAGAAGGAGCACGTGGGCCAGGAAAGGAGAGCTGAGTCGGTACCTGATCCAGTCCTCCTCCAGCTCATCACAGGACTCGCCACCAGTTGTGTAGTCTGTCTCATAGTGATCTTGCTCTGTTCTCTTTGACCTTCCTGCTCTTCCCTTTGCAGGTGCTCTTTTTGAAGGTGTCTCAAAGTTACCACCGCTGCTGTAACGAGGCTGCCTGAAGTCATCCACAGGCGAAGTTAATGGAAGCTCCTGAACCACTTCAGGAACCCTAATAAAAACAGGCATCATTGTTCAGTACACTACAGCCCTTTGCCAGTGCACTGTAATCACAGAGCACAGCCATAATAAACACCAGCAGACATCTGCACGCAGGTGCACTCACGCGAGGACTTCAGATGTTCAACACTGAGCAGATGCCTCGTTTTCTGCATTCAATTTGACAGCAGTTCAGAGTCCTCTAATACACACAAGTAGTAGGTTCCAATTTAAAGGGGAGTAGCCATTTTTATACCTTCTAAGTACAATGGATCTCAGATTTCATTTTAAAAAGTTCAGGCTGATCTATAAGAGGTGTTTACTTGACCTGTGCCAGGGACTTACTCTACAAAGGCTGTCAGGAAAACAGTGATCATTCTTTTCTACAGGCTCTTCTAGTTCCCTGGAATGCTGCATGGGGAAGAATGCACACATGCTCTTTGTAATATTGATCTTATACTACCATATATCAATTATCATATTAAGATAAAATCTTGCAAAATAAACTAAATATCTAAACTAAAAAAGTAAAAAGCTTTACATTGCAATAAATTAAAGAGTTCCTTTAGGATTCTTTTTAAAATTGCTGTTAATCCTGAAGCCACGTAGAATGAATAGAAGGGTTACCATTACACACTTACTATTTTCTTCTAATACAATTATTTAAAGTTGCATCACAATTGCATGTTTCGGACACAAACATGAAAATAACCCTAACTGAGGAATAAAATACCAAAGTTGAAAGTGGGAACTACTTCTGAGTAAAAGAAATACGAAGTTTCATTTTCTTGTAGAAAAGGGCAAGAACAGAAATGAAAACACCAAAGAATGGGCCTAAGACTTTCCAAGCATCAGCCTTGCCATTCCAATCAACTATTTAAAATGTCTGAAGCGTTTCTTTTTGCTGCCAATTTACATAAACTATCATACTGAGCTCTTCCAGGTTTAGTCCCTTTTCTAGGTGATCCACATGTGCTTTGCTGTAACTGTTGTCAGAGTCTTAGATTTCTAAGCACACAATTTCTTGCAGACTCTAAACTTTGGGGTATGTGTGTGTAGATGCAGGTGGGGGTAGTATTTATTTCTTCTTTCAAGATTTATGGCCGGAGGCGGTGGCTCACACCTGTAATCTCAGCACTTTGGGAGGCCGAGGTGGGCGAATCACTTGAGGCCAGGAGTTCAAGATCGGCCTGGCCAACATGGTGAAACCCCATCTCTACAAAAAATACAAAAATTAGTGCACTGTGGCAGGCATCTGTAATCCCAGCTACTCGGGAGGCTGAGGCAGAAGAATTGCTTGAACCCAGGAGGCAGAGAATGCAGTGAGCTGAGATCGCACCACTGCACTCCACCCTGGGTAACAGAATGAGATTCTGTCTAAAAAAAAAAAAAATTATTCAGGTAATATGGCTTTGTGTGCTATGCTAATGTTACTTCTAATGGAGAGAAAATGTGACTTTCTCCATGAGTCAATGATTAACAAGTTCCTAGACACTCTGCCAAAACTGCCAGGTACTATGCCTCTTCTTTGAGGTAGAAAAACAAAACCTTTAGAATGCAGTGGATTCATTTTAGGGGTGGGGCCAAAGAGGGAGGGAACTAAAGGGCAAAAGAAATTAGAAAAAAACATAAAAACAAAAAGTAAAACATCAAAGTAGGCCTCCTGCCAGAATTTTTATGATATTAGATATTGATATATCTTTAACTTCGAAGTTTTCCTCCCCTCCTCCTACACCCCTTTAAAATATTAACATACTTGATCTAGCATGAAAGCTAAAAGCAAAATGTTTCACAAGAAAAGTATTGACTACAGGTGTGAGCAACACCACACTGGGCTAATTTTTAATTTTTTTGTAGAGACAGGGTCTCACTCTGTTGCCCAGGCTGAGCCTTCCACATTTCCCAAGCTGCGTTGATCTTTCCAGCCCAGCATGAAGTTTTCTTTCCCAAAGCTTACATAGCAAAAAGATTCTGATTGGCCCTTTTTGGGTCACTGTCATCCTTGAAGCCAGGAGAATGTTCTCTGATTAGCAAGACTTAGATATGCCTCCCAATAATGGTAGCAGCTCTAAAATACAGTGTGTACAACAAACGTCATTCTAATAGTCATGGCATTGTTGATCATGGGTTGTTTCTCTGCCTTCACTGATGCTGTGTGTAATCAGAAAAGAAGGATTCTTATGCATGTGTTTTCAATTCAGTAATTGTCCTGAACACCTGACATGCATAGAGTACTGAGCCAGGTGACCCTGGGAAGACCAGGTCCATGTTCTCACGGAGGCTGCAAAACAGGGGTGGAGGAAAGTGCACAACAATTCTGCTGAGAGTCAGGGCAAGGTAGGAGCAATAAAGGCAGCGTGAAGGAGTGTGAGAGAGAATAAAACAAATGACTGAAGAATAAAAAGAACAAGCCGGCCAGGTGCGGTAGCTCACACTTGTATAATCCCAGCACTTTGGGAGGCTGAGGCAGGGGGATCACTTGAGGTTAGGAGTTTGAGACCGATCTGGCCAACATGTTGAAACCCCTGTCTCTACTAAAAATACAAAAATTAGCTGAGCATGGTGGTGCAAGCCTGTGATCCCAGCTACTCAGGAGGCTGAGGTGGGAGGATCGCTTGAACCTGGGAGGTAGAGGTTGCAATGAGCCAAGATTGCACCAACACATTCCAGCCTGGATGACAGAGCAAGACTCCATTTCAAAAAAACCAAAAACAACAAAAAAAACCCAGGCATGGTTGCATGCACCTGTAGTACTAGCTACTCAGGAGGCTGAGGCAGAAGGATCACTTGAGTGCAGGAATTTGAGGATTCAGTGAGCTATGATCACACCACTGGACTCCAGCCTGTGTGAAACAGTGAGACCCTATCTCTAAAAAGTAAAAATAAATAAATAAATAAATGTAGATGGCTATCCTGTCACAACAGAAGCTGAACTGAGAAGAAAGCCAACATACCGACAGATGAAAGAGAGCACATAACAGCCCTGCTATCTTCTGAATCCTTCGATTATGCCATGACTGAAGCTACAGACGTCCTTGGGCCTCACGTGACTCAGATAATTCCTCCTTTCACTTAAGCTATTTTTTTTCATGATTTTTTTTTTTTTAATTGAGACAGGGTCTCCCTATGTTGCCCAGGCAGGTCTCAAACTCCTGGCCTCAAGCAATCTTCCCACCTCATTGGCCTCCCAAAGTGCTGGGATTATCAGCCTGAACCACCATGCCCCATCTTAAACTAGTTTAAACTGGGCTTCTATAACTCCTCTAACTTGCATAAAAGTCCTAACATCATCCTACCAGCCTATTACTACCAAACAATGGTCTCATTTAGCAATGCAAGGAGTCAGCCTTCTTTGAAAGCTTTGCATTGCAGCAACATTCAACTTCCTTGATTTATGAAGGGTAATTCAACCTGGGTGTGGACAGGATAGTGGAGAGTGTACCTAATAGGGCTCTCCCAAGTTCGTTTAGTAGGTTTGGAGAGGCAACCATCTTCAGCTAAATTCTGGTGTCCCCTGATGCAGGATTAATTCTCAGAGCTGACTGCCTTAAAATTCTAAGGTATGGGACATTATAAGCAAAAGGAACCAGATATGAGAGTAAACTGCATTATTCCATTTTATTTAAAGTCCAATAATAACACGTTCACTAACAGATGGTGACAGACATCAAAATAGCTGTTACCTTGGGGTGGGTGTGGGTGGGTATTGATGGAGAAAGGGCACATGGGGACCTTATGTAGGGCTCAAAATGTATCTTGGTGGTGGGAGTTAAGTGGTCATAGATGGGAAAACTCATCAAGCTGTATACTCAAGATTAGTGCTCTTTTTATGGAATGTACATTACGCGTTGGGAGAAAAAAACATCTTAATACTGATTTACCTCATCCTTGGCACGGATGGGTGGATGGACACAATGTTCTCCATCTAATTCCTTCTCTATCCACTAGCATGGTGAGGAAGAGAGGTGCTCATGGGTTACTAAGCACTTGCAAGAATGCCTTAGGAAAGACAGGCTATGACTTATGTGTTCTTATTCCCATTCAAGTGGGTGTCCTCTGAATCCTCTATAGCACTCAGTACTCTACTATGAACAACACTTTACAATTTCTATTGCCCCCCAGAGGCTGTAAAATCCTTCCATCATTACCATGCTCTGGGGGAGATATTGTGCATTAGTATCTCTTAGTACCACTCCCATTCACCCATTCATCTGGGTTCTAAAATGAAGCATCGTGTTTGCACTTTCCAGACCTTCAAAAAAAATTCTGGGGCATAAGTTTGGAGTAGAAACTAGTACAATCCTTAAGAAATAAAACTTTTACTACATCTATCAAAATGAAAAAATGCACATTTATTTTAGCTCAGCAATTCTGCCTCCAGATACATTCACATATGTATAAAGTGATAAATGTATAAGGTTATTCCTTATACATTTGTGGTCTGTAATAACAAAACATTGGGGGAAAGTGTGCATCATATAGGATTAATACATTAAGTATACCAGCCAGGTGCGGTGGCTCATGCCTGTAATCCCAACACTTTGGGAGGCTAAAGCAGGCAGATCAGTTGAGGTCAGGAGTTCAAGACCAGCCTGGCCAACATGACAAAACCCCATCTCTACTAAAAATTAGCCAGGCGTGGTGGTGGGTGCCTGTAATCCCAGCTACTCAGGAGGCTAAGGCAGGCTACTCGGGAGGCACTTGAACCTGGGAGGCAGAGGTTGCAGTGAGCCGAGATCGCGCCACTGTACTCCAGCCTGGGCAACGGAGCGAGACTCTGCCTCAAAAAATAATAATAATAAAATAAATAAAGTATACCTATTTGGTAGAATATTATACAGCTATAAAACACAATAGTGCTTCTTCTTGATTATAATTAAAAAAATAAAACAGAATCAGGCAACTCATTGCATAGTGATATGGACAATATCCAAGATAAAATATATTGCTAATGATACATTTGGTATGCTAATATTTTCTTTTTCTTTTTTTTGAAACAGGGTCTCACTCTGTCACCCAGACTGAAGTGGAGTGGCACGGTCTTGGCTCACTGCAGGCTTGACCTCCTGGGCTCAATCAATCCTCCCACCTCAGCCTCCCAAGTAGCTAGGACTAGAGGCATGTGCCACCATACCTGGCAAATCTTTATATTTTTTGTAGAGAGGGGGTTTAGCAATAATGCCCAGGGTGTTCTCGAACTCCTAGGCTCAAGCAATCCACCCACCTCAGCCTCCCGAAGTGCTGGAATTACAGGCATGAGCCACTGTGCCCAGCTCTGGTATGCTAGTATTTTAAGGGGGGGTGGGGGAATCAATGTACTTTGGCCAGTATCTTTATGTTTTAAAATCTGTGGAGAAATAGAAAGTGATGACATTAGTTGCCTCTGGGGAGAGGAACTAGCTAGCTGGTACCTTTTGTCCCTTTTAAATTTTCCACTACATAAAGTATTCAAGAATAAGAAAGATTAATACTTAAGGAATAAGACTTTCAAATTAATTTCAAATGAATTTGTGAAACTATCCTGGTTTTTGTGAAAAGGGACAACACCAGGGAATGCTGTGTAACCACGCAGGCCTTACAATTTAGAGGAACAGCTGGTGCCAAGATGCAGTATAGATATACATTTTGTATGTATGAAAGTTCTGCAAATTGGTCCTTTTATAGTTGATGAGCATGATGATTGGGTGTTCACACGCATGTGTGAAATGTCCCACCCTCAAATCTTGTTACAATATTGGCACATTACCCATCTGACATGAAAAAGGAGAAAAAAAAAGTTCTGCAAATCATAGCTTAAAAATTTTAGAGGCTGAGGCAGGAGGATCACTTAAGGCCAGGAGTTCAAGACTATCCTGGGCAACAAAGCAAGACCCCTTCTCTACAAAAATAAAAATAAAAAATTAGCCAGCCATAGTGGCACATACCTGTGGTCCTGGCTAAAGTGAGCTATGAAGCAAGAGGACTGCTTGAGCCCAGGAGTTCAAGGTCACAGTGAGCTATGATCACACCACTGCACTATAGGTCTGGGCGACAGAGTGAAACAGCATCTCAAACAAATGATGAAAAAAAAAAACTTAGAAGGATTGCATCTCTCTTGCGTACCCTTGTCCCTAACACTCTCAAGTGCTTTAGTTTTTGTCAAAATCCAAAGAGAAGAACAGAGAAAATGTGCTTTCTCCAAATCATTCACAATTGAAATCAACAGCAAGATCAAGTCTGAATACCAAAACAACTATGCACTCAGAGTAAATCTCATATATCATGGCCCACTAATCAGGAGTCGGGCATTGGGGATAAAACTTCAAAGCAGGCCAGGCGCGGTGGCTCACGCCTGTAATGCCCGCACTTTGGGAGGCCAAGACAGGTAGATCACCTGAGGTCAGGAGTTCGAGACCAACCTGGCCAACATCATGAAACCCCGTCTCTACTAAAAATACAAAAATTAGCCAGGCATGGTGGCGCGCACCTGTAATCCCAGCTACTAGGAGGAGGCTGAGGCAGGAGAATCACTTGAACCCAGGAGACGGAGGTTGCAGTGAACTGAGATCACACTACTGCACTCCAGCCTGGGTAACGGAGTGAGACTCCGTCTCAAAAACAAAACAAACAAAAAAACACTTCGAAGTAACAAAAAAGTTATTTCCAGTAGATACACCTTTAACATAGACATTCAAACTAGCTGAAAGGAAATTTTTTGGGCTTTTTCAGTCTCCAAAGGAACTTAGAGTTCTAGAATTACAGTCACAAAGTCATAAAGACATTTCAGTCAATAAGGGACTAATAAAAGTATACAGCAAATGCAATTATGTACAGTATATAATACTTGACAATAAACGACTATGCTACTGGTTTATGTATTTACACTATATTTTTTATTAGATTCCTTCAACTTATTAAAAAAAAAAAGAGTTGAAACAGGAAAAAAAGTTAAAAGAGCCTCAGGCAGGTGCTTCAGGAGGTATTCCAGAAGAAGGCACTGTCACCATGGAAGATGACAGCTCTGGGTGTGTTATTGGCCCTGATGACCTTCCAGTGCAACGAGATGTGGAAATGGAAGACAGTGATATTGATGTAGGCCTAGGCAAATGTGTATGTTTGTATCTTAGTTTTGGGTTTGTGTGTGTGTGTGTGTGTGTTTATTTTTATTTTTTTTGAGATAGGGTCTCTGTTGCCCAGGCTGGAGGGCAGTGGTGCAATCGCAGCTCACTGCAGCCTCCCAAAGTGGTGGGATTACAGGCATAAGCCACTGCACCCAGTCTGTATCTTAGTTTTTAACAATAAAGTGTAGAAACTAAAATAAAATTTACATGGTAAAAATAGAAAACAGCACTTTGGGAGGCCAAAGTGGGAGGATCACTTGAGGTCAGGAGTCTAAGAACAGCCTGGTGGCAGGGCATGGTGGCTCATGCCTGTAATCCCAGTACTTTGTGAAGCCGAGGCAGGCAGATCGCTTGAGCCCAGGAGTTTGAGACCAGCCTGGACAACATAGCAAGACCCTGTCTCTACAAAAAAAAATAGAAAAAAATAGCTGGGCATGGTGGAGCACATGTGTAGTCCCAGCTACTGAGGTGACTAAGTAGTCTCAGCTACTTAGGTGACTAAAGTGGGAAGATCGCTTGAGCCTGGGAGGTCAAGGCTACAGTGAGCTGTGACCACACCACTGCACCCCAGGCTGGGTGACAGATTGAGACCATGTCTCTACCAAAAAAAAAAAAAAAAAAAAAAAAGCTTATAGAATAAGGAAAATACTTCTCTATATCTATACAATGTAGGTATGGGATTTTTGGCTTTTCTTTTATTTTTGGCTGGATTTGAGCTCCCGGGCTCAAGTATGATCCCTCCCACCTCAGCCTCCCAATTAGCTGGGACTGCTGGTGTGCACCACTGTGCCAGGGTTTGTGATTGTGTTTTTTGTTGTTGTTCTTTTGTTTGTTTGTTTTTGAGACGGAGTCTCACTTTGTCGCCCAGGCTAGAGTGCAGTGGCGCGATCTCGGCTCACTGGGAGCTCCACCTCCCGGGTTCACGCCATTCTCCTGCCTCAGCCTCCCGAGTAGCTGGGACTACAGGCACCCGCCACCATGCCCGGCTAGTTTTTCGTACTTTTAGTAGACACGGGGTTTCACCCTGTTAGCCAGGATGGTCTCAATTTCCTGACCTCGTGATCCACCTGCCTCAGCCTCCCAAAGTGCTGGGATTACAGGGGTGAGCCACCGCGTCCGGCCTTTTGTTTTTTTTTTTTGAGACAGAGTTTCACTTTGTCACGCAGGCTGGAGTGCACTGGTGTGATCTCAGCTCACTGTAACCGCCGCCTCCCAGGTTCAAGTGATTCTCCTGCCTCAGCTTTCCGAGTAGCTGAGATTACAGGTGTGAGCCACCATGCCTGGCTAATTTTTGTATTTTTAGTAGAGACAGGGTTTTGCCATTTTGGCCAGGCTGGTCTCGAACTCCTGACCTCAGGTGATCCGTCCACCTGGGCCTCCCAAAGTGTGGGGATTACAGGCGTGAGCCACTGCACCCAGCCATGTGATTGTGTTTTAAGTGTTATTACAAAAGAGTCAAAAAAATTAAAGTTATAGAAAGCTAAGATTTATTATAGAAGAAAGAAAAATGTTTAGTAAATTTAGTGTAGCCTAAGTATAGTGTTTATAAAGTGTACAGTAATGTCCTAGGCCTTCACATTCACTCACCACTTACTCCCTGACTCACCCAGAGCAACTTCCAGTCCTACAAGCTTCATTCATGGTAAGTGCCTTACAAGATGTACCATTTATTTATTTATTTAGATGGAGCTTCGCTCTTGTTGCCCAGGCTGGAGTGCAATGGCACAATCTCCACTTACAACAACCTCCGCCTCCCGGGTTAAACTGACTCTCCTGCCTCAGCCTTCCCACGTAGCTGGGATTACAGGCATGCGCCACCACGCCTGGCTATTTTTAGTAGAGATGGGGTTTCTCCATGTTGGTCAGGCTGGTCTTGAACTCCTGACCTCAGGTGATCCACCTGCCTCGGCCTCCCAAAGTGCTGGGATTATAGGCGTGAGCCACCGCCCCGGCCAAGATGTACCATTTTTTATCTTTTATATTTACTGTACCTTTTTTGTGTTTAGATATACAAATACCACTGTATTACCGCTGCCTAGAGTATTTGGTATATTAACATGCTGTCTGCATTTGTAGCGTAAAAGCAAGAAGCTATACCACATAGCCTAGGCTCGTAGCAGGCTATCCATCTAGGTTTGTGTTAAGTACACTGTGATGTTCACTCAAGGATGAAATTGCCTAAAGACACACTTCTCAGTATTCCCATCGTTAAACAATGCATGACTATATATGTAAAAATAACGACTTCATCATCCTTAGGCAAAAATTACATCCCCGTCCATACCAATTATCTCCAATAGTCTTCTCTCACTAGTCATTAGGTGGAATTAGAATTGAGCTTTAGGGTAAGTGTTTCCACCACAGAGATACCATTTCAATTATCATATGACACCTACCCTAGGCCAGACGTTCACTGAGGTTTCACATCTCCCAGCAATACTGAGGACCTAGCACAGCAAATGAAATACCACAATTCCTGGATTCAAATGAAGTCTTCTAGTTTAACAGAAATGTATGTGGGCAGGGTTGATTAATGTGAAATGTCCTCCCTTCTGTTTATGAGATCCAACAATTATAGGCAAAAGGAGAGGCTGAGCACAGCACTGACCTCTGCTCAGTAACTTCCTCTCACCCTCACCTAAACTTCAAAACCAGAAATAGCAGAACCACATTCCTAGAGTGAAAGAACCCAACCCAACCTTTCAATCAAACAAGTAAGTGAAAAGAAGCATTTTCAACTTAGAAGGGAAATAGAACCCCACCCTCCTCATCCTGGTCTTCCAAGTAGCCGTAGGCCTCTGTACCAACAAAGCAAAGATTGTTGTAATACCAAGATCCAGATCCAGCTTTTGTGTGCACTGCTGGATATTTTTTTTAAGCAGAAAGGCACAAAAACAACAAAAACCAATTATATGCAAATACTCATTTTTACACTCAGTCTATCAAACTAAGAGAGATGCTACTTACGGCGTGGATTTATAGGAAGACTCTGGATAAAACCGCTTGTCATTCACTTTGCCATTGGAAGAGTATGCCATGGGACTGTCAACTCTTTCCACATAGTCAGATGGGGGTGAAGGCACGTCCTGTGTGCCTGCAGACACATTTTTAACCTTAAAAAACCCCAAGAGATAGTTATTATTTATCTTGTAATGAAAAGGGGGAAGACACTGAAGAAAATTATCTTATATACATTATCTAATATTTATGTGGCCCATTAAATACTATTAACACTAATAATAAAAAGGCAATCATTACAGGTTAATAGTTAAATCCACATTGTAATAGACATATAAACAGTGCTACTGCTAGTTTAAACAAGTATATTACCAAGAAGAAAAATCTGATCACCTAGTTCTCATCCTAATGTGATTAGGTTTCATAATTATCTATGGCAATTTTCCACCTCCATATTAGGAAGACTGGTCTCATTATCTCACGCCCACATTAGAAAGACCACTCTCATTTAACCTAAGCCAGGTCTCGGTTAGGAGAATTTTCATTTCTAACAAGCTCTCAGGTAATGCTATGTTGCTGTCTGTGCACCACACTTGGAAAAGCACTAATCTAGAACAAAGCACACTGGTAGTTCTTAATCCATTCACCTCTCAACGTGGAATGTTAAAACCACAGAAGAAATTAAGAAGTTCAAGCTGACTTCTACTCTTTTAATAAGAGATTTGTTTATTCTCCCTTAATGTACGTTCTCTATGGCTCTATTACTAATAACCTACACAATATATCACACAACATCAGTGCCTTCCCTTTTCACTTTCCTTATTTCATTCTGATGTGTAAGTGAATTCATCCTACAAAAGTAACATGCATTAGAAATTATGCCTTAATAGGCCAGGCGCGGTGGCTCACGCCTGTAATCCCAGCACTTGGGGAGGCTGAGGCGGGTGGATCATGAGGTCTGTAAACAATTTACAGAAGACTAAAGGGATGGTGAAAATTAACTTTGTTAGCAATTTTAATGAGAATCCAAATATAGGAGACCCACATTTTTTCCCATATTTTCCCAGTTTTGAATGTTTATGTATACCTAAAAGGCATTACATCCTTTGAAAGCAGCTGTCATTATGCATGAATCTGGAACATACCTACCTTTAAATACGGATTTTGGATTTCAAATGCATCTCTACTATGTTCTACCTTATTATTTGTATTCTTCATGAACTCACTTTGTCAAAATGCAATACTTTTTGTTTTTTAATTTATTTTTATTTTTTGTAGAAATAGGGTCTCACTGTGTTGCCCAGGCTGGCCTTGAACACCTGGCCTCAAGTGATCTTCCTGCCTTCCAAAGTGCTGGGGACGGTAGGCATGAGCCACCACACCTGTCCAAACTGCAATACTTCTGAAAACTTTAGGGCTCATAGTTTTGTTGAAGTGATAGATGATGGCTATATTCTTTGTTACATAACAGCAAAACATTTTTGTTTTTACATTTATAAATACCAATTAGAATGACTTTCAGTGGATTGGTTTTCATTTTTCACATCATCTTTACCTTCCTGTTACTTTGTGTACATATCTGTCTTTCATACTTGTCCACTTACAAACTTTTTCAAGTAAATTCTGGTGTTACAAGCATAAAAGATGAAAGAACGTTGTCACATGGTCACTTGTCCTTTTAGCAATTATGCGATGATTCAACTGTTCTAGGTACAACTAGAGGGAGAGTATCCCAGGCAAGGGAGATAACAAATAGAAAGGCCCTAAGACACAAGTGTATTTAACATGTTTGGGGAACAACAAGGAGTTAATCGTGGCTGGAGTGGAAGTAAGGAGGAGAGATTAAGGAGATGGAGCTAAGAGAGGTAGTCAAGGGCCAGGCCATATGTCAGCGATAGTAAGGTCTTCAGCATTTACTTTTTTAAGCTGGGAGTCCATGGAAAGGTTTTGAACCCAAGGTATAGCATGATCTGACTTATAGAAAGAGACTTCTGATTGCTGTGTTGAAAATACACCATAGGTTTGAAGGGAGGAAACAGGCTGACTAGTTAGAGCCAGTGTGGGTAGTGGTGGTTGGATCTGAGTATATTTTCCAAGTGGAGCCACCAGGATTTTTCAGTAGATTGACTACATGTGGTGTATGAAAGAGGAGTGTCAAGTGTAACTCCAAGATTTTTGGCTTATGCAACTGGAAAAATAAAGTTAGAATTTAATGAGATGGAGGTCTGCATAAGGAGTACTTTTGTGGCAGGAAAGAAATTGGGTTTTGAACATGTGAAAATTGAGATGCCCATTAGTAGAAGTTGGATGTGAATAAAGAGTCCCGGCCAGGTGCAATGCCTCATGCCTGTAATCTCAGCACTTTGGGAGGCCAAGGCAGGAGAATCTTGTGAGCCCAGGAGTTCAAGACCAGACTGGGCAACAAAGTGAGACCCCGTCTATATTATAAAATAAAAAAATAGTTCAGAGGAGAGGTCTGGGCTAGAGATGGAAATGTAGAAGTTAGTAAATTTAAAGCTGTTGAACTAGAGGAGATAGCTGAGGAAGTGCATTCAAATAGAGAAGATGTCAGAGGAGAACTTTGGGGTTCTCTCAGTGGTTAGAGATAGGATATGAGGAAAAACAGTGCAGGAGACTAAGGAGGAGCTCTCATTGAGTTAGGAAAATCAAGAGGGATGCCCTGGAAGCCAAATGAAGGCAGTGTTTTGAGGAAGAGGGGTGATGGGCCATGTGAAAGCCAATAGGTCAAATGCTGCTAATGGGTCAACTAAAGTGAGGACTGAGAAGTATTCACCAATTTAGCAATGTGGAGCTCATTGGTGACCCTCATAAGAGCTGTTTTGGTGGAATGGAGGAGGTAAAATCCTGGAGGGGGAGAACATAAGAATGAGAGAACAGTTGACAGTGCATGTAAACAACTCTTTCACGGAACTTTGTATTTCTGAATTTTTGTTTATTTGGCTATTAATAAAATCATATCTGATATAGCTTTATTTTAGTAAGGTTTGTTTTTGTGGGACTTCAGTTGTGTATACACATATGTGTGTGTATGTATGTGCGTATGGTGTTTTGATGTAAAATTTATTATTGTGGGTCATGGTTAAAAAAAAAGCTTGAGAATGAGGAGTTAGATCAAGAAATAGAAGGAATGTTGACATAAGAAGTTGTGGATGTAGGAGATTCTACCATGTAGACACAGTGGAAGGATTTAGGGAGTTGGAGCAGGTTGGGATATGTGATCAGAAAGCGGGAGTTTAGCTCTCTCACTTGCCCCTGCTTTTACCATGTGATGTGTCTGCTACCCCTTCACCTTCCACCATGACTGTAAGCTTCCTGAGGTCTCCCTAGAAGCCAAGCAGATGCCAGCACCATGCTTCCTGTAAAGCCTGCAGAACCATGAGCCAATTAAACCTCTTTGTAAATTACCCAGTTTGAGGTATTTCTTTATAGCAGTGCAAGAATGCCCCAATACAGGAAATTGGTACCGAGAAGTTGGGCATTGCTATAAAGATACCTGAAAATGTGGAAACAGCTTTGGAACTGGGTAATGAGTAGTGGCTGGAAGAGTTTACAGGGCTCAGAAGAAGACAGGAAAATAAGGGTAAGTTTCGAACTTTTTTTTTTTTTTTTTTTTTTTTTTTTTGAGACGGAGTCTTGCTCTGTCGCCCAGGCTGGAGTGCAGTGGCGTGATCTTGGCTCACTGCAACCTCTGCCTCCCGGGTTCAAGTGATTTTTCTGCCTCAGCTTCCCAAGCAGCTGGGGTTACAGGCATGCACCACCATGCCTGGCTAATATTTTTGTATTTTATTAGGGATGGGGTTTCACCATGTTGGCCAGGCTGGTCTCGAACTCCTGACCTCAAGTGATTCACCCACCTCGACCTCCCAAAGTGCTAGGTTTACAGGCGTGAGCCACCGCTCCCGGCAAGTCTGGAACTTCTTAGAGACTAGATAAGTGGTTGTGACCAAAATGCTGATGGTGATAGGGACAGTGAAGTCCAGGTTGACAAGGTCTCAAAAGGAAACGAATTTATTGGGAACTGGAGCAAAAGTCACACGTTATGCCTTAGCAAATAACTTGGCTGCATTCTGCTTGTGTCCTAGGGATCTGTGGAAGTTTGAACTTAAAAACTATGACCTAGCGTATGTGGCAGAAGAAATTTCTAAGCAGCAAAGCATTCAAGATGTGGCCTTCTGCTACTAACAGCCTGTGCTCAGATGTGGGGGCAAATGAATGACTTAAATTTGGAACTTACATTTAAACAGGAAGCAGAGCCTAAAAGTTGGGAAATTTTGCAGCCTAGCCAGGTGGTAAAAAAAAAAACCATTTTCTCCAAGGAATTCAAGCAGGCTGTGGAGCAACCACTTGCTGATATTTGCATAACTGAAAGGGATCCAAGTGGTAATATCCAAGACAATGGGGAAAAGGCCTCAAAGGCATTTCAGAGACCTATGGGGCAGCCCCTCCTGTCATAGGCCCTGAAGCCAAGGAGGACTGAATATTTTCCTGGGCTGAGCCCAGGGCCCTGTTGCCCTGTGCAGCCTCAGAACACTGCTCCCTGCATCCAGATGGCTCCAACTCCAGCAGGGGCTCAAAGGGGCCTAGGTACAGCTTGGGCTGTTACTTTGGAGGGCATAAGCCATAGCCTTCACAGCTTCCATTAGGTGGTAAGCCTGCAGGCACACAGAATGCAAAAATGGTGAATTCTTGGTAGCCTCTGCCTGGATTTCAGAGGATGTATGGAAAAGCCTGGGTGTCCAAGCAGAACCCTGCTGCAGGGGCAGAGCCCTCACAGAGAGCCTCTACTAGGGCAGCGTGGAGGGGAAATGTGGGGTTAAAGGCCCCACGCAGAGTCCCTACTGGGGCACTGCCTAGTGGAGCTGTGAGAAGAGGGCTACTGTTCTCCAGAATGGTAGAGCCACTGGCAGCTTGTACCCTGCACTTGGAAAAGCCACAGGCACTCAACCCAGCCTGTGACAGCAGGCTGAACTCTGCAAAGCTATAGGAGCAGAGCTGCCCAAGGCCTTGGGAGCCCAACCCTCATATCAGCGTGCCACATGGAAACCAAGGAGATCATTGTGGAGTTTCATGATTTAATGACTGCCATGCTGGGTTTTGAACTTGCATGGGGCCTATAGCCCCCTTTTTTGGCAGGTTTTTCCCTAATGGGAATATTTCCCCAACCCCTGAACCCTGATTGTATGTTGGAAGTAAATAATTTGTTTTTTATTTTATAGGCTCATAGGTGGCAGGGATTTGCCTTGTCTCAGATGAGACTTTGGACTTCTGAGTTAATGCTGGAATGAGTTAAGACTTTGCGGCACTGTTGGGAAGGCATGGTTGTATTTTGCATTGTGAAAAGGACATAAGATTTGGGAGGGGCCAGAGGTGGAATGATGTGGTTTGGATATTTATCTCTACTTATGTTGAATTTTATCCCGAGTGTTGGAGATGGGGCATGGTGGGAGGTGTTTGGATCATGGGGGCAGATCCCTCATGGCTTGGTGTTACCTTTGTGTTGTTACTGAGTTCTCGTGAGATCTGGTCATTTAAAAGTGTATGAAACCTGCCCCCTGCCCCCCCACTGTCTCTCACTTGTTTCTGCTTTCATCATGTGACATGTGTGCTCACCTTCTGCCATGATTTTAGTTTCCTGAGGCCTCCCTAAAAGCCGAGCAGATGCCAGCACCATGCTTCCTGTAAAGCCTGCAGAACCGTGAGTCAACTAAACCTCTTTTCTTTATGAAAGAAAAGGAAGGAAGGGAGAGAGGGAAGGAGAAAAAGAGAGAGGGAGAGATGGATGGAGGAAGGGAGGGAGGGCTTACAACCATGAGGACAGTTTTTAGGTCAATGAGGGATGACTTGGGAGTCCTATGAAGACTGATGTAAACTAGAATAAAGGGCATGATGAGCTTATGATTCAAAAGTATTTTGTCATAGAAATAGTTTGTTTTCTGTAAAAGAACACAGTAAATATTTTAGCTTTGTAGGCCACTGAGTCTCTGTTGCTTTAAAAAATGTGAAAACCATTCTTAGCTTGAGGGCTGGACAGTCCAGGGCCATACTTTACTGACCGCTGCTTGAACTAAACGCTGTTAGAAGCAGCTCTGGAAAAATAATTTGCATGGAATCTTATGATTTTTTTTTTTTTTTTTTGAGGCAGAATTTTGCTCTTGTTGCCCAGGCTAGAGTGCAATAGCGCGTTCTTGGCTCACTGCAACCTCCGCCTCCTGGGTTCAAGCAATTCTCCTGCCTCAGCCTCCCGAGTAGCTGGGATTACAGGAAGGCACCACCATGCGTGGCTAATTTTGTATTTTTAGTAGAGACAAGGTTTCTCCATGTTGGTCAGGCTGGTCTCGAACTCCCAACCTCAGGTGATCCACCCGCCTCGGCCTCCCAAAGTGCTGGGATTACCAGCGTGAGCCACTGCACCTGGTCAAGTATTATGGTTTTTTAATAGTATGCACACATGGGACAAAACTCAACTGGTATAAAAGGGTATGCAGGAGAAAAAAAGCAAACTTCCCTCTCTCCCTTTTCTGTCCACCAGCCATCCTGTTCTCCTCCCTAAACTCAATTATGGTTGCCTGTTTTTTATATAAGTTTTCCATGAATTTATAAATACATCACGTGCATATATCCTGTCAGTCAATATTAAGAAATTACTAGGTTATTTTGTGTTTATGTGTGCACTATTAGATTTAATGAGTTATGCTAGTTGTTGCCTCTTATATCCACATTCAGTCTTCATTGTCTGTTCTGTAATAATAGATCTGGGCCCTGTAAATACCTCTCCCATGACAGTAAGCACAGAGTGAAACTTTGTCAATCGAGGGTGCTGCTGACACACTGAAGGGGCAAGGGCTGCTTTTCCTGGTTCCATTGTGCTCCTCTAGGCAGACACCTGCAACACCTGTGCCATCTGCAATACCAGCTCCTGTAGCACATACACTCTGCCTCTGCAGCACCTCGTTCTGGCTGCACACTTCTTGGGCGGTGCCTAACTTCAGCAGCACCCAATGGTCAGCAGCGCACAGTACCCCCACATGAATGGCTTCCCTTGACATGCACAAGGTCCCTTCTCTGCAAAGTGCCCCAAGCCCAGCACCTTCTCCAGCTGCAACTCCACAGCCTCAGCAAACCTCTGTCTTTCACAGCTGTGTCCTCTCACACGAAGTCTGGATCTCAGCCCGGATCTCAGCCCTGAGCTTTCTTCTTTGAGTTGTTCTGTCTCAGCCTGGGGTGAAAAGCCCATATCGGCTGTTCCCTGCATCTGCCCAGGCTTCTCTTTATTCCTTACTACCCAATCCCCATTCCAATCCTCTGTTAATAACTCTTACGGACAGTCCCCAACTCATGATGACTTGACTTAGGATTTTTCTACTTTGCAATGGTGCAAAAGTGATCTGCATTCAGTAGAAACTGTTCCTCAAGTACTCATACGACCTCTATTTTTCACTTTCTGTACAGTATTCAATAAATTGCGTGAGATTTTCAATACTTTATTATAAAATAGGCTTTGTGTTTATGATTTTGCCCAACTGTAAGCTAATATAAGTGTTCTCAGCGTGTTTAAGGTAGGTCAGGTTAAGCGATGATGTTTGGTAGTTTAGGTATATTAAATGCATTTCTGACATACAATATTTTCTACTTACAATGGGTTTTTCAGGATATAACCCTGTTGTAAGTTGAGGAGCATCTTATTTTATTTATTTATTTATTTATTTGAAATGGAGTCTTGCTCTGTCACCCAGGCTGGAATGCAGTGGCACGATCTTGGCTCACTGCAACCTCTGCCTCCTGGGTTCAAGCAATTCTCCTGCCTCAGCCTCCCAAGTAGCTGAGACTACAGGTGCACACCACCATGCCTGGCTTTTTTTTTTTTTTTAATTTTTTTTTGTATTTTTAGTAGAGACAGGATTTCACCATGTTGGCCAGGCTGGTCTCGAACTCCTGACCTCAAGTGATCTGCCCACCTCGGCCTCCCAAAGTGCTGGAATTACAGGCGTGAGCCACTGCGTCAGGCCGAGCATCTGTATATTAAACTTTCCCCATTCAAATTTCTGTGTGGTTTCTGTCTCCTGACTGGATTCTGATATAATGCTTAACAACCTTTCTAATTACAAAGGTATTACATATAAAATCAGACAAGCAAGAAGACAATCCATCCCACCTTCTAGTACTCTTGCCCTCCAGAGGTAGCTCCAGTTAATATTTTAGTGCTAAACTAGATTTATTTTTGTTTTAAATAGAAAAATAATGCAGGCACGAAAGTAAAACAAAAAACAGTACAGAATGGGAGAGACTGAAAAGTAAGAATGGCTTCCAGGCCCACTTCCTAGAGGTACGCACTATTAACATTTTTAGATATAAACTTCCAGAAATTTTTTTCCAGTTTTATTTAGGTATAATTGACAAAATTATTTATATTTCAGTTGTACAACATGGATGTTCAACATGTTTTGGTGTACATATACTTTCTGATATTATAAATGGTTACCACAAGCAAGCTCAGTAACATATTCAGAAATTCTTAATGTAGCTAGCAATATAAGTGGTTTTGTTTTTTGTTTTGAGACAGACAGGGTCTTGCTCTGTTGCCCAGGCTGGAATGCAGTGGCGCCATCTTGGCTCACTGCAACCTCTGCCTCCCGGGTTCAAGCAAGTCTTGCGTCTCAGCCGCCCTAGTGGCTGGGACTACAGGCATGTGCCACCACACCTGGCTAATTTTTGTATTTTTAGTAGAGATGGGGTTTCACCATGCTGGCCAGGCTGGTCTCGAATTCCTCACCTCAAATGATTCGCCCGCCTCAGCCTCCCAAAGTGCTGGGATTACAGGTGTGAGCCACCGCACCCAGTCATAAGTGGTTTTCTAAACAAATGAGACCACACCATACATACTGTCCCTATATTTCATACTTGGGCAAGGGGAGGGGAGTTGACTTTTTTCTTAGTGAGAATAAAAATGAGGATAAAAGTATGGTTGTTTACCAACTTATAGTAGTATCATGAATTTCGAATGGTCTTCTGGCCGTTCAGAAAACTACTTAACTGGTAGGAACGAAATTCTGGACACTGACATTGATATAGACACTCATATCAAATATAATACTATGAAATACTATGATATGGAAATAATATGCAATCACTAGAGATAAAATATTTTCTACCCAAGTAGAGTGGATTCATAAGAAAATTCTAAATTATAGCATATGTTGAACTCTGAGAAGCCTCTGGAATGAAGTCATTTTTCCCTAACCCCTGTTTCCTCTTTATATTGGCAGTGGATAAATGGAAAGTAAGTTAACTCTACTGTACCAAAGCTAGTTCAATATAGAAAACAGGTTCTACAAGGATTAAGGAATATTCTACAAGGATTAAGGAACATCTCTTGGCCCACAGAAGATTCATGTGGTTCCTGTGTTAAACCCGTTTCATCCATGTATGAAAGTGATTCAACCGTTAAGTTAGCCATTTATTATATAAATTGAATACTTCTTCCATATTGTGGCTTTTAGATAGATTGGCAGACCTGTCCCCAACCCCTTCCCTGTTGACCATGGACAATGGAGGGTTAGCTGTATAAACTTGATTGAAGGGTTTGCCTTTAGCTGGGGTGGATTACTCAGGGACCTCAAAGGTATTGGTGATGATTTATTTCTTGAGCTTGGTGGTGAGTATGCAGGACTGTGTTTTGTTTTGTTTTGTTTTTTAGCAAGCCTTACACATTTTCTTTTGTATGCAATATTTAATAAAATAATTTTGGATAATTTGGTTTTTAGCATTAATCAACAACTTTTTTTACATCCTCAATATGCCCCAAGACAAATTATTGATTCAGCAGTTTTTAGCTGAATCTTTTATTTCTGAATGATTGGAGAGAACGGCAGTATCCATTTCTGGAGAATAGTTAAGTACTTAGATTGAGGATGTCTTTCTCATCACAGGCTGGTCTCAAACTCCTGGACTCAAGTGATCCTCCTGCCTCAGCTTCCCAAGTAGGTGGGATTACAAGCACGTGTCACTGTGCCCAGCTTAATATAATATTTTGAAAATATCTCCTTAAAAACCCCAAAGAGCTGATGGGTTAATAAAGAACCACCTGGCAAAAATCTAAGGGAGAAGCAGAAACCAAAGAAGTACAGCCAAGCCTAAAGCACTGACGCCATTGTGCTGAGAGTTTCACCATCCTGGACAAATATGAGCTTCTCTTTTGGTCTCACAGGAGGTCACATGCCAAGGCACATCATGCCTACAAACCAGACTAAATTGGCAAGTCACAGTGGCTCACGCTTGTAATCCCAGCATTTTGGGAGGCCGAGGTGGGTAGATCACTTGAAGTCAGGAGTTCGAGACCAGGCTGGCCAACATGGTGTTCAGTGTTTACTAAGTTAAGGAATGATGGTGCCTAAGTCATTTAGCTAAATGATGTATTTAAGAAAGATGGCTGCACCGTTTTCCATGAACTATTAGGATAGGCTGGTGAGAAACAGGGAAATACTTCCAATGACTACGGATTAGCAGATTTCCTTCCTGCTGAGCTGCCAGATCTGTAAGTTGCAATGTAAGACCAGCCTAACCAAAAACAAAATAAAATAACCCTACAAATTATTTTGGAGTGGCAACATTATATTAGGGATTTCTTTCTTTTTTTTTTTTTTTTCTGAGATGGAGTTTTGCTCTTGTTCCCCATGGAGTTTTACTCTTGTTCCCCAGGCTGGAGTACAATGGCGCGATCTCGGCTCACATTGCAATCTCTGCCTCCCAGGTTCAGGTAATTCTCCTGCTTCAGCCTCTCAAGTAGCTGGGATTACAGGCATATGCCACCATGCCAGCAAATTTTTGCATTTTTAGTAGAGGCAGGGTTTCACCATGTTGGTCAGGCTGGTCTCGAACTCCTGACCTCAGGTGATCTGCCCTTCTCGGCCTCCCAAAGTGCTGGGATTACAGGTGTGAGCCACCAGGCCCGGCCTATATTAGGGATTAAGAACTCAGATTTTGGAGTCAAAATTCCTGTATTTGAGTCACAGATATACATTTCCTTAGCTGGATATTACGAATTACTTTATCTCTTTATGTCTCAGTTTTCCCAGCTACAAAATAGCATTAATAATAGTACTTTACTTTCGCCAGGCACAGTGGCTCATGCCTGTAATCCCAGCACTTTGGGAGGCCGAGGCGGGAAGATCATGAGGTCAGGAGATCGAGACCATCCTGGCTAACACGGTGAAACGCCGTCTCTACTAAAAATACAAAAAATTAGCTGGGCGTGGTGGCAGGCACCTGTAGTCCCAGCTACTTGGGAGGCTGAGGCAGGAGAATGGTGAACCTGGGAGGAGGAGCTTGCAGTGAGCCGAGATCGTGCCACTGCACTCCAGCCTGGGCGACAGCGCGAGACTGTCTCAAAAAAAAAAAAAAAAAAAAAAAATAATAATAATAATAATAGTACTTTACTTCATAGAGTGGGTATGAAGACTGAGTTCATATTTGTGAAGTGCTTAGGATACTTCCTAGTGTGTAGTAAAGGCTCAATAATTACAAACAGCACTCTGCTTTCTTAATGAGAAAGAGTGCTATTCCTCACAATTTACCATGGATACAGGCTACACCCTTAGAACCACAGGCACTTTAACTCTTAAATAAATTATTGGCCAAGTAGCTTTTCCAACTTACGTAAAAACAAGTATATTAAAGTGCCATCCTTACCTAGTTTGGAAGGATCATACTCAGCTGAAATTTGGATCAATAATTTCTCCATATGGTGGAAGTTTGGAAATTCTTCAGGAATGACTGAAAAAACATTTATATTGCCCTCCAGATCCACAGACAGTTCTTTCAGGCACAGGAACTTATCCAGATTAGGAAAGATTTGGTCTGGAAAGCAGCACAGTTTCCCATTATTAATCTAAAGAGTTCTGAATGGACATTTTAAAACTGTCATTTTGATTCATCCAGCTATTTTCACATGCAAACCTTCCACATACCATAAAACATTCTTTTTTTTTTTTAAAGAATACATATATGAAGATATTGCTTTTTGCAGCTTATGCACTGTATGGGAAGCCCTGTGCTACTCTTCAGACTCACAAAAAGAAATACAGCATCTCGGCTAGGCGCAGTGGCTCATGCCTGTAATCCCAGCACTTTGGGAGGCTGAGGCGGGCGGATCACGAGGTCAGGAGTTTGAGACCAGTCTGGCCAACATAGTGAAACCCCGTCTCTACTAAAAATACAAAAAAAAAAATTAGCTGGGTATGGTGGTGTGCATCTGTAATCCCAGCTACTCAGGAGGCTGAGGCAGGAGAATCACATAAACCTGGGAGACGGAGGTTGCAGTGAGCCAAGATCGCGCCATTGCACTCCAGCCCAGGCTACAGTGTGAGACTCCGTCTCAAAAAAAAAAAAAAAAAAAAAAAAGAAGAGAAAAGAAATATAGCATCTCTTCAACAAACGGTTGGGGACAACTGGATTTGCACATGCGAAAGAATGAAGTTGGATTCCTATCCCTCACCATGTAAAAAAAATCAACTCAAAATGGATCAACGACCTAAATATAAAAGCTGAAATCACACAACTCTTAGAAAAAACATAGGAGTTAATCTTCATGACCTTGGATTTGGCAATGGATTCTTAGATAGGACACCAAAAGGACCAGCAATAAAAGAAAAAAACAGATAAATTGGACTTCGTCAAAATTTAAAACTTTCGTGCACAAAGGACATTATAAATAAAGTAAAATGACAACCTATGGAATGGGAAAAATATTTTCAAACTGTGTATCTGATAACAGGTTGAAATCCAGAATATACAAATAACTCTTACAATGCAACAAAAACAACAACAATTTTTAAATGAGCAAACAGATATTTTTTCAAAAAGTGAAAAGATACTTAACATCATTTTCATGATTTGCATTAGAGAAATGCAAATCAAAACCACAATGAGATACCACTTCACAACTACTAGAACGGCTTTATGATAATCACAAAACAAAATGGGCTGGGTGAGGTGGCTCATACCTGTAATCCCAGCACTTTGGAAGGCCAAGGTGGGTGGATCATTTGAGCCCAGGAGTTCAAGACCAGACTAGGGGCCAGGCACGGTGGCTCATGCCTGTAATCCCAGCACTTTGGGAGGCCGAGGTGGGTGGATCACCTGAGGTCAGGAGTTCAAGACCAGCCTGGCCAACATGGTGAAACCCCATCTCTACTAAAAATACAAAAATTAGCTGGGTGTGGTGGCGGGAGCTTGTAATCCCAGCTACTTGGGAGGCTGAGGCAAGAGAATGGCGTGAACCCAGGAGGCAGAGCTTGCAGTGAGCCGAGATTGCGCCACTGCACTCCAGCCTGGGGGACAGAGCGAGGCTCCATCTCAAAAAAAAAAAAAGAAAGAAAAAGAAAAAAGACCAGACTAGGCAACATAGCAAGAATCTGTCTCTACAAAAAATAAAAAATTATCCAGGCACGGTGGTGCATGCTGGTAGTCTCAGCTACTCAGGAGGCTGAGGCAGGAGGATCACCTGAGCTCAAGAGGTTGAGGCTGCAGTGAGCCATGATTGCACCACAGCACTCCAGCTTGGGCAATAGAGCGAGACACTGTCTGAAAAACAACAATGAAAACAAAAACAGGTCGGGCACTGTGGCTCATGCCTGTAATCCTAGCACTTCGGGAGGCCAAGGTGGCTGGACTGCCTGAGCTCAGGAGTTCGAGACCGGCTTGGGCAACATGGCGAAACCCCATCTCTACTAAAAATACAAAAGTTAGCCAGGTATGGTGGTGCACACCTGTAGTCCCAGCTACTCAGGAGGCTGAGACAGGAGAATTGCTTGAACCCGAGAGGTGGAGGTTGCAGTGAGCCAAGATCTCGCCACTGCACTCCAGCCTGGGTGACAGAATTAGACTCTGTCTCCACAAAAACAAAAATTAACAAGTGCTGAAGAGGATGTGGAGTAATTGGAACCTTTGTACATGGATAGTGGGAATGTAAGATGGTGCAGCTACTGTGCAAGTTCCTCAAAAAGTTAAACATAGAACTACCATATGAATCAGCAATTCTGCTTCTAGGTATATACCCAAAATGATTAAAAGCAAGAACTTAAACCGATACTTATAATGCCAGTGTTCATTGCAGCATTATTTATGATAGCCAGAAGGTAGAAACAACCCAAGTGTCTCTCAGCAGCAGAATGGATAAACAAAATGTACTATATACATACCATGGAATATTAGCTATAAAAAGGATGAAGTTCCTTTTCAAAGTTGATACATAATAATTGTACATATTTATGGAGTACATGTGAAGGAATGAAATTCCAATATAGGCTACAACATGATGTACCTTGAACAGTATGCAAAGTGAAATAAGCCAGACAAGTGATAATGCTTATAAACAATATCTAGAAGAGGCAAATTCATAGAGACAGAAAATAGAAGAGAAGTTATCAGGGGCTGGTGGGAGGGAAGATTTTTTTTTTTTTTTTTTTTTTTTTTTTTTGAGAGGGAGTCTCACTCGGTAGCCCAAGCTGGAGTGCAGTGGCATGATCTGGGCTCACTGCAACCTCTGCCTCCCAGGCTTAAGTGATTCTCATGCCTCAGCCTCCCGAATAGCTGGGACTACAGGCGCATGCCACCACGCCCAGCTAATTTTTTGTATTTTAGTAGAGATGTGGTTTCACCATGTTGCCCAGGGTGGTCTCAAACTCCTGAGCTCTGGCGATCCACCCTCTTCGGCCTCCCAAAGTGCTGGGATTACAGGCGTGAGCCCCCGCGCCCGGCCCAATTTATTGTTTAATTGGGATGATGAAAAGGTTCTGGAGATGGATAGCGGTGATGGTTGTACAACATAGTGAATGCTTAATGCCACTGAGTTGTACACTTAAAATGATTAAAATGTAAGCTTTGTTACATGTATTTTACCATAATAAAACAGTACTTGAAAAAAGATGAAAAATTTTCTAAATTTGGTAAATGTCAACCCACACATTCCAAAAAAGTTCAGTGCACCTCAAGCAAGATACATACAAAGCAAAGCACACCTAGGCATATAACAGTCAAACTGCTTAAGACCAAAGCAATACTAGCAACAATTAGAAAATGAAAAAATATTTTTAATGACATTTACAATACTTTCAAAAGATATGAGTATCTAGGAATAAATTTAATGAAAGATGGGTTAAGTCTACACTGAAAACTATCAAATAGTGCTTAGAGGAGTTAAGACACAAATAGATGAAGATATTATTTCCCATTAATTTATTTATTTCCCAGGGACTACAGGCCTTTCTTCCTTTAGGCAGCTAGGGTGAAGGTAATTTCTAAGCATCATCTTACATATAGCTAATTCTTTTACTAATAACAGATAATTCATGTCTTTATTAAGAACCTTCAATAATTTAATATAAATATTTTATTCATTTTGTCTGAGTTATTTGAAAACCATTCTATTATTCAAGGACTTTTCACTAATTCATGCTACTGTCAAAAAAAAATTAGTGAAGGTTTATTTTATATCTGTTCTATCAATGAGCATGCATGCTTTCATGGCCTCAGAAGTTTTCAACCACTTAAAGTAAGAAAAAGAAATTATACATCAGAATAGTCATCCAAAATATATACAGGTATACCTTGTGACTGGATTGTCCCTGAGACTTCAAGAGATTCCAGGGAAGGCAGGGTGAGAAGCAGTTCCTGTTCGGCTGCGCTGAGTTCCAACTTGCTTATGGAGCACTTGGTGACAGAGGCCTTAGACAGCTCAAGAGCTGGGCGGATGCTTTCTATAAAGCCTCTGCTGTGGTTTAAATGGAGTTCGATGCGCTGTGAAGCTGAGAAAACTGTCATTAGAATCTCAAGCATATCCTGGCCTACAACATCAATATCATTCACATCGACTTCTAGACAGGGAATCTTGTACTGCTTTGGAGAAAGTTTCCAATAGCCAGTACTAAGGTCTGGTGATGCCCTGCGCTGCATATCCATATAGCTCTTTACATTATCCTCTTTTTCAGCTAAATTTCGCTCCCATTCATTCATAGGTTCAAAGGCAGAAGCATAGTCCTGATCTATAGTTGGCACCTGTGATTTGTCAAAACATGTTTCCAGAACTGAAAAATGTGCTCTGGGTGATGTCTTATTTCCTCGTATTGAGAAGTGGATGCTCCTCAACAATGACAAGCTTTCTGGGTGGTCGAAAAAGTACTGTAAGTTAAGCGCACCCAAAGTCAGTGTTCTCCCTTGAAGGAATTGCAAAACAAATGGAGAACACGCAGCAACAGTGTTGCTTTGATAAGCAGTTTTCAGGGCAAGAACCAGTAAATGTTCTGAAACCATTGAAAAGTAAGCTTGTGGACAAATTTGCCACAATCCCCTAAGTAACTGCATCTGCAGTGAAATTTCTGGCTGGTGCTTTAAGTAGTCATCATTTTCAGATATATTCTCCAATGACTCTTTGTTATCCACTAAATGGAGCAAATGAGACACAATTTTGGGCCCTGCTTTTGTTGAAGGGAGGCTGGAGACATAGTTCAAAAAATTGTTGTAGGCGCTTACAGTCATCATGGGTGAGTTGATTTGTTTCAAATGATACAGTCCCAAATCTTGATGTTCCTGCCTATCTGAATCCAGGAGTTCAATCAGCCTCATCCCCGCAAGAAATTCTTGGAAGGCAGGACTTAAAAACCGGTAGAATGGTCTTAGTCTCTGGGCTGTAAATTTGCTCATCAAGCACATGGTTAGATCTTCATCTTCATCAACCCCTGCTTCTGCGAGATCATCATCATTAAACTCAAAGCAACATGAAAAAAACCCTTTCAAGGCCAGCTCACCACAGGAGGACACAGTTGCTTTGAGAATTTCAGCTGTCGCTTTGTTCCTTAAGGAAAGGCGTTCCATATAGGACTTGAAAACAGCCACATCATCAAAGGATGGGTCAAAAGGATACTGAAACCAATGAGCACAGATCGCCGCCACAAAGAGAGGAGTTTTCTGTATCTTCTGCAAACTTTGGTTCTTTCCAAAGTAAACCATAAACTTTCGCAGACGAGTCATATTATGTGAAAAGAGCTTCCGTAATATACAGACAGTATTATAAAAGGGAAATGCTTTGATCTCTAGAATGGTCTCTAGGTATCGGCGGATGTCCCTGGCCCTGTTTGTACGGACAGCAATCAATAGGCAGGTCCGGGATAAGTGGTTTTTTTGAATCAGTTTTCCTATGACTTGAGGGATTGAACATATTTCTTTGTAGTCATCTAAAAGGAATAAGACCTGATTCTTTAACTGCTGGATAATGTTCCTCACGCACATTTCAGTAACAGATCCTTCTTTCTCTAGGAGCTGGTCACAGATGATACTGGCCAGCCCCTCGTCTGGTCTGGTGGAACTAAGGGAGAGGTAGAAAACCAGCTGGAACCTGTTTAACAGGGGACAGCATCCAGATGCCCACAGAAAAGCTATTTTCTTCAGGAGGACCGTCTTTCCACTTCCAGCTTCACCCTCCACACACATGACAGAGTTCAAGTTGCCAAAGACCTCAGGCAGCACCAGAGGTTCTTGCACAGGTTTGCTGATGTGTTTTGAAGCAATAGACAGATCACAGCCCAGCAAGTGGTCCGTGGCCAGATCGGAAGAGATATCAAGCAAAGACATGTGGCGGAAACTGGCGCTGGTATAAGCTGCTCTCAGCTGCTCATTCAGATTCTTTGCCTCTTGAAACCACTGGGCTTCACCCTGTGCCATTTCTGTGGAGAGAAAGAAAGGGGGGCACAACAGGGATTCATAGTCACATCTCCCTCAGTCTGAACGCCATGCCTTTTCATTCCATGATTCTGCCTGTCTACTACGAATGTGTTAGGATTTTCCACAGCCATCCATGATTCCCACATTGCGATCATCTCATAGGTTTTGGCACAAAATCGGAATGTGGGAAGCATGTGTCCAAAGTGCCACACTTGAAGCAGGGACCTAGACATAATGTGTGCTTATCATAAGCACCATGCATCTCAGGAAAGAGGCCAGGCAAAGTGACTCATGCCTGTAATCCCAGCACTGTGGGAGACCGAGGCAGGCGAATTGCTTGAGCCTAGGAGTTCAAGACCAGCCTGGCCAACATGGCAAAACCCTGTCTCTACAAAAAATACAAAAATTAGCCAGGTGTGGTGGCACATGCTTGTGGTCCCAGCTACTGGGGAGGCTGAGATGGGAGGATCACTTGAGCCTGGGAGGTCGACGCTGCAGTGAGCCATGATCTTGCCATTGCATTCCAGCCTGGGTGACAAAGTAAGACCCTGTCTCAAATAAAATAAAATAAAATAAAATGAATAAAAATAAAAATCTCAGGAAAGAAGTTTACTGATTGGTGCTTCTAAGGACTGGTTTGCTTGTACCTGAGACACGTTGCCTACTATCAGTTTGGTCCTGCCTGCACTCTGGAGAAGCCACAAGAATCTTGACTTTTGCTCATACACGACACTGTTGCAATGCTGCTCCTCTTTGGAAGCTCTTTGGACAATTATAAATACTCTTTTTTTTGCAACTGCCCTGTATACAAATATATTTACAAATACATATAATCCCACGTGCTACTTCAAAGTTCTTACCTGGCACTATAGGACCAACTGCTATTGAATCTTCAAGATTGCTTTCACTTGTGGTTTCCTTTGAAAAATAAAATCTTTTCTTAAATCAAAATTTGTATAGGAGAGTGGTGCATCATGTTGTAATCATTGGAGACTAAACATCTTCTAAACACAGCCCACCCTCAAATATTTATGCTGATTGAAGGGAGGGGTGCTCCAAATATAAAGCAATTAATAATCTGCAAACATCTGCAGGAATGTGTGTTCCTCAGTGGTTCATATATGATACAATCCATGGGTGATACTATCCAGGTAACGAGAATCATAGTGTCTTGAGCAAGAAGGTTCCTCCAAAAGTCATTAGGTGCAGCCTCTGTCCTTGGTTAACTACATTTTTAATATTACACATCCAGTACTTAGAAAGGTTATGTTTCTTCCTTAAAAAATAAGCTATTTCTATATCCCCAAACTTTTTTCTTTAGTGCCATTTTTCAATTCATATAGAAAATGAATCACGTGAATAGCAAGTTGGTTTTTGTGTGTGTTGGGGGTGGGGGGATGACAAACATAACATACCTAACACACAGCCTCAAAATAAGGTGGTATATGTGTGCATTAAATTAGTAGTGGCTTATATCCCAGAGAACTAGGTAGGATTTCTCAGCTTAAAGTGGTCAGCCTATTACCTGGGTTTATGATTTTGTTGGGCACTTGCTTTTGTTAAAGTAACATCTTCTCAACCCCTAAAAAGGCCAAGTAGCAAATCCAGCCTTATTGCCCTCCACATGAAGATCCAGAGAGGATCCATTTAGCCTGGATGCTAATCAACAAAGTCTAAGAGAGTCTGGGCCTTGAAGTAGAAGAGATTGACTATACATTTCATGAAGCTAGGTATTGTGCCCGACTGGTTTATTGTGATTTCCCCAATCTGTACCTAGAACATAACAGATGTTTAGTAGATGTTTGTAGAATTTATTAACTTATTTATGATGAGACATTCCTGTTCAAAACAGTTTTCAATTATATGATCATGTGCTGGTAAAACAGACAAGATGACGGTGTTCATTACCAGTAATTCACAAAGTTCACCACGGCTCTGAAGGTCTGGAGTCACTTCCGCAGAGGACTTCATATTTTGGAGAAATGGACAACTAAGTGTAAAAGTTAAAAGTTATAAAAATAGTTGTATGCATTTAAGTATTTGTGTTAGGTATTTTTGTTGTTGTTGTTGCTGTTGTTGTTTGTTTTGTTTTTTCAGAGACAGGGTCTCACTATGTTGCCCAGGCTGTTCTGGTTTCAAACTTCTGGCCTTGAGCAATTCTCCTCCCTAGGCATCCCAAAGTGCTGGGATGATAGGTGTGAGCCGCCAGGCCTGGCCTTGTATTAGGTTTTTAAAAACACTATTAGAGTTTTAGTGACAAGAATTAAGTATAAAACTATCATTTCCAGTGATTCTCTCTGTCAGTGTCATCAGGTAAGGCACTTAGGTTGTGGCTCTCTGCAAGAGAAATGTAAATGGTTTATAAAGTAACGGTAAAGGATATCAAGGGAATTTGGTGGAATGAGTGCGTATATGACACTCCTCCATGCAACCAACAAAAATGAACTTAAAGAATCAAAAATAGGAAAAAAAAAACCCTCTATTTATGAATTCTGGAACAAAAAACAACATAGTGGAAAAACTGGTGAAATCCAAATAAACTCTGGATTTTAGTAAATAGTAATGTACAGTATATGAATTGGTACACTGATGATTTTGACAAATATGCTAGTGTAAGATGTTAGCATTAGGGTAAATTGGGTATGGCAATATATAGGAACTCTTTGTATTACTTTGCACTTTCTGCAAATCTAAATAATTTCAAATAAAAATTTATTAAAAAAAGAAAAAAACTCTGTGAGTGCGGTGGTTCACACCCAAAATCCCAGCACTTTGGGAGGCCGAGGCGGGCAGATCACTTGAGGCCAGAAGTTTGAGACCAGCCTGGCCAACATGGCAAAACCCTGTCTCTATTAAAAAGAAAATTCCAAAATTAACCAGGCAGTGGTGGCGCACACCTGTAGTCCTAGCTACTTAGGAGGCTGGGGCACAAGAATCGCTTGAACCTGGGAGGCGGAGGTTGCAGTGAGCTGAGATTGTGCCACTGCACTCTAGTCTGGGCAATGGAGTGAGACTCTGTCTCAAAACAAAACAAAAAACAAACAAGGCCAGGCATGGTGGCTCACGCCTGTAATCCCAGCAGTTCGGGAGGCTGAGGCGGGTGGATCACTTGAGGTCAGGAGTTTGAGACCAACCTGACCAACATGGTGAAACCTCACCTCTACTAAAAATACAAAAATTAGCCGGGCGTTGTGGCGGACGCCTGTAATCCCAGCGACTTGGGAGGCTGAGGCAGGAGAATTGCTTGAACCCAAGAGGCAGAAGTTGAAGTAAGCCGAGATCGCACCATTGCACTCTAGCCTGGGCAACAGGAGTGAAACTCTGTCTCAAAAACAAACAAACAAACAAACAAAAAACTAACCAACCACAAACCACTCCATTGCCAGGTGCAATGGCTCATGCCTGTAATCCCAGCACTTTGGGAAGCCAAAGTAGGAGTTTCACTTGAGGTCAGAAGTTCAAGACCAGACCAACCTGTGCAACATAGAGAGACCTCCTCTAAAAATTAGCTAGCAGGGTGGCATGCATGTATAGTCCCAGCTACTTGGGGGTGCTGAGGCAAGAAGATCACTTGAGGCCAGGAGGTTGGGGCTACAGTGAGCCGTGATTGCATCACTGCACTCCAGCCTGGGTGACAGAGTAAGACCCTGTCTTAAACAAACAAAAAATTAAAAAAGAAACCCTCCGTCAGTATCAAAAGAAAAGAATGGCCACAAACATACTCTCTAAAAACTACTTGCCAATCTCGTGAAACTAGGACGCAAATACCCTCTAAACTCAGGTTTGATGTATGCTTGAAGAACAAGAGAGAAAGTTCAAAAAGAGCTCTAGTTGCAATTATTAAAATGGACAGATGAGAACTATACATGTGAGTAAGTCAGTGGCCTATTCCATGCTGTAGAATCACTGGAGAGCAGGAGTAAAGCAAAGGGACACTTTTTTTTTTTTTTTTTTTTTTGAGACAAGGTCTCACTCTTTTGTCCAGGCTTGAGGGTAGTGACACGACCAAGGATCAATGTAGCCTCCAACTCCCAGGCTCAAGTGATCCTCCCACCTCAGCCTCCCAAGTAACTGGGACTACAGGCACGTGCCACCATGCCAGGCTAATTTTTTTTTTTTCTGGGCTCAAGGTATCCTCCCACCTCAGTTTCCCAAAGTGCTGGGATTACAGGCGTGAGCCACTGCATGTGGCCCAGATACTTCATTTGTATTGCCTTCAGGTGACTTGGCGATGAGTCCAGAAATAGAAGCATAGCTTCAGGAAAACAACAAGTAGAACTTTTAACGTTTCTGTCCAAAGTCAGCCATGTAGAGGTAAATAAAAACAAACCCATAGGGAAGGGGTGAAGTGGCTTACAAAAGAAAAAAAATATTTTAATAGGCCCATCAAGGAAAAGAACTATGAAGGAAGGTAAAATATAAACTTATTCATACAAACAAATGCCAAATAAAGTCAGTTGCCAGCATAACTGCACTACAAAAAATGTGAAAGGGACCAGGCACAGTGGTTCACCCCTGTAATCCCAGCACTTTGGGAGGCTGAGGCAGGCAGATCATGAGGTCAGGAGTTCAAGACCAGCCTGGCCAACATGGTGAAACTCTATCTCTACTAAAAATACAAAAATTAGCCTGGCATGGTGGTGGGCACCTGTAATCCTAGCTACTCAGGAGGTTGAGGCAGGAGAATCACTTGAACCCGGGAGGCAGAGGTTGCAGTCAGCCGAGATCGTGGCGCTGAACTCCAGCCTAGGAGACAGAGCAAGACTCCATCTCAAAAAAAAAAAAAAAAAAAAAAAAAGTGAAAGGAAGCACATCATTTAAAAGGAAAATGATAGCAGATGGAAATTTGGTTCTACTCAAAGGAATGAAAAGTACCAGGAATGATAAGATAACTAAGAGGGCAAATATGAAAGACTTTTGCCGTTGTAAAAATGTACTTAAATTGTTTAAAGCAAAGATATAACATTATATTGTAAGATTTATTAAAGTACATGGAAATAAAATGTATGACAATAGCACAAAGGATGAGAGGGGAGAAATGGAAATATACTATTGTATGGTTCATACATTTTATGTCAAGTGTTATATATTTTTTTGACCCAGAGTCTCACTGTGTCACCCAGGCTGGAGTGCAGTGGCACGATCTCAGCTTTCTGCAGCGTCTGCTTCCTGGGTTCAAGCAATTCTCGTGCCTCAGCCTCCCAAGCAGCTGGGATTACAGGTGTGCGCCACCACACCCAGCTAATTTTTTTGTATTTTTAGTAGAGACGGGGTTTCACCATGTTGCCCAGGTTGCTCTGGAACTCTTGACCTCAAGTGATCTGCCTGCCTCAGCCTCCCAAATTACCGGGATTACAGGCATGAGCCACTGCACCCAGCTGTTATAATATTTTTGAAGATTACTATGATATGTTAAATAGGCATATGGTAAACTCTAGAGCAAGTAGTAAAAAGGTAAAATAAGGATTAATAGCTAATAAGCTGACAGAAATAAAATGGAGTACAAAAAAAAATACTCAAGGAGGGGGTAGAAAAAAGAAAAAAAAAAAAACCCTAAACCCTAGGAAGTCAGGAAAAGAAAAAGAAACAAAGAAGTGATGAAATAAATAGAAAGCAAATGGTAAAATAGGTTTAAATCCAACCATATTCATAATTGCATTAAATTTAAACGTTCTAAACATTCCAATTAGAAAGCAGTTATTGTCAGACTCTTAAAAAGCAAGACCTGGCCAGGCGTGGTGGCTTACGCCTGTAATCCCAGCACTTTGGGAGGCCAAGGCAGGTGGATCATGAGGTCAGGAGATCGAGACCATCCTGGCTAACACGGTGAAACCCCGTCTCTACTAAAAATACAAAAAATTAGCCAGGTGTGGTGGCGGGGTGCCTGTAGTCCCAGCTACTCGCGAGGCTGAGGCAGGAGAATGGTGTGAACCCAGGAGGCGGAGCTTGCAGTGAGCCAAGATCGTGCCACTGCACTCCAGCCTGGGCGACAGAGCAAGACTCCGTCTCAAAAAAAAAAAAAAAGAGAAAACCTGGCTGGATGTGGTGGCTCACACCTCCATCTCAAAAAAAAAGCAAGACCTGCTGGGTTCAGTGGTCCACACCTGTAATCCCAGCACTCTGGGAAGACAAGGCAGGAGAATTGCTTGTGGCTAGGTGTTCGAGATCAGACTGGGCAACATAGTGAGACCTTGTCTCTATAAAAAACTAACAAACTTAGCCAGGCTTGGTGGCATGTGCCTGTAGTCCCAGCTACTCAGGAGTCTGAGGTGGGAGGATTGCTTGAGCCTGGGAAGTCCAGGCTGCAGTGAGTCAAGACTGCACCACTGCACTCCAGCGTAGGCAACAGAGCGAGTCTGTCTCATAAACAAATAAAAAATAAAATAAAAGACCCCACTGTGTTGTTGCCTATAACAATTCACTTTAAGGCTGGGTGCAGTGGCTCATGCCTGTAATCTCAACACTTAGGGTGGCAGAGGTGGGAGGACAGCTTGAGCCCAGGAGTTTGAGATCTGCCTGGGCAACATAGTGAGACCCCGTTACCCACAAAAAGGAAAAGGAAAAAACAAGAATTGACTTTAAATATAGTCACAGATAGATTAAAAAGAAAATAATCTAAAAGATGTAACATGAAAAAACTAATAAAGGCCTAAAAAATACTATCAAGGATAAAGAGGGATATTTCTGTTTTTTAGAGACAAAGTTTTACTCTGTCACCCAGGCCACAGTACAGTGGCACAATCATAGCTCATTGCAACCTATACTCCTGAGCTCAAGCGATTCTCCTGCCTCTGCCTCCCAGGTAGCTGGGACTACAGATGCATGCTACCACACCCTGTTTGTTTTAAAAATTTTTTGTAGAAATGGAGTCTAGCTATGTTGCAAAGGCTAGTCTCAAACTCCTCGCCTTGTGCACTCCTCCCACCTCAGCCTCCCAAAGTGCTGGGATTATAGGTGTGAACCACCATGCCTGCTTGGGATATTTAATATATTCTCTGGAATATGAAAGACCAAAGGGCAAAAAAATAGCTAAGACACACTCTTGAAGAGAAAGAACAAGACTATTCTGCAGGAAAATATGAAAATAAGCTCAACTGCCAGGCGCGGTGGCTCACACCTGTAATCCCAGCACTTTGGGAGGCTGAGGTGGGTGGATCACCTGAGGTTGGGAGTCCGAGACCAGCCTGACCAACATGGAGAAACCCCATCTCTACTAAAAATACAAAATTAGCTGGGCGTGGTGGCACATGCCTGTAATCCCAGCTACTCGGGAGGCTGAGGCAGGAGAATCACTTGAACCTGGGAGGCGGAGGTTGTGGTGAGCCGAGATCGTGCCATTGCACTCCAGCCTGGGCAACAAGAGTGAAACTCCCGTCTCAAAAAAAAAAAAAGAAAGAAAAAAAGAAGAAGAAAATAAGCTTAACATTATTAGTAATTACACTGACAAAAATTAAAATTTGGGCAATACCAAGTTAGTGAGGAAGCAAATCAATAGAAACGCATCTAGGCCAATGGGAATGTAAATCAGTGCAACCACTTGGGAAAAAGCTTTGCATTATCTAGTGGAGTTGAACACCCGCAAAGTTCTATGACTCTGCAATTCTTTACTTTGTTATGTATCCTAGAGAAACACACATGAGCACTGGAAAATATGTACAAGAATGTTCATAGGGCATTATTTGAATTTGCAACACTCTGAAAACGACCCACGAGGTTAATCAACAGTAAAATAAGTTATTATATATTCATAAAATAATACACTATTTACCAATGAAAACAAGTGAACTACAACTGTGTAGTACATATAAATATGGATGAATCTCAAAAACATCGTGGAGTAAAACCAGCCAATTACAAGAAGAATCATGCAGTATGCTTCTTATTTGAACTTCAAGAATAGACAAAGCTAAATATGTTTAAGGATGTATATGTAGTTGGTAAAACCACAAAGAGAAGCAGGGGAATAATTAACCCAAACTGAGCATCACATTTACCTCTGGATTGGAGGGACAGGGATATAATCAGAATTAGGGGGTGGTTGGCATGCAGAGTTGTTTTTTGTTTTTTGATTTTTTTTTTTTGAGACAGAGTCACGCTCTGTCGCCCAGGAGTGCAATGGCGCCATCTTGGCTCACTGCAACTTCCGCCTCCCAGGTTCAAGCCATTCTCCTGCCTCAGCCTCCCTAATAGCTGGGACTACAGGCGTGTGTCACCAGGCCCGGTTAAATTTTTCTGTTTTTTAACAGAGATGGGGTTTCACCATGTTGCCCAGGCTGGTCTCGAACTCTTGAGCTCAGACAATCTGCCCACATCGGCCTCCCAAAGTGCTGAGATTACAGGCGTGAGTCACTGCACCCGGCCGCAGGGGTCTTTTAAGGCATTGATAATGTCCAATTTCTTGACTTTACTAGGAGGTTCATAGGTTGCTTTTTATTCATTCTTTAAAGCATACATAAAAATTTTAGGTAATCATTTGGAGACATACTGGTTTGCAGTTTTTTTAAGAGGCAAAGGAAGAGTAAAAATCCAAAAAGGAGTTGGCTGGGAGCAGTGGCTCATGCCTGTAATCCAAGTACTTTGGGAGGCTGAAGCAGAAGGATCATTTGGAGCCAGGAGTTTGAGACCAGCCTGGGCAACAAAGCAAGACCCCATCTCTACAAAAAAAAACTTTAAAAAATTAGTCGGGCATGGTGACACATGCTTGTAGTCCTAGCTACTTGGGAGGCTGAGGTGGGAGGATCACTTGAGCCCAGGAATTTGAGGCTACAGTCAGCTAGGATTGTACCACTGCACTTGCTCCAGCCTGGGTGACAGAGCCGAGACCCAGTCTCTTAACAAAAAAACACTAAAGGCCAGGTGTGGCGGCTCACACCTGTATTCCCAGCACTTTGGGAGGCTGAGGCAGGAGGATCACTTGAGGTCAGGAGTTCAAGACCAGCCTGGCCAACATGGTGAAACCCCGTCTCTACTAAAAGTACAAAAAATTAGCCAGGCATGGTGGGGAGGTACCTGTAATCCCAGCTACTTGGGAGGCTGAGGCAGGAGAATCGCTTGAACCCGGGAGGCGGAGGTTGCAGTGAGCCGAGATCACGCCACTGCACTCCAGCCTGGGTGACAGAGTGAGACTCCATCTCAAAAACAACAACAACAAAACACTAAAACTAATAATAATAATAATAGTATAAAAGGGAGTTGATCGATTCCAGAGTAAGTTCTAAATAAGACTAGACTGCATCCTAGCTTATCCTTCCAAGAATTAAGTAGAATGTCCCCATTGTTCTCAATAATTTATTATACACTAAGCCCAAATAAGAAAGAAAAATGAGGTAACTACTGCTATCAAAATACCTTCAAGGCAATAAAATTAGATAGAAGTATTCATTTTGTTTTATTTTTGTTTTTACCACTATACAAATGAGCAGGAAGCATTCATTTTAAAATCTGTATGTGTTCATATTCATTTCTAAAAAAAAAACTCTTACTAATTACATAGTGAAAACACAAATTTCTTCTTGCAATTAAACATTTCTAAAGAGTTTGATGGGTAAAAAAAAATTAAGTTTAAAGATTCATAGAAAAGAAATATTTCTTCATAAAATTTTAGAACAGATATTTTTCTGAAAGCTTCCAGCACAGGAAAAAAAAAAATTTTGTTTGCAGTAAAAGGATTGACAAGCAGAAAGGCATGGAACTTCTCGACAGCACATTAGGAACCAGTAGAAATGTAGCAGTGCCTCTACAATTTAGAATTAAAATGACTTCCAACCTATAATTCTACACCTAGCTAAACTATCAAATAAGTGTGAGAATACAGGAAAAACATATATCTAGATAGATCTATATGTCTGTATATGCATTATATGCAACTAAAAGTGTGTATTTCTTATGCAGTCTTTCCCAGGGAACTCCGATGAAGTGTTCCAACAAAATGAGCGAGTGAACCAAGAAGAGGATGACATTAGATCCAGGAGATACAACAGAGGAGATAATCTCCAGGATGCCTGTGAAGAAAGATCCCTGGATCCCAGGATGATTATAGGACAAGTTGTTCATAATCCAGCAGGCCAGAAGACTTCCAGGGAAACTCATTTCAAGATGAAAATGGACCAGCCGCAGTGGCTCACGCCTGTAATACCAGCACTTTGGGAGGCTGAGGCAGGCGGATCACTTGAGGTCAGGAGTTTGAAACTAGCCTGGCCAACGTGGCAAAACTCCATCTCTATTAAAAATACAAAAATTAGCCAGGCATAGTGGTGCATGCCTGTAGTCCCAGCTACTTGGGATGCTGAGGCAGGAAGAATTGCTTGAACCTGGGAGGCAGAGTCTGCAGTGAGCCGAGATCATGCCACTGCACTCCAGCCTGGGTGACAGAGCCAGACTCCGTCTCAAAAAAAAAAGAAAAAGAAAAAAAAAATGATGACTCTTTCAAGAAATGAAAATGATGAGATATCTGGTAGGTCTGAATGACTTAAGAGGAGATTTAAACATTTGGGATAAGTTGAAGATGAGCTGGTGTTCGTCTTCATTTATTTCATTTAAATAAATAAAATTATTAATACATGAATTTTATCTCAAGAAACAAAAATAAGCAATGTACATAAAAATTAAGCAGATGGCTGGCCGGGCGCGGTGGCTCACGCCTGTAATCAGAGCACTTTGGGAGGCTGAGGCGGGTGGATCACAAGGTCAGGAGATGGAGACCATCCTGGCTAACACGGTGAAACCCCGTCTCTACTAAAAAAATAAATAAAAAATAAATTAGCCGGGCGTGATGGCAGGTGCCTGTAGTCCCAGCTACTCGGGAGGCTGAGGCAGGAGAATGGCATGAACCCAGGAGGCGGAGGTTGCAGTGAGTGAGATCACGCCATTGCACTCCAGCCTGGGCGACAAAGTGAGACTCCATCTCAAAAAAAAAAAAAAAAAAAAAAAAAAAAATTAAGCAGATGGCTATAATTTTTTTAAAAATAGAAAAGTGTTGATGAGAAATGGGAAACCTCATACATTGTTGGTCAAACTGTATGCTTCCATTTAGAGGAAATAGTCAGAACAAATAAATCCATAGACACCAATTAGGTTGGTGTATCCCAGGGGCTGGGCATGGAGTGGGGTGGAGAGAGAAGGAGGGCCTGCTTAGTGGATACAGAGTTTTCTTTGGGGGCGATGAAAGTGTTTTGGAACTAGATAGAGGGGGTGGTTGCACAACATTGTTGTTGGTGGGAATTTAAAATGGTGCAAGCACTGTGGAAAAAACAGTTTAGCATTTCCTCAAAAAGTTAAAACAGGCCAGGCGCTGTGGCTCACGCTTGTAATTCCAGCACTTTGGGAGGCCAAGCCAGGTGGATCACTTGAGGTCAGGAGTTTGAGACCAGCCTAGCCAACATGGTGAAACCCTAAAAATACAAAAAATTAGCCGGGCATGGTGGCAGACACCTGTAATCCCAGCTACTCAGGAGACTGAGGCAGGAAAATTGCTTGAACCTGGGAGGCGGAGGTTGCAGTGAGCTGAGATCGCACCGCTGCACTCCAGCCTGAGCGACAGAGTGAGACTCTGTGTGAGAAAAAAAAAAAAAAAGTAAAAACATAGAATTACTATACAGCTAGCAATATCGTTGTTAGGTATATGCCCCAGAGACTTGAATACAGTTACATGCTCCATCAGATACCTGTACCCAAATGTTCCTATCGGTATTACTCATGGTAGCCAAAAGGTAGAAACAACCCAAATATCTACAAATAGATGAATGGATAAATAAAATGCAGTGTATCCATATGGAATATTACTTGGTCTCAAAAGGAAGGAAGTACTTATGCAAGCTACAACATGGATAAACTTCAAAACAATATGCCAAGTGAAAGAATCCAAATGCAAAAGGTCAAACGGTATGCTTCCATTTAGAGGAAATAGTCAGAACAAATAAATCCATAGACACCAATTAGGTTGGTGTATCCCAGGGGCTGGGCATGGAGTGGGGTGGAGAGAGGAGGGGGGCCTGCTTGATGGATACAGAGTTTTCTTTGGGGGCGATGAAAGTGTTTTGGAACTAGATAGAGGGGGTGGTTGCACAACATTGTGAATGTACTATAATAAATGCCACAGAATTGTGTACTCTAAAATGGTTTAATTGCTGTGCATGGTGGCTCACGCCTATAATCCCAGCACTTTGGGAAGCCAGGATGGGAAGACTGCTTGAGCCTAGAAGTCTGAGAGCAGCCTGGGCAACATAGAGAGACCCTGTCTCTTAAAAAAAAAAAAAAAAAAATTAGCTGGGTGTGAAGACATGTGCCTGTAGTCCCAGCTACTTGGGAGGCTGAGCGAGGAAGATTGCTTGAGCCAGAGAGGTCAAGGCTGCAGTGAGCCATGATTGCACCACTGCACTCCAACCTGGGCAAGAGAGAGAACCTGTCACAAAAAATAATAAATAAATAAATAAAATGGTTACTACCTGAATTTTACCTCAGGAAAAAAAAATAAGCTAACATACCAACAGGACAGTTATTACTTCCTAAAAAAATAAAAGGATATACAGGAAGGGAAAAATAAATAAAAATTTACCACAAGCTTCAGCTCCACATAGCATTTGTATAGTCATGATAATGTAAACATGTAATGTGAATATATGAATCTAGCCAAAACTATGCCATAACTATAAAGAGGGGAAGGCTAGTACAGGAAGGGGGTCATGGAGCAAAGGGATGAAAGACATGAAGACTCATCCTTCATAGCCTGAATCCGAGGAGTGGATAAAGACTCAATCTAAAGATAAAATAAGGCAGGAAATGAGGAAAAAGAAAAAAACTGTTGAAGTGCATCCAAAGTTGCAGATGGTTAACATTCATTCCACTCACTTGGGAAAACATCTGGTGTGATCGTCTAATGGGTCATCACCTTCCTGCCATTTCTCTAAACACCCTCCACAGGAAAAGCACTGGACGATGTCCTTTATACCTAAAAGTAAGGAAACTTGATCAGTGCCACTGGCATGGGCATCTGTCCATTAACATGCAGATAATAACCACCAGACCTGTAATAGTGAAAGCCTATTCAGTCTCCAGTTGGGTTTTGTGACAGTCAGAAGTTGGTTACCAGTGAGGCAATTTTCTATATAAGACTCTGTCCACCAATGGGGTAACTGGCAAGTAGTCATTGAATGCTCCTACACACCATGCACTTTGATGCACACCATCCCTCTGCCCCATTCTCCTTTGATCAACAAACAGATTGGCAACCAGAATCTGGAATTGAAGCTCCATGAGGGGGCTGGGCGCAGTGGCTCATGCCTGTAATCCCAGCACTTTGGGAGGCCAAGGCCAGCGGATCTCCTGAGGTCAGGAGTCTGAGACCAGCCTGGCCAACACGGTGAAACCCTGTCTCTACTAAAAATACAAAAATTAGCTGGGCATGGTGGCACATGCCTGTAATGCCAGCTACTCAGGAGGCTGAGGCACAAGAATCGCTTGAACCCAGGAGACGGAGGTTGCAGTGAACCAAGATAACGCCATTGCACTCCAGCCTGGGCAACAAGAGTGAAACTCTGTCTCAAAAAATAAAAATAAAAATAAGCTCTATGAGGGTAGAGGTTTTTGCTCACTAATGAATGACATGAACCTAGAAAAGTGCTTGACACTCATGTGGCACTCAATTAGTATTCGTTTAATGAATGAATCAGAAAGAATATATTTAGAGCTCACGGAAAAAAAAATACCAGCAAATCTAGCAGCCCTTATGTAAGTGAATGCATGAAGAATTAATTGCCTCTTACCACATTATTGCCATGTTTATTACACCAGAAATAGGATTAAGTCTCTTTGTGAAATTATATTTCTTTGGAAAGAAATTGGTATTTAGCTCTGCAAAAGGATCAAACTAGAAACAGAGCATTTCTCATCTTCCTTCCACTCTGGGAAAGCTGGGGCAGAGGAAAGCCTCCCAGAAATATGAGATCCTAGAGCTTGCAAGATCTGAAAACAGTCAGAGATGATTAGGATTTGTGTGGAGTGGTGGAGGATTGGAAAGGAAGAGGGGGAGCACACTGGTCAGAGGGGTCTTGCGGAAGGCTGACAAGAGGAAGACACAGTAGAGTAGGGAGAAATGGCAAACACTCTTTCCAAAGGCTTAAGATTGTGAGGCAGTCAGATTTTTTTTTTCCAATGGCACATGTCTGTTAGGTAGAGTGACAACTATATTCTGCTTCTCTGTGTTGCTCTATGGTATTTGTGACAACTACTTGATCTCTCAGTTAAAGATCTGCATTAACCTCCACTGTAACTTATGCATGTGTTCGGTTTGAGCAAGACCAGCAAGGTACCTAGGAACCTTTCCCTGATCATCTTGTATTTCAGGCAGAGATTTAGCTGACAGGAACCAGCCCATCATTTATAGATTGCAGAGGTGCTTCCTAATGACCAGCAGCTAAAGAGAAAATGCCACAATCTGGTGGAAGGCTCTACGTGTTTAGGAATCATGAAAATTAATTTCCTGATTTTCTCCTGCAGGCAGAATGTGGCAAAGATTGCTATCCATGTTCCTATTATCTCAAATCCTTCCATACTAATAGAAATCCCAATATTTAGCTGGGCACATTGTCACCCAGGAAAAAGATTAGGTTTCCCAGCTCCTCTTACAGCTAGGTATGGTCATCTGACTAATAATAATAATAATAATAATAATAATTATTATTATTATTATTATTATTTTTGAGACAGAGTTTCACTCTTGTTGCCCAGGCTGGAGTGCAATAGCATGATCTTGACTCCCCGCAACCTCCACGTCCCAGGTTCAAGCGATTCTCCTGCCTCAGCCTCCCAAGTAGCTGGGATTACAGGCACCCGCCACCATGCCTGGCTAATTCTTTGTATTTTTAGTAGAGACAGAGTTTCACCATATTGGCCAGGCTGGTCTCAAACTCCTGACCTCAGGTGATCCACCCACCTCGGCCTCCCAAAGTGCTGGGATTACAGGCGTGAGCCACCATGCCCGGCCCATCCAACTAAGTTCTGATTAAAGAAATATAAGCAGAAGTGTCCTGTGACAGTTTCTAGGAGCACTTTGTCAGGGGACAAGAGGTGAGGAGAGTAATGTGTAGAAAGAAAAGACATGATAATTATCACAAATAGAATATTTGTATTCATTGTTAGTCCAGACCTTAAGGTTTCAAATTTGAAGGTTTACCACCTAAGGGAGGAATAGAAAACTGGGAGAGGATTTATGATGCAGGAAAGAAAAGAGATGTATGCCAGGTGCAGTGGCTCACACCTGTAATCCCAGCATTTTGGGAGGCCAAGGCAGGAGGATTACTTGAGCCCAGGAGGTTGAGGCTGCAGTGAGCCATGATCTCGCCACTGCCCTCCAGCCTGGATGACCATGTCTCAAAAAAAATAGAAAGAAAAGAAAACGAATCTATAAGAAATGCTGAAGAGAGGCCTGGCGCGATGGCTCACACCTGTAATCCCAGCATTTGGGAGGCCAAGGCGGGCAGATCACGAGATCAGGAGATCAAGAGCATTCTGACTAGCATGGTGAAACCCTGTCTCTACTAAAAATACAAAAAAGTAGCTGGGCGTGGTGGCAGGCGCCTGTGGTTCCAGCTACTCCAGAGGCTGAGGAAGGAGAATCTCTTGAACCCGGGAGGTGGAGGTTGCAGTGAGCCAAGATCTGCATTCCAGCCTGGGCAACTCTGTCTCCAAGGGGGAAAAAAAAAGAAAAGAAAAAGAAACGCTGAAGCTAGTGGACATTGCTGAGTGTAGCTAAACGTAAGCCCAGGAGCATAAAGTCTATGTGGGAATTAAAGGTCAAGCAAGCAAGTGGGCACAACCTACTGACTCACCTGTGTAGAAAAGACCTGCTTTGGCCAGTGCTGCAACTCCCACAGCTGATTCCCGGGGCCAGTCCTTAAAAGAGTCCAGCCGTAGTTCTTCGTAAGCAAAGATGCTGTCATTGCAATAAGCTTGAATAAAAAGCACAAGGTGAGACCAGCAGGCTTTAGTCTTTTTTTTTTCTATATCTTTATTGCTGCTGCACAAATTAAAGAGACCAGTAGGCTTTGATATTGCAAGTATCAGCGTTCAAGTTGTCCCTTCACAGTTACAGATGGAATGATGTCTAGAGTTTGCTTCAAAATAAACGGGGCGGGGCGGGGGGGAAGACAAAAAGAGATAGGGACAAAAAATCAAAAGAAGAAATAAACAAGCAAAGCCTTTGGAAAATGTTTGAGTTTTTACCTGATGCCATAGGTAATTCTCTCTGGACCCAGGAATTCACAAAATGTTCTCCCTGAGGGAAATTAAAATTCAAGTTGTTGATTATCTGACTTTTTTTTTTTTTTTTTTTTTTTTTGAGGCAGAGTCTCACTCTGTTGCCCAGGCTGAAGTGCAGTGGCAGGTTCTCGTCTCACTGCAACCTCCGCCTCCTGGGTTCAAGTGATTCTCCTGCCTCAGCCTCCCGAGCAGTACAGGCATGTGCCACCACACCCGGCTAATTTTTTTTTTTTTTTTGTATTTTTAGTAGAGACAGACACGATGTTGGAGGTCTTTTTTTTTTTTTTTTTTTTTTTTTGAGACAGAGTCTCGCTCTGTCGTCCAGGCTGGAGCACAGTGGCACGACCTTGGCTCACTACAAGCTCCGCCTCCCAGGTTCACGCGCCATTCTCCTGCCTCAGCCTCCCGAGTAGCTGGGACCACAGGCGCCTGCCACCATGCCGGGCTAATTTTTTTTTTTTTTGTATTTTTAGTAGAGATGGGGTTTCACCATGTTAGCCAGGATGGTCTCTATCTCCTGACCTCATCATCCGTCCGTCTCGGCCTCCCAAAGTGCTGGGATTACAGACGTGAGCCACTGCACCCGGCCCATGTTGGAGGTCTTGAGGCTGGTCTCGAACACCTGATCTCAAGTGATCTGCCCAGCTCGGCCTCCCAAAGGGCTGGGATTACAGGCATGAGCTACTGCGCCCAGCCTGATTGTTTGACTTATGAAGTATATACCTATCTATGAACAAGAACTGAAGGAACTTTACCCCAGAATGAAGAGTTTCACTGGATGGAACGGCAGAGTCGGAGGAGAATTATTCCTTTAATTTTTATTTCTGTTGATGTTGCAATTGTTTTTATGCAGTGCAAGCAAACATACACACACACACACACACACACACACACACACACACACACGCATGCAAGCTGTGAATGTTTATGCATACTCAGGAGGAAGCCTTCTCAGGGTCACTGTTTCCGGAAACTGACCTTGAAAACAGACCTGCATTTAAATATCACAGATGTACTTTGACGAATGAGGAAGTAAGAGACATAGAATGGTAACTAAATTCATCAGGGTATTATATATTGAGCAACTGATTCTTCTGGGAAAGCTGCACCCAGTTTCTTTTTGAGGAAACACCTCTCTTCCCCCACTGTCAGGCCATGTTCTCTATAGAGTTCTGGTCTCCTGAGTCATGTTAATCAATAAATTCTCATTTTTGTTTAAGCCAGTTTGGATTCGATTTCCCATCACTCTCCACTAGGAAATTTTTACTGATTCAGGATAGTTAGCCAGCTAGGAAGAGCCAGCTCTGCAGCCCACTGTGGGTGACAGCGCCTAGGTCAGGAGATCTTAGCAAGCCTGCAGATAGGGGCAGCAGAGGGAAGCTGGGGCAAGTGGCTTCATTCATAAAGGGGAAGACTATCAGGAAGGCAAGCAGAGCCCGTCAGAAGCCAGCCCTGGAAAAAGAAAAAGGCTCTAGGTCAGCAAGTGAATGTGATATTTTTCACTTTGAAGATGGGAGCCAGGGGAATGAAAGGAGAAAGGAAGAAAGAAATCAAACCCATGACATAAAAAGAATGCCTATGCCCTTCTGAGTCAGACACTTACAGGTAATCCAAAAACTTGAGAAAAAAATTGCTGTTATACATTACCGTTATGTCAACAAATCCCTTGTAGCTTTGAATATACTGGGTAATTTCCTCTGAGGATTTCTTACTCCGAAGAAATTCACATCTGTAATTAATAAATATAATTAAAATTTACCCCAGTACTGTGATAGAGCTGTCCTATATCACAATGAACATTTATAAAGACGTATTGAATTGTTGAATTTTATTATACTTCAATAAAATTGCCAAAAAATTTACCACAAAACTTAGGAGAATTACCATTATTCTCATATAATTATTTGTTATTTCTATTAGTGACAACATGTGTAGTTATTTAAAATTAAATCTTCAGGTTAACTTTTTTCTTGAAATAAAACATGCAATACAATCAAAGAGACTGATTTACAGTAAATATAGGATGGAGCTTTTGTTTTTTGGAATTAAGCAGTGGTGACTAAATCTAGTCGCTAGGGTTATATGAAAGCTACTGGCAGTAAAGAGAACTATATTTAAAATAATAGGCCAGACGCAGTGGCTCACATCCAGGAGTTCAAGACTAGCCTGGGCAACATGGCAAAACCCCATCTCCACAAAAAATACAAAAATTAGCCGGGCATGGTGCCACACCTCTGTAGTCCCAGCTACTCAGGAGGCTGAAGGGGGAGGATCACCTGAGCCCGGGGAGGTAGAGGCTGCACTGAGCCATGATCAGGCTGCTACACTCCAGCCTGGGCAACAGACTGAGACCCAGTCTCAAAAGTAAATACAAAAAATCTTTTTAAGATAACAATATATTTATCTACTGAACAAAAAATTACCATGCATTAAAAAGTAATGGCTATTAGGCCAGGCGTGATGGCTCACGCCTGGAATCCCAGCACTTTGGGAGGCCGAGACAGGTGGATCACGAGGTCAGGAGTTCGAGACCAGCCTGGCCAAGATGGTGAAACCCTGTCTCTACTAAAAGTACAAAAATTAGCTGGGTGTGGTGGCAGGCGCCTGTAATCCCAGCTACTTGGGAGGCTGAGGCAGGAGAATCGCTTGAACCTGGGAGGTGGAGGTTGCAGTGAGCTGAAATCATGCCACTGCACTCTAGCCTGGGCAACAGAGCAAGACTCAATCTCAAAAAAAACCAAAAACAAAAAAAGTAACGGATGTTAATGGATAATTTTTGATTTTTTTAAAAAAGAGCACACTGAATACCATTTAAAAACATATTCCTTTCCCATAAAAGAGAAGCAGTTTTAAAATTAACTTTTAAAATTTCCTCCAATTCAGCTGGGCATGGGGGATCATGCCTGTAATCCCAGCACTTTTGGAGGTTGAGGCGGGTGGATCACTTGAGGCCTGGAGTTTGAGACCAGCCTGGTCAACATGGTGAAACCCTGTCTCCATCAAAACTACAAAAATTAGCCTGGCATGGTGGCATGCGCCTTGTAGTTCCAGCTGCTCTGGAGGCTGAGGCAGGAGAATTGCTTGAACCCGAGAGGTGGAGGTTGCAGTGAGCCGAGATCACGCCACTGCACTCCAGCCTAGGCAACGAGAGCGATACTTCGACTCAAAAAAAGAGAAGTTATCTCTAGGTAAGATCATGATGGAAATTTTCATCTTACTTTATACCTTTCACTGTTGAAATTATTTTACAGTTGAAGTAAAGGAAATTTTACAATATCCAACAAGAGCCGATGTCATTTATTTAATATCAAAATTAATATTGGAAAAATGTCTATACTTTAGGCTACCACCCATCTGCCTGAATTAATCAGCATTAATACTTAATTTTAAATATTACCTGTCAACGCAGGTCACTGAATATGATCTCCTTTAAGGTATTATCATGTAATAAACTGCTACAAAAAGTCTAATTCTCTCAAGAGTTTTATAGTCATCCACTTCATTTTCAGGTCAACATTTTAACATATTTTCCCATATTTTTTTCTGAAGCTTTAATCTCTGCAAAGCCCATCTTTAAATTTGAAGGAAAAGGTAGAAGAGTGAGGAGCAGCAGTAATTAACTTGAATTTGGAACTTGGATATAACTAAAGACACATTTTGCTTCTTCATTTTTATGTCAGTTTGCAAAGGAAACAGTTATGATTTTAGCTAAATACAGAAATTTTTTTCTTTTTTCTTTTTAAAATTCTACTTGTATCACATTTCAAAACCTACTCTGAATTTTCACTCAGTTCCCACAATATTACCATAATTCTTTGAGCTGTTGGCAAAATGGATCCATTTTATAAAGTCATGCCTTTTGCATTGAGCTTTTGCCTGTCTCATATATTTAGATAAATTTGAAAGCAAAAGGAATATCCACTGTGTTGAATATCTTTAATAGCATGGTTGAAATTTATAATTTGAAATTCGTAAGTTCAAAGAACATTTATCTACTGCTTGATTTTATGCTTGAAACTTCCTATGCTTCACAGCAGTTTTTTTTTAATAGGTGGACAAAAATCCTTCCTCCTATCATTCATAACAATTTTCTTTATACTTAAGTAAAATATACAGAAACTTTTAAAGGAACGCCAAAATCTTGTTCCCTCTTATTGTTGCCACATTATTTTTATTATATTACCCAACCAGGTTTTTATGGTTATGCTTATACTCTCATACAAAACAGTTTTAGAACAAATATTGAAGGAAATGCAGGGTCACAAAATGAATAAGTTTACCTTAATAACATTAATATGAACAATGATATTATTTTATTGAACTTAAAGCACGCTCTTGAGCTTAAGAGCAAAGATGTAGCCACAGTTGAACTTGTATTTATTTGGGCTATATTTGTGCTTTTAATTACTCATACTAATACACAGGAAGCTTATTTGCAACAGGATATTTATATAATTTAAAATATTTTCAGAGTTTTTGTGTGTGTTGAAATGTTAGGAAAACAGAACTCATTCTTAAGCAATGATTTGCAAAGAGCAGTGCTCATATGCAGATTTTTAAGGCGTAGCCCAAATGGTTAGAAATGCTGCAAAAGTTTAATTTTCTTTTGGGTGATCTGTTGTCTGGAAAAAGCTGTTACATGTAAAAATTTGGATGCTGAAATCAAATGGCTATACCCAAATGAGCAAGAATAGTTTAAAACATTTAAATCAGCATCTGCATAAAAATTAATATAAATATTATTTATGACTGTTATGTATATATAATTATATTATGTATAAGAATATATTTATACAAATATATACTACTAGAAAATTGTATATGATTCACTATTTTATTTTATGTAATATTTTATGTATATATTTATTTACACATAATTTATATACTTTTAAGACTGTGTCCATTTTTCATTTATTCTTGGTCTCCGGTTTGAACAACGCTGCTTTATGGCATTACACTGATAATTCTCTCTACTCTTTAGTTCTCTTCCTTATCGCTTATTCATGTGTATCTTATTCCATGCTATAATGTAATGTACCATACATGTGTTGAATTTTAAAAAAAAATTAGCAGAATTTCAATGCTTTCCTATATTACTCAACATAAATATTCTCTATATAGAATGAATTGGAACAAGCTATTTGTGAATCTGAAAGGATAATCAGTGATTCTACCAATCATAGTGGTAAACTCATTCAAACTCAGCCTGTTAAAATGAGACGCTCTGCCCTATATCACTGAAAACCTCTTGATTTGCCAGATTTTTCCCTTCTTTACAAATGAAAATGCTTAGTGTTTTCTGAGTTCCTTTGCACTATCTCCCACTGGATTCAGGTCATTGATTTCATCTTCAGAACACTTGGAAAGTTTATTTTGTGGTGTCTATGAGCTAATTTATTTTTATTGCAATGTTTATTTAAAATGAAACAATAAGTACACTGAAGTTTTGTGCATTTCATTTTATGAAAATGTTATCCCAAAGGGATACAGAAGAACTAAATACAAATTTTCAAAATTTATTGTTTTTTTTTGCCTGCTGCTATATCTGAGGTTGTACTTTTGTTCTGATCTTTGTAACACCTCAAAAAAAAAATGGGTTAAGAGAAGGATGAACAGAAGAATGGATATGAGACCTATCTGATAAGGCAAGCAGATTAATAGACGAATGGAGGAATGTTTGGATGTATAGGTATATATGTGTTCATTGCACACATATGGAGGAATGTTTGGATGTATATGTATATGTGTTCATTGCACAGTTTTCAACTTTTTGTGTTGAAATTTTTATAAAAAGAAGTTGGAGAAATAAAAAACAAGAAAACAGAACCATAAGATTTTTATTTAACATTTTTGATTAAAGGAATTGTATTGCAAATTATGACTTTTTAATTTGGCAACATCCTTTTAATGGTGTTCTTTCTTTGTCCTTCTCTTTCTCTTCCTCTCTCTCTCCCTCTCTTCCCTAAAGCTCCATTCCGACTTAGACAAGGGAGAGGGCACTGCGAAATACACCCTCTCAGGAGATGGCGCTGGCACCGTTTTTACCATTGATGAAACCACAGGGGACATTCACGCAATAAGGAGCCTAGATAGAGAAGAAAAACCTTTCTACACTCTTCGTGCTCAGGCTGTGGACATAGAAACCAGAAAGCCCCTGGAGCCTGAATCAGAATTCATCATCAAAGTGCAGGATATTAATGATAATGAGCCAAAGTTTTGGGATGGACCTTATGTTGCTACTGTCCCAGAAATGTCTCCTGTGGGTGAGTAGGCAAATCAAAATTCTGTGAGATACAATGAGACCTCTTCAACATTGACTTTTTGCAGGTTGATGTAAACATCTTATCTATCATCTAAAAGAATTATTTTTCAATTCTAGAAAATACAGTTCTTTTCATTTATTTTTGTAACTTTTTTGTTTTTCTTTCTGCTTCATTATGAAGATAACTACAGGAATATATAACATTAGTTCCTGTTTTCCACCCTGTGAATTTACCTGAATTCATAGAATCCTTGCGTGCTTTAAGCAAAAAATGTATTTTGTATTGAAATTGATTCTTATCTCAATTCCAGACACCTATACAGTGCTGGAGACACCTACCCTACACCACGAAATGCCAGACAGTAATTCCTAGATCAAAGTAAATGATCTAAAGCATGCATCACATCTGATCTGGAAGTGGTCCAGAAACAGGTGTGTTGCATCTTTTGTAGCTGTAAATAGAGATTCTGGAAGGGTGATACTGTTTCCTTTTCAGGGTAAATAACCCATACTTGTTATGCCATCAAGCCAAGCAGCAAATGAATAATGTCATGAAAACATTATTAGAACAAATTAACAAATTACAATTACAATTATCAAATTAACAATTAGAATATAGTAGCACCATCATTCTAAAAATTTAAATTTGATATAAATATACATTTCCATATCAGCCTAAATTTACAAAGTCCTATAATATGTAGGATATAAGGTCAATAAGTTAAGAATTCCAGCCTTAAGGACAATTTTAAATTATAATTTTTATTCCTCAGTCACCACTGCTAATCCTTCAATTTATTTCAAAGTAACTTCTGGTTTTTATTACATTTGGAAGATAAAGCAACTTATCACATGTAGGTTACAACTTAAAATTCGTGTATGAGCCATTGCTTATATTTTCTAAATCTGACATGACCCAGGGGGTTTCTACTGCTCCTACCACCACCCAGGACATGCGATGAAGATTGTGCACGCTACCGTGAGGGCAGAAGCAGGTTAGTAGCTGTAGGAGCTGTCACATGGATTTACTATAATGCACTTGAAATTGTGTATGTGACCTTATCAGGCATTTAAGGACCATAATCTCTCCTTGACCTAAGAAATCAGCTTGAAGTAATTCACTTAGATTTCAAATTTTAATGTGGATACCCAAGGCTGCAAATCTGTTATTCAGTACCTGCTACACTTTTGGGGTTGCCTCTTTTATGCACTGTTAGAATTGCTAGAAATTTAGAAGTCCAATTGGAAAGAAGCATATCTTGTTAGAAAGTATTCCCAGAAAATGAGGAAGGCTACATTTTAACTGTGTCTTGATTTTACAGGGAGAAAAATAAAGTTAATATTTTGAGGAAAAAATAAGGCTTTTAAGATGACATGCTATATAGTAGACAAATAGTTTAACTCGGTGCCTACTTCATGTACACTGGATGTGTTAACATGAATTTATGACCTTCAGTGACTTTTTATTACCAAAACAGCTTCCTTAAAGCAAACACACACACATGCCTCTACAGTATTGGAAAATTCCGTCTCCTTAGATAAAACAATTAGGATTTTTCTTGGGCCAACTAGAATAATTAGGGCTGCAGAGTTGGAGCCTTTATATAAGGAGTTTGCAGCTCATATCCGAAGAGAGAAATGTATTTGGAAAGTCAAAAGTGTAGGTAAGTGAGAAAGCAGAGTAGTTTCAGCTTTTGCAGTTGGAGTGGGTATAATTTACTGTGTTGTCATAAGATACTGGAAAGATCTTTGGAAGAATAGGTTCTTAAAGTGTTTTCTCATGTGCCCTTACTGACATTTCCCATTGGGCCTTCAAGACAACTCCAGTAAATACTTAAATTGATTTTCAGTGCACTGCTTTCTTTCATTTTTATTTATTTATTTTGAGACTGGGTCTTGGTCTGTTGCCCTGGCTGGAGTGCAATGGCCCAATCTTAGCTCACTGAAGCCTTAAATTCCTGGGCTGAAGAGATCCCTCCACCTGAGCCTCCTTAATAGCCAGTCATGTGCCACCCTGCCTAGCTATTTGTTTTTGTTTTTTTTTTTTTTTTTTACTTTTTGTAGAGAAGGGATCTAGCTATGTTGCCCAGGCTGTTCTCAAGTAGTCCTGGCCTCAAATGATCCCTCCACCTTGGCTTCCCAGAGCACTGGGATTACAGTCATGAGCCACCCTCCTGGCTCCTTTTTTTTTTATTTTTAATAACAGAAGGGTATTTCTTTTGAATGTGAAATTTTACCACATGGTATGAATTAGTCCAAGTGTTTTTATACTAAATTTACATAATATACACTTTTCAAGTAAGTACAAAGAGGTATAAACACTGCTTATGAATTGAATGTTAAAAAATAAATCTCTATGCATTACTTTTGTCTTTCCCCATAATCTCACGTATACACATAAAACAAAAAACAAGAAGACCCAGTTATAGTTGTGGTATCTGCTGTTTCTGCCTTGAAATTTCCAGCTTACAGCTAAGCAACAACTACTGTGCATCCAGAACTTACATCTATGTTCCTAGAGTACTTGTACCCCATTCTCAAGTGCACCCTTCTTACCAGGTGGAAATAGTTCACTGCTGTAATAATCTAAGAAAACATTATGTTTCTCTCTACTTTTTTTTCTCTCATATAATCTAGGCAATTCTCCCTCTGTATCATTTTCCTGAGAAAACTAAAATAATTTTTAATCAAGACCAGATGGAACTTTGTATGGTATATTGACAGTATACCAATTGTTGTGACGAATCTTACTGCCTGTTGTAGATATCAGTGTTTGAAGTATTCCCTATGAAATAACTTTTCTGTCCCAATAATTGAGAGGGCTGTTTCATTTCCAAAAAAGGGAAGAATTAATCAATTAAAAATACATATAGTGAAATAACCTGTTTTGTAACATAAAACATAAGATGAAGAAATATCGGAACATTGATATGAAGTTTAACAGTAATGGATTATATATCCAGAAATATGAACAAATAAACCTGCAATGAAAATTTACTAATGTTACTAATTTTCACTTGTGTAACGTGAACATTACAAAGAACATAGTGTACAAAGGGAGAATGTTGGTGGGTAGGATGAGTCAAGATTTCAGAGGAAAATCAATATTTAAGACTTACAGCACTGTGGAATATATTTAATTTTCCTAAAGTTGAAGAAAATTTCAGTGAATCTATGAATTGTTTAAGACAAAGGTCACTCCGTTACTGACTTCTGCTACATCTAATTTTCCAGGGAAGTAATATTTAGAGATAAAAAGCTTTTACTCTGACCTCCGGAAATTACTTAATGATCCAGATACTCCCAAAGTCAAAGCAAATCCTTGGAGACAAGTTTGGACTTTATGAATGTGGACTTAATTCTTTAAGATCACTAGAGCAACAATAAATTACAGGAATGTACCCTCTTTATATCTGATGATTATGCATAAGTGGGGTGTGCAGTTTTAAGTTACTTTTCCTACAGTGCTGACAGGTTTAGAGTGTTAAATCCATACTCAACTTGTATTATCTTCCTCTGCTTGAGCTATGCCACCTTGAGTCAGCTGATTTGACTATTTATAATTAGATACCTAACCTATGATATGATATAGTAGATGTCAATAGTGACTCATCATTTATGTAGTAAGTCTTACCATTTTCTAAGCAGTAGTCAGGTGCCATGTGATCTAACTAAAGATTTGTATTTCTTATTTTACTTAACAATTACAGTAACCCCAATGCAGTATTATTCACTGTTGGATTTTTTTTAATGTGAAAACTTAATAACCCCTGTGGATAAGAAAGTAAGAATGATTCTTAGGTGCTTTAGGACCAAATTAATCAGAATTTAATATACCACTTTGTCTAGGTGTCATGGCGGCTAAAATATCTTTGAGAAAGTTAAACTTAGCTTTCAATCTCAGATGATCTACTTAAGAATTTGGAAAGTTTATATTATATTATTTGAGAATGGGGATTCTTGCTTAAACGAAACCTGAAGGATGGGCATCTTTCATTCAATATCTTAAAAAGAAAGTTTAGCTGACATTTAAATAAGAAAAGATACACCTAAAATAAAGTAGAACACTGGTTTAATAAAAATAGTGAACAGGTACTCCCTTGCCTTTCTATTTTTCTCTCAACTCTATTTTATTTTACATGAAGTTTGGGGAGAAATGCTAAGATGAAATTTTTGGTGGAGTCTTTCAGAGGTTATTTAACCAGAGACTATTTTCTTTTTTCTTTTTTTTTTTTTTTTTGAGATGGAGTCTTGCTCTATTGCCCAGGCTGGAGTGTAGTGGTGCGGTCTTGGCTCACTGCAACCTCTGCCTTCCAGGTTCAAGTGATTCTCCTGCCTCAGCTTCTCGAGTAACTGGGATTACCGGTGTGCACCACCGCACTCAGCTAATTTTTGTATTTTTAGAAGAGATGGGGTTTTGCCACATTGGCCAGGCTGGTCTCGAACTCCTGACCTCAAGTGATTTGCCTGCCTCGGCCTCCCAAAGTGTTGGTGTTAAGGACATGAGCCACAGTGCCCAGCCAACCAGAGACTACTTGTTTCGTGGCCATATTTAAACGGTCTAAGAAGGAAAAGTGAAGACTGTGTCTGTACTTTACATTAATGAACTATTACAATTTAGAAACATATATAAGTCTCCACACTTCCTTATTTTCACAAAAATGCCATAGAGAGACAAATTGAAACATAAAAAACTAGATATATTCTCTCATCCCATGAGCCAGCCATGGAAACAGAGAGCAGCTCAATTAGTAGCAGAGGAACAGGTGAATTATCATCCACTTCTATCTATGCCCTAAAAGCAGAGTTTTTTCAGAAGCTTGAAGACAGAATGTTGACTATTTATTTTCCACACATAAAGACATTCTCCTTGTGCAATCAAACTACAATGTTTAAAATCAGGAAATTTGCATTAATGTATTATTATAATCTAATCCTTCAGCCCTATTCAAGCATTAGCACTTGTCTCAATAGTGTCTTATATAACAAAAAGTTCAAGTTCAAAATCAAACATTGTATTAAAATGTTAGGTCTGTTTAGTTTCCTTTAATCTGGAACAGGTTCATATTTTTTCTTGGTTTCCGTGACTTTAATATTTTTGAAGATTTCTGCCTAGTTATTTTTTAGAATGGCTCTCCCATCTTGAGTATGTGTGATGTTTCCTCATGTATGAATGAAGCATATACATCTTTGTCAGAAATATCCCAGAAGCAATTCTGTACTCTCCTCATTATGTTCTATTGGGTGGGCCATGGTTTTTGATTTGTCTCATTACTGATGATGGTTACTTTTATTATTTGATAAAGGTTGTATATAACTTATCTATTATGGCATAATACATTAGCTAAAACCTTAGCGGTGTAAAACAGCAGATACTTACGTTTCTCATAGGAATGGCTCTATTGAGTACCTCTGTCTCAAGGCTTCTCAAGAGTTTGTAGCTACCTTGTTGGCTGGGGTTGCGGTCTGACCTAAAGGCTTAGTTAGGGGGTGGTAGAAATCTTCCATATGTTCTTTGCTACGTGGACCTCACAGGCCTACATCATAACGTGGCAGCTGGCTTTCCTCAGAATGAACTACCCAAAAGAGAGCTAGACAGAGAGAAAACCCTCTGATTGAAGCCATAGTCTATTTATAACCTAATCTTGAAAGTGACATCACATCCCATCTGCCATATTATACAAGTAAGTGCAACGCGAATACAAGAAAGCTGGGATCATTGAGGGCTCTCCTACAGTCTACCTACCACTCTCTATATTCTGGCTCTCAATGATTCATGTTGCTCTCTCATGCAATATATCCTCATCCCCTTCTGAGGACCCCAAAATTTTCAACCCACTATAGCATCAGCTCAAAGTCCAGAAGCTTTTCATCTAAATCAAGTCCAGATGGGGAAGTGATTTGGGGTTTAATTCTTTTTTTTTTTTCTTTTAGATTTTTTTACTTTTAGTTTTGGAGTACCTGTGCAGGATGTGCAGGTTTGTTACATTGATAAACATGTGCCAGGGTGGTTTGCTGCACCTATCAACCCATCACATAGGTATTAAGCCCAGCATGCATTAGTTATTTTTTCTAATGCTCCCCATCCCTCCCCTCCACCCCCCATCAAGCCCCAGTGTGTATTGTTCTCCACCCTGTGTCCATGTGTTCTTACTGTTCAGCTCCCACTTCTAAGAGACAACATGTGGTGTTTGGTTTTCTGTTCCTGCGTTACTTTGCTAAGGATAATGGCTTCCAGATTCATCCATGTCCTTGCAGAGGACATGATCTCATTTCCTTTTTGTGGCGGCATAGTATTTCATGGTGTATATGTACCACATTTTCTTCATCCAGCTTTGTGATACTAAAGAGGCCAGTTACTTACTACACATTCACCAAAAATACAGTGGCAAAACAGGAATAATGTCTCTAGACATTCCTGTTGAAAAAAATGGGAAAATGCACAGACTAAAAGAATGATTGGTCCACCACATTTTAAAATCCCAGTGGTAAATGTTGCAAGTCATTTGATTATATTCAACGCCTGTGAATAATTATTCATGCCTCTCATCTCTGACCTCTAGGCTCTTCGTTCTGCCTTTTGAGTTATTCTTTTTTTTTTTTCCATGAAATACAGCTTGTACTTGCAATAGTACTTGGGTGTTGAACTTGTTAAGAGTGCTTATCCTTTTTTTCAGATCCATCTATCATTTCCTAGTTGTATGTGGTTGTGTGGGTTATTTCTCCTCTTTTACATTGATTTTCTCACCTGCAAGTGAATAATAGTAACACTTTATGAGCAGGGTTATTGCAAGTAGCAAGGAGAAAATATATATTTACCATTTGCCACAATCCCTGGGGAAGTGCAGTCAATACATTGGAAAGGGTCCTCATAAGAGTTTGATGATCATTCTCAGAAAGCTAGCCAGAGAAAGTCTAAATGGTAAAGGTTCCAGCTCATTATCTTCTTCCCTTTTCTCAAGTTTTCTCTCCATCTGACATGTGAGCTCAGTATTTACCATTGCCCTTTCTACAAATTTAACCAAGTTTATTTAAAAACATAATGACCTTCTATCCCAATTTACATTTTCTTTGGTGTAGAGGACGCCTTTACCTTGATGTGTGGAGACAAGCCGTTGATTTGTAAGAAACACCAATTATCAGCTTCCACTTGTGCTTCACAATCTGCTGAGTCGCTTTAACACTTTTGATGAAATTGAGCAAGGCCTTGTGATCTCTCCTGTGCCAGCCGTGAAGTGTCCACTGCACGCAGCTTGGCAGAACTATTTTCAGGGCCATAGGATGTTATGGCTGTGTGGGCAGGGAGCATTTTATTCGTCTGTTTGATTCCTATGTTTTTATTAGTGGTGCAATTGCAAAGGTAATGCTATTGACACTTTTTGTGTAGCCTTGAGAGAAGAGTATGAATTGTTTTAGTAGCAGCACAGCGTGTCCCTAAATATAAATCATGCTGTACTGATAGTTACTTTAGCAGCCACTGATCAGCAATAAATGTTAAAAATTAACAAGAAGTTTCTTTTTTTCGAAACCACCAAATGACTCTAAGCATTAAATATATTTTAGCCGGAGTTGCTTCTCGGCCACAGAGTGGTTCACAACATTAAACATATTTTCAAAGTATTACTCCTTCCCCAGCCTCCAAGTGGTTGTAAACATTAAATATGTCTTATAAAAACTGCTTTGCCAGCTACTGGCAAGACAGCTATGAACATCATTTTTCTTTAAAGTTGCCTTCCAGCTGCGGGACTATTTTTCCTTATTTGCTCTATTCTATTTATATTTTGTACACAAAAGCAGGCAAGAGGCTACATTGGCCCAATTGTCTCTGGCTTTATGATAAGTGATCGTGGGAGAGCAGTTGCACCTCCGTAAAACCCTGCTGGCCACAGGAGCTTGCTGAAGTTCAATCACTGATACTGAATATTTCATATAGATGTCAGCTGTGTCTTCCAAAATAATTTTTGTTTTTCATTGTGCAATGTGTTGAGGCATAAAGATGGGCATGCATTAACATCAGCATTAAGAAAAATAACTTGAAGCAACCAGACACTGATGAATTATACCCACTGATTCAGGTGAAAATATTCCGTGAAGAGAACAGACTCAAATGGCAGGACTAGTATGTTAATGAGGTCTTTAACCCAAACATGATGAAAGACTTGGAGCCTCTGTCTGGAAATCATCCAGTGTGACAACTGCATGTGATTCAAAAAGAGTGAAGAGTATGCTATTACATAAAGGTCTATCCAGGACTTAGAGCAGGAAATCTTTTCATTTTAACCAAATTCACAGTGAAAATAACGTGTGTCCCCTGAGTGAATTGAAAAATAAATTAGCTCTATCATCTCAGGCACAGTAATTCATCATCAGGCCAAATAATTAATTACTCAGGAAGGCTTTGATTTCTATGGGAGCCAAGTGTTCTCCAAATTGTGTAGTACTGTATCTTGCCAAATGTTTTATTTTAGGTGTATGTTCAACAGGTTCAAATATTCATCAATACCTACGTGACAGGCACTATTTTAGGTACTGGAGCTAGAACTTGAGCAAAAAAGACAAAAAGTCCTCCTCTCAGGAAGCTTTTACTCCAAAGGCCTCCTGCAGGGGCAGCAAGCTAAACTCTGTGAGCTAAATTCAACATATCATCTGTTTTTATTGGAACAGTTACACTTATTCATTTCTGTGTTGTCTATGGCTGCTTTCACACCACAATGGAAGAGCTGGCAACAGAGACCATATGGCCTGCAAAGACTAAAATATTTACTATCTGCTCCTTCACAGAAAAGTATGTTGACCCATTACATAGTGGATTGAGTTTGAGAGAGGAGATTAAGGTAAGGCCAACATTTTAAATCGACCTATGAGGAAAAAGTGTTTTTTTTCTCCCTAAAAATTACCTCCTCCAGAAGAAAACAAAACACAAAAAAACATAAAAATAAAAAGAAAGAAAATGGCAAGACCCAAGGTAAAATGAAGGGTAAAAGTGAGCACCACACTAATACATATGTATCAGCGTGAAATCAGATGCTGCCATTTAGTTCCTGCTGAAAGTGTTGGTTTGGCTTTATTAAAATAACTTAAACACAGTCTTTCAATGTTATAGACTCATGGTAAAGGTTTCTTTTTCCTTTTGTGAATTTTTAAAAATTTCTCTGCAAAAATTATTCCTCACACAATTATGTAACTTTATATTTTCGATTAAAACTAAAACTAAAAATGTTGAAAGAACAACTCGATATTGGATTAAAATATTCATTTTCCATCTTCATTCTCAGGATTCATATTTGGTTGCCTCATTGCGATATAAGTATGTTGAAAAAAATGGAAAATTGCTGAAAGCAAAAATTTTAAAACTCACCAGTATTAATAATTATCACCAAATAACTATTACAGAAAACTTCCTCAGAAAGTAAAATTAGAGTGAAGGTATCACAGGTTGGCACTATTTTCATTCCCGACCAAGAAACTGACACCTGAAAATTAAAAAAAAAAAAAATCAGAGTCTACAGTTTTACAAATAATTAACAAAATGAACATCAAAATAGGGTGCAATTTGTTTAATTGGCAAAGGCACACAACGAAAAAGAAATATGTCAATTAAACTGTCAACCATGTTAATTTTGCCTCTGAGAAAAACATTGTAATGGGATAATTTCACGAAATGCTTTGATGACAAGAAAATGCCAAAATATGATTAGCTACTTCAAAATTCAGCTGAAACAAGAAAGCAATTGGTGGCAGCCAGAATAACCAAAGGTCTTTTTTTTAATATACCTTTTTTTTTCCGTCTCTTTTTGCCTGTGTTTAATCAACAGCGTACATTTTGTTTGACAGTGAAATGATTCATAATGAAAACACTGGCATCACAAAAACTTAGCAGAAACTTTGCTATAAGATTAGAGTATACACTTCTATTTTCCCCAAACTCTTTAAAAATATAATTACTATTTCTGAAAGAATTTGTTATCTTTATGAAATAATGTATTTTTCTTACTAGCATTAAGTGCTTATTTAGCTAAAAGCCAGAATTAGAAGCAATTCACTCATATGAGTATGTTTATATTTATATTGTCAAATATATTTACTTAGAATTTAAACCAAGATATATTTTATTTATTGTTCTCATCACTGCCTGTTAGTCAGAATGGATATTTTAAATTTTACCAGGTCATGTAAATTTTACTACCTATATTTCTTATTCCTGTTTGTTTAGAAAAATAATCTAGTCTATACCTAAGCTAACAAATAATCCTAAACATTGAAAATACAAACATGAGTATGAAGAATTCACTTTCTAATAAGTTTCAGCTTTTTACAAATGGCTGCTTAAATATAATGCATAAATATGACGTATTTTTAAAAATACATCTTGTTTATGCATTACTTGAACCATAACTAATCCCCATTTCCAGTCAAAAAGAACACTGTCTACATATGTTAATCTCTAATACAACAAAAGCAGGCTTAGCTTAATGGGAAACTTATTAGAGTAAAATAGTTCTTTTTATTTTTTATTTTATTTTATTATTACAATAAGAAGATTATAATTTGGTAACTAGCAGGAGAAGAAAGACTTCCAAAGATTATTTTATGGGTCCATGTATTTGCTTTTCCTGAGGGTAACTAGTGCTAATTCTAGAAAGGCAGAATGCTGTAGGAAAAACAAAATAAGCCCTGGAGTACAAAAGATTTGGATTCAAACTTTGAAGAAGGATGGGGAAGTGTTTAGGAAAGTGCTTCCCTGTGTAAAACTTAGCTGGTAAGTACCATATTTCACTGAAATTGCTGTTATAATAATTGAAACGGATTATTATTGGAAAAACAACATCAGCAAAACTAAAACCTAGATGAGTTTAAATAAGTGCCAGCCATTTTTCTCCTGTGGGGATTTAGAGTTGAAGTGGGTATCTTCGATTACTTTTCTTTATCCTCATTCTTATTCTTATAATTTTTCCTAATAAGTCACCTAAGAAGGGCATTTAAATAAGTGCTAGCCTTTTTTCTCCTAGGGGGATTTAGAGTTGAAGTGGATGTCTTCAATTACTTTTCTTCTCTATTCTCGTTCTTATTCTTATAATTTTTCCTAATAAGTCACCTAAGAAGGGGATTCTAGAAACATCTCTTTCCAAGAATACATATTGTTTTAAGAAATATCAGTTACCCCAAATACTTGAATAGAAACTAGGAAAACAGGAGAGGGAGATTATAGGTGTAAACAAGGAATTACTGTGCAGTAATATGTGTAGTGGACGTGAAAAGTAATGACTTAACAGTTTGAATACACAAAGATGGACCAAACAAATACATTTATTTCTCCTTTATTCCAAATTGCCATTGAAATAGGAAAATATAGTACTTATTAAAATAACTATGGAAAGTTGAGAAGAATTCTACCAACAGACTAAAGAGTAAGCAATTTCTGAAGGACATAAGTCATATCAGAGGCACTTTAGTCTTTGGCCATAATAGAATTATTGGAGGGACTTGCCTTTTCACTATAAACAATGATAAAACTGGGCAACATATATGAGGAACCAGATTTTATGCATCAAACAAGAAGTACAAGTTTTTCATACTCAAGAGAGAAGAAAGCTGTGAGGTAAGTACCACATTTAACCAGAGAATGTGACTAGGGGCACTTTTTCTCCCATTAAACAAGGAGGCAGACTCTAAAAATAATGAGTTTAGAGGAAGAAATTAAAGCTTAAAGCTCTCATTTTGTAGGTTGTCTGCTTATTTGTTGATAATTTCTTTTGCTATGCAGAAGCTCTTAGTTTAATTAGGTTCCAAAAAGAGGTAGGGGTAGAGGGACAAGAGCCAAGGAACTTCCTGTTAGGTATTCAGTTCACTACCTGGGTGACAGGATCAGTGGAAGCCCAAACAGTAGCAGCAAGCAATATAACTTTGTAACAAACCTGCACATATACCCCCTGAATCTAAAATTACAATTAAATCTCTATCTATATCATCTCTCTCTCTATCTATCTATCTATCGATATTTGTAAATAGCTTACACTTGCTTAAGTGGTTATTTAAGAGCTGCTGAAGTGGCTGAAATTTGTATAGGAAAGGAAAAAGAGGCATGGGGTAGGCCTACAGAAGCCAGAATAAGTATTTGGCACCAATTTCGTCAAAAGCTGCTCTATACCTGAGCAGGGTTAACATCTGCAAGACCTGCTGAAAGCAGATACTGTGGGAATAAGATATCAGTAGTAACAGGACAAGGAGATGTTTGGGTTACTGACTAGCCACAGGGAAGATATTTTACGGAATATTCCAGGCATTAAGAACAAGGACTATTTCTTTCAGTAAAGACTATGTCCTATCTTTAAGAACAAAAATGAAAGAGATTTTCATTAACAAATAATGAAACCAGGCATGGCAGATCAAAAGGATCTGGAAGCCACTTAACAGCTTTCAAAGGACTATCTTAGGGCCTTTTACAAGAAGACAACGTCTAGATTTTCTACAGTGTATTAGTCAAAAATACAAGTTACGCAAAGAAGCAGGAAAATTTAATAAATAATCAAGGGGAAAAAAGCAGTCAATAGAACATACATCATAATGACCCAGGCATTGAAATCAACAGATATATATTATGAATATGTCCTTAGACTATGGAGATATTGTCACAATGATAGAACGAAAAAGGTAATTTTGAGAAATGAACATTGTTGAAGTAACAAGTGCAAAATATACAATGAAAGAGTCACTGGCAGGGTATACTCTCAGATTTCAGCTATCTGAAAAGCAGACAAATAACCTTGAAAACCATTTTTGAATTTATCTAATCTCAAACAAAAGAGGAAAATGATTAAAATAAGAGATTGAATGACATGGGATATCAAGCCATCAAACCTATACACAAATGAAGTCTCAAAAGGATGAGTCAGAAAATGGGAAAGAAAAAATATATTTGAAGAAATAATTGCCAGTGTTTTCAAATTTTGATGAAAAATTTCAATGCAGAGATCCAAGAACATCGAATCAACAAGAACACATGTATGAAGGGTATAAAGCCAATAGCATAATTAAAATGAAATATTGAAAAATATCCATTTACTCTAAGGAAGGTAACACTGAACCGGTGAAGAAAGAAATATCAACAACCAAGGGAAGAGAACAACACCCAAATAAGAAAATAGTAGGCAAATAGTAACATGGTAGATTTAACAACACTGACATCACTGATTAAATGTAAATGGATTGAACATTTATATTAGTTTCCTAGGGTTATATAACAAAGTACCATAAACTAGGTGCCTCAAGCAACAAAAATGTATTATCTCAAGTCCTGAAGGCTAGAAGTCTGAATTCAAGGTACTGGTTCCTTCTAAAGGCTGTGAAGAAGAATCTGTTCTAGACATCTCTCCGTGGCTTTTAGATGGCTTTCTTCATGTTCATATGTTGTGCTTTCTGGTGGCATTTTTGTGTCCAAATTTCCCCCTTTCATAAGGCCACCAGTCACATTGGATTACAGGCCACTCTAATGATCCCATTTTGACTTGATTACATCTATAAAGATCCTATCTTTCAATAAGGTTGCATCCTTAATTACTGGGGTAAGGACTTCAACGTATGTTTTTTTTGGCAGACAATTCAACCCATAACACACTTAAATTAAGAGCTAGCAATTTTGAGACTGGATTTAAAAAGGACAAAACTATATGCTCTGTATAATGAATGCATTTTTTTTTTGAGATGGAGTCATAAAATTGGTTGAAAATGAAAGGAAGTAAAACTGATGTAGCTGGCTAATACCAGAGAAAGTAGGATTCAAAATAAGCTGAAATATCAGAGATGGAATGATAAAAGGTTAAGCTCATTAGCAATGCATTATAATTCTCAATGTTTATACAACTGATAACAGAGTGTCAAAATGCATGAAGTAAAAACAGACAGAACTAAACAGAGAAATAGACTTTCACTCATAGTTGAAGATTTTAATCATCGGCTCAAAATAAACAATAGATGAACAAATAAAAATTAGTAAGGATTTGGAAGATTCTAATAATACTATCAACTAATGTAGTCTAATTTCAAGTTTTAGAACACTACACAAAAAATTTCATGAAAATATTTTTATCAAATTTACATGGAATGTTTACGAAGGACTGTGTAGTCTCGGTCATTAAATAAGTCTCAATAATTTGCAAAAGATTAAAAATTATCTTCAGAGGTGAAACAATGGTTTTTGTGTTGATTGAGATATTGATTAAATATGTACATTTGTGAAAACTTACTAAATTGAATGCTTAATTTCTGTGCATTTTGCTGTATCTCAATTCTAATAGAAAGACAGGCAAACATATAAATACCTATTACAGACATACCTACACACACACACGTGTGTGTGTATGTGCGTGTGTGTATGTGTGTGTATAAGTCATTTGCATATATACTGGCAGTGAATCCCAGTAAAGGTGAGGAATACATATTCTCACACTGGTAGAAATGATGACTTTTTACAGTCTGATTTTTTTTGTGTTTTAATCCAGAAATAATCCCAAAATTAGAGATACAAGGGAATGGTAATTGGTCCATAGAATAAGAACTGTCCAAGAAATTTATAGCACATGACTCCCTGTCCCACGCTCAATTGAGGTTTGTTTTATGTCTTTGCTCTGGGAAGAAAGCCCCCAGTTTAGCTTTCTAAATGATGAGTTCAGAATCTACTCACAAGCATTAGAGATTAGTAAAGTTCCTTGTATTCAGTAGAGTTCCTTGCAACAAGCATGAGCAGTAGAGATGCTGCCACTTTCAAAAGACTTACATATGGACCACTGAAAAGAAAGGCATTATGTGGTCAATTTTAGAGCATGCGCCATGTGGAGATGAGAAGAATGTATATTCTGTTGTTTTTGGATGGAGAGTTCTGTAGATGTCTATCAGACTCATTCGGTGGAATGTTGGGTTCAGATCCTGAATATCATTGTTAATTTTCTACCTTGATGATCTGTCTATGACTATCAGTGGTGTGTTAAAGTCTCCTACTATTATTGTGTGGGAGCCTCTTTGTACTCTAAGAACTTACTTTATGAATCTGGGTGTTCCTGTGTTGGGTGCATATATATTTAGGTTAGTAAGGTCTTCTTGTTGAGTAAAACCCTTCATCATTATGTAATGCCCTTCGTCTTTTTTTTTTTTTTTTTTTTTGAGACGGAGCCTCACTCTGTCGCCAGGCTATAGTGCAGTGGCATAATCTCAGCTCACTGCAATCTCCGCCTCCCGGGTTCAAGTGATTCTCCTGCCTCAGCCTCCCGAGTAGCTGGGACTACAGGCACACACCACCAAGCCCAGCTTATTTTTTTTTTTTTTTTTGGATTTTAGTAGAGATGGGGTTTCACAATGTTGGCCAGGATGGTCTCGATCTCCTGACCTTGTAATCCGCCCACCTTGGCCTCCCAAAGTGCTGGGATTACAGGTGTGAGCCACCACTCCCGGCCCCTTCTTTGTCTTTTTTGAACTTTGTTTGTTTGACGTCTGTTTGGTCTGAAATTAGGATGCAACCCCTGCTTTTTTCTGTTTTCTACATGCTTGGTAGATTTTCCTCCATTCCTTTATTTTGAGCCGATGGGTGTCATCACATGTGAGATAGGTCTCAAAGACAGCATACCATTGAGTCTTGCTTTTTTATTCAGCTTGCCCCCCTTTACCTTTTAAGTGGGGCATTTAGCCCACTTACATTCAAGGTTAGTATTTGATATGTGTAGATTTGATGCCCTCCCTCATGACTCCTATTCAACATAGGAAATCCCAGCCAGAGTAATCAGGCAAGAGAAAGAAATAAAGGGCATCCAAATAGGAAGAGAGGAAGTAAAATTATCCCTATTTGAAGCTGACATGATTCTATATCTAGAAAACCCCATAGTCTCAGCCGCAAAGCTCCTTCTGCTAATAAAAAAAACTTCAGCAAAGTTTTAGAAAGAAAATCAATGTACAAAAATCACTAGCATTTCTATAAACCAACAGTAACCAAGCTGGCAGTCAAATCAGGAAGGCAATCCCATTCACAATTTTCACAAAAAGAATAAAATATCTAGGGTAAAATACAACTAACCAGGGAGGTGAAAAATCTCTACAATGAGAATTACAAAACACTGCACAAAGAAATCAGAGAGGATACAAACAAAATGGAAAACATATCATGCTCATGGATAGGAAGAAGCAATATCATTAAAAGGCCATACTGCACAAAGCAATTTACAGATTAAATGCTATTTCTATCAAACTACCAATGACATTCTTCACAAAACTAGAAACAACTGTTTTAAAGTTCATGTGGAACCAAAAAAGAGGCCAAATAGCCAAGGCAATCTTAAGAAAAAGAACAAAGCTGGAAGCATCAGGCTATCTGACCTCAAACTATACTACAGGGCTATGTTAACCAAAACAGCATGGTGCTGGCACAAAAACAGGGACATAAACCAATAGAACAGAATAGAGAACCCAGAAATAAAGCCACACAGCTATGATTATCTGATCATCAATAAAACTGACAAAAACGAGCAATGGGGAAAAGACTGTCTTTTCAATAAATGGTACTGGGATAACTAACTAGCCATATGCAAAAGATTGAAACTGGACCCCTTCCATACACAATATACAAAAATCAACTCAAGATGGATTAAACACTTAAATGCAAAACACAAAATTAGAAAAACCCTGGAAGACAACCTAGGCAATACCATCCTGGACTTAGAACAGGCAAGGATTTCATGACTAAGATGTCAAAAGCAATTGCAACAAAAGCAAAAATTCATAAATGGGAACTTCATTAGTCCATTTTCACACTGCTATAAAGAACCACCAGAGACTGAGTAATTTATAAAGAAAAAGGTTTAATTGACTTGAAGTTCAGCATGGCTGGGAAGGCCTCAGGAAACTTACAATTATAGGAGAAGGTGAAAGGGATGCAATGCACCTTTTTCACAAGGCGGCAGGAAGGAGAAGTACCAGGCAAAGCTGGGAAGAGCCCCTCATAAAACCATTAGATCTCGTGAGAACTCATTCACTATCACAAGAACAGCATGGGTGAAACCACCCCCAGATTCAATTACCTCCACCTGGTCTCTCCATGTGGTGATTATGGAGATTATAATTCAAGATGAGATTTGGGTGGGGATACAAAGCCTAAACATATCAGGATCTCATTAAACTTATTAAGAGCTTCTGCATAGCAAAAGAAACTATTAACAAAATAAACAGACAACCTACAGAGTGGGAGAAACTATTTGCAAACTATGCGTCTGACAAATGTCTAAAATCCAGCACCTATAAGGAATTTAAACAAATTTACAAGAGAAAAACAACCCCACTAAAATGTGGGCAAAGTACATGAACAGACACTTTTCAAAAGAAGACGTACATGTAGCCAACAAGCATGTGAAAAAAAAAAAAAACTCAATATCACTGATCATTAGAGAAATGCAAATTAAAACCACAATGAAATATAATTTCATACCAGTTAAAATGGCTACTATTAAAATGTCAAAAAATAACAGATGCTGGCAGGTTGTGGAGAAAAGGAAACACACACTGTTAGTGGGAGTGTAAGTTAGTTCAACTATTGTGGAAAGCAGCATGGCAATTCCTCAAAGAGATAAAAGCAGAACTACCATTCCAACCAGCAATCGCATTACTGCATATATACCCAGAAGAAAATATATCATTCTACCATAAAGACACATGCACACAAATGTTCATTGCAGCAATATGCACAATGGCAAAGACATAGAATCAACCTCAATGCTCATCAATAAGAGTTTAGATAAAGAAAATGTGGTATATAGACACCATGGAGCTATAAAAAAGAATGAGATCACGTTCTTTGCAGTAACATGGATGGAGCTGGAGGCTATTATACTGGCCAAATTAACACAGGAACAAAAAACCAAATACTAGAAAATACTGCATGTTCTCACTTACAAGTGGGGAACTAAATTATGAGAACACATGGACACAAAGAAGGGAACAGCAGACACTGGAGTCTACTTGAGAGTGGAGGGTGACAGGAGACAGAGGAGCAGGAAAAATAATTGTTGAGTACTTGGTACCTAGGTGACAAAATGATCTGTACAACAAACCCTGATGACACGAGTTTACCTATATAACAAACTTTCACAGGTACTCCCAAACCTAAAATAAAAGTTAAAAAAAAAAGAAGAAAGCAAGCCCAAACCCATGCTGTACCACATGGCAGCATGGCATTGCAATTTTCAATTACTTGGGGGAAATAAAGATTCTCATGTGATTAGAGGAAATAATCTTTATTTAATAACAATGCTTAATAAGAACACTTGACAATAGATGGCTGAGAAAACCAAGAATCACCAAATATTTAAATAAAAATAAAAAATAAAGAATATCCTATCTATGAAATGATATAAACACTAAGAAAATAGAATTAACAGAAGAAACTAAAGAAAATGTCAATAGCCTTGGTGTCCATACAGGAATAGGAATCACAAAAATAACCATAAAATATTTTTAAAAATACCTTTTACAAGCAATACTCCAGAATGTCAGAAATTAAAAATATCATTAGCAAAATAAAATGTAGTAAACAGAATAAATAATATAAAAGATAAAACTGATGTCTAAAGATTACCCCAGAATCTGAACTGCATGAGGGGGAATAATAATTACATTACTGGATATGAGAACAACTATTTAATAGACACATCTACTTGGATGACAATGCTTTTTTTTAAATGTCAAATTTCCAGTTTATTAATTTTAATACATTTCTGATCAAAATTACTCATTTCTTTTTGTGCCCTTATTTTTTGCATTAATTTTCATTTTTTACATCTCCATGCTGAATTGAAAAAAACTTCTACTGACCTGTATTTCAGTATATTAATTATTCCTTCAATGGTATCTAATCTGGTGGTAAATTATCTATTATATTTAATTTAAGTAATCACATTTGTATTTTAAATGTTTTGCTTATTTCATCCACAATATAATACTAACACAGTTTTTTCTCTACAATTAGTTTAAGCTTTTAACTAAATTTTTAAAGAGTAAAATATTTATTATCTTTCTCTGATATTGTCCAATGTTTGAAGTCTTTGTGGGTCTAATTATGTTTCATGTTGTTTTTGTTGATTTTAACTTATTTTGCCTTGTTTCACTGTGTTCTTGAGAATATTGTAAGATTTAGCTTCAGGGTATTTTTATAAAGCATTCAGATTTGCTTCTCCCTAACACTTGGGCATACGAGTAGGACCACCTTAAAAAAATGTTCAATTTTTGAGATTACCTGAGTCACGCAGTCACACAAACCCAAGTAGTGGATCCAAGCTACCACTGCTTTAGGTCTGTCTGGTTCACCTTATGCTGAGGGTATAAGATTTGGTCATCTCAATCTTTTAAGGGAGGGCTCCTTAAGAAGACTTAACATATGCTAGTCTTCGGTTTTGGTTTCTTTCTCATTCACCCTGAAACTGTCAAAATAAATATTAATATTTGTAGAGATCGGCAAATTGCAACTGGTAAGGTTATATCCTTACCTCTCTGGGTTCTTCTTTTCTCTTCAAATTTGGTTCGATCACTTATTAAAATTTTATAAGCTCTCAATGCTTTTTAAAAGGTGTTTTAAATGTGCAATCACTAGCATTTTTTAAAGTTTTTTCATTGGGAATTATAGTCTGAATAATATCCCACCATAACTAGAAAATGAAATACCTACCTATTACAAATGCAATACATTTTATATATTGAGTAATTTGCCTTTTTCTAATTAATTTTATTTTAAAACTCATATTAAAATCTATATTTTATAAGAAAAAAAAAAGCTTCACATTTGATTAAGACCAACTTAGCTTCACAAATCTCTACCCGAATGACCACAGGCAAGTGATCTGACATTTGCAAGTGCCTATTTTTTTTTTTCATTTATAAAATGGAAATACATAACTGAGCTTAATGTGGATCAAAGAAATTAATATGTAAAAAAAATCAAACACAGAACCTGAAAATGATAGGAAGTCAATTATTCAGCCTACCTATCCACTACTAAAATAATTCTTGGTTATGAACTTCACAAGGGAACACACTGTATTACTACTCTACTCAATAACATGAATTTCATTGTGTATCTTCTGGGGCAAGTGCTTCTTCCAAACAAATTAAACCATGCCACTCACACAATGTTCATCTATCTCATAAGTTTTTGCTATTCTCCTGTTGATTTTACATTTAATGAGGGATAAATTCTATTTTCACAATCATAATCAAATAGTACCTAGAGAATAAAAGCTACTAAGACAAGACAACCCTCAATTCAATTAATAACTAATCCCTCTCTTTTTCAGAGGTACATCAGTTGTTCCTCCAGGATTAAAACCCCTCCTGTTTTACAATAAAAAAGCAGACAGATGACAGGATCTCATTAAACATCTATTGTGCACCCACACAAAAAAAATTAAGTAGGCAGATGCTCTGATTATTTAAAGCAACACACAGAGTTTTAGGATGAAGTTTTATTTCTGAATTTTAACTTATGCACAACTTGTAAAATGTTACTTCATTTATAAATAAAGCAGCACTAACTTGGTAACTTGGAATCACTGTATTTTTCTTCATAAAGAATAAAGTCAGGATAACAGTTAGCTCTCTTTGTTTCTGAATAATGATTCAACATTAATTTAGATATTAGAAGCTCTCACATGCAAGTGTGTGTGCATGCACTCACACACACTACTCTGAAGAGGTAGAATATGAGGAAATAAGATACACATACACAGAGAAGGAATATGTAACATTTAATTTTAACCTCAATGACAGGAGGAGGAGCACCAATAATCTAAAAAAAAAAAGAAATCCCAAAAGTTTTGGATTAGCTGCCTCTCTAGCTAAGTATATATTTTATTGCTAATCAATATGGCATGACCAAAATTATAGCAATGAAAATAGTCATAATTATCATCAAGTAATGAAAATAATATTTATGTGCTCAACAGTATTACTTATATATTCTGATTAAATCATGTGCTATTGAAAGCAGGATGAAGTAGAGCTTATTTTATATCTTAGAATTCTTTTCCATCAATGTCAGTTTAGGAAATGAAAGTTATTAGAATTTCAATGTAATTAATTCATTTGCAATTGGTGTCTATTTGGTTATGTATTTTTTCATAGATATAGTCTGAGAGACATTATCTGGTAACTTTTATCATGTCTCTGAGAAACCAATTTTCTGTAAGGCCTAATTTTTTTTCTTAAATAAATATGTATCTGCTCATGCATATACCAACTTCATGGATTCCAAACAATAAAAAAGTTAATTGTAAGGATTGGACAGAATCTACATTTTAAATGCTATTTAAAACATTATCACACTGTAGTGGAGGAATCATAAACTGCAGAAGTTTTTCAACCATGCCACCACAAACTACATCTCTACAAAATGTTTTGTACTTTTACTTTAAAGAACTAAAATTGGAAACAAAGAGTGGAGAATTATTTCTTCCCTTTCTCTTCCCTTCATCCTCATTCTAGCACCAGTCATACCTGACCATGATTTTTAAAGAGTATAAATTACTCCTCTTCTCAGAGGTAGAAATACACAGAAAAATACACAAAAACCAAATTCTGTCAAAATATATTTAAAGAGGTTTATTCAGAGCCAGTATAAGTGACCAAGGCCTGGGTTACACTATCTCAAGAGGTTCTGAAAGCGTGCCCAAGGCAACCGGGTTACACTTTGGTTTTATACATTCCAAGGAGACAACCAACTGCAGGTAATTGCAGGTAGGTCAGGGTAGGAGCTTGTACGTCATAAGGGGCTTTTAGGGATCCTTTAGTTGACAATTGGTTGAGAGAGTTATGCTATCGTCTAAAGTCTTGAAATCGATAGAAAGGAATGCCTGAGTTCAGATAAGAGTGGGGGAAAGACCAAGGATCTTATTAAGTAGATGAAGCCTCATAGGTGGCCCTCAGAGAGAATAGATGGTAAATGTTTCTTTTCAGACCTTTAAAGGTATCAGACTCTCAATCACTCCTAGGTCCTGGAAAGGCATAGAAAGGGGAAGCATGGCTGCATTAATGAAGATTCTCCATAGATGCAAATTTCCTCTACCTCAGTTTGCTGGCCTTGCAACAGCCATTTCAAAAGACATCAAAGAAATATATTTTAGGGCAAAATATTTTTATATCCTTCAGGGTCTGCTGTCTGTTATGTGATGCTGTACCAGAGTCAGGTTGGAAAGCAAGCCACATTATATAGGGTTAATAAAAAACCCATGTAAAGAGATGTTATCATTCGTAGGGCTGACTCCCAGTTTCTTTAAATAGGAATTTGGGCAAGATGAAAAAAAAAAAATCAGAATTTAGTCCTCAACTCAAATATTTTATTCATTCAAACGCTTATTCAAACTACCGAATCCTCCAATAACAGAAAGTATAGTGTCCATCCTGAAGACTTTCATCCCATCTCACAGCATGTTTTCTCCTAGTACACCCTGATTGTCCAAGGACTTCTGAGAACACCATTCCAGAAGAGGTCATGATCTCAACAACTGTCACAGAAAGAAAGAATACAGGAAGACAAGATGCGAAAGTTATGTCAGTGGCTTTCATTCATCACACCACTACGTACTGGTTCTCTAGTACTGTGCTGTTATGATCCTCCTGACTTTTACCCTGTGAATATCCTAGTGCTTTTATATCAGTCTCACATCCTCAACACGCTGGTTTCCATAAAAATGCAACCAAGTCAGATGGCTGTGATCTGGTGGGATTCTAGTTCCATTTGCAGCCTCCAAAGCAGTCTTTTACCTAAGAACACTCAGGCCTCCAAGGTTAAGATAACAGTATACTCCAATGCAAAATTCTCTACCTCCCTACTTCAGGTCCCAGGGACTCTCAACTGCCAGTCACTCTTTGAACAATAAGAACAGACACTTAAATGATGATAACTAATGGCAGCAGCACTAATGTAAGAACGCTGGAACTATTAGTACTCTCATCTTCCAGATGAGAGAACTCAATAACATGATTTACATAAACTGCCTGAAGATACAGTAGAATAATAATAATGAAATCCAGGCATTGTGGACCTGAATGCTGCTACCTAGCTACTCCTCTTTGTGGCTTCTCCATTGTCTTTTCCTGCCAGTTCAGTTCTAACAGGAATAAACAGACGCTATTCAAAAGCTTTTCAAGTCTGAATGAAGATGTACCTAGGGTTGGTGTTGATGAACTTTCCCTCACTCTTCCTTAAGGAAATTTGTTCTTTCCTGCCATTTGAGAGACATGTTCTTCCTCTTCTTCTTCAAAGAGCTAAAATGCACCTTTATTTGCATAATGAAGATAGTGCAGTGAAGTACTTTCTTGCATTGTCAAGGAAATGAGCTCCAAAGGAACTTCCTTTTAGCATAGAGAAAGCTGCTGTTTTTATTTACTTGCATTTTGCATATGAATATATTTTAATTTAGTTTCAACAGGTAACTGAATTAGAAAGTGAAATTATAAAGTCATTTCTCCAAGAAAGAAGGTAGAGCTTATAAATATTAGTAATCTTAGCTGGGCACGATGACTTATGCCTGTAATCCCAGCACTTTGGGAGGCTGATGCGGGCCAATCACCTGAGGTCAGGAGTTTGTGACCAGCCTGGCCAATATGGTGAAACCCTGTCTCTACTAAAAGTACAAAAATTAGTCTCTACTAAAAATACAAAAATTAGCCATATGTGGTGGCACATGCCTGTAATCCCAATTACTTGGGAGGGTGAGGCAGAAATTGCAGTGAGCTGAGACTGCACCACTGCACTCCAGCTTGGTGAACAGAGTGAGACTCCGCCTAAAAATAAATAAATAAATAAATAAATAAATATTAATAATCTTTTTAAGAAATGATTGTGGCTATTTCTAGGTCTAATGATACTTGCTTAATCGTATTGAAAACAATGTTATTTCTTTGAATGGCAATGGAATGTAAAATATTTAAAAACGCAATTTGACTTTTTTTACTTTTTAAAATTTATGTAGCTGGGCCGGGCACCCTGGCTCATGCCTGTAATCCCAGCACTTTGGGAGGCTGAGACTGGAGGATCACAAGGTCAGGAGATCGAGACCATCCTAGCTAACACGGTGAAACCCCGTCTCTACTAAAAACACAAAAAAATTAGCTGGGCGTGGTGGTGGGCACCTGTAGTACCAGCTACTCGGGAGGCTGAGGCAGGAGAATGGCATGAACCTGGGAGGTGGAGCTTGCAGTGAGTTTGAGATTGCTCCACTGCACTCCAGCCTGGGTGACAGAGCGAGACTCTGTCTCAAAATAATAATAATAATAATAATAATAATAATAATAATAAATAAATAAAATAAAATTTATGTAGCTGATATATTACTATAACCTCACTTGCATTTTTAAATTATTTTACTGGTTCTCTCTTTTTACTTTTATCTTACCTATGCTGTATTTTAAGTTAGTTTTATATAGACAGAATTTTAAAAATTATTTATTTATGGGGTACAAATGCAATTTGGACAATATTGTTGGCCATGTTTTTTCGTTTTTGATTTTTGTTTTTTTAACTACTCTGCCAATCTATGTTTTTTAGTTGGTTTCTATAGGCCTTTTATGTTTAACAATTTGTATGTTGTGGTTGAAGTCTACCACTTTGTTATTTGTTTCTGTTTCTTATTCCTCTGTGTCTTTTTCTTGCTTTCCAATGGGTTACATAAACATGTTAAGTTTCCATCTTAATTTATTTATAGTGTTTTAAATACAATGTTGCATCACTTAATGACAAAAATTACATTCTGAGAAATGCATTAGGCAATTTCTTCACTGTGTAACATCATATAGTGTATTCTATGTGTAAATAGAGATAGCATAACCTACTACTCACCCTAGGTTATGTGGTACAGCCTATTGATCCTAGGCTACAAACCTAAACAGCATGTTACTGTGCTGAATACTGTAGGCATTTGCAACACAACGGTAAATATTTGTGTATCTAAACATAAAAAAAAGGTACAGTAAAAAATCCAGTCAAAACATCAAAAATGGTATACCTGATTAGGGCACTTACTATAAATGAAGTTTGCAGGGCTAGGAGTTGCTCTGGGAGAGTTAGTAAGTGGTGAGTGAGCGTAAATGCCTAGGGCATCATTGTACAAAACTGTAGACTTTATAAACACTGAATTTATAAAATTTATAAAGAAACTTATTTCTTTCAAAATACATTAAACTTATCCTACAGTAACTTTTTTACTTTATAAACTTTTTAACTTATTTTTAACTTTTTGACTCTTTTGTAACAACACTTAGCTTAAAACGCATATTGTACACAGAAATACTTTATTTCCTTATATCCTTATTCTCTAAGATTTTTTTGTAATTTTACATCTTTTAATTTTTAATTTTTTTGTTGTTGTTGTTAAAAACAAAGACACAAATGCACATACTAGCGTAGGCCTACACAGGGTCAGTATGATCAACATCACTGTTTTCTACCTCCAGATCTTGTCCCACTGGAAGCTCCTCTAGGCCAATAATGCATATGGATCTGTCGACATCTATGATAACAATGCCCTCTGAAATGCCTCGTGAAGGACCACTGTGAGGCTGTTTTACAGTTGCCTATTACTTTTTTTTTTGTTTGTTTTTGAGACAGAGTCTCGCTCTGTCGCCCAGGCTGGAGTGCAGTGGCGTGATCTCGGCTCACTGCAAGCTCCGCCTCCTGGGTTCACGCCATTCTCCTGCCTCAGCCTCCCGAATAGCTGGGAATATAGGCGCCCCCCACCAGGCCTGGCTAATTTTTTGTATTTTTAGTAGAGATGGGGTTTCACCATGTTAGCCAGGATGGTCTCCATCTCCTGACCTCGTGATCTGCCCGCCTCGGGCCTATTTCTTTTAATAAGTAGAAGGTGTACACTACAATAACAATAAAAAATATGGTGTAGTAAATACACAAAAATGTAATATATTTGTTTATTATTATTACTAAGTAAAATGTACTTGTATTAGTCCATTCTCACACTACTATAAAGACACTACCCGAGATTGGGTAATTCATAAAGGAAAGAGGTTTAATTGAGTCACAGTTCTGCATGGCTGAGGAGGCCTCATGGAACTTACAATCATGGTGAAATGGGAAGCAGTCATCTTCTTCACAAGACAACAGGAGAGAGAAGGATTGTGTGTAGGAGGAGCTGTGAAACACTTAACAAAACCATCAGATCTCCTGAGAACTCACTCACTATCGTAAGAACAGTATGGCGGAAACCGCCCACATGATCCAATCACCTTCCACCAGATCCTGCCCTCAACACATGGGTATTATGAAGATTACAATTCAAGATGAGATTTGGGTGGGGATATAGAGCCAAACCATATCATTCCACCCCTGGCCCCTCCCAGATCTCACATATTTTTTACATTTCCAACCCAACATCATGCCTTCCTAACAGTCCCCCAGAGTCTTAAATCATTTCAGCAGTAACTCAACAGCCCACAGTTCAAAGTCTCATCTGAGACAAGGCAAGACGTTTTGGCCTATAAGCCTGTAAAATCAAAAGCAAGTTAGTTACTTCCTAGATACCATGAGGGTACAAGAATTGGATAAATGCTCCCATTCCAAATGGGAGAAATTAGTCAAAACAAAGGGGATGCAGGCCCCATGAAAGTCTGAAACCCAGCAGGGCAGTCATTAAAACTTAAAGCTTTAAAATAATCTCCTTGTCTCCATGTTTCACATCCAGGGCATGTTAATGCAAGAGGTGGGCTCCCATGGCCTTGGGCAGTTCCTTCACAGGCTGGCATTGAGTGTCTGTGGCTTTTCCAGGTGCACAGTACAAGCTGTTGGTGGATCTTCCATTCAGGGGTCTGGAGAACAGTGGCCCTCTTCTCATAGCTTCACTAGGCAGTGCCCCAGTGGGGACTCTGTGTGGGAGCTTCAACCCCACATTTCCCTTCTGCACTACCCTAGCAGAGGTTCTCCATGATGGCTCCACCCCTGCAACCAATCTCGGCCTGGACATCCAGGCATTTCCATACAACCTATGAAATCTAGGCAGAGGTTTCCACACCTGAATTCTTGACTTCTGTGTACCCTCAGGCCCAACACCATATGGAATCCTCCAAGGCTTGGGGCTTGCACCCTCTGAATCAACAGATGAGCTGTACATTGGCTCCTTTTAGCCACGGCTGGAGCTGGAGTAGCAGCAGCTGGGACACAGGGCACCAAGTCCTGAGGTTGCCCAGAGCAACGGGGCCCTAGGCCCAGCCCATGAAACCATTTTTCCCTCAGAGGCTGCTGGGTCTGTGATGAGAAGGGCTGCCATGGAAGTCTCTGATACGCCCAAGAAAAATTTTACCATTGTTTTGGCTACTGTAATAACATTTGGCTTCTTGTTATTTAGGCAAATTTCTGTAGCCAGCTTGAATTCCTCCCCTGAAAAATGGGTTTTTCTTTTCTACTGCATGGTCAGGCTGCAAATTTTCCAAACTTTTATGCCCTGCTTCCATTTTAAACATAAGTTCCAATTTGAGATAATGTTTCTCAAATTAAAAGTTCCACAGATCTCTAGGACAGGGGCAAAATGCTTCCAGTCTCTTTGCTAAGGCAGAGTAACAGTGATCTTTGGGCTCTAGTTCCTAATGAGTTCTTGTCCATCCAAGACCACCTCAGCTTGGACTTCACTGTCTATATCACTATCAGCATTTTGGTCAAAACCATTCCACAGGTCCCTAGGAAGTTTCAAACTTTCTCACAACTTCCTGTCTTCTTCTGAGCCCTCCAAACACTTCCAACCTCTGCCCGATACCCAGTTCTAAAGTCACTTCCTCATTTTCAGTATCTTTATAGCAGTGCCCCACTCCCAGTACCAATTTACTCTATTAGTCTGTTCTCACACTGCTATAAAGATACTACCCAAGACAGGGTAATTTATAAAGGAAAGAGGGTTAATTGACTCATAGTTCTGCATGGCTGGAGAGGCCTCAGAAAACTTACAATCATGGTGGAATAAAAGCAGTTGGCTTCTTCAAAAGGCAACAGGAGAGAATGAGTGTGTCTAGGAGAAATTTTCAAACACTTTTAAAACCATCGGATCTCATGAAAACTTACTCACTATCATGAGAACAGCATGAGGGAAACTGCCTCCAGGATCCAATCACTTCCCACCGGGTCTTGCCCTTGACACGGGAGGATCATGAGGATTACAATTCAAGATGAGATTTGGGTGGGGACACAGCCAAACAATATCAGTACTAGACATAATTTTATGTGCTACACTTTTATATAACTGGCAATGAAGTAGGTTTGTTTACACCATCATTGCCACAAACAGGTGAGAAATATGTTAGACTATGATGTTAAGACAGCTCAGCTGCAATGTCACTAGGTAATATTCATCTCCATTATAATCTTATGGGACCACCATGATATATGCAGTCTATTGCTGAGCAAAACATCGTTATGCAGTGCATGATTGTACATGATTTTGTTTGGTTTTATTAATTGCACTGGTTAAAATAATATATGTGTAATGTCAAGATCTACTGTTACGGATGTTTTACCTCTTTGAGTGAAGTGTAGAAAACTTGTTTCCATATGAGTCTCTTTACTATCACTACTTTTTAGATATAATTATCTTAAATACTTCCTCTATGTTCCTTGAGCATCTAACCAGATAGGTCATTAATTTTTGCTTCAACTATTAGAAATGGCTTAAAAACTTAAGAGAAGTTTGATTATACATTATATTTATGCTTAATTTTACCCACTTAGATGGATGTTTGTAAAAGCTGCAAACCTTCTTTTATCATTTCTTTTCTGTTTAGAGAACTTATTCTTTAAAGGTAAGTTTGTTAGCAACACATTACCTTAGCATTCTTTCATTAGACAATGTTTTCTATGTCACTTTAATGCCTGAAGAATATTATTGCTGGGTATTGAATTTACAGTTCACAGTTCTGTTCTTTCAGTACTTCAAAAATATTATCTGTTTCCTTCCAACCTTCATGGTTTCAGATGGAAAATCTGCTGTGGTTTACATTATTGTTTTTCTGTAAGAAATGTGCCATTTTTCTCTGTTTGCTTTCAAGATTTTTAATTTTTTTTTTTCATTTCCAGAAATTGAATGTATTTGGGTGTATTCTATTTAGGGTTTGCTCTGTTTCTTGAATATTTAGGTTTATGTCTTCCATCTAATTTGGGAAGGTTGAAGTCATTATTTTTTAATAGTTTTTTAGTCCCACATTCTATCTCCTCGTCTTCTATATCTCCTGTGATTATGAATGTTAGCTCTTTTATTATTGTTCTAAAGTTTCCTGAAATGCTGTTAAATTTTTTTTTATCGGTTTTCTTCTTCTTGTTCAGACAGTAAATTCTGTTGGCATGTTTTCAGATTCACTGATTCCATCTTCTGCTCTGTGCTCTCTTCTTTTGTGACCATCCTCTGCATCTATTATTTCCATTATTGTATTTTAATTTTATTTAGTTCATGTTTACTTTTTATAACTTATAAGTCATTATTGAATTTATTTTTAATTTTAACTTTTATTTGTTCCAAGAGAATACAATATATAATTGCTTATTTAAACACTTTTATGATGGTTTCTTCAAAATCCTTGTTAGATAATTCCAACCTCTTTTTTTTTTTTTTTTTTTTTTTTTTTTTGTCTGAAACAGTCTCACTCTGTTACCCAGGCTGGAGTGCAGCGGTATGATCTTGGCTCACTGCAACCTCCATCTCCCAGGTTCAAGTGATTCTCCTGCCTCAGCCTCCCAAGTAGCTGGGATTACAGGCATGTGCCAATGCACCCAGCTAACTTTTTATATTTTTAGTAGAGGCGGGGTTTCACCATGTTGGACAGGCTGGTCTTGAACTCCTGACCTCAAGTGATCCACCCATCTTGGCCTCCCACAGTGCTGGGATTACAGGTGTGAGCCACTGCGCCCAGCCCCAACCCCTTTTTTATGTCTGTGTTGGTGTCTGTTGTCTTTCTCTCATTCAGGTTATGATTTCCTAGTTCTTTTGTCTTATAAGTGATTTTTATTGTGTCCTGAATTTTTTTTTATATTATGAGAATTTTTCTCTCTTATTATTTCATAGATGGTTCCCTATTGATGTGTAACCTGAGAGCTGGGTGGGTGTGCGTGTTTATCTTCCTGATGGGACCTACTAATACCATCCTACCAAAAGTAGAGTACTAACTTATACTTCCTTCTTGCAGACTGGTTAGGTGGAAGTTTGTCTTCTCCCTCCACCCACTGGCAACCTCATGGCAAAAGTAGGGTACTGAGTTACATATCTTTGTTTCCTCCAAGTGAAAAAATAACCTCACTTCCCTGATGTGGTCCACTGACACCAGGGAGGGGGTGAGTAGGGGCCAACTCATACCACTTGGTTGCTTCCAAGGAGTAGGAGTGGGGAGAAGCTGTGTAAGAACAGAACTGATCATTAAAGACCCTATTATAAATTCTTGCTTTTATAGTACTTATTCTCGTGGCTTAAATATTCCACACCAATTAATCACCACGGAATATATGAGACATTATATTAATTATTAAATTTTACATGGCAACACTAACAATATTAACTCCCATTTTCTATCTCTTTAATTGAGGTCATTCTTTAGAAGTTTAAGTATAATCCATTCTTCTGTCCTACACGACTGAGTGAAAGAGCATGTAGCAGCAACATATAGTACCAGTATGTAATCCTAATGCAATGGCACACCCCAGATGACCCTTTTGTGTATTGGGATTGACCATGGTTTTTCAGTTTAATCAAAGTTTAATTGATTAAACTCGGGGTTCACATTTTCTTTCTACACACCAATATTGAAGAGAAGTACTACAAAATACATAGGAGCACTAAACTGGTAGTAATAAGAAAAACATAAAATATTTAAGATAATGTGTTGCTTTTATTTCTAATATTAGCTACTGATACAATCAAAGCACTGCGGCTCAGTTTTCTCTTTTGTAAGAGGACAAGTTTGTATTAGTTAATCTTTAAATGTCTCTACAATCTGATTCTGAGATTGTGAATAAATAGATCTAAATACTGTTATAGGTATATAAATACAGATATAAATGCAGGTATGGGTAAAATTATGGCTATGGGTCCCAGCCTTAAATTCTTATTTTTTTATAACTAATTGATGTTCAGGGATAGATTTATGTGATCTGCTCATTTGCAGGGGCCCATCACTTGGCTAATTCTTTGGTGTCATTCGTGTCAAGTTTTAAATAATTTTTGAGGAAGATGTCCTATATTTTAATTTTGCACTGAACACTGCAAATTTTGTAGCTGTTCCTGTTAATTTGTTAATGAAATTTCTCTTTAGAAACTATTAAATTAATAAGACAATAATTAAGCAAATAATTATTAAATTTTACATGGTAACACTAGCAATATTAACTCCCATTTTCTATCACTTTAATTCAGGCCATCCTTTAGAGGTTTAAGTATAATCCATTCTTATGTCCTACACAACTGAGTGTGTAGTACCAGTACGTAATCCTAATGTAATGGCACACCCCAGATGACCTTTTTGTGTGTTGGCATGGTTTTTCAGTTTAAGCAAAAGTTTAATTGATTGAAACTTGAAGTTCACATTTTTTTTTCTACACACCAATATTGAAGAGAAGTCCTACAAAATACTTATTCTATGGAAAAAAACAAAGTCCACTTTAGATCTAAAATGGTTGCATAAAATTTTGAGAATAACTTAAATGTTATATGAATGTAAGTAAAAATTTTACTGTAAACTTTGTAAATGCTAACTATAAACAGAAAACAAGTATATCTTATATAAAGAAATGTGTAGACTCTCTGTATTAATCCATTTTCACATTGCTATAAAGAATACCCGAGACAGGGTAATTTACAAAGGAAAGAGGCTTAATTGACTCACAGTTCTGCACGGCTGGGGAGGCCTCAGGGAACTTACAATCATGGTGGAAGGGGAAGCAGGCACGTCTTACATGGCAGCAGGGGAGAGAGAGCATGTGAAGGAGGCACTGTCAAACACTTGTAAAACCATCAGATCTCATGAGAACTCATTCACTATCATGAGAACATCTAGGGGAAACTGTGCCCATGATCCAATCACCTCCCAACAGGCCCCTCAACACATGGGCATTATGGGAATTACGATTCAAGATGAGATTTGGGTGACAGCACAGAGCCAAACCATATCACTCTCTGTGCCTTGTATTTCTCATACTAGTCAATGCCAACTCATTAAAAGTTATCTGGAGATATAACATTTTTGGGGGATTATATATTGCCACTACTGTTATATTTTTGTCAGGATAATGTAGCAATTCCCAAATAAATCATACTTAAACCTCCACAGAAAAGATAAATAGAAATGAGAATTCCATTGCCAGCATTGCTTTGAAAAACGTTTCAGAACTTTGAATATATATACTCATAAACACACACACATACACAGATATATATTTCTGCATGTGTATATACATATATGGATACATATGTTCTTAAACTTTCTTTTAACAGAAAAATTAAAATAGAAGGAAAATAATAGAGCACTAGTTATATAACTAGTATTATATAAATAATGTTATGTAACTAGTTATATAATTAAAAATATAAGAACCTAGGTGAGAATGAGAAAGTCTAGATTTAGATTTACTACTTTTCCTAATACACACCCACACACATATATGTATGTGTGTGTGTGTGTGTGTGTGTGTGTGTGTATACTGTATTTGTCTCATAGTGGCTGGAGCACATTACTACCAACTTAGTGGATTAAAACACCACAAATCTACTATCTTACAGTTCTGCAAGTAAAGACTAAAATAGAGTCACATAGGTGAAAATCAAGAGCTTCTACTCTCTTGAGGCTGCTTGGATTCTTGGCTATAACCCCTTTCTCCATCTTGAAATTCTGTCACTCCAACCTCTGCTTTCATAACACATCTCCCATCTCCTTCCTAACTCGAAGGCATCTTCTCAGTCTTACAAGAACTCCACTTGGGTTCACATTTGGAACACCCAAATAACCCATCTTAATATTCTCATCTCTAGATCCTTAAATAATTGCTTCTACAATGTCCTTTTTGTCATGGAAGGTGACATTTTCACAGGTTCCAGAAATTAGGACGTCGACATTTTAGTAAGCCATTATTCTGTCTACCACAGTGGCCTTGAATAGAAATCCTTCAGTTTTCATATACAGAAACAAAACGTTCTTCCAAATGAGGAAGCTAGATTGGGAAAAAAAAAAGTCAGCCACACAGGTCTCCCCATTAAAACTTAAAGATGGTTACATATTTTATTCTGAGTTAAAATGGAGAGTCTTCCTATATAACTCTCTTTCCACTGTATGATTTATCACTTAATAGCTCTCCCTTTCCGTTGTATGATTTGTCACTTAATATCTCTCTCTTACTTGAAGTCAGAGAACAGCAAACAGTTTGCAAAATATATAAATAGTCTATAAGTTGTGGTCCAAATAGTTCTTAGAATCCAGCTACATCTAAGTACACAATTACTTATTTAAGCTTGATTCAGTGAAACAGATTTTCAGTTGAGTTTCTTAATTGGAATGACCAGTCACATTTTTCAAATTTGGCTTTATGCATAAATTGACAAATTATTTATAATTTGAAACATCTGGGCTCATTTTTTAAAAACAACTCATAAAATAAGAAATCATTTTATTGGTTCAAGCACGCATGCTATTAAATGACTCATCTTAATTTTTATCTTTTCATAAATGTTGAAAAATCTCAAGAAACCGTTATGTTGTCCTAAAAATGGGCAAGCAAGGTTAATTTGTTTTTGATGTTTAGATAGTTAGGTTATTTCTCATTTTTCTTTTAGGGATTACGTTGCTATCCTAAAGCTTGACATTGGTTAGAGTCAGCCAATGTCAAATTTTTACCTATAGATAGTCTTAGAAAGGTATTGCAAATTAGTGCTGCTTCTAGTAGCTAAAATAACCTGCAGCTAGCTGGCAGGCAGCAGTGAATATTTTAAAAGGTGTACCAAATTACATTTAGATTTTCAGTTCCTTTTGAAGTGAAAAGAATATTCAAAGCTTGGAAGTCTTTGACTCTCATAAGCCTAGTAGATTTCAAGTATAAACATAGATTTAAAGATAGTTTACAGACAAATTGTGGATTTTATGTTATAATCTCAGATTAATGATTTTTTCCTTTTTGTGATTTTTTTCCCAAAGTAATTGTAAAGGACTGTGTGTGTGTGAGAGAGAGAGAGAGAGAGAAACAGAGAGAAAGAAACAGAGATAGAGACATTGTCCAAATGTACACGTAAGATTTTCTGTGACAATTACACATGGATTATCTAGTAACAAGTTGAACTACATGAAGCAATTGTATATCATCAGATATATACTATATGAAACAACTGTGTATAATCAGATTTATACTACATGAAGCAACTATATATAATCAGATTTACACCACTTTCTGAAGAAAACTACAATTAATTGGATACTAAAATGGTTTCTGAAAGCCTAATTATTCTCAAGTCCATATGTGTGTTTGGTGGGATGGCAGTGAGTTTTTGGAACAAGCTTAACTGTTTTTTGAAATAGTTGTGAACTTCACAAGTTAGATGAAATACATGTCACAAGAAATTTTCCATGTGGAGACAATTTAGTAGTATTTCCACATTTATGTTCAATAAGTGTAAATTATAAAATGATATTTTTGCTCAAAAATAAATGAAAATAACACATTTGAAACAAAAGTAGACTCACCCACCCTCCAGAATGATATCCAAAGACCAAAGGAAGTTTGGCCTTTTTTAGGTATTTGAGACTTGCTTTCAGTAAATCATATCATCATATTTATTTCTATAACTTTTCTTTTTTTTTGAGATGGAGTCTCGCTTTGTCACCCAGGCTGGAGGGCAATGGCGTGATCTTGGCTCAGTGCAGCTTCCGCCTCCTGGGCTCAAGTGATTTTCCCACCTCAGCCTCCCCAGTAGCTGGGATTACAGACGTGAGCCACTATGCCTGTTTATTTATTTATTTATTTATTTATTTATTTATTTATTTTTTAAGTAGAGATGGAGTTTCACCATGTTGGCCAGGCTGGTCTAAAACTCCTGACTTCAAGTGATCCACCCACCTTGGCCTCCCAAAGTGCTGGGATTACAGGCGTGAGCCACTGGGCCCGACCTCTGTAACTTTTTATATTACTGTTTATCATGAGTACGCACAAAAAACCACTTTTTGAATATCTTTTTCTCAGATTTTTAATTATTAAGAACAAGGCAAAAATGTGTATACATTAGGTAAAAACTGCCAAAGCATGTCCAAAGAAGAAATAAAGTTCTGTAAATACTCAGAATCAACAGTTGAATAGGTATTCAGGTTTTCAGAGTTAAAAGCACAAATGCATATTTTAGTCTCTTTTCATTTTATTTTAAATATGACTATCCATAGAATGACTATTGCACAGTTTCATATAACTCCCTTATTTGTGTATTTAGTAACTGAGATTCATTATTTTTTAATTAGTACCTAAATAATTACTAGTAATCTGAAACTGATTTTCTTTTATGAGGGCAAAATGCTTTTTCTTTTAATAGGAAAAAGCAAAAAGGAAGTTAGTTTAAGTATTTTTTAAATAAAAGAAATTGACAAAATAAAAAGCATGTTAAATTTAATTGTAACCCTGATGTATGTAAAACCTTTATTAAAAATATTTTTCCAAAGTTCTTATTAAGCTTTAATTAGCTATTTGTATATATTACCTTACTGGCATTTTAAAAGTATAATTATTACATATTGTGTGGAAAGATTTAAACATTCAGAAAATATAAAACTCAGTGCAACTATTTTTTCCTACTCTTCATGTATTATAATTCAGTCTTTTTGATAATTTTATATATATAGAAGGTATGATATTTATATTACATTTAAAATTTAGTACAACTTTTATTAAAGTGTACATATTATTTATACAATGCTTTTTTCTTTTCTATATCTATACAGCTTACCCATTTTTGAGAAGGCTGCATTTTTTTCTATAACATGTATATGTTGTACTTTACTTGTCTATATCCCCATTAAGAGATATGTTGCTTCCAGGTTTCATTATTATAAATACTGTTTCAGTGAACAGCTTTCAATATACATCTTTGTGCCCATGTGACAATAAAAGTATTTTTGTATGCATCTGCAAGTATAATAGTTATAGTGTCCATGCATTTTCAATTGGGTAGTTGTTTCAAAATAGCCCTACATTTTTCAAATAATTCTAATTCAAAGGACTGCTCCCCTTTCAAACCTGGTAAATATTGAAGTCCTTAATGCTTTTGCCAGAATTAGGCTGAATTGACAGAGCACTGATATGTAGAAGATATATATATATATATATATATATATATATATATATATATACATGTATATTATATATATATTATAAATATAATATATATATATAAAATTCTTAAAATTTAGCAAGTAACTGAACAACAAAAATGACAGATAAAAGAAGCAGGTCATGCATAGCCTATCTGCCTGAGATTTATTTAACCCTTCTTCAGAAGAGGCTTTGATTCTTGTCTCTCTGTGTCTACCTATAGACAGCATTTCTCCCAGGAAGCTTGCCCTGACCTCCTAGAATTGGTTATGTACCATTTATATATTTTTCATATTCCACTGTACATAACTCATAACAGAAATTATCACAAGGGAACAGCTGTGGTTTTATTGTTATGTCTAGCTATCCAGCTATCATCTTCACCAGACTGTAAGCTCCTTGAAGGCAGAAGCCAGATTTATCTTCATGACCTCTGTGTTTTAGATGAGGTCTCAGAGATAGAGGTCAGAATTTTCCCTCTAGGTAAATTAATTAGATTAACCTCAACTTATACAAAACAGTAGTCATTAAATTTATCCCCAGCCATCAGGAGCTTAACTACTCTGGAGAGAGAGCCAGGTGTTGGAGTAGGCAATTAAGACATCAAGACAAAAGGACATTAACAAACCTTTGAGGTTAAACTGGAAAAAGCCCTGACGGTCCAGTCCCCATCCTTTTTTTCCTTCATGAAACAGCTCTATCAAGGATCACATGGGTCAGCACAGATGTGGAGTTGTCTCACTATCAAAGGAACCCTGAACAACAGGCTCCTGCCTGCAGTTTTATGGAAGGTCAGGAAAAGGCTGGGAGCGGAAAAGCACTGAGTATTGAATCAGAAGGAAGACAATTGTCTTCAAGACTCCTCCTCCTCTCCCCATGAAAAGGAGGTCTTGGGCAAACATGCCTGGGGAAGGTCTGCCAAGGTCCCACAGTGGAGAGGCCTCCAGGGGAGGCACCAGTCAAGTGATGCTGATCTGTGTGTGAGCATGGCCCTGCAGCCCTTACTGAAACTGCCATTAGAGGACTATGCACTAGTGTGGGGAGGGCAGCTCTCCCTGTGGGACCCACTTGGTCAAGTCTTTGTCATTGTTTATGGATGGGCCCAAAAATCACATATAGGATTGAGTCTGGGGCTGAACTCTTTACTGCTCTGTCTGTATTCCCTGTCTTGGTTGACACCTAATACATGACTAAGAAACTAAGAAATCATTTTAGACGTCGTTTTTGTGTCTGTGTTTTATGCTTTGTTGGCTTGAAAACTTCATCCAATAAAACTTTAGTTATTTTTATTACCATTTCTTCCTTTATGACCCCACAGCATCCTCCATGTGCCAGGGTCCAAATCATCTTTAACCCGGACTATTGTATCAGTACCCAAATATATTCTTTCATCAAAATATATTCTTTCTCTTCTCTGGCTGTAATCTCATTCATTTCCAGGCTACTTCTTTTCAAACTAAAAAGCAAATATAATCACACTATTCTCTTTCTTCAAACACTTTCCCAATTCCTAGAGTAAAATCCCCCTTTTATAACATATAAGGCCTCAGTGACCTACCCTCAGGACTTCTTTAATTATTCTCCCATATTGTCCTATTATGTACCTGTTCCATCATCCTTACAACCCTCAGAACTCCCTAATCTGTTTTAATGCCACATTGTTATGCTCTTAATTTCCTTTGATAAAATGATTCTTTCCATTCATAAACTAGTTGATTACCACAATTTCTTAAGTATTCTATTGAAGTTTATCTTATTAGTCCATTTCACACTGCTATAAAGATACTACCTGAGAATGGATAATTTATAAACAAAAGAGGCTTACTTGACTCACAATTCCACATGGCTGAACTTATAAGTGAACTTATAATTAAACTTATAATCATGGTGGAAGGTGAAGGGAAAGCAAGGCAAGTCTTACACTGTGGCAGGTAAGAGAGAGAGCATGCAGGGGAAACTGCCACTTATAAAACCATCAGATCTCCTGAGAACCCCCTCACTATCACAAGAACAGCATAGAAAACCACCCTTTTGAGCTAATCACCTCCCACCAGGTCCCTCCCCATGACACATGGGGATTACAATTCGAGTTGAGATTTGGGTGGGGACACAGAGCCAAATCATAACATGTATCTTCTTTGCCAAGATTTTCCTTACAACGCAAAGTAGATTGACATATTTTAATTTCTTCCATCCCACCCCACCATAATATTCTTACCTCTATGACAGTGCTCATCAAAATTTGTAGCTATTATTTGTTTAAATGACTTCATTATGCTTCTTAAGAGGCATAAACTTTCTGCTATATTCATCTTTGTATGCCTGTCACACATTACATTGGCTGAGACAAGGTAAATATTTAATACATATCTATTAAATAAGAAACTTAAAAAAATAAAAGAGTGAATGAATAACTGTATCTAGGAAGTATGAAAGTGACTTATCTTTTAGCATTTTTCATCAAGGAATTAAGAAATGTGTGGGGAAAAAGTTAAGAGGCCCCAGTTAAAATGGCTTTTATCCCAAATTCAGGCAATAACAAAAGTTGACGAGGATATACAGAAAAAGGAACCCTTGCACACTGTCAGTGGGAATGTACATTAGTATGACCCTTAAGGAGAACAGTCTGGAGGTTTCTCAAAAAGCAAAAATTGAGCTATCATATGATCCAGCAATCCCACTCCTGGGTGTATAACCAAAAGAAAGGACATAGTATATCAGAGAGATATCTGCACTCCATGTTTATTTCAGCACTACTCACAATAGCCAAAATTTGGAATCAACCTAAGTATCCATCAAGAGATGAATGAATAAAGAAAATATAGTACATATACAAAATGGAATACCATTCAGCCATAAAAAACAATGAGTTCCTGTCATTTGCTACAATGTGGATAGAACTGGAGGTCATTATGTTAAGTGAAACAAGCCAGGCGCAGAAAGACAAACTTCGGATGCTCTCACTTATTTGTGGGAGCTAAGGCTTAAAACAATTGAACTCATGGAGATAAACAGTATAAAGGTTAACAGGCTGAGAAGGGTAGTGAGGGTTTGGGAGGAAAGCGGGGCAGACTAATAGGTACAAAAACATAGTTAGAAAGAATGAATAAGACCTAGCATTTGCTAGCACAACAGGGTGACTATAGTCAAAAATAATTTAATCGTACATTTAAAAATAACTAGAAGAGTATAATCAGATTGTTTGTAACACAAAGGATAACTGTGTGAAGTGATGGATATTCAATTTACCCTGATGTGATTATGCATGTATCAAAACATCTCATGTACTCCATAAATTTTCAAAAGAAGTATGTATAGCATAACGCTTAAAATAATATACTGTAATAGTCTACAACTTGGCAAGAAATTAAGCTTTCGTTTATTTTTGTCACAACAGGTATACTACATGCAGATTAAAATATATATTTTATATATATATATATATATACATATATACCATCTATTTTTTAAGGGCATTTTTCATAACCTTGAAATATAAACAATAAAAATTATGAAGCAATAATTTATTTTTTTAAAAAAATCCACTTGCCAAACAAACAAGATACTCCTTCCAGGATGTCAGTAATATCAAGATAAAATGCCAGAGAATTTTAGCTCAGTATAGGAAATCAAACAGCTAATTTTTAACTTTGATGGAGGAGAAAATTAGATAAATTCTGAAAATTCATCCATTTATTTTTCTCTCTCCATATATGTTAACAACAAGCAAACACATTAAATCCTTAAATTTGGTTACTAAGTTCACAAATGTCATGGACACAGTGAGGTAATATTTACAGACTGAATACTGATTTACTATCCTTTGAGTTTATTTCTACATTTCATAGAGTAGATGCTCTTTATAGATAAACTCTTTTGGAAAAAGTCCAGATAACTGGATAATTAACTATTAATATCACTTTTTGAAAATTAAATAGTAATATGTTTCTTCCAGGAAAAATTATTTAACAGGTTTTATTCAGACTACTAAGACATATGAAAACCTGACATTAACTCTTTGGTTTTCTAAAGATTCTCTTCAGGAAAATATGCCATCAGTCTTTCTAAATGTATTCAATTTTATCTCAGCAGTCTTGAGCCTCCATCTACATGATGTTAATATACCTCCAAACAGCCATTCACATTTCTTAAGGTGATGAAATATGTATTACCTATAATATTCTTAACTAAGTTATTGTAAGGCATATTTATCATGCCACATAATCCTGGGCGAAAATTGGATATAATAACAATTCCCAAAAATGCCTCTTGACAAAGAGTTGGAATTCAACTTTTTTCTTCTACTGCTAAGGATGTTTGCATCATGTCTTTGGAAAAATGTATCTCATAATTGCAAAGCCCTAATTCCTGATGCTCCATTAACAATATTACTCAAGATATTGTTGCTGATGTGGCTGCTTATATTATTCCCAAGTGAATTTGTAGATATTTAGCAATAGCTGAGGCCATCTACAACGTAAATTCCTATCTATGTTACTCCTCTTGAGAATCTACTCTTGGTACATTTAGCAAAGGAAGACACTTTTAGCAACACAGCAGTCCCCCCTTACCAGCGGTTTCACTTTCCCCAGTTTTAGCTATCAGGGGTCAATCATGTTTTGAAAAATATTAAATAAAAGTTATAGAAATAATAACTTTGAAATTGTGTACCATAACGTGATAAATTCTCAGGTTGTCCATCCTACTCCCTGTTTTCTTTATCACAAAAAGAAAAGTAGATAATAATAAGGTATTTCAAGAGAAAGAGAGACCACATTCACATAACTTTTACTACAGTATATTGTTATAATAATTCTATTATTAGTTATGTTCATATAATTATTAGTAAAAGGAATATAATTATATTCCTATATAATTATAGAAGTATACTACTCCTATACATAATATATTAGTATAACTAATATAATTCTATTATCATTAGTAGTGTTAGTTTAACTAATAAACTAATAGAATTATTAAACTAATATAATTAGCCTATTAGTTTAATACTACTCCCATAATGAGTATATTAGTTTAAACAAATACTACTACTATAATAATTAGTAGTAGTTTAACTAATAAACTACTATAATTATTAGTTAAATTTCACTATGCCTAATTTTTAAATTACAGTCTATTATAAGTATGTATGTGTAGGAAAAATAGTACATGTTTACTATCCACTGTTTCAGGCATCAACTGGGGGTCTTAATACATATCTTTTTACAGATAAGGGTGGAGCTACAGTTACCTTCCAAAAGGTAGTATTGCCACTGCCATTGTTGCCTGCTAATGTAAATTCCAAAGAAGTAGATGATTTTGGGAAGGGCAGAAAATAAAAATTTTCATCAATATTAATGATTTTGCCATTAATGCAGATTACCATTGCCATAGTCTGAGAAGTGACATGAAACTTGAGATTGCTAGAGCTCATAGGACAGTAGAACAGTGAAGACATTGAGGTTTAAAGTGTTAATGTTATGAAGATAGCTAAAAACAGGACTTGATCAGTATAATCCTCTACCTAACACAACTTGGAATGGGGCAGAGAGTAAAGAAATGGACCTCGGTAAGGATGTGCATGAGCACTAAGAGATAGTGCTTGATGCAAGAGCAATAATAACAACAATAACCACAACAAAGGTATATTATTGGGAGCATTAGAGAAGAACAACAGAAAACTAAAAATGTTGTGGATGTTACCTCCAAGCAAGAAAATGGGACTAGGGACACAGGCCCTTTTTGTTTTTTGCTTGCACATTCTGTAATTAGAAAATGTTATTTTATAGACACACATATCAAATAATAGGAGAAAAAAGATATTTCATGTAAGATTAGTTTATTCTCAATATTCTGAATTAGAATATTGGATTAAAACAATATTTAGAATGATAGAAGCTGGATTAAAACAACTTTAAAACAAGCATTTGTACTGCATTGACATCTCTATACAAGTTGCTGTCATACTAGTTGAGAAGAGCTTGGGGACCTGGACTTGGGAGATTTAATGGACCGATAAAATTACTCAGAGGGGTAACCTTATAAAGAATTCTGAAACCAAGAATTTGGAAGTCTAAGAAAAGAAGGGACAACAATGCAAGTTGTCCAACCAAAACCTCTCTTCCCTACTTTCTTGTTTCTGAATGCCATTTTTGTTTGAAAGAGCAATGTGTCCTGCCAAATAACTACAATGCCCAGTCTCCTTGCCCTTGTGGCTGGTGACATGTTATAGTCCTGTAGAAAGATACGTGGGCTGAAGTTGTTGAAAAGGACACTTTGTTCTTCAACTTCTCCCTTCCTGCCCTGATATAAAAACATGATAACACACTACTTATTACTCTAAATATGCATAACTTTTATATGCACTAGGAAGTGTATATATCAATACTTAGAGATACAATTTCAGAAATGGTCAAATTAAAGAAAACAAGTTAAAAGTTTACAAGTTCTTATAATAATTATAGAGGCAAGATAAATTACAGATTCAATTTTTTAAACTAGTAATTTAATTAATCACATCATGGATAATGTTTAGAGCTAAAATTTATTCTGTATTTACATAATTAATATTGTAATTAAAAACCACTGAGTATTTTTTGTTGCAACTGAATGTTGTGTCCCCTCAAAATTCATGTGATGAAAACTTAACCTTCAGTATGATGGTAGCAGGACCTATAAGCTGCATATTTATAATGAACTTTGGGAAGTAATTAGCTTATTATGGTGGAGGCTTCATAAATTAGATTGGTGCCCTTAAAAATGACTCTTGAGAGCTCTTTCTGTCCACCATGTGAAGCTGCATTGAGAAGGCAGCAGTCTGAAACCCAAGAGAGCTCTCTCACCAGAACCCAATTATGCTGGCACTCTGCTGTTGGACTTCCAGCCTCCAGAACTGTGAGATGTGCATTCCGTTATTTAAAAGCCACTCAGGTTATGGAACTTTATTAAAGCAGCCTGAACGGCTGAAGATGGAAATTGATCATGAGAAGTGGGAGTGCTGTTATTATAAATACCTAAAACAAAGTGAAAATGGTTTTGGGCTCAGTGATTGGCAGAGATTGATGAGGTTTTATGCAAAATGCTAGATTACTGTGGAAGAAATTTAAAAGCCAATTCTCGTGAGGGCTCGGAAAGAAATATAGAAGAAAACGCTGTCTTCTCAGAAAATAATTAAATAATCATGAACAGAATATTGATAAAATATGGACAGTAAAGGTCATTCTGTTGGAGTCTCAAATGGAAATGAAAATGTTATTGGAAAATGGAGCAAAAGCAATCCATGTTGAAAAGTGGAAACAAACTTCTTTGAATTGTATTCATGCTCTTGTGTTTTGCGGAAGGTGGAACTTGTGTGCAGTGAAATTGGACATTTAACCCAGCAGATTTCTCAGCAACATGTAGAAGCAGCAGCTTGGTTCCTTCTGAATCCGTAGAGTCAAATGTAGAAAAAGAAAAAGGTTTGAAGATGGAATTGTTAAGGAAAAAGTAACCATAATTTAAGATCTGGGAAATTCTCAGCCTGTCCATATTGCAAAAAAAGTGAGAAAGTGTGTTCTGAAGAGAACATGAAGAGTGTTTCGGACCCTTACTGATTTGATTAATATGGGTGTGAACCACAGGCTTAATCAAACATCTCAACACAAACCATGAATAGAAATGGGATTATACCAGGAGAAACACTGCCAGTTGGGACTAAAGGAAACAGAGATAATGGGACGAAATAAAGGAAGACATTCGGAATGCTTAAGCCCTACAGGCCCGGACCCGAGAGCTATTCAGTTGTGGATGTGTGCTATTCTCTCCTTCAAAATTACGGAAGAAGGGGCGCAAAGGGGATTTGGAGACAATTACAGCTGCTGCTTTTACCAAAAATCCAGAGGGTATGGCAAGGTGGGCCAAGGTTGCCTCCATTTTGATTTCAAAGGACAGAAATGATGCTCAGAGGAGCTGTGTGGGAGGGCCATCCAGTGAAGCCCTGGGTGAGTGACCTCAGCCCTGACAAAAGACTGTGCCATAAGTGGGTCCAGTGCATAGAGTCAGCAGCGAGCAGTGCCTCACTGAGCTGTCGGGGACTGTCTGGAAGGTGAGTCATCAAGCCAAAGAGGATGCTTCTTGAACCTTAGGGTTTGATGGAGTTTGCCCTGTTAGGTTTTAGATTTACTTGGGATCCAGCATTCATATATTTTATTTTTTTCGAATAGTGGTTCTTTTTGGAATGGGAATGTTTATCCTATGCCTGTCTCACCATTGTATTTTGAGAGTTCATGTTGTTTGATTCCACAGGTTCACAGATGAAGAGAAATTTTGTGAGAATGAACTGTACCGTGAAGCTCACCTGCATCTGATTTAGGTAATATTTAAATAAGACCTTGGACTTTAGACTGGACTTGAGGCTGGAATGAGTTAAGATTTGTGGATTTGTTGGAATGGAATGACTGCATTTTGCATGTGAAGACATGAATTTTGGGGAACCTGGGGCAGAATGTTACGGACTGAATTTTTAAAGTGTACCCTCAAAATCTGTATATTGAAATCGTAACTGTCAATGTAATGGTATTAGTAGTGGGACCTTCAGGAGGTAATTAGGTTGTCATAGTAGAGGCCTCATGAATAGGCTTAGTGTTCTTATAAAAGGGACCTAAGAGAGCTCTCACTTCTTTCCCCATGTGCTTATACAAAAACCCAACAGTCTGCAACCGCAAAAGGGCCCTCCCCAAAACCAGAACATCCTGGCACTCTGACTTTGGACTTCCAACCCCTAGAACAGTAAGAAATACTTTTTTTGTTATTTGTAAGCCACTCAATCTATGGTATTTTGTATAGCAGCCCAAACTAAGACACTCCTCTACACTACAGTGTACACCACATTCTTCTGCCTCTTGGTATGCTTCAGTCACATTGAACTATATTTTGTTTACTAAACATGGCAAATTTATTACTGCACTATGGTTTTGCCATATAATTTTTCCTGTCTTTTCAAACAGAAATTATTTCACAGCATACGCAGCTATAGGCAATTATCTAGCTTATGTATAAAATTACTTTCCTGATATTTGTCTCATTTTTTGTTTTTAAATGTTTTAAATAAACAAATAATAATTGTTTTGAGGGGTACAGTATTATGTCTTCGTATATATTTATATTGTGGAATGATTAAATCAAGCTGCTTAACACATCTCTTATGTCACATATTTATCTTTTTGTTGTGAGAACACTGAAAATAGACTTTTTAGCAATCGAAAAAAGGCAAACCCTTAAAAGTAGAGAGTAGAATGCTAGTTAATGCTGGAGGCAAGGGATAGGGAATGGGGAGATGTTGTTCACAGGGTACAGTTTCAGTTAGACACAAAGATTGAGTTTTAGAGATTGACTTTATAGCAGAGTGACTATATTTAAAAATGACTTCTTGTACATTTCAAATTTTCTATTTAAAATACACATAGTATCTGTATTCCCAGTTCTTAAAACATGACCTATTAAATAACAGATTTGCAAGACTGAATGATTTTTTTTTACCTTGTCCTGATCTCTAGATTTTTTTTAAACTTTATCTCATTAATTGCTAATTCTCTCTTTATGAATGTTAAATACTTAAAATAGCACCAAACATAACTAAACAAAACAAAAACAAAATTTGTTTTTTATTTCAAATGGCATGTTCCATTGCGTTCTAAGACTGGACTGTCTTGGAGATAAAGGAGACTTCATTATTTTATGTAATATTCCTTTGAGAAATCCTGAGCTTTGTGCAAAAATGACATACTTCATTTTTTTTTTGCATAATTTTGTCACTCCATAGAGCCCAGATCGAGTTCCTAAGTTCTCACTAAGGCACATGGGTCTAATTCCATTACATTTTTGGCCTGTGTCAATTAATTTTCTTTTCTCAGATAATAAATTTACACTCCTATTCCACTTCTGAGCAGTTAGACATTTTCAGCATGGAACATTCTATTAAAATGAAATGGCAAATTGCCTTGTAGCACACACATTTTCAAAGAATGTTTTGTCTGATAATGTAGTTCTTATGAGTTTCTTTCCAAAGTAATCCATTTACACAAAATACATTACTAATTTTGTGCATTTACAAACTACACATAATTTCAAAGTGATGTCATTGTTCCACAAATACATCTAGGTTTCAAAGTGATTGATTAAATTCTGTTTAAAATTTTGCACAGAAGTGCAGTATATAATCACATTTTATATCCCTCTGTGCAGGATATAGTTTTCTAAATCATACTCCGTTGTCAGGAGCATGTTCATCTTCCATACAGAACACACTGACTGAAAATAAGATCAAGTCTGCACATTTGGGATATAAATTTTTGAGATTACTGCTCTTGGTATAATATATCTCTCTTGTACTTGAGCCTCTAGATCTTGCTGTTTTTAACACTTTTGTGCTTGCAAGATTTACGCTTCTGTATACTTTGTTTATATTCAGCAGCTAAGTATATTTTGTCCTGTTATCATGACTCAACCTGTGATTTGTTTCAAAAGTACAAGTAAGGTTTTAAACATAATTATAGTGTAATCTCTTTAAATTTTGCTGCATTATCACTCAGAATGAGAAAAATCTAAATTAAAAGTGTGTGCACATGTATACACATTGTTCAATATACAAACTTAGGTATCATGTTAGATTCATCACGATTTGAAAATGAAATCTGATTATAATACTTGCAAGATGACTTACAAGTTAATATTTATATGTACACTTACAATTTTTATAATTTTTAAAACCATCCAATATGTTAGTTTTCTTTGATTTCTAATGATAACAGTAGAAATATCTGGCCCTGGTTATCACATCTGGTTGTTATGATCAATAGAAACGATATATGCAAAAGCAAATACATTTTAAAACTTTTTAATATTAATTTTTATTGTTACATATTCTGAATAATGCAGTTTTATAGTTATTATTATAACATGACACAAATGGTAGAGATTTTGATGCCTACATTTTTAATAAAAATGTTCAAAACCATATTTCACAAGATGTATCATGCTGTAAGGTTGCAACAGCCCTCTCAAATAGAGTTCTGCCTTTCTCTTGCCATTTAAACTAATGCTATCTGAGAGTGCAACAGAAGGCCCTCATTACATGCTGGTATCTTGATCATTGACTTCCTTGCCTACAGAACTATCAGAAAATAATTTTCTATTTTTTATAAATTACCCAGTCTCAGGTATTTTGTTACAGCAGCACAAAACAGACTAAGACATAAAGTGTAAAATTATCCTTCCATATTGCTGCAAGTGAAATGATTTTATTTTTTATAGCTGTGTAGTATTCATTGTGCGTGTATGTGTGTGTATATATGTATATCACATCATTTTCTTTATCCAGTTATTTGTTGATGGACACATGTTGATTCAATATCTTTGGTATTATGAATATTGCTGCTATAAATAAATGAGTGCAAATATCTTTTTTGGTATAATGATATTTTTTCTTTTGGGTATACACCCAGTATAGGATTGATAGAGTGAATTGTGGCTCTTTAATACTTGAAAAAATTTTCATACTGTTTTAATAGAGGTGGGACAAATTTACATTCCTTCTAATTATACTATAAGGCTATAGTAACAAAAACAATATGATACTGATATAAAAATGGACACAATACTCAATAGAGCAAAACAGAAATTCCAGGAATAAAGTGACAAAGGCACTTTGTCACTTTATTAGTGGATATTTATAAAGGGACCTACCTACAGTCAATGGATGTTTGACAACATTGAAAAAAACATACACTGGGAAAAGGATATCCCCTTCAATAAATAGTGCAGGGAAAATTGGAAAGCCACATGCAGAGGAATAAAACTGGGCCCCTATCTGTTGCCATCCACAAAATTAACTCAGGATGAATTAAAGAATTAAATATAATACCTGAAGATATAAAAGTACTCATAGAATACCTGGAAAAACTCTTCTAGACATTGGCCTTGGCAAAAAATTTGTGACTAAGACCTCAAAAGCAAATTTAGCAAAAACAAAAGTAGACAAATGGGACTTAATTAAACAAGAAAGTTTCTGCACAGCAAAAGAAATAACTGAGAAAACAGATAACCTGAAGAATGTGAGAAAATATTTGCAAACTATGCATCCAACTAAGTACTAATATCCAGAATCGACAAGAAATTCAAACAACTCAACAACAACATAGATAACCCCATTAAAAAATGGACAAAGTACATAAACAGGCATTTCTCAAAAGAAGACATACTAGTGGACAGCAAACATATGAAATAATGCTCAGTCTCATCATCAGAGAAATAAAAATTAAAAACACAACGAAATGTCACCTTATACTAGTCAGAATGGCTATTTTTTAAAAGTCACAACACATCAGGTATTGATGAGAATGCAGAGAGAAGTGAGTGAATCCTTATATAGTATAGGTGACATTTTTATTTATAGAATATCAAAATAGTTACTTAAAATTCATTTGAATTATAAAATATTAAAATGTAGATTTATGAATACTTTGTACTTTCTAAAAGTTTAACCACAATAAAAATCCAAACTACCACTGTTGTGTCCATAATAATTCATAATTGTATGTGATGATGTTGAGAAATCTTCCTAAATATTAGGATGAGTCCCTCATTTATTTTAATGAAAATATCATTCTTAAAAGCATTTCAAGGAATATAGCTCAATAATTCAACGAATAACATTTGCAAATTGATAATCCATGGTTCAAAGATGTCAAGATGAACTCAAAGTCTACAGGGATACCCTTTTGATTCAAGGAAATAATGTTACCCTAAATGAGAGAAGATAGGGAAGACCATGTCAAATGAATCACTTTTTGATGTGGTTTGGCTGTGTCCCCACCCAGATCTCATTTTGAATTTTAGTTCTCATAATCCCCATGTGTCATGGGAGGCACCTGGTGGGAGGTAATTGAATCATGAGGGCGGTTACCCTCCATGCTGTTCTTGTGATAGTGAGTGAGTCTCACAAGATCTGATGGTTTTATAAGGGGATTCCACATTTGCTCGGCTCTCATTCTTCTCCTTCCTGCTGCCATGTGAAGAAGGACTTGATTGCTTCCCCTTCCACCATGATTGTAAGTTTCCTGAATGTTCCCCAGCCGTACGGAACTGTTAGTCCATTAAAGTTCTTTTCCTTATAAATTACCCAGTCTCGGGTATTTCTTCATAGCAGCATGAGAACAGACTAATACACACTTCAATATTGATTTACATTTCTATGATCATCAGTGATCTTGAGTATTTTTTAATGTTTGTTGGCAACCTGCATGTCTTCTTTTGATAAATGTCTGTTTATGTCATTTGCCTACTTTGTAATGACATAATGTGTTTATTTATTTATTTATTGGGTTCCATGTAGATTCTGGATATTAGTACTTCGTTAGATACATAATTTGTGAATATTTTCTCCTGTTCTGTAGGTTGCCTGTTTACTCTGTTGATTATTTCCTTTGCTGTGCAGAAGATTTTTAGTTTACTTAGGTCCCATTTGCCTATTATTATTTTTGTTTCATTTGCTTCTGATGACTTAGTCATAAATTCTTTGTCAAGGCTGATATTCAGTAAAGTTTTCCTAGGTTTTCTTCTAGGAATTTTATAGGTTTTTACATTTGAGTATTTAATCAATCTTAATTTTTATATATGGTGAGATATAGGAATCCAGTTTTATTCTTGTGTATACGGATATCCAATTTTTCTAGTATAATTTATTGAAAAAGGTATCCTTTCCACATTGTTTATTTGTGCACGCTTTGTTGAAGATTAGTTGGTTGTAGGTATGTGGCTTTATTTCTTGGTTCTCTATTTAATTTTATTAAACTATGTATCTGTTTTTGTATTGGTACCATGCTGTTCTTGTTACTATAGGTTTGTAGTATAATTTGAAATGGGGTGAAGTGCTGACTCCAACTTTGTTCTTTTTGCTTAGAATTGCTTTGGCTATCTGGGTCATTTTTTCAATTCAGGATTTCATATACACTTTGGGATTGTTGTTTTCTAATTCTGTGAAAAATGACATTGGTAGTTTGATAGAAATTGCACTGAATCTTTAGATTGCTTTGGACACCATGGTCATTTTTAATTTTTTTTAATCCATGAACATGGGATATTTTTCCATTAGTTTGTTTTATTTCAGGTTTCTTCCACCCATCTTTTGTAGTTCTTATTGTAGAAATATTTTACCTCCTTGGTTAAACGTATTTCTCAGTTATATGTGTGTGTGTGTGTGTGTGTGTGTGTGTGTGTGTGTGTGTGTGTGTCTATTGTAAATGAGATTGAGTTCTTGATTTTGTTCTCAGCTTGAATATTATTGCTATATAGAAATACTACTGACTATTGGACATTGACTTTGTATTCTGAAACTTTATTGCAGTCTTTTGCCAAGTCTAGGAGTCTTTCAGAGTCTTTAGGGTTTTCTTTGTATAAGACCATGCCATCTCTTAATGTAACTTCTATCCCAACTTTTGTGGTAATTTTTTTCTTGCATTTTTCATAATTTTATTTTCTAATTTGTTTATCCAGAAATACCATTTAGTTCTGTTTGGTATTAGACTTGAAAACAGTGCAAATTTTCTTTCTTAATAAATAATGAAAATAAATTTCGTTTTTGAAATTCATCCATGTTTTTGCTTAGTTCATTCATTTTTACTGATGTATTGAGTAGTCTTAAGTTACCAATTTCATTTTTAATAGTTATGCTTTTTCCAAAAATTTTATAATAATTAGTAGTTTTATCATGACTATTCCTATATACATATTCATATAAATGCATAACCAAGAGTGCAATTGCTCATTTGGAGGGCATGCCATCTTTAGCACTATGACTATTAAATAAATTGTTTGCATTGATTAAGAGAGTGATATTCCACATCATCACCAGGACTGTGGATTGTCAGACATTTTAAGTAACTGTGGCTCCCCATACAGGATAACTTGGTTAAACTTGCTATTCACTTGGCATCCCTAGCATTATATTATTGTCATCATAAGAATGGAACCCAAAGTTCTGGAGTTTTTAATCAATTATTAAACAACAATTAATCGAATAGCGTGTAAGTTCCTAACCTTGTGCTAGCCGTTGTCCTACGTTTGTGATAAGAATAGATAAAGTGCCCTTCTACCTAGCAGTTTAGACAATAAACAAAGAGAAAAGAAATTAAATGTGTATTGTATGATAGCAGGTTAGTGATAATCACTAATAATCCAATGAGTTTATATGATACCAAAATATTGATTAGATCAGGAAATCACTGCTAAAGAGGAAACATTATTTATCAGTATGTTTATAACAGATGGAGCAATGAGTATAAAAGTCATGTGTTAGGGTATGCAAGATGATGATATAGAGCAGAGTAATCAAGGCAAAGGATAATGGTAGGTGGAGAAGCCAGCTTATAGTTCTGAGCAAGATTATATCTTTAGCTTTTATTAGGCATGTAAATGAAATACTTTTGAGATTTTCAGCTGGAAAAATGAAACTAATGTGAAATGCATTATATTGCCAGAGATGACTTCCATTGCCTGGTGGGGAAGAGACTGGAGGAAGGATGGATAATGGCAGCACACAGATGCTGCTGAGAAGCTATTTTAGTAGTTCATGTAAGAGACAATTGTCAAATTTGCAATAAACTTCCAGGTGAAATGGAATTGACTTTCTAATGGCTTGGAATGGTGTATATAAAACAGCTGGTAATGACTCCATGTTTTGAAGCTTTAGAAAATAGATTAATAATGGCTCAAATTACTGAGTGAAAAATTACTGGGAAAGAAGCAGGATTGGCAGGATGCAGATAAAGAATTCTCTTTTACTTACTAAGGTTGAGATGCCTATTTGATATTCAAGGCAGTCGCAAATGAGATGAGTGTTCAGGAATGAGATATCAGCTAAAGATATAAATTTTAGTCTTGTGCCCATATCTTAGCTGCAAGGAAGGATTTTATGAACTGCTGGTGAGACTGTAAATCAGTGCAATCAACGTAGACAAAGAAATAAATGCATACACCATGTCATCTTGTAATAACTCCCAACCCCCAACACCTAAAGAAGAGACTGTGTGTTTAAGTTGGGAGTGTATTGTGGAGTAAGAATAAGAAACAGGATGGGTGCTATAGGGAGAGAGAGTAAAATCTAGAACACATTATTAAGTTAGGTGATGGAATACTATATGACCATTCACTGAAGTGAAACAACGGGGGAAATATGTATCCATCAGCTCTAGGAGTTCCATTTTTCAAGCATAGCCTCATGGATGCTAACTTCTCGATGTGTCTAGACAGTGCATTTATGAGTAACAAGCAAAATGCCTACAACAATCCACACAACATTGTCTGAGAAATCCCACAGCAGAAAGTGAATTCTTGCTCTGGTCTGAAGCCACATACTATCACTTCCATCTTTATGAAACTGACCAAAGTCTACATAAAAATAGTAACCAAGGCTCTGACTGGAACAAGAGGTAATGCTGAGAGGGTCTGCAGTGATGTAAGATCCAATACACCCTATGATTTTTAAATTTTGTTCCTGGGTTTATAGCCTAGAGAAACTCTGACATATATATGTGTATATATATATACATTCATATATATACACATTTAATATATATATATACACACATACACATTCATAGCAGCTTTTTGTTGAAATAGCAAAAAATGAGAAAAAAACTAAATGGCAATATAATGAACAAAAGGGAGCTGTGTTTTGATATTTTTATATAGTACAATGCTAAACAGCATTTAAAATAATTGATAAGAATTATATGGGCCAACATAGATGGACATCATCAATGTCATATAAAACAAAATAAAGCAGAAGGTAGATAGACACTTTTTTTTTGAGTCGGAGTTTTTGCTCTGTTGTCCAGGCTGGAGTGCAGTGGCGTGGTCTTGGCTCACCGCAACCTCCGCCTCCCGGGTTCAAGCAATTCTCCTGCCTCAGCCTCCTGAGTAGCTCGGATTACAGGCACCCTCCACCACGCCTGGCTAACTTTTGTATTTTTAGTAGAGACAGGGTTTCACCATGTCGGCCAGGCTGGTCTTGAACGCCTGACCTCAGGTGATCCACCCACTTAGGCCTCCCAAAGTGCTGGGATTACAGGCATGAACCACCACGCCCTGATGATAGACACGTTTTTAACTTCTAAAAATATATGATCATGATTGTGTCTGTGGAGACTTGCACATATACTAAATTTTAAACAATTAGAGATATTTGTTCATTACCACATTTTGGGAGTCATTATTTCCTCTATGAAGAGAGAAAGGAATTTGATACAAGTTCACAGGGGCTTCCAGTAGATTGAGACTTTTATTTCTAGCTGAGCTGCTGATGTATGAATTTTTTTTGTTATTATGACTTTCATATGTATTAAAAATAAAATGAAAAAACAAGGATTAGGTGAGGAACCTATACGTCTCTAATATGCAAAATACCACAGAAATAATGACTGTTGGGAAATTAGGCCTTAGCTCTGATGTTTGAACCATCCCCTCAATGTTTCCCAGTGCTTCTTAGAGTATTTTGATCACCTCTGTGTTGGTGCTTTAGAACTAGAGAAGAACGTTTTGTTAACTTTTTTTTTTTTTTTTTTTTTTTTGAGACAGAGTTTCACTCTTATTGCCCAGGCTGGAGTGCAGTGGCACAATCTCGGCTCACTGCAACCTCTGCCTTCTGGATTCAAGCGATTCTCCTGCCTTGGCCTCCAGAGGAGCTGGGATTACCTGCCACCACATCTAGCTAACTTTTTGTATTTAGTTGGTCGGGCTGGTCTTGAACTCCTGACCTCAGGTGATCCACCCATGTCAGCCTCCCAAAGTGCTGGGATTACGTGCGTGAAACACTGCACCTGGCCTTTTGTTAACTTTTAGTTTAAGTTCAGGAGTACACGTGCAGGTTTGTTATACAGGTAAACTCGTGTCATGGGGATTTGTTGTACAGGTTATGTTGTCACCCGGGTATTAAGCTTAGTACCCATTAGTTACTTTTCCTGAACCTCTCCCTTTTCCCACCCGCTACTCTCAGGTAGGTCCGAGTGTGTGGTGTTCTCCTCTATGAGTCCATGTGTTCTTATCACTTGGCTCACATTTATAAATAAGAACATGCTGCATTTGTTTTTCTGTTCCTGCGTTAGTGGGAGCTGAGGATGGGTGGAGCTGAGGATAATGGTCTCCAGCTCCACCCATGTTCCTGCAAAGGACATGATCTTGTTCTTTTGTATGGATGAATACTATAAAGTCTTCCAAACTGTTTTGGTTTTGGTTTGTTTTCTTTCTTGAGAAAGGAAAGACAAAACAGAAATAAAAGAGTAGGCCGAGCGGGGTGGCTCACGCCTGTAATCCCAGCACTTTAGGAGGCTGAGGCAGATGGATCACTAGGGGTCAGGAGTTTGAGACCAGCCTGAACAACATGGTGAAATCCCGTCTCCACTGAAAATACAAAAAATCAGTCAGGCATGGTGGCACATGCCTGTAATTCCAGCTACTAGGGAGGCTGAGGCAGGAGAATCGCTTGAATCTGGGAGGCAATGGGTTGCAGGGTGTGCTGGGATGGCACCACAGCCTGGGTGAAAGAGTGAGACTCTGTCTCAAAAAAAAAATAATAAAATAAAAAAGGGAGAGAGAAAGAGTACCAATGTATGGCAGAAATCAAGAGAAGAGTTTGCTTTTTTGAATAACTACACCCTGGACATTAGTTTCAAGAAACCGTCTGCTGGAAATATAACTATATGTTTAAGTTGATGGATCATTATTACACGTAGCAGAAAGAAAGTCACTCCTTGCTAGAAAGCCCTGTGTAGGTCATTAGGCATCACAGTGTGGAGTTATCTAAGCAAGCACCAAGGTAGGATATCTGAATAACTGATTTATTTCCATGTTTACTGACAATATTCATTGCAACAAGTCAGTAGAGAAACAGTAAAGAGGGCAGGCATGGCTATGCTTCTATAGAATCTAGTGAAGAGGAGATAATTTCAAATAACCCAAGAAGGTAAATGAGTAGTCAAATTTTCAAAAGGACTATTAACTCACAAACAGGAAACTATAATAGAAAATAGTTGGTTGAAGGCAGAATGCCCAGTTCAGAAAAGATTCCTCTGAAAAGCAATATATAAGCATAGACTTCGAGGATGAAGAGTCACTCATTTTGAAAGAGCAGATGAAGAAAGTTTCAGGACAAAGAAACAGCCATCTGCAAAGACCTCAACAAAGATATCACACAGAAAATGCTGTATTTAATCTGTTGCTAGACAAAAGTGAGCTACGGATCACATGGTCTTGGATGAGGGAGACAGCTGATATAGTTTGGATGTCCCGCCCAAATCTCATGTTGAAACCAGATCCCCAGTGCTGAAGGTGGAGCTTGGTGGGAAGTGTTTGGATCATGAGGTCGAATCCTTCGTGACTTGGTGCTGTCTCCATGGTAGTGCACCTACCCCAACATACTCTCTCTCTCTTGTTCCTGCTTTCACCATGTGAAGTGCCTGCTCCTGCTTTGCCTTCTGTCATGAGTAAAAGCTCCCTGAGGCCTCTCCAGAAGAAGATGCCACTGTGCTTCCTGTACAGCCTGCAGGACTGTGAGTCAATTAAACATTTTTATAATATCCAGTCTCAGATATTTCTTCATAGCAATACAAGAACAGCCTAATATAACAGATAAGCAGGGACTAAAGTCATCAAAATTAGAATTGTGCATTTAATTTTGATTGCATTTAATTTTGATTGCATTTAATTTTGATTGCATTGAAAAGGCAGATGCTTTGAGGCTAGAATGAGGTAATAACTGTTTTGTTTTGTTTTGTTTTGTTTTGTTTGCTCTTAACAAATTAGTGTGACTTCAGTCCATAGTAAATTGGAGAGGAACTGGTAGAACATAAAAGAACTGGTAAAAAGCCATTGTAAACACTCAAGTTTCAAAAACAATTTTGTGGTAAGGGCAAATCCTCAGGTCAAGAAAAGTGTGTTACTAAATTCTGTTAGTTTCCAGAAGAAAGATAAAGTCATATGACACAGATTTTACTCCTTACGTTAGAGAGTGTGCTAAGGATACCACCCACATTTTCCAACATTTATTTCCATCATGTTTTATGATCTTCATCTATATTCCATCCTCGTTATTTCTAGCAAGTCTATGAAATTTCTTACATTAATAGAAATAATGTATTAATATTCAGCAATGTGCTAAACATTGTTGAAACATTGTCTCAATATTACTCTTGGAAGAGCTCTAAGGTAGACAATATTTCCAATATATGAGTCATGAGGAAACTGAGGAATGGAAAGATTAAACAACTTGTTGAGGGTAGCATAATTGTAAATGGTGAAGACATAATACAAATCCTAATATCTATGACTCTAATGCTTTAAAAAATCATTATATACACTACGCTGTCTCTGATGTGTGAATCTACCCACTTCTAATTCATTATAACAAGTATTTGTTGCCAGGTAGCATTCCGGGCTTTGGGGATACATCTTTGGAAAAGCTTACAGAAATCTCTGTCCTCAGGGAACTAATATTCTAGGGACTATACAATAAACAATAAGCAAAAATGTAACATGTATAGTGTGTTAGACTGTAGTAAGTACAATGGCAAAAAATTAAGAATGGAGAATGTCTAAGGGGACAGATTGTTTGGAATTTGAATAAAGTGGCTATGGAAAACTTCACTGGGATAATGGCATCTGACCAAAAGCATGAGGAAGATATAGAACAAACCGTATCTGTTGCATGTTTAGTAATAACCAAGAAAATACTGTACGTGAAGCTGAGTGAGAAAATTACATAGTGGAAGGAGGGAAGTCCATAGAAGAATTGGGGGCTTCATGTGGTGGAGCATCTATAAAGCATTGTGCAAGATTCTGACTTTTACAATGAATGAAACGAGAGATCAGAGTTTTACACAGAAAAAGGTAATAACCTGATACATGTTTTAAAGTGATTATACAAATTGCTCTTTTGAGGATGTACTGAAGGGTGCCTTACGCAGAATCAGAAACACCTGTTTGCTGGCCATTTCAATAACCTGGGCAATAAATGATGGTGGTTAGCACCAGGATGCTAGTGGTGAAAGTAGCAAAAATGATCAGAATTGAGCTGCATTTTGAACATACAGTTAATAAGTTCTGTGGCATGACAGAAAAATGATTCCATAATATTTCTATTGAGCAACCTTGTTGATGTGATATTCAAACTAAGTCCTAATATTAAACAATGTAGGAATTTCAATGAAAATATGACCAAAGGGAGAAAATGGCTCCCAACCTACTGTAATTAAAGTTCCCTTCTGTTGTTTTAAAATGCTACTATGGATAGAGAAAACAAGATATGGATTTGGAAGAAAATTGCCCACAGTCTAATTGTCAGATTTATTGACTTAAAAATGTTACATGGCAATAAAGTTGAAAGAAAAATAAGAAGAAATTCTAAAAGCCAGCATGTTAGATTTATTCCCTCCACAAAAAGAATTGCTAATATTTATAAAGTGAGATAATATGCCAAATACTTGTACTTGGCATAATTGCATTTTCTCAACAAATCCTATATAATCAACATTGTTTTATTTGTATATGTGTGAAAAATCATGACACCTGCAGTTTAAGTTACATTTGTATGAAACAGTCAATATGTGGCAGAGCCAGAATAAAGCCCACGTTTAGATTAAAGGAATTCTCTTTCCATTGCACCCACCCGTATTGCCTGTGGAAACCCTAAACAAGCCATTTAAATTTGTTGGAATTCCGTTTTTCAACTTTTTAAAACCTCTTAAGAGTCCAGTCCTAAATCAAGTTAATGTTTAAATTCTTCACTTATGCTTAGTATGTACATTATTCCAAAATGTGAATTGGTCCCAAATATCATATTCATTCTAACAGAGGACATTAAAAGTTTAAAAGATATCTGTTATATGGCTGAACTGATTATATTTTATCGGAAAGTGAAAGGAACTACTCAGCATATTTCTAATGAGTATACAGAGGAAAAGTACTTTGCCTCATTTAATTTTGTAAAATCTCTCTCTGGCACATAATTCACAGTCTTTTTTTGCCCACAGGAATAGTGAGGCAGATATGTATTAATTCATGTCATAATACAAGAATAGGTAGCGATAAAACACTGGCATTTTCCAAATTGCCAGTATAAAGAATTGCCAGAAGAACATGGGTATTAGCTTCAGATTCGCCAAGGGGTTAACATTTATGTTATCTGTTAAATATGAATTATGTATTAACTTCTCATATTTCATATATAAAACTTTATGCTTTGGTCCTGTTCCTCGGGATGACCTTGATGTAATCAGAAATAATAGTGTTCTTTACCAAAGACATTAATCAATAACTTTATAATACGAAGCACTATGAATATTTAATGGCTTCAGCTTGAATAATTCAAATCCCGTATTACTAAAAAATAAAGTCAGTTGAGTGACTGAGAGTTCCATATTCCACAATTCCTACTCTGCTTACTACCTATTCTATTTACTATTCTCTTTACTATTTGAGAAGGGTATGGAGTTGTGTATGTTGCAAACATCACGTAACTTTTGTTCGACTTTCTTGAACACGTCATATTATTTTTTTTAGTTCATTTTCTGAATATAAGTAATTTTTGGTGAATTAATACTTTAAACAAGAGTTCACCTGGAAAGCAGTAGGCAAAATTTCATTAAAAATATTATTTTATTAACATACCTTAAAAATGTAATAGGACAATGCCTCAAAGAACAATTTCAAAATAAAAACACAGAAAACAAATGACCAGCAAAATTGCTCTGAAGTCTTAAAAACAGAAATAAATACTTCAATAATCATAGGTAATATGGAAATCCAATGTATGACTTACCTATAGAAAACCCTTCTGGAATTTCATTTAAATCTAACGTCAATATGAGCTATGTAGGAAGTCCATTAATAAATAAGAATATTATATAGGTACACATGTATATATTAATTTTAAGCCATATGCAGCCCTATTTGAAAATGTTAAAAAAAATCATCAGGATTAGTCCATACTGATTATTAAAAAATAAAATTGTCACTGCTCATTGTAGAAGATAAATGTCAGCTGTGCAGCAGATGTGTTTATAGCCACCCAGTAATCCTATCGCCTCAATAATGCATTTCCCTTTTTTTAGTTAAAAACTTAATTACATTAAGAAACTGTATGTGTTTAGGAATATGAATATAGAAGGAGTAATCGTTTAGTAAAATAAGTTTTACTTGCATATTAAAATTTACTGTGTTTGTGAAGATGCTGATAGTACATTACATATGGAGATCCAAGTGCACATAGTCACTAATTCTTTAAACTATGTTTGATATTAGTAATAATTTACTTTACATATATATCGGAATTTAATTGAAAAATAGTAAATGACTGCTAATATACATTATTCTTCTGAGTTGCATTTTTGCTTAATGAAATAGAATTTTTAAAAAAATTGTTTATCTTTATTCCTACTAGATTATACATTTCATGAGAAAAGCATTATCTCTTTATTAGTATATTTGTTTACCTATATTAGAACTTGACTTTGAAATAAACCAGATATAATACCATTGTTGTAGATGTATTTATTGTAGTAAAAATAATATTCTGCATCTGAGTTTTGAGCAAGGAGATTTTACAGTCTCCTTTCAGTTAGAAAACTACAAGACCCTCTTAACTGATGTTGGAAATGTAAGTAAAGAAGATAAAAATTAAAATGATAAAGAAAAGCATTTGGGGTATAGTAGCACTGTGCTTCCCAGGAGAATGAGTTGTTAAGTGCTCACTCCGCATTTTTCAGTAACATATACTTAAAGTAAGCACACAGGGGCTACAGACGCTATTTTTTGGTTCAACATGACCTGAGCAGTTAATTATTTGTAAAGGGAAGAAGCAAGAATAGGCTCAGGGAGGGAGACAGAGAAAGACTGGGTGGGGCGGGGAGGGAGGGAGAGTTTCACCTGTATCTAAAACAGATCAGAAGCAATTTCTTCCTCCAACTCCTCACTTGTCTATTTCTACTAATAAAGAGCAAAACCAGACAAAATAGATTATTGTGTCATTTTTGTTTTCTTATTTTGTAATACACAGAAAAACTCAAGCTGGAGACGGAAATGAACAGATGCACATGGCTGGAAAGACTCAGTGCTAATCTCTACAATGTTGTTTTAATAGAATGGAGACAGGACCACATACTTTCTTACAATAATGAGGATCAATAAAGACAAAACTGACACTTTGTAATGAATAATGATCTGAACACTCACCTGAGAAAGTATCTCTTTGTTGCAGGTTTTTGGAAATGGGCTATATTTTTTGAATCATAACCGATATGTACTGCCATAAACAAGAGGATTTCAAGCCAGCTCCATCTGGTCGAAAATTATTTTATTTATTACTAAGAGAAAAGTGTAAGACAAGTCCTGTGGTAAAAACAGATTTATTGCCTCTGCTATTCACCTGTGTTATTTCTTCATATATTACCATTGACATATATTATCCATTCTTCACAGCAATGGCTTTGCCGTGGCAAATTAAATATCTCATTGTCCTTCTCTGTCCATTTTACATTATAATGTTTCTGAGCAGACTTTTATAGCTCTCTCACAGAATTATAGCAAGTCTTTAAATAAAAACAAAATTGAAACAAAAATTTTAGACTCAACTTAAAATCCCTCTTTATTTTATAATTTGGATTTTTAAGTAAAATATGCTATATCCTATTTAACGAGAACTTTCATATGTAATGTATCAATGGAATTATCTAAAGCTCATTTGGTTTTGCATAAAAACACAATTAGAGTAAAAACATTCTAAAATAGACACTGGAATAAAAACAATGAAAGCAAAACTATTAATTTTACATTTTTCATTCAAGTATTTTGATTTTTACTATATTATATTATTATATTAGGTATCAGAGTAATCATTGATCGCTTTCAAAACCCTGCTCCTTTCTAGGTGCAATGAAGAATTTTTATTTTATTGAAAAGTTATCTTAAGATGTAAGACTTGTGAATGATAGTAAAGATTTAGTAGACCCAATGTATTCTCAGATAAATGTAAAATAAGCAAGATATGAATTAAAGGATAAATATAGAGTTTAACAGCATAGATCTTAAAATCCATTATCATAAGGTAGAAGGATGTATAATTTATCATGATTAAAATATACTAAATATTCATATCACAGCATTCTGATTTCTGATATCTACAATTTAGGTGACATATATACATATGTGTGTATATATATATAACTGTATTATTTGATATTTTAAAAGATAAAAGAGTTATATATTCAAATACCAGTATAGATGTTGCTCTGAAAGTATTGTTAGATGAGATTAACATGAAAATCAGTAATTTCTGAGAAAAGCAGATTATTTTCCAAAATATTGTAGGGCTCATCCAGTCAATTGATTATATTAAAAGACTGAGATCCCTCAAGGAAATAATTCTGCCTGCAGATTGCCTTTCGACTTGAGACTGTAACATCAACTTTTCTCTAGGTCTCTTGCTTGCTAGCCTACCCTGCCAATTTTTTATACATTAAAAAATATTTTTCTCAAATATTGTAGTTCTGCTATTTCCAGAAACGCTTGAGGATTGTACTTCCAAGTTCTTTTAAAGTTGATCATCGTCATGAAACTCATCATCAAATGGCATTTGAGCAAAATCTTTATTAATTAAACATGAGTGGAAGTTTAAAGGCCAAAGCACAACTCACTCAGGCATTGTGAACTATGTGTGCAGACAGATCACAACTCATCCTTGGTCTCTGGGTGTGTCTGCGTCTATTACTGACTTACCCTGGATATGTAAAATGAGTAAGAAAAACTTTTTGTGTTAGCCACTGGGATTTTTGGTTTGTGTATTACTTTAGCATATTATCTCATTTTGAATGCTATAGTTTAGGACACTAGTTTAAACTACTGAAGTTAAAATGTTCTCCTTATTTCAGAGGAGAGAAGGATCTTACAGTGACAGACATCCATTAGTAAGAATTAATTTCTAGAGATAAAGTGAATTCAGTAACCACAGTGTCAGTAGAGTCAGCATGGTCAAAATAGTCTACATGGGAAATGTTTGGTGGCTCTTAGTTGATCATGGAGTCTCTAGAACCAAAAGTTATGAATGCCAATTAAGTTTCGATTTGGCTTATATGATCTCAAATCTTCAGGTTTACAAAACATATCTTGAGCCACCACCCAGCTCTGTCACCCAGGCTGGAGTGCAGTGGCACCATCTCAGCTCATTGCAGCCTCCGCCTCCGAGGTTTAAGCGATTCTCATGCCTCAGCCTCCTGAGTAACTGGGACTACAGGTGCTCACCACCATACAGGGATGTTTTTTCTATTTTTTTGGAGAGACACGGTTTCACCATGTTGGCCAGGCTGCTCTCGAACTCCTTACCTCATGATCCGCCCACCTCGGCCTCCCAAAGTGCTGGGATTACAGGCGTAAGCCACGGCGCCCAGCCCATTTTTTCTTTTCACCCACCTCGGCCTCCCAAAGTGCTGGGATTACAGGCGTGAGCCACTGCACTGAGCCTACAGCTCATTTCTTAACACATAAAGCTTTGCACCTCTCCACAAAACTGCCATCAGGGATGTCCCCAGAAACCATTCATCCCAGGTGCCACGCAGAGAAGAGTTGCTTGTTCTCCTTTTCCCTTTACCTCTTCCCTCTCACCTCATCATGTTCATTCATTCATCCCTTTTCCATTCTCACTTTTAAGCTTTAACCTTTCAAAAGCCTATCTTCCCCTATAAGTAATGTATTGTAACTCCCGCCATCACCATATCCTTCTCCAACCAACCAAACTGCCATCCTGAGTTTATGGAAAGTCCATAAACTAAGAAGAAATGGGAAACATTCATTGCTAACTTGGCAGCCCCTCATCCACCCTACGTGAGAGCACAGATCTTATTGTCTTTGAAGACCCTTTCTTTTTTTTTTTTTTTTTTTTTTTTTTTTTGAGAAGCAGTCTCACTGTCGCCCAGGCTGGAGTGCAGTGGCACAATCTCGGCTCACTGCAAGCTCCAACTCCTGGGTTCATGCCATTCTCCTGCCTCAGCCTCCCGAGCAGCTGGGACTACAGGCACCCGCCACCACGCCCGGCTGATTTTTTTTGTATTTTCAGTAGAGACAGGGTTTCACTGTTAGCCAGGATGGTCTCGATCTCCTGACCTCGTGATCTGCCTGCCTCGGCCTCCCAAAGTGCTGGGATTACAGGCATGAGCCACCGTGCCCAGCTCCTTTTTTTTTTAAAAGACAGGTCTCACTCTGCTGCCCAGGCTCAAGTGCAGTGGTGTAATCATGGCTTACTGCAGCCTCCAACTCCTGTGCTCAGGCTATCCGCCTGCCTCAGCCTCCCAAGCAGCTAGGACTACAGGCACACACCACCACACCTAGCTAATCTGTTTAGTTTTTGTAGAGATGGGGGTCCTGCTATGCTGAACAGGCTGGTCTCGAACTCCTGGCCTCAAGCAATCCTCCCACCTTGGCCTCCCAAAGTGCTGGGATGACAGGCATGAGCCACCATGCCTGGTCTGAAGACTTTTAAATGCTGCCATATTCAAGACGCGTTGAAACTCACCTGTATTCGATGAGCCTGCTTTTCGCAAATGAGTAACATAAAACAGACTGAAATACCTTAAGCTTCTCAGCCTTTTACCCTCCTCTGGAATAATGAGTGTATCCCAAAAGTAAATCCATAATGAGGTCCAGTTTTTCCTTCATCCTTGGCTATGAAATAGACAAGAAAAAGGCAAGCTAGCCATTTCCATCTCACTATAGCAGACTCTCATGTTTGCTTTTTGACCGTACGTGGGAAGCGGGGGCCTGACTGCTTTCCTACTTCCTAAGCACAACTTACTTTTCCTAGGAAATTATCAACACAACCTACATGGATTAAACCAGGTTCCCCCCTTTGTTTCCAATATTCTTACAGCCAAAATGTCCAGAATGGGCAAGGCAACCTGAAAAAATGAGGACGGGTACATTATCCCATGCGCTAAACTGCCACTTACACTGGTTAGTCATGAAATCGGCAAAATTCCAGATGAGCTCTCCAACCACGTATTTTCTGCGTTTTTGATCCAGACCCAGATGGTACTGCTCTAGCAGACTTTTCTGGTCCTCTTCACTGAACATCAGAGGTGGATCCTGGGATTCAAGGCAAAGAGAATTAAGAGTAAGAACTGGCAGAATTGTAAATGTTAGATAAAAATAAAGATCCACTTGATGGTGACCAAAATATCTGTCCTCACTGGGGGCTGTAGGGACTGCAGGACTCACTGATGCTAGGGTAAAGACAGCCAGGGAGAAATTGGAAATCATCATTCTCAGTAAACTATCGCAAGAACAAAAAAACAAACACCGCATATTCTCACTCATAGGTGGGAATTGAACGATGAGATCACATAGACACAGGAAGGGGAACATCACACTCTGGGGACTGTTGTGGGGTGGGGGGAGGGGGGAGGGATAGCATTGGGAGATATACCTAATGCTAGATGACGAGTTAGTGGGTGCAGCACACCAGCATGGCACATGTATACGTATGTAACTAACCTGCACAATGTGCACATGTACGCTAAAACTTAAAGTATAATAATAATAAAAAAAAATACAAAAAAAGAAACGACAGCCAGGGAATGATGTAACCCAGAATTAAAAAGGAGGTTTAAAAAAAAACCATCAATTAGCAACTGCTTTATTTATAAATATAACCTGATACTCAATTTTTCTTACTTTTCCGTCTCTGTCTGCTGATACAGTCTTAAGGCTGAACTACACTAGAAGGAAAAATATGTCTTTAGGTCAGGCGCGCTGGCTCATGTCTGTCATCCAAGCACTTTGGGAGACCGAGGTGGGAGGACTGCTTGAGCCTAGGAGTTCAAGACTAGCCTACAAAAAGTACAAAAGTTAGCCAAGCATGGAGGCACACACCTGTGGTCCCAGCTACTTGGGAGGCTGAGGTGGGAGGACTGCTTCAGTCCCGGAGGTCAAAGCTGTGGTTTGCACCACTACACTCCAGCCTGGGTGACAGAACAAGACCCTATCTCATGAATGAATGAATGAATGTAAAATGAAATTAAACTAAACCAGGCTGGGCATGGTAGCTCAGGTCTGTAATCCCAGCACTTTGGGAGGTCGAGGCAGGAGGATCACTTGAGCTCAGGAGTTCAAGATCAGCCTAGGCAACACAGTAAAACCCAGTCTCTATAAAAAGGCTAAATATTCGCTAGGTGTAGTGGCGCATGACTGTGGCTCCAGCTACTTGGGGGGCCGAGGAGGAAGGATCACTTGAGCCCAGGAGGTTGAGCAGTGAGCTGTGATTACGCCACTGCACTCCAGCCTGGGCAACAGAGTAAGGCTGTCTCAAAAAAAAATTTTTTTTAATTAAACCAGATAAATTCAGTTATCCTAGTCATATATCAAGACCTCAATAGCCACATGTAGCTAGTGGCTACCATTTCAGACAGTGCAGACATGGGGCATTTCCATCATTGCAAAGGTTCTTTTTTGAAACAAGGTCTCACTCTGTCACCCAGGTGGGAGTACAGTGGTGCAATTATGGCGGACTGCAGCCTTGACCTACTGGGCTCAAACAGTCCTCCTACCTCAGCCTCCCAAGTAGCTGGGACTAGAGGCAAGCACGACCATACCCAACTATTTTTTTTTTTTTTTTTTGAGACGGACTCTTGCTCTGTCGCCCAGGCTGGAGTGCAGTGGCACAATCTCGGCTCACTGCAACCTCCACCTCCCCAGTTCAAGCGATTCTCCTGCTTTAGCCTCCTGAGTAGCTGGGATTACAGGTGCATGCCACCACACCCAGCTAATTTCTGTGTTTTCTTAGTAGAGACGGGGTTTCACCATCTTGGTCAGGCTGGACTTGAACTCTTGGCCTCGTGATCCACCCACCTCAGCCTCCCAAAGTGCTGGGATTACAGGCGTCAGCCACTGCACCCAGCCACAACTCATCTTAAATATTTTGTAGAGATGGGGTCCATGTTGTGCAGACTGGTCTCAAACTCCTGGGCTCAAGAGATCCTCTGACCTCGGTCTCCCAAAGGGCTAGCATTCCAGGTGTGAGCCAGCACACCCAGCACTGCAGAGGTTCTATCAATGCTCACCTAGACCCTCTCGAGTTTCTTAAGAATTCAGAACTGGGGCTGGGTATGGTGGCTCATGCCTGTAATTCCAGCACTTTGGGAGGCCAAGGCAGGTGGATCGCTTGAGGTCAAAAGTTCAAGACCAGCCTGACCAACGTGGTGAAACCTCATCTCTACTAAAAAAAAAAAAAAAAAAAAAAATTAGGTGAGCATGGTGGTGCATGCCTGTAATCCAAGCTACTTGGGAGGCTGGTGCAGGAGAATTGCTTGAACCTGGGAGGCGGAGGTAGCAGTGAGTCAAGATTGCACCACTACACTCCAGCCTGGGCGACAAGTGAAACTCCTCCTAAAAGGAGAAAGAATTCAGAGCTGGTTACCTTTTCAAAGAGAATGAACAAGGGTGCATATCCACAAATCACTTCCCCCTACTTGACTAGTTTGCAGAAGTGTCATTCTGTAAGCACGATAAATTTAAGGGTGCAAACAGAACAGTGCAGTCCATTGTGGGTGGCTGTTCCCTGTGTGTCAACGGGAGTCCCAGGAGCTGTGCAAAAGAGTGTGAGCTGGCTGGGGAGGGGACAAGGGGCTGGATGGGGTTCAGGAATCCACATGAAAAAAACCCCACAAGACAAAGCAACATATCTTTGGTGAGAAGGACAAAAAATGAGATGGATAAACAAATGAGGACAGGCCAGGCATGGTGGCTCAGGCCTGTAATCCCAGGATTTTGGGACGCGGAAGCAGGCAAATCACTTGACGTCAGGAGCTCAAGACCAGCCTGGCCAACATGGCAAAACCCCACCTCTACAAAAATACAAAAATTAGCTGGGCATGGTGGCAGGTGCCTGTAATCCCAGCTGCTTGGGAGGTTGAGGCAGGACAATCGCTTGAGCCTAGGAAGTGGAGGTTGCAGTGAGCTGAGATCACACCATTGCACTTCAGCCTGGGTGACAGAGTGAGACTCCATCTCAAAAAAAAAAAAAGACAAAGTGAGTGATTAAACATGGCTCTAAGATCTCACCCATGCCCTCAATAGGTATTATTTAGCATGTACTGTGTCAGCTATTGCAGAGTACCTGGGAAACAATAATAAATAGGACTCCTGTCTCCTGAGCCCACAGTCCGATCAAAGAGAGAGCCAAAGAAATAACAACGGTGCCTGGCGAGAATGTTGGGGGAGCCAGGTTCCGGCTGCAACAGGGCAGAGCACGGGGAAGGTTCCCTCCGCCTGGGGCAGGCAGGGTAAACCTCCCCACAGAGGGGACAGCTATGAGGAGACTCAGATGCCAAATAGGAATCTTTTCAGCCACGTGTCGTGACTCATGCCTGTATTCCCAGTACTTTGGGAGTCCAAGACAGGAGGTGAAGACCAGCCTGATAGCGAGACTGCATCTCTACAAAATATTTTAAAACTAGGCTGCACATGGTGGTGCACGCCTGTAGTCCCAGCTACTCAGGAGGCTGAGGCAGGGGAATTGCTTCAGCCCAGGAGTTCGAGGCTGCAGTGAGCTATGATGACACCACCACACTCCAGCCTGGGCAACAGAACAAGACCCTGTCAGGAAAAAAATAAAAAATAAAAAAAGGCTAGCACAGTGGATCACACCTGTTAATCCCAGAACTTTGGGAGGCCAAGGCAAAAAGATCAATTGAGTCCAGGAGTTTGAGACCAGCCTGGGCAACATAGCAAGACCCTATCTCTAAAAAAATAAAAAGAAAAGGATCTTTTAGTTGGTGATTATGGTGCCAACTTGGGCATTCCAGGCAGAAAGAATAGCTCAAGCAAGAGCAGGAGAGCAAATGAGGGCAGTGGAAACAGATCAGTGGCCAGGAGTGAGAAGAGAAGAGGATGAAAACCCAGGAGAGAGCAGAGGACACTGAGTGTCCTGACTAGGGGTTAGGACTTTGTCCTATGGGCCTGGGGGAGCCAATGACAGGACTCAAAAATTTTGATTTGTGGCCGGGCACAGTGGCTCACACCTGTAAATCCCAGCGCTTTGTGAGCCTGAGGCAGGAGGGTCACTTGATCCCAGGAATTCAAGACCAGCCCGGGGAACACAACAAGGCCCCATCTCTACAAAAGTAAAAAAATTAGCCAGGCATGGTGGCCTGTGCCTATGGTCCCAGATACTCAGGAGGCTGAGGTGGGAAGATCGCTTGGGCCCAGGAGGTTAAGGCTGCAGTGAGCAGTGATCGCACCACCGCACTCCAGCTTGGGTGACACAGAGAGAGGCGGTCTCAAAAACACATAAAAATTTGGATTTCTTAGAAAGACCACTTGGGCACGGGTGATAGGAGGCTGTCTGGAAACAAGGCCAGTAAGGAGTCCACCTTTGAGGACCAAGCGAGTGGGGCAGAGGCCTGCCTGCTGGTGAGAAGGGAACGTGGACAGGGTAGCGGGAGGTGAGCCCAAAGCTGAAGCAAGGGGAGCACTGCAGTGGGCGCAGGGCAGGGTGGGGGAGGCAAGTGGCATCTCTGCCCAGAGAGAATACACAAGCAGAAAGTTCAACACCGCTTACCTGGTGAAGCCCTACAAGCGTTTCCACTCCATACGCGCTCTGAATAATGGGATTGTGATGTCTTACACCAATTCTCAAACTGGGCGGCCAGCTGCAGCCGAATCAACTCCAGGTGCCCGTAGTTGCGATACCAAGAGTAGTAGCTGTTCACACGGATCACATCCACATACAGAGCCTAGGACCAGAGCAGCAGAGCCCGTTCAGCAACCACAAGACCGCATGACTCAGTACTCACATGCTGTGGGGGCTCCTCTGACAGAGAAGGTAAGAAGGGGATGTAATCCCAGCACTCTGGGAGGCTGAGGCAGGAGGGTGGCTTGTGGCCAGGAGTTCGAGACCAGCCTGGGCAACACAGCAAGACCCCAGCTCTACAAAAAATAGTATCAAGAAAATCAGCACGGCACAGTGGCTCATGCCTGTAATCCCAGCACATTGGGAGGCCAAGGTGGGAGGATCACTTGAGCCCAGGAGTTTGAGACCAGCCTGGGCAACGTCGTAGGACTCCATTTCTACAAAACAAAACAAAAAGCCTAGAACGGGAAGAGCTGCCTCTCGGGGCTGAGAACATCCAACTGCACCAATTTAGATCCTGAAATTACCCTGCCCCACAAGCAAAAAACATGGTCACAAAGTGGCCCAAAGGAGGCAGGCCTGTGATTGCACATTGACGCTCACGACGTGTGCAGCTGGGAAGGGCTGTGAGAGGCAGAGCAGCTGCCAACACGCAGTCCTCAGCCAAAACCCAGGGCCCCCGCCACTGGAACTGACTCCTCTCCAGGCAGCACTCCCAGCACTGGGCATCCCCTCACCTTGCCCTGGAGAAGCCCTCCCACCCAAGGGGCCAATGCAGTCATTCTCGCAGATAATCTTTTTCCGCTTTGTTTGGAAGACAGAGTCTCGCTCTGTTGCCCAGGCTAGAATGGAGTGGCACAATAATGCAACCTCTGCCTCCCACGATCAAGCGCAGGCGTGGTGGCATGTGCCTGTTATCCCAGCTACTTGGGAGGCTGAGGCAGGAGAATTGCTTGAACCTGGGAGGCGGAGGTTGCACTGAGCTGAGACTGTGCCACTGCACTCCAGCCTGGGCAACAGAGCAAGACTCTATCTTAAAAAAATAATAAAAAATAAAAAAGAATGCTAGTATCAGCCAGGCACGGTGGCTCATGCCTGTAATCCCAGCACTTTAGGAGGCTAAGGCAGGAGGATCACTTGAGCTCAAGAGTTTGAGACTGGCCTGGGCAACATAGTGAGATCCCATCTCTACAAAAACATTTAAAATTAGCCGGGCACAGTGGTGTACCCCCGGAGTCCCAGCTACTTGGAAGGCTGAGGCAAGAGGGTTGCTTAGGCCCAGGAATTCAAGGCTGCAGTGAGCTGTGATCACACCACTGCACTCCAGCCAGAGCAACAGAGTAAGACCTTGCCTTCACACACACACACAAAAAAACAAAAAACTCAGGTTCCAACCCTGGAGTTACTAAATCAGGATCTCAGAACGCAGAGATCTGGCATTTCAATAAAACTTCCCCTGGAGATTCTGATCAGCCAGGTTTGGGCCAGATGAACTCTAAGCTCACTTAAACCTTTGACATTTTATGAGTCTATTAAATCGAGTACAAAAAATGCTGAGTCCAAACCGGGCAAACAAATCCCATCTCCCTATGCCCAGCCTCCTTGGATTCAGAAAGCCACACTGCCTGGAGAGTAAGCAGAGAGAGAATTGTCATTAACCCAAAGACCATCTTTGAAAACAGACTGGCCGCGGCTGAGTGCGGTGGCACACGCCTGTAACCCCAGCCCTTTGGAAGGCCGAGGCAGGAGGATCACTTGAGCCCAGGAGTTCGAGACCAGCCTGGGCAACATGGCAAGACCCTGTCTCTATCTTTCTAAGTAAAACAAAATAAAAAGCTCAGACTGGCAGCACATGGTTCTTTCCAGCTGTTCCCATGAGCAGGCTTCAGGACAAGCCCAGGCAAAGGCAGGGAGAAATGGGGTGGGGACCCCCAGGCTCACCCCCTTGTCTGCTGCGTAGGTGGAGTTGGTCCCAAAGGTCACAGGCTGGGAGGGGTCCAAGGCTTTGGTGTGAGCAATCACCATCCTGTCCACAAAAGAGAGAAGACACAGGTTCCGTCAGTCCGGGAAAGGCTCAGACACCCTCCCATCCTCTCTGTCCCATCTTCCCCTGCCAGAACACAACTGGTGGCCAGGCACGATGGCTCACGCCTGTAATCCCAGCACTTCAGGAGGCTGAGGCAGGCAGATCACTGAGGTCAGGGGTTCAAGAACAGCCTGGCCAACATGGCAAAACCCCATTTCTACTAAATATACAAAAATTAGCCAGGCTTAGTGGCACGCATCTGTAACTCCAGCTACTCGGGAGGCTGAGGCACAAGAATTGCTTGAACCCGGGAGGTGGAGGTTGCAGTGAGCCGAAATCACACTACTGCACTCCAGCCTGGGCCACAGAGCAAGACCCTGCCCCAAAACAAACAAACAAACAAACAAACAAACAAACAAACAAAAAGAAAGAAAGAAAAGAAAAAAAAAAAAAAAAAAACAAAGCACAGAGCCGCTGCTTTCTTCCCTAACTTGAGATGTATTTTACATAAGGGCACGTTCCTCTAGTCCTAGACCGAGCTCTCTAACAACACTCTTTCTCCCCCACCCCTGAATCCAACTCCCCCAGAGGCGTAGCCACCCTGCCGGGTACACAGAGCTGAGGTCACTGGACTGAACACTGCCAGAAATGAGGTTCACTTCCTGAAATAGCTCTTGAACACAGGAGTGAATGGGCTGTGGATTCAGGTGGAATATTTATTAATGCATCAAGCAAACAGGTAGTGCGAGGTGGGAGGTAGGCATGAGGCTGGGTGCTAGGTGCTCAGTAATGACTCAAATCTAAGTCCACAGGTCCTGGGCAGTGGGAGTGGAGATGCATGCACAGAAAAACGGTGCAAGTGCCAGGCGAGGTGGCTCAAGCCTAGAACCCCAGCACTTTGGGAGGCTTACTTGAGACCAGGCGCTTGAGACCAGCCTGGACAACATAGCAAGACCTTGTTTCTACAACAAATTTAAAAATTAGGGCCGGGCATGGTGGCTCAAGCCTGTGAGCACTTTGGGAGGCCAAGGCAGGTGGATCACGAGCTCAAGAGTTCGAGACCAGCCTGGCCAACATGGTGAAACCCCATCTCAACAAAAAATAAAGAAGAAAACTAGCTGGGCATGGTGGCGTGAGCCTGTAATCCCAGCTACTCGGGAGGGTGAGGCAGGAGAACTGTTTGTACCCAGGAGGTAGAGGATGCAGTGAGCCAAGATCGCAACACTGCTCTCCAGCCTGGGAGACAGAGCAAGACTCTGACTCGTGGGGAAAAAAAAATATTAAAATTTAGCCTGGCAAGGCAGCGCACGTCTGTGGTCCCAGCTATTTGGGAGGCTGAGTGGGGAGGATCGCTTAAGCCCAGGAGGTCGAGATGGCAACGAGCTATGATTGCACCACTGCACTCCAGCCTGGGCAACAGAGTGAGACCCTGACTCTGAAAAACAAACAATGAAAGAAATGTTGCGAATGGAAATGACAAGTGGTGGCAGGAATTGGGCACTCTATGAGACAACAGACACATCCCCGATTGGAGAGTCAGGGACAGGCTCTTAGAAGAAATGGCCTTTATGCTGAGTCAAGTTAACCAGGAGGGATGAAGGGAAGAGGCTCCCAACAGAGGGACCAGTCCGTGCTCAGAGCTCCCAGCATCTGCCCAAGGCCTCCACAGAACAGACTGTTGTGTTTTTGTTTTGTTTTGTTTTGTTGAGATACAGAGTCTCATTCTGTAGCCCAGGCTGGAATGCAGTGGCATTATCTCAGCTCATTGCAATCTCTGCCTCCTGGTTCACCTGAGGCGATTCTCCTGCCTCAGCCTACCTGGTAGCTGGGATTACAGACGTCCACCACCATGCCCAGCTAATTTTTGTATTTTTAGTAGAGACAGGATTCACTACCTGTTGACCAGGCTGGTCTCGAACTCCTGACCTCGGGTGATCCACCCACCTCAGCCTCCCAAACTGCTGGGATTACAGGCGTGACCCACCGCATCCGGCCTAGACCGTTGTTGAAGCTGGTTTTCTTCTTCTTTCCTCAGTTCTTTTCTTTTACATCTTCCCCCCATCATTGCTCTGCCCATCCGAAGGCTGTGGCTGGCACAGGACAGAATAGAACCTCCTAGCCTCAAGTTCCAAACCCACACTCTCCAATAGCCAGGCTCTCAGATGGGAAGCTTCAAAGCCTTGTGACAGCCTGGCTGAACCTCTCCAGCCTGGGCCCTCCCTCCATTTCCTGCCCCGGAAACAGGCATCTCCTCTGGCCACCTCCCAAAGCCTGTCTGGAAGCCTCAGGCACCCGCTCCTGGAAGCCTGTACGATTCACAACAAACGGCCTGTCCACCCAGTCGTGCTGAGCACACCCCTATTCCCCCGAGCTCTGAATTGTCCTTTGCCCAGGCTAGGACAACATCTCAGAGCCTTCTGCCTGCTGCAGACTCGGCTCAGCCCAAATCACTCCATGAAATTGGGGTGTGGCATCTGCCTCAAGGAGCATTTCTACAACCTCTGCTGCCTCTACCGCAAATGAAACTGGCTCTCACCCACTGGCTCTCGGTGACGGGCACAGTGCGGAGCCCCACAGGGAGTGTGTAGAAGTCAAAGGCCCCAGTGACTTCTGTGCAGTCAGCCGCACCTACGACAGCCAAAGCGCCAGGTGTGAGCGCCCCGACAGCCTGAGCCCCATCTGGCCTGCCCTACAGCAGGAAGACCCCTCGTGCATGCACCCCAGAAGTCGCCACTGGGCCTGCAGAGAAGCAGCAACCAGAGGCTCTGCCCTTCACTGGCTGACCCTGGGACCTGCCCTTCAAAATCAGGCCTTCTCCTTGACCAGACGAGGTGGCTCATGCCTGGAATCCCTACACTTTGGGAGGCTAAGGCAGGAGGATCACCTGAGTCCAGGAGTTCAAGACCAGCCTGGGCAACCTAGTAAGACCCCAACTCTATAAAAAGGAGTTTTTTTTTTTTGAGACAGTCTCACTCTGTCACCCAGGATAGAGTGCTGCGGCATGATCTCAATTCACCGCAGCCCCTGCCTCCTGGGTTCAAGCAATTCCCCTGCCTCAGCCTCCCGAGTAGCTGGGATTACAGACGTGCACCATCATGCCCTGCAAATTTTCATATTTTAGTAGAGACGGGGTTTCACCATGTTGGCCAGGCTGGTCTCCAACTCCTGGCCTAAAGTGATCCGCCCGCGTCAGCCTCCCGAAGTGCTGGGATTACAGGTGTGAGCCACCATGCCCGGCCTACAAAAAAAATTTTTTTAATTAGCCAGGCATGGTGGCATGTGCCTGTAGTCCCAGCTACTCAGGAGGCCAAGGTAGGAGGATTGCAGCTCAAAGCTGCAGTGAGCTGTGATCAGGCCATTGCATTCCAGCCTGGGTGACAGAGTGAGACCATCACAAAAACAAACAAACAAATAAATAAATAAATAAATAAATAAATAAATAAAAAATCTGGGCCTCCCACCAAGGGTGGGAAACATCAGAAAGCTCAGAGGACCACACCTGCCCGTTCACCTGTCCTGGGCTCCTGCTGAAGCCAGGGCTACCAGATGGGGGCAAAAGACCTCCCTTACGCAAGTCCCAAACCACCATTACCTCCCACGAGTACAGGTAGGCGGGGTGTTCGTGCATCAGGTACGGCCACCAGAGGTTGGCACCCAGCACCTTCAGCTGGCCCTGGGTCCCAGCCTGGTTGTCCACGACTTTGTTTTCTGCATTCAAAAGACACACTTCCAACTTGAACTGGTTACTGCACTTGACGGAGATCTGGTAATTCACCAGCCCTGCAGGAGGCAAGAGAGACCAGGGCTTAGGGAGGGACATGACCTGGGTCACACAAACGGGAAGGCCCCACAATGACCACTCCCAGGCACTCTCATTTGCTTCTGTTGCTTTTTTTTTTTTTTTTTTTGAGATAGAATCTCGCTCTGTCACCCAGGCTGGAGTGCAGTGGCATGATCTGGACTCACTGAAACCTCTGCCTCCCAGGTTCAAGTGATTCTCCTGCCTCAGCCTCTGGAATAGCTGGGATTACAGGCACCTGCCACCACATCCAGCTAATTTTTGTATTGTTAGTAGAGACGGGGTTTCACCACATTAGCCAGGATGGTCTTGATCTCCTGACCTCGTGATCCGCCTGCCTCGGCCTCCCAAAGTGCTGGGATTACAGGCTTGAGCCACCGTGCCCGGCCCTGAACCAATGCGCCCAGCCCGCTTTTAATTTAATTTTTTAATTTTTTTTTTTTTTTTTTTTTTTTTTTTGAGATGGAGTCTCACTGTCACCCAGGCTGGAGTGTAGTGCTGCGATCCTGACTCGCTGCAACCTCCACCTCTGGAGTTCAGGTGATTCTCCTGCCTCAGCCTTCCGAGTACCTGGGAATACAGGAATGCACCACCATGCCCGGCGAATTTTTCTATTTTCAGTAGAGACGGAGTTTTGCCATGTTGGCCAGGCTGGTCTCGAACTCCTGAACTCAGGTGATCCACCCGCCTCAGTCTCCCAATAGATTACATATATTATTAATGAATTGCTTCCTTTAACACCCTATTCATTGAATTTTCCAGTAAACCACAATTACTAATTACTCCTGAAATCAGAAAAGAGGTTAAAAAGATTTTATAACAGTATCCTATGAAATCTACTACTTTCAAGTAATAGTAGTTGAATTACCAAAACCCGTCACTCAAGCCAATGACTACAATTAAGATATGAGTAACATTTCCTAGATAAATAAAGTCAATTAATTATATTTGCATCTGGGAAATAGAGAAAGTACATATAAGCCATGATTTTGAAGTCAAAAGAGAGAGAATATTTGCCAAGGAGGGGTGAGTTATAGTATGTAATTATAACATACAGAAGCTTTTTGTATGCTGGTAACTAATTTTAATTTCCTACATTTTTATGTAGATTTCTGCTATTCTTGTCCTATTTTCCTAATCATCTTTCTATATGAATGACTACATAATTCTGAGAATACCAAAAGAGACAGACACAGAACCAATCGGATTCCTTTCTTCTTGAAGCTTCTGCACAGCAAAAGAAACTATCAACAGAGTGAACAGACAACCTACAGAATGGGAGAAAATTTTTGCAACAATGCATGTGACAAAGATCTAATGTCCAACACTGATAAGGAACTTAAACAAATTTACAAGAAAAAAAAAAATCTCATTAGAAAGTGGGCACAGGACATAAACAGACACTTCAAAAGAAGACACACATGCGGCCAACAAGCATATGAGAAAAAGCTCAATATCACTGATCATTAGAGAAATGCAAATCAAAACCACAATGGCATACCATCTCACACCAGTCAGTATGGTTATTATTAAGAAGTCAACGCCGGGCATGGTGGCTCACGCCTATAATCCCAGCACTTCAGGAGGCCAAGGCAGGCAGATCGCATGAGGTCAGGAGTTCCAGACCAGCCTGGACAACCTGGCGAAACCCCGTCTCTACTAAAAATACAAAAATTAGCCCAGCGTGGTGGCGGGTGCCTGTAATCCCAGCTACTCAGGATGCTGAGGCAGGAGAATCGCCTGAACCCGGGAGGCAGAGGTTGTAGTGAGCCGAGATCATACCACTGCACTCTCCAGCTTAGGTGACAGAGCGAGACTCTGTCTCAAAAAAAAAAAAAAAATATTTGAATTTTGTTTAAATCGCTAACACATACTGGGCATTTAATAACAAAAAAAAAGGACATGAGATTGTGATCCTTATGAAGGTTTGAGAGGCATTTCACTAGGGTTCAACATACAGCAGTCTGAAACATACTGTAATAATTTAATCCAATGGCTCATCTACAGCACCTAAAAAGATTACAGCAGATTCTCATTATTCAGTGTAGTTACGGTCTAGAAAGTTCCATGAACAAATAAAAAGTTAGGTTTCAGCAAGCTACTGGTCACACTTTTGTAAGCTTACCAACACCTACTTTTGTTGTATGTGTGCTTATTTAATATATATTGTTGGCCAGGCACAGTGGCTAACGCCTGTAATCCCAGCACTTTGGGAAGCCAAGGCGGGCAGATCATTTGAGGTCTGGAGTTCGAGACCAGCCTGGCCAACGTGGTGAAACCCCGTCTCTACTAAAACTACAAAAAAAAAAAAAAAAAATTAGCCAGGCATGGTGGCGCATGCCTGTAGTCTTAGCTACTTGGGAGGCGAAGGCAGGGGAATCGCTTGAACCCAGGAGGCAGAGGTTGCAGTGAGCCAAGACTGCACCACTGCACTCCAGCCTGAGCAACAGAGTGAGACTCTATCTCAAAAAAAAAAATAATAATAATTAATTAAATGAAGAATAAATAAATAATATACATTGTTCATTCATTAACATTGAACTCACAGCCAACGGCACTACAGCACTCACGCCTGAATGGAGTTTATTTAATGCATGTATTTTCTCTGTAAGACACATCACAGACTTCTTGGACTTGTGAATGCTAAGCAGCACTTCAGCACTATGCTTGGGGGTTAATTTAAATGGCAAAACAACCAACAAACAGTACAAAAACAGGAAAAGCATGGCATTAAATAGACCACAAAAAGGATACCTGACTATTGTATGAGAGCTGAAAAAGAAGGCAGAATATCATCCTGTTCAAACTCAAATTCTTTGACACTCTGCGCAAACACATGACTATGAAAGTGCTGTGAGTACTGATTTGGGGGTTACAAAAAATAGTAGGTGAGTTCACAAATACAAAAGCTGAAAACAAGGAGGATCGACTGTATTTTCGTAGACAATCTAATCTCAGAAGATTTCAGTTCAGACAAAAATCATGATAATTACTGTATTACAAAAGGGCACTAGATAGGGGGGAAAGAGTAAAAATCACAATTAAAACAAAGGTTCAAAATTCTGCAGCAACCATATCCAGTTACACTTTAATATGTTTGCGGCAGACTACATTATTGTTCCCAACTCATCACCCCTCCCTATATCTAAAACCTTTCCCCAAGACAATGCAGTTCCTCCTGCTAGAGATCAGGTATATTTATCTATACTATCAATGTTAGCCATGGACAAGGTATGTGCTTTGGCTGACTGAATGTTAGTGGACATGAGAGAAGCAATGGCTTAAAATGTACTTCCAGAACTGGAGTTTCCTTGTGATTCTATCACTGTGACAGAAACACATTCTCAGGTAGTCCACTGATCCAAGGGGGAACAAACACACAGAAAACATACCTAGACTCTATCTGCAGCTTGCAGCCTCACCAAGCCAACAACAGTCAACTCACAGATATGTTAGCAAAAATAAATGTTTTTCGTACCTTAAGTTTTATATAATTATTGACCTGCAGTTAACTGATATACAATATACATTAATCTTAAAATATCAGTATCCCATTAAAAATATTTACATTAAAAACTGAGACCACTTTCTTTCCTCCTTTTTTTTTTTTTTTTTTTAAATTAAGAGACAGGGTGTCTCAATGTTGCCCAAGCTGGAGTTCGGTGGCTAGTGGCTATTCACAAGAACGATCATCGCACACTACCTCAAACTCCTGGGATCAAGCAATCCTCCTGCCTCAGCTTTCCAAGTCGCTGGGACTATAAGTGTGTACCACAGCATGTCAGCTCTCTCTCTCCTTCTTGACCTAAAGCCTAGCATAAAATTAGCTAAGTAGAATGTTTCCAAAGATGGCTGCATCAGTATCTCCCATCCCACATAATTTCTGTTTGATTTTGCCATTCACCCATAAAATGGTGGGATCTACCTCCCCTCCTTGCAAATTTGAGCTGGCCCTCTGATCCTGTCTAAGATCTGAAGCCAGATATTAAGGTACTTCATTAATTTCCATGTTTGTCCTCTATGCAACCTAGCAATCAAGCAAGAAGTCAAAACATACTGACATAGTTTGGATGGGTCCCCACCCAAATCTCACCTTGCATTGTAATAATTCCCACGTGTCAAGGGTGGGGCCGGGTGCAGATAACTGAATCATGGGGATGGTTCCCCCCATACTGTTCTCGCGGTAGTGACTAAGTCTCATGAGATCTGATGGTTTTATAAATGGGAGCTCCCCTGCACATGCTCTCTCCTGCCTGCCACTATGTGAGACATGCTTTTGCACCTCCTTGCCTTCCACCATGACTGTGAGGCCTCCCCAGCCATGCAGAACTGTGAGTCAATTCAACCTCTTTCCTTTATAAATTACCCAGTCTCAGGTATGTCTTTATTTGCAGTGTGAGAACAGACTAATACAATAAGTTGATACCAGTAGAGTGGGGTGCTGCTGTAAAGATACCCGAAAATGTGGAAGCAACTTTGGAAATGGGTAACAGGGAGAGGCTGGAACAGTTTGGAAGGCTCAGAAGAGGATAGGAAAATGTGGGAAAGTTTGGAACTTCCTAGAGACTTGTTGAATGGCTTTGACCAAAATGTTAATAGTGATATGGACAACAAGGTCCAGGCGGAGGTGGTCTCAGAGGCAGATGAGGAATTTGTTGGGAAATGGAGTAAAGTCACTCTTACTATGCAAAGACACTGCAGGCATTGTGCACCTGTATTAGAAACGGGCATAAGATAGGCGGGAAAGAGGGAAAATAAGAATTTTTTTCTAGAGTTCCCTACAGATCTGTGGAACTTTGAACTTGAGAGAGATGATTTAAGGTATCTGACACAAGAAATTTCTAAGCAGCAAAGCATTCGAGAAGAAGCAGAGCATAAAAGTTCAGAAAATTTGTAGCCTGATGATGCAACAGAAAAGAAAAATCTATTTTCTCAGGAGACTGGGTTGTAGAAATTTGCATAAGTAATGAGGAGCCAAATGTTAATCACCAAGACAATGGGGCAAATGTCTCCAGGGCATGTTAGAGACCCTCACAGCAGACCCTCCCATCACAGGCCAGGAGGCTTAGAAGGAAAAATGGTTTTGTGGGTCCAGAACCCCCTGCTGTGTGCAGCCTAGGAACTTGGGGCCCTGCATCCCAGCTGCTCCTGCCATAGGTAAAAGGGGCCAAGGTACACCTCAGGCCATGGCTTCAGAGGGTGCAAGTTCCAAGCCTTTCAGGTTCTAGGTGGTGTTAAGCCTGCAGATGCACCGAAGTCAAGAATTAACGTTCATGAACCTCCGCCTACATTTCAGAAGATGTATGAAAATGCCTGGAAATCCAGGCAAAAGTTTGCTGTGGGGGGGAGGGGAGGGGAGGGGGGGCCCTCATGGATAACCTCTGCTAGGGCAGTGTCAAAGGGAAATATGGGGTTGGAGCTTCCACACAGAGTCCCCACTGGGGTACTGCCAAGCAGAGCTGTGAGAAAAGGGCCACCATCCTCCAGACCCCAGAATGGTAGATCCACTGACAGCTTGCACTGTGTGCCTGGAAAAGCTGCAGACACTCAATGCAGCCAGAAGGGGGGCTGTACCCTGCAAAGCCACAGGGGCGGGGCTGCCCAAGACCCTGGGAACCCACTTCTTGCATCACCTAGATGTGACACATGGAGTCAAAGGAGGTCATTTTGGAGCTTTAAGATTTGCCTGCTGGGTTTTGGACTTGCATGGGGCCTGTAGCTCTTTCGCTTTGGCCAATTTCTCCCATTTGAAACGAGTGTATTTACCCAATGCCTGTATCCCTGTGTATCTAGAAAATAACTAACTTGCTTTTGATTTTACAGGCTCATAGGTGGAAGGGACTTGCCTTGTCTCAGATGAGACTTTGGACTATGGAATTTTGAGTTAATGCTGAAATAAGAGTTTGGGGGACTTAGGGGAAGGCATGATTGCTTTTGAAATATGAGGACATGAGATTTGGGAGGGGCCGGGGAAGAATTATATGGTTTGGCTCTGTCCGCACCCAAATCTCATCTTGAATTGTAACAATTCCCATGTGTCAAGGGTGGGGCCAGGTGGAGATAACTGAATCATGGAGGCAGTTTCCCCCATGCTGTTCTCATGGTAGTGAATAAGTCTCATGAGGTCTGATGGTTTTATAAATGGATGTTCCCCTGCACATGCTCTCTCCTGCCCACCATGTCTGACTAAATTTTGTATTTTTACTAGAGACGGGCTTTCACTATGTTGGCCAGGCTGGCCTCCAACTCCTGATCTCGTGATCCGTCCACCCCGACCTCCCAAAGTGCTAGGATCATAGGCATAAGCCACCACACCCGGCCTCTTTTTTTTCTTTTTCTTTTTTTTATCTGGAGACTGAGTTTTGCACTCGTTGCCCAGGCTGGAGTGCAATGGTGCGATCTCAGCTCACTGCAGTCTCCACCTCAGCAGGAGAGCAGGAATCTTCAGTGATCCACGGGCAAATATGCAGCCATTGTGGGCACCTGTTCCTCCCGCGACCTTTGTGCCCACGTCTCTCCCTCCAGTACCTACTGCACGACCCCCCACGTCCGCCTCCTGCCATTGCCAGCAGGTGCCTTGCGCGGGTACCTGGCTGCGCTTATTCATCCATTATGGTCGCTCTGTCACTGGTGCCATTATGTGCTCACATGCCCACTCCCTCAGGTTTAGAAGTCGCGTTGCCCGGCAACAGAACAATCTGCTGGCTTAGCCTTTGGCCAAGTTGGCAGCTGGACGAGGACGCTCAGAGCCCAGCTCTTGAGAGTTCAAGTATCCGACAGTTCCCCACTGCTCCCAGGAGCGGTTACCCGGGCACTCTGTGCCCCTCATTCCTGTTTGGGCCAAGGCCGAGGACCTGCGAGTAGGGCTCAGTTGCCTGGAGCCCCTTCAGCCCATCCCCCAGTTCACTTTGCTTGTGGGATCTCCCCGTTGCTCCTGCCCCTGGACTGAGTGGCAGGCCATCCTACAAACACCCGGACACTCGACATCACTGGTGTCAAGACAACTCTAAGAAGGTTTCAAGTGATCCTGCAAGACCTGTGTTCCATCCTGGTGATTCTGTCTTCAATTTCACTGCACAGGTACCACAGTAAGCCAGTGCTGTGTGCTCCGAGTTCCAGGGCATCCCCCAGCTCAGCCACTACACTGAGCACAAGGACTCTGTGGGGCCCAGGAGCAGGTAGTCACCCCTTTGGGGTCCACAACACCCGGCTGTCCCCAGACTTGTGTCCAGGGAAGATAGTGTTGAGGGCCCTCAAGGAGAGCGGGGCAGGGATGCCTGAGCAGGACAAGGACCCCAGAGTCCAAGAAAATCCTGATGATCAGAGAACGGTCCCCGAGGTCACCGGGGATGCACGGTCTGCATTTTGGCCCCTGCGGGACAATGGAGGCCCCTCTCCCTTTGTGCCCAGGCCCGGGCCTCTGCAGACAGACCTCCATGCCCAGAGCTCAGAAATCAGATATAACCACACATCCCAGACATCCTGGACGAGCTCGAGCACCAAACGAAATGCCATCTCCAGCTCCTACAGCTCCACGGGAGGCTTGCCGGGGCTAAAGCAGAGGAGGGGGCCAGCCTCATCCCGCTGCCAGCTGACCCTCAGTTACTCAAAGACAGTGAGTGAGGACAGGCCTCAGGCTGTCTCTTCGGGTCACACACGGTGTGAAAAGGGGGCAGATACAGCACCAGGGCAGACAATCGCCCCAACGGGTGGCTCCCCCAGATCCCAGGACTCTAGGCCCCGTAGACGCAAGATTCCCCTGCTGCCACGCAGGCGAGGGGAGCCTTTGATGCTGCCACCTCCCTTAGAGCTGGGGTACCGGGTCACGGCTGAAGACCTGCACCTGGAAAAAGAGACGGCATTCCAGCGCATCAACAGTGCACTGCACGTTGAGGACAAGGCCATCCCGGACTGCAGACCCTCACGGCCTTCCCACACTTTGTCCTCACTTGCAACAGGGGCTTCGGGTGGGCCTCCCGTTTCTAAAGCACCCACTATGGATGCACAGCAGGACAGACCCAAGTCCCAAGACTGCCTGGGCCTACTGGCCCCCCTAGCATCTGCTGCAGAGGTCTCCTCTACAGCTCCCGTGTCTGGGAAGAAGCACAGACCACCAGGACCCCTGTTCTCCTCCTCAGATCCCCTTCCTGCCACCTCTTCCCACTCCGGGGACTCAGCCCAGGACACCTCGCTGATTCCTGCCCCCTTCACACCTGCAAGCAGGGATGCCGGCATCAGAAGAATGTTTCGTGTTCGAAATTGTTTGAGGGGTTTGGGTTTATTTTTGTTGGTTTTTTCTTTTTTTTTTTTGCTTACGTGGGCATCCTTCAGCTTTTAATAATCTGAAAAATTCTATTTACCCATTGTCAATGTGTATAAATTAATCTCAGTCAATTTTATACAATAAAAGGTGAACTTTTATCCATCAAACAATAATTTAACAAAAAATGTACCGGAAGAAGAATGTTCATTACAAATATAGGAAACATAAATATTACCAAATATTGGCAAGCACTAAAATGTTCAGAAATATAAGTCTATTACAGTTATAGCTCTCTCAAGCAAAAAAACAGCAGAGAAAAACTTAGTTTTCCTGAGGGGCTATTTATTTACTTAGGGATTTGTTAAAAGGTCAAATGGGGTCACACAGAATACTAAGAAGAGCTGTTCACCCAGGCCTCACTAAGAACTCTTCTTCATGCAGTAGCTATATAGTAATATGACAACTGCTCCTACGACCCAAAGAGGAACTACAGCAACTACTCTTTAGCATCTGTTGCTCCCAACTCTGCTTTGCAATTATATGACTCAAGCATTCTGGCTCCGTTAACTATTACTGCTGTTACTCCCAAGTAAATTCCCTCTAAAAAATAAAAATTTTTAAAGCTGTAATTTAAGCTCTCTGCTGCCTCATGACTTCAATTCCATCAGAGTTACGCATTGTTTCCTCTGTACATCTTTGCTCTGCTTCCATTGCTAATTCCCTAGTAAAGTGTTGTATATTCAAAGTTCCAAAGAAACAGAATATCCAAGACATCACCAATCATCCAAAACACAGTGTAGGAGGCCACAGTTAAGAGAAGCAAGACCATTAGCTCTTTTTATAGGCTCGAGAACAACAGGATGCTTTGGTCCTGTATCAGCAGGACGCTTTTTGGGTAGATCCTACTGCCACCCTACTATCGGGTAGATCCTACTGTCACCCTAGCTATGGGCACATGTCAGAGTCCCATGTAATAAAGGAGACAAAAGGAAACCACCACGAGTATAAACTAAGAAAAGTACTCCAAGGTTTCTAAGAATGGAGCTGTATAACTCACTTTGCCCCGTTTGTTACTTCTCCACGGTACTTACCACCACCTATTACATATATTTTGTTTATAGTCAGTCTTCCCCCATTAGAATGAAAGTTCCGTGAGGATAGGACTATACAGTCAGCCCTCAGTATCCATGGGGGACTGGTTTCAGGATCTCCTGAGGGTAACAAAGGATACTCAAGTCCCTGATATAAAATGACATAGTATTTGCACATCACCTTTGCACATCCTCCCATATACTTCATATCAACTCTAGATCACTCATAATATCCGATGTAAATGTCATGCAAATAGTTATTGTACTATATTGTGTAAGGAATAAGGACAAGAAAAAAGTCTGTACATGTTCAGTACAGACGCAATTTTTTTTTCCAATATTTCCAATCCTTGGTTGCCTTAACGGATGTAGAACCCAGGAATAAGTTCTGGTGTCCTATTGCATAGTAGGATGAGTATAGTTAACAATAACATATTATATATTTGAAAATAGCCAGAAGAGTAGATTTTGAATTTTCTCCCTACAGAAAAATCATTATGCAAATTACCCTGATTTGATCATTACACATTGAGTACATGTATTAAAACATCACATTCTACCCCATATATATGTACAGTTATTATGTGTCCATAAAAATTTAATGTCAATGTGTGAAATAAAATGAAAAAATAAAAATTTTTAAAGCTGTAATTATCTCCATCTGGTAGGAATATATACAATCTGAAATAAAAAATATATTTGTAATTGTTAGGACAAAATAGATTATACATTAAGTCTGCAAATTATAAATTATAAAATTCTCACAGAACCTGAAAAATTATTGATACTGTTAAATATTTAAAAAGCTGTCCTTGGAGAGAAAGAAACCTATCAGATTTACATCAACAAGTGTAATATGTCAGCCTATTACCATCTGCTACAGACTGCATGTTTGTGTTCCCTCAAAATTCATATGATAGGCCCGGCGCGGTGGCTCATGCCTGTAATCCCAGCACTTTGGGAGGCCGAGGCGGGTGGATCATGAGGTCAGGAGATCGAGATCATCCTGGCTAACATGGTAAAACCCCGTCTCTACTGAAAATACAAAAAATTAGCCGGGCGCAGTGGCGGGCGCCTTAGTCCCAGCTACTGAGGAGGCTGACGCAGGAGAATGGCGTGAACCCAGGAGGCGGAGCTTGTAGAGAGCCGAGATTGTGCCACTGCACTCCAGCCTGGGTGACAGACAGAGCGAGACTCTGTCTCAAAAAAAAAAAAAAAAAAAAAAAAATTCATATGATAAAGCCCTAACCCCCAAGGTGAGGATACTGGGAGGCGTGGCCTTTAGGAGAGAATTAGGTTTAGATGAGGTCATGAGAATAGAGCCCCTATGGTGGCATTACTTCCTTTATAAGAAGAGACACTAGAGCTGCTTTTCTCCCTACCATGTGAGGATACCGAGAGAAGATGGCCATTTCCAATCTAGGAAGCAGGCCCTCTTTAAGAAACGTAATTTGCCAACACTTTGATCTTGCACTTCCAGTCTGCAGAACTGTGAGAAATATCTGTTTTTTTTTGTTTGTTTGTTTTTGTTTTTTTTGAGACAGAGTCTCATTCTGTCATCCAGGCTGGAGTACAGTGGTGCGATCATGGCTCACTGCAACCTCCGCCTCCCAGGTTCAAGCAATTCTCCCACCTCAGCCTCCCAAGTAGCTCAGACTACAGGCGTGCACCACCACGCCCAGCTAATTTTCGTAGAGACAAGGTTTTGCCATGCTGCCCAGGCTAGTCTCAAACTCCTGAGCTCAAGTTATCCACCTGCCTCGGCCTCCCAAAGTGTTAGGAATACAGGCATAAGCCACCACGCCTGGTCAAAATATCTACTGTTTAAGCTACCTAATTTATGGTATTCTGTTTTAGCAGCTGAAGCAGACTAAGATACCATCCTATAAGCTACAGACCAGCACTATCCAATAGAACTTTATATGACGAGCAAATGTTTTATATCTGTGCTATCCCTTATGTTAGCCACTAGCCACATGTATCCATCAAGTATTTGAAATATGGCTAGTGCAACTAAAGAACTTAATTTTTAATTTTCTTTTTTTTCTTGAGATGGAGTCTCGCTCTGTCCCCCAGGCTGGAGTGCAGTGGCGCCATCTCGGCTCACTGCAAACTCTGCCTCCCAGGTTCACGCCATTCTCCTGCCTCAGCCTCCTGAGTAGCTGGGACTGCAGGCGCCCGCCACCACGCCCGGCTAATTTTTTGTATTTTTAATAGAGATGGGGGTTCACCGTCTTAGTAAGGATGGTCTCGATCTCCTGACCTAATGATCTGCCCGCCTCGGCCTCCCAAAGTGCTGGGATTACCGGCGTGAGCCACCACGCCCGGCCAATTTTTATTTTATCTTATTTAAATAACCACATGTGGCTAGTGGCTAATGTATTGAACACTACAGCTGTAGACAATACGAAATAAATATAAAGCAGTCTCCACTTTGGAAAAACAGAAGACTCTTACTGCCTCATAATATAGATGAAAAATGAAATACTAAGATAAGTAAAACGTTCTTTAAAGAACAAAAACAAAAGAAAACCTAATGAAAGCTATAAAAGTCCATTGGATAATAATGCTACCAGTACTAAGGAAGTACAGCCCCTAAGAGTGACTTGCAGTCACAAATATAAAAATGACTATTCAACTGAACTCCTAAGGTGAAAATTTCTTATTCACCATGCTCCAAAATGGTCTGTAATATTCTTCAGAGATGGCATGGTGGGGGAGGCAAGTGGCATCTCTGCCCAGAGAGAATACACAAGCAGAAAGTTCAACACCGCTTACCTGGTGAAGCCCTACAAGCGTTTCCACTCCATACGCGCTCTGAATAATGGGATTGTGATGTCTTACACCAATTCTCAAACTGGGCGGCCAGCTGCAGCCGAATCAACTCCAGGTGCCCGTAGTTGCGATACCAAGAGTAGTAGCTGTTCACACGGATCACATCCACATACAGAGCCTAGGACCAGAGCAGCAGAGCCCGTTCAGCAACCACAAGACCGCATGACTCAGTACTCACATGCTGTGGGGGCTCCTCTGACAGAGAAGGTAAGAAGGGGATGTAATCCCAGCACTCTGGGAGGCTGAGGCAGGAGGGTGGCTTGTGGCCAGGAGTTCGAGACCAGCCTGGGCAACACAGCAAGACCCCAGCTCTACAAAAAATAGTATCAAGAAAATCAGCACGGCACAGTGGCTCATGCCTGTAATCCCAGCACATTGGGAGGCCAAGGTGGGAGGATCACTTGAGCCCAGGAGTTTGAGACCAGCCTGGGCAACGTCGTAGGACTCCATTTCTACAAAACAAAACAAAAAGCCTACAACGGGAAGAGCTGCCTCTCGGGGCTGAGAACATCCAACTGCACCAATTTAGATCCTGAAATTACCCTGCCCCACAAGCAAAAAACATGGTCACAAAGTGGCCCAAAGGAGGCAGGCCTGTGATTGCACACTGACGCTCACGACGTGTGCAGCTGGGAAGGGCTGTGAGAGGCAGAGCAGCTGCCAACACGCAGTCCTCAGCCAAAACCCAGGGCCCCCGCCACTGGAACTGACTCCTCTCCAGGCAGCACTCCCAGCACTGGGCATCCCCTCACCTTGCCCTGGAGAAGCCCTCCCACCCAAGGGGCCAATGCAGTCATTCTCGCAGATAATCTTTTTCCGCTTTGTTTGGAAGACAGAGTCTCGCTCTGTTGCCCAGGCTAGAATGGAGTGGCACAATAATGCAACCTCTGCCTCCCACGATCAAGCGCAGGCGTGGTGGCATGTGCCTGTTATCCCAGCTACTTGGGAGGCTGAGGCAGGAGAATTGCTTGAACCTGGGAGGCGGAGGTTGCACTGAGCTGAGACTGTGCCACTGCACTCCAGCCTGGGCAACAGAGCAAGACTCTATCTTAAAAAAATAATAAAAAATAAAAAAGAATGCTAGTATCAGCCAGGCACGGTGGCTCATGCCTGTAATCCCAGCACTTTAGGAGGCTAAGGCAGGAGGATCACTTGAGCTCAAGAGTTTGAGACTGGCCTGGGCAACATAGTGAGATCCCATCTCTACAAAAACATTTAAAATTAGCCGGGCACAGTGGTGTACCCCCGGAGTCCCAGCTACTTGGAAGGCTGAGGCAAGAGGGTTGCTTAGGCCCAGGAATTCAAGGCTGCAGTGAGCTGTGATCACACCACTGCACTCCAGCCAGAGCAACAGAGTAAGACCTTGCCTTCACACACACACACAAAAAAACAAAAAACTCAGGTTCCAACCCTGGAGTTACTAAATCAGGATCTCAGAACGCAGAGATCTGGCATTTCAATAAAACTTCCCCTGGAGATTCTGATCAGCCAGGTTTGGGCCAGATGAACTCTAAGCTCACTTAAACCTTTGACATTTTATGAGTCTATTAAATCGAGTACAAAAAATGCTGAGTCCAAACCGGGCAAACAAATCCCATCTCCCTATGCCCAGCCTCCTTGGATTCAGAAAGCCACACTGCCTGGAGAGTAAGCAGAGAGAGAATTGTCATTAACCCAAAGACCATCTTTGAAAACAGACTGGCCGCGGCTGAGTGCGGTGGCACACGCCTGTAACCCCAGCCCTTTGGAAGGCCGAGGCAGGAGGATCACTTGAGCCCAGGAGTTCGAGACCAGCCTGGGCAACATGGCAAGACCCTGTCTCTATCTTTCTAAGTAAAACAAAATAAAAAGCTCAGACTGGCAGCACATGGTTCTTTCCAGCTGTTCCCATGAGCAGGCTTCAGGACAAGCCCAGGCAAAGGCAGGGAGAAATGGGGTGGGGACCCCCAGGCTCACCCCCTTGTCTGCTGCGTAGGTGGAGTTGGTCCCAAAGGTCACAGGCTGGGAGGGGTCCAAGGCTTTGGTGTGAGCAATCACCATCCTGTCCACAAAAGAGAGAAGACACAGGTTCCGTCAGTCCGGGAAAGGCTCAGACACCCTCCCATCCTCTCTGTCCCATCTTCCCCTGCCAGAACACAACTGGTGGCCAGGCACGATGGCTCACGCCTGTAATCCCAGCACTTCAGGAGGCTGAGGCAGGCAGATCACTGAGGTCAGGGGTTCAAGAACAGCCTGGCCAACATGGCAAAACCCCATTTCTACTAAATATACAAAAATTAGCCAGGCTTAGTGGCACGCATCTGTAACTCCAGCTACTCGGGAGGCTGAGGCACAAGAATTGCTTGAACCCGGGAGGTGGAGGTTGCAGTGAGCCGAAATCACGCTACTGCACTCCAGCCTGGGCCACAGAGCAAGACCCTGCCCCAAAACAAACAAACAAACAAACAAACAAACAAACAAACAAAAAGAAAGAAAGAAAAGAAAAAAAAAAAAAAAAAAACAAAGCACAGAGCCGCTGCTTTCTTCCCTAACTTGAGATGTATTTTACATAAGGGCACGTTCCTCTAGTCCTAGACCGAGCTCTCTAACAACACTCTTTCTCCCCCACCCCTGAATCCAACTCCCCCAGAGGCGTAGCCACCCTGCCGGGTACACAGAGCTGAGGTCACTGGACTGAACACTGCCAGAAATGAGGTTCACTTCCTGAAATAGCTCTTGAACACAGGAGTGAATGGGCTGTGGATTCAGGTGGAATATTTATTAATGCATCAAGCAAACAGGTAGTGCGAGGTGGGAGGTAGGCATGAGGCTGGGTGCTAGGTGCTCAGTAATGACTCAAATCTAAGTCCACAGGTCCTGGGCAGTGGGAGTGGAGATGCATGCACAGAAAAACGGTGCAAGTGCCAGGCGAGGTGGCTCAAGCCTAGAACCCCAGCACTTTGGGAGGCTTACTTGAGACCAGGCGCTTGAGACCAGCCTGGACAACATAGCAAGACCTTGTTTCTACAACAAATTTAAAAATTAGGGCCGGGCATGGTGGCTCAAGCCTGTGAGCACTTTGGGAGGCCAAGGCAGGTGGATCACGAGCTCAAGAGTTCGAGACCAGCCTGGCCAACATGGTGAAACCCCATCTCAACAAAAAATAAAGAAGAAAACTAGCTGGGCATGGTGGCGTGAGCCTGTAATCCCAGCTACTCGGGAGGGTGAGGCAGGAGAACTGTTTGTACCCAGGAGGTAGAGGATGCAGTGAGCCAAGATCGCAACACTGCTCTCCAGCCTGGGAGACAGAGCAAGACTCTGACTCGTGGGGAAAAAAAAATATTAAAATTTAGCCTGGCAAGGCAGCGCACGTCTGTGGTCCCAGCTATTTGGGAGGCTGAGTGGGGAGGATCGCTTAAGCCCAGGAGGTCGAGATGGCAACGAGCTATGATTGCACCACTGCACTCCAGCCTGGGCAACAGAGTGAGACCCTGACTCTGAAAAACAAACAATGAAAGAAATGTTGCGAATGGAAATGACAAGTGGTGGCAGGAATTGGGCACTCTATGAGACAACAGACACATCCCCGATTGGAGAGTCAGGGACAGGCTCTTAGAAGAAATGGCCTTTATGCTGAGTCAAGTTAACCAGGAGGGATGAAGGGAAGAGGCTCCCAACAGAGGGACCAGTCCGTGCTCAGAGCTCCCAGCATCTGCCCAAGGCCTCCACAGAACAGACTGTTGTGTTTTTGTTTTGTTTTGTTTTGTTGAGATACAGAGTCTCATTCTGTAGCCCAGGCTGGAATGCAGTGGCATTATCTCAGCTCATTGCAATCTCTGCCTCCTGGTTCACCTGAGGCGATTCTCCTGCCTCAGCCTACCTGGTAGCTGGGATTACAGACGTCCACCACCATGCCCAGCTAATTTTTGTATTTTTAGTAGAGACAGGATTCACTACCTGTTGACCAGGCTGGTCTCGAACTCCTGACCTCGGGTGATCCACCCACCTCAGCCTCCCAAACTGCTGGGATTACAGGCGTGACCCACCGCATCCGGCCTAGACCGTTGTTGAAGCTGGTTTTCTTCTTCTTTCCTCAGTTCTTTTCTTTTACATCTTCCCCCCATCATTGCTCTGCCCATCCGAAGGCTGTGGCTGGCACAGGACAGAATAGAACCTCCTAGCCTCAAGTTCCAAACCCACACTCTCCAATAGCCAGGCTCTCAGATGGGAAGCTTCAAAGCCTTGTGACAGCCTGGCTGAACCTCTCCAGCCTGGGCCCTCCCTCCATTTCCTGCCCCGGAAACAGGCATCTCCTCTGGCCACCTCCCAAAGCCTGTCTGGAAGCCTCAGGCACCCGCTCCTGGAAGCCTGTACGATTCACAACAAACGGCCTGTCCACCCAGTCGTGCTGAGCACACCCCTAATCCCCCGAGCTCTGAATTGTCCTTTGCCCAGGCTAGGACAACATCTCAGAGCCTTCTGCCTGCTGCAGACTCGGCTCAGCCCAAATCACTCCATGAAATTGGGGTGTGGCATCTGCCTCAAGGAGCATTTCTACAACCTCTGCTGCCTCTACCGCAAATGAAACTGGCTCTCACCCACTGGCTCTCGGTGACGGGCACAGTGCGGAGCCCCACAGGGAGTGTGTAGAAGTCAAAGGCCCCAGTGACTTCTGTGCAGTCAGCCGCACCTACGACAGCCAAAGCGCCAGGTGTGAGCGCCCCGACAGCCTGAGCCCCATCTGGCCTGCCCTACAGCAGGAAGACCCCTCGTGCATGCACCCCAGAAGTCGCCACTGGGCCTGCAGAGAAGCAGCAATCAGAGGCTCTGCCCTTCACTGGCTGACCCTGGGACCTGCCCTTCAAAATCAGGCCTTCTCCTTGACCAGACGAGGTGGCTCATGCCTGGAATCCCTACACCTTGGGAGGCTAAGGCAGGAGGATCACCTGAGTCCAGGAGTTCAAGACCAGCCTGGGCAACCTAGTAAGACCCCAACTCTATAAAAAGGAGTTTTTTTTTTTGAGACAGTCTCACTCTGTCACCCAGGATAGAGTGCTGCGGCATGATCTCAATTCACCGCGGCCCCTGCCTCCTGGGTTCAAGCAATTCCCCTGCCTCAGCCTCCCGAGTAGCTGGGATTACAGACGTGCACCATCATGCCCTGCAAATTTTCATATTTTAGTAGAGACGGGGTTTCACCATGTTGGCCAGGCTGGTCTCCAACTCCTGGCCTAAAGTGATCTGCCCGCGTCAGCCTCCCGAAGTGCTGGGATTACAGGTGTGAGCCACCATGCCCGGCCTACAAAAAAAATTTTTTTAATTAGCCAGGCATGGTGGCATGTGCCTGTAGTCCCAGCTACTCAGGAGGCCAAGGTAGGAGGATTGCAGCTCAAAGCTGCAGTGAGCTGTGATCAGGCCATTGCATTCCAGCCTGGGTGACAGAGTGAGACCATCACAAAAACAAACAAACAAACAAACAAACAAATAAATAAATAAATAAATAATCTGGGCCTCCCACCAAGGGTGGGAAACATCAGAAAGCTCAGAGGACCACACCTGCCCGTTCACCTGTCCTGGGCTCCTGCTGAAGCCAGGGCTACCAGATGGGGGCAAAAGACCTCCCTTACGCAAGTCCCAAACCACCATTACCTCCCACGAGTACAGGTAGGCGGGGTGTTCGTGCATCAGGTACGGCCACCAGAGGTTGGCACCCAGCACCTTCAGCTGGCCCTGGGTCCCAGCCTGGTTGTCCACGACTTTGTTTTCTGCATTCAAAAGACACACTTCCAACTTGAACTGGTTACTGCACTTGACGGAGATCTGGTAATTCACCAGCCCTGCAGGAGGCAAGAGAGACCAGGGCTTAGGGAGGGACATGACCTGGGTCACACAAACGGGAAGGCCCCACAATGACCACTCCCAGGCACTCTCATTTGCTTCTGTTGCTTTTTTTTTTTTTTTTTTTGAGATAGAATCTCGCTCTGTCACCCAGGCTGGAGTGCAGTGGCATGATCTGGACTCACTGAAACCTCTGCCTCCCAGGTTCAAGTGATTCTCCTGCCTCAGCCTCTGGAATAGCTGGGATTACAGGCACCTGCCACCACATCCAGCTAATTTTTGTATTGTTAGTAGAGACGGGGTTTCACCACATTAGCCAGGATGGTCTTGATCTCCTGACCTCGTGATCCGCCTGCCTCGGCCTCCCAAAGTGCTGGGATTACAGGCTTGAGCCACCGTGCCCGGCCCTGAACCAATGCGCCCAGCCCGCTTTTAATTTAATTTTTTAATTTTTTTTTTTTTTTTTTTTTTTTTTTTGAGATGGAGTCTCACTGTCACCCAGGCTGGAGTGTAGTGCTGCGATCCTGACTCGCTGCAACCTCCACCTCTGGAGTTCAGGTGATTCTCCTGCCTCAGCCTTCCGAGTACCTGGGAATACAGGAATGCACCACCATGCCCGGCGAATTTTTCTATTTTCAGTAGAGACGGAGTTTTGCCATGTTGGCCAGGCTGGTCTCGAACTCCTGAACTCAGGTGATCCACCCGCCTCAGTCTCCCAATAGATTACATATATTATTAATGAATTGCTTCCTTTAACACCCTATTCATTGAATTTTCCAGTAAACCACAATTACTAATTACTCCTGAAATCAGAAAAGAGGTTAAAAAGATTTTATAACAGTATCCTATGAAATCTACTACTTTCAAGTAATAGTAGTTGAATTACCAAAACCCGTCACTCAAGCCAATGACTACAATTAAGATATGAGTAACATTTCCTAGACAAATAAAGTCAATTAATTATATTTGCATCTGGGAAATAGAGAAAGTACATATAAGCCATGATTTTGAAGTCAAAAGAGAGAGAATATTTGCCAAGGAGGGGTGAGTTATAGTATGTAATTATAACATACAGAAGCTTTTTGTATGCTGGTAACTAATTTTAATTTCCTACATTTTTATGTAGATTTCTGCTATTCTTGTCCTATTTTCCTAATCATCTTTCTATATGAATGACTACATAATTCTGAGAATACCAAAAGAGACAGACACAGAACCAATCGGATTCCTTTCTTCTTGAAGCTTCTGCACAGCAAAAGAAACTATCAACAGAGTGAACAGACAACCTACAGAATGGGAGAAAATTTTTGCAACAATGCATGTGACAAAGATCTAATGTCCAACACTGATAAGGAACTTAAACAAATTTACAAGAAAAAAAAAAAATCTCATTAGAAAGTGGGCACAGGACATAAACAGACACTTCAAAAGAAGACACACATGCGGCCAACAAGCATATGAGAAAAAGCTCAATATCACTGATCATTAGAGAAATGCAAATCAAAACCACAATGGCATACCATCTCACACCAGTCAGTATGGTTATTATTAAGAAGTCAACGCCGGGCATGGTGGCTCACGCCTATAATCCCAGCACTTCAGGAGGCCAAGGCAGGCAGATCGCATGAGGTCAGGAGTTCCAGACCAGCCTGGACAACCTGGCGAAACCCCGTCTCTACTAAAAATACAAAAATTAGCCCAGCGTGGTGGCGGGTGCCTGTAATCCCAGCTACTCAGGATGCTGAGGCAGGAGAATCGCCTGAACCCGGGAGGCAGAGGTTGTAGTGAGCCGAGATCATACCACTGCACTCTCCAGCTTAGGTGACAGAGCGAGACTCTGTCTCAAAAAAAAAAAAAAAATATTTGAATTTTGTTTAAATCGCTAACACATACTGGGCATTTAATAACAAAAAAAAAGGACATGAGATTGTGATCCTTATGAAGGTTTGAGAGGCATTTCACTAGGGTTCAACATACAGCAGTCTGAAACATACTGTAATAATTTAATCCAATGGCTCATCTACAGCACCTAAAAAGATTACAGCAGATTCTCATTATTCAGTGTAGTTACGGTCTAGAAAGTTCCATGAACAAATAAAAAGTTAGGTTTCAGCAAGCTACTGGTCACACTTTTGTAAGCTTACCAACACCTACTTTTGTTGTATGTGTGCTTATTTAATATATATTGTTGGCCAGGCACAGTGGCTAACGCCTGTAATCCCAGCACTTTGGGAAGCCAAGGCGGGCAGATCATTTGAGGTCTGGAGTTCGAGACCAGCCTGGCCAACGTGGTGAAACCCCGTCTCTACTAAAACTACAAAAAAAAAAAAAAAAAAATTAGCCAGGCATGGTGGCGCATGCCTGTAGTCTTAGCTACTTGGGAGGCGAAGGCAGGGGAATCGCTTGAACCCAGGAGGCAGAGGTTGCAGTGAGCCAAGACTGCACCACTGCACTCCAGCCTGAGCAACAGAGTGAGACTCTATCTCAAAAAAAAAAATAATAATAATTAATTAAATGAAGAATAAATAAATAATATACATTGTTCATTCATTAACATTGAACTCACAGCCAACGGCACTACAGCACTCACGCCTGAATGGAGTTTATTTAATGCATGTATTTTCTCTGTAAGACACATCACAGACTTCTTGGACTTGTGAATGCTAAGCAGCACTTCAGCACTATGCTTGGGGGTTAATTTAAATGGCAAAACAACCAACAAACAGTACAAAAACAGGAAAAGCATGGCATTAAATAGACCACAAAAAGGATACCTGACTATTGTATGAGAGCTGAAAAAGAAGGCAGAATATCATCCTGTTCAAACTCAAATTCTTTGACACTCTGCGCAAACACATGACTATGAAAGTGCTGTGAGTACTGATTTGGGGGTTACAAAAAATAGTAGGTGAGTTCACAAATACAAAAGCTGAAAACAAGGAGGATCGACTGTATTTTCGTAGACAATCTAATCTCAGAAGATTTCAGTTCAGACAAAAATCATGATAATTACTGTATTACAAAAGGGCACTAGATAGGGGGGAAAGAGTAAAAATCACAATTAAAACAAAGGTTCAAAATTCTGCAGCAACCATATCCAGTTACACTTTAATATGTTTGCGGCAGACTACATTATTGTTCCCAACTCATCACCCCTCCCTATATCTAAAACCTTTCCCCAAGACAATGCAGTTCCTCCTGCTAGAGATCAGGTATATTTATCTATACTATCAATGTTAGCCATGGACAAGGTATGTGCTTTGGCTGACTGAATGTTAGTGGACATGAGAGAAGCAATGGCTTAAAATGTACTTCCAGAACTGGAGTTTCCTTGTGATTCTATCACTGTGACAGAAACACATTCTCAGGTAGTCCACTGATCCAAGGGGGAACAAACACACAGAAAACATACCTAGACTCTATCTGCAGCTTGCAGCCTCACCAAGCCAACAACAGTCAACTCACAGATATGTTAGCAAAAATAAATGTTTTTCGTACCTTAAGTTTTATATAATTATTGACCTGCAGTTAACTGATATACAATATACATTAATCTTAAAATATCAGTATCCCATTAAAAATATTTACATTAAAAACTGAGACCACTTTCTTTCCTCCTTTTTTTTTTTTTTTTTTTAAATTAAGAGACAGGGTGTCTCAATGTTGCCCAAGCTGGAGTTCGGTGGCTAGTGGCTATTCACAAGAACGATCATCGCACACTACCTCAAACTCCTGGGATCAAGCAATCCTCCTGCCTCAGCTTTCCAAGTCGCTGGGACTATAAGTGTGTACCACAGCATGTCAGCTCTCTCTCTCCTTCTTGACCTAAAGCCTAGCATAAAATTAGCTAAGTAGAATGTTTCCAAAGATGGCTGCATCAGTATCTCCCATCCCACATAATTTCTGTTTGATTTTGCCATTCACCCATAAAATGGTGGGATCTACCTCCCCTCCTTGCAAATTTGAGCTGGCCCTCTGATCCTGTCTAAGATCTGAAGCCAGATATTAAGGTACTTCATTAATTTCCATGTTTGTCCTCTATGCAACCTAGCAATCAAGCAAGAAGTCAAAACATACTGACATAGTTTGGATGGGTCCCCACCCAAATCTCACCTTGCATTGTAATAATTCCCACGTGTCAAGGGTGGGGCCGGGTGCAGATAACTGAATCATGGGGATGGTTCCCCCCATACTGTTCTCGCGGTAGTGACTAAGTCTCATGAGATCTGATGGTTTTATAAATGGGAGCTCCCCTGCACATGCTCTCTCCTGCCTGCCACTATGTGAGACATGCTTTTGCACCTCCTTGCCTTCCACCATGATTGTGAGGCCTCCCCAGCCATGCAGAACTGTGAGTCAATTCAACCTCTTTCCTTTATAAATTACCCAGTCTCAGGTATGTCTTTATTTGCAGTGTGAGAACAGACTAATACAATAAGTTGATACCAGTAGAGTGGGGTGCTGCTGTAAAGATACCCGAAAATGTGGAAGCAACTTTGGAAATGGGTAACAGGGAGAGGCTGGAACAGTTTGGAAGGCTCAGAAGAGGATAGGAAAATGTGGGAAAGTTTGGAACTTCCTCGAGACTTGTTGAATGGCTTTGACCAAAATGTTAATAGTGATATGGACAACAAGGTCCAGGCGGAGGTGGTCTCAGAGGGAGATGAGGAATTTGTTGGGAAATGGAGTAAAGTCACTCTTACTATGCAAAGACACTGCAGGCATTGTGCACCTGTATTAGAAACGGGCATCAGATAGGCGGGAAAGAGGGAAAATAAGAATTTTTTTCTAGAGTTCCCTACAGATCTGTGGAACTTTGAACTTGAGAGAGATGATTTAAGGTATCTGACACAAGAAATTTCTAAGCAGCAAAGCATTCGAGAAGAAGCAGAGCATACAATTTCAGAAAATTTGTAGCCTGATGATGCAACAGAAAAGAAAAATCTATTTTCTCAGGAGACTGGGTTGTAGAAATTTGCATAAGTAATGAGGAGCCAAATGTTAATCACCAAGACAATGGGGCAAATGTCTCCAGGGCATGTTAGAGACCCTCACAGCAGACCCTCCCATCGCAGGCCAGGAGGCTTAGAAGGAAAAATGGTTTTGTGGGTCCAGAACCCCCTGCTGTGTGCAGCCTAGGAACTTGAGGCCCTGCATCCCAGCTGCTCCTGCCATAGGTAAAAGGGGCCAAGGTACACCTCAGGCCATGGCTTCAGAGGGTGCAAGTTCCAAGCCTTTCAGGTTCTAGGTGGTGTTAAGCCTGCAGATGCACCGAAGTCAAGAATTAACGTTCATGAACCTCCGCCTACATTTCAGAAGATGTATGAAAATGCCTGGAAATCCAGGCAAAAGTTTGCTGTGGGGGGGAGGGGAGGGGGGGCCCTCATGGATAACCTCTGCTAGGGCAGTGTCAAAGGGAAATATGGGGTTGGAGCTCCCACACAGAGTCCCCACTGGGGTACTGCCAAGCAGAGCTGTGAGAAAAGGGCCACCATCCTCCAGACCCCAGAATGGTAGATCCACTGACAGCTTGCACTGTGTGCCTGGAAAAGCTGCAGACACTCAATGCAGCCAGAAGGGGGGCTGTACCCTGCAAAGCCACAGGGGCGGGGCTGCCCAAGACCCTGGGAACCCACTTCTTGCATCACCTAGATGTGACACATGGAGTCAAAGGAGGTCATTTTGGAGCTTTAAGATTTGCCTGCTGGGTTTTGGACTTGCATGGGGCCTGTAGCTCTTTCGCTTTGGCCAATTTCTCCCATTTGAAACGAGTGTATTTACCCAATGCCTGTATCCCTGTGTATCTAGAAAATAACTAACTTGCTTTTGATTTTACAGGCTCATAGGTGGAAGGGACTTGCCTTGTCTCAGATGAGACTTTGGACTATGGAATTTTGAGTTAATGCTGAAATAAGAGTTTGGGGGACTTAGGGGAAGGCATGATTGCTTTTGAAATATGAGGACATGAGATTTGGGAGGGGCCGGGGAAGAATTATATGGTTTGGCTCTGTCCGCACCCAAATCTCATCTTGAATTGTAACAATTCCCATGTGTCAAGGGTGGGGCCAGGTGGAGATAACTGAATCATGGAGGCAGTTTCCCCCATGCTGTTCTCATGGTAGTGAATAAGTCTCATGAGGTCTGATGGTTTTATAAATGGATGTTCCCCTGCACATGCTCTCTCCTGCCCACCATGTCTGACTAAATTTTGTATTTTTACTAGAGACGGGCTTTCACTATGTTGGCCAGGCTGGCCTCCAACTCCTGATCTCGTGATCCGTCCACCCCGACCTCCCAAAGTGCTAGGATCATAGGCATAAGCCACCACACCCGGCCTCTTTTTTTTCTTTTTCTTTTTTTTATCTGGAGACTGAGTTTTGCACTCGTTGCCCAGGCTGGAGTGCAATGGTGCGATCTCAGCTCACTGCAGTCTCCACCTCAGCAGGAGAGCAGGAATCTTCAGTGATCCACGGGCAAATATGCAGCCATTGTGGGCACCTGTTCCTCCCGCGACCTTTGTGCCCACGTCTCTCCCTCCAGTACCTACTGCACGACCCCCCACGTCCGCCTCCTGCCATTGCCAGCAGGTGCCTTGCGCGGGTACCTGGCTGCGCTTATTCATCCATTATGGTCGCTCTGTCACTGGTGCCATTATGTGCTCACATGCCCACTCCCTCAGGTTTAGAAGTCGCGTTGCCCGGCAACAGAACAATCTGCTGGCTTAGCCTTTGGCCAAGTTGGCAGCTGGACGAGGACGCTCAGAGCCCAGCTCTTGAGAGTTCAAGTATCCGACAGTTCCCCACTGCTCCCAGGAGCGGTTACCCGGGCACTCTGTGCCCCTCATTCCTGTTTGGGCCAAGGCCGAGGACCTGCGAGTAGGGCTCAGTTGCCTGGAGCCCCTTCAGCCCATCCCCCAGTTCACTTTGCTTGTGGGATCTCCCCGTTGCTCCTGCCCCTGGACTGAGTGGCAGGCCATCCTACAAACACCCGGACACTCGACATCACTGGTGTCAAGACAACTCTAAGAAGGTTTCAAGTGATCCTGCAAGACCTGTGTTCCATCCTGGTGATTCTGTCTTCAATTTCACTGCACAGGTACCACAGTAAGCCAGTGCTGTGTGCTCCGAGTTCCAGGGCATCCCCCAGCTCAGCCACTACACTGAGCACAAGGACTCTGTGGGGCCCAGGAGCAGGTAGTCACCCCTTTGGGGTCCACAACACCCGGCTGTCCCCAGACTTGTGTCCAGGGAAGATAGTGTTGAGGGCCCTCAAGGAGAGCGGGGCAGGGATGCCTGAGCAGGACAAGGACCCCAGAGTCCAAGAAAATCCTGATGATCAGAGAACGGTCCCCGAGGTCACCGGGGATGCACGGTCTGCATTTTGGCCCCTGCGGGACAATGGAGGCCCCTCTCCCTTTGTGCCCAGGCCCGGGCCTCTGCAGACAGACCTCCACGCCCAGAGCTCAGAAATCAGATATAACCACACATCCCAGACATCCTGGACGAGCTCGAACACCAAACGAAATGCCATCTCCAGCTCCTACAGCTCCACGGGAGGCTTGCCGGGGCTAAAGCAGAGGAGGGGGCCAGCCTCATCCCGCTGCCAGCTGACCCTCAGTTACTCAAAGACAGTGAGTGAGGACAGGCCTCAGGCTGTCTCTTCGGGTCACACACGGTGTGAAAAGGGGGCAGATACAGCACCAGGGCAGACAATCGCCCCAACGGGTGGCTCCCCCAGATCCCAGGACTCTAGGCCCCGTAGACGCAAGATTCCCCTGCTGCCACGCAGGCGAGGGGAGCCTTTGATGCTGCCACCTCCCTTAGAGCTGGGGTACCGGGTCACGGCTGAAGACCTGCACCTGGAAAAAGAGACGGCATTCCAGCGCATCAACAGTGCACTGCACGTTGAGGACAAGGCCATCCCGGACTGCAGACCCTCACGGCCTTCCCACACTTTGTCCTCACTTGCAACAGGGGCTTCGGGTGGGCCTCCCGTTTCTAAAGCACCCACTATGGATGCACAGCAGGACAGACCCAAGTCCCAAGACTGCCTGGGCCTACTGGCCCCCCTAGCATCTGCTGCAGAGGTCTCCTCTACAGCTCCCGTGTCTGGGAAGAAGCACAGACCACCAGGACCCCTGTTCTCCTCCTCAGATCCCCTTCCTGCCACCTCTTCCCACTCCGGGGACTCAGCCCAGGACACCTCGCTGATTCCTGCCCCCTTCACACCTGCAAGCAGGGATGCCGGCATCAGAAGAATGTTTCGTGTTCGAAATTGTTTGAGGGGTTTGGGTTTATTTTTGTTGGTTTTTTCTTTTTTTTTTTTGCTTACGTGGGCATCCTTCAGCTTTTAATAATCTGAAAAATTCTATTTACCCATTGTCAATGTGTATAAATTAATCTCAGTCAATTTTATACAATAAAAGGTGAACTTTTATCCATCAAACAATAATTTAACAAAAAATGTACCGGAAGAAGAATGTTCATTACAAATATAGGAAACATAAATATTACCAAATATTGGCAAGCACTAAAATGTTCAGAAATATAAGTCTATTACAGTTATAGCTCTCTCAAGCAAAAAAACAGCAGAGAAAAACTTAGTTTTCCTGAGGGGCTATTTATTTACTTAGGGATTTGTTAAAAGGTCAAATGGGGTCACACAGAATACTAAGAAGAGCTGTTCACCCAGGCCTCACTAAGAACTCTTCTTCATGCAGTAGCTATATAGTAATATGACAACTGCTCCTACGACCCACAGAGGAACTACAGCAACTACTCTTTAGCATCTGTTGCTCCCAACTCTGCTTTGCAATTATATGACTCAAGCATTCTGGCTCCGTTAACTATTACTGCTGTTACTCCCAAGTAAATTCCCTCTAAAAAATAAAAATTTTTAAAGCTGTAATTTAAGCTCTCTGCTGCCTCATGACTTCAATTCCATCAGAGTTACGCATTGTTTCCTCTGTACATCTTTGCTCTGCTTCCATTGCTAATTCCCTAGTAAAGTGTTGTATATTCAAAGTTCCAAAGAAACAGAATATCCAAGACATCACCAATCATCCAAAACACAGTGTAGGAGGCCACAGTTAAGAGAAGCAAGACCATTAGCTCTTTTTATAGGCTCGAGAACAACAGGATGCTTTGGTCCTGTATCAGCAGGATGCTTTTTGGGTAGATCCTACTGCCACCCTACTATCGGGTAGATCCTACTGTCACCCTAGCTATGGGCACATGTCAGAGTCCCATGTAATAAAGGAGACAAAAGGAAACCACCACGAGTATAAACTAAGAAAAGTACTCCAAGGTTTCTAAGAATGGAGCTGTATAACTCACTTTGCCCCGTTTGTTACTTCTCCACGGTACTTACCACCACCTATTACATATATTTTGTTTATAGTCAGTCTTCCCCCATTAGAATGAAAGTTCCGTGAGGATAGGACTATACAGTCAGCCCTCAGTATCCATGGGGGACTGGTTTCAGGATCTCCTGAGGGTAACAAAGGATACTCAAGTCCCTGATATAAAATGACATAGTATTTGCACATCACCTTTGCACATCCTCCCATATACTTCATATCAACTCTAGATCACTCATAATATCCGATGTAAATGTCATGCAAATAGTTATTGTACTATATTGTGTAAGGAATAAGGACAAGAAAAAAGTCTGTACATGTTCAGTACAGACGCAATTTTTTTTTCCAATATTTCCAATCCTTGGTTGCCTTAACGGATGTAGAACCCAGGAATAAGTTCTGGTGTCCTATTGCATAGTAGGATGAGTATAGTTAACAATAACATATTATATATTTGAAAATAGCCAGAAGAGTAGATTTTGAATTTTCTCCCTACAGAAAAATCATTATGCAAATTACCCTGATTTGATCATTACACATTGAGTACATGTATTAAAACATCACATTCTACCCCATATATATGTACAGTTATTATGTGTCCATAAAAATTTAATGTCAATGTGTGAAATAAAATGAAAAAATAAAAATTTTTAAAGCTGTAATTATCTCCATCTGGTAGGAATATATACAATCTGAAATAAAAAATATATTTGTAATTGTTAGGACAAAATAGATTATACATTAAGTCTGCAAATTATAAATTATAAAATTCTCACAGAACCTGAAAAATTATTGATACTGTTAAATATTTAAAAAGCTGTCCTTGGAGAGAAAGAAACCTATCAGATTTACATCAACAAGTGTAATATGTCAGCCTATTACCATCTGCTACAGACTGCATGTTTGTGTTCCCTCAAAATTCATATGATAGGCCCGGCGCGGTGGCTCATGCCTGTAATCCCAGCACTTTGGGAGGCCGAGGCGGGTGGATCATGAGGTCAGGAGATCGAGATCATCCTGGCTAACATGGTAAAACCCCGTCTCTACTGAAAATACAAAAAATTAGCCGGGCGCAGTGGCGGGCGCCTTAGTCCCAGCTACTGAGGAGGCTGACGCAGGAGAATGGCGTGAACCCAGGAGGCGGAGCTTGTAGAGAGCCGAGATTGTGCCACTGCACTCCAGCCTGGGTGACAGACAGAGCGAGACTCTGTCTCAAAAAAAAAAAAAAAAAAAAAAAAAAAATTCATATGATAAAGCCCTAACCCCCAAGGTGAGGATACTGGGAGGCGTGGCCTTTAGGAGAGAATTAGGTTTAGATGAGGTCATGAGAATAGAGCCCCTATGGTGGCATTACTTCCTTTATAAGAAGAGACACTAGAGCTGCTTTTCTCCCTACCATGTGAGGATACCGAGAGAAGATGGCCATTTCCAATCTAGGAAGCAGGCCCTCTTTAAGAAACGTAATTTGCCAACACTTTGATCTTGCACTTCCAGTCTGCAGAACTGTGAGAAATATCTGTTTTTTTTTGTTTGTTTGTTTTTGTTTTTTTTGAGACAGAGTCTCATTCTGTCATCCAGGCTGGAGTACAGTGGTGCGATCATGGCTCACTGCAACCTCCGCCTCCCAGGTTCAAGCAATTCTCCCACCTCAGCCTCCCAAGTAGCTCAGACTACAGGCGTGCACCACCACGCCCAGCTAATTTTCGTAGAGACAAGGTTTTGCCATGCTGCCCAGGCTAGTCTCAAACTCCTGAGCTCAAGTTATCCACCTGCCTCGGCCTCCCAAAGTGTTAGGAATACAGGCATAAGCCACCACGCCTGGTCAAAATATCTACTGTTTAAGCTACCTAATTTATGGTATTCTGTTTTAGCAGCTGAAGCAGACTAAGATACCATCCTTATAAGCTACAGACCAGCACTATCCAATAGAACTTTATATGACGAGCAAATGTTTTATATCTGTGCTATCCCTTATGTTAGCCACTAGCCACATGTATCCATCAAGTATTTGAAATATGGCTAGTGCAACTAAAGAACTTAATTTTTAATTTTCTTTTTTTTTTTGAGATGGAGTCTCGCTCTGTCCCCCAGGCTGGAGTGCAGTGGCGCCATCTCGGCTCACTGCAAACTCTGCCTCCCAGGTTCACGCCATTCTCCTGCCTCAGCCTCCTGAGTAGCTGGGACTGCAGGCGCCCGCCACCACGCCCGGCTAATTTTTTGTATTTTTAATAGAGATGGGGGTTCACCGTCTTAGTAAGGATGGTCTCGATCTCCTGACCTAATGATCTGCCCGCCTCGGCCTCCCAAAGTGCTGGGATTACCGGCGTGACCCACCACGCCCGGCCAATTTTTATTTTATCTTATTTAAATAACCACATGTGGCTAGTGGCTAATGTATTGAACACTACAGCTGTAGACAATACGAAATAAATATAAAGCAGTCTCCACTTTGGAAAAACAGAAGACTCTTACTGCCTCATAATATAGATGAAAAATGAAATACTAAGATAAGTAAAACGTTCTTTAAAGAACAAAAACAAAAGAAAACCTAATGAAAGCTATAAAAGTCCATGGGATAATAATGCTACCAGTACTAAGGAAGTACAGCCCCTAAGAGTGATTTGCAGTCACAAATATAAAAATGACTATTCAAGTGAACTCCTAAGGTGAAAATTTCTTATTCACCATGCTCCAAAATGGTCTGTAATATTCTTCAGAGATGGCATGGTAAAGTACGATAAAAGGGTAATATTAACAGTATGCTGTCACAGGTGCCATTCTCTTAAAAAAGAAATCCAAAAATAAATATAAATGGAAAGCAAATAATTAATGGAGTTTTGACGGTCAATCAATGGTAAATATTATTGGCATTAGATTTTTCTATTAATTATAGTTTACCTATGATCATGTATTTTTCCATTTAAAAATTACCCTAAAACTTAATGGCTTAAAATAACAAATATGTATGACACAATTCATAGAAGTCAGGGAAATGATGGATTTGGGTAGGTGGTTCTGACTCAAAGTCTCTCATGAGTAAAGGTTGCTGTCATGTTGTTGACCCAGGCAGCATCCCCTGAAGCCTTTAACTTGTGTTGGAAGGTCCGTGTCTTAGTTTGTTTGCACTGTCGCTACAGAATACCATAGACAGGGTAGCTTATAAACAACAGAAACGTTTCTAATGGTACCGGAGGCTGGATGGTGCAAAATCAAGGTGCTTGCAGATTTGGTGTCTGGTCAGAGCCCATTTTTTAGTTCATAGTTTACTGTCCTCTAGCTCACATGGCAGAAGGGGCAAGGACGCTTTTTGGGGTCTCTTTTATAAGGGCACTAATCCCCGGCTGGGCAAGGTGGCTCACATCTGTAATCCCAGTACTTTGGGAGGCTGAGGCAGGCAGATCACGAGGTCAGGAGTTCCAGACCAGCCTGGCCAGTATGGTGAAACCCCGTCTCTACTAAAAATACAAAAATTAGCCAGGTGTGGTGGTGCGTACCTGTAGTCTCAGCTACTCAGCTACTCAGGAGGCTGAGGCAGAAGAAACACTTGAACCCAGGAGGCAGACGTTGCAGTGAGCTGACATGGCACCACTGCACTCCAGCCTGGGTAACAGAGCAAAACTCTGTCTCAAAAATAAATAAATAAATAAATAAAAATAAAAATAAAAACAAAAAATAATAATCAAGGCACTAATCCCCAACATGAAGACAGACTATCATCTACCAAAAGCTCCACCTCCTACTATCATTACACTGGGGGTTAGGATTTCACAAATTCAGTGCATCATAGTCTGCTTCTAGAATGTTTAATCATTTGGCTGGATATCAGATAGGATGCCTCGGTTCTTCATGTGAGCTTTCTAGAAAAGATAGTTTGGAATTATTTGCATGGTGGCTGGGCTCGTAAAGAGTTGAAGGAGAGAAAGAGAGAGAAACACCAGTAAGGAGCAAATTAGTTCACTCAAAATTAAAACCCTAGCCTTTGTGACCTTGTCTCACAAGGTAACATTCCAATCCTGCGGTGTTTTATTTCTTAGATGGGAGTCACTCAGCTTAGCCTGCCTTCAAGGGGAGGAGTATGAAGCTCCACTTCTTAAACTGAGAAGAATCAACAAATATGTAGATATATATATTTTTAATAGTATTACAGCTCATGAACCCATTTAAACCCATTTTAGAACTTTAAAGAAATATTTTAAAACGGAATTTTCAATTAAGCAGAAGAAATTGCCAGCTGTGGAACAGTGAACTTTATCGCTGAAATCACACACATATATACACACACACAGTGCAAACTCATACATGATCAAATCTATAATCTTATTACACAAAGTTTTGTGAGAGGAAAAATGCTTGACTTTTCAAAAGGGCTCATTTATTAAAAATAAAATGACCATTGTGTTCATTTTAGCTGCAACCTTTAAGCAATCAATGACTATATACTTGCTGTAATCATCCTTTAAAATTAGAATTATTGAAAAGCTTTATCACTGATGAATGAAAGAAAGTAATATTGATTTGTGGCCAAGAGAGATAATCTCAGGCAATAAACAGGTGCAGTCTTTGAAGGAATCATTTTATTTTATTACTTTCTGACATTATTGAAGCCAATTTTAAATAAATTCATCATGTTTTTAAATTTAATCACGTATTATTTTATCATACATTAGGTAAAGTTTCAATCTAAGTAACTCCTGGATAAAAAATGAAGTATATCAATTTACAATTACAAATACCCAAATTGTACAGGCATGCATTTTTCAATGACATTTATAAACTGTGTTTTGTTGTTTGTGCCTTGTGTTTGTTTTATTAATCAAATTAATTTATACAGATATATGTATGGAAATGAGACAGATATAACCAGTTCTCTATAAGTAAGCATTATTTAATGGAGTCTTTCCTTTCACTAATGATCATCAGGACAGCTAGGGAAGTGAGTTGAAATTTTCAGGCCATTAGGTTAATAGTTCTAGTAATTCTAGTAATGTTTCGACAGTCATAATATAAATGATACTATGTGGCTTGAATTAATGCATTTTCTTATGTAACAAATAATAAGACAATTTTTAAAAGTGGTAATTACTATTTTTAAATATGACAATTAAAAATAATGAAAGAAAAGAGGTTGTACATTGAGTAGCCATAACATTATCTTTAAACATATTTATTCTTCATTTCCTAACTTTTCCCACCTTTTGGCTAAATCGTATGTTCTTTCTCTAACCTCACTTCTGTTTTATTACTCTCTGGGAAAGATTTTTATATAAAACGTCTAAGCAATCAAACCTAACACAGGATGAATTTCTACACATTACTATACCCTCTGGTCACTATTTTTTTCTTCTCTTTATTGCCCATTTCCCTGTTCTTGAAACATTCCAATTATTTGCCTTCCATGACATTCTACTCTTACTTTTACTTTTCTGTCTCTGATTACTCATTTCCAGTTCCTTTTGTCATCTCCTTGTCTTCCTACACCTGCCAATTAAATTTGAATTTCCTCTGCATTTCATCTTATGTCTCCTTTTCTTCTGCCAAATTCTCTCCTTAGACAAATACAGTCATTCCCATGGTTTTATATCCCACTTATATTCAGGGGCTCTAGAATGTATAGCGCCAGGCCAAATCTATCTTAAGAACTTACTTTACTTAACCAATTACATCTGCATCTGCTCAGGATCATGTAACCCACATCAGCATTTGGCTCTTTTGTAGACCCATTTTTTCTTTTCCTGGAAGTCTATTTTGACACCTACTTTCTGTCACTACCCACGTTTTAGCATTTAGCCTTGTCAATTTACTCTCATCCATATGTAACTCTATCCATTTTCTTCTCTCTATTATGAACAGCAGTTTGAGCCATCATGACCAATTTTGCAGTATCCCTTCTTAAATCAGCCTCCTGTTTCGCATTGGACATTTTCACCCCCCAGCAATTCCACCGATTTCATTCTCGGAAAAATATAAATGAAGAGTTACATTTTTCAATAGCCATAATCATTAAATTTCCATGTGTAAGAAAATGTTCAGAACAGTATCAGTGCATTTATAATAAAATTTAAAAACTTGACCCACAAATCTCTACTTGTCCTTCTAGTTTTATTTCATTTGTCTCTCGTCAATCTCTACATTCTGATCACCACAATCTTTTAATTCATCTGAAAGCTAAGCTCTCTCTTAATTTACATTCTCTATACTTGCAATTTTGTCTACCTAGAAGTGTCTTCTTCCATCTTTGGATTGTTATTGCAAATCCATTGAATAGTTCTCATCTGAATTGTTTCTTCCTTGGGATGACTTATAAACACTTCATCCTACAGCCAAATCAGAAGACCAATATCAAAATCTTTCATCACATCCTAAATTTGCTTATATGTAATTATATGGCAAGAATCTCTTTGTCTTTATAATCATTATTCACTTATCTATGTTTTTTAAAAACTCTTCTAGGTGGTGATGCTAAGCTCCGTAATGTTGGGCTTGTTACCTGTCTCAACTATCTTCCACACCTACCACAGTACCTGCTACATAGATGTATTCAATATATATTTTTAGAATTAGTAAATGATGAGCAAGCGTGTACTTTTGTTCTCTTTCATTACAGTGTTAGAAATGCTATTACAGCATTAGAAAAGATAATCAGAAAGAAAATTTAATAGATCATCAGAAAAAATCCCAAGACTTTTAGGCAAATGAGCCTACAAACACAGGTGGAATGGACTTGCAATTTACCAAGAAATAGGTTTGTCATACTTAGAAACCAACTGCATAAACATGTTTTTATCTATTAATAACTTCATTTTCCAAAACGCTCTACTTTATATGAGACGATTCTTGATGGAAATACCATTTGCTTCTAGGCTCGTTGCTTAAACATAAAGTTAAAAATCTTTGTATGACACATAAAATTGTGGTGACTGCTTAACTTTGCAACTATAGTGCTCCTGAAATGCTCATTTAACCAGTCTGTGTTCCAGACCTACAGAACTTAGATGGTGCTAAAATTGCGCAAAAATTGTGTATTTCTTCTACAACTAACTTCTGATAAAAAGGGGGCAGAGAAGGTTAACTCTCTCCCCCTTTAGCTTTATTTGCTTAGTGAATTTCTACAAAACATAATTTAAGTGCTATATTTTTCCAAGGTTTTAATAAGGAAATAAAAACCGCAATAGGTATCTTAAGCAGAAAGTGCATTTCATACATATACAATAGGAAGGGCTAAAATAACTAAAGTAGCTGTGGCATGGAGGAAGGTTTTGAGTTCTTGAATTCAAAGGCACGCAATCATTTCTGCAATCCTGGGTCAAAAAGATGCTCCTGCTATTAAAACTTTAAGCCTCTTATGCCCATGAAACTGGGGATTAGGCACAAGGATATTGAATCCTACCACTTCCACTACTTCTGAACTATTGTCCCCATGATTTCACTTGCCAGAATCAACAATAGCAAGACAGGCTTTGATCTCTTCCATTTTTCTAAGTCTGATTCATATGCAAACAATCGGTAAGTGGTCTAAGCTGCATTCATAAAGCTAGCTCAAGGGAAGCTGCATTGCTTGTTTTGTTTTGTTTTAGTTTTCTAACCTCTTCAAAGAGTGGAACGAAAGTTGAGGAAACCTGTCCAACAGTCTACCACACACCTTCCATGAAAGGTTCCCCAACACCTCCAACAAAATAATGTAAACACATGCTGGAACCTGTATTACTCTCGCACCATAACACTTCCCACACTTCCCACGATACTTTTTCTCTTCATGGGAATATCCTTCCAAAACATGCTGATATCTCCTAAGCATTATTCATCTGTCGAATTTTCCCACCTATTGTAAGGTCTTCCAATTGTTAGGTTCTTAATAAATATATTTTAAATTATTAAAATTCTGAACTAATGGGTAATCAACTGTACGACCCGAATTGCTCATTTGCATACAGCTGAAGTCCCTCCTCAAAACTTCTGTAATACATGAAACTTAGGCAAATGGTTGGGTCATTACCATATATTACTTTATATTTTTATTTATCAGTATATGTGATTACAGTTATGCTTATGTTAATTGATATGTATATGTACATTGTATTATTCTGTTACATAGCACAGCATTTTGTACTCAAAAAGTGACCAATAATAATAAGCTACATACTTTGGGAAGCATTGCAGGCTAGTCGTACAGTTTTGTTTTGTTTTTTTCCCTGCAGCCTGACAACCTTTTTAGTCATTCACTAAACCTCTCTCAGCTTCAGTTTCTTCATCTGCAACATATAGCAAATAATAAAACTTAACTCAGATGGTTCTAGTGTGAAATAATACAGAGTAAATGTGCCACCAAATACAAACCAATGGCTTGATTGACATAACTCACTGCTAATTTTCTTGAAATGATTCAAAGTATTTTCCAGACAAGCACACACTGAGGGAATTCGTCACCACCAAACGAGTCCTATGAGAAATACTCAAAGGTGTCCCAAACACAAAAATGAAAGGTCAACATTCATCATCATCATCAAAACACATGAAAGTAGCAAACTCATAGGTCTTGTAAAACAGTCACACAAAGTAGGACGAGCAATCAAATAGCAACACAACAGATTTCCACCAAACCACAAAGACAAAGAGACACACAGAAAGAAAAACAAAAAACAACAACAAAATAACCCCAAAGAACTTATAAAACAAGTAGAAAACAAACAGCAATATGGCAGAAAGAAAACCTCATGTATTAACATTAACCTTGAATGTAAATGAATTAAACGTTCCACTTAAAATATATAGATTGATAGATATTGGGCCAGGTGCAGTTGCTCACACCTGTAATCCCAGCACTTTGGGAGGCCGAGGTGGGTGGATCACGAGGTCAGGAGTTCGAGGCCAGGCTGGCCAACATAGTGAAACCCTATCTCCATTAAAAATACAAAAATTAGCCAGGCGTGGTGGCCGGCACCTGTAATCCCATCTACTTGGGAGGCTGAAGCAGGAGAATCGCTTGAACCTGCAAGACGGAGTTTGCAGTGAGCCAAGATTGCGCCACTGCACTCCACTCTGGATGACAGAGTGAAACTCCATCTAAAAGTAAAAAAAAAAAAAAGAAAGGTAGATTGATGGAACGAACTAAAAAATGATCCAAAAATATTATGCTTACAAGAAACATATAGACACATACAGACTGAAAAGTAAAGACACATACAGATTTAAAGTAAATGGGTGAAAAAAGATACTCCATGTAACGGAGACTAAAAGCAAGCAGGAATAGCTATACTTATATCAAGTAAAACAGAACTTAAATCTAAAACAGTATAACAATGACAAAGGAAGTCATTACATAATGATAAAGGGATCAATTCAGCAAGAGGATATAACAATTCTAAACACATATGCATCCAACACTAGACCACCAAGATTCATCAAATAAATATTACTAGACATAAAAAAGGAATAGACAGCAATACGATAATACTGGGGGACTTTACCATCTCACTCACAGCATTAAATGTTATCATCAAGACAGAAAACAAATAAACCTAAGACTTAAATTCAACCTTAGATGAAATAGACCTAACTGACATTTACAGAAAATACTACCCAGCAACTACAGAATATACATTCTTAATAAAACCGCAATTTCACCCAACAATCCCACTACTGGAGATCTACCCAAAGGAGAACAGATAATTGTATGAAAAAGGTATCTGCACCCATATGTTTATCACAGCACTATTCACAATAGCAATGTGTCCCTCAGTGGATGATTACATTAATAAATCTGGCACATATGCGCTATAGAATACTATTCAGCTATACAAAAGAATAAAATCATGTCTTTTGTAACAACATGGATGTAACTGGTCATTATTTTAAGTGAAACAAATCAGACACAGAAAGACAAATACTGCATGTTCTCACTTATAACTGGAAGCTAAATAATGTATACACATGGACATAGAATGTGGAATGATAGACAACAGAGACTTGGAAATTTCAGGAGGGTGGGAGGAGGGGATGATGAGAAATTATGTAATGAGTACAATGTACATTTTTCAGGTGATGTATATTCTAAAACCCTTACTTCAACACTATGTACTTTATGGAGGTAATAAGATTATATTTGTATCCCATAAATTTACATAAATAAAAAATTGCCTTCTGTACTTACTTTAGCCCAGTTATTGTTAGGTTCAACATTCAGCACTTTACTCAAATTTTCTATAGCTTTCTGGACCTTTTTTTGATATTTATATATAGTAGTGTGGCACAGAAGTGCTAATATTTACCAAAATAAAAGTTATATTTTTAATTAAAAATTAATTAAAAGGTTGTAGAATCTCAGGATGGAATGCAGACTGTTACAAATTTATCTAGCTCTATTATGAACCATACAAAATAACTTCAGTGAGGGACTTAAGGGAAAGGGTGCTAGTCAAAGTGATATTGAAAATGAGTGCAGTCTCTTAAGATGAAAGGCAAAAGAAACTTGTACGAAGGCATTTAATTTAGTTGATAAAGATGTTCTTCTACTAAGGGCAGGTTATCAATTCTGGTACAGCTATATACATATACTGGAAGTGAACAATTAACTAAATAGATGTCACAAAATAAGAGTCAGGATTTTTATTGTTGGAGTGGGGGTTTAGAGATACAGGAAGGCATTGATGCTTGCGGGACTAGGTTAGAGGTAGTGACATCAGTAAGAACCCATGTTTAGCTTAATACAGACATAGATGGTGATATGGTTTACATTTTGTCCCCTCTCAAACCTCTCGTCCAATTGTAATCGCCAGTGTTGAAGGAGGGGTCTAGTGGGAGGGGATTGGATTATGGGGGCAGATTTCCTCCTTGCTGTTCTTGTGATAATGACTTAGTTCTCACACAATCTGGTTGTTTAAAAGTGTGTAGCATCTCCCCCTTAGTTCTCTTCCTCCTTCTCCAGCCATGTAAGATGTGCCTGCTTCCTCTTTGCCTTCTGCTATGACTGTACGTTTTCTGAGGCTTCCCCATCCTTGCTTCCTGTACAGCCTGTGCAACTGTGAGGCAATTAAAGCTCTTTTCTTTATAAATTACCTAGGATCAGGTAGTTCTTTATAACAATGGGATAATGGACTAATATAGATGTTTACATATAGAAATATTTAAAGATATGTGTAAGAATATACACATTGTTTCTTTGCTCTCTCATCTTAGAGAGCTATGAAAAAATTGATACTCCCTTAGCTACAGGCACAGCTAGCACTTAAATATTGATTTCATATATAGAAAGCAGGGCGTCTTTGAAAGTGGCTGATTCTAAGAATGGGGAAGAAAATACACAAGATGAGCCTGGGACATCCTCTAGTGCCAGAAATTATGAAAATACTAACAAAAATCTATTCGTGAGATATGTCAAACAAGCACAGGGGCCAAGTGAAAGGTCTTTCAATTTCTAGAATAATTTTAGCAACACAATACATTAATTGGTAGTATATTTGGATTATACCCAAAAATGTAATTTTCCTTAGTCCATATTGATATCAATAAATGACTGAATAAACAAATGAATGAGATAAAAGAGGTAAATCTCCTCTGCAAATAATTTACATATGTATTCCAACTAAAGGAAGTCAGCTCTTAAAGACATCTTAAGCAATACTGCAACTGAATTAGCTTTCCAAAGATACTGTCACAATTCATCTATTCCAAGACCTATACATTTCATATTTTAATATCTCCTGAAAATATAATGCATTTTACAATTCAGTGGTATGTCTTAGTTTAATTAGCCACAATGCGAATTACTTGCTTAACGGGACATAAAATAGTGCATTATACAATCTATGGGCTCTTGGACTCAAGAAAATACGATAGAAAGGAGTTTATGTTAGAGTCTGCACACTGACTAAAGATCAGAGCAGAAAGCAGATTCTAGGAACAGTCACATTTGTGGCAGTCACTGGTCTCGGCATGCAACAAAATTCAAAGTAAATAGTGGTAAGGTGGGAAATGGACAAAGCTATGTAGCTAGAATCAGAAGTCTTTGAAATCAAAACATCAAGATTCAAACTATTTAGGGGCAGTGGGGCTGACGTGGTGACCGTGGGCCTGATCAGATAAAACCTTTACAAAGAAACAGTAGCTCTCAGACTCACCTCCTGAGACAGAGTTGTTCTGAGGGGAAAATGGGTAAGTTTCTACAGTAACATACAGTACTTAAACATACAGTAAGATACAGTACTTAAAGCCCTGACCTGTCCAGTTCCCAACACATCTTTCTTGATGGGCACCTAAATGTCACCTTTTGGTTTTATTTTTGTGTTTTTCTCATCTAAGCTCGGAGAGCAAAGCCTGACAGGGTGAGCCCCCAAAGTGTGTTCATGTCTTAAGAGTGTCCAGAAGCCACCTAGGGAGTGTGCAAGTTTTTCATTTTCATGCCAGGGACAATGTCTCTCTTTATTGAGCTAATGGCAAGGTATGGGCCTCAGAATATGTACAGTTTGAACATATTTGCATCTTCCCTTTAATTAACTGTGAAATCTGTGAGGCTAATGAGAAGAAAATTGATGGGTAGTCGGTGGAAGAATTTTTTTTTCATTGTCATATCTTCAACTTTCCTGGGGTATAATAAGAGATGCACAGTCAATTCAGTATACTTGAAATGTGTGATGTGGTCAAATTTGAGATAGATATATATATATATGTATATACTTTTGGAAATATCACTACATTCACAACCATCATTATGAAAAGTTTTCTTGTGCACCTCAGTAATCAGTCTCTCCCTCCATGCTGTCTCCAGGCAGCCATTTGATTTTCCATCAGGTAACATGAGTGAGAAGAAAATGTTTGTTGCAAGCTATTGAAATTTTGTGGTTGTTCACTTTTTAGAAACTCTTTGGAATTTTCTTTCTCATATCTTTATTAACATATAAAGTGTCTGTTTGGCATACTTTCAGATAATGTAAATAATATACTCAGCAATTGTTTTGTGCTGGGCTTCCATTTAATCTTTCAAGATCATATGGATTTTTATAGCTTTATATGTTGTGTTTGGCATCTTAAGCTCACTATCTACCTACTGACTCTTAAATCCCAAACTCTAAAGAGGTTCTGAAGATTCCAAACAATGGCTTGATAGCTTAAAGTAAAAAAAGCTCAGGATAACTCAAATTTTGTGACTTAGCATGCTTGAGAAAGTTTTTTTTTTTTTTGAGACAGAGTCTCACTCAGTCACCCTGGCTGGAGTGCAGTGGCGGGATCTCGGCTTACTGCAAACTCCGCCTCCCGGGTTCACGCCATTCTCCTGCCTCAGCCTCCCGAGTAGATGGGACTAAGGCGCCCGCCACCGTGCCCGGCTAATTTTTTTTTGTATTTTTTAGTAGAGACGGGGTTTCACCGTGTTACCCACGATGGTCTCGATCACCTGACCTCGTGATCTGCCCACCTTGGCCTCCCAAAGTGCTGGGATTACAGGCGTGAGCCACCTCGCCCGGCCTTGAGAAAGTGCATTTAAGCTCCTTCCTAAATGAATGATTATTTAGTCTTGCAGTGTCCATAATTTCTTTAGGTCACTTACGGAAGTCTCAAACTTGTCTGTAACACCTGATAATAACTTCCAGTACTATTCTAAAATGTAGATTTACTTTATCACATTTTCTTCTAACTTCTACTTGCCCCTGTTGTAACAATCTTCATTCTTCTTTTGTACTTATATTTTCTCCTTTTAAAACTCAATATCTAGGTCCTCTCATAATTGTGCTTAAAATTCATCCTGCAGTAGTGTCAGAGCAGGGTTTCTCAAAGTCATTGTGGGGAACTATCGTGTACATTGTAAGATGATTAGCAACATCCCTAGCCTCGACCACCAGATGCCAGTAGCACACCCTCTCTTTCACAGTTTTTTTTTTTTTTTTAATCAGAAATATCTGCGCACATTGACAAATGTCCACCGGATGGGAAGAAGAATGTGGGGTGTAAAATTCCCATTTTTGAGACCCACTTGCTTAGAATGTATTAAAGACCTATAATTGAAAATACCTTGGCAAAATCTCCCAAAATTGTCTCTCAAAATAACAGTATATACAGTGTAACATACACAACATCCTGTTATACTAATGAAAAAATCTAAGAAAAACTCTATAGGATGATATTTAGATATTACAGTCACTATATTAACTATTAGGATAATGTGCCACTAATTCCCAATCGTCACTGCTTTCATGTAGTGCTTGCTCCATATTGTCTTAATGTTAATCCTTAACATACACAGCCTAACATATTTATTGATGTGAAAGTTTTTGTTTTATTTTCAACAACACGGTCTCAACCAGGGGTGATTTTCACTACCAGGGACAATTTGTCAATGTTTAGAGACAATTTTAGTTTTTACTGCTGTAGGTAGTGGAGTGTGCTATTCACATCCGGTAAGTTTAGGGCAGGAAAACTGGTAAACCTCCTATAACATGAGGCTAGAGCCCACAACAAAATTATCAGGTCCAAAAATGTCAATAGTATTGAAGGTGAGACAATTTCTAGGGAGATATTACACCTTGATATTCTCATTTAATATGCTGGTAATGTAATCCAGCATTTTTCCAAAAATGAGAATAGCCTGGTGGCCTTAAATGTCATTGTTTTACTCTTACTTACATTGGACTAAAGAATGAGATCAAATGCAGCTGAATAATTTGGATATTTAAAGCAATAACATTTTTCACTAACGCGCATAGGCTTAATGCCTGGGTGACAAAATAATCTGTATACCTATTTACCTATAGGTTTACCTATATAACAAACCTGCACATATACCCCTGAACTGAAAATAAAAGTTAATAAATAAAGTAATTACATTTGTTTAGAAATAAAATAAATTTAGAAATGGAAAATATTGTTGAAAATATTCTAAGAATTTTAAATTTATACATTAAAATAAAAATAATCTGAATATTATTACCAACAGAAAATCTTTGTCTTGATCTCAAATTCCAAGTAGAATACCTTTAGACTATCTCTAGCAATAGCTAACAGAATAAGATTTACAAATCTTGATAGATCATTTTTCATGCCTGTGTCATTTTAAAATGAATTGATGGCTGTTAAAACTTAATTTAATTTGAGTCTCTTCCGGATCATATACATAGTTTTACAGACAGCCATGTTCAATGAAATTATAATATGTAACACAAGAAATATGCCAGATGTAAAGTAAGAATCTCTTTTAAACGCTCTGATATTCAAAAATCTTTATCAGATTTCCTAAACTAACGATTTTAAACAAAACCTTTTAGTTAAGAAAGCATTGGTCTCAATAGTAAATCTGCCAATATGAATTGCTGCATTTTATTTTTGAACTTTCTAAAGGCCATCTGCCAGAGTAATTAGATATAAAATCCTGCATGCAATCTAATATTAGATGAAAAGTTTAAACTACCAATGATACAATATTGATGCACAGAGGAATGAATTGATTTTTTATGTTATTCTCAAATTGAAAGTCAATCTTTTTATAAAATAAATTTATAAATAAATCCAAATATGATATTTTAGCTCACTTTTGACAGTAGGTTTTCAGTTTCTGATGTTAACAATGGCATAATTATGATTTGCTGAATGACTTTAAAGTGATCGGATAAGGAAACAATTAGGGTTTGCAGTAGCTGGAGAAAGAAAAAAAAGAAATATTTAGATATTGCATACTCAATATGGCACATACTACGTCACAGGCTTTAATATCAGTTGACTACTCTCTTTAGAAGGAGTACGGTTTGACCTAGACCAGTTTATTTATTCATTTTTGTAATAATTTTTCCTCATTCTCTTTGACACATTGGTTAACCTAAAATTACTGTGTCGCTTAGGACATTGACTAAAAATCGTAGTCTTTCAGTTTGTGGCTGCTCACAGGATTTTTTTTTTTTTTTTGCTTTGGCTTACTAAATAATCTTTTATTGGAGTTAAAACAACAAAGCTAGTAAAGATATATAAATCAATGCCAAAAAAAAGGAGACAGGCCTACTTATATGCCATTATCTTCTGTTATTGCCGTTGGATAGAAGACAGACATTATCATTTTTAATCAATTGTATACTTCATAAATATGATACAACAGATATTTTTACTTCCAAGATTATACATAGAGTTTTTATGATTCCTTTGTGAGTGTGAACTATATAGCTGTCCCTAAAACATAATTGAGAACAGAAAGGTTTTATTTTTAATTATATAATTTTCTTGCCCAAGTTATATGGATTCATAGGTTACAGAATGTATAACAATATACATTTTTTGCATTTTTAAATTTACTGTATAATTTATTTCTGAAACCAAATTTGATATACAACTATGTAAACCATTAAATATGATCTGGATTAAAATAATCTTAACAGACAAATCCAAAAACACTGCATTTTATTATTTCTATTTCTAATGTTACCTCCAGGTTTAGACTCCCCTAAGTAATTGACTCTACCTATTATGTTTGTGTTTTGAAACATCACTCTATATTGTAACAAAAAGAAAAATGACACAATTAGTTTCCTATATGTACACAAAAATTTTCAGTTTTAAATAAGGAAATATAGTTTTGAAATTTAAAAAAGTAAATGTTATAATATTTTCTCAAATAATTTACTACTCATATTCCCATTGCTTAGTTTCATTAATTTTTACACTCACATTTTACATATCCAAGATATATTTCCAGCTTTATTTTCAGAATGAACTGCTAGGATCTTAGATGAGTTTATTATTTTGCACGAGGTGCCACTGCTTGACACCTGATTGTGTGTATACCCCCCCCTTTTTTTTTTATATACTTTTAAGTTTTAGGGTACATGTGCACAATGTGCAGGTTAGTTACATATGTATACATGTGCCATGCTGGTGTGCTGCACCCACTAACTCGTCATCTAGCATTAGGTATATCTCCGAGTGCTATCCCTCCCCCCTCCCCCCACCCCATAACAGTCCCCAGAGTGTGATGTTCCCCTTCCTGTGTCCATGTGTTCTCATTGTTCAATTCCCACCTATGAGTGAGAACATCCGGTGTTTGGTTTTTTGTCCTTGCGATAGTTTACTGAGAATGATGATTTCCAATTTCATCCATGTCCCTATAAAGGACATGAACTCATCATTTTTTATGGCTGCATAGTATTGCATGGTGTATATGTGCCACATTTTCTTAATCCAGTCTATCACTGTTGGACATTTGGATTGGTTCCAAGTCTTTGCTGCCCAAGGTAATTTATAGATCCAATGCCATCCCCATCAAGCTACCAATGACTTTCTTCACAGAATTGGAAATAACTACTTTAAAGTTCGTATGGAACCAAAAAAGAGCCCGCATTGCCAAGTCAATCCTAAGCCAAAAGAACAAAGCTGGAGGCATCACGCTACCTGACTTCAAACTATACTACAAGGCTACAGTAACCAAAACAGCACGGTACTGGTACCAAAACAGAGATATAGATCAATGGAACAGAACAGAGCCCTCAGAAATAACGCCGCATATCTACAACTATCTCATCTTTGACAAACCTGAGAAAAATAAGCAATGGGGAAAGGATTCCCTATTTAATAAATGGTGCTGGGAAAACTGGCTAGCCATATGGAGAAAGCTGAAACTGGATCCCTTCCTTACACCTTATACAAAAATTAATTCAAGATGGATTAAAGACTTAAACGTTAGACCTAAAACCATAAAAACCCTAGAAGAAAACCTACGCATTACCATTCAGGACACAGGCGTGGGCAAGGACTTCATGTCTAAAACACCAAAAGCAATGGCAACAAAAGCCAAAATTGACAAATGGGATCTAATTAAACTAAAGAGCTTCTGCACAGCAAAAGAAACTACCATCACAGTGAACAGGCAACCTACAGAATGGGAGAAAATTTTCGCAACCTACTCATCTGACAAAGGGCTAATATCCAGAATCTACAATGAACTCAAACAAATTTACAAGAAAAAAACAAACAACCCCATCAAAAAGTGGGCGAAGGACATGAACAGACACTTCGCAAAAGAAGACATTTATGCAGCCAAAAAACACATGAAAAAATGCTCACCATCACTGGCCATCAGAGAAATGCAAATCAAAACCACGATGAGATACCATCTCACACCAGTTAGAATGGCAATCATTAAAAAGCCAGGAAACAACAGGTGCTGGAGAGGATGTGGAGAAATAGGAACACTTTTATACTGTTGGTGGGACGGTAAACTAGTTCAACCATTGTCGAAGTCAGTGTGGCGATTCCTCAGGGATCTAGAACTAGAAATACCATTTGACCCAGCCATCCCATTACTGGGTATATACCCAAAGGATTATAAATCATGCTGCTATAAAGACACATGCACACGTATGTTTATTGCGGCACTATTCACAATACCCCATTCTTTAGACTTTTAAAATCAATACCCACTCTTCCCCACGAACAAGAGAAAGTAAAAACAACTAACAGTGGATTTCTGTATCACGATGACTCATTTTCAATAGAACACTACCATAGGTCAAATGGATGAATGCATAAATAATGAATGGATTAATATCTTTTATATAATCATGTGCCACATAACAACGTTTACATCAATAAGAGACAGCATGTAAAACAATGGCTCATTAAGATTATAATAGGGTTGAAAAATTGCTATCACCATTATAGATTGATCACTCTATGAAGTTTGCACAGTAAGATAATCACCTAGCCACACACTTCTCAGAACATATCCTCATTGCTAAGTGACACAAGGCTGTATTTCATTTAATGATTGCGTAAATAGTTGTTGAGAAAAATCTGCACTCTAAGTACCAGGATAAAAGAGATTAATAATAAATTAATGATTAAATGCACCATGATCAATCTTATCATTGAGGTCTATATGCTACATTTGGATTACATCGTAAAGGCAGAGGTTAATCATCGCAACTTACACAACAGGATACAGAGTGGATCAGCAGATAATTACATAATAGAATACAGTTTGAAACCTGCAAGATGCATTAGAATTAATTAGAATCAAACCATATGTGTGACTTTGGTTTAAATGTGCAAAACCTATTAATATAGATATAGCCAGGACATTTCTATTGTGTGTGTGTGTATATATATATATATATATATATATAGTGTGTGTATATATATATATACACACACACATATACATGTATATATACATACATACATATATATATTTTATATATATATATATATATATATATATATTTTGTGTGTGTGTGTGTGTGTGTGTGATGGAGTTTCGCTCTTGCTGCCCAGGCTGGAGTGCAATGGCATGGTTTCAGCTCACTGCAACCTCCGCTTCCAAGGTTCAAGCAATTCTCCTGCCTCAGCCTCCCAAGTGGCTGGAATTACAGGGGCCAACCACCACACCAGGCATATCTTTGTATTTTTAGTAGAAACTGCTTTCACCATGTTGGCCAGGCTGGTCTCGAACTCCTGACCTCAAGTGATCTACCCCCTCGGCCTCCCAAAGTGCTGGGATTACAGGTGTGAGTCACTGTACCCAGTTTGTCTTTATAAATCTTATAGAAATATTTAACTTTTAAAATCAACCACACACAATTAAGACTTTGATAAAAGTAATTAAGAAGTAAAGCAATGGAAAAAGCAATTTTTAAAAACATATATGAATGATTGAAAGCCAGGAGTAAAATTAAGAATTGTATTAAAATATCACTATTAAAATTAGCTACATAAATATTTAATTAATGCAGCTAAATTGTTAACAAAATTTACAGAAGAAAAGTATGTTAACATTACTGAATCATCTTAAAATCTTATTAAAATTTAAAGTTCTTCTCAACTGAAATTATATCACAGAAAAAAATAATGTCACCTTAAAAAGTTTAGGATTAGAAATACATAATTATTTTTAAATATAGTCTTTATATATTAATTATATTTCATTAATGTCTTATTTCTTGAATAAACTTTTTTCATGATACTATTTAAGTGCCACATTCTACAATAATATGGAAAACAATTCTACAAAATGTGGCATACAGTAATTGATAGGTAGTATAGCACACCTTTTATCTCTTTATAGCAAAAACATAATGTGTAAATTAATATAACACTAAGTCCCATATTGTCATTTTTTGTCAAAGAGCTATCTCCTTGAAAACCATCATCCTCAGATGCATCTCTAACTTCAAAAAGACCTTAGAAACTGTAACAATTGTAAATGCGTTATAACTTAAAGAGATATTATCTTCACATTAGAGGCTAACAGGCTTATACCTACTGATAGCTGACAAGTATTATAGGAATCCTGGCAGGCAAATTGTTGCATAAAAATTATGTAATTTACTAACTGTAAAATAACCTTTAGAGTTTAGAATCAGTCAGATAAGTAGAACAGACAATTGTTATCAAAGCCATATAAATGGCTATTAAAATTATTTTTTGCTACCCTCATTTTATCTCTGAAGAGACATCTTGTTAAAAAATGAATAACAGACACATATAAATACCTAATTACAAGCAGAGTTAAGATTAAAATTCAGCCTCATTAGGGGTGGGATAGAAATCAGTACACTAAAGAATATTTTGGTGCAGGTAGTTTGTTTCAAATGATTCAACCTTCAACATTACTTCACTTAAATTTTAGCAAACTTTCTGCTATAATTTAAGCATACAGACCTATGACACTAGACATATGTCCTGTGTAAGCCTGGGCTAGGGGAGCTCTATTTAATACTTACATAAACCCCAAAGATGTCCTAAGAAATAAAATTTGGAAAAACTTTGATGTGCTACAGCACGGATTTTCTCCTACAGCAACAGAGCAGACACTTGAATGTAGTTATACTCCTGCTTTCCACCTCCCTGTCAAAACAATAAAAAAGGCCACAGGCCTGTGGTTCTGGCCTCCAGGGAACTGGTGGCTTCTTTAACCCACACTGCTGCTGCTGAATCCCATTTAGGTTTAGGGTTTATTTTGTATATGCCTTTGTACAGGCTAAATGCTGGTCTAGTTGAAAATCAACCTAAAACAACCTTAATAGCATCTCATTTTATTGTGACTTTACTTTTTGTGTTGTTTGGTGTTTTACTTTTGGAGACAGAGTCTTAATCTGTCACCAAGGCTGGAGTGCAGTGGCATGATTATGGCTCAACCTCCAGGCTCAAGTGACCCTCCCACTTCAGCCACCTGAGTAGCTGATACCACAGGAACATGCCACCACATAAGGCTAACTTAAAGAACATTTTTTTAGATGGGATCTCACTATGTTGCCCAGGCTGATCTTGAGCTCTTTGCCCCAAGCAATCCTCCCACCTTGGCCTCCCAAAGTGCAGGGATTATAGGTGTGAGCCACTATGCCAGGCCTCTCTCATGACTTTAAACTTGAACATGCTTTTGTGCTGTGGCCGAGTTTAGGATCCCAACCAGCCTGTGATTACTGTGGTCACCACACAGATTCCCTCTTGTTCCATCTTTTATATTCCATCTTCTCACTCTCATAACTGTGTGGATAGGAAAACAATTATCCATACAGGTATGATATTGGCAGAGAAAATCACAAAATGTTTTAATGAGCAAACACTTTGGGGATGGTAATAATCTTTCTACCACCTTCATTGTCTTGTTTAAGTATCTCTACATTCTTCTTTAAAAATTAGGAATATATCTTTCTTGCTCTTTCGTTGTTGTTGAACACCAGAAGGGGATATTCCTTAATTCTCTCTCCATAGCTAAGGACAGTACAGCACAATATTCCATTCAGCAGGTGAAGTCAGTATGAATGAATGCATTTCAATCAGCAAATTGCTGGTTGTGTTGCAACTCCTAGTTATGATGTTTTGTGTACTTTGAAGGGCTCCCATTAATTAAGGTATTTCTTATAAGCATTCAGAAAGTTTCTTTTCTTGGCATGCGACTTGAAAATTTGTCCTGATATTTTCCCTGTGACAATGTTTTGTGAATTGTAACTCAGCCACTTAAGTGGCTCCTCATAATAAAGCCACATGGTATCCATGTACACATATTTAACAAATCAAAGAAGTGGTTCTCAACCTAATCTCTAGAGGAGGTCCTTCTTGTTCACTTTCAATAACTATGTTGAAGAATAGATTCTAAAAAGCTATCACCAAATTTTCGAATATGTTTTGAAATTTGTGTCCACAAAATCTATAAATCAATAAATGTATAGAATAGAGCATAATAATCCAATTAACAAATTTAAGATGTCATCTAAGCAGGAATGAATGCAATAAATAGGCCTTCTTACTTCAAAATCAACTGCAGAGGTAATGCATTGCCACTAGACTTGTGTGCTGTGTTGGTAATAAATTAACAAAAACTTTGGGGATAAGAAAAATCTGCAAATAAAATGGTGTGTCATTTGTGAAATATAATCACAAAAATGTTCAGATTGTTATAATTAACAGAAAAACTATTGTTTTTATTATATCCAGTGTTTAACAGACACTATTCATGTATACATACAACATTCTTATAATAACTCTTGTGTCCATGTAAATAGCAGTCTTGCCAAAAAGAATTGATTATCATGTAGTAGTTTGTAAGTATTTTCATGCATAGGCTGCAACCCTTTAGAGTGCTATTCTAATAAATTATTAATATTAACTTGATGAACACAATTCTAAGACATTTCATTTGAGGATATGTTTATTAACTATTAGGTTGGTACAAAAGGCATTGCGTTTTTTGCCATTACTTTCAATAAAAAATAGAACCAGCATTTAGAAATCTACTTTCAGAAACTTAATAAAATGAGAATTTGTCCTCTTTTACATATAGGAAGCCTGCATAATAAGCATTCTGTTGCTAGTACATAAGCTTCCCATTTTCATCAGGAAACTATACACTTACATTTCACTTTTACTAACTTCAATGCATGACTTCTACCTTCAAGGTGATTTCATGCTTCTAGCCACCATGTCTGTACTCCAGGACAGCAGCACAAAGTGTAGAAAAATAAAAAAGACATACCTCCCTAATGAGTCAACTGCACTTAAGGAGCCATCCCAGAAGTTTCACACGGCTTATTTGAATACAGCTATATCCAGATGCAAGGAATGCTGGGAAATGTGGTATTGTGCGCAGCTAAAGTTGGGATTATGTTAGTGAAAATGAGACCACGAACATTGGAAGGTTAAAAGCAATCTCTCATGACATATACAATTACAGAAATTAAATTAAATCTTTAAGCAATGTGATAAACCTATGGAATGTTAACAGGCAAAAATAGCAACATTAAAAATTACAGTGAGGGAATAAGGTATGATTCGTTTGTAGATGGTTTGTGTGTCATTAATCTAGGCAAAAAGTCATAAACTCCTCTAACAGTGACCACATGTATAAAAGAAATAATAATACACACTATGGCTAACAACATTCCATTTTGGCCTATTTACTGTTGTTAAGTCTCTATGGTTAGCATCAGAAATGTACAGTTTTGATAGCCTATGACCTCAACATGTTCAGTTTGATAGTAGAAAGGACAACATAAAGACAAACCAATCAACAAATAAGAATAAAAACTGTTAAAAAAAGGACAATATTATCATAAGAACATAAGGATGTGATAATGTATTTGACATATCGTTTATTTATTGTTTTATAGTTGGATAATACATATAAATTTACTGCTCCTTCAATGTTAGAATCAATAGAATCATAGCAGAAGTAATTAAGCAGATAAAGATCAAAACGTCACCTTTATTACTTACTGTTTGAAAAATAGTCTAAGGCTGGTTTTACAGGGTTGCTCCTATCCATCACCTGATGTGAAGTTTCTTAGGAAGCTTCAGGACTACACCAAAGAAGCAGAACCTGCTCTTTCACTCTGTTGCATTGTGTGGAGTGCAGGGCATCATGACTGCTCTCTACAAGAAAAAGAAAGGAAATAATTAAGAAACGCACAAAAGTTTGTGAATTGAGAATCCCAAAATAGGTATGAAATTGGTTAGCTTTCTAAATTCACCAATCTCATAACTAACACCTGTCCCCATGCAGTGAATGAGTAAAGGATGGACAGACTCCATAATGATTATTCTAGGGAAAGCCTTCTGAGTAGAAAGAGGAGAGTTTTGCAAACAGTTTTGTAGAGTTTACTCTTGTTTATGCACTGATAATAAATAAGAGTTCCTAAAATTCTCTCTAGAACTCTAGGTAAATGAGATATTTCACTGCTCATGCTGTGTGACCTTCATGTCCCATCTGCCTAGACTGTAAATATGCTTTCTGAAGTTTAAAAGAATTAGTATACTATGCTTACATTAAGCAAAAAAGTACCCTTATTATGCAGGATCAAGTAACACTCTAAAGATTCATGTTTATGAAAAAACACTGATGATTCTATTTTATTATGTGTCTTCTAAAGAGAAAAATACTTGTGCTCTGCAGCATAATTTTACAATGTGCTATTCTAAATACTTTCATTTAAACAAGACCATTATGAAAATGTTTTGCACACAGAAATATATTTTGAATACTTTTTTAAAAAGATCACAAAGTATATGGTCTCTGTACGTGTTCAATTATTTTAATGCTTTCACTATAACAGGAATTCTTAAAGAGGATATGTACTTGCATAATGCTGATAATTCTTTCTCATTTCTGTTTGTGCTTTGGCTGTTGTTACAACCACTGAAAGTAGTAATTACATGAGTGTATTATCCATGATTATCTTTAGATATATGTGCATTTTCTTTAATTAAACTATAAACTCTAAATGAAAAATAAAAAAGAAGTCACCTCTTGTCTCTTTGTACAATATTAAAATTTTTTTCTTGTATCCAGAGTTTCCCAAATGCCTGTTGCAAAATTTTACTTAGGGAGTAGAAAGTGGAGAATCAATATGGTAAAAAAAACTGTGTTACAGGGAAGGAGACACAGGGTAAGCATTTTCCTTATCTTCTCTCCTGTATCTACGTGCTGCACAAGCATAAATGATAGCAGTCACATGAACGAGTACTTTTCAAGAACGTAGAATATGGTGATGGAAAAAAAAAACCGCTTTGAAACATCGAATAATATAAAAGCCAGAACTACTACAACTATTTTTTACATCCATAGAAGGTAAACTATTTTTAGATATAAAATTCCTTCTGACGGTAGTCCTGATCATTTAACCAATATTTTGATAAATCAAAGAAGGGAAAAATGGACATTCAGTCCAAAGATGGGCATGTATTCCCATGCCCAGTCAGGCAAAATTGTGGATGTTCTTTAAAATAACAATTCATTCAACAAATAATTTTTAAATGGCTACTGAATACCTGGAAAGGTTCTAGACACAGGGGCTATAGTAAGAAACAAGAAGGAACTAATTGACAAGAATGTGCTCACCGACAATGAAACATCTCCTCATGGAGCTTGAGTTCTGTTTGAAAAGACAGAGAACAAAAAAATATTATTGCACAGAGTGTTAGTTATGTGTGAATTAAAAGACTGGTCAGTACTTGAAGGAGAAGGAGTGACAACAAATCTCACTTCCAGTTCTATTTACCTGAACAGATTAATTCTATTTTGTTTCAATGCAACAGTAGTCCTACGGTTAACAAGATGCACTACACAAAGCAAACAACTTATAAAACGCATTTTTTCCTTATATTGCAAATCAATTTTAAGTGGATCTACAAATATACAATAAATAATATAAATTACGGATCGTTTGTTTCTAAGGTAATAAGTACATTTGTTAATTTCACATAAATAATTTCAGAAGGAGAGCAAATGTAAAAATGTGTTTTAGACAGTGGAGATGCCATTTTATTGTAAGACTATTTATACTCAAAGGACAAAGTAATCAGCTTTCTATGTCAATGATCGTCCTTCTCTATTTCACCCAGTTCCAGACAAACCCAAGTCTTCCAAGTCTCTTCATATATCTGATCCAATAAAATCTATAATGAGTTCAGTTAGCATACACACACACACACACACACACCACACACACACAAGCACACAAACACACACACGACTGCATTGAAATACTTGCTCTAGGGAAGGAACATAGTGTATATGCAACTTGTGTACTTTCTAAGTATGGGAAGACTAATCCTTTAACAACTGCATTTACTTTCTTTCACTTCTATCGTTGCTATCTACTCCTCAGAAATCTACTTAAACAACCAATAAATATATATGATGTTGTTATGAGAGTTTTGGAAATAATTCCTAAAAATTTGCATGGTTGCCTCTTTATATTTGGCAGCTTCTATCACCCATGGGAACAACCCCTACAGAATGATCAGAATATAAAGCATGTGAGCCCTGGGTTTCTCAGGCACTGGAAGGACCTGTCAGAATCCTCTCAGGTGGGTCAAAATGGCCAGGCTTTATAACCTCATCTCCATTCGTGTTTGCATGTCCAGTGCTCCAGGATGCCCTAACATTGAGCCAGACAATGGTTACAGCTGAGGCAAACTTTGAAGGAGCTGAGAGCTGAAGGCTGCTTTGTAATATTGCTCCTAGCAGCCAAGGGGGAAAGAAATCTTTTCTTGAAGAGCGATCTGTGTCCATAGCAAAATGTTTTTTTCTTAGCTCTTGTAAAATCGAAATTGTTTGCTTTTGAATTTTTTTAAATGATTCCTTTAAGATTCTTAATACCAAGATATCACAAGGTCAAGGAATTTTATAAAGAAGTATTTCTATTTATGTAATTTCCTAAATTTATCTATACACAAATCAGCACTAAAACATGCCTTTGATACTAACAACTTGATCGGTTTGTGAACCAAATCTGTCATGCAAATACATACGGCTGTTTTTAGATAAATTCTAAAGGTATTACCAAATCATTTAATTTTATTGTGTATCTCAATATTCTGGTTGATGTATAAGTTTAAATAGAACAAACTATTTGACATTGAAATGTTCTTTATCAAAGGAGAAGGAATACAATTTTAAAGCCACAACGAGTGACACATAGTTCTGAATGATTTATTGGCTGTCTGCCATTCTGAAATGGCTGCCAGTCAATGTTACATGTGACATCTTTCAGATAGTGTGAACTCTTTTATGCAAGCACCTTTCACTATAAAATTACAGCTGGAGATCATGAAGAGAAAAGTGTGGTGTTTATCTTAATGGGCTGAAAGACCTATTTCAACAGTTACAGTAATTCAGAAAAATAGTCTGAAGTCTAGTATTTCAATAATGTTATTTTCATAGATTTTAATCTCTAAAGACAATGCTTCACTTTTGTAGAAAATGACTTTTCTAATCATCCTGGATTTCAAAATTCTTTCCATTACTTAATATTTAAATCACTGGCAGAACTTGGCATGAGGACTAGAGAGCTGTCACCAAGCAGCCAGTCATTTTTCTTGGCTTCCCATATGCCATGCCCAGCAATAGAGCATTTCTTAGTAGCTGAGGAATAGCAGCAGTGCTAAACACAGAGATGACATTAACAGGAATGAGAGGGTCCAAGCTGTTTTCCTAGACTAATTCTCATTCAGCCTGAATTCAAAGCATTTTCCTATCATTATCATAGATATTTCGCTTGTGGTATTATCTATCTTTTGGCAATGTTGATTTTTTTCTGATTATCCAAATAAGTAATGTTAATGGAAAAAATCAGATATTAGGGGAAAAAAAACTCTAGAAATAAATGTTAACCCAAGACAATAACAATTCAATTAATTTATATGATACCTTAGGGATTGTGTCAATTATTTTTTAAATGAAATTCAAAAAATTCAACACCTGTGTTTTCTCCTACGATTACAAATTCAACTAGGGCACAATTGTAAATGGTTGTATTTGGTTGAATTTTTAGATTGTTTATAAGTTTTACTCTTGCAGACAATAATAATGGAGTTTCTTTGAAAATAAATTTAGTTGTTCTATAACCAAGGCATAAATATTCAATTCAATAAAATTAGCAAAAATATTAAATGAAAAGTATATTATATATAAAATGCATAAATAAAATATCCTGCACTGATCATTTTATGTCTATGGTTACCCTATTGATTCTGTGCACATTTGCATATGGGTATATATGCAATTTTATACAATGAAGTATTAATAGTGTACATAAATTTAGTAATTATTTTACCCCTTAAAAGTATATGCAATGAGTGTCACTTATATATAAATTCTGTTAACGTGGAAGAAGAATGTTAGTCAAAAAAACTACGAATTTAACAATTTTCTGGTTAATTCAAAGGGCTTTCCAAAAATGTCTTTTAAAATTCAATTTCATTTATTTTCTCATAGCAGAATATGAGAATGAATCTTTTTTGCTGCAAATTGGCTAGCAATAAATTTTTATTTTTATTATTTTAATTCTGTGAATTTCGGGAATGGAGTCTCATTCAGTATAAATATTATAATACTAATGAGATTGACTCCCTCCTTCTTATTAACAGTGTGCATTTTTACCCTCCGTGATTCAGTGCATGGTGTAGTGCTATAATTAAAAATGAACATTTTTTTTTAAATTTTATTATTATTATATTTCAAGTTTTAGGGTACATGTGCACAATGTGCAGGTTAGTTACATATGTATACATGTGCCATGCTGGTGTGCTGCACCCATTAACTCGTCATTTAGCATTAGATATATCTCCTAATGCTTTCCCTCCCCCCTTCCCCCACCCCACAACAGTCCCCAGAGTGTGGTGTTCCCCTTCCTGTGTCCATGTGTTCTCATTGTTCAATTCCCACCTATGAGTGAGAACATCCGGTGTTTGGTTTTTTGTCCTTGCGATAGTTTACTGAGAATGATGATTTCCAATTTCATCCATGTCCCTACAAAGGACATGAACTCATCATTTTTTATGGCTGCATAGTATTGCATGGTGTATATGTGCCACATTTTCTTAATCCAGTCTATCACTGTTGGACATTTGGATTGGTTCCAAGTCTTTGCTGCCCAAGGTAATTTATAGATCCAATGCCATCCCCATCAAGCTACCAATGACTTTCTTCACAGAATTGGAAATAACTACTTTAAAGTTCGTATGGAACCAAAAAAGAGCCCGCGTTGCCAAGTCAATCCTAAGCCAAAAGAACAAAGCTGGAGGCATCACGCTACCTGACTTCAAACTATACTACAAGGCTACAGTAACCAAAACAGCACGGTACTGGTACCAAAACAGAGATATAGATCAATGGGACAGAACAGAGCCCTCAGAAATAACGCCGCATATCTACAACTATCTCATCTTTGACAAACCTGAGAAAAATAAGCAATGGGGAAAGGATTCCCTATTTAATAAATGGTGCTGGGAAAACTGGCTAGCCATATGGAGAAAGCTGAAACTGGATCCCTTCCTTACACCTTATACAAAAATTAATTCAAGATGGATTAAAGACTTAAACGTTAGACCTAAAACCATAAAAACCCTAGAAGAAAACCTACGCATTACCATTCAGGACACAGGCGTGGGCAAGGACTTCATGTCTAAAACACCAAAAGCAATGGCAACAAAAGCCAAAATTGACAAATGGGATCTAATTAAACTAAAGAGCTTCTGCACAGCAAAAGAAACTACCATCACAGTGAACAGGCAGCCTACAGAATGGGAGAAAATTTTCACAATCTACTCATCTGACAAAGGGCTAATATCCAGAATCTACAATGAACTCAAACAAATTTACAAGAAAAAAACAAACAACCCCATCAAAAAGTGGGCGAAGGACATGAACAGACACTTCTCAAAAGAAGATATTTATGCAGCCAAAAAACACATGAAGAAATGCTCACCATCACTGGCCATCAGAGAAAAATGAACATTTCAAAGATGTGCTTCCAAATGCCAAATCATCACTAAAAAGCTCTGTGGCATAGAGGAAATTTCACAACCTTTTAGTGCCTCAATTTTGTGGAAGAATGGTTAGGAGGCTATTGCAATAACAAAAGAAAATTTGAATAGCTGTATCCAACATGAAAAGATTGCTAGTAGAATTAAATGAGTTACTATAGGTAAAACAATCAGGGAAGTAATTAAAGAGAATCTGCACTAACATTGTTTTATTAATTTAAAATATCTGTACACAATCCTTTGACTCATTTGGAATTAGTTTTAGTGTATTTTAGAAAATAAGGTTTATTTTTTATTTTCTCCCAAAACAATTCTTCAAGACAACTTTTCGAACAGTAAATTCCTTCTTTGTTTATAATATGTATTTTAATAAAGTCACTTATCTTCATGATTTCTAGGACATCGGTTCTATCTAATCTACTGTTCAGCATTCGTCTGAGTATTTTCTGAGCAGCAATTAACCCCTCTGTACCTCTGAGTGCCCACATTTCCTTGATCCATTTCACCTTGCTGATCAATCCTTCTTTACTCATAGTCTAAATTTTTTTTTTAGAACTTCTGAGAGTGCCCCAAACCTTGGTCTTGGGTCTTCCTTCAATCTTATTTGTCTTTCCACCTGATCTTAATTATTTACATCACATTATACCCTATCTTTATGGTGACAAATCTCAAAATTATCTCTCTGACCTAAACTTATCATTAAAGATTTGGTTGCAACTTATTAAGAAGTCAGGTTCAATGTAATACATGCATTGTTGATTTAATAAGCTCATCAAAATACTTAAAATTTTATTTGAATGCAAAAAAATAAAGCTTTTAATTTTATCTCCTATTTAATAATTTTGACAAAAACATTATACCAATCATTACTAATTATTGCTGGCTTTTAAAATATTATCTGATTAAATATTTTTGACTTGGAAAAATGGTAACAAATGCTTCTCTCTTTCTTGTCCCCTTGAACCATACTTGATATTGCTTTTTCCAAATCCGGGCCACAAGTTCAGAATATAACCTGTTAAAATATCTTCTGTGTATAAACTATCTTTAAATTTTCTTGAGAGAATACTGAGTAACCAAAAGCATTGCTCCTTCACCCTACAAAAGAGAGAAAAATTAAAAAATCACATTAATTTGTAATTTTAAATGGTAATTAAAGCTATTGTGAGGGCTCTTTTATCGGCCAAACTTGTGAACAAAAAACAGCTCAAATTTATGTGTAAATAAAATATATTGAGATGAAGCCTTTCATTCAATGTGTGATTTTCAGTTCAAAAAAACACACTGATGTTCAAGAACAAAGACTGGTACAATAACTATCTACAAAATGCTTTTGTTACTAGATTTTAATTCCTTCATCAAACAGACACAGTCAAAGTTGATAGTGTCACTAGATCTAGAGGTCTATCAATATCCTTCCCACCATTTAATATGTTCTTAATCTCAGGGAAATTCTAAATCATATTCTTCTAAACTGTACAGTTGACTCCTGAAAAACACAAGGTTTAGGGCCATCAAACCTCCCTAACCCCTCCCCACCACCCCAGCACAGTCAAAAATTCACATATAACTTTGGACTCCCCAAAACTAAACTAACAGCCTACTGTTGACTGGACAATCCTTAACACATATTTCATACGCTGTATGTATTTTACACCGTAGTTTTACAATGAAGCTAGTTACAGAAAAGAAAGTGTTATTAAGAAAATTATAGGGAAGAAAAAATACGTTTACAGTACTACAGTATATTTATTTCTCTCATAAGTTTACAATCCTGTGTTTACAAGATGGATCCTTCTTCTGAAATGGCAGCACACACAGCTGCAGACCTCAATCTAGGGTACCTATCAAGCAATTCATTGTTTTCCTGTAATGTCAGGACCCTTCTCTGTTTCCTGGAAGAACTTTCAGCATCACTAGCAGCACTTTTTATAGGTCTGAAGGTGTTATTCAAGGTTTATGGTATTGCACTAGACATCATGAATAATACAGGAGAAACATGAGAGAACACTTTTTACTGTGTTAATTTACTGGAGAGACAAGCTACTCACAAGAAGATGATTAGCATTATGTGGCATTTTAAGTGAATACTCACAACACTTGAGTTCACTGCAAGAACAACAGGTGGAGGCTAGGAAATTATCCCAGTAGTACAGTATGTATTACAGTTAATTTTGTGCAGTTATGATTTACTTTTGTATATTTTTGTTTTACTTTTCTCTAAACTTCAATTGGCTGCATGTATGCTCTGTGTTTGCCTACGTCTTGATAAATTTTAACTTTTTATAATAGACGCATATATATTTCATTGTATTAAATGATCACTAGTATCTACATATGATTTATGCATTCATGACATCGTTTTCTTAGTTTTTTAATATTTCTTGTGTAGATGGGTCACCTGTTATCTTTTTCAATTTTTCATAAATCTCCAAAAATTTTCTAATATATTTATAGGAAAAAATCTACATATGAGCAGACCTGCACAGTTCAAACCTGTGTTGTTGAGGAGTCAACTATATATTATAATTTAAGAGAGGATTCAACTCTTTCATTCTACTGGCAATGGGTTAACATAAACTTTAGTCAGAACTGCTGAGCTTTTCTGGCACAATGAGGACAAATTGACCAATGTATTTAACCAATAGCTGGGGGAAAATTTTGCTAAAATTGGTAAGTATATCTTTATATAACTATATCCTTACAACTTGTCTCAACCTTCGTCAGATTAATCCTAACAAAACTGTAAAATGTCTCAGTAAAAATCTAAATGAATTTTTCATAACAAGTGCTGGCAATAGATTTTAAATATGTTCTGATCATTATTTGTCTCTTGTTGGCATGGAGAAAATCCTTTTTTTTTTTTTCAGCCTGGGGAATCCCAAACTATATCTCTAGTAACAAGGAAACCATTTTACCGGAATTTTTATTAACATGGAAAAGTTCTGTCAATTAATCAGACTTCACTGTCCATATCACTTTCAACCTTTTGGGAAGGTAGAAAGATGGAATTCTGAAACTAAAGTTGGTAAAGTTCACAGAGATCGTCAAACTTGCATGGTCTAAGGTATTTCTTCTTTCTGTGGTTCATGAGTTAGTAACAGCTAAACCAAGTGTCTAGGAATATTAGCTCTGATTCTAGAAATCTACACTTATTTAACTAAATGCTGTAAGGACTCAGGAAATCCATTCTTTCAACAAAAGTTACTGAAGACTTTCCCCATTAGTATCCTAAACAATGTCTGCAAAATTGGTTTTCATACCTGGATACCTTGTCTTCTAAGAGACACGGCAGGGAAAGATCATAGGAAAAAAGTCACTATCAGGCACAGCTAACAACTAGCAAACCCATAGTCTTTAAAAGACTGATCCTTTGATTCCTATCTCTCAAGTAAAGAGGTTTAGGTCATCTTCATATTACAGGAAAGTATCCCTACCAAAAACTTCTAACTAACGACTCTTAGGATTCTTCCAAAAGCAAATAGTCTTTGGGAGAAGACAGCTTCCATCAAATGCCTTTGGATCAAGTGAATCACTATATGAGATATCGGTATCTGCAAACCAAGATCCACAAAAAAAGATCCATTGTTTGTCATATTTAATCTGTATATCTTGAGTTTTCATTTTCCTAGTTAACTTTATCTTTTTATGCTTAAGGTTACATTTAATTACTTTACCTATAAAGCTACTATTCCTAATTCCTCTATGCCGTCCTTAGTCACTCTCTAGAAGAGTCCGGAAGCTGGCCGTAATTTGTTCACAATTTGGCTAAACATGCAGTTGAATCAGTGCTAAGCTGCACACATTTTCCTTAGGATGCCAATTAGAGTTTTTTTTTTTTAACATCGATTCCTAAATATGAAACATCTGGGTTTATCAATAATTGGACTCACTATTTATTGTTATTTTATCTGACAAACAGCAGAGTATTAGATAAATAGAAATCTTAAATCCTAACATGCTGCACCCAGGAAAGAAAGCTTATGCCTACAGCAGAACAGCACTTAGGGATCTTTAATAGAATGCAACTTCTGTCACTAAACCTTTAGAAAGAAATGTCTTAAAAAGAAGAGAACAAATGGCACATACTTAATTCATTTCTCACATTTACATATCATAAAAAATTCTTATTACATATTCAAGCTCCTATCACATCTACCTCTTCCTCTATGTGATAAGGTCTTCATTTTATATCCCCAAAAGTGATTAATAGCAGAATGGAGCTGAAAGCAATCAATAAACTCAATCAACCTTAATGACTGCTACTGGATTTGTGGTACCAGAACCTATTGATTATTACAGCAATCTTGACATAAACTAACATACTGATGTGGTAGTCAGAATAATGGCTCTTCAGAGATGATGGGGTCCTAATCCAGATAATTTATAAATTTGTTAGCTTACCTGGCAGGACAGACTTTGCAAATGCAATTAGAGTTAAGGATTTTGAAATGGAGAGACTATCATAGATTTTTAGATGGCCAAATGCAATCATAAGATTCTTTACACGTAGAAGAGGGAGATATAAAAGGAGAATGTGAAGACTTGCTCCTTCATTTGTAGCTTTGAAGGTCAAGGAAAGGAACTGTTATGAACTGAATATTTGTGTCTCCCTAAAATTAATCTATTGAAGATGATTGGCATTGTTCAAATATTAATAGATTATTTTCAATGATCTATTAATTGGCAGTGTGATAGTATCTGGAGATGGAGCTTTTGGGAGGAACCTAGGTTGAGATAATGTCCTAAGTGTGGTGTTCTCATGATAATGTTAGTGTTCTTATAAGAAAAGGTGGAGATACTAGACCACCTCCCACCCAACCACCCTTCTCTTTCTCTCTCCGTAAACATGTATCCAGGAAAGGCCATGTGAACACAGAGAGAAGGAGGCCATCTACTAACCAGAGAGGGAGTGGGCCCTCACCATGAACCAAATATACCAGCACCTTAATCTTGGACTTCCCAACTTTCAGAACTCTGAGAAATAAATGTCAGTTGTTTAAGTCACCCGGTCTATGGTATTTTCTTACAGTATTCCAAGCTGCCCAAGACAGGGAACATGCATCAAAGAATGCAGCTGGATTCTAAAGCCTGGGAAAGGCCAGGTCATGGATTATTCCACAGAGCCTATAGAAGCAATGCAGTCTTCCAATGCTTTGATTTTAAATCAGTAAGACCTGTGTTGAACTTCTAACCTGGAATACTGCTAAACAATAAATTTATGTTGTTTTAAACTACTAAGTGTATTGTGATTTTTATAACAGCCACAGGAAAATAATACATTTGGCAAATCAGTGCATGTTTCATGATGGTCAATGATATGCCCCAGGGTCCATCTTAGCCATGATTTCTATCCCTTCAAAAACCAAAACAAAATAAAAAAGTAAAACAAAAAGACCAATTTTACTATACTACTTGATTTTTAACAATATTTTATATGTATTTAATCCAGTATATCCAAAATATTGTCATCTCAGCATAAAACAATATTAAAATTATTCAGTTTTACATTTTTTAAACTAAATCTAGTTTGTATTTTACATATAGCATAAATCAATTCAAATCCACCATATTTCAAGTGTTCAATATCTACATGTCACTAGTAATGACTATAGTGGACAGAATTGATCCAGATTTCCAGGTGTATTGCTATAAAACTAACCATATTTTTATCTTATTAAAACAAAACAAAACTCCTCCATAACTATGTCTATGTTCCTTTTGCTTTTATTAACATTGAACATATTCTTGTTTTTAATCTAATTTTGTCTGTATTTAGGTCTATTTTTTGGTGGTGTTATTTCTTGTATGCTTGGCATCAACTTTTTTTTCAATTTCTTAGACTATCTAAACTATTATGCTCTGAGTTTAGCTCAATTTCAATCAGCTACTCACTTTGAAAGACTCATTTAACTCTCTTAAGCCATTCTCCACAAACATGAAAAATCTTCCTCTCACTCTTCCCTGCTGAAACACTGCAAAAGTATGTCAAAATGGTGTACTTTCTTGGCACAGGGTTTCAATAAACTTAGTTTTGCTTTAATAACAAATTATCTGAATATATTTCAGGGAGTTCCACTGGTAAAAGCATAAAATCATGTTAGTTCAGGTCATCTTTTGTAAAGTTATGACAGTGCCATAGTATCAATTCTTGTCAAAATTTATGACTTCAAAATCAACTTAATATGCATCAACATAGATATTTTTTAGTTAATTCTAGACTCCAGGTGCTCATTTAAATAATATGGGTACATAAGACTGAACAAAACCAGTTGCTATTGAATGTACATTTTAGAGAAATACTTCATACACAGCTGTGTTTTGTTAAATAAGAAACTTGATGACATAATCAATATCACGGCAGCATACAACTGTTTGGTTAGTATGTCTCTTTAAACAAGCACATATGCTCATTCATGGAGTGTGTATTTGTATCTGTGTATGGTCTGTGTGGTGAAGCAGCAAGCAACAGTTGGATGTCTTAATTATCTAACAGGAAAAAACACCTAAATAATCAGAAGAAATTTTGATTTATTTATTAGTTCGACTGAGCTTTTCTCTTGAATGTAACACAGATGGTCCCAGATTTACAATGGTACAACTTTACAGCTTTATCATGGTACAAAAGTGATAAACATTCAGTAGAAACAATGCTTTTATTACCCATATACCCATTCCGTTTTTCACATTCAGTATTTAATAATTTACATGTGATATTCAACACTTTATTTAAAAATAGGCTTTAGGTTAGATTTTTTTTTTGGACTGGCTAATGTAAGTGTTCTGAGCACATTTCTTAAGTGTATTTTTTTTTAATACTTTAAGTTCTAGGGCACATGTGCACAACTTGCAGGTTTGTTACATATGTATACATGTGTCATGTTGGTTTGCTGCACCCATTAACTCATTATCTACATTAGGTATTTCTCCTAATGCTATCCCTACCCATCCCCCCACCCCACAATAGGCCCCAGCATGTGATGTTACCCACTCTGTGTCCAAGTGTTCTCGTTGTTCAATTCCCACCTATGAGTGAGAACACACGGTGTTTGGTTCTCCGTCCTTGCGAAGGTTTGCTCAGAATGATGGTTTCCAGCTTCATCCACGTCACTACAAAGGACATGAACTCATCATTTTTTATGCCAGCATAGTATTCCAGGGTGTATGTATGCCACATTTTCTAAATCCAGTCTATCATTGATGGACATTTCGGTTGGTTCCAAGTCTTTGCTATTGTGAATACTGCCACAATAAACATACATGTGCATGTGTCTTTATAGCAGCATGATTTATAATGCTTTGGGTATATACCCAGTAATGGGATCACTGGGTCACATGGTATTTCTAGTTCTAGATACTTGAGGAATTGCCACACTGACTTCCACAATGGTTGAACTAGTTTACACTCCCACAAACAGTGTAAAAGCATTCCTATTTCTCCACATCCTCTCCAGCACCTGTTGTTTCCCAACTTTTTAATGATCGCCATTCTAACTGGTGTGAGATGCTATCTCATTGTGGTTTTGATTTGCATTTCTCTGATGACCAGTAATTATGAGCATTTTTTCATGTGTCTGTTGGCTGCATAAATGTCTTCTTTTGAAAAGTGTCTGTTCATATCCTTTGTCCACTTTTTGATGGCTTTGTTTTTTTCTTGTAAATTGGTTTAAGTTCTTTGTAGATTCTGGATATTAGCTATTTGTCAAATGGGTAGATTGGAAAAATTTTCTCCCATTCTGTAGGTTGCCTGTTCGCTCTGATGGTAGTTTCTTTTGCTGTGCAGAAGTTCTTTAGTTTAATTAGACCCCATTTGTCTATTTTGGCTTTTGTTGCCATTGCTTTTGGTGTTTTAGACATGAAGTCCTTGCCCATGCCTATGTCCTGAATGGTATTGCCTAGGTTTTCTTCTAGGGTTTTTATGGTTTTAGGTCTAACATTTAAGTCTTTAATCCATCTTGAATTAATTTTTCTATAAGGTGAAGGAAGGGATCCAGTTTCAGCTTTCTACATATGGCTAGCCAGTACCATTTATTAAATAGGGAATCCTTTTCCCATTTCTTGTTTTTGTCAGGTTTGTCAAACATCAGATGGTTGTAAATGTTTAGCGTTATTTCTGAGGCCTCTGTTCCATTCCATTGGTCTATATCTCTGTTTTGGTACCAGTAAAATGCTGTTTTTGTTACTGTAGCCTTGTAGTATAGTTTGAAGTCAGGTAGCGTGATGCCTCCAGCTTTGTTCTTTTTGCTTAGGATTGTCTTGGCAATATGGGCTCTTTTTTTGATTCCATATGAACTTTAGTTTTTTCCAATTCTGTGAAGAAAGTCATTGGTAGCTTGATGGGGATGGCATTGAATCTATAAATTACCTTGGGCAGTATGGCCATTTTCACGATATTGATTCTTCCTACCCATGAGCATGGAATGTTCTTCCATTTGTTTGTGTCCTCTTGTATTTCGTTGAGCAGTGGTTTGTAGTTTTCCTTAAAGAGGTCCTTCACATCCCTTGTAAGTTGGATTCCTAGGTATTTTATTCTCTTTGTAGCAATTGTGAATGGGAGTTCACTCATGATTTGGCTCTCTGATTGTCTGTTATTGGTGTATACAAATGCATGTGATTTTTGCACACTGATTTTGTAACCTGAGACTTTGCTGAAGTTGCTCATCAGCTTAAGGAGATTTTGGGCTGAGATGATGGGGTTTTCTAAATATACAATCATATCACCTGCAAACAGGGACAATTTGACTTCCTCTTTTCCTAATAGAATGCCCTTTATTTCTTTCTCTTGCCTGACTGCCCTGGCCAGAACTTCCAACACTATGTTGAATAGGAGTGGTGAGAGAGGGCATCACTGTCTTGTGCTAGTTTTCAAAGGGAAAGCTTCCAGTTTTTGCCCATTCAGTATGATACTGGCTGCGGGTTTGTCATATATAGCTCTTATTATTTTGAGATATGTTCCATCAATACCTAGTTCATTGAGAGTTTTCAGCATGAAGGGCTATTGAATTTTGTCAAAGACCTTTTCCGCATCTATTGAGATAATCTTGTGGTTTTTGTCTTTGGTTCTCTTTATGTGATGGATTACATCTATTGACTTGCGTATGTTGAACCAGTCTTGCATCCCATGGATGAAGCCAACTTGATCTTGGTGGATAAGCTTTTTGATGTGCTGCTGGACTCGGTTTGCCAGTATTTTTGTTAAATGTACTAAATGCATTTTTTACCTAAAATATTTTCAACTTATGAGTATATCCAGATCCATCATAACACATCTTGGCCTGTGGTTATCAGGATGTAACTCATTATAAGTCGAGGTAGATTTGTATTATATCCCATGTACACACACACACACACACACACACACACACACACACACACACACACACACAGACTTAATCTGTTTACAGAAATAAAAGGAATAAAATACCGTTTCTATTATACACCAAAACTAGCCATCTTGACAGATACTTCACTCTGAAAAATAACGTTTTATAGCTACTTTACAGATTAGTATAATAATTTGGTGTTTCTGTTTCAGAGATTCGATTTCACATTTCAATAAGTAGGCCGCTCCCTCTGCTAAGCCTGGGAATGTAATTCTTTTGAAAAACTATCTGTGCTGTAAAATTACATGTCATATTGGGAAAAGGACAATCGCAAACAGTAGTCACACATAAAATCAAGCAACACAGACATCCTTTTCACATACAGTGAAGACCCTTGTCAATTTTGAGATTACACAGGAAAACAGAATGGGGGACAAGTGTCTCTGACACATAGAAAATCCCGTGAAGAAGAACTCAGCTGACACAATCAAAACATACACAAAACTGAAAGAAACAAGGTGAGTGCTTTTTATATTAGTTCAGCTGTCAAGAAAGTGTAAAATAAACCTAACATTTTTTTACTAAGTGAGGATTTTCTTTTTTGAAACATCATCATTTATATTTATCCAGTTTGCAACTTCATCAGCTGAATCTCAGGATGTGTTCCATGACACTGAAGGACAATTAAATCATATCCATGACAATATATGAGAAGCTGACAGGAGAACATGGTGGCATTTGAATTAATGTCTATCATTAGATAGAATTTCTGATCACATAATTTAAGTTGTAGTTTTCCATACAATTTAATCAAGATAAGCACTTATTAGGTGAGTGATATACTTTGGCTCTGTGTCCCCACACAAATCTCATGTTGAATCGTAATCCCCACGTGTCAGGGGAGGGGTCTGGTAGGAGGTGATTTGATCATGGGGGTGGATTTCCCATACTGTTCTCGTGACAGTCAGTGAGTTCTCACAAGATCTGATGGTTTAAAAGTGTGTGGAACTTCCCCCCGGCTCTTCTCTCTACTGACACCATGTGAAGAAGGCACCTGCTCCCCCTTTACCTTCTGCCATGATTGTTAGTTTCCTGAGGCCTCCCAGTCGTGCTTCCTGTTAAGCTTGCAGAACTGTGAGTCAATTAAACCTCTTTTCCTCATAAATTACCCAGTAGTTCTTTATAGCAGTTTGAGAAGAGATAGATACAGAAAATTGGTACCAGAGAAGTGGGGCATTGCTATAAAAATACCTGAAAATATGGAAGTAACTTTGGAACTGGGTAACAGGCAGAGGTAGGAAACAGTTTGGAGGACTCAGAAGAAGACAGGGAGATATGGGAAAGTTTAAATCTTCCTAGAGACCTGTTGAATGGTTGTGAACAAAATGCTGATAATGATTTGGATAATGAAGTCCAGGCTGAGGGGGTCTCAGATGGAGATGAGGAACTCATTGAGAACTGAAGAAAAAGTTACTCTTGCTATGCTTTAGCAAAGAGACTGACAGCCTTTTGACCCGGCCCTAGAGATCTGTGTAATGTTGAACTTCAGAGAGATGATTTAGGGTATCTGGTGAAACAAATTTCTAAGCAACAGACCTTCCAACATGTGGCCTGGCTGCTTCTAAAAGTTTATGCTCATGTCCATGAAGAAAGAGATGGCTTGAAACTGAAACGTATATTTAAAAGGAAAGCAGACCATAAAAGTTTGGAAAATTTGCAGCCTAACCATATAGTAAAAAAGAAAAACCCACGCTCTTGGGAGAAATTCAAGCAAAAATTTGCATAAGTAAAGAGGAGCCAAATGTTAATGGCAAAGACAATGTGGAATACGTCTCCAGTACATTTCAGAGACCTTTGAGGCAGCCCCTCCCATTATAAGCCTGGAGGCCTAGGAGGGAGAAATTGTTTAGTGGGATGGGCCCAGGGCCCTGCTGCTCTGGGCAGCCTCGGGACATGGTGCCCAGTGTTCCAGCTGCTCAGCTCCAACTGTGGCTAAAAGGGTCCAAGGCACTACTCAGGCCATTGCTTCAGAGAATACAAGCCTCAAGCTTTGGTGGCTTCCACATGAGGCTGGGCCTGTGGTTGTGCAGAAGGGAAGAGGTGAGGTTTGGGAACCTCCATCTAGATTTCAGAGGATGTATGGAAATGCCTGGATGTCTAGGCAAAAGTCTGCTGCAGAAGTGGAGCCCTTATGGAGAACCTCTACTAGGGCAGTGCAGAGGGAAAATGTGGGGTTGGAGCCCCCACACAGATTCCCCACTGGGGCACTCCCTACTGGAGCTTTGAGAAGAGGGTCATAGTGCTTCAGACCCCAGAATGGTAGATCCACTGACAGCTTGCACGGTGTGCCTGGAAAAGTCACAGGCACTCAATCCTAGCCTGTGAAAGCAGCTGTGGGGGCTGTGCCTTGCAGAGCCACAGAGGCAGAGCTGTCAAAGCTCATGGGAGCCCAGATATTGCATCAGTATGCTCTGGACGTGAGAGATGAGGTCAAAGAAGATTGTTTCAGAGCCTTAAGATTTAATGACTGCCTTGTCGGGTTTTGGACTTGCATGGGGCCTGCAGACCCTTTGTTTTGGCTAATTTCTCCCTTATGGAATTGGAGTGTTTACCTGATCCCTGTACCCCCACTGTTGTCTTGAAATTAACTAACTTGTTTTTGATTTTACAGGCTTATAGGCAGAAGTGATTTGCCTTGTCTCAGATGAAACTTTGGACATGGACTTTTGAGTTAATGCTGGAATAAGTTAAGACTTCCAGTCTGTTGGGAAGGCATGATTGGTTTTGAAATGTGAGAAGGACATGATACTTGGGAGGGGCCAGAGGAGAAATAATATGGCTTGGCCCTCTGTCCCCACCCAAATCTCATCTCAAATTGTAATCCCCTCATGTCAAGAGAGGGGCCTGGGTGGAGGTGACTGGATCATGGGAGCAGATTTCCACATGCTATTCTCATGATAGTGAGTGAGTTCCAAGAGATCTGATGGTTTAAAAGTGTGTGGCACTTCCCTCCTTGTGCTCTCTCTCTCCTGGTGCCATGTCAAGAAGAACCTTGTTTCCCCTTTGCCTTCCACCATGATTTTCTGAGTTTCCTGAGTCCTCCCATTCATGCTTCCTGTAAAGCCTGAAGAACTATGAATCAATTAAATCTCTTTTCTTCATAAATTACTCAGTCTCAAGTCATTCTTTATATCATTGTGAAAACTGACTACTACGGTTAGCAATCTTAAAGAATACTTGTGATTTTGAGAATCAGGCACATATTTTTTTAATAATCGGACTGCTTACAATTGTTTAACTCCTTGCAACTTATAGTTAGTGCCTAAAACTTTGATGACTTTCATTACATTTCAATGGCTCTGTTCCCTTATAGCAAACTACCTTTTTTACTGTACTTACTGTAACTACAGTGCATTTATTTTCAGCCCAAATAGTATTCAGTAATAAGCATTTCTTCCCACATAAGAATAAGTTATATTCCTATTCACTATATTCTAGAATTTCTATTTTCCTTCCACAGTGCCAGCTAAAATTAAAGTGGAATAATCTATTGGGGCCCTGTGTATTTAATGTTTGTTTTCTTAGTATATTATAAACACTGTGAAGGAAGGAAATCCTTGCCTCTTGTTTATACTTTTATCTCCATTATAGAAACACTCTGCATTATTTTCTTACTGCTGCTGTAGCCAATTACTACAAAGTTAGTGGTTTAAAATAGCACAAATATAGTGTCAAACAATTGTGTTTGTCAGATGTCTGCAATGCATCTTATGAGGCTAAAATCAAAGAGTGAGAACTGTTGTGTTCCTTTCTGAAGGTTTTAGGGGAAAATCAGTTTCCTTGACTTTTCCAGCCTCCAGAGGCTGTCCTGATTTGTTAGCTTATGGTCTTTCATTTGTTCAAACCAGAAATGCTGTGTCTCTCTGACCATTCTTTTGAAATCATACCACCTTATGTTTCTAGCCAAGAATGTTTCCCTAGTTTAAACCCATTTGATTACACTGAACTCAAAAGGACACTTTTTCATCTTACCATCCTTAACATTATAATACTTGCAAAGCCCCTTTTACCAGATAGTTAACATATTCACAGCTTCCAGAAATCAGGACATGCGGTTTTTTTTTTGTTGGTTTGTTTGTTTTGTAAACCATTATTTTGCTTACTATACTGTCTTAATTGGAGGAAGCAACTTCTTCGAATAGGTGAATTAATTTCAAATTGATAATGTGATTCTGAATGAACATTAAAGAAATCAACTATTACACCGAACATTACTTTATTGAGCTAAACAAATATTAACTGACTATATAAAATTCATTACACATTTGGAGATAGAATTTTGTACTCTTTAATAAGACTTTTTACATTTTTTGCAATCCTTTTTCTTATTTAAAAAATCAGTACTGTATTAGTACCCACAATATAAGTTTGTTCTAAGAATCAAATGAGATAAACATTTCAGACACCTATCATAGTATCAAGTTCATATCGTAAGCCTAAAATACCAGATGACTTTTATTATTTTCAGAATGTAGTCAAAATCAACATAAAGTTACATTAACACTTGGTTTACTGTATCATAATGCTAGCTTTGTGTCATATCTATCTAGAGAGTACACTGAATAGCTTAAACCAAGTAGAAGGTGATTTCTTGCTTACATAACAGTTTACCATAAGTAATTTTGGCTAAAGACGCATCTTTCCTGCAAAAAATAATTCAAGTTAACGAAGGATCTACTATTACCAAATTGTATCTTCCCAGATTACTTTGTATATATCACCATTCCAGAAGACAAAAGACTACTCATGAAATACAATTTGCACACTTCTTTATATATGAAAAATTCACTTCTCTTCCCTCTGTAAACAACTTAAAGTTTTGCCCAGTTACTGCCTACAACTTAGAGTTCAGGATGTTTCATGACGTGCAGTTCTCTCCCTCAGGCCACTATATGACTTAACGAGGACTAGTGTCCTATAAAGTCAAAAGACAAATTATCTGTAAAATCTAAGTTACCATGGTGAAGCTCCTATCAGAAGACAAAGAAGTCTGCAGAGCACTGACAAAAATATTTCTGAGCAGTACAAATATTTATTTGATGAAACCATAAACATGTCCTGTGGAAATAACTTTAAGGTCCATTGTCCCTGTGGCTCATAGATTTACTTTCTGAGGTAATTTACATTTTCTCTTATTCTCCATGCCTCCATCTTAAATTAGAACAATGAGTGTTTTCTCAGCATGACTCATCAATTGCACTGATTAGTGCAATTTGGGATGCTTGAGGATATTTTAAGCCTTAATTTTTTTTTCTCACAATAGGCTTATTGTACCTTTGCCAAGTAGTTATGTGGAAACCATTTATTTATTTATTGGATCTAGTTTATAACCAAACATACAGTTCTTTCCTAGGTATAATTCTAAAGTCTGCCTCATTTCCTTCTTTTTTCTCCTCCCCAACACACATATGCTTCTCTGACTGTAAAGATGACTACTTTAAGGTCATTTGAAATCATGGACTTGAAAGAGAAAACAACTTCCCTGATGAGTTCTTTGCTTCAGGGCTGGGTTCCTTGTTTTTTATGAACACAGTAGGATTTAATTTCTGAGCAGCTTTTTCAACCTAATCAGAAAAACCTGAGCTTTTCTGTCACTGTATAATTCCACCATTACTAGACTTTTTGTTTACAAGTGGTTTCCAACAAGGAATGACTTTGTTTCCATAGAACACTTGTCAGTGTCTGGAGACATTTTGAATTATAATGATTAGGTGGTGATGCTACTGGTATGTGGTGGTATAGCCTAAAGATACTATTAATATCCTACAATGCAAAGAATAACCTCCCACAGAATGCAGGAATATCAGGCATAAAATGTCAATAATGCTAAGGTTTAGCAACTCAACTCTATCCACTTTCTTTCCACTCTAAAGACAGGATATTTCTTTTTTCTTTTTTTTTTTTTTTTTTTTTTGCCTGTGTTTATCTATTTCTTGGATTATGGAACAGAACAAACATGAACACATTACCTTTTGCCTTTCCTCATTTCCCACACTCTTTCCTAGAGGTAATATTAAGCTTCCAATTAATTTTAGATGGTAGTTTCAATAATTTTTTTTCACTGGGTATTACAAGTCTTCATTTCAACCCTCTGAGTTTGGTTTACTTGTCCATTTAATACTAATTTAGTGGATACGTTTTAGGTGCTGTTATGGCAGACCCAACTCAAGCTGGTGATTTCTATATTACTTGGAATCGTGCTAGTTGCTTTGACAACTACACTCAACAACATATAATATCTTAAACAGAACAGAAGTTTCATTCATATAAACTGTTTTTTTAAGATAGGAAAAGCATTGCTCCTTTATGTCCGCATTCAAGAACATAGGCTACTAAGGTATTTAATCTGCAGTATGTTGCTTCCAAGACTACTGTAGAATTGGCCGTTCCAGTCAAGCATACTGAAAAACGTATACAGAAGAGTGCATGTTGGGATTTTGGAGACTAAATTGGATATAAAATATGTTATTTCTACTAATTTTCCACTATTTTGACTTTAATCCCATGCCCTAATATAAAGTATATAAGAATGAGAAACATAGTTTATGTATCTATCAAAATAGAACATAAATGTTTGTGAACATTTGAATCTGTCAGCTTCTCTTGCTCACGTGCCTGTAGTGCCTGTACTCAGGATGCTGAGGCAGGAGAATCGCTTGAACCCAGGAGGTGGAGGCTGCAGTGAGCTGAGGTCACACCACTGCACTCCAGCCTGGGCAACAGAGCGAGACTCCATCTCAAAAAAAAAAAGAAGTGACTCAACTGATTGATGTGTAAAACCTCATTGTAAAATAATGTTCTACAAATGAGACATTAATACAGTTAAATTTTTGGATTAAAAAAGTCTGCCACTTTGTGAATATGTTTTATTTAGGCTTGATTTAGTTAATTTTCTTTTTTCTTTTTCTTTTTCTTTTTTTTTTTTTTTTTTTCTGAGGAGTTTCACTGTTGCTGCCCAGGCTGCAGCGCAGTGCTGGGATCTCGGTTCACTGCATCCTCCACCCCGCCAGTTCAAGTGATTCTCCTGCCTTAGCCTCCTGAGTAGCTGGGATTACAGGCACCCACCACCATACCCGGCCAATTTTTTGTGTTCTTAGTACACATGGGGTTTCACCATGTTGGCCAGGATGGTCTCGAACTTCAGACCTCAGGTGATCCGCCCACCTTGGCCTCCCAAAGTGCTGGGATTACAGGCATGAGCCACCGCACCCAGCCAGTTAATTTTTCTATTAACTAAGACCTAATTAAGATTGAGGCAGAAGAAATGGGTCCTTGGGATTTGAAAATTACTATTCAATTTGGAAGTTTAATTTGCAACATAGATTGTCTGTTATTAAATTACTAGATATAATATCACAAAGGTGGAAAGAAAGGTTGCTTAGTTAAAGATCTAAGTTACTAGTCATGGTGTCAGATATAGAGAATGATTGAAGGTTATCAGAGTCACACACCAGATGAGTAAATTGTTGTTTTCAAGGAAGAGGTTACATAAAGGTAAGCGGAGTAATATTTTAGCATTTTTGTTAATTAAAAATTTGTAAAGTTATTTCCATTTCAAGGAAATTACTCTCAGTAATTTTACGGGTAAAATGACAAATTCCAAGTTTAATTTTCACATGTAACACCCTCCTTGAGCACTTATTTTTATAAAGCTATTAATCTATTTTGGTCTCAATTTACCTTTCTTTAAAGAGATTTTAAAATTTTCTGAAAGAAGCTAACATCTGGAAGTGTAGCTGTTATATTTTTCAATTTTTAATTACATATTTAATTATCCTTTAATTACTTAAGGTTATTCTCAAAAGTGAAGAGAAAGCTGGGATCACACTGCGTAAGATTTTACTCCTGAATGTAATATTCAAAAATGTTACAAAGTCTATCAAAAGGTTTTCATTCTGTGACAATACATGGTCAATTTGACATTGTCAGGAAGCACCACCCCCACTGAGAGATACCAAATTATGGAGTAAACCACCGTAATTTAGGCAGATCTTGAGAGAGAAAATGCTGAGTGGATGCAGAGGCAGCAATGAAGCTGAGCTGAAGAGGGAGGAAGCCTGTGCAGGGAACCCAAACACTACAGCTAGTTCCCCAGAATGGCTCCTAGGAAAGGGCCTCTGCCTGAGAGAGACCTGTGGCCTAGAACACCTAACACAAGAAACACAGTGATTGCAGGAGACTCCCCCAGGGCCCAGGAGCACATCTGGTGATGGAGGCATCTCTCCCACCCCCACTATAGAGCACACCTGCAAACAAAAGGAAGTATAAAACAGCCATGCCACTGGGTATTAGGCTAGCCACTGGCCATCACTCTTAAGCACTATGCATTGGATCACATCCCAAACTACAACATCAAAATTTATCCTGCTACATATACACCTGTGAAACCAAACACCAGAATTACTCATACATAAAAATCCTGGACAGAGAAAGCCCTGACCCTTTGAAAGCATCCAGAAACAAAACCAATTGCCTATACTCAACATACACTACAGTTAAAGGAACACTAACCCTACCAGAAGAGAAAAAATCAGTGCAAGAACTCTGGCAATTCAAAAAGCTAGAGTGTCCTCTTACCTCAAAATTAGCCCACTAGCTACCAAGCAATGGTTCTTAATCAGTCTAAAATAATTGCAACAGACATAGAATACAGAACCTCGATGGCAGGGAAGCTCATGAACATTAAGGAGAAAGTTGAAACCCTAGCCAAGTAATCCAGTAAAGCAATTTAAGTAAGTGCTGAAAGATGAAATTGCCATTTTAAACAACAGCCACACTGAATTTCTAGAGCAGAAAAAATTCAGTATAAGAATTTTATAATACAATAAGAAATATTAACAGAAGGTAGGCCAAGCTAAGGAAAGAATCTCAGAGCTCAAAGACTGGTTCGTTGAATCAACTGAGTCAAAAGAAAATTTTAAAAAAGAATTAAAAAAAGAAAATGAACCAAAGCTTTAAGAAATATGGAATTATATAAAGAGACCAAATCTACGACTCATTGTCATTCCTAGAAGAGAAACAAAGAGAAAAGGCAACTTGGAAAATAGATTTGAGAATAGAGTCTATGAAAATTTTCCTAACCTCGCTAGAGAGAGTGACATGTAAATCCAAAAAATACAGCAAACCCAGCTAGGCACTATAAAAGGTGACTATCCCTAAGGCACACAGTCATCATATTCACCAAAGTAAATACAAAAGAAAAAAAAAATCTTAAAGGCAGCTAGAGAGAAAGGTCATGTTTTCATAAAGCAAGAACTCCACTAGGCTAGTAGTAAATATCTCAGCAAAAACCTTACAAGCCAGAAGAGATTAAGGGCCTATGTCCAACATCATTAATGAAAATAAATTCCAGGCAATAATTTTATATTTCACTAAACTAAACTTCCTAAGTGAAGAAGAAACAAATTTCTCCTCAGATAAGCAAATACTGAGGGAATCAATTTCAACTTGACCAGCCTTATGAAAGGTCCTTAAGGGAGTGCTATACATTGAGTAAAAAGAATGACACCTGCTACCACAAAAGCCCACTTAAGTACATAGCTCACAGGCACTATAAAGTATCTACACAATCAAGTCTACCTAAAAACCAGCTACAAACGTGATGATAGGATCAAAATCTCATGTATCAACATTAACCATAAATGTAAATAGGCTAAACACCCCCACTTAAATGACATACAATGGCAAACTGGATAAAAATGCAAGGCTCACCATCTGTAGTCTTCAAGAGACTCATCTCATATGTAATGACAGCCACTGGCCCAAAATAAGGGGATGGAGAAAATCTGCCATGCAAATGATAACAAAAAAGCAGGAGTAACTATTCTTATATCAGATAAAACAGACTTTAATCAAAATTAAAAAGAACAATTGAAGAATGAAGAGCATTACGTCATGAGAAAGTATATGATCAAACAAGAATACTTAAGTACCCTAAATATAAATGCACCCAACATGGAGCACCCAGATTCATAAAACAAGTTCTTTTTGGACTACAAAAAGACAGACGACCACCCAATAACTGTAGGAGACTTCAACACCCCCGCTGGCAGCACTGGATCATCAAAGCAGATAACCAAGAAAGAAACTGTGTACTTAAACTTCACACTTGACCATTTGGACCTAATAAGACATCTACAGAACACTCCACTCAATAACCACAGAATATACATTCTTCTCATCTGCACAGGGAACATATTCTAACATTGACCACATGCTTGGTCATAAAGCAAGTCTGGATAAATTTTAAAAAATGAAATCATATCAAGCACACTCTTAGATCTCAATGTAATCAAAATATAAATAAATATCAACATCTCTCAACACTACACAAATAGATGAAAATTAAACAACTTTCTCCTGAATAACTTCTGTGTGAAAATCAAAATTAAGGGAGAAATTTTAAGAAAGTGAAATTAATGAAAATGGGAACACAAATTACCAAAATCTCTGGGATGCAGCTAAATCAGTGTTAAGAGGAACGTTTAAATGCCTTTATCATAAAGTTAGAAATACTTCAAATTAACAATCTAACACTACACCTAAAGGAACTAGGGAAGAAAAAAAAAAGAACAACCCTACATCAACGCTAGGAATGAAAAGAAACAACTAAAATAGAGAAGATCTGAATGAAATTGAGATGCAAAAATCCATACAAAAGATTAATGAAACCAAGAGTTGATTTAAAAAAAGAGATTGATAGACCTTTAGCTAGATAAACAAAGAAAAAAAAGAGAAGATCTAAATATATAAATCAGAATGACAAAAACGACATTAAAAATGGTCCCACAGACATACAAAATAATCCTCAGAGAATACTAGGAATAACTCTAGACACAAAAATTAGAAAATCTAGAGGAAATGGATAAATTTCTGAAAACAGGCAATCTTCCAAGATTGAATCAGGAAGATACTGAAATACTGAAGAGACCAATATGAAGCTCTGAAATTGAATAAGTAATAAAAAATCTACCAAGCCAAAAAGCCCTGGACTATATGGATTCACAGCAAAATTCTACCGGAAGTATAACGAAGAACTAGTACAATTCTACTGAAACTATTCCAGAAAAGTTGAAGAGAACGTACTCCTTCCTAACTCACGCTGTGAAGCCAGAAGCAGCTTAATACCAAAACCTGGCAGAGACGCAAAAAAAAAAGAACATTCAGGTGACCACTGTTGACGAACATAGACTCAAAAATTCTCAACAAAGTACTAGCAAACTGAATCCATCAGCAGCATATCAAAAAATTAATCTACTATGACAATACAGGCTTTATTCCTGGGATGCATGGCTGGTTCAACATATGCAAATCAATAAATGTGATTCACCAGATAAACAGAATTAAATCAAAAACCATATGATCATCTCAATGGATGCCGGAAAAGCTTTCAATTAAATCCAGTGTCCCTTCATGAAAAAACAAAACAAAAAAAAACCCTCAACAGTTGAGGCTTCAAATAAGCATACTTCAAAATAAAAAAGAGCTATCTACAACAAACCCACAGCCAATATAATACTCAATGGGCAAAAGCTGAAAGCATTCTCCTTTAGAAATGAAACAAGCCAAGGACATCCACTCTTACCACTCCTATTCAACATAGTACCAGAAATCCTAGTCAGAGCAATCTTGCAACAGAAAAAGAGAAAAGCACCCAAATAGGAAGTGAAGATTAAGGCAAACTATCTGTCTTCACCCAACAATATCATTCTATACCTAAAAAACCTTAAAGACTTCAACAGAAGTCTACTAGAAATGATAAAGGATTTTAGCAAGGTTTCAGGATACAAAATCAATGTACAACAATTAGTAGCATTTCTATACAACAACAACATCCAGGTTGAGAGTTAAATTAAGAACACAATCATATTTACAACACCTAGGATGAAAATAAAATCCCTGCAAATACAACTAACCTAAGATGTGAACGATCTCCACAAGGAGAATTACAAAACACAGCTGAAATCTGAAGCTGGATGCAGTGGTTCATGCCTTTGGGAGGCCGAGGCAGGTATATCGCTTGGACCCAGGAGTTTGAGACCAACCTAGGCAACATAGTGGAACCTCATCTATACAAATTTTTTTTTTTTTTTTAAATAGCGAGGCATGGTGGCACATGCCTGTAGTCCTAACTACCCTGACGGCTTGAGGCCAGGAGTTCAAGCCTGCAGTGAGCTATAATGACTCCACTGCATTCCAGCCTGGGTGAAAGGGTGAGACTCTGTCTCAAAAAAGGAAGGAAATAAGAAAAGGAAGGAAGGATGGAAGGGAGGGAGGAAGGGAGGGAGGGAGGGAGGGAGGGAGGGAGGGAAGGAAGGAAGGAAGGAAGGAAGGAAGGAAGGAAGGAAGGAAGGAAGGAAGGAAGGAGATTTTGATAACACAAATAAATGGAATAACATTCCATGTTTACAGATTAAAAGAATCAATATTGTTAAAATGGCCACACTGCCCAAAGCAACTTGTAGATTCAAGGCTATCTCCATGAAACTACCAACATCATTCTTCACAGAATTAGAAAAAACTATTCTAAATTTATATGGAACACCCCCAAAAGCCAGAATGGCCAAAGCAATTCTGAGCAAAAATAATAAAGCCAGAGAGGCGTCATACTACCCAATTTCCAGCTATACTATAAGTGTACACTAACCATGATACTGTTACAAAAGCAGACACTTAAGCCAATGGAACAGAATAGAACACTCAAAAATAAAGCTGCACACTTACCACCATCTGGATCGTGGACAAGGCCAACAAAAACAAACAATGGGGAAAAGGCACCCTATTCAATAAATGGTGCTGGGATAATTCGCTAGCCATAAGCAGAAGAGTGAAACTGGATGCTTACCTTCCACCATACACACAAATTAATTCAAGATGGATTAAAGGTTAAAATGTAAGACTTCAGATTATGAAAACTCTAAAACAAAACCTAGGAAATATTTTTCTCGACATTGGCCTTGGCAAATAATTTTTGGCTAAGTTTCTAAAAACAATTGCAACAAAAACGAAATTGACAAGTGAAAGTCAATCAAACTAAAAAGCTTCTGCACAGCAATAGAAACTATCCACAGAGTAAACAGACAACTTACAGAATGGGAGAAAATATTTGCAAACTATGCATCTGATAAAGATCTAATATAACAAATCCATAAGGAAGAAAAAATGACAAGCATAAAACAACCCCAGTTAAAAAGGGCAAAGCTAATACAGGAGCAGAAAATCAAACTCCGCATCTTCTCACTTATAAGTGGGAGCTGAACAATGGGAACACATGGACACAGGGAGGGGAACAACACACAATGGGGAACAACACACAACACACACTATAATTTTCTGTAGGGGGTTGAGGAGAGGGAGAGCATCAGGAAAAATAGCTAATGCATGCTGGGCTTAATACCTAGGTGATGGGTTGATAGGTGCAGCAAACCACCACCACACACGTTTATCTATGTAACAAAACTGCGCTTCCTGCACATGTACCCCAGAACTTAAAATTTAAATCAAGAAAAGGCAAAGGACATGAACAGATATTTTCTCAAAAGAAGACACTCAAGTATATGAAAAAACACTCATCCTTACTAATCATCAAATAAATAAATGCAAGCAAAAACCACAGTAAGATGCCATCTCACATCAGTCACAACAGCTATAATTAAAAAGTAAAAAAATTAGATGTTGGCCAGGCTGCAGAGTAAAGGGAATGCTTATACACTACTGTTGATGGAAATGTAAACTGGTTCAGGTACTGTGGAAAGTATTTTGGAGATTTCTCTAAGAACTTAAAACAGAGATACCCTTCGACCCAGCATTCCCATTACTGGGTATATATTCAAAGGAAAATAAATTATTCTACCAGAAAAATATATATGCACTCGTACGTTCATCAGCATGTTATTCACAATAGCACAGACATGGAATGAACCTAGGTGCCCATCAAAGGTGGATTGGATAAAGAAAATGTGGTACATATACACTATGGAATACTATGCCTCCATAAAAAAGAATGAAATTATGTCCTTTGCAGCAACATGGATGGAGCTAAGGACATAATCCTAAGCAAATTAGTGCTGGAAAAGAAAACCAGATACCACACATTCTCACTTATAAGTGGAACCTAAACACTGAGCACACAGGAACATTAACATGGGAACAAGACATGCTGCAGGCTATGGGGGTGGGGGAGAGAGGGGAGCATGGGCTGAATAACTACCTACTGGGTACTATGCTCACTACCAGGGTGCACTGTACAAAAGTAACAAATCTGCATATGCACTGTGTCTGGAAAAAACTGAAATTATAAAAACCAAGAGAATATGTTTCTAATGAATGTAGACTTTATTTGATGGACTGGACTAGAATATAATATTTTTTTAAGGGGAAAGGCATTGGGGGATGCACAATGTCTACAGGTTTCTAAACCTCTCTGGTTTCTCACCTAATTCATAGTCTCTTATGTCATTTTCATAGTTTTCATATTCTGCCTTTCCACCTCTTCTTTTTAACAAGTAAAATTCCTCATAGCATACAAAAAAACAATTTTATAAAAAACCCATATTATAGATCAGGGACCTGTGGATTATATGCTATTAGAACTATACAAAATGTCTCTATATAGTTTTCTGTATCTTTGGAATATCTTTGGGTGAAGCTGCAGACCTTCTTGGTGAGTGTTACAGCTCTGCGCAGAGCCAAACAGTGAGCAGCAGCAAGACTGCAAAGAGCAAAAGAACAAAGCCTCCACACTGTGGAAAGGGACCCTAGCACGTTGCTGTTGCTGGCTCTGGCAGCTGCTTTTATTCCCTTATCTCACCCCACCCACATCCTGATGATCGGTCCATTTCATAGAGAGCTGATGGGTTCATTTTACAGAGAGCTGCTTGGTCTGTTTACAATCCTTTAGCTAGACACAAAAGTTCTCCAAGTCCCCACCAGATTAGCTAGACACAGAGCACTGATTAGTGCGTTCACATACCTTGAGCTAGACACAGCATGCTGATTGGTGCATTTACAATCCTCCAGCTAGACGTAGTAAGTTCTCCAAGTACCCACCGGACTCAGGAGCCCAGCTGGCTTTGCCTAGTGCATCCCGGCCGCGGGCGGAGCTGCCCGCCAGTCTCTGGCGCGCTGCCGCACTCCTCAGCCGTTGGGCGGTTGACGGGACCGGGTGCCGCGTAGCAGGAGGTGGCGCCCGTCCCCTCGGGGTGGCGCGCGGGAGCCTGCGGTTGGGGGGCGGGGGGCGGGGGGCGGGGGGCAGGGGACGGGGGCGGGGAGGAGGGTGAGGGCTCCAGCATGGCAGGCTGCAGGTCCCGAGCCCTGCCCCCTTGCCCCGCGGGGAGGTGGCTGAGGCCCAGCGAAAATTCGAGCGCGGCGCCGGCGGGCCATCACTGTTGGAGGACCCAGTGCACCCTCCGCAGCTGCTGGCCCGGGTGCTAAGCCTCTCACTGCCCAGGGCCGGCGGCGCCAGCCGACCGCTCAAGAGTGCGGGGCGCGCCGAGCCCGCGCCCACCCGGAAGTCGCGCTGAGCCCGCGCCCACCCGGAAGTCGCGCTGGACCTGCGAGCACCGCAGGCAGCCCAGGTTCCGGCCCGCGCCTCTCCCTCCACACCTCCCCGCCAGCAGAGGGAGCCCGCTCAGGCCTCAGCCAGCACAGAGAGGGGCTCCCACGGTGCAGCTGCGGGCTGAAGGGCTCCTCAAGCGCGGCCAGAGTGGGCTGAGGCCGAGGAGGCGCCGAGAGCCAGCGAGGGATGCCAGCAAGCTGTCACCTCTCAGAAATACAGGAAGAACATCAATAATGTTCGAAGTTATAAAGTAGTAGGTTTCTATCAAGAGTAAAACATAAACGAAGTTATAAAGTAGTAGGTTTCTATCAAGAATAAAACATAAACGATCAAAGAATTCCTTATAAAAACATTTTTTATTTCTAGGAATCAAAACATAAATATAAAATTTGAGAGTCCACCAAAAAAAATTAGATGCCAGATTTCACTATAATTATCAGGGAAGCGCCCAAATGGGTTGTTTACGGCGCCTCGGGGAAACTTTCTGTTTCGTGTTAAGGGTCTTGAACCATGATGTTTAGAAAACCATGGGCTGATGCTTTCAGAACCTCTGTGATTTTTGCCTCCGACACTGCATCCAATAGACTAGCATGTTGATTAGGGAAAGCTAAATTCAATAAAAGACGACTGTAAGTGGGGTCACCACCTTGAGGGGTCATGTTAGAAAAGTAGATGATAAGGTGGTATTGATAGAGTATTGAAGTCTGGGCTCAAATGGTTGCCCGGGGCCTTTCAAGACCAATGACTGATAAGAATAGGTAATGTTCAGGACATAGAGTTTAGGATTGGGGGACACTGTGAGTTAAGGGCCATGACAGAAGTCTTCATAAGTAAACTGTTAATTGACACAAGCTGCTACCTGCCCAGGTGAGCAATCTGTTGGCCCAGAGGAGAGTTGCTTACTGACATAAATTGATTTGCAGAAATTTCCTGAAGCAAACAATAAGTTATTTATTGGTTTGCAGCCTTACTTTCCTGAAAAATGAATTGTGAAATCATGTTGACACAGATGGCCTCAGGTTTCAGTTCGGATAATTAAGCTGTGTAAATATAGAAAGTCGAAGGTTTCTGGGTGCTGTTGATTCACAGTATGCAACAATGATCATATTACTTTTATTTACTATGAGCTTCAGCTGAAAATCCAAAAGAAACTTTAATTTCAGATATTTAATGAAATCATTATAGCTGTGGTAATTTCCTTTAGCTGGGTGTGAGTGTGTGATGTGAGCGTGTGGTGTGTGTGTGTGTGTGTGTGTGTGTGTGTGTGTGTGTACTCTGGCAGCATATTCCAAATAATTTCTGTAAAATTTCAGTTTGAAATTAATAGAAGACATATTAAATTGTTTAAACTCTTTGTTATTTAAATTCTATATTACTTTAGTCGATTACTCTGTATTATTACGGCAAAGCTTTGATATGTTGCCCTGAATTTAAAGAAAAGGCTGTTCGGCCTAAAAACAGGAATATTTTATTACCAAAAAGAATTAACTACCATATGTCATTTACAGAAAAGAGTAAATTCTTCAGGGCATAGAAAATACACATTTCCTTCTGTTTGTGTGGAAATAAGCAAAATACCTGTTATAATAGATTCCTCACAGAATTTTGTGAAGCTTCAGGTAAACTTGAAAGAGAAAAATTAAAATGCTAGAGTTTCATAATTACAAATTGGGATATAAAAATAGAATAATTATTTGAATTTTGTATTTCTCTCCAGGGGATCAAAAGTAATATATAAACTTTTAATAAATATTGATATAGCTTCACGTTGACTCCATATGTGAGCAATTTGCTTTCTGTTAAATTCACAATTGCATAATTTTTTTCAGGCTGGAATGCACTTGGATGCCAGAGATTTTGATTTCTTCATGTGAAATAAGGTGATAATACATTCCAAAGTATATTTTTTTTCAACTTTGAATATATCTGGTGTATTTGGAGTAATATCTGAGTAAATACACTTATATGTAAGAGAATCAAAGGAACAAGATATTATTTTATATCCAAGGAAATTAACACTTAGAACATAAATACGTATTGCATTACTTCATATTAAAGAAATGTTTTACAAAAGAAAATAAAGGAGCTTATTTTATAGCCCCATTTCCACAAATAATAGCAAAGGTACATACACATATCTAATGTTTTACACACTCATTATTGTTTCTCTTAAAATTTGTTGCTTATACTATTTTAAAAGGCAAGCCTATAGATTGTTGTGTGTATATACATATACACACAACATACATATATGTGTGTGTGTGTGTGTGTGTGTGTGTGTATATATATATATATATATATATATATCAGCAAGCAAGAGAATGGGCCTCTTCCTGCTGAGGTTTAACATTTGCATGTATATGTATATTTTGATTCACATAGACTTATTGTTCTTTAATTACATGAACAGTGATTCCTGGTTACATTATTGGAAAATGGAAGCAATGCTCAAAGAGCATCACCTAAATTTCCATCATATTTTGCTCTCAATATATTTTGTACATCCAAATATATTGTGATTAATCTGCATACATTTTTGCTGTTCTAGGTGACGCTGGTATGAGGCTAGGTAATACACGACCTTAGTCTGCATGTTGTACTTGTGTAACACACATAATTTTACAGTGCTAACAGGTGCTATAATAACTAACTATAGTTAATGATGAATGAAAGAAGGAAGATGTTAAGATGTTAGGGAAGGACTCAAAAGATGCAGTGCTTGAGTTAGAATTTTAAGGGAGATTATGCAAAAGCAGTCACTTAAGGTGGGTCGGGATGATCTAGAATGTGGGAATGATGTATGCAAAGTCACACAGGAGAGATACAGCATGCATGTTTAGAAAATTGTTGATTACATATGGAAAGTTTGCAGGACTTGCATCCTAGAATGTCAGGATTTTAAGCTAAGTAGGGTTCAAATTAAATTTTTCACATACTTCGCTGCATTATAATAACTAGTTTATGTTTAACTCATCCACTAAACTAAGTTATTTGAAAAGAGATGCCAGTGTTCACTCAATCTAGTTGTCTGTCATTAATAATTTAAAAATAATTGAGATTTTAATTTTGGTCTGCTAAGCCTGTTTAATTAAAATTTGACGTTAAATAAGATTTTACAGGCCTCATTTTTTTTTCAGTCATCACAGTTTGAATATTAAACATTACTACTTTTATCTCCCTCAGTCAGCATAAAACATACTACTTATGGTTTTAATAACCAAATTCAATGAGCACCAACAAAATTTGATGTAACTATTAACTTTGAAATTTTGTTGAAATAGAACTATGCCTTGGGTATCATTCAAAGCATTTAATTGTTGCAATAAAAAACTTTGAGATAAATTGAAATGATGGACAATATGGGTCGAAAGCAACACTGGCTTGAGGGAATAGGCTAATGTTTGAGAACAGAATTGTTAAGGACAAGATTGGATGTTTATATTATTTTAGGAAAGATACACTCTAATGGAGTTTAATTCTAAAATGTTTAATATTATGAAAATATTATATGTTATATGATCATTATAGAAAATTAAAAATATAAGAACATCAGAAGCAAAATAGTCAAAGTCTACCTAAACCCAATTAGAAGTGAATACTATTAATCTTGATTTGCATGTTTCTAATCTTATTATTATCAAATTAATAAACAGCTTTCAGATATTCTGCTTCTCCCTGTTACTAGATCAGGATAATGTCATTTATGTACAGGCATCTCCTGCTTACTCAGTTCAGCATTGATCAATAAATATTTTAGACTTCCATTCAAAACACTTCCATTTTTCTTTTGCCCATATTCTTTTTATTCAGTGCTGCCTGTTTTCAAATACACAACACTTTGTCAAACAAATTCCAACATTAGATTGGATATAGTTGGTATCAAAGTAGTAATACACATTGCCATTCCTAATCCTCAGTGCATTGATCCTGAAAATTATTTGTAAGAATAGAAAAATACTGGATATTTCAAATTAAGTCTCATTTTGTTGCTTACCCATGAAAGACTGGAATTAACCAACATAACCATTACAAGGTGATTGAGCAAATGAATAGATGGAAAATATTATAGAAACTTTACTGCAGTTCATCAACCATTGTGGTCATTAGGCCATAGGAAAATACAGTGTGACAGTACCCCTGTCTTCTTTTCCATTTGTTAAGTCTCATATCCAAGTAACAGTGGGTAGACCTTATGAGAACCCAAAGTGAGATAAAAATAATTTTTGGCTTTTCAATGTATCTTATTTGATCTAAGAGGTATTTCCCCGACTTTGATGCAATAATTCTTGTCACAAAATTTGACTTTACTGAAGACCGTTTTAAGGATCTTTGCAGCTGACAGCAGTGACTTTTTTACCTCCTACAAAGTTTCAACTGACAGTCTTATTGTCTCTGACTTTCCCAAATTAATGACATAATTAGTCACCAGGGCTTTGGCTGCTCAATAGGGATTTAGTAAGCAATGAGTCATATGTTGGGGAACACTTCAACAAACAAAATGTTGGCAGAGAAAGATGTATGAATCAGCTAGGAAGAAACACTATTCTATCACTGAGGATCTTTCTAATATTAGATATCACAGAAAAATTTTCATATAGATTACCATACGAGTGAGCCAAAACCTCTAGGAACAAAAAAGCTTAGTATAATTATAACTCCTTGCCATGATTTAACTTAAAATTTCTTTACTTATTTAGCAATTCTATAAACAAGAATCATTTCTGTTAAGGATACTAAGGAGAGTGTTCCTATTGAATCAGAACATTTAAAACAAATAATTGAGGGAACTCACACATGTAAAACGTCATTAACCAAACTAAAATAAAATGTGAGGGCATAAACTTAACCAGAAATGTTTAAAACCTATATATAAAAAAAACTAGAAAACACTTCTGAATGGCACAAATTTGGACTTGAGCACGGGGAAAGAAATTCCATGCTCTTGAAAAAGCCTTAAAATCATAAATGTGCCAGTTCTTTAAATAAACTTATATCTTCTGTGTCATAACAAAACGACATTTTCTAGAATTTCTTTTTCCAGATTTAGAAAAATAGACAAATTTACTTGGAGGAATAAAGAAGCAAGAATAGCTAGAAATATCCTATAAAATCAATGGAATTTGGAGTCAATACAAAATATTAAGCAATTCTTAAAGCTTCTATGATTAAAATGAGTTATAACTACAGATAGATGAAGATCATATAGAAAATCAAGACATTGACAGATATGGAAAGGTGGTATATAATGAAAACATTTCAGATCAATGAGGGGGAAATGTTAACCGGAAAAGAATATTAAAAAGGCAATGAACTCAATAAGACAACAAGAAGCAAACCACAGAAAAATAACTGGACTGGATTAGAAAGAAAATATCTTAGACACTTCAAAAATAAAATATTCAAATAACCAATGAACTTATTAAAAGGTTTTTATTTATATTGGTTACCTGAAAAAATAATTCAAACCACAATGAGATGTAAGTACTTGTCATTCAGAATCCTGAATTTGAAAGGAATATTTTAGAATTCTAAGTTGAAGAGAAAGTGCAAAGTATTGATGAGAATGTTGACTAATTAGAACACTCAAATTGATGTTATTGGCATAACTTAGTTCAAATAATTTGGATAAAGATATGTATTAGGCCCCAAAATTCTACTTGTAAAGATGGTTTCTCCAGAAATGCATGCATATATATAGCTAAAAAAAAATGTGTACTCATGAAAACACTTTTCAGAATAACACCAAAATAACCCCAAACTGTGGCCCAAAAGTGGACTAAAATACTTATAAAGAGTACAGTAAACAAATAAGTTGTAATATGATCACCTAATAAAATATTAGAGAAATAAATATAAATAGTTTCATTTGCAGGTCATATAGTCAATTCGTCTCACAAATATAATATTAAGCAAAAAAATGTGGTTCAAAACACTACACACACTATTTGATTCCTTACTGGTAAAAGTTAGAATAGTGTTATGTTAGGAGGGATGGGTGGAAATCAGGTGTGTGACTATTACATTTTCTTATTCTGGATGATCATAGTATTTTAAAACTCACTAAGCTTTAAACTTATGTGCATTTACCCATGTGTATACAATACTTTAATAGAAGCTTCAAATCAATGAGAAAACATGAAACTGTCTGATGGAAAAATAGCTTGAGGAAATGAACAGGTATGGCAGAAAAGAAGGGCTGCATATAGTTTAAAAACTTGAAGAGATGTTTAATCTCTTTGCAAATAGAAAAACATACGCATTTAAATTGAAATACCATTTTCATGTTCCAAAATTAAAATTATTAGAAATATGATGGTAAACAGTGATGGTAATATGGGAGAAAGGAAACATCCTAGGCAATTTGGCTAAGCTTTTCTGAGAAAGATTTAGGCAATATGCCATTAAAAGATTTAATGTGAACAAATGGGAAATTTGCCCACATAAATAAATGGAAAGATACTCTATTTTTCCTAATTTAATCTGAAAATACCTAAGCCCCTGATATTTTTCTAAAAACTGGAATGTCCCTGTGGTCATTGGGTTTTAGAGACATAATTTTCACTGCGATGGTCATAATTTTAAAAGGTTGCATCATCCATTTTTAGTTAACATATATTGTACTAACATCACATATCTATGTAACAGAAAAATAGAGTCAACTCATGTAGGGACAGACATGAAAATGACAAATACATATAGAGATAGAAAGGTATCTTGTGCATTATACTGAGAAAGACAATAGAAATAAACAATTTACATGGGTTGATTTATTTTGATTAAGATATATAAGTGGTTAGATAAATGTTAAATAGGTCAGTATGTAATTACAGAAAATGACAAATTGTTATGTATGGTACATTTGTAGGCATAACACAGACATTACATTTTGGAAAATTGTGTTCTATGCAACAGTGCCAAGTCTAATGAAAGTAAGAGGAAGAGGAATTCAGCCAAAGTACCAACCCCTGTTATCCATTCCTTAAGAAAGGAACTTCTTTATACACTCAAAAGAGGGGATTCTTTTTAAATTTGTTTCCAGAGGGGCATCTGCATACACATACACATACACATACACACACACACACACACACACACACACACATTTACATTATATTTAAATGTGTGTGCATGATATATATATATACATGTATTTATTTATTTAATATATATGTGTTATCTGGGTCCTATATAGGAACACACACACACACACATTTTGAATCAAACACTCTTTCGTATAATTTTGGTGACAAACGTATGCAATAAATGAGAATACTTTAACTTTCCAAAAAGCTATTCAAAAGTATAATTTTCAAATAAAATATATGTTTGTATGACAACAAATGATTTTTTATAAATAATATATTCTGCATTATCAATCTGCCACTGGTTTTTATTAAATAAAAAAACCTGTAAGTTTGTATGCTCTTAAAATACATATAACATTTGTAAGAATAGTTTTTGTGTAAAAATAATTATAGTTCACTATAACTATGTTAAAAATAGACATAGCCAGGCAAGTCGCTCATGCCTGTAACCCAGCACTTTGGTAGGCTGAGGCGGGCAGATCACTTGAGGCCAGGAGTTCAAGACCAGTCTGGCCAACATAGCGAAACCCCATCTCTAATAAAAATACAAAAATTAGCCGGGCATGGTGGCCCATACCTTGTAATGCCAGCTACTCAGGAAGCTGTGGCAGGAAGATTGCTGGAACCCGAGAGGCGGAGTCTGCAGTGAGACAAGATCATGCCACTGCACTCCAACCTGGGTAACAGAGTGAGACTCTGTCTCAAAAAAAAAAAAAAAAAAAGAAAAGAAAAGAAAAGAGAAAAATAGACACAGATGAAGGGTGTCTTTGATTATGCAAATAGATTACCCATCTTGTACTCACTGTGTTTATTTCAATAAATGATCCACAGAATATGCTACTTTTGATTTATAGTTTTCTTCTCCTTCACCGCTGTGGACTGGGAAAATATTTCTTATTATTTCTGCTGCAGAGTAGCAAAAAATTATGAGCCAGAAGGAAGACCACTACAACAAGCAAAATCTCTGAGTAATCATAAAATGAAGAACTATTTCCTGTTGGGATTCACTGTGACGAATTTGATTTTAAATTCTTGATGTTGGCATTTTATTTTTAAAACTTAGCTTTCTTGCCTATTCTGAAATTGTCAAAAATTCAGAAAAACAATCATGATCATTTGCTTGCTGACCAGTGGAGACCTACTGATTTTTAGGCTGTGAGACTACAGTAATAAATAAATAAAAAAGTTCATACTTCCTTCTATCGAGGGAAATTGAGCATTTTTCTCATAGTCCTAAATCACCAGATCAAGGGATATATGTAATACTTGAGTGTTGACATTTTATTAATTTTTATATTTAACTAGAGCTGTAAAGTTGAAACAAATGGGTCAATGCAGTAGCCCATAAAATATTTTAAAAACACATAAAAGAAATATCACTAAAATTTAAACATAAAAAAAATACAAAAAAACCCTGAGCTATAGGAAGGGAAGTATCCTCTAAATGCCCAAGTTGAAGGTAGTCCTCTTAGAAAGGGACAGTAAGAAGCAGTGTTTGATGGGAACGTGATTTTTCAAGTATTTGAATTTTCAAACTCACCACATTAACTGAGTAAAATGAAAAAAATATATAAACTTCCTCTGAGGCAGAAAAAACATTTGGCATTTTCAAGATAGAATTATAATAAAAATATCTCGCCCCAATAGAATACAAAGAAGCATCCTTAAGCAAATAGAAGGCATCTACGGAAATATCACACTGAAGTTTGAACTAATAAATTATTCATTTAAGATCCAGAAGAAGACAAAGTGTCCTCTTTCACTATTGTTCTCTCTACTGTATGGGAGGAATTAACCAGTGAGACAAATCAAATAAATAAGTAAAACATACACAGTTAAGAAATGAAAAATACAATTCTAAATTTTTAAACAACTCCATTACCTACACATAAACTTCTAGTGACTGTAAAAATCAGCTGCTGGAATAAACTAGTAATTTTAGCCACATCATAGAAAAAATAAGTCAACCCATTAACTTATTTCTATATATTTCCAATGAGCAATTAATGATAAAAATCAAATCCATGTAAAATACTAATAAAAATAAAATATGTATATATGATTTTAACAAATTACATGCAAGATCTCTCTAAATAGGAAACTAGCAAAAGTGTTGGGAGATGTAGGAAAGTTCTAAATAAATGGAGTCGCATACAATAATTGATGGTTTTGATGTGTGTCCCTGCCCAAATCTGGTATGATGTAATCTCCAATGTTAGAGGTGAGGCCTGATGGGAGGTGATTGGATCATGGGGTGGATTTCTCATGAGTGGTTCAGCATCATCCCTCTTGATACTGTTCTCATAATAGTGAGTGAGTGAGTTCTCATGAGATCTGGTCATTTAAAAGTGTGTAGCAGCTTCCCCTTTCACTCTCTTGCTGTTCTGGCCATGTGACGTGCCTGTCCCCCTTTGCTTTCTGCCATGATTGTGCGTTTCCTGAGTCTTCCCAGAAGCTAAGTAGATGCCAGCATCATCCTTCCTGTATAGCCTGCAGAACAGTGGGGCAATTAAACCTCTTTTCTTCATAAATTGTTGAATCTTCTGTATTTCTCTATAGCAATGCCGGAACAAACTAATACAATAATCATGGCTTGAAAGTTCAGTGAATTTTAGTGTGTAAAAGGTTTTGGTTTTTCCAAATTAATCATTCTAGAAATCCTCACCATAATCACAAAAGATATTTTTATATAAATTGACACACTGATTTAAAAATGTACATCAAGAGAGCAAAAACAAATGATAGAAAGCTGAAAAAAAAGTTGGAATACTCACACTTCCTAACACCATGCAATAACTTAAAGCTATAGTCATCGAGAGAATGTGTTATTAGTAGATGGATAAACAATTAGAGTAATGGAATGGAATAGAGTTCACAAATAGATCCATGCTTATATGAATAATATAATATCAAAGATACTGCAGTTATTCAAAGGGGAAAGATAATTTTATTTAACAAAGTGTGCAGAACTACGAGATAAATGTGAAGAAAACAAACCTCAAGTCCTTCCTCACAACAAAAGCGTGAATGAGTTCAAAATTAAAGGAGTCCAAAATATATTATGGAACAATGTGTAAAAGTGAAAGCATAGGCTTCAAATATAAAGCACAGAAAATGTCTTAGTAAACTACATGAAAGCATTTCTTTTTATCCAAACTGTGGATACATTTCTTTTTATTCAGAAAGCAATAATTATATAATGATAAACTACAGAAATGTGTAAATATATTTATACTTTAATGTTTATTTTTAATTACACAATTATATATACTATTTATTATGAATAAGAGCAAGAATATATAAATATAATGTACAACATAGAAACAAGAGAGCTATAAAAACTAACAGATGCTACACAAAAATGATATAATAGCAAATAAGCAAATGAAAAATTTCTTAATATCGTTAGTAATAAAAAATAAAATGAGATAATTATACACATCTACTAGAAAAGCTACTATTTTAAAAATTGTGTTACCAATATTTGGCATAGATGTCAAGAAACCAGACTCTAGAGTTTGCATACATTGACGGTGGGAGTGTAACACAGTACAGCTACTTTGGATAACTAAATCTACCTTACATGTACCAATTCTACCCCTAGGCATTTATCCTAGGGGGGAGAAAAGCATAAGTCTGTAAAAAGGCTTGCACAAGTACCTTTATTCATTATTGTCAAAAACAGACACCATGCAACTGTCCACCAAGAGCGGCGTTCTCAAGTTCAGCACTATTAGCTGTTGAAGTGGCTTAATTCTTTGTTGTGGGGAGCTATCCTTTGTGGAACCCTGGCCTGTGGACACTCTATCCCCTCCTCCACAAACCTCTGATAACCAGAAGTGTCCCCAAACATTGGAAATGTCCCCTGGCAGGTAAAATGTCCCTCATTTGAGAACCTCTGGTCAAGAGTTTAGTAAATAAATTATAGTGGTATGTCTATGAAATGAAATAATATGTAACAATAAAAAAGTGCTACTTCAACATGCAAGAAATTGTTGAATCTCAAAAATATTATGCTTAAGGAAAAAAGACAAAAAGAATTCATACTCTATAATTCTACTGATATATAATTGTAGAAAATAAAAGCTAATATATGGTAATAAAACCAGATTAGTACTGGATTGACAATGTGTTGAAAGTCAAAAGAAGAGGCTTGAGATCTCTTTCTAGTGTGATAGTTTTACAAGTATATACGTATGTTAATGTTTAAAAATTTCACACCTCAAAAATGTGCAGTATACCAGATGTTAATTATATCTCATAAAGCTATTAAAATTTTATCTCAAAATTATAGCTTTATTGCATTTAGGGCATTATCCAATTTTGAATCTAATCCAGTTATCATAGCTTAATGCAGTATTATGAAAATAATGCCTATAAAGGTCCAGTTCCTCAAACACCCTTGGAACCAATTTTGTCATCTATATTAGTTACCTTGGGCTGCTATAATGAAGTACCACAAGCTGTGTGTCTTTAAGCAACAGAAATTTCTTCCCTCACAGTTGCGGAGGTCAGAGGTCAGAAAACAAGGTGTCTGCAGGACCAACCTCTCCTCTGGATGCTCTAGGTGAGAATCTTTTCCATGCCTTTCTCTTAGCTTCTGATGTTGCCATCAGAACTTCAGATGGTGTTCCTTGGCTTCTGTCAATATTAATACATAAATCCTTTTCAGTCTCAGCTTCTCTCTTCACATGGTCCTCTCCACATCCTATCTGTTTCTGTTCCCTCTTCTTATAAAGACAGCCCATGTTATTTTAAGTCCCACCTACAGACATAATTTTAGCTTGATTACATCTGCAAAAACTTTGTGTCCAAATAAGGTTTCATTTACCTTATGTGTATAACTAGGGGTTAGGGCTTGAACATACGGGTTTGGGGAGGGGAACACAGTTCAGACCATGACACTCATTGTTTCACTCATTAATGAGTTAAGGGTGCTTTGATATTATTACATTTGAATGAGAGTGGTCTTTAAAATTACATTTTGTCGTGTAGTTTGTTCCACCCTGATGCTTAAAGGGAGTCACCTGCCTCAGCCAATTAAACTGTGTTGTCTCTGCAGTGCGTTTTATCACAAGAACATGACCTTTAAGCACAAGAACACCTTGTACTCCACCACTAAAAACAGAAATGACATCTACCTTCACTGCTTCCCTATTTCTCTCCATCTTTACTGACTTGGTATTTTGTTGTTGCTGTCATTTCTGGTTGTTGGTCAATTTTCATTTCTGTTCTTATTTTGCTGATAATTCTTATAAATCAGTGCTGAATTTTGTCAAATTATTTTTCTGCATCTCTACAGATGATCATTTTATGTTTTTGTCCCTGTGATAATTTAATGAATGTCATTGATCAATTTTTAAATAATGAATATCTTTGCATTTAAGATAATATTTTTCACTATTAATGTTATCTCTGAAATGAAAGCTAAACCTAGTCAATAGATATTAGAGGTGCATGATTTTTAAAATTGTATAAAATTAGATAAAAAATACAAAGAAATATATATAATTTTAAAACTATGTAAAAATGTAAATGCCAAATGATAGAGCACTAAATGAAGCTTGTAATATTAAATACAACCTTTAGAAACTCTTTTGCAGTGCAGGAAAAAAATAGAACTGAAAACAAAGCAGAAGAAATCACAGATATAAAATTAAAGAGGATAGAATTAAGCACCTGAGTTCCCACATCTAAAGTGAAAATCTAAGAATTTAAATATCATTCAAATACAGACTAAAATACAATATAAAATAAAATTTCCTGAGCTAATTTTTAAAATACTGCTTAATTTGTAGGTAAAAATGCAGACTAATTTTCTGACTATATTACTATAAAAACCTTCTACAAATATTTTTTAACTAAAATTATAAGAAAAACATCCGCCATAAACACGTAAGATTAGTATTTTCGTTTCTGAAGTATAAAATGTCTGGATAGACTTGAGCTTGTTGCTTTAGTTTTATATGTGAAGACTGGAAAAATTCTGTTTTGTTTTGAAAAATATTTTGAGCTAAAAATGTTGTATTCCACATTTGTTAGGAATGGAAGTCTTTAAAATATGAAATATTTCCAATTGAAGAAAAATAGTGAAAATGAACTTTATCTGAATAAGATTAATGAAAATTACATGTTGAAAAAGTAAAATAGTTATGTGTACTAACAGTGACTACTAACCCAACAATATAAAATTAAGTAAAAATATTATTACCATGTTAAATACAAATTAAAATTAATTATAAAAAAGTTAAGATCTATGATTAAAGTATTAAAATAAAATGAGACTGTATTCACAAATCTAAAAGCAAATTGGTGAATGACATATTTTTTGAAATAATAAATTCTTTGGCATATTTTATATTTTTTATTATAAATGAAAATTATTTATTTGAAATATTTAAAGGAACAAAATATTTGCAGCTCTATTTTATTGAGAAAGGAATTACAAAACAAAAACAAGGAGCTTTTGTAATTACAAAAGAATATATTAATAATATTATTTAGAAGCACAAAACCAGAAAAGCTTTATATTATTTCTAACAATAAATGTAAACCATCTAATTTTCTGAAAAGGGGTGGAAATAAATATTTAACAAAGAAGATGTTATTCTTAAATTGTAATATGTACATTGCCTAAAAATAAAAAGGTAGTTGAAGATATATTGTGAACAACAAAAAATGAAGAGCTGATAATATTAATGTGCGAAGGAAACTCATAACATATTGTACTAATTATAAATCAGTGTATTGACAAAACCTGAGTCCTCAATTATTATTGACTGTCATTGACATGTTAATGATAGAATATTAAATATAGAATATAATAAAGCAATTTAGAATAAAAAAGAGAAAGCGATAGACATGAATAGAAACAAAATGCAACTGTTCAATATTAAAAGCCTTTCTAAATTGCTTGTGTTTTTCTAGTGACCTGTTTCGCTATGCAGTGTAGGCTCAGGTGTCTAGATTTTAGTTGCAGATAAACACAGGTAGTGTTTTCCAGATCTCAGAATGACCAGTTACATAAAAATAGGCCATAAACCATATATTTCATTCTTACGGTTGACAAACCTCTAATTCACCTGAAAATATTAAAAAGAAAGAAGACAGACGTGACAGTGGTTGGAAGTTGAGGATAAGAAGAAGTTGGCAGAAATAAGCTTTCTTCTTTTGGACAGCAATGCATGATAAAAAAAAATTAAACTAAAATCAGTTCATTTCCACTAACTGGGACTTATTTAGAAACTTTAAGAAAGTCTGAAGAATTTCAATTGAGGAGTAAATAAGGGCCAATTTATTTCATAGTGTGGACTCTCAAGACAATATACAACAGTGCTTCTCAAAGTTAAACAGTGTATGAGTGACCTGGAAATGAAGATGCAGATTTAATAGGGCTGGAGAGAAGTCTGAGATTCTCAATTTCTAATGAATTAAATTACAAAGAGGAGAAAATAAGGTTATTGCTTACTTTATATACATTCACAAACACAGGCTAATCAAATAATTGTTTAAAGTATTGCTCTGATAAGAATTAAATTACATAGTTCATAGGAAACATTTTCTTTACATTCGGATTTTATCTATTATTAGAATAATAATAGAATCTTGACTTTATGTAACTCTATGTTCCAAACAACTAGAAACTTTTCGATAGCAATTGTTCACCATTTAATAACATTTTTCCAAGATACCTAATGCACTCAAGGACAAAATAGCTGCCTTCCAGTGATTTCCAATTTATTCAATTTTCAGGCCATCTGTCTGCCCACACAATGACAGATTATAGTTACATTCTTGCCATGCTCTGAACAGCTAAGCCAATTGTTTTCAATCTTTTTTCTTCAGCAACTCCATCTCTTAAAGTACTTCAGAGTAGTTCCTGAAAGGATTCCTCTTTAGTTAAATGGCTATACAGCTCTCCCATCATCCAAAATAATCAGTGGAGAGATAGCAATATTTTTCATTACATTAGGCCAAGTTCCATTGCTTCCTTCATCTTGTAATCTGATCAGAAACACCACTATAGATTCAATAATTGAGTTTAGAGTTTCAGAGAATTTGGGGTCACAGAACATCTATGTCTATTTTGTAAAGATTATTGCATATTACTGAAATAGCTTGTCAAACACTGCAGTCTGCTTAAAGTATCAAAATAGAAATGTTGAATGCTGTGTCTGCACAGAGTTCATTTAAGCAAAGAATCTACTAGGCTCTTAAGTCTGTTAATGCAAATTCCTGAATACAGCTGACCCTCCATACCCCCATTGTGGGTGGATTTAACTAACCATGAATCAAACATATTTGTTAAAAGAAATACCAAGAATAATTTTTAAAAAGAAATACAACAATAAAACAATGCAAATAAAAAACAATCCTTATAACAATTATGTGCATAGCATTTATATTGTATTCAGTATTATTAATGTAAGTAATAATCTGGAAATGATAGAAAGTATACAAGAGGGTTGTGTAAGTTATATGCAAATACTAGGCCATTTTATATAAGAAACTTGAGCATCTCTGGCTTTTGCTATGAAGGGATGATGGTGGTAGGATTGGTGGTGGTCCTGGAACAAATCCCCAGCAGGTACCAAGGGGGACTGTAGACCCCAAAGCTGTTTAGGAATGGGTCACAGCAGCAGGACTGAGGCAGGAATGCTCCCCACAGAAAACATCAACCACCTGTTGATTTTTGAATCTGCTCCTCTCAGGCATGCCTTCAAATGCTATAACCTGGAGATTCAACTCATTTTCATGCTGCTAAGTAGGAATAGGTGATTCAATTCCCCAAGAAAGTGACAGAGGTCCCTGAAATATAGATTTAAAGTTACATAGTGTCAAATGCTAGTCATTTTCTTTTTGCTCGATGGTATCCTCTCAGAAAAACCTTTTATAATATTTCTAATTCATTTACCAGATTTATAGAATCATCAAATTGTCTATCCATGTGTTTTTCAAATATTTTGTGAAGTGTCTAGGGTAACAACCTAGTGTTCGAACGTATTTTGTGAAGTGGCTAGGGTAACAACGTAATGTTCGAACTTATGTTCGTATTTAAATACAAATGTATTTTGGTTGAGTGATTACTCAAGGTCACTGAGGAATCCACAAGGTTAACCTCCTGACTCTAGAACCATTGTTATATAGAGATATATAAATAGCTGATTTAATATTATAGGCTTAGCAAAATATTTAATAAATAAGGTCTTAGTAAAACAACACACATGTATTTATCCACTTATTTAATTTTGTTTTTCCATTTCTTCTGAACATAAGTTCCTGAGGACACGGGCCTTTTTTCACAGTTCATTTTTGGATTCCAACATCTAGCCAGTACTCTGCAAAGAGCACTGAATTTGAAAGAAATTTCTCAGTTAATGATTTGAATCATATAAAATATTTAGTAAATTTGAAAACTAGTAACCGTGTAAAGCGATTAAAACAAACATACTAGAGGGTAATAATCCCCCGCCCCTTGCCTTCTTCCTTTACATCCACTTCATTCTTATTCTTGTCTACTTCCCCTGCCCCACCCAGGGAACGTGGTTAGCCCATCAGCTGCAAAGATTGTTCTCATATAATATTGTTCCGATGGATAATGAGACTCTGAAAGTGGAACATAAACAGATAAAACAAAAACAAACAGAAAAGAACCCAAAAACCTAAACTCAACTTCAGTTAAAGCAGAAAATATCTGTCCAGCCTAAACCAGGCATACTCCACAGACTTCTGTTAGACGCCTGATCCTACTTCAGTCTGGAACCACCTAGTCTTCAGGTTTGCCTGGTGCTCACCAGCTGAAGAAATCCTTTAACGACCTTTATTCAGTCAAGTAAATCGTTTTCTTTTGGCAACTTGCATGTTATTTTTTAGGTTTTCATTTATTTATTTTTTTATATTTAAAGTCATATTTTCTTCCTTTTATTCACTTTGCTGGTCTTTCTCACTTTGATTTTTTTTTTTTTGCCTTGTTTTGCATTTGTTTACTTTAACATTTTTTGTAACTTATCTCTTTTATTTTGGAAATTATTCACATTATCAGTTTTCTTTTGCTAGGCAATTTTGATATTCTAATAAACATTATTAACATAAAATATAAAGTTTACTAACACCAAGCCCAAACAATACAAAGTCTTAGGGCTCTTTAATTGCAATTATTTAAAAATATTTGCTACAAATTGTTCATTATTTTATATTCATGTTGTTTTTCTTATTCCCACAAATCACATATTGTTGGTGTGTTTGTTAAATAAAATTGTGACTGCTTATATATGTTTTTTCACATCCTTTCTTCTTCTAATATTTTGGAATTTACATCCAGTTAATTATCCTTTATTCTATGGTACATACTGTAAAAGTTACTATTCTTGGTAGTAAACTCTCAGTTTTTGGATTGTCTGAAGATGTCTCTATTTTGATCTGCTCTTGAATTCTAAATCTAATTGACATAAAATTCTAGATTTGCCGTTATCATTTATTAGCACTTCAAAGATATTCCACAATTTTCTGACTTTCAATATTTTTGTTGGTAAAAATGGTGATTGTTAATTGGCTTGCATATTCTGTTTTGGATATTCCACTGTTTCCTTATAATTTGTTTATTTATAAGGAAACTTATAAACAAATTATAAGGAAACAATAGAATATCCAAAATAAAGAGAATAGTTATGGGTTCGTTTAGATAATTCTTCAGAATCTACTAATTTGTGTCTTTCTTCTTTACTTCTGTAAACTTTTCAGCTACTATATATTAGAATATTTCTTAACTTTTTTATATTCATTCTGAAATTTCTTGCTGAAATTTGTTCAGAAGGTGAGTTAACGGAGCTATACATCTTTAGTGTCATGTGCTCTAAATTGCAAAATACATGTATTTTTATTTCAGACAACTTGAGTAACATTTGTGCAAATGTTTTATATACACGGACTTAATTTGGTAAATTTAGGCATGTGGTAGACAAATTTAAAAATGTATAAAAATCATGGGCAAGCATATGAACATTCTATTTTTGCTACTATAAAAAAATAGCAGACTATCCAACTATTTTATGATACTCAACGATACATCTTACTAAATGGTCACGACTCTTGCCTCTCAGGGTCAGAGTTTGCAATAGTGAAAGCAAGAGAAAGCCACGGAAAAAAAAACAGGGAGAGGGAAAATATTAAGCTCTAGAATATGTACATTGTTTTGCTTGTATAAATTTAGAACATTCAACACATGTTTACAATGAATACATATAAAATACCAATGACATGAGGAGAATTAGAATAGAAATAAATACAAGGATTCTTTCATGATAACTAAAAATATCAGTGAAGGTTTGTACATAAAATTTAGGGATTTTATATTATTACCTAATACAATTCTGGCTATAACATCACTAAAGGATTGTAAACGTCTGCTGGGAAACCTATGGGAAAAAAATGCAAGTGGAACTGGTGTCATACAAACACATTTTCTAATGGGAAGCTTAACTGGTGAAATGTAAGTTGGAAACATTACTCAATTTAGGTCTATGAAAATGTTTTCCCAAATACAATCTTTTCTTGTTTGATAGGAGGTTTTACTGTGATGTATTATTTCTGACAGCCTCTTTTTTTTTTTTTTTAAAGGAAACGAGTAGAATTAAGTGAATTGATTATCATATCTAACCTGTAAGTACAAATTACTTTCCCTTGGAATTACATAATTGATAATTGTACATCCTCAGATGTGTTTGAATCTGAGATTTACTCTAAACTCAGAGGAAAAAAAGTGAAATTTTGTTTCCATTGTGACACCTTTGTTTCCTTTTTAAGTTTTCAAAATTTCTTAAAAATTATTTTTCCCTTTCATAATTTATTCAACAAGTATCTATTGTTAGGTGTTGGGAACACAAGACCTAAAACTCCTGACAAATATATTCTATTTCTGAGGTCAATTTGTACATTAATAAATGCATATATAATACCAGACAAGATTGTAATGCTAACCAGTTTGACTTTGAGGCACGGTATTCAGAATGTAAATGCCCCTGGAAAAAACATTGAATATAAATGCCCCTGGAGAAAGAATGTAGTTGGAAAAAACATTCTGAGGTAAAATTATGCAATATTGGTATGACTAATTAGAGTGACCAGAGGTTCACACATTTTTGTGACATGCCATTGGTAGAAAAAGAGCCATAGCTGAAAAAATATGGCAGTCATAAGATGTCAGTGGAAATGAAGACAAGGATACCTTTTGGTCAATTTTCTTGAAAATATTGGCTTTTTCAACAGTGTAGTTTATTTAAAATTTAGTCCCAGTTCTTAGCAATTATTTATATACTGATGGACTTATATCCAGGGTCTTCTTGAATTAAAAAAAGTCAAAAAATAATTTTATAAATTTAAAATATTATAAAATTATGATATATACAATTCTTGCTCTCTCTGTCATATTTTTCCAATTTTTTGTCTGTCTTGTTTTTTCTTGCCTTTTCTTCCCTGTCCTTTCCCTTTCGTTTCTTTTCTTTTTGTTTCCTTTGTCTGGCCTTGCTTTGAGTTTCTTTTCCAAACGAATTCACTGGAGGTGGTATTTTTATGCATAATATACACAGCAAATGTCTAGGGCCTCTCATTTTTTACAAATCTTTGTAAGAAAAGGCTATCTATTAACCCAATGACATTGTCATAACCTTTTCTAAATTTCAATGATATTCAGTTTCTCGCAGCTATTACATTACAAAGTATACCTCAGTAAAAATCTAGTAAGTCATAGGGCTGATGTTGCTGATTGCTCACTTGCTCAAGCCAGAAGCTTAGAATACATGCTTGATTCTTCACTTTCCTGTGGGTTTATGCCAAATCAATTTCAAATCTATAGATCTTATCCTCTAAATAACATACAGCATGCCTACTTTTTTCTCTCTCTCGACTACTGTCACATTAATTCAAAAGAAAAAGACTGATGATTCCTAACTTCCTGGCTTCAGTAATTGGCAACGATGACATCACTACTAAGGCTTCACTTCTCACCTCTGCTTCCATATGAGTGTAATGTTATTTTCTCCTATGACAGATAAGTTTATTTTTCACCATTAAAAGGTAAGAAACTCACTCATAACCAAAGTTGGAGGAGACAGTTATTTTTTTTCCCCAGCTTGCCTGTTAAAACCATAAGGAATGATTAATCTGCCATGGTGCTTGATGTGGCCCAGGGATGTGCTCAGACTCAGTCATGTAGGGGCAGGTGGTATTAACATTAGTTCAAACATGGAACCATGGCATGTGTTAGAAATAATGGCTTATATTAGAAACTGGACATAAAATTGTCGTGAGCAAGAAAGTTACCTCAATTTGAGTCTACTAGAAGTTTCAGAGTGCCATTTCACATGGCCACAAAGTTCAAAAGTTCCAAAAGAAGCAAAAGTTTGACCAAGAAATCAGTGATTTTTTAAAAAAGAGAAATTGAGCTCAATCATGTTTTTTATATCTTCTACTGTACTAAAAGTTTTTTTCTCAATAATTGACTAAAAGTTCATTAACTACTGCACAGACTTCAATATTTAGAAATGTAATACGGGCTTGCTAACTAAAAGTGAAGTTATTTTATTGTCGGAACTAGCTATTGTTAGAAAGACTCATTTGCTTTTTATAATACAATTTTACATATGATTTATAGATTGACAGATTATAACAATTTATAGATTATTACCTCATTAATTTATTGAATAACCTGACTAAATTACTTAGTCACTGAATTAAATACAACCCAGCCTTAATACTTTGGGTCAAGGAACATTGACCAAATATGTATTTATGCCACAGATTCCTTGAAATTTCTTACCAAAGTAAATTGTTTCATGAAAAATACAGAAATAAATTGGTAACTAAATAAAACATGTTCTATATTTCAACTTGAAAAATTAAAGAAATTAATAATTCTTAAAATCAAAGCAATGATCATTTGTTTCCTAATTATTATTATTGTGAATGTACTTAAAATTTTTGCTATGCTTTTAAGAAAGATGTACTTCTATTAAAAATTATTAAAATAAACAGCAGAGAGACTGACTTTTCAAAATAGTTTATCTGGGAAGAGCAATGAACTGCAATTTGGGATATGTGTACCGTACTGAACCATAGGCACATTTGAAAAAGCTGGGGGAGCCGAAGCTTTTTTAAGGGTAAAAGGTGAAGTTCCCCATCAAACTACCGTTGGCATTCTTCACAGAATTAGAAAAACCTATTTGAAATTTCATATGGAATCAAAGAAGACCCCATATAGCCAAGACAATCCTAAGCATAAAGAACAAAACTGGAGGCATCACACTACCTGACTTCATTACTGCAGGGCCTCAGTAACCAAAACAGCATGGAACTGGTACCAAAACACACATATAGACCAATGAAGGTGAACATAGACCTCAGAAATACACCACACGTCTACAACCACCTGATCTTCAACAAACCTGACAAAAACAAGCAATGGGAAAGGATCTCATATTCAGTAATAATGTGGGAAATCTGGCTAGCCATATGCAGGAAACTGAAACTGGACCCCTTCCTTACACCTTATACAAAAATTAACTCAAGATGGATTAAAGACTTAAATGTAAAACCCCAAACCATAAAAACCCTAGAAGAAAACCTAGGCAACAACATTCAGGACATAGGCATGGTGGGCAAAGACTTCATGACAAAAATGCCAAAAGCAATTGCAACAAAAGCCAAAATTGACAATGGGATCTAATTAAACTAAAGAGCTTCTGCACAGCAAAAAAAAAAAAAAAAAAAAAAAAAAACTATCATCAAAGTGAACAAGCAACCTACAGACTGGGAAAAAATTTTTGCAATCTACCCATCTGACAATGATCGAATATCCAGAATTTACAAGGGACTTAAACATGCTTACAAGAAAAAGACAAACAACGCTATCAAAAAGTGGGCAAAGGATATGAACAGACACGTCTCAAAAAAAGACATTTACGTGGCCAAAAAACATACAAAAGAAGCTCAACATCACTGATCACCAGAGAAATGCAAATCAAAACCACAATGAGATGCCATTTCACGCCAATTAGAATGGAGATTATTAAAAAGTCAGGAAACAATAAATACTGGAGAGGATGTGGAGAAATGGGAATGCTCTTACACTGTTGGTGGGAAAGTGAATTAATTCAACCATTGTGGAAGACAGTATGGGCATTCCTCAAGGATCTAGAACTAGAAATACCTTTTGACCCAGCAATCCCATTACTAGGTATATACCCAAAGGAATATAAATCATTCTACTGTAAGGGAACATACGTATATATATTTATTGCAGCACTATTTACAATAGCAAAGACATGGACCCAACCCAAATGCCCATCACTGATAGACTGGATAAAGAAAATGTGGTACACATACACCATGGAATACTACGCAGCTATAAAAAAGGAATGAGAGCATGTCCTTTGCAGAAACATGGATGAAACTGGAAGCCGTCATCCTCAGCAAACTAACACAGGAACAGAAAACCAAATACCGCATGTTCTTATTCGTAAGTGGGATTCGAACATTGAGAACAAATGGACACAGAGAAGGAAACAACACACGCTGGGGCCTGTTGGAGGTTGGGGGGTGAGGGGAGGGAACTTAGATGATAGGTTGAAAAGTGTAGCAAACCACCATGGCATACGTATACCTATGTAACAAACCTGCACGTTCTGCACATATATCACTTTTGTTTGTTTTTTGAAGAAGAAGAAGAAATAAAGAAAAAAAAAGGTGAAGTTCATGTAAATTATTTTAAAATAAACCTCTTTGGCCCCAGAAGCTTATTGCTTGGTATGGACAAATACTCATCGGTGATACTGGCTATTGCTGGGAAGATGTCTTCATAGAAGCGTCGTATCTAAAATTTTTGTAGTTTTCAGGGAGTCCTTGCAATAATTCTTTTAGAGACATCCATGCATGAAGGGCCTTCTTTTATACTCTCCCAGCTCCATTTTGTTGTGGTTTGACTTCAGTGAGTCAACTTCTTTGCTTGTAACTTTAACATTTCCCCCCTTTGACCAAGAATTTTTTCTGAAAGCATTGCTGATTAATCAGCCTATAGTTAGGTTTTGATTGTTTCTTGGTGCTGGAGTGGACCTTTCCTAGTCAGTCTGATCCTGCATCAGAGGTGAATGGCCAGCAACTAAGAGCAGATGTCAAAACCCTATTAGTCACATTTAAGAAACAAAGAGGTTCAGAAGGAGTGGCTCTCAGGATAAATCTGCCTGGAGTTCATTGCTAAGTTCAATTTTGTCAGTTCCATAGGCATTGACTACCATTTGGAAGTTCTGGACCAGTGTTACTCTGTTAGATGCATCATTTCTGCAGAGGTTGGACAGGAAACAGATAAAAAGTTTAAAAAGAATGATGCGGTACAAAATTAATAGTAACATGAAATATTGTCTATGAACATGGACCCAAAGGCAGCCAACTAATGAATCAAAAGTCTATGTGAGACTGAGTGAGATCTGTTGTAGCCATAAAGCCTGTCTTGCTATTTTATGCAATTAGGTCTTGACTTCCCCAGAGAAATATATTCAGGTACAGCATGTAGTTATTAGCAATGGCACAGACATTCTTGTTCAACCAGTAGATAATTGAGAGTTATCTCATCCTGTCCTGTTGTGTTATCTACGGCTACTCAGCAAGATACTTTAATGAGCACTGCTGGGCGGCAATAGCCTTTGCGGTGAAGCCTGCAACGAAACCCAAGGTGGCAAATAAATTAGGGATGTTGCCATAGTTACCCACTGGGTGGACTAAAGGATCCCTTAGGTCATGTAAAGATGTGGGTTTGACACGACAGATCCAAAACTTCATTCAGTTACGGAAGCTACTGAATGTGAAATTCTAACCACAGCGTTATTCTGCCAAGTGAAAAATGTAGGCATAAGCAAGAAAAAAAAAAATAAGAAGGATAAGAGTCCAGTTTTGTTACAATGTCTTGGGAAAAGCTTTCCACACTGTGATGTCATCAACTTCTTACTCTGGTTTGTAGTTTGAATGTTCCTGGGTATAGCATGGGGCATTTTAGTCAATTCTCTTTGTAGCCCACACAATAGCCATGAGATTTCTCTCTTGAAATTTACATGGAGTTTTCTGGCTCCAACTTGTAGGACTTTAGGAACAAGGCAGTTTATGTTCTTAGTTGGAGAATCATAGCCAGACGTTGGAGGAAATTAGAATAATTAAGTGCCCTGTCTAATTTAGAGATAGATGACAAAAACTTGAAAACAACAAAGAAAACTACAATCTACTAACAGGTGTACTGCAGTTTTTCTTCAGAAACATAATTTTTCTCTGTACAATCATCCCTATTTCTACTAAAGATAATCAGAGTAAGACTAATTTGTCTGCTGAATAAGTTTAGTCTCATTAAACTTGGCATGATTATTGACAACAGTATAGCAAGAAAAGGGATGAAACATGGGCTGTTTTTAAGTTTATTTTGATGGAACTTTTGATAAGAAATCTCAGATTAGACTTTTAAAAGCCTTTCAAGGGTCAGAAGTCAAAGGAGGGCGAACATCAGACTTTGGCTGCAGTATCTAAAAATCTGCATGAATTTCTCTCTTCTTGAGGTCTCCAATATATCTGGAGGTTCCTGGCCTGTCAAGAGGTAAAAATGTTTATTCACTCACTGTGAGCTTGGGAATCCTTGAAGCTAGGCATCCTGTGCATAGTCTCAAATATCACATTCAAGTCAAACCATTTATAATATAACCAATGTTTGTAATTCTATCCTGTTACAAAGAGAATAGATTTTTATTGAATTAATGCAAATAACTATGTTGCCATAAAATAAAAATATCAATAAGAGCTCTCTGAAGACTGCAGCCGCAGGTAGGAAGAAAAAATAAATATTTCCATTTTTATTTATAAAAGTATACTTTACCAAATTGCTGTATGCTATAGATAGCTTTTTAAAAGTTTTCTCAAATCTGGAAAACAAAAAATTTAAAAAAAACAGCAAAATGTTAAACAAAAAGTCACTCGAAAATATTGCCATCAGTTTGTTTAGTCCCATTCATTAAACTTATTCTACTTGATCTGGGTTAGATGTTTTAAGAAGCCATCGTTTCTTCATTAGAGTCCTGGAAATTCTTTCCCAGTCCAGTGGTATAATCTTAAACTCATAAGAAATCTAAATTCCAGCATACTTGTTAGAGTCCTTTTCATGAACCTCCTTGAAGAGGAAGTATTTTTCTTTATTCATTTTAATTTATTCTCTACAATACTTCATTAGGGAGTTCAATGATTTGCACTCAGAAGTTAAATAGCCAAGAGGCAAGCAAGTATAATAAACTTCAGAATTGGACTGAGGTTGTTGCACTGAAGGCCATGTAGTCTTTTGCTTCAGGGAAATAACAACAAAAATAACCAAAATGAACACATAGCTCCCTAGGCTTCTGAATCTCAGTAGAGAATAACATCAACATTTAATGAAATTGTAGATATTAACACATCATGGGAAAAAAGATACTGTGCAAAATATTATAATTAACACTTGGCACTTCTTATGTCTAGATTTTTATTATAAACAATAAAATATATGTAATATCTTAACTACAGACCTTTCATGTTGAAAGGGCATCTAACATAACTTGTTTTAACATTATGAAGGGAAAAAGTTTAGAAATTTCAAAGTGGAAACAATCCAACACTAACAAACTATAGTGATCAAAAGTATTAACTTTTAAAGAAAAACAAGGACAATTCATAAAAGTAGAACTACCATTTGATCCAGCAATCTTACTGGTTATCTACCCAGAGGAAAAGAAGTCATTACACAAAAAAGATACTTGCACATGCACGTTTATAACAGCACAATTAGCAATTGCAAAAATGTGGAACCAGCCTAAATGCCCGTGAATCAATGAGTGAATAAACTGTGGTATATATTTATGTGTGTGTGTGTGTGTGTGTGTGTGTGTGTGTGTATGTATATGTATATATATATGCATATGTATATATATATATATGCATAAATACATATATGTAATGGAATACTATTCAGCCATAAAAAGGAATGAATTAATGGCATTCATAATAACCTGGATGGGATTGGAGACTATTATTCTAAGTGAAGTATCTCAGGAATGGAAAACCAAACATTGCATGTTCTCACTCTTAAGTGGGAGCTAAGCTATGCAGATGCAAAGGCATAAGAATGATACAGTGGACTTTGGGGACTCAAGGGAAAGAGTGGGAAAGGCATGAGGGGTAAAAGACTACAAATTGAGTTCAGTGTATACTGCTCGGGTGATGTGTGCACCAAAATCTCACAAATCACCACTAAAGAACTTACTCATGTAACCAAATACCTCATGTTCTCCAAAAACCTATGGAAATAAAAAATTTAAAAAATTACAGAAAGGGAATGTATTATGAGACAAGCCACGTTTATAGACCAAAGCATGCTCATAGCTAGGGATGAAACAAACCACAAACCAAGCCAGCAAAGTTGGGTTGATTCCTTGAAAAGAATGGTTACCTATTGTCCAGATTGAGTAGCCCAAAGACAGAGGAAACACTGAGCGTAAAACATTCCCTTTTTTTTAAACCTACCACTCACACCACATGCACTGATCACTCTCATCACTGCTTTGGTAAAGCATGTAGGATGCAGTTCAGTTTCAATTTGGAGCTGTTACCTCCCCAGGCAAAGCTGCCACACAGATGATCCAGGCTTGGTGTTTTTCCTGAGAGCCACCTGCCACACATTTTCATAAGGTGACCATGACTATGCACATCCAGGCTACTTCCTGACTAGGCCCTGTTCAGGAAGCATCCTGAGGTGTCCATTCCTCGTGGAGCCAAATAGTTCCCTTGGTTGACTCCTGAGTCCCCTTGGCAAGCCAAGCAGAATTCAAGCATTTCTACTGCTAGCCTTGTGTGGGAGCATGAGCGAATGTAAAGGGAGCAAGGCTCTTCAGTCCATAAACCACAGCCTACTTCAGGGTGGTGCTGGACCAGCCCTATTCTTGGGTACTGAATTTCTTTTTCTCATTTGTTGGGATTTTAAATTTTCTATTTATTTTCTTAAATGGCAGGTATCCTACTGCATCTTCAATAAAATAAAATATATACATATATATGTTGTACACTGGAGAAAACAAATAGGGGAACAGTTTGATAGTTTAGCCCCATTTTTTGCTTTTATTTAACCTTTAGAAGAAAACACAATTATTAAAACAGAATGCTTGAGCAGTAATAAGCGTAGCCCTATGTATCAATATTATTGTACAAATTGGATGTGGGTGCTTAACCCAGAGCTGACCACCCTGATAATAATCCAGAAAAAAACCATTGTTACATCTGTTTGTAACAAGACATTTATTATTCTCAGCACCAGGACATCATAAAATGACTCCTTGATCTTCATTTACTTCACCAAGGGAAACGTGGCAGGCTACAGAAACTCAGCACAGCAGTTAGTGGGGCTGTGCCCTGGGTGCCCTGATGTCACCCACATTTCCCTTGCATGTCTCAGGTCCTAATAAGCAGTGCAGGACAATGTTGAGCCAACCTACTCACCCGTGCCCATTCCTTCCCAGAAACTTAAAGGTGATCCCTATAATAGCACATATGTCCTTTCCCAAATTGTGTCTTTGCTCCCCTAACCCCATTCTTGGCAGAAGAAAAAACAAAACATCTCTTGACTTGAATATTTGCTTATTTTAGAAACCGACACAATCACCATAAACTTAAAAAAAAAATAAATCAAAATGTTGTTTTCACTGGGTTGACAGCTATCTGCTTCAAGAATTCTCTAAGCATGTTGTTGAAAACCAGTGTAACATCTTTAGGATCTTTCTCCCAACTGACCAGTCTTCCTGTGAATCATTTCAGCAGTTCCTTTGTGGCAATGTTTACAAAGCATCTTCTAAGTCCTCTAATTCTATGAGCTTTGCTATCAAAATAGTGAAGAATAGGAAAGGGGGAGGAAAAAACTAGCTGACAGCTGTTTGGAAATCAGCAACAATGTGAAAGAGAAATGTATCTCATGAAAGTTTGAAAGACATGGAATAAATGAGCTCTTTGGAAATTTGCCCTGGCGGAGTGAAGATTCCCACTTTATCTTCTTAGGCAAGATAAAGATCCACCTTATGTAATTACACAGCTTTGTTTAAGCATCCTGTAAAAGACTGAAAAATCAACTGTCTTCCTAACTCTACAGGCAAACTAGAAAAAGGATCTCCCTGCTTACTGGTCCCTCAGGATGTTTTCCTGAAAAGAAAACCAGCTTAGAGATACTGGATTTTCTTCTATGACAAAGTGTCCTCTTAAAGTCCAACCGAAACTTGTTTGCACACTTACACTTCTGAAAGCCTAGGTCCGACTATAGGGCTGATACCGGGAGAGAAGTGAAGTAGCTGGGTGGTGAGGAAGTGGTCTCTCCTTTCACATCTCTGTGCAGTCATGATATCAAGACCCCTTGTGGACATCTCTATTCCATTCCTCAGTCAGTGACACCACAGAGCTCTGTTTGATACCGGGAGACTTAATGCAGTAAAAGTGACAGAAAGTGCAACTGATAGTAGGATGAAAATTATAATCTTCAAGGATTATTGAGCCATGAGATCTGCAATGCTATCGTAGGGTTTCTGATCCTGATGTGGGTCTCTGTCCAGGATCCTTGAAGAAATTATGGCACCCACATCCAACCCTAACATAGCTTCCACTTATGAAACAAGGAGGTTGTAATCAACTCTTGGTATGTAATAAACTGGAAGTTCAAAAATGTAATTTAAAACAATCTAAAAGAATGTAATGTTGGTCTCCATTGCACAGACTGCTAGGGGAATATATCAACTTGATTTGGGGAGGCTGTAGAGGTATATAGAGGAGTATATGGGTTAAACCTTAATGGACCATCAGTTTCAGAGAAGAAGCAATTTTTTATTGTAGCTGATGGCAAATGCTTTTAGAAAAGAATGAAAGCAGTCGGTCCCTGTGGATGACAGACTTAGAGCGGCCATGGTTAAAAATCTCATGGAGTTTATTATAATAATAATGTAATTGACAAAGAAATTTGTTTATTTCTGTGGCATACAAAACTTGAAGATAATAACCAAGATTATGACCGATAACATATCAGATTTTGAAGAATTTATTTTGTAACACATATCAATAACATTCTGAAATACAACTTAAAGAAGGTTTAGCACCACTTAGTATTTGACAATACTCCCTATATAATTTAATATATCAAGTAAGTCTCATTAGTTTAATATATCTCTTTACAATGTGAGATACACATTCTTTGATCTTTCCAGGGGTCCAAATGAGAAATATCAAAATTAACTTGAGGGCAAAAAGAGTTAATTTAAAATATTATTTTGGGAAGTTTGTCAAAAACATCAAACAGTTTAAAACACTTTATCAGAGTACGATAACAGGTAACCAAAATGAAAATTAAAAGATTTCAAAAAATAAATGTAGAAATTTACATAATTGTCAACAAAAACATAGCTTTTTAATACTGAGAACATTTACTTTTCTCTTTTTTTAACTTTTATTTTAGGTTCAGGGGTACACATGTGGGTTACTTACGCATTTATATAGGTAAATTGTGTGTCACGGGGTTTGGTGTGTAGATTATTTCATAACCCAGATAATAAGCATAGTACCCAGTAGGTAATTTTTAAATTTTCATCCTCCTTCCTCCCTCCACTCTAAAGTAGGCCCAGTGTCTGTTGTTCCATTTGTGTCCATATGTACTCAATGTTTAGCTCCCCTTATAAGTGAGAACATATGGTATTGGGTTTTCTAGGATAATGGCCTCCAGCTCCACTCATGTTGCTGGAAAAGAGATGATCTCATTCTTTTTATGGCTGCATAGTATTCCATGTTGTATATCTACCACATTTCTTCATCCAGTCTACCACTGATGGGCATTTAGGTTGATTCCATGTCTTTGCTATTGTGAAAAGTGCTGCAATGAACATACACGTGCATGTGTCTTTATGGTAGAATGATTTGTATTTCTTTTGGTATATACTCAATAGTAGGATTGATGAGTTGAATGGCACTTCTGCTTTGAGTTCTTTGAGAAATGGCCACACTGCTTTCCACAATGGCTGAACTACCTTACATTCCCACCATCACTGTATAATCATTCCCTTTTCTCCACAACCTCACTAGCATCTCTTATTTTTTGAGTTTTTAATAATAGCCATTCTCATTGGTGTGAGATGGTATCTCATTGTGGTTTTGATTTGCATTTCTCTAATGATTAGTGATGTTGAGCATTTTGTCATATGCTTTCTGGCCACATGTATGCCCTCCTTTGAAAGTGTCCGTTCATGTACTTTGTGTACGTTTAAATGGGATTGTTTGTTTTTCACTTGTTGATTTTTTTAAGTTCACCAGATGCACTGTGCTGGGGTTCTGTGATAGTCCCTAATTGCTGTGCACCCTCCCAAGCCTGAGAGCAGCAGGAGGGAGGGTTGCGAGACAGCAAAAAGGTGGACTGCCTCTCTCTTTGGGAGCTGCATGCCGGAGAAGTGTAGAGCTGCTCCCAGCTGGAGAACTCAGGAGGACTAGGGTGGCCTCACTAGCATCCCAGGCTAGTGGGCCTTATCCTACAAGGTTCAGTGGTGGTGAGGTCTGCAGTCTATCACTGCTCAGCCCCATGGACTTGGCCCCTTTTCTGGGGAGCGTGCAAGAAAACTTGGCCTTCCCAATTGCTGGAGCTGCAGCCCCTGGTTTTGGGGTACCCAGGGAACAAATGCTACTGGGACTCCACACCTACCTAAGAAGCAGCTCTACCCAGACTCCACATGGCTCTCTGTTTTGGTCTGGAGACCCCAGCTGGGGTATCTCCTGAGCCCAGGGATTCAAAGGTTCGTGGCAGAAATATGCATCCCACGGGACTCTCACTCACTCACCATTTTCTTGTAGGGGGATTCCCCTGGGTCTGTGCCACTCCTGGGTGAATGGTTGATCTGTCTCACTCTTCTCCGTGATCCGAAGGTCACACTATGTCACTGATGAATCCTTATGTGTCCACCTGGATGTTCCGGTTGAAGAGCTAGTGTCTCACCACTCTTCCTGCTATTTGTGAGAGTGGCACACACTAGCTGCTTCTAGTCAACCATCTTGGCCCCACCTCACTCACTTTTCTCAAGTAATCAAAGACCTAGTAAAAGAGAGCATAAAGCATAAGAAATTACCTTGATAAACAAAAAATCTTGGTTTATTAGGCCAGTTATCTAAAAGGTAGAGAAAACATTTCACTATTGTCTATTAAGAGCAGGTCAATACTCAAAGAAAAGCTTGTTGTTTCAGCACAGGGGACAAATTTCAAGTTTTCCATTCCTGTACTTTTGATAATAATGCTCAAGTTTTCAGAATATTTATAAATAATTTCCTTTTAACTTTAGCCAACTTGGTCACACATAAAATTCTTTTCACAAGATTAATCTTCCACAAACTTTCTATAAATTTGTCATCCAGTTATCTTATTCAGTTTTTGTCTATATTTTTTCTCTTTTTCTTTTTGGAACAGTAAGACATTCTACTTTTAGACAAAAAATACTCTCTTTTTCCCTTAACAAAAACACAACCTCTTACTTATAACTTTCTGTATGTGTTTTCCTTCCCTCACGTACAGATTTGTTTCCCTTCATTATTTCTAGTTTAAATTACTCTAATATTAATTTTAATTAACTCTTAGTAACCTTAATTTCTAGTGAAAATTAGTAAGCATTTTGAAGTGCATCATGTTAGTATTTTGCAGATGAACACCATCTCATAAAATAATTTTTATGCCTTTAATTAACAGGCCCAAATATGTTTAGCTTTTCCATAACATGTGAAACCAAGATGCCAAATTACGTATATTTTAAACTTCTGTTAAGCAATTGATATTTCAGTATTTTCCTTAGAAATGACTCAAATATTAAATCAGTAAAGTGTTACTTAATTTAATATAACATGATTTTAAGATTTCAAGTCACACTAAATTATTTTTGAAATTCTGACAACTTTATTATCAACCTTTTGTCAATTTATATTCACCTAATTCACTTGTTCTTAACAATTGTGCTTCAGTTCCTCCTTAAACACAAGGATGAGTGGATTTATAGCTTTAAGACATTCATTATACATCTCAGTAATAGCAAGCTTGTTTCACCAGTAACTTTAGGTTTAAAAACTGTATCTGTACATTGTAATTAATGCTGACAATTCTGAAAATATTTGTTTTTATTTTGCCAACAAATTTTAAAACTAGCTTTGTCTGCCAAAGATTATTTCGTCACATAAGCCAAAAGGCAATTGAGTTTCTGTTTTTCTGAGAGAATTCTTAGTTTAAACACTTATGTTTTCTCTGTAAGCCAATTAAGTAGAGCCGTTTATGAATTTTGGTAGAAAAAATTGTACATACGCACACACACACACACACGTAGAAAAATACAGACAGAGGAAGAACTTACAACTTGCATTAAGAATTGTTATTTGCCTGGCTTGCAAGTAGTTTTACTCCCTCTTTCAGACTATCTGTCTTTTAATGATCTGTTCAATTGGCCCATAAACAAGTGTTAGTTAGGCCACCCAAAATTTGTACTTCCAAAGAGATGATTTTTAGGTGAAGGAATGTAGAAAATTTAAATCTCAAAGGTACAGAACTTAAACACCACTATTTGTTGAGATGAAAAAAAGCATATATAGGAAGCCTTCAAAATGAAATGGTCAAGGGTGAGTTTACACAGATAGATAGATTTAGGTCTCTTCCTTTTGCTTTGTGAAAGCATCTAGTGTTTTAGGTGTCAGAGAGGGAGATATCCTTACAAAGCAGAGATTATCATTACAGGTTTACATTTCTTACAAAGAGTTTCAAAATAAACAGGTAAATGCCAAAAACGTATATTTTGGAGACGGATTAATTCACTAGTTGGTCTATTCAACTTAACTTGTTTCCTAATGAGATTAAATTCATGCACAAATAACCAAACCAAAAATTAAACCAAAAGAATACTCACCAGAAAGGATGTCCTTTACAAGAGCAGATCCCCCAAAATGTAAGAGTTCACTGAAAAGGTGGGAGCTCAAACCAAGAGAGGACTTATCTCGCAGCATAAAGACAACTTGTACAAGTGAAGATCACAATAGGCTCAGGTGAGTATCATACACAATTTCAAGTATCGCCAGATACTTGAAAGCCTTCCAAAGGCTTTCTTTGTTACTGTTTGGATAACAGTGCTGTAACTGTAAGTAACAAAGAAGGCTTGGAGCCTTTGCATCTTGCTTCTGACATTAGATTATGTCAACTTAAACAACAGAGATACTGACTCTCTAAAATAAAGAGTGTATTCAGGAAATAGCAGTAAATTGCAATTTGAAATACACATGCTATGGTGGACCTTAGGCACCAAAGAAGCTGAGGGACTGTATTAGTTTGTTCTAGCACAAAGAACTACCTGAGACTTGGTAATTTATAAAGAAAAGAGGTTTAATTGACTCATGATTTCATAGGCTGTACAGGAAACATGATTGGAGGAGGCCTCAGGAAACTTACAATGATGGCAGAAGGCAAAAAGGAAGGAGGCACGTCTTACATGGCCGAAGCAGGGGGAAGAGGGCAAAGGGGAAATACCACACACTTTTCAACAAGCAGGTCTCATGAGAACTCACTATCACAAGAACAGCAAGGAGGAAATCCACCCCCATGATCCAATCGCCTCTCACCAAGCCCCTCCTCCAACATTGGGGATTACAATTCGACATGAGATTTGGGTGGGGACACAAATCTAAACCATATCAGGAAGGCAAAAATCTTAAAAGAGAAATTTTATGTAAGTTTTGTAATAAACCTCATGGGCCAGAGAAGCTTGTTACAAGAGTTGGCAAATACTCATTGATAATATTGGCTGTTGCTGGAGAGATGTCTTCATAGAATTATCATATCTAACATTTTCGTGGTTTTTGAGAGAACCATTGCAGCAGTTCTTATTATAGACATATGTACATGAAGGCCCCTCTTTCATGGCCTCCCAGCTTCATTTTTTTATGGTTTGATGTAAGTGACTCCATTTTGGTGCTCACAACTTCCACATTTCTCCCTTTTGGTTGAAATATTTTTCTGAAAGCATTTCACACTTAAAAGATATAGATTGGCCGGGCATGCTGGTTCATACCCGTAATCCCAGCACGTTAGGAGGCGGAGGTGGGTGGATCACCTGAGGTTGGGAGTTCGAGACCAGCCTGACAAACATGGAGAAACCCCATTTCTACCAAAAATACAAAATTAGCTGGGCGTGGTGGCACGTGCCTGTAATCCCAGCTACTCAGGAGGCTGAGGCAGGAGAATCACTTGAATCCAAGAGGCAGAGGTTGCAGTGAGCTGAGATCACGCCATTGCACTCCAGCTTGGGCAACAAGAACGAAACTCCATCTCAAAAAACAAAAACAAAAACAAACCAACAAAAAATGAAATAATTGTAAAAACCAACTATAGTTCTCAGTAATGATAGTTTCATTACCGTCAGCTATTAGTAGAGTTAATTAACTCCTATCAACCTCACATTTTCCATTTAAAAAATGCAGGAGAAAAAGTTTGATGTGGGTTTAATGAGAAAATTTATATAAAATAGATCTAACTACTATATTTATCACAAAACAGATGCACAAACTATGTTTTTTTCCTCTCACTTGTTCTTATTTTATATATCATTTTAATTGAGGAAATCATTGAGCATAATGTAACAAATATTTTCATAAGTTATTATAAAGAGGGTTGAAGGACTTGTTAGAAAGTGTCTGGCAGTGGAAAAAACATCTGAATAGAAAATGAAAATAGCATGTGAATGCTGAAATAGCGTATTAAATAGCTGCAACTCTAATATAATTTACATTTGGATTTTAGTATAGACAGAATACTTAAATTTATTTCTGCAGTCTTTTCAGTTGTTAAACATTTTATTGAACTCTTCATGTGCCTTTCAGATGTATTGTGCTTCAAGTGTGCTTGTACCAGCTTTTTCTGTTTAGAAATGCTTGAGTGTCTCCATTGTCAAAACGATCAGAAGGCAGTAATTGTATTTCCAATGTGAGGACAAACAATACTAGATATCCTGCGATCCTACATTGTAAAAAATATTCCCATCAAATGCCCCAATGGATAGCCACGTAAGTGATCATCTGTAATTATTTAGTCAAGAAATGAATATTTTACATGTAAATACTTTGAATGGCTTAATACAAACTAAATTTTTCAGAATGCAACCACTATGGAAATTGAAGAGAAAAAGTCTTTTTATTGTAGAAACTTCCCAGAGTCTTTCAATATTTACAAAAATTATGTTGCCAATGGCAATACCTTAGTTATTTGAATCACCAGTAGAACACACTATAAAAACATGCATTGTCACATCTGTACCCTGTCACATCCAGGATAACGATAATATTGAGATATATAACTATTTAGCCCTTATTTTAAAACATCAGGTAACAAGCATCAATCAATTTCTATCAAATGTTTCAACTTGGGTATTACAGCATAAGCAGAAATATACTGTTACCAATATCCCAGCCAATTTCTTTTCCTAATGAAACAATAAAACTGAGAATATAGAGACCATTTAGTAAAGCTGATATATATATATATATGTTTGCATATGTGTGTGTGTGTATATATACATATAAATGTAATTAATACAGTAGATGAGGTCAAAGAAGCAAGTGATACACAACTTTTAATTTGGATGGGATGTCCTTGAAGATTCCTGTATTAGTCCTTTCTCACATTCCTATATGAAAATACCTGAGACTGAGTAATTTATTAAAGAAAGAGGTTTAATTGACTCACAGTTCCCTATGACTGGGGAGGCCTCAGGAAACTTACAATCGTAGTGGAAGGTGAAAGGGAGGCAGGCACTTTCTTCACAAAATGGCAGGAAAAAGAAGGATGGAAGGAGGAACTTGCCGAACAGTTGTAAAACCATTAGATCTCGAGAGAACTCACTCACTGTCATGAGAACAGCTTGGGAGAAACCACCTCCATGATTCAATTACCTCCACCTGGTCTCTCCCTTGACATGTGGGGATTATGGGGTTTACAATTCACCATGAGATTTTGAGTGGGGACACACAGCCAAACCATATCAACTCCTAAATCTTAATACACTTTATTACTAGCTGATATGATTTGGATCTGTGTCCCTTACCAAATCTCATGCTGAATTGTAATCCCCAATGTTGGAGGTGGGGTCTTGTGGGAGGTGATTGGATCATGGGGGCAGATTTCCCCCTTTGATGCTGTATCATGATAGCATCCTCATGAGATATGGTTGGTGAAAGTGTGTGGCACCTTTTCTCTTCCTCTCAGTCCTGCTTCTGCCTTGCAAGATTCGTGCTTCCACTTTGCCTTCTGCCATGAGTAAAATCTCCCTTTCGCCTCCCCAGAAGCAGATGCTGCTATGCTTCCTGTTCAGCCTGCAGAACTGTGAGCCAATTAAACTTCTTTGCTTTATAAATTACCCCATATCAAGTGTTTCTTTATAGCAGCAGTGTGAGAACAAGCTAATACACTAGCCTTCTTGAATACATCTTAGCAAGCTCTCGAGCAGCGTAACCACATAGATTAGAGAAGGCCAAAACTGACAGATTCCCATCTTGACCAAAGTTTAATCATTCTTCTCCAGTCCCTCTTCTCAGGCCCAGTTTAACAAAGACGCCTGCTAAGCCAGTTCACTGAGAATCACTTCGCCCTGGATATCTTATCACTTTGGCATGCCTTTAGCAATAATGCAGTTTAGCAAGAACCCCGCTCCCCGCCACCCCACCCCCCGCCACCCTTAATATCTAATTAGTTTCTATCCACTGACTCACTCCCTCAGCTCTTTGCTTATAAATTTCCAGCTCCATGCTGGGAGAAATTTTAGTTCAATCTCTCTCTACTATAGCTATATTATTCCCCCATTGCTATAGTCCTGAATAGTCTTCCTTGCTATTTTTAACAAGCATCTAGTGTACACATTTCCTTTTGACAAAACATAGTGTCCATATGTAGAGGGAAGAGGAAAGCTAACAAAATATAAAGTCATCCAAACCACACACACCTTGGACAAGCTTATCATGTGTGGGAATAAAATGCTGGAGGTGGGTTTGGCTTCCCCCCCAAAAAAAGTGTGTAATTTGAAATTTCATATCAAGAACAGTTAAATTCCCAGATTCTTTATCATTACTGAATACCTTAGTAATTATTCTTCATTTAACACAACAGGAAATAGGAGATTTATTTTCTGGAGAGACTTGTCCAATTAAAGTGGGGATATGGTTGCTCCGTTGAGCAGAAATTTGGCTTATATAGACCCAAAGCTCAGAAAAAGAGTTATAGATCTAAAATGACAATCATTGAGACAATAAAGTTCATGGAAACCACAATGGGAAGCATCTACGTGGAAATAAAAAGTTGGATTTTCAGTAGAGAAATTGGTAACAATGTAAATTTCCTCTTAATGTCAGGTGAGAACTAATTCTGAAGTCAGAGGAGGAAAGTAGCCTACAACAAAGAGTAAGATCATCTTGACAGGATCAGGGAGAAAGATAATAGTTGCAAATGGAGACAGGTATATTGATTTAGTGCCAGGTAGTTGAAAGACTATGAGTATAAAGACTTATATTTTCTCTGTGTTGCAGTAGCAAAGTCATCTGCAGAGAGAGAGAAGTGAGAAGGGAGAAGAGAGTGTCAGAAATTAGAGGATTGTAGAGATTGAAAAAGTTATGTCAGGCACAATTGAAAACCCGGTTTCCAATGGTGATCATCGTCTTAAAATATTATCAGTTTGTTTTCTTGCATGACATTCTTCAGCAGCAGTCATGGACTGAGAAATATGCAGAAATCAGATAGTTGAGTTCATCTAGAGAAGAGGTTGCAATGTGCTTCTAAAAAGGACAAAACCAAAAGCAACCGAGAGAGAGAAAGAGAGAGAGAGAGAGAGAAAAATGAAGATGTGAAAGGGGATAGGTCAAAACTCAGTAATTTTTTTTAAGCAAAGGGCCAGATAGTAAATATTTTTATTTTGTGAGCCATATTGTCTCTGTAGGAAGTACTCAGTTCTCCCATGTTCTGCAAAAGCAACCATGGACAATAAGAAAATGTGGCTGCGTTCCAATAAGAATTTATTTAAAAAATAGGAGATGGATTGTATTTAGCCCAAGGGAAGCAGTATGTCAATTCTGGTTTTATGTTACTGGCAATTACATTTTAAAATATTCAGTAATTGAATCTACAATATCGATTCCCAACTATTGCTGCATATTAGTATCATAATAGAATGCCAGGTCCCAGAGACACTGGGTCAGCCAATCTCAATTGGGGCCAAGGCACTCATATGTATCTTTGGAACCTCCTCAGGCAATTCTAACATAAAGCCAGTGTTGAGAAGAGCCATTGTTAGTTTGCTTGTGGGAGTAACTGACCGCAGGAGGATCATAATGCTATAGGCAAAGGCTGAGGCACCAGTGGATTGAAAGTCTTAGTGAGGCAGGAGAACAGCTGCAGTGGGAATTGTTGCCACACTGAACAGACAGGAGATTGATCAAAGAGTGGTGTGCTTATTTAGTCATTTAAGAGGAATATCATGTTTTGTCATTATACATTTCATGGGTTTGGTAAGCAGCCTCTAAAATTGCTCCATGTCACTTGTACCCCTGGTAGAGGTAACTCCTTGAGGAATCTTCTACTCTGTTGTCCTAGTTGAATTTATCTCACTTCACTATCAAATAGACTGTGGCAGAAGTGATGGATATCACTTCCAACATTAGATTGCACAAAGACTGTGGCTTCTGTCTTGGGAATCCTCTCTCTCTCTTTCATTGTAAGGGAAGCTGACTTCTATGTTGGGCGCTGCCTATTAAGAAGTCCACATAGCACGGAGCCAGTGTCACCAGTCACAGCCAGCAAGGAAGGACCTGGGGACTGCCCCCAGCCACATGATTAATCTTAGAAGTGAATCTTCCCTAAGTAAGGCTTTTAAATGATGGCAGCCTTATGAGAGTCCTTGAGCTAGAGGGCCTTACTAATTCTGATATAGTTCTTGACCCAGAGAAGTTGGCATAATGAATGTTTGTTGTTTTAATCCACTAAGTTTTGGAGGTAATATGTTAAGCATCAACAGATAACTAATAAAAGGAGTGATTCTGAGCAAGAAAGCCTTAAATGGAGGGAAGCTAAGGTCAAATAGTTTATGAATATCATCCTGTAAGAATACAGGGCTTGGAGCTTTGAAGGTGGGAGCAGAAAAAAATTTATGTAAGCTTGTCATTAACAATATGACTAAAAAAGTTCATTATACTGAAGGATAAATGCTTACATGTGCCTCAGAGAATAGATGTTTTTATTCCTGGGAAGAAAGATAAACTTTTTCAAAAAACATAAAGATTAAGTAGGATGCAGTTTCCAGCTTTGGATTCTGACATTCAGGACATGGGGAGGGTGATGAGCTTCTCCTGGAGGACTGAATTTAGGACACAATCAAGTTCATGATGGAAGCCCTTATGAGGTAGAGAGGGAGTGCATCTCAGCTCTTTCGATTAATTAAATGATTGCTTGAATTGGAGAAGGTGTGGGTATTTTGTGTTGTTTGGGTGAGTACATTGGAATGGTTTTCTAGCATTCCTTTGAGATTTTCCACAGTATAAGTTAAGGTAAAAGAACATTTTTACTTGTTTCAGAAAGCATACTGAGGAAGCTTTAATGTTACTATTAAGTAGGTAGGGAAATGACCAATATTATAAACGCAGATTTCCAGCCTCTCCTTTTAATGCTTTCAGAATGATTCCACAAGAACCTTGAAAATGTTGAGTATTTATATTTATTTTATGCCCTTTTATTGTGATTTTTTTAATAAATAACATTTTTTTGGTAAATACTGGAAGTTAATATTCTATAGTTCAGAAAAGCAATTTTGAACACTCAACTAGTGAGCCCATATAAAACTACATAACAGCACAGAATATAGTAAAATAATAATATAATGAACTGGGAGACAAACTAGGCACTGTGTGCCAAGTTTTTCAAGGAAGATACAATTTCAATACCAATGAAATAAACTCCCACAAATTGATTTTTCTTTGTGTGCACTCATCAGTGTAAATACAATTAAGTAATAAAGCCTGTACTTGTTCAGGAAAGATGTTTTCTATTCATAGTCTGATATCTGGGTGCTTTGGTTTCTGATAATTTGTTATGTAAAAACCCTGCAAATTAAAAAAAAAAAAAATCAGCAGCTCCAAGTTCATGGGCCCTTATCACAGAGGATTTAAAACCTGTGCATTTTCTTTAAACTGAGAATATTATTACATTTTTTAATCCAGTGATGAGACCATAATAGTTTTCTGAAATAATTCAGAATAATTATATACCTAAAAGTTAATTTGCATGTGCTGTAATTTAAATAAAAGGACAGTTAATTTTTGCATTACAAAACATGAAAAATAAAATCAAACGTTGCATCTTTACTTTTATTACATAAATTCCTTTACATTGTAGTGCCCCCTAGCACCACGCAAGTTTATAAACTGCTTTCAATATTAATTATGTTATTATAATAATAACTAATTTAAGAATGTATTATTAAAGTCAGTAATTTAATAATAATAATTTCAATAATATATGTGTCACAAAAATACCTGAAATTACAATTAGTATGTCCGGTTTACTGATGGGAATACTGTGGCTCAAAAACATCATCTCAGGCAGGGTGTGGTGGCTAACTCATGTAATCCCAGCACTTTGGGGGTCCAAAGCAGGTGGATCGCCTGAGATCAGGAGTTTGAGACCAGCCTGGCCAACATGGTGAAACCTCATCTCTACTAAAGTACAAAACCGGTCCGGCATGGTAGTGCACACCTGTAATCCCAGCTACTCGGGGGGCTGAGGCAGGAGAATCACTTGAACCCATGAGGAGGAGGTTGCAGTGAGCCAAGATCACACCACTGCCCTCTAGTCTGGGTGACAGAGCGAGAGTCCTTCTCAAAAAAAAAAAAAAAAAAAAAAAATCATCTCACCCAAATCATGTAGCTACAAAGTTATGGTTTAGAATAATTCAACTATTTTACTGAAATCAAAACTTTTACTATTAACCAATCAGTTACACTCAGCTTTGTGTAACTGAATACCAAATAACATCATGTTCCAGTAATTTTCATTTGAGTGAGAAGGGAGCACACTGGTACCCTGGACACACCCAGATACACTAAATCAGAATCTCTAAAACTTGGTGACTGTAAAAATAATTTTATTCTGAGTCTGAAACATATGCTCCGTGTTTCTTAGCAAGTTTCTGCAGCACAGGAGTCAGGTGAGGGAAGGTAGCGCCCCACTCCTGGTTATGGAAGGCAGAGGGTGAGTTCTGCTGCACATATGAAGCTATGGAGAGAGCAAGACTGCATAGGAGCAGGGTACAGTCTCTGGATATAGAAGACAGATAAACCTGGGTTATAGTTGACCCAGTGGAAAATTATAGGCCAAGAATAAGTTTCCAGATACCTTAATAGGACTGGGCATTTGATAAATTTTGAAAGTTCTCTGATAACTCGTATGTGCAGTGTAGGCTAAGAACTCATGGAAACAATATAGACATTTTTTGCCTCTCAGGGATATGCAGACACCCCAGTTCAGATATGATGTCTTCATGATCATCAGAAATCCAGATGGCTATTATCTTGTTGCTTTGCACCTCCAAGTACTGCTGCTTCTCATGTTGCCCCATGGCTGCCCCAGATCTAGCCATCAGAGCTGCCTTTCCAAGAAGGAAGAAAGCACAGAGATAGGACATGCCCCCTGCATGTAAGTCAGCTTCTCAGAAGTTACACGCGTTACTTCCCCTTACACAACATAGGTCAGAAATTGGTCACATGTGTCATGCCCTATGTTAAGAAAAGATTGGGAATATAGCATTTATTCCTGGTGATCATGTGTCCGGCTAAGCATTAGAGGACATTTTTACTGATGGCGAAAGGGTCAATGGAGATTGCAGTGAACCAGCCATCTCTGTCCAATAGGCACTTTATTTGGTGACAATAATTATAGGAAAGGTAGCACTAGACAGTTTTAATTCATTGAAGTTATTTTGGGTTTTTCTTGTTACTTTGTTTGTTTGCTTATTTGTTTTATCCTTCAGAGAAATGCTAGAAATTTAGTAATTAAATTAAATATTTCATTGAACACAAAAGCATAACATTATGGAAAAGAGTAACTGTTGTTTGGTTTTATTTATATATGTTAGTGTTTATACTGACTAATCTCACCAATGGAGACAGACAATTTCTAAGATTTATTATAGGCATTGTGTTTGGATCTTTCTTTCAGAAAAGTAAAAATCAGCTTAACCCAAAAATTATTTTAATAATAATTGGCATATCCAGCTTCATCCATGTCCCTACAGCGGACATGAACTCATACATTTTTATGTCTGCATAGTATTCCCATGGTGTATATGTGCCACATTTTCTTAATCCAGTCTATCATGGATGGACATTTGGGTTGGTTCCAAGTCTTTGCTATTGTGAATAGTGCCGCAATAAACATATGTGTGCATGTGTCTTTATAGCAGCATGATTTATAATCCTTTGGGTATATATCCAGTAATGGGATGGCTGGGTCAAATGGTATTTCCAGTTCTAGAAGCTGGAAACCATCATTCTGAGCAAACTATCGCAAGGACAGAAAACCAAACACCGCATATCCTCACTCATAGGTGCAAATTGAACAATGAGAACACCTGGACACAGGGTGGGGAACACGACACACCGGAGCCTGTCGTGGGGTGGGAGGAGGGGGCAGGGATAGCATTAGGAGATGTGCCTAATGTAAATGACGAGTTAATGGCTGCAGCACACCAACATGGCACATGTATACATATGTAACAAACCTGCACATTGTGCACATGTACCCTAGAACTTAAAGTATAATAAAAATAAATAAATAATAATTGGCATATCCAGAACCCTTTGCTGTCTTCTGCTACATTTGCACAAATTCACAGCTATTTGAATACCAGTCATTGTCAATCCTGGTCAGCTTTGAAAATACTGTTCCTTAGTTTTGCTCTCTGCCTAATTTACTTGGATTGAGGGGAAACCCAGGAATCAGTTGATTTGAGTACGTAGCCAATGTTGTAAAGAACTAATTGCTTTAACTTCTAATAGAAAAATATCACTATTTTTTTTAAAAAGTTACATAATTCATGTGTAGGAACATAATCCTTTTAGCCTAGAAGTAAAAAATGATATAGTCTTGCCCTATAGCACTGATCATGGCCATATATAATTTATAATAACCAAAATAATGACAATATTTTGGTACAGCATGCTCTATTAATTTGAATGCTCACGAGTTAACACATAATTCAATGTGATATGTATTAGGTTATAGAAAACCATGAGGTAAAAATCATAGGCTGCATTGAACTTTCTACTTCCCCAACTTTGCCTCATTATAGGGAGGGATGCAGCCCTAGAGTTCAAGAATTCCATAAAGACCAACCTGAAATTCTGGTGCCTGGCATCTTGTCACACCTTCTTCCAATACACAAACATCAAGGAGTGTAGAAGTTGAACATGGTCTGTTGTCACTGCCTCAAAGAATCCACTTCTAGCTTGTTCACACTAGGGTGTGAACATTTAAAGAGGGTAGGGAAGAACCACCTGGGTGGATTTTCACTGGGGATCTTATAATAAACTCTCAAAATCCCAGATTGAGACAAGGGAAGGGATGCTCAGTCGTATGTAATTAGGAAAAAGAGAGGGATTTTGAACCCACCCCTGCATCATCTAAGTCAAATAGAGCCAGTGTAACTGTTGGGACCGTTGCAGGTAGGGTGTGCTAGGTACCAAGCCGCAGTTAGGTAACCAATGACTTTTACAAGCTTATTTTCATCTCAGTACACCACATGCTTCATGTGCCACGTGCATGTATGTAAGTTACACATCTAAGATTATATTATTGGGTTACACTACCATGAATTATCTAAGGAAAACAGAATGATCATCATTGTGTGTGCAAAGACGACTTCTGAAATTAATACCAACAAGAGATTTCTTCTTTGCATATTTTCAAGCAGAAAGTGGACTAAATTATATCATTGGAGCATGACGTCTCAAAAAATATTTATTGCCAAATAATTCTTTACTGCTAAAAATTATTTATTGCATGAAATAGAAAAGATCTGAGACTGAAACTTCCATTTAAAAACATGATTTAAAAAAATAGAGTAATTACATAACAATTATGAAACTCAGATGCCAGAGTCAGAAATCAAGAAATTAACTATGTCAAGCAATTACAATATGATTACAAAGGCCCTTATATATTCATACAAGCTTTTTGCATTTTTTGAGCTAATTTTATGAAAAACATCAAAAGCCAGAAAACTAATGCTTAATGTATATTTTAAGGCCAAGAACAATATAGAAAAATTAATTTTCTCCTTAAAGTTTTTTAAGATATTTAAAGTAAACATTTTAAAAATTATTTAATCTGTGACCCAATTTGAATCACTTTGCTCTTCAGATTCCGATGTCTCCACAAAAATTCCGATGTCTCCTTGAAATTAGCTGATACATTATAAGAAATGAATGACTGTCCTGTCCTATTTGGGATACACATAAAAGTTACCCCAAAGGTTTAATTAGATAGTGAAGTACAAAAATACAGATTTGTAAAATATTACATATATAAACAATATAAATCTCTATTTTGACAAGTGACTTGATAAACTAGGTTAAATAATTGTTAATAGAGTTGAGTAAAGGCAGTGATGTTGGTAAACTAGTGATCCAAATGAAAAGAAAGTCGGCTGGGCACGGTGGCTCACGCCTGTAATCCCAGCACTTTGGGAGGCCAAGGCGGGTGGATCACAAGGTCAGGAGTTCGAGACCAGCCCGGCCAATATTGTGAAACCCCGTCTCTAATAAAAAATACACAAATTAGCCCAGCGTGGTGGCATGGTGCCTGTAGTCACAGCTACTCAGGAGGCTGAGGCAGGAGAATCGCTTGAACCAGGGAGGTGGAGGTTGCAGCGAGCTGAGACCACACCACTGCACTCCAGACTGGGCAACAGAGTGAGACGCCATCTCAAAAAAAAAAAAAAAAAAAAAAAAACCAGAAAAAAAGAAAGTCTTGATACATGGTGTATGCTGCATGTATGTAATTTACACTTCAAAGAGTAAGTCCTCCCACCATAGCTGTTTTCAAGTTATTACCATTTCAAGATACTAACTCCTGTGAATAGGAGGGTGAAGTCTTTAAATTACAGGAAATTGCAATAAAAGCCTGAGGCAAAGATATTTCAAGGGTTTTGGTTAAACAAAAGACACATTGGCTGGCATGAACAAGAGGAATCCACTATTGAAACCATCTTAGTCAATGGCAGGAAGACAGTGTTATGAGTCTACTGGTTACAGAAAATCTTTGTTTTAAAAACTCAGGTTTATCGAATTAAAATTTATATATGCCAAAAGTCATCTTTTTAAGTATGCAGTGTGTTGAAAACATAGATGGTTATATAACAAATACCATCCTCAAGATATAGAACAGTAACATCACCTAGAAAAATTCCCTTTTGTGCCTTTTGAATCAGTATTTCTGCTGCCCTCAGTCTTTGGAAATCGCTGTTCTTTGTCCCTATGGTTTTATATTTTCTAGAATGTCATACACAAGGGAGCAAACAGCATCCTGAATAGGCCTTTAAATCTGGCTTTTAAAATAGCATAATAAATCTGAGACACATTCATGTTGTTATGTTATCAGATTTGTTTCTTTTTCTTCCTAATGTGATATTAAATAGATACAGTATATAACTTTTTGACTATTCACCAGTTTTTGAAATTATGAATCATATGGTTAAAGTCACCAACAGATATACATATGTATATTACATATATGTATAATAATGTATGTATATATAATATATGTATATATACATATATGTATATAGTATACATATAAATCAGTGGATTCTTCAATTTTTTTATTGTCAAAATGATTTTTCCATTATAATTCCTTTGCTTCTCTGTTGAAAGTTTTAGAATGAGCTTGTTTGTTAGTTGCAAATATCCTGTTAGGAATTTTAACTGGATTGAATTTTTGTATTGAATTTTTTGTTTGGTTTGAACAGAATTAATTTATTGTCAATATTGGCTACCAAGCTCTTTACTTATTTACTTCTTCTTTGATTTCTTTTACCAGTGTTTTTTTAGTTTTTGTTACCCTTTCTCCATGTTTTTTTAGATTAAGAATTTAATGTTTCTTGTGCTACTTTAAATGTAACTTTAAAAAATTCTAATTTCCAATTGTTCATTAATAGTGTTGTAAAGTAGCGGGTCCCCCACCAGGGAATTTAAGGGCATATGTTGACTGCTTGAGTCCTGAAGGCTAGATGGTGAGCAAAGTTCATGGTGCTCAGCCGAGGAGCAGATGTCCCTGAAAACCAAAACATCCGGGAGCATATCTAGGTACATACCAAGAAGAACAGTTTCATCACATGTAGTAAGCAAAGAGCCAGAAAAGTAGCTTTGGCCGGGCGCGGTGGCTCATGCCTGTAATCCCAGCACTTTGAGAGGCCAAGGCGGGCGGATCACGAGGTCAGGAAATCAAGACCATCCTGGCTAACGTGGTGAAACCCCGTCTCTACTAAAAATACAAAAGATTAGCCGGGCGTGGTGGAAGGCGCCTATAGTCCCAGCTACTCGGGAGGCTGAGGCAGGAGAATGGCGTGAACCTGGGAGGCGGAGCTTGCAGTGAGCCGAGATCCCGCCACTGCACTGCAGCCTGGGCGACAGAGCGAGACTCCGTCAAAGAAAAGAAAAGAAAAGAAGAAAGGAAAGGAAAGGAAAGGAAAGGAAAGGAAAGGAAAGGAAAGGAAAGGAAAGGAAAGGAAAGGAAAGGAAAGGAAAGGAAAGGAAAGGAAAGGAAAGGAAAGGAAAGGAAAGGAAAGGAAAGGAAAGGAAAGGAAACAGAAAAGAAAAGAAAAGAAAAAAGTAGCTTAAAAGCAGCTTAGAGGAAGATGGTGGGCAGCAGGCGGATCTCTGGAGTTATCCCGCTGCCCTTTACGTAAGTCCTAATAAACTCATCTTCTCATGAAGCTGGACTTGTCTGAGTCCTTCTTTGTTATTTCAGCACTATCTCTTTGGCAGAGGGATGTTCTTCTACACAGGTCTGGGTTTTTCCTGCAACAATTATATATAAAAAATAATTCTGTATATTAACATTATAGTGTTATAGTGCATAGTGTGAAATTACAAAACTCACAATTTATTTCTAGTAGCTTCACTTTTAATAATTTTAATTATTTTGTACTCACAATTTATTTCTAGCAGCTTCACTGCTAATAATTTTAATTATTTTGTACATAATGGAATACTGTGCATAGACCATCCACGAATCAAATAGAGTTTTATTTCTTCGTATCCAATTTGTATGCCTTTTGTTTATTTTTCTTACTTTAGTACACTGGTTAAAATTTCCAGTATACAGTTAAATAGTTCTTGAGGACAGGTTTCCTGTACTTCTTTTCTTCGTGCCTGTGTATAACGTATATTTAACTATATAATACATACAACACAACTATGTTTGTCTTCATATAATTTTTTACCTTTTTTTTAGTTTGTTTACGTAGCCCCTATATCTCTAGAAATGTTTCTTGGATTTACGATTTGATTGCCTTCACTTCTTTTGGAAAATTCTCATTCATTTTGTTTTTAAGTATTTATCATCCTTGTTCTCTTTCATGAATCCGTTCAAGTTAGGCATCCAGAGCTGTCCTTCAGCTCTTGGATGCCATGTTCTGCTATTTATCACTCTTCTTGTTTCTTACTTGTATTTGTTATTCAATTTCTATGTTTTTTATCTTCAACTTTACTGTTCCATTCTTTATTCATATCAAGTCTTCTGATGAATTACTTCATTGGTGTTTGCATTTTGAGGTAGATACAACAGTATATCTATTGAGACATTAATTAGTGCAATTAAACCGAAGTTTAACACATTTTAAGTAAAAATTTATCCCACTATCGCATAAAACTTGTGAAAGTTAAAGTCATCAGCACTTAATATTGTCTGTCATGCGAGGCAATCGGCACTCAAGTGGCAAATGCACTCATTTAACTCTAAATTGGTACTTTAGTTAATCTCTCATATTGATTTTTTAACCCTTAAACACTGGCAAAGAGAAGCATACACCTAAAGAGAGATTTTTTACATTATTGTTTATTTAGTTAGTTTTTAGAAACAAGGTCTCCTCTCTCTCCCAGGCTGGAGGGCTGTGGTGCAATCACAGCTCACTGCAGCCTCAAAATCCTGGGCCCAAGCATACCTCCCACCTCAGCCTCCCAAGTAGCTTGGATTACAAGTGCCTGCCTCAGTACCCGGCTACTTTTAAAACATTTTTTGATACACATAGAGTCTCAGTTTGCTGCTCAGGCTGGTCTCAAACTATTGGTCTCAAGCAATCCTCTTGCCTCAAGCTTCTGAAGTGCTGGGATTACAGGTTAACCAGGACACCTGGCCGAGAGGTTATTTTTTGTTGTTTTAATTTCTTTATTTAATAGTCTGTGTATTTAAATTTTGTTGACAATAATCTTAACAGCAACAATAGTATCTACTTGAAAGGTATGCATTCTATATATAATTCCTTAGATATAAATTTAAGTATAAATATTTGAAAACTCTTTAATTTTTTAATATTGTGTCCCATTTCTTAAAAAAGAGAGAAGCTATATTAACTTTTGAATTCAGTACACAGTTAACAGTTCTTTCATTTAATATGTGATAATATAAATTTAACAGTGAAACTTTCAAATACTCATATTAACTTACCCTGATAGATTTTATAGCTTTAATATAAAACTTCTCATAAATGTAAAATTTGACAAAGCACAATATTCTCCAGGAAGTTAGAAAAGTAATATAATTTTCTGTCTCTCAGAATGTGTTTTCTAACCTCTAAATATAAATTGATGGACTAATCTTTTAAAATTCAGAATCAAATATAATTGCTTTGGTTTGATCATTGAGAATTCTTTTTCCATTCCATCATTTTATAGTTTTTGCCTAAATAAAATACTTAAGGAAGTTATTGTTATGTTGTATTTGAAAGATGCCTGATGGAGAAACATTCATAGTTCTTTTCTATCCTTATGAAAGGTTATATGAAAACATATATATATGTATATATATAAACATGTGGATAAAGTACAGAAAATCCTATCATTGCCTCTGACTCAAATGGTAATCTTTAATATAAAGATTTGAAACTTTCATGGAACAGTATATCAGAACTTTATTTCCAATTTGTTTATGTATACTTAACGTATATCCTAAGTATCAAGAAATCACATTCAATTAACATATACATTATAAAACAATTCCTATATGATAATTCTAATAAGTAAACATGATTTTAGTGGTAGTAATTATTCAATCAAATATTCATATTTTAAAGATTAAATCTTCATATTTTAAAGCACATTACATCAGTTTACAATTCGATATTGACTACTGGATAGAATTTATCAATGAAATTTTGAATATGGCATGGTTAATGCAGATCATGTGAATTAAATTGCAAGGCAGAGAGCTTTTAAATTAAAAAAATAAGCTGGTTTATAAATCCAGTGCTAGACAGTTAATAAAAGCAATACATATAAATCTCCCAGACACCTCCCAATCTTGGTATTTTGAAATATTTTCCTCTTTTTAATATTATTTAAATAAAAAAATTATCTGCCTTTAAGCAACAAAACATGAACTCTTGGTAGAAAATTCACTAATTGACATAGGTATCTAGACTTATAAACCTGTAAAAAATGTGAAATAGAAGGCATAAAGTATTTGAGTCAATAAATTACTAACTAAATCTTTTTTTTTTTTTTTTTTTTTTTGGGACGGAGTCTCGCTCTGTCGCCCAGGCTGGAGTGCAGTGGCGGGATCTCGGCTCACTGCAAGCTCCGCCTCCCGGGTTCACGCCATTCTCCTGCCTCAGCCTCCCAAGTAGCTGGGACTACAGGCGCCCGCCACTACGCCCGGCTAATTTTTTGTATTTTTAGTAGAGACGGGGTTTCACTGTTTTAGCCGGGATGGTCTCGATCTCCTGACCTCGTGATCCGCCCGCCTCGGCCTCCCAAAGTGCTGGGATTACAGGCGTGAGCCACCGCGCCCGGCCTTAACTAAATCTTTTGATTAAATCAGCTTTATAAAAAAAGTAAACGTAAACACATAAGTCTTTGTATAAGCACCCCTACATTTTTAAAAGTATATTTGCCTTTTCATAAACTCAGTTGAGTAGTGGTAACATTCATCATCACAACTTTTTAGAGGCAATGAAATTGATGTCATTTGAGGTCTTCATCTCATATTTATCTTTTATTTTCTTATTTTGTCATGTTTAGCAAAGGATAGTAAAAGTAGAGGATCATTCAACCCAGAAATACAGGGAAACTGATCCTTGTAAATAGCACCCTTTATAGACTAATGGATATTTTAAGAGCAAGATGTGCTAGAAAGGAAAATAAGGCAATCTCTTAATGCTGTGCCTTTTCTTCCATTACATTTTTAGATTATATATTATCCCTTGTTTATTGCTGTAGCTGGGGAAAATATTTTTATTGAAATAGATTGTTTTTTGAAGTTTGCTATATTAGGTAAAAATAAATACCAAACTTCTCTGTCTTCAGTTTAATAGAAAAAAAAAAATCCCTTGTTACTCTGTTTCTGCCTTACTGTTAGTAGAAAGATTTATGATTAAGTAATTTTAGTAGGACAACATTAAGAACAAAAACATGAACCAAAATACTTTTTAAAATAAATATACACATTTTTACTATATATAGACACATATATAAAAGTATATATACATATATGTATATATGTGACTTCAATAACAGGAAAATAGATTTTCCAGATGAAGAATCTAAACATCTCATCCATAACAAAAGGTTAGGCTCTATACCAATGCTTGAATGAAAACTGTAATATCATCCATTTAAAAAAATGCCAACACATGCATAATTTTAGGCTGTAAAAATGAAAATATTTCAGAATTGATTAACAAATGGTGGAAGTTAAAGTTGTCTCTTCCCGACCTGCACTTTGTTTTCTGTCTCTTGCCTTTTCTCACATTTTATTTTTCCTTCCTATCTCAACAATATACCCCACCTGCAGTGTGCCCAATGTGGACACATACCTGCTTTTTTCAGGCACTGTTTTGGACAACATTTCCCTACTGAGCATTAAATCACTTTTTCTTAAATACGTACTAAAGATTTCCATGGCTGAAAAGCTAGTTCCACATACATTAATAATCCTTGAAGAATTAAATCAGATACAACCTCTACATCAGCACAATATTTCAAGGTGGTAAGGGAGTGCTACTGCTGGGTTTGTCTTCACTTAATAACTTTATTAATGATGTGGATGAGTGAACAAATATGAAAAGAAAATTTATAGGTATTACATACGTAGATTCTGCAGAAACAAATAGGCTGGAAGGTAATGACTGTAGAATGACCTAGAGAGGTTAAAAAAAGAAAATAGTAGTCCAATATTATTCCACTTTTAAGTAAATGAGACCATTAAGCTCTTTAAAATAACCAGTAAATAAAAACTCAAAGCAATGATAGCTACATCAAAAAGTGAGGGAAGAGGGGAAATTATATGTTGCAATGTTACAGAGTACATTAAAGCATTCAGTATATTTCCTGAAAATTTCATAAGCACAGTTCTTAATGTTTATTCATAAATAAACAAAACCAAACCAAAAGCCATAGTTCATTTGTTTCTAACTAAGAGTACAAATTATTTATGCGGAAAAGTACATATAAGCTCACATAAATAACACGAATAATGTTTTCATTGTGAAGATATTCATAACGTTCAAATGACAAGGTCTTAGGAACTCTGCACCTTCATTAATTTTAATCAATATTTAACAATCAAGATTGTTTTCAATAAATCATGATCTAATAATGAAAGGGGGAAACTATTTGTTTTAACTTTCATTTCAGTTTTACCCTTTACTCACAAGTTGAAATTCATTCTCACTCTTTGCAAACTATTTTGAAACACTTCCAGGTAAAATTCATATAAATATTTTATTTTTCCTAATTTTTGGAAAAATTTTAGACTATTACAATCTGAGTTAATAGCCTAGTTCCTTTGTTGATCCAGTGTAAATAAATATTTCTCTTTTCTTGCTGTATTAAAAAACCCACAGTCTCTATAGCCAAGTCTATATCTATATCGATATCTATCTGTATCTGTATCTATCTATGTGTATCTCTATCGATGTATGCATACACAAATAATATCTGTGGAAGAATTTTTTTTCATGTAGTGTAATATCCACAGCTCTTCTACTTTAACCATAACTCAAGTTAATAACATTTTATTGTCTTTTGTTAGTTTTACCTGGAAAAGAAAGCACATCATATACAATATTATAAAATAGAAATAAAACTAAATATAGCGTTTTAGAAGGTAACAAAGTTTTATGTTTAAGGATATTAAATAAAATCTATTTCTTCCAGTATATTTTTTCACAATCTGTCTTAAATGGAATCTTCAGATATCTTAACAAGTTGACTACTAGATTTTGTAGTGTATTCCAATCAGATATCTATCTGAGGCCACTCTTTTTTTTAATAATCTAGGCTTCTGTAGACAATGTGGAAACATTTTTAAAATGATGACGCCCTCCTTTTCCTTCGTAGCTAAATTAGTACACAAAATTCTAAATATTTCCTTAGTTTTAATAATAATAAAGCAATATAAGATTCACCCTCTGTATTCAATTCTTTGTTACCAATTCTGCTACAATGAGAATTTTTGAAATTCTTAGTTATAACCTTTATTTTTGATAATTGCATTTAAAATGCAATGATAAAGCAAATAATTAAAATGCTAGGAATAAAATTGTCCTTTATTAGTTTATCATAAAGTTCCATAAATTTCAGCTCTCCTTGATTTCTCACTATTCTAGTTCATCAATTTTGTAATTAATCATTAAACATTATTCTTTCTCTATATTAAAAATATTAGCAATTAAAAAATCCCTATTTAATATTATATTCATTGTTTTAGTTTGATGCTTTTTTTTTTTAGTGATATGTACAGAAGACAAAAAAATGATGTGCAGCCTTTGTGTTCCATTTATTGTTGCGTAAAATAAAATTTCATCAATCTTGGATAAAAATTCTTAGGCCTATGATTATATTTGAAGGAAACACTAACTTCTGACATGATTATTTAGAACACACATTTTCTTAACTTGTCTTCCATTTTAGTGGAGCTATAAATAGCTTTGGCAAATTTTTCTGCTTTGCTGTTAATTTAACTCAGTAGATTTATTGAAATTTTAAGACACCACGTTACGCAAGATTTAGGGTATGTGACTACTCTTTCCTCCTGTGTGGAGGTCGACATTGCCACAGTCTAATATCATAGTTCCCCTAACTGGTCCCCTCCCAGAAGTGAGTTGCAAGTTCCTGCTGACTTTCAGAATTATTTCTCCATGTTTATGTCATTTTGATGCAAGAGAGGTCAATACACAGGTATGTCATCAAAATAATATTTAGACTATGTCATTCCCACAAAAAACAACTTATATGCCATGTTTTACTCACTACCAAAGTCTTGTTGAATACTACTTGTTTCATTCCTCTAGCCAGGAGACAACCTGGCAGGTATACTGCCTGAGCACCAAGAAGTTATCATATAATTTGCGTTTCACTGACCTCTCTTACCTTGTCAAATTACCCACAATAATTTTGGTAAAGTTGCATCTAACTTGGTATGGACTAAAAATACTTGCGTCGCCCCCAAAATTTGTATGTTAAAACCCTAATTCCACTGAGATGATATTTGGAAACAGGGCCTTTGGGAAATAATTAGGTCATGAGTCTCTCTCTCTCTTTCTCTCTCTCTCTCTCTCTCTCTCTGTCTGGTCTCTCTCTCTGTCTCTTTATGAGGACATGACAAGGAATGGAGGTTTTACCTGTAACCATTGACTGGCACCTTTATCTTGGACTCTCAGCCTCCAGAACTCCGAGAAGTAAATTTCTATTGTTTAAACCAGTCAGTGTATGTTGTTTTTGTTGTTGTTATAGCAGCTTGAATTAAGACACAATTTTCCTAAAACTTAAAAATGTCGGATTGGTGGATAAAATTGTATTTCATTGTGCTTTTTTCTTCAAGCCTTATACCTCTGACTCCAAACTCATAGTAACCAGTGTAAGACATGGTAGAATCTTTCCACTAGTGCTTGGGACACTATTTATAGTATCTACCCAATCTAATTTTAATGAAAAAGTTGAAGGTTGGTATAAAAAAATGTTTATCATCTAGGAGTTCCAGGCTCAATTCAACATACTTGTGATGGTCTCATGTAGTAGCAGTGACAGTCAACTACAAATGGTGCCTGAACAGGGACATTTCAGAGACTATCAGGGACATACAGAGACCTGAAAGGACCTGGAGGGACCTGAAGAGGTCTGCAGGGATAAACAGAGATAAGTAGAGGTAAGTAGAGAAAAGTAAGTAGAGATAAGTAAGTAGAGAAAAGTAGAGATAGGTAGGGAAAGACGGGGACTTGCAGGAACTTGCAGGAACTAACAGGTACCATAGGGACAGACAGAGACAGATAGGAATAGATAAAGACTAGCAATATAAGGTCAGTGCCCTGAAGAGGTACTGGTCTGTGTCCTAAAGAGGTACAAAAGTAGAGACTAGCAAAGACTAGGAGAGATTTGGAGGAACAGACAGGGACAGATAGGGACAGATAGGGTCCTATAGGACTAGAGCGAGGAAGGTCTGCTGGAACAGAAAAAAACTAAAACCAACTAGATGAACGAGAAAGCCCATTACAACTCTGTTGGCAGCGACATAAGGTTAGTGCTCTAAAAAGGTACTGGTCAGTGCCCTAGAGGTACAAAGAATGGGAAGTTTTTAAAACAGGGAAACGAGGAAGAATTTGGCTATTTCTTTTCTCTTTTTTGTTTGTTTGGAGTTTTGGTATGTACCATCTTTTTGTTATTTAGAATTTTTTGCCCCACCTACAGTGCCTATCGAAAATGGTGAACAGAAGAGGGAGAATGAAAATTGCCTTGTATCGTCTTCTTTGGTGGCTACAGAAAGGCTAACTTTAGCTTTGGCTTTCATGGATTGTAAACGTGCACTGGCACCTGTGAGATGTGCAGAGGACTTGGGAGGCTTTCTCAGAGCTTGTCAAGATGTGGGAACTGAGCTTCATTGCTCTGCAGTATTGACTCAGGCAATAGCAAATTTGGTGGCTGACAGATCTAAAAGAAGCCAAGGGTCAAGCCCTAAAGTGGGAAAGTGTCATAAGTGTAGAAAACTTGGACGTTTCAAAAGAGAATGCCGTCAGACCTCTGTGAACAAGAGATCTTGTAACATAGTCCCCCTCTTAACAGAAAAAAAATGCCGGACTTTGCCCTCGATGCAATAAAGGAAATCATTGGGCTAATCAACACCACTCAAAATTTCATCAAAACGGCACCCCCCTGTTGGGAAGCAAGAAGGGGGCCTGGACCCGGGCACCTCAAACTATGAGGGCGTTCCCTGTCCAGGCCACAACTCCGTTTCAGGGGTGGGTTTCCAGAGGCACATGGATTCCCTCTCCCCAGGAACACCTGGAAACGCAGGATTAGATCTCCCAGAGAACCAATTACATTAAATGAAAGAAACAAACTCACTAAGATTCACATTGGTATTTGGGGATCTTTGCCAACAAGATACAAGGGATTGATTTTGGTAAAAGCTGTCTTAACTTACAGGCCCAGGAGTTGTTGATTTTGATTGTGAAGGAGAAATTCAGGTAGTGGTAATGTCACAAGATCTTTGGGTTTTTGAACTGGGACAATACGTTGCTCAATTTTCGCTTCTTCCCTGTAAATTGTACCCTTCTCCACATAAGAAGAAGCGAGGTGGTCAGGGATTTGGAAGTGCAACTAGGAGAGAGATTTATCTATCACCACCCATAGCATCTAGTGGACCCACCTGTACAGTGCAAATTGAAGGTTTAAGGATTGCTTTTTGCTATACTGTTTTACGAGAAGGATAAGCCTCGATTTGCTTTCTCTGTGCCGTGTGTTAATCAGAAAGAGCCTGCTTCTTGTTCTCAGTGGAAAGTTTTACCCCACGGCAATTAACCAAAGAGGCAGAAGCTGAGTTACAAATGTTTCAGCAATGGCGTGCCTCCCGGCTACAGCAAAAAAAATAAAAAATAAATAAAAAAGAAAACACTTTTGATTCTGTTTGGTAGATTTACTAACGTGGGGACGAGGGTATACTTACATCTTTGCAGAAGATGAACAAACCGAGTGGGTGCTCCCAAGGTGTGTACGACCGTTGAACAGGAGACTGGAGGGACCCATGGATCCCAACCATGGACCTTGTTCCCCCAGTATGAACCATGAACCAGTTGAATCTGAATGCAAAGATGGAATGAGGACCACTAGAAGCAGGGAGCTCTCTTCTTCCCCATGCTAGCCTTTCCTTAAAACAGTTTCTTTTGTTTTTTGTTACCATTTCTATGTTCGTCTCTTCATTCAGTCTAGTAATGACGGTCTCAAGTAGTAACCGTGGCAGTCAGCCACACTTAAATCTTAATGCTTTTAAATTCTAGAAGGAACTCAAAAAGAGACAAACAAGTCAGTCATAGTAGTAATACATGGAGAATGAATTGTGAAATCTAAGAGACTGAATATCATGTCAAGCATAAGCTTTTTCAAAGCAATTAAACTGGGCTTTTAATGACATTACTTAGACTTTCCAGACAAAATGTGTAACAATACAGCTAATTTTAATAAAATGACTTTGAAATCCCCAAACTCAAATATAATCTCATGAAGTAATTGTTTGTGATAACACCTTAATATGTTTTATACCATCATTATGAAAAACAGTGCAAGAGAAAGGAGAAAAAATTCTTTATTGTGAGTTAAAAACTTTGAAACCTAAGTCAATCATTTTTATTGTTTCAAGAAATATTTCCCCACGGCTACTTTAGTAGCAAAATCAAAGTCAGGAGAGCCCAGGCTTCTGTAAACAAAGTTTAATTGTATCCCCTCCCCCTTTCTTCTCTGTCTCATAATTTTCTCAGTACTTTTTAAGGAGCGAGAGGCATCCCCATGAATGACACTGTTATAGGTTCTAAGGCAGAGGATGTGATGATGATGATCTTTGGGAAACGGTGAGGTGAATGTTGTCCACGAAGCTGCTTTCTAGTAGGGTGTCTGTGGGAAACTATACCCTTTCTGTGGGGTCTTCTGAATGTAGCTAATACTATTTTTGTTTGGGCTGGAAGTTTTTTATTATTATTGTTTTTACACTTTAAGTTCTAGAGTACATGTGCATAACGTGCAGGTTTGTTACATATGTATATATGTGCCGTGTTGGTTTGCTGCACCCATTAACTCATCATTTACATTAGGTATTTCCTCTAATGCTATCCCTCCCCCATCCCTCCACCCTACGACAGGCCCCTGTGTGTGATGTTCCCCGCCCTGTGTCCAAGTGTTCTCATTGTTCAATTCCCACCTGTGAGTGAGAACATGCGGTGTTTGGTTTTCTGTCCTTGTGATATTTTGCTGAGAATGCTGGTTTCCAGCTTCATCCAAGTCACTACAAAGGACATGAGCTCATCCTTTTTTATGGCTGCATAGTATTCCGTGGTATATATGTGCCAGATTTTCTTAATCCAGGCTATCCTTGACGGACATTTGGGTTGGTTCCAAGTCTTTGCTATTGTGAATAGTGCCTCAATAAACATATATGTGCATGTGTCTTTATAGTAGCATGATTTATAATCCTTTGGGTATATACCCAGTAATGGGATGGCTGGGTCAAATGGTATTTCTAGTTCTAGATCCTTGAGGAATCGTCACACTGTCTTCCACAATGTTTGAACTAGTTTACACTCCCACCAACAGTGTAAAAGTGTTCCTATTTCTCCACATCCTCTCCAGCACCTGTTGTTTCCTGACTTTTTAATGATCGCCATTCTAACTGGTGTGAGATGCTATCTCATTGTAGTTTTGATTTGCATTTCTCTGATGACCAGAGATGATGAGCCCTGTTAAGTTCTATCCTCTCCATATGTCCATGGGGCTGTTGGAAATATTCTTTTTCTGGGCTTCATGCTGTGCCCAGAGCATTTCCTTTTTCCTTCTCCTTTTTAAGGCAAGGATGCATCTGTTTTCATAAGGTTTGTGATAAAACAACACTCAAGTTTTGCAAGTTACATGATTGTCATCATCATCGCACTAATTTTTTGTGAAATATGCATTTTAATTACTTCCAAGAGGGTTTATTTCTAATGAAAAAAATTAAACAATAAATAATTTTAGACTTACCCCATGCAAGAAATGACAAATTCACTGAAGCAAACATGTTTAGGCTACACTGTATGCAATCTACAAATTGCCTGCTCAGTCTCAGTTTCTTGCATATATTTCTCATACATCTAAATGTTAATTTCCACACTTCTGTCTCTCTGAATCCCTGGCAAATGGCAATGGCTAGTGACTTTGCATTCACCTATCAGAAAAACATGAATCCGGACACACTTCCGGGAGCGTGGGACGTGGTAGGAATTTACTGGATAATAGGAACTGATATGTTATTTTGAGAGTGCTAAAATTCTCCCAGTGAATGTAACTTTGCCTATATTTTATATAACTTATTGGTTTTGGTTTGATAATTAAAAATATCAAAATTATCCTGGGGCAGGAGCCAAGGATGGTATTATACAGTGAGAAGTGAGTCCCACATGTCAGTCTTGTCATTTTCTTCCTCAGATAAAGTGCAGAATTTTGTCATCAGTAATATGAAAGAGAGATTTTACAGAAAAATTGCCAATTTTTGTCCATGAAGATGAGGGCAATATGCTAAGTATCAACGGACTAAAAGATGGCATATATTTTTTAGTGGGACATCCATGCAAGACTGCATTTCTTACCTGTTGACTATTACAGTAAATAGAAAATAATTATTTTAATTAAGCGACTACAATTTAGGGCATTTGTTGTAGAGATTTACAAATGTTTCACATTGCTTGACTTCAGGGGGCGCCATTTTTACATCATCCATTTCTAATAGCATGGCCAAGAGTATACTCCAAGTAACAAATGAGGTATAGCATATGAGACAAAGTAGAAACACTTAAAGGGTTAAAGAAATTTTCACCCGTATCTCTATGATGCAAAGTAAAGCAAAAGACAAAGAAACAAGCAAAAAAGAACAAGTGGTCGCCAAGCTGGACTGCAGTGATAAAACCATGGCTCACTGCAAACTCCGCTTTCTGAGCTCAAGCAATCCTCCCACCTCAGCCTCATGAGTAGCTGGGACTACAGGTGCCCACCACCACTCCTGGCTAATTTTTGGGTTTTTAGTAGAGACAGATTTTTGCCACATTGGCCGGGTGGGTCCCAAACTCCTGAGCTCAAGCAATCCACCCACTTCAGCCTCCCAAAGTGTTGAGATTACAGGCATAAGCCACCACACCCGGCCGCTGCATTTTTTTTTAATGGGAAATAACAAGCATATTCATTACATATAAAATGATATATTTAGAAATTTTGTAGGCTTTATAAATTCTGTTGGATAATGGAAAATTTTTTATTGTATTTTTTGTGTATGAGAACATAATGTTATAAAGTAAAATGTACATAGAGGGAAATGGGATTGTGAGGATAGTAACCATAGGTGAGGAGATGGATGAAAGAAAGGTCTTACACTGCTGTAAGGAGCTGTTACTATATCTTCTTCATATTTTTATAAAACATATCTTATTAGAAGACTTAAGTTACTTATTTTTTTCTTGTATGTATATATTCACCTCCATTTTGAAGGCTATTAGTCTGGGAAACCTACAAGAACATTGCCGTAGGGAAGCTCAAGTATGTTAACAACAACAAAAATAGTTCTGTGAATGCCTTTACATAATATAAGGTCTACATATTCTCTCTAGATCTGTGCGCCGTAAGACTGGATTTTGAAAAGCTGAGGCATAGACTGATAGCTCTTTACCACACTTGTTTTTTCTTCTTTCTGGATACATAGCTTGGCTATATTTCCATGCAACTGTGTCCCGGTTAATGTGTACCACTTTTAGAGGGTGGTACATATAAATGTTTCTTCCAGTTCTTTCAACATGTGTCATTTGAAAAAGGAGAACTCTGAAGCCCTCTAGGAAGTTGGAGCTACAATACTGGAGGCCAGTTTCCTGAATTACTCCCTGGTAAAAGCCACCCAGACAAGAAATGCCTTTATTTGAATGTTATTAATGAGAAACACATTTTAAACTTTCAGCCACTTTAACTTTGAGGATTGTTTGTTAAAACAGCTGGTGTTACCCAAACTGTTATAGGAGTCTACTAAATATCATTTCATTTTTTTCCCTTCTCAAACTCAGAATGAATTGGGAGATAGCCGTGGGCATTAAAACTGTTTCAAGAAGTGCAACTTAGCGTTCAGGGCTGACCTCATGAGCTTCCAGAGACATCAGAGTAAGTGACCCTTTTTCTAGTTTCGAAGCTCTGTTCTAGTTCTAAGCATGCAAATAAATTTTAAGCAGGATTTCTTAGCCTGCAGGAGCTGAGGATGATTAATAAGTCCTGCTGTTATGCATAAATGCACTGACCTATACTGTGCCCTTCAGTCAAATTGTATATTGTTTAATCGTGATAAATGAAGTGCACCAGGCACAGATAAGCTAGTCCCTGGAGTATGTCCAGATACACCTGAAAGAAGAATGACTCAAGCTGGGTGTGTAAAGCTACACTTTGGAGGATAGAGCTTCCCACAGGTGCAATGGAACTCTCACTTCTCACTTGCTCAGAAATTATGATCTGCAGTGTGAGTCTCCCCTGGTAAGGAAACGTGTCCAGCTCCTTGAAACATGTTCTAGAGAACAGCATTCATTACCCTCCCATGAACTTAAACATGCTTCTTGGCTCCTGTGCATTTTAGGTAAGTAAGCTTTGATTTCCCCAGGTGGTGTCGGTGTCTAGTCTTTTCATAAACTTGCACTTACTATTAACATGGAGAGGACATCCACAGGCCGAGATACATTGCCATGTCTTGCATTAAAAGCAAATGAACCTGAAGTTTTTTTGTAAACAACTTACGAAGTTTCATTTGATTTGATTTGATTTTTAATAATTCCCTGAATTGCTGTGATAATTAGAGTAGTGAATTCATTTCTGGTATGTTTTAAAAGTAATTCAAGGAAAATAATTTTGCAGAATCCTGATTTAGATAATATGAAGAGTGAATAGGAAAATGATGAAATTGTTGCTGCTTTTTACAGAGGCTTAGAATCATGGAAATCATTTGCTTTCAGGTATAAAAGGGAATAATTTCATTTTCTACTTTTTACTTTAAATTTCTGTTATCTATGTCTACATGCTTCTGTCCATTTCTTCATAGTTTGTTTTTTAAATAATATGCTTCTACCATTCTCTGAAAGCTATTTTAATTTTTCAGCTTGAATATAAATTGGTTGATACTGGCTGCAAATTATTTTTGGTATTCTAATTTGTCTATTTTTCTTTTTCTTGAAATGGAATAAATAAGCTTCACACACACACACACACACACACACACACACACACACACACAAAAACCCTAAACAAACAAAAAAAATCACACAGCACCAGCAAACTACTAGGATTTACTGTAGGATAAAAGCTCTACATGGCCCTGCATACAAACTTTCTGCATACTTCTGCAAATTTTTATGCATTACTCAATCCATTAAAAATCACCTTGGAAGAAACTGCAAACACAATAGAAACTAAATGAGATAGTCACAGAGAACAACAAAAATAGTAATTTAAGCTCCCATACAACATCAAGTGTGTTCAGTCTATTTTTGGTTCTTCGGGTTCTCTTTAAAATTGAATTGAGTTTGTATATGCATATGTATGTAGGAGTGGAGGATGGAATTAATTATCCCAAACATCCTACACTCACTCCTCTAATATTTCTTTTGTTAACATGCAAATCTGTTCTCTTCATTACGGTGATACTGCATTTACATTACAACACAATTAGAGATCATTAACTTTCTCCTTTATAATCAGCCATTTTCACAGGCCTTTGATATACAAGCACCTATAATATATTCTTACTCATCTCACACTTTCATTTACCAAAGTGTCAAAACAACATTTTTACATCATTGATATTTGTTTTAGTTTCTGCAAGCTGGCTGTTAGAAGATGATTACTTCTCTTAAATTACCTCTTACCCTCATCTTGCTATCTTTTTAAAAGGAAAGAAAAAGCACTATAAAAATCAGACACTTTGGGTTCTGAACCTTTTATTTTGTGTGAAAAGATACTTATTTATGTATGCTAAATCACACTGATGCGGAAGACAAACTGGCTCTTCGTTATTTTTTTTTTTGGCACTTTATAGAGGAAATGTGTGGAGAACAGATCTTTCCTAAGGTATTATATTCATGTGCCTTAAAGATTAAGAATACTCAATGCGCCAAGAAGTGCTATATACCAGAAAAGTTTGTATCAATTAATGTATCTAAATTAAGTTAAAGTTTCTTTCAATTTAATGTGCTTGCAGATGTAAAATTGCATGTTTAAGTTTTGCAGTTATGTACTAAATCTGGTGCTACACTTCTAATGTCTAAAGGTTTTATTCAATTTCAATTTATTTGTTTTATAGTTTGCCAGAATGTGCTTATGAAAGGCACTCTCAGTCATAAAAATAAATTATAAGCAGACTGGCACGTAACTATTTTTTTAAATAATAAACTTTCTGATTTTAGAGACTTGTATTCTTTTATAGGTCCTGGTTCTCTTTCACTCTCTGACCTATAAGAACCCATACAGCGTGCATTGCTGTGTATGGAAAAGCAGTAAAGGGAAGTACAGCCACCTTTTAGGTCCCATGAATAGCAAAATCTCTTTGACTAATCTCTTGTTTCAGGGTACGTCCACTCCTTGTTTAAAGAATGTAACTGGCTGGGCTTGGTGGCTCACTCCTGTAATCCCAGCACTTTGGGAAGCCAAGGTGGGCAGATTACAAGGTCAGGAGTTTAAGACCAGCCTGGCCAATATGGTGAAACCCCATCTCTACTAAAAATACAAAAATTAGTTGGCCGTGATGGTGGGTGCCTGTAGTCTCAGCTACTCAGGAGGCTGACTCAGGAGAATTGCTTGAACCCAGGAGGCAGAGGTTGCAGTGAGCCAAGATTGTGCCACTGCACTCCAGCCTAGGGGACAGAGTGAGACTCCATCTCAAAAAAAAAAAAAAAAAAGAATGTAACCACACTCAATAGTCACTAGCACATTGTTCTGAATAGACTATATACTGAAAGATATCTGCTGGATATAGAATGACCTCAGGAAAAAGTCTAGACACTATAATCCATCTCACTTGCCAGCATTTAGCGACCTTTCAGCTTCATTACTGACTTTCACCCAGTGTCCCTCAGGTGAGTGACTTGAGTCCTCTTTCATAATATTTGGCAGGAGAAAAGATGAGGTCATTGCTCCATCAATCCCGTCATGTCATGTCTGCTCATGTGTCATAGCTTATAAATAGTCACATGGTTCTGTCCAAGTGCAAGGGGGGCATTGCAGGTAGAGGTCCGTCTCCATGTGCCTTGAAAAGAAAATAACCAAATATCAGGGGAAAACAATAATATGAGCCATAGTGCCTGATATATACTATGACATCATAGAGATTTAATGAGTATTAATCAGGATTCAATGGCTGCAGGAGACAAACAGTTTCACAAACGAGGGCAATTAACTGGCTCATAGGCAATATCTCAAGAAAGGTGGGGTATTGTTATACTTCATGTGTTGCAGAAACATAGATGCTCCAATTTTACATGTTCTTTCTGTGTATGTAACATTCTTTGCCTTCTGGGTCTCAGCTTTATCTCTCAGGTTAACGTCTGTCACAGCTGTAGAGATAGTCACTGTCAATTCCTAGTTTCACAGTCTCCCATTTTCCAACGGAGTCTTACTCTTTCTTTGTTTCCAGTTCAAATGTATTATTGAAGAATCCTGGTTCTTAATTTAGCTTCGGGACCTATTGAATCAGTCTGTGGAAGCTGGAATAATATGATTAGGGCAGCAGAAATGAAGAATGCTTCTTTAGACCAATCACTATGTCCATGAGGCAGACTAAGGACTACATGACCCTAATAAATTCTAATTTCTAGAGCTTCTTATCTGGATCCTGAAGCAGTTTCGGCCTTTATACTATGAGAGACTGAATACACTAACAGACAATGGTGGTTCCACACACAGAAAATCAACTCTGACCTCTGCAGCAACCAGTCTGCAGCGATTGGTCCAAATGCTTAGGAATTGGTGGGTAACTTCCAGCTTCCCTAAGTGTTTCCCTCCAGCTTCCAATTTAGAACCAACCAGAGAATGCTAATTATGCAGCTTCACCCATCAAATAGGATGTTTTGCTTCTAGTTATCCAACCTTTAGATTCCCCATGACAATAATTTCCAACCAGGGCATTCCTGCAGCCTTCTGGTTTTCCCACGATAAAGCTTTCTCACTGCCTGCCTGCCTTTGATTCGTTGCCATATTGCAAGTGATGGTGGCCAACTCCCTGGCTACAGCAAGCTCTGACTGAATAACCTGTATTTCTTTTCATTTGAGCAGTCTTAGCTTATTTTTATAACTATTGAGGAAACGTTGTAGCAACCCTTACACTAAATGAACTTAATTATGCCAAACCTTTACTTACTACTTAAACAAATACTCTTCCAGACAATGTTACCAAACAGTGTCCCCTTTGTTGTGAAATCTTGTAGATACTGTTTAATTAGTAGAATCCTCTTACTTTCTTTTCCCTGTCAGTTTTACAGTATCCAACTGGTCCCGTGTATGATAGAAAACATTTCTATAAGGTAACACAGTATATTTCAACCCACACTATTACTATTGATGAGATTACTTTGCTATTCACATCTCATAACATTAGCAAAAATGCACAAATCTTAAACTGCCTTCTTTTTCCCCTCCAGGATGAAGGACAACCACATATTTAGCTGACAGTGATTCAAACTCTCATCTTGTCCAAAACTGACTTAAATGGCATAACTTTAATTAACTCTGATCTTACATTATCTGTTGACAGTTTTCACCTAGAATAGAGAAAATTAACCTTGTTTTGGATATTCTCTTATCTCTGAAGACTCCATCTGCCTGGGTTGCTGAATCAATTTTTGTAACTGGAACTCACAATCCAGCCTGAGGCAAAAAGTGAAGAGTATATGAGAGAGAGAACATTTATGTAGATAGTAGACAAGCACTAGAAATTGTGCATGATTTTGGAATGAAGGGCTCTTAGGTTCATTTTCGACTCTTAGCTGCAAGTATAGAAATTAAAAAGAAAATTAATGTTTTATCTGACTCCTTAAGAAATTATAAGTTAATTTAAACATATCTACTCCAGTGAAATAGAAATGAAATCTAAAGTTAATTCTCAGGCATATTGCTTTGCAAGAAATGCTCCTCTTCATAGAAAGCTGCCCAAGTAAACAAAATACTCCCTTACTGTAAACATTTATTCCTCTTTATGAAAAGTTACTTGTAAAAGAATTTTAACTAGGTATTGAGATTTATTTGACAGTTCAATGATAGCCACTCGGTGGCTCCTAAATCCGTACAAATAACATTAGCAATCACACTGTGTGGATCTACCTAAAATACTAAAGGTAACTCAGAATCAGTGTTACTAAGATATCGTGGATGAGTTTGTCTAGAGAAGAGCAAGCATGCCTTATCTGGAAATTCTGTAACCACCACAATGCTGATTAATCTGTAAAAGTGGGTCAAAACTTTCAACCACTATCACAGGCACTTTAACCCCCTATAAATGGACATTGTACAAATACCTTAGTCCCAAGGAAACCAATATGTCCTGGAGATTGTTTGTGAATGTCCCTAGTGGAGCAAAGCCTAAGTATAAGAATCTTTTTGGTGTGTTTTCCCCACCTGGGATCTCCTGTCAACCCTGTCAGCTGAAGGAAGGGCTCATTTTACAAGGAAGTGTTTTTGACGATTTTGCATGGTTGTCTTTATCTCTAAAGCATAATTACACTTATAATCTGAAAAGTATATAAAAGATAGAGATATTAAGTTGTTTGTTAAAAATAAGTAATCTGAATGTTCAGAATGACTTCATCTCCCTTGTTCTATAGTGCTTCTTTCAGTGTTACTAGCCATGTGATCCTCAGCTTTAAATCTTACAGGCTTTTTCTTGTGAAGTGGTAACTGTAAGAACCATGAACTTGGATCTAGTTACTACATTCGCCAATTCTTCATTTTGTGGTAGTTGTTGTTATTTTTCTTTATGAGACAGGGTCCTGCTCTGTTGCCCAGGCTGATGTACAGTGGCATGATCACGGCTCATTGCAGCCTTGAACTCCTGGGCTCAAGCAATCCTCCAACCTCAGCCTTCTGAGTAGCTGGAACTACAGGCATGCACCACCATACCTCACCATTTTCTTTTTTTGTATATATACATTTTTTTTTCGGTAGAGAATCAGTTCTTCATTATTAAGTTTATAAAATACCAGCCAGAGGCCAGGCGCAGTGGCTCACGCCTATAATCACAGCATTTTGGGAGGCTGAGGCAGATGGATCACTTGAGGCCAGGAGTTCAAGACCAACCTAGACAACATGGTAAAATCCTGTCTCTACTAAAAATACAAAAAAATTACAAAAAATTAGCCAGGCATGGTAGTGCCTGCCTGTAGTCCCAGCTACTTGGGTGGCTGGGGCATGAGAATTGCCTGAACCCAGAAGTCAGAGGTTGCAGTGAGCCGAGATCATGTCACTGCACTCCAGCCTGGATGACAGAGAGAGAAGCTCTCAAAAAAATAAAAATAAAAATACAGCCAGAGATCGATTTAACTGTTAACTATTATTTGATGTAATTAGCTACATACCTATCATATAATTAAAATTCAGTATTGAGATGGTTGTCATAGGGACACTTCAAACCAGATTAAGTTTATTTTAAAAGTGAATTGAGAGATTTTACTTTATAAAAAAAAAACCAATTTGGTTAGTTTGCCATTTAGGCTTCTAATTTTGATCTGAGGCCTGCTAACCCTGGAGATTACACAAAGACTTTGTGAGGCGTACTGCGGCCAGGCAAAGACTTTTAAAGAACAGGTTTCCAGGTGTCACATTCGAATACTTCTTTCATCATTCTTGCTGTCCCTCTTTCATTTCTTCTTTTTCAAAAGAATTCTTCTCCCACAATGTTTCTTTTTTTAAAAGAGAAAAATATATCTCCACTTTTTTTAACTTTACCTTGGTGCTTTGTCCCCAGGTGTTGAAATTTCCAGGATGCAAAACGAAGGGGCAATTCAAAACATTCATCTCCACTTCTCAAAAGTAAGTCACCTTGATGACTGGGTAACAAAATCTTGCTAATCATTTGTGTTTTTTGTTTTGTTTTGTTTTGTTTTAGATTTTTAATTACTTTTAAAAATTTGAAGAAATACCTAGTTGAATTGTCAATGGACATCTGCAATTTTTGTTGTCATTCTTCAAAGGAGTTCAAAGAATCAAATGTCATTGTTATAACAAAGCCCTTCCAATCCTATCCACTTATTTCTGAGAACAAGATTTCTCAGTTCTTAGATCTTATAAAAATAATGATATAGGAATAAGAATGATGTGGAACCTGCCACCTTCTAGCAATAAAAAAGGTTCATTTATAAAAACATGAATTTATAGGCAAAACATTAGGAGGTAAATTTCAAAAAACGCTTTTGCAAATAATTAAATTTTAAAATCTGTCACATGTTTATGTTTTAATTCAACTTTTAATAAAATTTGAATGTATGGAGGCATTTTTTATTTTTTCCTCCTTATCACTCTGGGCCATAAAGCTCCACTTCTTTCAGAACATGTGCATGAGATATTTATACAGCTCTTCAGGTAAGGTTACTAATATGCAGCCCTGTGATGCCACCAGTTATAATTCTATTACTGCATTACTACTCTTTCAATTAAAAAGAAATAGTAGAAAAAACAAAGCAAACAAACAAACAAAAGGCAAAATAATTGCATTTCAGAGGATGTCTGTTCCCGTGTAAGGTGCGCCTGTCCTTGCTTCAAGGGGAGTGGGTTACTTTTTTTTAAGTTTTTATATTTTCAAGATTTGGGGTTTGATACAACCATTTTTTTTTTAACTTTAAATTCTGGGATACATGTGCTAAACGTGCAATTGTGTCACATAGGTATACATGTACCATGGTGGTTTGCTGTACCTATCAACCTGTCATCTAGGTTTTAAGCCCCACATGCATTAGGTATTTGTCCTAATGCTCTCCCTCCCCTTGCCCCCCACCCCCCGACAGGCCTTGGTGTGTGATGTTCCCCTCCCTGTGTCCATTTGTTCTCATTGTTCAGCTCCCACTTATGAGTGAGAACATGTGCTGTTTGGTTTTCTGTTCCTGTGTTAGTTTGTTGAGAATGATGGTTTCCAGCTTCATTCATGTCCCTGCAAAAGACATGAATTCTTTCTTTTTTATGGCTGCATAGTATTCCATGGTATATATGTGTCACATTTTCTTTATCCAGTCTATCAATTGATGGGCATTTGGACAACCATATTTTTTGTTGAGTTTTGTTTCTTTAGTGGCTTAGCCATCTCTGCTGGTTTTAGTTAGTTCCAGCTGAGTCAATGGCTCATCTTAGACTGCATTTCTACCACCAACCTCTGCAAGGAAATACTCCATAGGACTTCTGGCCTAGACCTGAGGTTGCCATGGATTCATATTGAGCAAGTGAGTTCCATGTACACATCCCAGTCTTTCCTCAAGTAGCCTGCACGCCCTGTCTCCACCCTCAGTTTAAGAACACCAATGAGGTTTTTGAGATGTTCTTCTTACTTTCTGCCAAAGCAAGATATCTGATAGAAGGAGAAACCCTGTATTGACTCCCTGGCTTTTTGTTTATTCCAAAATTATGCTCTGTCTGGCTGACACATTGTGAAATTTAAGGGGAAAATTAGACCTTTTCCTCATTTCACTTTCATTGTTTTTTTTTTTTTAAATCTATTGTGTATTTCATTCATTTTGGGGGGGGAACAAATTCTACAAACTGCTTTAATATTGTCCTTTTTTTCTAATATTCACATTAACTTTTTATGTAAAACATACCAATGCTTTTAATAAAGCTTACATAGGAATAAACTATTATAGACCTGCATAGATATAAGTACCCATGTATTAATCTACATTAAAATAATGGATTTTATTCTGCGAAGACTCCAAGTTGCTCCTGGGTGCTAAGTGAAGCACTTAGGGAAATGTGTTCAGTCTTTGAGGTCATAGGAACATTAGATTATATCAAAGGAAACCTGGAGCCATCAGCTAAGTGGCCCTTCTGTCCTGTAGATACATAAAAACTAATGTGCTCCGCTATGCGGCTCACTTTCTGCTATTAGATACTATGAGGCACTAAGAAAAAACTACTGCCTGCATCATATCTTTCTT